>NC_000003.12:32510000-33760000 GCF_000001405.40 Homo sapiens
AGAAGAGGATTTAGGCCAGAACTTTGGAAGGAGTAGGAAAGAAGGTGAAGAAGAGCCAAGAAAATAAAGCAGTGGTTAAAGAGCGGGAAGAGACAAGAGCAGTGATGTGAAGGCAAAGAAGAGTCTTAAATTGTATGAATATTTCCAAATTCCACAAAGTGTCCAAGAATGCCAGATAAGCAAGAACTTTGGATCAGAGATCTCCTAGGAGAGACAGCTTATCAAAGTTCCTCTCCCAACAAAACTAGACTAGAGAATAAGCAAGTAACATCATCAACCTCCACATTTTCTTTACACCAGCAGAGGGCCGCAAAGGCAAAGGAATGCTAAGGCTTCTGCACTCACCAGTGCAGGGTTAGTTCTTAGGTGTCATTAGGGGAAAAGATTGTGTGTCACTTAACCTCCTTGCTTCCATCATTATTTGGTTATTTTAGTCCAGGACAGTTTGACCACGTGAGTGAGGGATGTGATAAAGAAAGGAAGGAGCTTCTGAGTGCCTGGGGAAGGGAAAGGGTGGGGTCCAATTTGGAATTTGGATTGCAGGGAGACCCTGTCATCCCCAGGCAGCCCTAACACAAAGTCTAACCTCATAATGAGTGCCATTGCAGGTCATACAATCAATCTTACAGGTTTTGTCTTCATTATTGATTAAATTTTATTTTTTGAAAATATGAAACATTGATAAAGGTTTCAAAAGTAGAAACATACAAAAAGGTTCACTTAGAGAAATGTCACTCAGTCTCTATGCCTTCCACCTGATTCCCACCCACCCCTCCACTGTAAGTAACAAATTTTGTTAGTTTCTGGTTATCTTTCCTGTGTTTCTTTAGTGGAAAGGGACAGATACAGATGGGTATGTGTGTTACATATATATTAGTACTTTTTATTTTCATTTATCAATACATCCTAGAAGTTACTCTATATCAGTTCATAGAAATCAATTTCATTTGAAAAAAATTGTAGTTACTCCATCATGCAGCTATGTCACAGTTTATTTAGCCAGTTTCCTATCCATACGCATTTAGGTTGTTCCCACTATTTTGCAATTACAAATGGTGAATAAATCTGTGAATGTTACTTTTATATTGTGAATAATACTTTTGTATTACTTTTGTATCTTTAGGGTCAGTTCCTAGGCATGTGATTACTGAGTAGGCATATGCAATTTTGTTAAACTGCAAATTTCATTCACTAGAGGCTATATACTATTTGGCACTCCCTCGAGCAGTGAAGGAGTGCATGTATTTCTCCATTGCCTCTCCAACACTGTGGTCAAGCCTTTGAATTTTTTTCATTCTGATAGGGAGAAATAATATTTCAGTGTAGTTTTTTTTTCTTTGTTTGAGACAGACTTTCCCTCTGTCACCCAGTCTGGAGTGCAATGGCATGATCTTGGCTCACTGCAACCTCTGCCTTCCCGGCTCAAGCAATTCTCCTGCCTCAGCCTCCTAAGTAGCTGGAACTACAGGCATGCACTACCACGCCCGACTAATTTTTGCATTTTTAGTAGAGACAGGGTTTCACCATGTTGGCCAGGCTGGTCTCGAACTCCTGACCTGAACTGATCCACTAGCATTGACCTCCCAAAGTGCTGAGATCACAGGTATGAGCCACCGCGCCCGGCCTCAGTGTAGTTTTAATGTGTACTTCTCCCATGAGGAAAGCTGAACATATTTTCATATCAAGGGCCATTTTTATGTTATTTTTGATTTGTCTGTTCATGTCTTTTTTTTTTTTTTTTTTTTTGAGACAGAATCTTGCTCTGTTGCCAGGTTGGAGTGTAGGGACGCAACCTCGGCTCACTGCAATCTCTGCCTCTCAGGTTCAAGCGATTCTCCTGCCTCAGCCTCCCGAGTAGCTGGGACTACAGGCACGTGCCACCACACCCGGCTAATTTTTTGTATTTTAGTAGAGATGGGGTTTCACCATGTTGGCCAGGATGGTCTCGATCTCCTGACCTTGTGATCTGCCTGCCTCAGCCTCCCAAAGTGCTGGGATTACAGGCGTGAGCCACCGCGCCCGGCCAAGACAGGGTTTTGCTTTGTCGCCCAGAGCTGGATGGAGTACAATGGCTTGATCTCAGCTTACTGCAACCTCCTACACCCGGGCTCAAGCCATCCTCCTGCCTCAGCCTCCTGAGTAGCTGGGACTATAGGCACGCACACCCAGCTAATTTTTGTATTTTTTTGTACACCACCAGGGGTTCCTTACAGAGGTTCTGTAAAGTAGACTATTTTCAAAAGACTACTAAGAAGTCATTTGCCTTTTTCACTGAGGACATTTGTTTGCACTGCTAGTGGAGTAAAACTGCCAGCACCGTAGCACAAAACAAGGCAGTGGTGCCAAACTCTATTTGTAGTCATTGTATTCTTCACCACTACATGGGAAAAAATAAAGCCAGTTTCACTTAAAAAATTCCCTTGATGAACAAGTAAATGATTAATTTTGTTACATTGCAGTCATTTAGTACCAGTCCTTTTACAATTGTATGTGATAAGATAGGAAGTACACCTATAGCATTTCTGCTGCATGCTGAGTGACAATGGCAGCTCTAGGAGAAGAACTGGTGCTATTGAGTTATAAGTAAGCAAAACTAGCCACTTTTTTCACCATCTTACTTGAAAGAACAGGTTTCCAGATTTAGGTATTTGGCAGACATTTTCTCAAAAATGAACAAAATAAGCCTGTCAATACAAGGAATACAACTGACAGCATTTGTTGCCATTCATAACATTTGAACTTTCCAATAAAATTAGCATTTTGGAACACTTGTATGTAACCAGTGAGCTTGATAGCTTCCCAACACTTAGACTTTTCTAGTGAGATTAGTAGTAATATTAACAAATGGGCCTTTTTTTTTTTTTTTTTTTTTTTTTTTGAGACAGAGTCTCCCTATGTTGCCCAGGCTGGTCTCAAACTCCTAGGCTCAAGTGGTCCTCGCATCTCAGCCTCCTGAGTAGCTGGGACTACAGGTGTGCACCACCATGTCAGGCTACAGTGTGATTTTTTTGAAGAAATGTCAATATTTGGAAGATCCTTTTTTGTGTGATTTTTTTAATGAAATATCAATACTTGGAAGATCCTTGAAACTCAGTAAACTGATATTTTCTAAAAGATCAATAAATTGATGTTACAAACTCACATAGGGGTAACAATCTATTCAAAGTGTAGGATAGGACCAGGTGCGGTGGCTGACGCCTGTAATCCCAGCACTTTGTGAGGCCAAGGCAGGTGGATCACTTCAGTCCAGGAGTTAAAGACCAGCCTGGGCAACATTGTGAAACCCCATCTCTACAAAAAAATACAAAAAAAAATTAGCTGGGTGTGATGATGTGCCCTGGAAGTCCCAGCAACTCTGGAGGCTGAGGTGGGAGGATCGCTTGAGCCTAGGAGGTGGAGGTTGCAGTGAGCTGAGATGGAGCCACTGCACTCCAGCCTGGGTGACAGAGCTGTCTCAAAAAAAATTAAAATTAAAATTTAAAAAAATTTTTTTAAAAGAGTAGGATAGACCAATGGATTCCACACTACATTTAATCCTTAAAAAACTAACACTTGTCAAGTTTTAGCCTCAAAAAAGAAAATTCACAATTATTTGGAAAAGCTATTAAAATATTCCTATCTTTTCCACCTACATATCTGTGAAGCTGGATTTTCTTTATAGAATTCAACCAAAACAACGTAACACATAAAATTGAATGCAGCAAATATGAGAATGCAGCTGTTCTTCTATCACGCAAGACATTAAAGAGATTTACAAAAATATAAAACAATGACATTATTTTCAATACTTTTTTGTTTGTTTGGGGAAAGTTATATTCCATTAAAAATGTTATTTATGTTAACCCATAAAAATTATTTGTTATTTATAAATGAACTAATATTTAAAATGTTTAAGTTTTATTCCAATATGGTAAATATAAATGAATATTACAAACATTTTCAAAAGCTCTTTGGGGTCCTTAACAAGTAGGAGTGCAAAGAAGTCCTGTGACCAAAAAATTTGAGAATTACTGTATTTAAGTTTTAAAAAATATTCCTAACCCAAGATAAGATGGAAAAGAGTTGTTACCAACTAATTCTAAAAAGACTGTGGTGATATAGTGTGACCAAATGTGTATATGTGTTTATAATTCTCTCCCTCTCTGTCTCTCTCTCTCTCTCGTGCTCTGTGTGTGTGTATCCCTAATTTCTCAAAGTATTTTGTGTGTGTGTATCTGCAATTTCTCAAAGTATGACTATTGCCATCTACTCTCTATCTTCAGCTGATTGAGAAATACGTTAAAAATTTTTTTAAGTCTAGCCAAGTAAAATAGAGATATCTTTTAAAATATCCTTGAATTCCAAGCACCTCTTCACATTAATAACCACATATTTTTAATTATATGTATGGATTACAATTTGGTAAATTAGTAAAACCAAAAGTTGCTGGTGTTCGTTCCTGCCATGTCCCTGTTACTTAAGAGAATACAGTGTCAGCTATTCCTGACATTTCCTGGTATAAGATGCCCAAGAAATTACTAGGCAATGAACATAAACACTTTTTCATTTTTCTTTTAAACATTGTTCCTATTTGACACAAGAATTGTCCAAATGTTTTAAATAATTCCTCATATAAGCCAATTTTGCTACCTGCTGCCTTAAACTATAATAGATGAAGTTTCTTAACATAATAGTCATGATTTTCCTCAACCAAACCACACCCCTATAATCAGTTTAGAATTATACTTCGGGATGTTTCCAAATAAGGTATTCATATGTCTTAGCCATTTACTAGGCCACGTGGCTCAAGAAAGAAGAGGTGAGAATTCTAGCAAATTATCCTATACTATACATAGCTTGAATTTCTCCCTAGGGTTTATTAAAGTTTAACCTATTATAATGAAATATTCACTCATTTTTCCTATAATTTTATAAAATGATAATGATCACAGGATAAGTCTTATACATTCAGCAGGAATTGGCTGGCATCATTTTCTACAATCTTATTTCAGCATGGGGAACATCTATTTAGTAAAAACATTAGTAACTGTTACATGAAGGAAGAACTCCCATATTCTGGGATTCTGCCAGTTTAGACAGCTAGTAATTTCTGTCTAAATGAAAGCCCCCAAGTGAGAAAACTATAGTGGATATTACCATTTGGTTCATTATTCAGTTCCATGAGGGGATTTATAAAGTGACATTTGATCATTCTACAGAAACAAATTTGACAGGTACTACAGCAATCTTACATGAACTCTTTACAAAGAACACAAACAGAATTGTTTTATGAAGTCAACATAATATTGATAAAAAACACTGACAAAAACATTAGGGGAAATGAAAATTACAGGTTAGGCTTTCTCAGGAGCATAATGCAAAATTCTAAAAAAAGTTAGCAAATCAAAATCAGGAATACAATACAACTAATATATTAAGATCAGCATAGGGGTTTTTCCAGGAATACAAAGGTGGCGTAATTTTTTTTTTTTTTTTTTTTGAGGCGGAGTCTCACTCTGTTGCCCAGGCTGGAGTGCAGTGGCACCATCTCAGCTCACTGCAACCTCCACCTCCCAGGTTCACGTGATTCCCCTGCCTCAGCCTTCTGAGTAGCTGGGACTACAGGCATCCGCCACCATGCCCGGCTAATTTTTGTATTTATAGTAGAGATGGGGTTTCACCGTGTTGGCCAGGATGGTCTCGATCTCCTGACCTCGTGATCTGCCTGTCTCGATCTCCCAAAGTGCTGGGATTACAGGCGTGAGCCACTGCGCCTGGCTGGCTTAATATTTTAAAAGGTAATGTAGGCCGGGAGCGGTGGCTCACGCCTGTAATCCCAGCACTTTGGGAGGCCGAGGCAGGCGGATCACGAGGTCAGAAGATCGAGACCATCCTGGCTAACACGGTAAAACCCGGTCTTTACTAAAAATACAAAAAATTAGCCGGGCATGGGGGGGGGTGCCTGTGGTCCCAGCTGCCGGGAGGCTGAGGCAGGAGAATGGTGTGAACCCGGGAGGCGGAGCTTGCAGTGAGCCGAGATAGCAACACTGCCCTCCAGTCTGGGGGACAGAGGGAGACTCCATCTCAAAAAAAAAAAAAAAAAAAAAAAAAGGTAAGGTACTCATACCATTAATAGAAAAAAAGAAAATAATCTCTATAGATGAAGACAGCATTTGATAAAATTAAACACCCATTCATGATAAAACTCATAGCATAAACTGACTAGAAAAAAAGCACTTCCAGGTGGGGCGCAGTGGCTCACGCCTGTAATCCCAGCACTTTGGGAAGCTGAAGTGGGCGGATCACCTGAGGTCGGGAGTTGGAGACCAGCCTGACCAACATGGAAAAACCTCATCTCTACTAAAAATACAAAATTGGCCCGGTGTGGTGGCACATGCCTGTAGTCCCAGCTACTCGGGAGGCCGAGGCAGGAGAATTGCTTGAACCCGGAAGGCGGAGGTTGCAGTGAGCCGAGATTGCGCCACTGCACTCCAGCCTGGGCAACAAGAGTGAAACTCCGTCTCAGACAAATAACAACAGAAAAAGAGCACTTCCTTTTTTTTTTTTTTTTTTTTTTTTTTTTTTGCCAGGACCTGTTCTCATCTGAGAGTACTTCCTTTTTTGATAGAGTCTCTACAGAAAGCACGCAGCAAATATACTTAATGGTGAAATATTGAAAGTTTTTACTCTGGGATGGGGAACAATTAAAGATGTTTCCTCTCACCAGTTCTATAATAATCTGTATTGAAGTATAGGTGTAATAAACAAGAAGACATTACAAAGGAAGAGATAAAAGTCATTATTTGCAGATTACATAACTACAGGTAGAAAAATCCAAAATAAATTACAGGCGAACCATTACATTAATAAATGAAGAGGTGGCCCGGTGTGGTGGCTCACGCCTGTAATCCCAGCACTTTGTTTGTTTGTTTGTTTTTGGAGACGGAGTCTCACTCTGTTGCCCAGGCTGGAGTGCAGTGCCGTGATCTCTCAGCTCACTGCAACTTCCTCCTCCTGGGTTCAAGCGATTCTCCTGCCTCAGCTTCCTGAGTAGCTAATCCCAGCACTTTGGGAGGCTGAGGCGAGTGGATCACTTGAGGTCAGGAGTTCAAGACCAGCCGGACCAACATGGCAAAACCCGGTCTCTACTAAAAATACAAAAATTAGCCACGCATGATGGCGGACACCTGTAATCCCAGCTACTCGAGAGGTTGAGGTGGGAGAATCACTTGAACCAGGGAAGTGGAGGTTGCAGTGAGCTGAGATTGCACCATTGCACTCCAGCCTGGGCGACACAGGGAGACTCCATCTCAAAAAAATAAAAATAAAATAAAATAAATGGAGGTAAAGTTGCTGGATGAAATCAACATGAAAACTGTATTTATATATATGAGCAACAAAGTAAAATGAAATCTTAGGCCGTGTGTGGTGGCTCACGCCTGTAATCCCAGCACTTTGGGAGGCCGAGGAGTGTGGATCACCTGAGGTCAGTAGTTCGAGACCAGCCTGGCCAACCTGGTGAAACCCGTCTCTACTAAAAATACAAAAATTAGCCAGGCGTGGTGGCAGGCACCTGTAATCCCAGCTACTCGGGTGGCTGAGGCAGGAGAATTGCTTGAACCCAGGAGGCAGAGGTTGCAGTGAGCCGAGATTGCATCATTGCACTCCAGGCTGGGTGACAAGAGAGCCAAACTCCGTCTCAAAAAAAAAAAAAAAAAGAAATCTTAGAAGGATCTTATTTTATAATACCATCAAAACCAAATACTCTCCCAAAAAGCAACGAAAAGGAGACACAAGAGTACACACTGAAAACTACAAACATTGCTAAGAGAAACTGAAAAAAAACCTATATATAATAAATGGAAGACTATTCTGTGCATAGTTTGGCGATGTTGTAAAGATAACAGTTATCAGCAGGGCGCAGTGGCTCACGCCTGTAATCCCAGCACTTTGGGAGGCTGAGGTGGGCAGATCACGAGGTCAGGAGTTTGAGACCAGCCTGGCCAACATGGTGAAACCCCGTCTCTACTAAAAATACAAAAATTAGCTGGGCGTGGTGGCGGGCACCTGTAATCCCAGCTACTAGGGTGGCTGAGACAGGAGAATTGCTTGAATCCAGGAGGTGGAGGTTGCAATGAGCCGAGATCGCACCATTGTACTCCGGCCTGGGCGACAGGGCGAGACTCTGTCTCAAAAAAAAAAAAAAACAAAAACGAAGTAACATTTATCCCCAAATTGTTATCCTCAATGCAATCCCAATAAAAATGCCAGAATTTCTGTGGCAATTGACTAATTGGTTCAAAAGCCCAGAAATAGATGTTTGCATAAATAAACAGTCAAATTGTGACCAAGATAGCACTGCAGAATGGTAAAGAAAGGATGGTTTTTTTGGTTTTTTTTTTTCTAACAGTGGCATTGGATTAAATGAACATTTGCATTTTAAGAATGAATGTTGTCCCCTATTTCACACTATGCATAGAAATCAATTCCAAGTGGATTGTAGAAATGTGAAACAATAAAGCTCATAGAAAAATGAAATCATAGAATATCTTTATGACTTTGGGGCTAGCAAAGGCCTTTTTTTTTTTTTGAGACAGGATCTTGCTCTGTTGTCCTGGCTGCACTGCAGTGGCGTGAACATGGCTCACTGCAACCTCTACTTCCTGGGCTCAAGTGATCCTCCTTGTAGCCTCCAGAGTAGCTGGGACTACAGGCTCATGCCACCATGCCCAGTTAATTTTTAAATTTTTGGTAGAGATGAGGTCTCACTGTATTGCCCAGGCTGGTCTCAAACTCCTTGGCTCAAGTTGGCTCAAGTGATCTTCCCACCTTGGCCTCCCAAAGTGCTGGGACTATGGTGTAAGCCACCATGCCCAGCTGGCAAAGACTTCTTAAAAACAGGTTATGAAAGCAATAACCATAAAGAAAAGCTGATAAATTGAGCTATATTGAAATCAGTAGCTTGTATTCATCAAAAGACACCAATAAGAGTGAAAAGGGAAACCACAGAGTAGAAAAAGATATTTGCAATACATACCTGACTGGAAGCAGTATTCTGAATATGTAAAGAATGAGACAAGGCTGGGTGTGGTGGCTCACGCCTGTAATTCCAACCCTTTGGGAGGCTGAAGTGGGCAGATCACCTGAGGTCAGGAGTTCGAGACCAGCATGGCCAACATGGCGAAACCTCATTTCTACTAATAATACAAAAATTAGCCAGGTGTGGTGGTGCATGCCTGGAATCCCAGCTACTCAGGAGGTTGAGGCACAAAAATCGCTTGAATCTGGGAAGTGGAGGTTGTAGTAAGCCGAGATCACACCACTGCACTCCAGCCTGGGCAACAGAGTGAGACTCTGTAAAAAAGAAAGAAAGAAAGAAAAAGAGAGAGAGAGAGGGAGGGAGGGAGGGAGGAAGGAAGGAAGGAAGGAAGGAAGGAAGGAAGGAAGGAAGGAAGGAAGGAAGGAAGGACGGAAAAAGAATGAGACGATAAGAAAAAGTCAGGCCAGGCACAGTGGCTCACACCTGTAATCCCAGCACTTTGGGAGGCCGAGGCAGGTGGATCATCTGAGGTCAGGAGTTCAAGACCAGCCTGACCAACATGGAGAAACCCCATCTCTACTAAAAATACAAAATAGCCTGGCATGGTGGTTCATGCCTGTAATCCCAGCTACTTGGGAGGCTGAAGCAGGAGAATCGCTTGAACCCAGGAGGCAGAGGTTGTGGTGAGCCGAAATCACGCCATTGCACTCCAGCCTGGGCAACAAGAGCGAAACTCCGTCTTAAAAAAATAAATAAATAAGAAAAAGTCATACAGTCGCCCCCTCCGCCTCCAAAAAGGACAAGACTCTTAAACAAGTACTTTACAAAAGAGGATATCCAAAGGCCAGTACACATGAAATATGCTTAACTTCATTAGTTATCAAGGAAACACAATTTAAACCACAAGATCCTACCATACATCTGCAGAATGTCTAAAACTGCAGACAGTCAATAGTTTGTGTAGACAAGGATGTGGAGCAACTGCAACTCTCATGTTGCTGGTAAGTCATGGAAATTCTTTTTTAAAAAATTATATATAATTCACATAAAATTCACTTTTTTTTTTTTTTGAGATGGAGTCTCACTCTGTTGCCCAAGCTGGAGTGCAGTGGCATGATCTCAGCTCACTGCAACCTCCGCCTCCCGGGTTCAAGCGATTCTCCTGCTTCAGCCTCCCGAGTAGCTGGGACTACAGGTGCGTGCCACCACACCCAGCTAATTTTTTGTATTTTTAGTAGAGACGGGGTTTCACTGTGTTAGCCAGGATGGTCTCGATCTCCTGACCTCGTGATCCACCCGCCTCAGCCTCCCAAAGTGCTGGGATTACAGGCGTGAGCCACAGCGCCTGGCCCAAAATTCACCCTTTTGAAGTGTACAAGTCAGTAGTTTTTAGTATATTCACAAGATTGTGCGACTACCACCACTATGTAATTCTAGAGTACTTTCCTTACCCCCCAAATAAACCCCACTAGCAGCCACTCCTCATTTCCTCCTTCCTCTACCTTCTAGCAACCCACTAATCTACTTTCTGTCTCAGCAGATTTGCTGTTCTAGATATTTCACATAAATGAAATCACACAATATGGCTTTTTGTGACTAGCTTCTTTGACTTAACATGTTTTCAGGGTTCATTCATGTTGTAGCATACATCAACACTCCATTTCTTTTCATGGCTGAATAATATTTTATTGTATGGATATGTCATTTCATTTATCTGTCTGTCTGTTGATAGATGTTTGGGTTGCTTCTGCCTTTTGGCTATTATGAATAATGCTGCTGTACACATTTGTATACAAGTTTCTGTGAGGACATATGTTCTCATTTGTGATTAGTATAAACCTTGACATGGAATGGCTGGGTCATATGGTAACATTTAACCTTATGAAGAACCACTAAACTGTTTCCCAAAGCAGTTGCACCACTTTACACTCCCACCAGCAATGGATGGGGGTTCCAGTTTCTTCAAGTCCTCACCAACACTTATTATTTTAGCCATCCTAGTGGTTGTGAAGTGGTATCTTATTGTGGTTTTTATTTTCATATTCCCAATAACTAAAGATGTTAAGTATCTTTTCATACGCTTATTTTGCATTTTTATAACTTCTTTGGAGAAGTGCCTCTTCAAATCCCTTGCCCATCTTTAAATTGGGCTATCTTGTTATTGAATTGTAAGAGTTCTTTATATATTCTGGATACTGGGCCTTTCTCAGATCTATGATTGCAAATATTTCCCCCCAAGAATGGGAATTCTTAAAACCACTTTGGAAAAACTTTGGCTTTATCTGCTAAGGTTGAAAACATATATAACCTATGGACCCAATAATCCACTCCTGCATAAACACCCAACAGAAATGAAAACACGTTTTCCATCAAACATATTCAACAGTGTTTACAACAGCATCATTCGTAATAACAATTGAAAGACTGAAAATCACCCAGACATCCTGTGGTTAGGCTGAGTAACAGTGCCCCCAAAAATGTCCACATTCAAATCCCTGGAACCTGCAAATTTTACCTGACTTGGCAGAGACTTTGCAGATATGACTGAGGATCTTGAGGGGGGTAAATAAGATTTCCAGTCAGCATGTAAGGAGTTTTGAGGTCATCACTTTGTCCTAAGTAGAGCTGTCAGGGCGCGGTGGCTCACACCTGTAATCCCAGCACTTTGGGAGGCCGAGGCGGGTGGATCACCTGAGGTCAGGAGTTCAAGATAAGCCTGGTCAACATGGTGAAACCCCATCTCTACTAAATATACAAATATTAGCTGGGCATGTTGGCAGGTGCCTGTAGTCCCAGCTGCTCGGGAGGCTGAGGCAGGAGAATCGCTTGAACCCGGGAGGCGGAGGTTGCAGTGAGCTAAGATCATGCCATTGCGCTCCAGCCTGGGCAACAAGAGCAAAATTTCGTCTGAAAAAAAAAAAAAGAAAAAGCAGTAGAGCTGTGGGAGAAATGGTCACAGGGCAAACCACTGCCTCCCAAATTGGAGACAGACAGGTGACACAGAATCACAACTTACCGGAGCAGAAATCACTGGGCATACACCTCCATGGGAACCAGTACTGGGACAGAGGAATCTGAATTGTAATTGATGAATTGCCCAGAGGTTCAGTTTGGGTAAGTGTGTGAGTTAATAATTCTACAAACACCCAGTCATAAGAGGGTCCCCACACTTTGTGAGTTTTACCTCTAGGAGCTCTCCCAGGTTCTCACCGTGAAGATCAGAGTGAAGATTTCACCATGAAGATCTCTCGTGCTTCTGGCAAGGGAGGGGGAAAGTAACCATTTTGAAATATGCCAGAGCATTCTGTTCTTAACAAGGCCTGTCCTCAAGAAAAATGATTCTGCCACAGCCTTACCTGTTGAGGTTTTATCAGAGCCAAATCAACCTGGTGGAAGGGAAACACCTAACTCCAGCCCCTTCTAGACATCCTGTCCCACCTAAAGGGGGTGGGGGTACTGAAAAGCACTTGTGAAGTTTACATCCCAGGGGCACAGGCTTGCTAAAACTGAGACCTTATCATACAAATACAGAAAGCTTCCTCTCCCCCCATACCGCTAAATGACTACTTACCAGAGTTCCTTTTACTGTACATCATATCCAGCTGTTAATAAAAAAGTACGAAGCATACAAAAAACAGTTTGAAGACAGAGCAAGCATCAGAACCAGACTGGGATATAGCAGCGATGTTGGAATTATCAGACCATGAATTTAAAACAACTATGACTAATACGCTAAGGACTCTAGTGGAAAAAGTAGACAACATGCAAGAACAGATGGGTAATGTTAAGCAGAGAGGTGAAGTCTAAGAGCGTATCAAAAAGAAATGCTAGAGATTAAGAAAAAGCTAACAAAGAATGCCTTTGATGGGCTCACTAGCAGACTGGATTGAAGGAGAGAATCGCTAAGCTGAGGAAAGAATTGCTGAGCTGGAGGACACGTCAATAGCAACTTCCAAAACTGAAAAGCAAAGAAAAAACAGACACACACGCACACAAAGGAACAAAATGTGCAAGAACTGTGGGGCAAGTCCAAACGGTGTAACATGTAGATAATAGGCATACCAAGAGAAGAAAGGAACAAAATAAATATTTGAAGCAATGACTGAGAATTTCCCCAGATTAATGTTACACCAAACTACAGATCCATGAAGTTCAGGAAGCATTAAGAAAGATAAATGGGCTGGGTGCGGTGGCTCACACCTGTAATCCCAACACTTTGGGAGGTCGAGGCAAGAGGATTGCTTGAGCCCAGGAGTCTGAGACCAGCCTGAACAACACGGTGAAACCCTGTCTCCACGAACAATACAAAAATTAGCTGGGTGTGGTGGCGCATGCCTGTAGCCCCAGCTACTAGGGAGGCTGAGCTGGGAGGATTGCTTGAGCCTGGGAGGCAGAGGTTGTAGTGAGCCCTGATTGAGTCACTGCACTCCAGCCTGAGCAACAGAGTGAGAACTTGTCTCAAAAAATAAAATAAAATTAATAAAATAATAAAATAAAATGAAAAATAAATGAAAAAAAAAAACCCTACACCTAGGCATATCATATTCAAATTACAGAAAATTAAAGAAAAAGTCTTGAAAGAAGCCAGAGGAAAAAATATCCTCTAGAGGAGCAAACATAAGAAATTCATCTGATTCCTTTTCAGAAACAATGCAAGCAAGAGAGTGCAGTGAAATATTTAAAGTGTGGAGGGAGAGTATACGGAATTATTCAGGGGGGGCCAATTTAATCACTTCAGTCCTTACAACAGGGAGGCAGGGAGGTCAGAATGAAAGTGATGTGATGGATGCAGAGTTGAAGATGCTAGGCTGCTGGCTTTGGAGAAGGGGCCAAGAGCCAAAGAATGCAGGCAGCTTCTAGATGCCAGAAAGACAACAGATACTTGGCCGGGCGCGGTGGCTCACGCCTGTAATCCCAGCACTTTAGGAGGCGGAGGAGGGCGGATCATGAGGTCAGGAGATCAAGACCATCCTGGCTAACATGGTGAAACCCTGTATCTACTAAAAATACAAAAAATTAGCCGGGCGTGCTGGCGGGCGCCTGTAGACCCAGCTACTCGGGAGGCTGAGGCAGGAGAATGGCGTGAGCCTGGGAGGCGGAGCTTGCAGTAAGCCGAGATCGCACCACTGCACTCGAGACTGGGCAACAGGGCAAGACTCCGTCTCAAAAAAAAAAAAAAAAAAAAAAAAAAAGACAACAGATACTCTTCTAGAGCCTCAAAATAATAATAATAATAAAAAAAGCCAGCTCTGCTGACACTTCATTTTAACCAGGTGAGGCTTATTTTGGAATTTTAACCTCCAGCATGGTAAAATAATAAATTTGTAAGGTTTTAAGCAACCAAATCTGTGGTAATTTCCTGCAGTAACAGGAAATTAATACATACACATCTATAGCATAATAGATACTATATTTGCACAATGGAATAATATACTGCAGTAACTATTGATAAATGCAACAAAATGGATGAACCACAAACCTGATATTGAAAGATACCTGGCACTAAAATAATATTAACTCTGTAAGATTCAATTTTTATAAAGCTTAAAAATAAGCCAAACTTATCTGCATATTTGTAAGTTACGCAGTGGTTACTTGGTGGGTGGGGATACTGATTGAGGGGGCACACTCGAAGCTTCTGTAAGTGCTGGGTAATGTTCTGTTGCTTATTTTGGTGCTGGTTATATGTGGTCACTTTGTGATACTTCAAACCATACACTTGTACATTTTTTCTGTATTGTATACTTCAATAAAGTTTGCTTAAAAACAAAGTTTTAAAACAAATTTCCTTGCAAAAAATTGTACAAAAATAGGTTTCAGGTTTTGTTTTTTTTTTTGAGATGGAGTCTCACTGTCACTGGGGCTGAAGTGCAGTGGTGGGATCTCGGCTCACTGCAACCTCGGCCTCCCAGCTTCAAGCGATTCTCCTGCCTCAGCCTCCCAAGCAGCTGGGATTACAGGCGCCCACCACTATGCCCAGCTAATTTTTTGTATTTTTAGTAGAGACGGGGTTTCACCATGTTGGCCAGGCTGGTCTTGAACTGACCTCGTGATTTACCCGCCTCGGTCTCCCAAAGTGCTGGGATTACAGGCGTGAAGCTTTCAGATTTAAACATGATCTATGCAAGGTCTTAAGATTAAACTAAATCCCAGAGTGAACAATTACAGTAAACTGAAGTAACAACTCAATTAATTTCAAGGATTTTCTAGTACACATTCAATGTCTCACACACACAGAATGAGTTGGTTTATGCATGCAAACAAGGTAGCAGATATATCCAAGTACACCAAATACTGTCAGCAGTTTTCCTTTTTCCATTAGTTCCACTTACTTCATCGAGTACTGATTTAGAGAGAATCTACACCACCCTTTTTGCAGAACCCTTTCTGGACTAAAGATTTTATCACTGGCATTGTTTATCTCAAATATTTTATCAGATAAAATGTTTTCATAAATTTTTGTATGCCCATGAACACCATTTTATCCTCATATACATGCACGTGTGTATTCGTTTATCTCTTAGGTCAGAAAGCTTAATAATTATATTATTAATTAGGTCGAAAATTTTAAATTAGTCAGCCCTCTGTATCCGTGGGTTCCATATCCATGGATTGAACCAATCACAGAAGGAAAATATTTGAAAAAAAAGTTGCATCTAAACAGGCACTTTTTTTGTTATTTTCCTCTGAACAATACAGTATAAGTATATACATAGCATTTACAGTGAATTAGGTATTATCATCTAGAGATGATTTAAAGTAAACAGGAGGATGTGAATGTTATATGCAAATACTACACCATTTTATATCTGGGACTTGGGCATCTGTAGATTTTGGTACCTGAGGCAGGTCCTGGAACCAATCCCTCATGGATACCAAGGGATGACTGTACTAATGAATCTCATTTATTAGCTGACACATGTAAATTTAAACATAAGAGAATGCAACAAGTTATTTGAACCTGAATGCAGAGAATAAATACTTTATTAACTGATTACAGTTGAAAGTCACAAACAAAAAAGGGGGTATATTAAGGCAAAGCCATATATATATATATATATGTATAGACAAATCCAAAGATTGTTACTTCTTTACATTTTAATAACCTCTGCATTTTTCTTTTACACATTTAGGCAGTGTGCTTTCTTTTCTCCTCAGTTAAAGCAACACCTTGGCCAATATTTCTAAATCATATTTTGATGACAACTTACAGGATCAGTGATTGAGACAATGACTAGTGTATCAAACGCTATCTGATAGTTTTCTTAGCATATTCCGTGTGTGGTGGTACATTTATTGTGGTGTGCAAAATCTGACAACTGACGATTTTTCTCTGTCAGCAAAACTAACAAATTTTTAAAAATGATTTTAATAGTTATAACTAAAATAAGCTTAGACTTCCAAGTCAGTCAAATGCCCAAACTGCATGTTTTCTGCCGTTCCCCAAATCCTTTTACATGTTTTAAATAGCCTTTAGAATATGATCGATCACATGGCTGTATTTCAGATCTAAAAGTTTTGAGATTTTCAAAATCAAAAATTACTTTCTTATGCAAAATGGCAATGCAAACAGCAATCCTACATAATGTAGAATAATTTTTCTTCTGTACGGCTCCTTCTAAAAAATGGGTAACCACACACACACACACACACACACACGACATAAATTTAGTCCATCTGAAGAAGCACTCCAGCTTTCTAATTCCACTTTTGAAGGAAAAGGCAGAGGCATGTTTACATTATCCCAGAAAACAGAATAAATGGCTTTATTTGGTATCTTCAAGAAGCTTCTCCTTCCGTAGGAGATGTAGGTGTTGTGGGAGAAACTGTAACTGGTTTTCGTGTAATTCTGTCTAGTTCTGCATGAACATCTAAGACAGGCTTCTGGCCTACATTGAAGAAAAAGAAAAAAAACAAGATTTAGATATAAGTGAAAGTATCGTTTTCACCAATATCTCTTCATTTAAAAAGTCCTAACACTTTCATTAACTTTATTTAGCACACTAAGTTATACAAACAACACTTAATTTAAAAATTTCAAGCTGGGTGTGGTGGCTCACGCCTGTAATCTCAGCACTTTGGGAGGCCAAGGTGGGAGGATCACTTCAAGTCAGGAGTTCGAGACCAGCCCGGCCAACATGGTGAAACCCTGCTGTAATCCCAGCTACTTGGGAGGCTGAGGCAGGAGAACTGCTTGAACCCGGCAGGTGGAGGTTGCAGTGAGCTGAGATCACACCACTGCACTCCAACCTAGACAACAGAGTGAGACTCTGTCTAAAAAATAAAAATAATATAAATTTCAAGAAAAAACAAATTCCCTCATTTTAAATTGTGGATCTGTTACCAAATGGAGGTATAACTGGCACCTATCATTTAATCTCATAAAGGTTTTTTTTTTTAAGGCATAGGACAATAAGAACGGTAAAACAGAAAATAGCAACAAAAATGTAGCATCTAGAGAAGATGAATGAGTGGTAACAACAGATGACAATAAAAATGTGGCAAGGATATGGAGAAACGAACTTTCCTAACCTGCTGATGACAATTTAAAATGATACAGCATTTTGGAAAACATTTTGGCAGTCCTTCAAAACCTTTGTTTAAACCGAGTTACTACACAACCCAATAATTCCACTTAGGTATTTACCCAAGAGAATTACAAACAAATATCCACACAAAAACGGATGTTCAAAGCAGCACCATATTAATAATAGTCAAAAAGTAGATGAAACTCAGATGTCCATTACCCAGTAAACAGATAAATGAAATGTGGTATAGCCATATAATGAAATATTATTCAGCAATTAAAAAGGAATGAAGGCCAGGCATGGTGGCTCATGTCTGTAATCCCAGCACTTTGGGAGGCTGAGGTGGGAGGATCACTTGAGGCCAGGAATTCGAGACCAGCCTGGCCAACACGGTGAAACACCGTTTCTACTAAAAATACAAAAATTAGCCAGGCATGGTGGCAGGTGCCTGTGATCCCAGCTACTCAGGAGGCTGGGGCAGGAGACTCACTTGAACCCTGGAGGCGGAGGCTGCAGTATCGTGCCACTGCACTCCAGCCTGGGCAACAGAACAAGACTCCATCTCAAAAAAAAAAAAAAAAAAAAAAAAAAAAAAAAGAAATGAAATATTGATACATATTACAACATGTATGACCTTCAAAAACATTTGTTAAAGCCATACATTGTATGACTCCATTTACATGAAATGTCCAGATAGACAAATCCACAGAGGAAAGAGAGAAGGTTCAAGGTTTCTTTTGGGGAGATAAAAATGTTCTAAAATCAGATTATGGTGATGGCCTGCCCAACTTAGCAAAGATACCAAAACCACAGAATTATACACTTTACATGAGTGAACTTCATTATATCTCAAAAAAGCTGTTATTTTAAACAAGTGACTTGCTTCCCATAAGCATACCTGACTTTTTGGTGGATGGTGGTAAACCACTGCTTCCACCTCCAGCCCCACCTGCAGGGCTACCACCACTCACACCAGGGCCTCCTGGAGAGCCAGTCTTTTTACTCAACAAACTGTTGAAGAAATTTGCCAGAACGCCTTCACTTGTAGCTCCAGCTATAAAAAAATAAAAAAACAAAAAGCTTTAGCCAAAACATAAGATTCTTCCTTAAATTATTATTACAGTAATCACACATAGAAAATGAATAAACTTAAATTTTAAGAGTTTTATATTCCAAATTCAAGTCTAGTTTGATCTTTTGATGCTGAGTAATTTCTCTAATGAGTAAACTTTAAGTGTAAAATAATTATTTAAAAATTAGAATGTTATTTTTAAAAGGCCAAAGGTATTTTAAACAAAAAGATGTTATATACTAATATATATCTCCCTTTTGAAAAGGATTCTTTAAAAATAGAACTGTTGAGAAACTGCCTCAAGTATTAGGAAAAGTTACAGAATCCTATATGAAAACCGGTAGAAGTTGCCAGAGATAAATGGGCAAATGATAGCAATAAACAATTCACAGAAGAGAAACACAAATAGAAGGAAAACACTAGAGGAAAAACTCTTATTAGGTAGTATTTAAAGCATGTTAATTAGGTTGTGGTAAAACTGCAACACTCAATGTTGATGATAAGCAAAGTTGAATAATCATTTGAAAAAATATTATCCAAAGGCATAAAAACATAAACTCTTTGACCTACTAATCCCACTTATGGCAATTATTCCTACAGAAATAACTATTATGCATATAGTTTTTTCCTTTATGTTAATTGCAGATTACTTATTATAGTGTAAATGTGAATTTCTTCAATGATCTACCAGGAAATTGATTAAATATAACAAAACTTTTATCATGGAAATGATGATACATCACAAATACACTGTAAAATGGTTTACAATCTGGTTAACTATGAGATTATATATCCATAGAGACAAAGCCTAAAAGGTATTACACAAGAATGAAAATAGTTATGGCAAAAGGTGGAATTTTAGATAGATTTATTTCTCTTGTAAAATGTATTGTCTTGTTATCTCCTAGAAAGAGATGTACCTTTCATGTTTGGATCAATTTTTTTTGACCCAGCAGGAATGGGTGACACGCTGGCAACATTAGATGATACAGATCTATTTGGTGTTCGTGGGGAGCCTCCTGGGACTCTTGGTGAGGCATCCTATGTAAAAATAGGAAAATACAATTATAAAAACCTGAAACTTTCATTTTCACAAAAGTTATTATTGTAAAAAGAAATTACTTTGCAACTATCCCCTGTTCTACTGGTACTTTTACACTGCAAGCCATTGACAAAATTGTTAGCAATCCTGTCCTCATTATTAGAGAATGCCAGACAGAGGCCCATCACATTTTAACATACAAATTTTTCCTCTCATAGAAAATAAAGAACATATTGAGTGATGATGTATGGTTAGAAGCTTGGGAGTCAGACTTGGTTTCCAATCTGGACTTGTATTCTACTAGCTTTATAATCTCAGGCAAGCCACAACGTCCTCCCTAAGGTTCCCATTTCCTCATCTGCAAAATGGGGCTAATAACAGTCCTGCCTCATAAGGCGGTTGTGAGAATTTGTAAAATGACATATAAATGGCTGAGTATTGACACACAACAAATGTTACAAATAGATCTTTACACTTTTAAAATCTCACAAATTACAGAAGAATTCTGAATTCAAGTTTATATCAAAGCACACCCATATGAAATATGTACATAATTAATAAAAAATAACTAAAATAATATGTACTGCATTTTAATCATTTTGTCAAAATTTGTAATACTGACCACAGGCCTTCCAGCTGCAGTTGGTGGTTGCTTTGCTAAAAGGGACTGAAAAAAAAAAAAAAAAAGAATCCTAGTTTAGACATTCATAGCATATACTGGTGTATTTTTAAAGAAAATACACACAAGAACAGTTTACCCATTAACCATACTAAGTCTGCTTCTGATATAATTTCATACCTGTAGCTTCATAAGAAACACCTGATCATCTTCTGCCATAATTTCCTTCTCATGTACAAACTGAAATGAGCAATGCACAAATGAGCAAATTTAATATATTATGCTAACACAATTAATAATTTATTCTCTAGATTGGACTAATTAAAAAACAGTTCAAGAATTTGAACATTACCTATACTATATTTATATTCACATGCGTGAGCTGCCCTACCCAAGGCCTTCAGCAGAGGTGTCCAGTAACTAGCTACAGTTTTGGAAATATTCTATATCTGTGCTGTTCAATATGGCAGTCACTAGCCACCAGTGGCTACTGAGCACTTGAAATGTGGCTAGTGTGACTAAGGAAATGATTTTTAATTTTATCTAATTTTACATTTAAAAGGCATATGAGGCAAGTGGCTACCGTATTGAACAGCACAACCCTAGAGTCACAAGCATATTAATCATGCTTATAAAATTTGCTAAACAGCAGTTAGGGTGTTTTAAAAGGGCCAGTAATATCCTAGTTAAGTGAAATGCAACTTCTCCCTTGTTTCTCTGAAATAAAAATATAATGGCTCTTCTATGAGCTGAATAATTAGGAAAAGGAATTGCAGAAGTCTCCTGCTTCTATTCTTGCTGTATAACACATACCCAGTCTATTTTCTTCCCAGGAGCCAGTGATTCTTCTAAAAGGTTAAGTCAGATTACATCACTCCTCTGCTCAACCTCTCAATCTCTTTCCATCTAACTCAGAATGAAACCTAAAGTCCTTACTGTAGCCTAATGATAAAGACCCACAGTAACTTACTTCTGCCTCTCATCAACTAGCTTAACCTTCCCCACAGCTCTTTCCTGCCTCTGTCTTCCTCATACATTTCTGCCTCAGGGCATGTACACTTTTAGTTCCCCCTGCCTTCAGCATTCTCCCCCCTTTATCAAAGACCTTCCCCCATCATTCATATACAGCATCCCTCACAGCCCAGTCCCCTTGCTCACTCTCCCTACATCCTGCTTTATTTCTGTAGCACTTATCACTACTTGACAGATGTCTATGTATTGGTTTACTATAGGTATCACTCTCCTTCCCATTTAGCACTTAGAACCTAAACAGGGCCTGAGGTGATGCTCAATAAAAGAATGTGAAATATTTTTGCTATTTTATTTTTATGCATGCATTTCTTTTAATAGACATCCAAACCAAATACCACACCAACTGATTTTTCATTTGACCTTTTCTTATTACTAATAATAACCCACAAACAGAAGATGGATGCTTTATATTATGAGTGTTTGGATTCTGAAGACTCTTATATGCTAAATAAAAATTATTTTTTCTTGATATATATGTCAAGATTAAAGTCAGTCAGTGAGAACTACTACAAGTTGAGTATCCTTCATCCGAAATGCTTGCGACCAGAAGTGGAAGTGTTTCAGATTGCTGAATATTTGCATTAATACTTATCAGTTCAGCATCCGTAATCTGAAAATCCAAAATGTTTCAATAAGCATTTCCTTTTGAGAGTCATGTTGGAGCTCAAAGTGTTTCAGATTTTTGAGCATTTTGGATTTTCAGATTAGGGATAGTCAATTTATTTATGCAAATACTCATTTTTATAGAGCTTTCAGAAACATCTCTATCTATAGAACATTATACACTGCATGAAGTCAAGATATAGGAAAGCAGTGTATCTTCTGGGATCTGATTGGATAGATTGATATGTTAGAGTCGAGACTAAAACTGGGCCGGGTGCAGTGGCTCACACCTGTAATCCCAGCACTTTGGGAGGCCGAGGTGAGCGGATCATTTGAGGTCAGGAGTTCAAGACCAGCCTGGCCAACATGGTGAAACCCATTTCTACAAAAATACAAAAAAATTAGCTGGGCACGATGGTGGGTGCCTGTAATCCCAGCTACTCGGGAGGCTGAGGCGACAGAATCGCTTGAACCTGGGAGGCAGAGGTTGCAGTGAGCTGAGATCATGCCATTTTACTCCAGGCTGGGTAACACAGTGAGACTCCATCTCAAAAAAAAAAAAAAAATGTGTGTATATATATATATATATATAAAATTGAAAGTTCTTGGATAGCTGTGAGCTAATGTGGGTAACTAACTGGAGAGAAGATCCAAGACCTGCCTCAATAGATAGAACCAACAGAATTATTCTAGCAATGTTTTCTTGGCTCTTGGCCAAGCTCTAGGTTGGAAAGTTCACAGCTTCTACCTATTCAAACTCTGTAAGATCCACATATTCACTCATGCCAATCTGATTTCCAAAGCACTATATTAGAATGTGGATTCTGCACTAACAATTGCTAATATAAATATGCCAAGGGCGAAGATTTAATTAGCTGAATAGCTGATTTCTATTTTGCTAAAACAAATCCTTATGTAAACTGTACATTAGAAACACACCAAAATTATACTTAGAAACCCTCCAGATGGAAAAGGACATTTTTGCCTTTCTACATTTAATTTTAAAGTATGGAATTCCCCTCAGGTTAGTCTAAAGTCTAAATATTGAGATTATTTACTAAAATGGTTACCTTTCGAACAGGTGGTTTAGTTATGATGTCTTCAAAATTATCTTCTGCTTTTAATGTTTGAAAATTTTCATGTAATATTCCTATTTTCTTATCATTATCCCACCCTGCTGGACTGGAAAGAAATACATATGATAAATTCTCAAGCATTTATATAGTCATTCTTTCATTCAGTCCAAGATCATGTAAAAGGAATACTTTCATGAAGTCAATTTGAACAATTATGGAAAACGAATTAGCTTTTCATTATGATGTCCACGTTTTACTAATTTCTACTTAAAATGAAAGCCTGGGCAACATGCCAAAACACCATCTCTACAAAAAATAAAAAAGAAAAAAAATTAGCTGGGCATGCATGGTGGCATGCACCTGTAGTCCCAGCTACTTAGGAGGTTGAGACAGGAGAATCGCTTGAGCCTGGGAGGCAGGAGCTGAAGTGAGCCGAGATCGCACCATTGCATTCCAGGATGGGCAACAGGAGTGAGACCCTGTCTCAAAAAAGATTACCAATATTAAAAATGTCATTAGTGTTAACTTGGGGGAAGGGGGCAGTAATTATTACCTCCCAATTTTATACGGTTACCTTTTTTTTTTTTTTTTTGAGACAGAGTCTTGCTTTGTTGCCCAGGTTGGAGTACAGTGGCTCAACCATGGCTCACTGCAGCCTCTGTCTCCCAGGCTCAAGTGATCCTCCCACCTCAGCCTCCCAAGTAGCTGAACCACAGGTGTGTACCACATCTGGCTGATTTTTAAATTACTGGTAGAGATGGGGTCTCACGATGTTGCTCAGGCTAGTCTTGGGCTCTTGGGCTCAAATAATCCTTCCACCTCAGCCTCCCAAAGTGCTGGGATTTTAGGCATGAGCCACTGCACCTGGACTATTCAGGTAACTTTCTTTTTTTTTTTTTTTTTGAAATGGAGTCTCGATCTGTCACCTAAGCTGGAGTGAAGTGGTGCGATTTCGGTTCACTGCAACTTCTGCCTCCCAGGTTCAAGTAATTCTTGTGCCTCAGCCTCCCAAGTAGCTGGGACTACAGGTGTGCACCACCACACCCGGGCTAATTTTTGTATTTTTCATTAGAGAGGGGGTTTCGCCATGTTGGCCAGGCTTGTCTCGAACTCCTGACATCAGGTGATCTGCTCTTGGCCTCCCAAAGTGCTGGGATTAGAAGCGTGAGCCACCGTGCTCAGCCAGGTAATTTTTAAAAGCATGTCTAGATCTCATATTTGGTCATTTATGTATCATAATCAATTAAAGAATAAGCAGATACAATACACTAATATAGGCACCCAGTAGACAGTTTAGCTCAAAAACCTTTGAAAAAGGGCTCAGGCCAGCAGTAAATCTAAAAGGCAATAATAGATAAATCAAGACAGGTTATAAACAAAAAACAATCTAGGAACAGATAGATTCTCACTTTCTCATCATGGAAGGTCTATTGGTCCCATCTCAAAACTGAAATAATGATTCACCATCAAATAGTAGCAATAATACATGATAAAATTATATATTTAAGAGTACACTTACATAAATACTGCATCCTTTTCCACAACAACAGCAGGAATCTTATAGGGAAATCCATATAGTTTCTGAACGATGTATTTATATACTAAGTCTATATTTTTGTTTTCTTTTACTGAAGTGTAAATAAGTGCTGCACCATCTGAATAATATGGTTAAAGAAAAATTCTGGACAAATGTCATGAGCAAATACCATAAAATTCTGTGTTTTCAGCTTAACTTTTATTTCTATGCATTTTAGTTTCAGAAATAACTCCAAAGGTATATTATATGGTAATCAAGAACTTCAAAAGTAAAAAATACTACCTTCATATGGGCTACAATTAATAAAAGAATTTTTACATAATCAATTTAACTTAGGAAGGCAGAAGTCTCATTAAGACAAGAAGTAAAGGTAAATCTAGAAATACTGACACCATGACTACTTCTATATTTAAAGCACATGAAAGGACAATTTTTATGTTTTAACTTTCCTAAACTTCATAGAGGGGATATTATTTATCAACAGCTGTTTTGTTTGCCTTTTCAACAAAAATGGTGTGTTAACAGTGTCTCTTTGTAGTTTTTACAAAACCCAGGAATTAAAGACTTCAGGGATAAGGCTCAGGAGACTCACTGGAGAGAGCAAAAGAAACCCAATGTTGAAAGGTGAGCCAGCAGGTACCAATTAGGAAGCTTTCAGGAATAACCCAAGGCAAAAGCACATTTCATGACAAAACTTGAAATAACACAACCTCACATCAAGATGTATTAAAGCAGAGCCTAACTTTGACCTTTTATCCAAAAGACACAGTGGATGTAAATATTAAGACATCCATGGACAATGTGACCACTGACAGATGATGGATTCAGAGTGGCTATCAGAAATTCTATGACCATCCACATTCTAGCACTGGCCCTTGTTTCTCCAAGGGAGATGGTGACCTAGGCCAAGGGGGAAATGCTGGGAGTACAGTCTAACTTCTTAACTGGGATACTCATATTTTCTGGGACATGACCTGAGGCTTATAAACCTAAAAGCAGTATTGCTAAATACAACTTACTAAACTTACTTTGATACGAAACTTTAACATGGTAGAGACAAACATAATCTTAGGCAAAAGTTTAACTGTATTAACTTTGCATTAATGCTCTTCCCCACAATGAAAACCAAATTATGATAATTTGGAAGATTTCTGTAACTGAAAAACTTACATTGCAATTAAAAATTTAATAAAATAAAGGTGATTTTGAACTGTCACTGTCACTGATAAATACATACCTCATTATCTTGAGATGACTTCTCACATTTTGTATTCTTTTAAAATCAACTGGCTCTAATGGTCTCTATTTTGGTAGAAAGCTTCCTTTCTGATTACATTTCTGTACTTACATTTTTAAGTATAGCATTAAATAAATGATTAAAGAGACTGTTTACTCTCAAATTTTCTAATCCCCAAAGATAACATAAAAAAGAGGCTACAGATACCTACACTACAATTACCCTCACTTTTTATTTTATTTTTGAAGACACTATGGTAGACTAGTACCCTTTAACTCAACCAACTCAGCCATTTGGTGACATGAGAAGAGAAAGGCCCATAAAGAGAAAGAACTGAAGAGAAAAGGGGAAAGGGAAACTATCAGTGTCAAGTGATCTTATTCAGGCTTTCTTTAAGTGGTCCTTAAATTAAACGCCCACTAATGAAAATGATTTATAATTTGTAGACACCATAAACGTGTGTATTACTCATTACTATCTATTCCTAATAATCATTTCATTATGTTTCAGACTCAAAAACTTTGGCTGGGGAATGCAACTGCAAAATATCTGATCCAAGAGGGTTGGTGAGTTTACTCTTCAGTGCATTCAAGGTGTAACTAAGTTTTCAACAGTAAAGTCTCTAAAAAGTACTCACTTTTAACCTTCATTTTCTCCCTATTTTAGCTGTAATTATTACTCACTGGCTCACCTAATCCTTGCAATCTAGATTAACAAGACTTTCTATGATAGATTTTCCAGGAAGGTTTCTAAAGTTTAGATGATTCTCCAGCCTCACTTTGGAATACTCCAATCCAATATGTCTAGATAGGCAGAGCCAGATTTTGAAACCACTGTTAGGCTATATGTGGAGAAGATGACAACACACTAAACAAATTAAAAATGAAAACACAAAAAACACAATACTGACCTTGTCCTACCACCCACCAATAAATACAGTTTTTTAATCAGATATGTTCATAACTACATACAGCTTACTAGACTTTTCCACATACAATTGGTAATTATTTTTCTTAAGCATACTTTAAACACAGCAAATCAAAGTAACATACTTCAATATTTGCTTTTCTATCTCAAAATATCCAAATGTAAATAATTTGGGAACTAAAATGAAATTTCCAACCAGAGACAGAAGGAGAAATGTTTACAGAATTTCTCAAGTCCATCAATTTAATTCTTTTAACTTTAAAAAACTAAAACAGGTAAAGTGATACACTGAATCAATAAATGTATTTAAAAGGATACACTGTAAACAAAACTTCCGGATATGTGACTGAATAAAATCAAAATGTTCATCTCTGTAGTCATGTTCTTTCTCCAATACACTAATGGCATCACACTGTTAAGTTAAAATAATTAAAAATAATACATTTAAAATAATCATAACTAAATATAGTAATTTAAACAGTTCAATTCTGGATAGGGGAACATCATAAAAGTACCACTCTGATATGGTGAATGAACAGCAGGACACAGAATATCAAGTACCCTATGAACTTTTAGTTGGAGGGACTAATGGATAATTTTATCTTTTTAAAAAGCATTAACTTCAACGTTAATGTTAAATCTGGTCAGAACACCAAAGACAAAGTTTTAGTACCTAAGGGAAGGAAGAATAACAAGCCTAGCTTGTTCTAAGAAATCATACTTGCTAATAACTCAACTACTTATAACCTGGAACAAAGTTTTAAAAAATCTAACATCTATTTTAGTTTTATAAAACACTTCTGCATATCCAGGGAGTCTCTACTTCTCACCATTTCTTCTTTGTTCCTGTGTTTATCTGATAATTCTCAAGTGACCTTAATTTCTTTTCTGGTGCTTTTATTCACTCTTATTACAATCTCACTAATAACAAAATAAGGAAACTACAACTGATTTTTGAAATGTCGCCTGTACAATCAATGAGACAATTCTGAATTCTGCTTGCTACAGAAAAATGCTAAGAAAAATACAAAAAAGGCATGTTCAAACATCACGACATCCAAATAATTTCACCAAAACCCTTCTGAATTGCAGGTGTAAAATATAAAAATAAACATTTAATAATGGTCATTACACCTAATATTAGTTTGGGGTTAAATCTGCTATGTAATTTTTTTGTTACATATATATATATATAATTTATATATATAATATATATATATAATTTATATATATAATATATATATAATATATATATAATTTATATATATAATATATATATATTTATATATAATATATATATATAATTTATATATATAATATATATATATAATTTATATATATAATATATATATATAATTATATATATATAATTTATTATATATATATATAAAATTTATATATATATATAAAATAGCAAAAAAAAAAAAAAAACCTAACAGGGTGCAGTGGTATGTGCCTGTACTACTTTGGAAGGTGAGGCAGGAGGATTGAGCCTAGGAGTTCAAGACTACCTGGGCAACATAGCAAAACTCTCCACAAAAATGAAAATAAAAACATATATACGGCACAGAACAGAGTCTCATTATATAATTATGAGGAGCATTTCATTGCCCATTTTATCAAATACTGACAGTGATTTCAAATGATTAAAAATAATTATTATACTTTGACTTATTGACACTTTTGGAAAGGCATGGTGGTTTAGTATTAAATAAAAATATTTTAAGGCCAGGCGCGGTGGCTCACGCCTGTAATCCCAGCACTTTGGGAGGTCGAGGTGGGCAGATCACGAGGTCAGGAGATCGAGACCATCCTGGCTAACACGGTGAAACCCCGTCTCCACTAAAAATACAAAAAAATTAGCCGGCCATGGTGGCGGGCGCCTGTGGTCCCAGCTACTCGGGAGGCTGAGGCAGGAGAATGGCGTGCACCTAGGAGGCGGAGCTCGCTGTGAGCCAAGATTGCGCCACCGCACTCTAGCCTGGGTGACAGTGCAAGGCTCCATATAAAAAAAAAAAAAAATTTTTTTTAACTGAAATCAGAGGATCTGGACTTAAGACAAGAAACTTAGAGAGACTAAGTTTCTAAGACTAAGAGAAATCTCCATTTCCGGAGTCTTTAAACTGATGGCGTTGAACCACCATACTTCTCTCCCTTTGGAAACACACATTTCTCCATACCCCTATACATTTTAAAAGTTCATAAACTGAAATACATCTGATAGTGTCTTAGATTTTATGAAATACAGTAGATGATCTATTCTGGTTTGAAAATGTTATGACTCTATGACTCATTTGATACTGATTCCGGACCCTTTAAGCTTAACATTTTTCTTTTGGAAAGTAAGACTGCTTTTCATAAGGCAAGTAGTGCTGACGGAACCAATGGAACCAACTTCCAATAAACAAACAGCTCTTCACCAACCAAAACAAAATAAAAAACAAAGCACACAGAAGGATTTCAGTGTGAGATTTTAAGATAGTGTTTTACAGAAAAGGTGTATGTAACAATTAACTATACCAAAACCACCATTTGAAAGCAGATGGCAGACTTTAACTTAATTATTTTAAGTGCCGTCACTCCATTCCTTTGTTATGGATAATTTTTGTAGCAAAGTAAAACCTAAGCTAGGTTTTAGATTTTTTAATCAATTTTACTCCAACAATGAATAAATTCTATACCCTCCTTTAATTTTACATGTGCAAATTTTACATAATAAAAGGCATTAATTTCAGGTCTCAAAAGGACTTATGTTCTGTCATTTTCTTAACTATTCCATGACTTACGAACAGTAAAAACACACACTTAGGACCAAGTGGGGAGAACATGAAATTGATCTATTATTATTATTATTATTATTATTTTGAGATGGAGTCTCTGTCGCCCAGGCTGGAGTGCAGTGGCGCAATCTCAGCTCACTGCAAGCTCTGCCTCCCAGGTTCACGCCATTCTCCTGCCTCAGCCTCCCGAGTAGCTGGGACTACAGGCGCCCGCCACCATGCCTGGCTAATTTTTTGTATTTTTAGTAGAGATGGGGTTTCACCATGTTAGCCAGGATGGTCTCGATCTCCTGATCTCATGATCCGCCCACCTCGACCTCCCAAAATGCTGGGATTACAGGCGTGAGCCACCACGCCCAGCTGATCTATTAATTATTTTTATTTATGTATTTATTTATTTATTTAATTTTGAGACAGAGTCTCACTCTGTAGCCCAGGTTGGGGTGCAGTGGCGCAATCTCGGCTCACTGCAAGCTCCACCTCCCGAGTACATGCCATTCTCCCGCTTCAGCCTCCTGAGTAGCTGGGACTAAAGGCGCCCGCCACCACGCCTGGCTAATTTTTTTGTATTTTTTTTTGGTAGAGGAGGGGTTTCACCGTTTTAGCCAGGATGGTCTCGATCTCCTGACCTCGTGATCCACCCGCCTCAGCCTCCCAAAGTGCTGGGATTACAGGTGTGAGCCACCATGCCTCACCTTCTATTAATTATTTTTAAAGGAAACTTAATTTTATTACAAAATATATACAGTGAAATAACCAATAATATAATTTTGATAATAGTGGTCCTATCAGAACCTCTTTAAAAAACAGAAACCCTTGATGACTGCATGTTAACTTTATATAATGAGTGCTGCTACATGTTTAAAAGTCTACTTTAAGTATATAATCCTCTGATATTAGAGAATATATAAAAATTTAATGTTGAGGCTGGGCACAGTGGCTCACACCTGCAATCCCAGCACTTTGGGAGGCCAAGGCGGGTGGGTCACCTGAGGTCAAGAGTTTGAGACCAGGCTGGCCAACATGGTGAAAGCCCGTCTCTACTAAAAATACAAAAAATTAGGTGGGAGTGGTGGTGGGTGCCTGTAATCCCAGCTACTACGGAGGCTGAGGCAGGAGAATTGCTTTAACCCGGGAAGCGGAGGTTGCAGTGAGCCGAGATTGTTCCATTGTACTCCAGCCTGGGCAACAAGAGCAAAACTCCGTCTCAAAAAAAAAAAAAAAAAAATTAATGTTGAAAAATAATTTTATAAAAACCAATAAACTATCATTTTACCTGTAATTATTTCTACTAAACTGATTGATCATACAATGAAGTTCAATTGGAATTATGAAAATGAAATTCAATCACAAGTATTTGAAATAACATTTTCTTTCAAAGAAACTATAATTAAGACCACAAAAGCAACATGTTAATATCATTAAATACTTTAAACTATTATTTGTTTGTTAACAAAAAATCATCTAGGAGAACTAATGTGTTAACTCCAAAAAACCTGGAAAACAAAACAGTTGTTCATCCTCAGTGAATATCAGTTGCAGAATCCCTAGGAAGCAAACTAACCTTTGTGCAAACTACTAGTACTGGAATGCCCAAGTTATGTGTAAGTGTATCCGCACCCAGAGGTAAAACTACACTGTCATCTTTGTCTTCTTGTGACGCAGTATTTCTTCTCTGGGGAGAAGCCGGGAAGTCTTCTCCTGGCTCTACATATTCTTGGAAGTCTCTAATCACTGAAAATCAAAGTAAACACAATTTAGAAATTGCTTCATTTCAGCAGGTAACTTTTCTTGCCATAATCTAAAGATAAAATTTACTCGAATTTATACTTAGTCTTGTGTAAGAGAAGAAACAAAAAGGGTTTGAGAAACCTATTTCAAAGAGAATATACAAACACTGGACCCACAGTAATAATTAGGAGACAGAATATTACTACTGCAGGGGATGGCTCTACAAAGTAGGGTTCTATCTAGACCTGGCTCAATTTATGCAAAATATTTTGGTCAAGTCACAATTAGTTTTGTCTCTCTACCTTCTCTAATTCACAAAGGGCACTGTATGGATAAAAGAAAAATAAATGTGGGAGAAAAAAATCCCATAACTTAAAAGATAGTCTAGATGATTTTCTAATACTAACTTCTTTCACTAAACCCTTTACTCAGGTCTCTCCTTTTTTACCTAGGCTCAATCTTGGGCCATGCTCATTCTGTAACTCTGGTACAACTTAATGAAATATTACCAGTGCTGATCAGTTTTTAGGAGTTATTTGCAAGGTTGTCAAAACTGTCACTAAAAAATATAAAGTAAATGTGAATGTATCAAGAGACTTGAAAATGTATGTTTAGACTCCGTAATTACTCGCCTAGGAATTCTCAAGGGCACAATCAGTGATGCACATACATAGGGATTTCCACGTAACTCTTTTCTTCATGTATAAAAGCAAAACAAATTTGGAAACAAACTGTCTATAGCATAGGATTAAAATAGTATATGAGAAAAAATTATACACAACCATAAGATGTCAAGTTTTCAAAGAATATTTAACGTTGTAGGAAATAGTAACATTAAAAGATACATAAATAAAAGAAGGCCAACGTATGATTCCAGCTTAGAAATAAAAATACTGGGAAAAATACACAAAAGTATTAGTTATTTATTTAGAGACAGGGTCTTGCTCTGTCACCCATGCTGGAGTGCAGCGGTGCAATCATGGCTCACTACAGCCCTGACCCAAGTGATTTTCTGGCTCAACCTCCCGAGTGAGTAGCTACAGGCATGTGCCACCACACCTGGCTAACTTTTTATTTTTGTAGAGATGGGGTCTCACTATGTTGCCCAGGCTGGTCTCAAACTCTGGGCTCAAGCCATCCTCCCACCTCAGCATCCCAAAGTGTTGGGATAACAGAGGTGAGCCACTGTGACCGGCTATTTTCAATTTTTTTTTTTTTTTTTTTGAGATGGAGGCTCACTGTGTCACCAGGCTGGAATGCAGTGGCGCAATCTCACTCACTGCAACCCCCGCCTCCTGCGTTCAAGTGATTCTCCTGCCTCAGCCTCCCAAGGGGCTGGGACTACAGGCGCCCACCACCACGCCTGGCTAATTTTTGTATTTTTAGAAAAGACGGGGTTTCATCATATCGGCCAGGCTAGTCTTGAATTCCCGACTTGTGATCCACCTGCCTTGGCCTCCCCAAGTGTTGGGATTACAGGCGTGAGCCACTGCGCCCAGCCCTATTTTCAATTTTCAAAAAACAAAGAATGTACATTATTACTTACTTAGAAAAAAAATGTGTGTTTTCTCTTAAAGTAATTATGAGCCAGATCTTTGGATCATGAAGACTGACTCATATGGAGGAAAACTGTTCTGAATTTACATGGGGTCAAGGAATAGGGAATCCCGAACAGGTGGGCACCGTTCCTCTAGAAACACAGGGGTCTGTATGTACCCTTAGCAGCCCTGGTGACTACCACTCTTAAGATCAGAGGCTGTAATCTAATAGTGGCTGTCAAATTTTATCATGCACCAGAATCACTTCAAAGGCTTGTTACATCACAGATTACTGTTTCCACCCTCAAGAGTTTCTAATTCAGTGGTCCAGGATGGGGAGTGAAAAATGTGTACTTTTGATATGTTCCCAGCTATACTGATACTGGTGCTGCTGGTCCAGGGAACCACAGTTCAACAACTACTACTCTAGGATAAATCTAGACTTAGGGAAGAACAATAACAACAAAAACTCCACAGGCAATAGTAAACAGAAAAAAAAAAATTAAAAGCATTTAGACATCTCTTTCAATGATTTACTACATACATTTTAAGTTTTTACTGTTTTCTTACACATAAATTCCAGCAAGCTGTCAATTTTTCTTTAAAAGTTACTGTCAGTGAATAATAACAAAGGAGTTCATCTATGTATTTCCTTTCTTTTTTTTTTTTTTTTTTTGAGACGGAGTCTTGCTCTGTCGCCCAGGCTGGAGTACAGTGGCGCAATCTCAGCTCACTGCAATCTCCGCCTCCTGGGTTCAAGCAATTCCCTGCCTCAGCCTCCCAAGTAGGTGGGATTACAGGCACCCGCCACCATGCTGGGCTAATTTTTTTTTTTTTTGTATTTTTAGTAGGGACAGGGTTTCACCATCTTGGCCAGGCTGGTCTTGAACTCCTAACCTCGTGATCCACCTGCTTCAGCCTCCCAAAGCGCTGGGATTACAGGCGTGAGCCACCACGCCTGGCCCACCTATGTATTTTCTTATGCAAAGCACAATATTGGCAAATGAAGAACTCTAAGTGACATTAAAAAATGTTACAGGCAGCCGGACGTGGTGGCTCATGCCTGTAATCCCAGCACTTTGGGAGTCTGAGCAAGGTGGATCGCTTGAGCTCAGGAGTTCAAGACCAGCCTGGGCAACATGGCAAAACCCTATGTCTACAAAAAATAAAAAAAATTAGCCAGGCATGGTGGTACGTGCCTGTACTACTCAGGGGGCTGAGATGGGAGGATGGCTTGAGCTGGTGGGGGGGCGGGCAGAGGTTGCAGTGAACCAAGATTGTGCCACTGTACTTCAGCCTGGGCAACAGTGTGGGACCCTGACTCAAAAATAAAAATAAAAAATGTTGCTGGCTTACAACCTGTTAGAAATGACTCATACAATTTTCATAATTCCCATAAAAATCTCCAATTCACATAGGCATGTACAAAATATGTACTTTATAAATCATAAAACCATTTTAATATCTTTATATGTATACTGTCAACATCTTTCTAGGCACATTTCATTTTGACAAGGTCAGTAAGATTACGAATTAAAAAATGAAACTGCTGAAAATGAGCAGCTGAAGAAAGATTCAATCTTTTCACCCTGCAAAGCTACTTTCCAAAATGAACACACACAGCTTTTTGGCAAGGAGAAAAGGCATCTCTACTAAACAGTTTACCATTGTGTCTTATGTTTCTAATTTGAAACTATATTAAAACCTAGCACATCATCTAAAGAGAATTTTAAAAACAGTAGTTACAGGCTGGGCCGGTGGCTCACGCCTGTAATCCCAGCACTCTGGGAGGCCGAGTGGGGTGGATCATGAGGTCAGGAGTGCGAGACCAGCCTGGCCAATATGGTGAAACCCCGTCTCTACTAAAAATACAAAAATTAGCAGGGCATGGTGGCAGGTGCCCGTAATACCAGCTACTTGAACCCAGGAGGCAGAGGTTGCAGTGAGCCAAGATTGCGCCACTGCACTCCAGCCTGGGTGACAGAACAAGACTCTTGTCTCCAAAAAAAAAAAAAAAGTACTTACAATATGCTTACTTCATTAAACCTTTTTTATAGTCAAAAATTCCTAATGATTAAAGTCAGCCAAGACATTTTGTATTTGAAACCTACATTACTGTTTCTAGATTACTTACACTTTTGTTCCATTTGTTTCATTTCTTCAGGAGGGATTTTCAGTTTGTCAACATGTTCTCTAACAACACTTGCCCATTTCTGTAAAGAATCCAAAGCAGTCCAAGGCTTTGACATGTCAACAACCAGCATAACTAGAGTATCCTTCAGAGATACGGCATCCAGTGAAAATTTAAGGAGGCCTTTGTGATATAGGTCTCCATCTAAGATCCAAACATTACATCTTGTTTGATCTACAACAGACAAAACAAAGTAACCAAGGCAACAAGATTAAGTCATTTCATCATCCAACTAACAGTACCACTTGGTATTTTAGTGCATCTCCACAGGAGATGTGCTATTGGCTTTGACAAAGTTCAACAATTTAGGCCATCTACCAATTTATTTAAAGGCCGAAAATGACTTAACTGCCAGTAAAGTTCAACTGTTTAGGCCATCTGCTAATTTATCTAAAGGCCTAAAATGACTTAACTGTAGCATCCTCTACTTCATATTTCTTAATCCAAAACCAGAGGATGCATAACTTGTTTATGTTTTTACCATCAGCAGATAGAGATATGCATACTCAAGATATCATATACAAAAATGAGAAGGCAAGTGATCTACAGAAGAAAAAATAGCTGATAGATAAAAAAGCTGAGTAGATAATATTTTTATCAGAAAATTAGAAAGTGAAATGGGAGTCAACAAAACAATCACTATCTGAGGGAAGATGAACTGAAAAACTGAGATTCTTCAAGTATGGTAGGAAAGAAGTATCTGCACACCAGGATACCTTAAGATGCTTAAAAGTATCATATATGAATCCCAATCCCAAATTAATAAAAGTATGGCTAAACATAGCTATTTCTTGACCAGCATGACATCACAGAACTTCTAGTAAAAAATTACACACTAAAAAAAATCAAAGACTAATGTGAATGGCAGTGCACCTCAAAATAGACTTCAGAAATTTATGTTACAAATGACACTCACCATCCCTGTCTTCATCATGCACATTTAAGTACAAATATTCCAATCCTCTTCCTTTCTTATACTCCTCTATTCCCTGAATTTTTCTTATTAAGCTTGTTTTTCCAGCTCCATCTTCACCTAGATATGTAAAAAAAGGATAAATCTTATAAATTATAACACCGATTATTTAAGGATGCTTTCTAGTACCAAGTGAAAAACCCAACTGGAACTAGCTTCAACCAAAAAGGCAATTTGATGAAATATAATGGAGCAGCTACAGTATTAAACATGCAGACTTGGCTGGGCATGGTGGCTCACACCTGTAATCCCAGCACTTTGGGAGGCCGAGGCAGGCAGATCACTTGAGGTCAGGAGTTTGAGACCAGCCTGGCCAACATGGTGAAACCCCGTCTCTACTAAAAGTAGAAAAATTAGTCAGGCGTGGTGGTGCATGCCTGTAATCCCAGCTGCTCAGGAGGCTGAGGCAGAAGAATCTCTTGGACCTGGGAGGCGGAGGTTGCAGTGAGCCAAGATTGTGCCACTGTACTCCAGGCTGGGTAACAAAGCAAGACTCTGTCTGAAGAAAAAAAAAAGATAAAAAAGATGCAGACTCCATCATGACCAGGATTCTCTCTCCGTCTTGTTAAATCTTGTCCTATCCTATTGCAAATGACTTCCTCTACGGATAATTTTCAGGAGATGAGAAGGTAAAGTGAAACACCTTAGGTTTCAGGAATTTCCACTCTCATGTCATCCCAGTTTAATCTACAAGGAATAAAAGACTCTTACTCTTAGCTTTCAATCTGAAGAACCTCAGGTAAAGACTCTTAATTGGCCCAGTTTGAGTTATATGTCCACCTAAGGGCCAATCAAGGGGGAAGGATGGCACATCAATCAGTTCCCTGTACATCAGGACAGGGAACTGTGACCTTTAGCAGAACCATGAAGCCATAATAAATACGTAGCAGGAGAGATGGTGAGAAAATGGGGATAACAAGTTGGGCAAGAAAAAGTGTAGGGGGGATGTACAACAGACAAAAATTAAAAATAGACTTAAAAGTATTAATGACAGAAAATCACGTGATTTAAATTTGACACAAGTATTTTTTAAAAAGGTTTAAAACTAGGCTAACTAGGCCAGGCGCGGTGGCTCACGCCTGTAATCCTAGCACTTTGGGAGGCCAAGGGAGGTGGATCCCGAGGTCAGGAGTTCAGACCAGCCTGGCCAGCATGGTGAAACCCCATCTCTACTAAAAATACAAAAAATTAGCAGGGCACAGTGGCGCGCATCTGTAATCCCAGCTACTCGGGAGACTGAGGCAGGAGAACTGCTTGAATCCGGGAGGTAGAGGTTGCAGTGAGCCAAGATCACGCCACTGCACTCCAGCCTGGGCAACAGAGTGAGGCTCTGTCTCAAAACAAAACAAAACAAAACTAGGCTAGCTGTTCAATGTTTTGGTGAGGGCTTTTTAATATTGTGAGTATTTAAATGCTACTTACATGTTACTGTTCATGGACTTATTAGAATCATAGTAATAGTATTTATAGATATAAAACTGGAGTTGCTTGAATCTAAGGACTTATTCCTGAAGATCTATGAGTTCTCTAAGAATTTAAAAATTGTCTTCATTTCCATGTTAAGCTAAAAAAAACATATATGTCTTAAGTCTTTATATCTGAATGCTGCCACAAGATTGCAGTGCCCACCTCTGCAATGGTGTTTATAATCCTACTGGGGCCAAGGTGAAGCCAAGTGATGCAGACAGAACAGAAAAGAAAGTCAACACACAGGCATGCCAAATTCAAAGTATCCCAGAGCAGTCAATTCCATATTCAACTGCACCAGGCAGACTGGTTCTTTTTATGAAACATTTTCTAATACTTCACAGCAATAAGTGTAACCTTAAATAGGTAATAAAAAAGGTGACAGTAAGAAATCCAAAGGAAGTAAATACGTTAAAGAGATATCTGTACTCCCATGTTCATTGCGGCATTATTCACAATAGCCAAGATATGGTATCAACCTAATTGTCCATCAACTCCATCAACAAATGAATAGATAAGGAAAATCTGGTACGTGTATGTGTGTATATGCACATATGTACATAATAGTATTGCATTGTGGGTATGTGTATGTATAATATATATGTGTGTGTATATGTTACATGTATACACATACACACACATATATATTATACACACACATACTCGCAATGCAATACTATTTAGCCTCAAAGAAGGAAGGAATTTCCATCATATGCAACAATATGAATGAACCTGGAAGGTTCATCATTATGTTAAATCAGGGGTCCCCAACCCACTGGGCTGTGGACCGGTACCAGTCTATGGCCTGTCAGGAACGAGGCCACACAGCAGGAGGTGAGCCGACAGCATTACCGCTGAGCTCCACCTCCCGTCAGATCAGCAGTGCCGGCATTAGATTCTCATAGGAGCCCAAACCCTAATGTGAACTGCGCACGCCTGGGGATCAAGGCTGCATGCTCCTTAGGAGAATCTAACTAATGCCTGATGATCTGAGGTAAAAGAGTTTCATCCTGAAACGTCCCCACCCAGTCCATGGAAAAACTGTCTTCCATGAAGTCGGTTTCTGGTGCCCAAAAAGACTGGGGACTGCTGTGTTAAATAAAACAAGCCAGGCACCGAAAAGCAAATGCTCCATGATCTCACTCATACATGCAACCTTAAAAAGTTGATCTTACAGAAGTTGAGAACACAACAGTAGTTACCGGGGACTGGGGCCATGGTAGGGAAGGGAGTTGGGGAGAGAGATGTTGGTCAAAGGTTACAGAATTTCAGTTAGACAGGAGGAATACCTTCAAGAGACCTATTGTACAACTTGGTGACTATAGTTATTAACAATATGCTGTACTGAAAAATGCCAAGAGATTAGATTTAAGTGTTCTCACAACAATGACAACTATGTGAGGTAATACATATGTTAATTAGCTTGATTTAGCCATTCCATAATGCATATATATACTCTAAAACTTCATGTACTGTAAATATATACAATTTTACCTAATTTAAAAAAAGAATTTGACACTAAATTTGTATTTTTCAGTACTATTTTTACAAAGTACCATTAAACTGGCCCATCAAAAAAAGAAATTAGGTTTAAAAACAGTAATATCTATGATGACAATGATTCCCATAATGATCATGTTTAAAATGCTTAAAATGGAAATAACCAGTAAAAAATAAAATATAAAAATATTTCTTTCTATTACTAAACCCAACACTGGCATTTAATTTCAGCAAAACATCAGTTGTTATATTGATGTTTCTAATTTGAATTTTACCAAGTTCTATAGTTTCTATGGCATTTAATTTATAAGTACTTATAAATCAGTATAGTTTCTACGGCATTTAATTTATAAGTACATTTAATTTATAATTTTGGGGTTTGGAGTTATTTGGGAACTATAAGCCAAAAAAAATAAGTATATCTAGTTGCCTCAGCAGACACAAGCATTAGACTTTATATAATAAAAATAATTTAAATCACCATGTGAAGAGATCTATGAATATCTTCCTTTAAAAGGAGCCTGAATCTGTTCTAGAACTAGGAAAAGAATCAAGATTTCTTAAGGTTTTTATTCTTATGACAGGCTACTTTCCTGAAAGAAATCCTCTAAGTTAAAATGATATCAACTTGATTTGGATTATCCCACAAAAACAATGTTTTGCACTGTAAGTAAAAACCTAGTGCCCAGCCTTATAACAGAAGCTTACTGAACAACACAATATTCAATAAGTATTTTGTAAAGCATACACAGATCCATAAAAATAAGCAGTAATTAGTTAAGTAAAACTACATATAATATGACCCAGGATTTATCTTATTTCTTTAATTCCCACTTTAAATGTTAGAAAATGAAAAGACACTACCTTGATTGAGCCATCCCACAATGTACACACATTTCAAAACATATTGTACACAATATACACAATTTTTGTCAGTTTTAAAAAAGTGAAAAGACACCTTCATAAGGGTAAAAACTTCAGATGAGTTTATTTCAACTTATTTCTTAAAATATTAATATTTCAACTTACTTAAATATAAAGGCTTCCAAATAAAAAATACGTAGCTGCAGAAAATCTCATGCATAAGCAAAAGAATAGAAATCATATTATCTAGAAATAATCATTGATAATTTGGTTATCTCTGATGGCGATATTATGAGTAATTTTTTCAATAACAAGCTTGTGTCTTCCTTTTAGTTTAACTAATCTCTAAAGGTTTAAGTTAGTAGATTCAGAACAGATTTTGAGCCTGAATTCATGACATCAAAAATACTATTGGCCGGGCACAGTGGCTCACGCCTGTAATCACAGCACTTTGGGAGGCCAAGGCGGGTGGATCACCTTAAGTCGGGAGTTAGAGACCAGCCTGACCAACATGGAGAAACCCCGTCTCTACTAAAAATACAAAATTAGCCAGGTGTGGTGGTGCATGACTATAATCCCAGTTACTCGGGAGGCTGAGGCAGGAGAATCGCTTGAACCCGGGAGGCGGAAGTTGCAGTGAGCTGAGATTGCGCCATTGCACTCCAGCCTAGGCAGCAAGAGTGAAACTCCGTCTCAAAACAAACAAACAAAAAAACAAAACTGTCAATCTAACTATATAGGCTCACTATTTTAATTTCTTGCAGCCATCACTACAGCATGGTTGTTTCCTTTTTCTAAAGACTGAACAGGGTTCTCCTCCACTTATCATAAGATCAGAGTTTATTCCTCTCTGTGAATGTTGTCAATCATTCGTTTCACTGGACGAATTAATAATTTTCTAACTATTAGAACTATCAGAATCACCTGCAGGATTTGTTATAAGGTATCAGAATCACCTGAGAAGTTTGTTAAAACACAGATTACTGGGACCCACCCCCTTAGTTTCTAATCCAGTAAATATTGAGTGGGGCCTAAGAATCTGCATTTCTAACAAGTTTCCAGAGATGCTGATACTGCTGGTACAGAAGCCACATTGAAAACCATTCCATGGCTGGATGTGGTGGCTCATGCCTGCAAACCCAGAACTTTGGGAGCCGAGGCAGGTGGATCACTTGAGCCCAGGAGTTCAAGAGCCTGGGTGATCAAGTGAGATCCCATCTCTATTTATAGTTTTTAAATGTGTAAAAAAAATTTTAACAGCAAATTAAAAAAAAAAAAAAGAAAACCACTGCATTAAACATTTATTAAACTAAGCCAAACACTAAGAATATGAAGATCCTTATATCAAAATTGTTGTCCTCTAAGAGCTCATAAATTGGAAGGGGATAACAAATACGAAACAGTTTCAAGATATTGTCATTACAACTACACCAGAGATATGCAACAAATCAGGAAGTCAGCCCAGAGGGAAGAGCCTGGTTTTACTTGGAAGTCAGAAGTCTTTGCAGAAAAGGTAACGCTTTAGTCAAATCTTGTACAGTTAATGAACCATGGAGAGTCTGTCATTCCAGGAAGTAAGAACACATGAAAAAAGCACATACAGAGACCCAGAAGCAAAGAAGCATCCTTCTAGGAAGGACAAATAATTTGAATGCATGAGATTTAGGATGTGAAGGGGAAAGGAAGCAAAAGGTGAAAACAAACAGTGGAGGCCAGATCATGAAAGGCATCTTATGCCAAGCTGAGAAGGTCAGACTATTCTGAAGATGAGGAACCACTGGCACAGTTTAGGTACTTTAGAAAGAGTGCTATGGAAAAGTGTGGAAGAATGACTGACAAGAGTAAGTTTAGGAGTAAAGAGACAAGACAATAGGCTATTAATGGAGTCCTAGCAAAAAATGAGGTAGTTCTGAACTAAGGTATGGAGGCAGAGACAACTATACTCAAAGGCTGATTTGGTTGGGAGTTGGCAGAGAGAAGAGGCAGACAGAGAAGTCAGAGAAGACTGCCTGGCTATAACTTCAGAAACACCATCCTCTTTACCAGCTGCCTCTGAAGTGTTTGGTCCTAAGTCTTTTTTGCAGACTGCTCTTCTATCCCTACCCAACATTTGTTACCTAGGGTTCCTTCCTCAGTCCTCTGCCCTTCTCACTCTATATGTAATTCCCAGAGACTGCAAATCCAGGACTTCAATTCCACCTAAAATCTGGTGACCCACAGACTTCCTTCAAGGCTCAGCTTCTCCCAAACTACTTACTAGTCATTACTACTGGATGTCCCATGAATACCTCACATTTCAATATGCACAAAGCATTATCATCATCTTGCCACTTCCCCCAAAACACTGACTTACATAATTAATATAAGATTCCAACCTCAAAGCCTTTATATCCACTATTCCCTCTACCTAGAACAAAGTTCCTTCAGATATCTGCATGTTGCCTAACCTCCTTTTTGCCTTCCCTTAAATATTACCTCCTCAGGTAGGCCTCCCTGACCACCTCATTCATTCATTCCTTCTTACAAACAAGTATTTACTATTCATTCATTCATTCATTTTAAAGACAGGTCTCACTCTGTTATCTTTCTTCATTCATTCACTCATTTTTAAAACAGGGTCTTCCTATGTTGTCCAGGATGGTCTCAAACTCCCGGCCTCAAGCATTCCTTCCACTTAGCCTCCCAAGCACTGGGATTACAAGCATGAGTCACTGAGACCCCCAGCTTTTCTTCCCCCATCTCATTTAGAATTACAACCTCCCAACATTCTTTATTTTTTTTTCCACTGAACATACTAAGATACTATGTATTTTACTTAGTCTCCCCCAACCTCAAAAGCAAGCTCCAGAAAAATAGGCATTTCTATTTTGTTCACTGCTGCATCCCTAGTACCTAAAAAGCACATGTGACAAACGTGCCTATTATGTCTGCTCCTTTCACAGCAAAATGTATACTTTTGCTGTTGTTGTTGTTGTTGTTGTTGTCGTTGAGACGGAGTCTCCCTCTTTCGCCAGGCTGGAGTGCAGGGGTGCGATCTTGGCTCACTGCAACCTCCACCTCCCAGGTTCAAGTAATTCTCCTGCCTCAGCCTCCCGAGTAGCTGGGACTACAGGCACACGCCACCACGCCCAGCTAATTTTTTTATTTTTAGTAGAGAAGGGGTTTCACCATGTTGGCCAGGATCTCTTGACCTCGTGATCTGCCTGCCTCGGCCTCCCAAAGTGCTGGGATTACAGGCGTGAGCCACCACACCCGGCCTAAAATGTATACTTCTAAGCCTCCTACAGAGCAGCCACTGACACATCTTGTCTCAAACAACAAAAAGCTATCAGCAGGGCATGGACCTCAGCATTTTGGAAGGCCAAGGCAAGAGGATTACTTGAACCCAGGAGTTGAAGGCCAGTCTGGTCAAGATAGGGAGATCCTCTATCTACAAAAAAATAGAAAAATTGGCCAGGTGTGGTGGTGCACACCTGTGGTCCCAGCTACTCAGGAGGCTGAGGTGGGAGGACAGCTCAGGCATGGGAGAATCAAGGCTGCAGTAAGCTGTGATCATGCCACTGCACTCCAGCCCGGGAAGCAGAGTGAGACACTATCCCAAAAACAAAAACAAAAAACCCAAACCAAACCATAAAAAAGTGCTATCAATTCAGTTGCAGCCAAAAATTGATCCAAGTTTCACAAATCCCTAAATGCAGGATACAAATTTCGTCCCCTTACCTACTTTGAGAGTATTTTAAAACTATATTGTATATTAATGAGTTTGAAATGCAAAGGCCTAAAAAACTAGGACACAAAAAGGATAAAGTCAACATGTCTCCACACAATAAATATTAAAGACTAGAATTATGTCCCTTCGCCCATACCTTAGTCAAATGGAGCCACTAGTGGTTCCCACTTCCCTCTCTACAGAAGCAGCAAGCAGCATACAGCAGTGAACACTTACAGAGTGCCTACCTGCAAGAGTATCCTGCCAACTGTAACTAACACAACAACTCTGAGGGGCGTGATTATCTCCCATTTGGCAGGTAGGATGCTGAGGCTCAGTTAAGTACCTTATCCAAGTTCACACAGGTAGGAAATGACAGAGCCAGGTCTGGATTCATAGGAATTTAATGCCAAGGCACATTCTTCCTAATACTCAACAGTGCTGGTGTCTTTAGAGACCATTAAAGCAAGACTGTTTGGGAGCCATGGTGGCTCAGGGCTGTTGTCCTGGTGCATAAGGAGGCAAGGCTAGGCATTTGAGGCCAGCCTGGGCAACACAGAAACCTCTAATCTATGTAACAACAACAACAAAAAGACTGTTTATTATTTTTTGTATTATGACTCTCTGAAGAAAAAAGTTATCTCCACTTCCAAGAATCACTACTATTTTCAGAAGAGAAAGAAAATTAATGCACTCTTCTTTGTGGACTTCCTCTGAGTGACAGGTGGATATGTTCCTAGTCTTGTGAATCTAACTTGAAGTAGCAGAAATTTGTTTTACTATGCTGGTAATTTTTTCTCTGCTAGAATTTTACATGATGACAGCTATTCCTCTTAACATTCAGTACTCTGTAGATGTGTTTTAAGTAAACTTTACAACATAAAATTTGAAAAAGGAAAGAGCATATGGTCAAATAAATGTAGTATGTTAAACATAGTAGTTTCAGATTATTTCCCCACCCTGTGATTTCAAAATTTCTCACTTCTTGTAACAAGTTAGAAATGGTCACACTGAGAATAAATAACATTTCATAAACACAGCATTTTGGGGCTACAAGGAACTGTAATAAATCCCCTCTTCTTACAAATGGGGAAACTGAGGCCAAGGCTACAGTCACAAAGATTGGTGGTAGCATAGAATAATCCATGCCTCCCAAGAGAATCCAAGTCAACCTCTGCAAGGGTACAACTCCCTTTAGCTCTTAGGGTAAACAGAATAAGGAAAAAACAAAAACTTATTCCCAAGAATATTCTGACCACCTCACACAGTGCTTTGGCAGGAAGAAGGTTCTTAAAATGTTTCAGGAAGCATTTTATTTATTGAAACAAAATCTTTCTGGGAGCAAAATTTCTATCAACCACTCTTCCTCCTCTCTCATTTATCAACTTTAATAACATCTGGTAATTAAAATTTTTGAATTTTTTTTTTTTTTTTTTTTTTTTGAGACAGACTCTCACTTTGTCACCCAGGATGGAGTGCAATAGCGCAATCTTGGCTCACTGCAACCTCCGCATCCCGGGTTAAAGTGATTCTCCTGCCTCAGACTCTCGAGTAGCTGGGACTACAGGCGCATGCCACCATGCCCGGCTAGTTTTTGTGGTTTTAGTAGAGATGGGGTTTCACCATGTTGCCCAGGCTAGTCTCGAACTCCTGGCCTCAAGTGATCTGCCCGCCTCAGCCTCCCAAAGTGCTGCAATTATGGCATGAGCCACCTCATCAGACCCTGGTAATTGAAAATTGAACATTCATATTTTATAAACATCTTAAGCCCATTTCTTCTTTTCATACATCTTAAGCTTCAATTCAAAATCCTCTTAAGACCCCTCAGGGGATTATGCAGCTTTCACTTTCTTTACACCTAAATGCAGTCTGACATGATGTGTCTTGATGGCAAATGCAACATCTGAAAACAGATCTGTTTCATAAAAGGTCTGAAAAGCTAATGAAAACAAAGGTTCTGTAAACAAAATCCCACTTTTTATCTCCTATTTTCCAGGAATCTGATCTGAGGTATCTGCAAAGATGCAGTCTTGTTCTAGGGTTATACACATCTTCCAATCATATTGTTTGTTAAACTGTTTTTCTCTTTTCATGTCTTTAGGCACAAAACTTAACATTTGGCCTCCTCCCAGTTCTCTTCTCCTCACTCTATTAACACACCACTTATAAGTGAGCATTCACTAAGTATATACCAGCCCCCAATCCATTCCCATCCTGCAGCTGAGTGATCTTCCTGAACCGATCTCATTATGCTACTCTCTCTCTTAAGACCCTTCATCAGGGCATTCTAGTTAATGATACACTTGCTGAAGTATTTAGAGGAAAAGTGTACTGATATCTGCAACTTACACTGAAATGCATTTTTAAAAAATGGGTAAGAGAGCAGGACACATGTGATAAAGCAAATGTAATTAAATGTTAATGGTAGAATCTAGGTTGAGATATATGCGTATTAACTGTAAAATCCCTTCAACTTTTCTGTATGTTTGGAATTTTCGTAAGATGTGAGAAAAAAACCCGTCAGGGTCTTCCTGCTGTTCTTACAGGTAAAGGGCAAAATGTAAAGGTCAACATTCTTACAAAAGCTCCCTTACCTTTCCTGCCCATCTCTCACCATGTCCCCCACCAACATACTAGGCTCTAGACACACAATTTCTTTCAGGAACTTCTAGTCAGAGGCCTCGTTCTCTCCCAACTCTACACCTTCACATATGCCATCACTTCTCTCTGGAACACTCTTCCCTTCCCCTCACCTGGGAGAACGCTATCTTCTTCTGGTCTCTAGGAAGCTTTCTTTGACTCCACATGTTTGGTTAAGTGCCCTCTTTGTGCTCTCAATAGCACACTGCAGACTGAATAGCACACTGTACTGCAGAGGGTCATCTTAGACGTGTGTTTCTTCCAGCAGTCTATAAGTGTGTCAGGTATGTCCCCCACATTCAACGAATACTCTTCAGGCAGGTTCTCCTAACAGTCAGCAAGACATAAAGTCTTTGCTTTTAAGGAGACTGCTTGCTTACCAAATAGAGAAACCATGTCTTATGTACAGATCTTTCACCAACCTTCATATTCTTTTTGTTGCTTTGTGGGTTTCCTTCTTGTTTCTCTGTTTTGTTTTGAGACAGGGTCTCATTCTGTCACCCAAGCTGGGGTACAGTGCACAATTATGGCTCACTGCAGCCTCAACCTCCTGGGCTCAAGCAATCCCTCCACCTCAGCTTAAGTAATCGGGACTACAGGGGTGTGCCACCATGCCTGGCTAATTTTTTAATTTTTTGTAGAGATGGGGTCTCCCTATGTTAACCAGGCTGGTCTTGAACTCAAGCAATCCTCCCACTTCAGTCTCCTAAAATGTTATGGTAACAGTCATGAGCCAGGACATCTGGCCCAAACTTCGCTATTTCTTGATTCCAACCACAATCTCTATTTTCATAATATACTTCATCTGTAACTGCTTGTCCTGGCCATTTACCACAATCTATTAAAATCATTCATTACTCATATAAATAAAACTCAAATGTCCACCTCTCATCAATAACAGATCAATTAATAGTGTAAGCTCATAATACATTCCTCCTTCACTAAACTTAGGAAAACTTTTTCTAGCCATTGGACCAAGGGTTGGTCCTTAGTTGCCTTGCCACAACCAAGCTGGACAGTGTTTGAAGATACTAAAAACTCCATCATGAACCCTCTTCTCTTTATTCACCTATACAATTAGAAGGATAAAAAATATTAAAGTTTAGGATGTCTGTCCTTTGACACTGATACGTTTAAAAATCATGGTTTGCTGGGCACGGTGGCTTAGGCCTGTAATCCCAACACTCTGGGAGGCTGAGGTGGGTGGATCACCTGAGGTCAGGAGTTTGAGACCAGCCTGGCCAACATGACGAAACCCTATCTCTACTAAAAATACAAAAAAAAAATTAGCCAGGCATGGTGGCGGGCACTTTGTAATCCCAGCTACTCGAGAGGCTGAGGCAGGAGAAACACTTGAATCTAGGAGGCGGAGGCTGCAGTGAGTCGAAATCGCACCACTGCACTCCAGCCTGGGCAACGAGAGCAAGACTCCGTCTCAAAAAAAGTAAATAAATAAAAATAAAATAAAAAAATAAATAAATAGAAGTAAAAATAAAAATAATGCTTAATGGCAAACAATTTTAAAAATTAAGTCACTAAATTATAAGTTATTGTTTGGAAAACACAACACACCTAATAGTTCCAGTAAAATAAAATAATTTACTTTATTCTACACAATTAATATACCTTTAAAGTGGCCAATACAGAAAAGGGGTTTCCAACGATACTTGAAATAATCCAGCTACCTATCTTCAGTTCCTTGGCCTTCAGCTGGCAGTGAAACAGACACATCAGCTTTAAGACTGGCAGCCAAATAGTTAACGATCTGTAAACATACAATTACGCAAGTAGAGAGTTCCTGTTCAAACAGACTGGATGAAAGCCCTTCCATAAAGAACCCTTTAGGTGATGATGCTAAAATTATTTTCTGAATATTTTATCTAAATTTGCATGTTTATATACTAAATTTTCTTAAAGAGGGCATATTTAAAAAAACAAATCATTTCATTACAGCCTGAGCAACATGGCAAAACCCCATCTCTACAAAAAAATACAAAAATTAGGCAGGCATGGTGGCACACACCTGTAGCCCCAGCTACTCAGGAGGCTGAGGTGGGAGATCACCTGAGCCCAGGAGGCTGAGGCTGTAGTGAGCTGTGACTGCACCACTGCTCTCCAGCCTGGGCAACAGAGCAAGACCCTGTCTCAAACAACAACAACAATTTCATAAAAGCAATACTATTAGTTTTCATGTCTACATGCAGGTGCTAGACAACTTCTTCTGTAAAGGACTAGACAGCAAATACTTTAAGCTTCTCAGGCCACATGGGTCTCTGTCACACATTTTTTGTTTTATTCCCCCAACTCTTTAAAAATGTAAAAAAAAAAAAAAAAAAAAAAGAAAAGAAAAAGAAAATCTCAGATTCCACACATGGTCACCAAAACAGTACAGGGTGATACTGCTTTATCTCCCTGATAGATCTCTAACTCAACAATAGAATGTAATCTCCATCAACTTCATAATAACAATTAACAGGGGGCCGGGAGCGGTGGCTCACGCCTGTAATCCCAGCACTTTGGGAGGCCGAGGCGGGCCGATCATCTGAGGTTGGGAGTTCGAGATCAGCCTGACCAACATGGAGAAATCCCGTCTCTACTAAAAATACAAAATTAGCCGGGTGTGGTGGTGCATGCCTGTAATCCCAGCTACTCAGGAAGGCTGAGGCAGGAGAATCCCTTGAACCCAGGAGGCAGAGGCTGCGGTAAGCCAAGATCGCACCATTGCACTCTAGCCTGGGCAACAAGAGCAAAACTCCATCTCAAAAAAAAAAAAAATAATAACAACAATTAACAGATTAGAACTGTGAAGACTTAGAAATGTGATTTCTAACTGCAACACTGTCATTATTGATTGTGTAAACCTGTCAAATAATTCCATTTGTTCCCCAACTTCTAAATCGAGGAGAGTAAGATCAGACCATCTCTATAGTGATGGATTTAAAATGCTGTACTATTATCATCCATTACTACTACTTTTTTTTTTTTTTTTAAAGACAGAGTCTATGGTGCCCAGGCTAGTCTTGAACTTCTGGGCTCCAGCAATCCTCCCACCTGAATTTCCCGAGTAACTTGCACTACAGGTGTGTGCCACTGTGCCCAGCTTCATCCATTACTTCTTGATCAGTAATACACTAGAAATAAAACTCATATATATATAGTTTTTGTGTGTGTGTGTGAGACAGGGCAACTCTGTTGCCCAGGCTGGAGTGCAGTGGCAAGATCTCAGCTCACTGCAGCCTCGATCTCCTAGGCTCAAGTGATCCTCCCACTTCAGCCTCCTGAGTAGCTGACACTACAGGTGCATCCACCATGCCTGGTTGATTTTTGTATTTTTTGTAGAGCAAGATTTCACCATGCTGCCCAGGATGGTCTCAAAGTCCTGAGTTAAAGCGATCTGCCCACCCTGGCCTCCCAAAATGCTGAGATTATAGGCGTGTGCCACCATGCCCGGCCCAACTCCTTTGTAACTTATACAGCAGTTTAAAAAATATAACAATAAAAACAGGAATTGTGAAAAATCAGTAGTCAAAGCAAAACAATTAAGAACACATAATACTTTAATGATAATAGCTATCTTGAACACTTCCCAAGTACGCATGCCACTGTTTGACATGGTCCCCAGCATCAGGAACATCAGGAGACAGGGAATTCTAATGTGCTATATCCCTTCCTTATCCAATTGAGATATCAACATTGTAAAGCTGACATTTTTGATTTGGACTTATATAACATAAATTATCCTATTTTATCTGAAAGCTCTGGTGACAAGAGCCATGAGGGGTCTTCACTGAACTACCTGTGGCGTACATCTTCTGCATGGCCTTCCACAGGTTATCTGGAGGACCCAGGTAGGGTGAGGGACTTTAGGTGTGCTCCCCATCTCCTAGAGGGCATCTTCCTCCCTCACATTGGTAGGTAAGAGTAGGGAGAGACTATTAACAAAATGCAGGACACAAAGTGACTGTAAGTAAAAATTTATGCATGCCTATTCATGACTACATCCCTCCAACATGTCAAGGGGTGCCTGTAGAGCGAAAAGACAAACCCAATTTTGAATTCCAGCTGAAGGCCAGGCGTGGTGGCTCACAGCTGTAATCCCAAAACTTATGGAGGCTGAGGCAGGCGGATCAACTGAGGTCAGGAGTTCAAGACCAGCCTGGCCAACAATGTGAAACCCCATCTCTACTAAAAATACAAAAATTAGCCAAGCCTGGTGGCACGCCTGTAGTCCCAGCTGCTCCAGAGGCTGAGGCAGGAGAATCACTTGAACCAGGGAGACGGAGGTTGCAGTGAGCCGAGATCGTGCCACTGCACTCCAGCCTGGGCAACACAGTAAGACTCTGTCTCAAAAAATAAATAAATAAAATGAATTCCAGCTCAGTTGTGTAACCTAGGGCTTAAAACCCTTTCCTGTAAAATAGTAAACATGCTACATAATACGGTACCTAGCAGAACACCCAACACAAGTAACAGACACAATACATGATAGTTCCCAGCCCTGCAGCTGGCCAAAGCCCTACCTTTGGATTGATCATTCAGCAATTCACATTACATTAAAAAAAAACAGAACTTATCCTTAATCATTTTCCTTACTCCCACGGGCTGTCTAGATATGAATTAAAAATAACATTTAGTTGGCCGGGCACAGTGGCTCATGCCTGTAATCCCAGCACTTTGGGAGGATGAGGCAGGCAGATCACCTAAGGTCGGGAGTTCAAGACCAGCCTGACCAACATGGAGAAACCCCCGTCTACTAAAAATACAAAATTAGCCAGGCGTGGTGGCTCATGCCTGCAATCCCAGCTACTCATGAGGCTGAGGCAGGATAATCGCTTGAACAAGGGAGGTGGAGGTTGCAGTGAGCCAAGACTGCACCACTGCACTCCAGCCTGGGCAACAAGAGCAAAACTCCGTCTCAAAAAAAAAAAAAAAAAAAAAAAAAAAAAAACAAACAAAAAAAACACACACACACCAAAGAAAACATTTAGTTTAATCCAATAAATATCTACCAAGATCAGTAAATGCTAAGCACAGTGGTTGATTACAATGGCTATTAATAGTTCCCATGCCCTAGGAGGTCAAAGTCACACTAAAGCAATGGTTCTTAATCAAATATGGTATGTATTCTACAATTAAATCACCTTTACATTAAGATGCAAATTTTTAACCTACTAGATAGCCAAAGATTAAAATGAATAATACTTAGTATTGGCAATGGTGCTAAACAAACAAGTATTCTCACATACTGATGGTAAAAATGTGGCCAGGCGTGGTGGCTCACACCTGTAATCCCAGCACTTTGGGAGGCTGAGGTAGGCAGATCATGAGGTCAGGAGATCGAGACCATCCTGGCTAACACAGCGAAACCCCGTCTCTACTAAAAAATACGAAAAATTAGCCAGGCGTGGTGGCACACGCCGGTGGTCCCAGCTACTCAGGAGGCTGAGGCAGGAGAATTGCTTGAACCCGGGAGTCAGAGGTTGTAGTGAGGCAAGATGGCACCACTGCACTCCAGCCTGGGTGACAGAGCGAGACTTCATCTCAAAAAAAAAAAAAGTAAAATAGTATAACTTTCCTAGAAGACTGACAATACTTATGTAGAAAGATTTAAAAGACCTAACAATTCCACTTCTGGGAACTTATCCCAAAGAAAATACTGGACAAGTGGAAAATGAGGTATAACAATAATAATCTGTCTACCAATCCATTATAATTATGGTATATCTATATATACTATTCAGTCAATAAACAAAGCCGTATCTATTAACATGAAAAAAAAAACCCGTGTTACACGAAGTGAACCATGGTACATGACATTAAAAAAAAATCTGATTGCAAACAAATAATATAAATCATGATTTATTTTTAAGAAAAAAATATTCACATAGAGAAAATGAACATGACCTGGTGTGTTAATAGACGCTCATACCTATAACCCTAGCACTTTGAGGCCAAGACCAGAGGATCATTTGAGCACAGGAGTTTGAGACCAGGCTGGGCAACATAGTGAGACTCCCATCTCTCCAAAAAATAATTAGCCAGGTATGGTGTCCTGTAGTCCCAGTTACTCAGGAGGCTGAGGCAGGAAAATCACTTGAGCCCAGGAATTGGAGGCTGCAGTAAGCTATGATTACACTACCGCACTCCAGCCTGGGGAACAGAGCAAGACTTTCTCTCTAAAACATAAAAAATAAATAAATAAGAAAAAATGAACACTTACCTCTACGTGGTAGGATCATGCATTATTTTCATGTTCTTTCTTTCCTTCTTTTGGGACAAGGTCCCGCTCTGTCACCCAGGCTGTAGTGCAGTGGTGTGATCACAGCTCACTACAACCTTGGACTCCCAGGCTCATATGAACCTTCTGCCTCAGCCTCCCAAGTAGCTGGGACAAAAGACATGTGCCACCACACCAGCTATTTAAAAAATTTTTTTTGTAGAGGCAGAGTCTTGCTGTATTACCCAGGCTGGTCTCAAGCCATGCCCCCACCTTGGCCTCCCAAAGTGCTAAGATTGCAGGCGGGAGCCACTGAGCATGGCTATTTTCACTTTATCTTCTTACCTTTTTTTAAATTTCTCTGGCAAGAAACATGCATTACTTTCATAATTTAAAATAGTGATTTCCAATTTTGAGAGGAAAGTGTTTTAGACATAATTTCTTTTGGTTCTTTTAATCCCATGATGCATGAAATAATCTCAGTTTACAGGTCAGGAGGTTCTAATTTGTCCACAACTCCACCACTTCAAAGGATAGGGAGGCTGACTCTTAAGATCTTGTGGCTTTCGTCAGGACTCCTTCCGCCATATCTAAACTGCCTCGGCCCTTTTCTCTGCGTTTTAGGCCCTTTTCACAGGTTGTTCTCCCCTCACCCTTCTTAGCAAAATTGTACTCAGATACCACCTCATCCGCAAAATATTTCGTGACCTATTTAGCAATTATTTCATACCGACATACTTGATCTTTACTACTTTGAGTCTCTTCCCCACAGGAGATTATAAGCTCCTGGAGGGCAGGAGCTGAGTCTTAGTCATCCTGTTTACCCCAGATGATTCAGCAAAGCATTTTATACATGACATGTCTCTAATAAATGTTTGGTGAAAAAAAGAATAAAATGGTAATCTGTGGGGTCTTTCTAATAGCCACTGTCCTGATTTTACAAATAAAGCAAATAAGGCCCAAAAAGGTTAGTCCATGGTCACTTACTTTTTTTTTTTTTTTTTTTGAGATGGAGTCTTGCTTGGTCACCCAGGCTGGAGTGCGGTGGCACGATCTCGGCTCACTGCAACCTCCATCTCCTGAGTTCAAGCAATTCTCCCTGCCTCTACCTCTCGAGTGGCTGGGATTACAGGCACCCATCACCACACCTGGCTAATTTTTCTGTTTTTAGTAGAAATGGGGTTTCATCATGTTGGCCAGGCTGGTCTCGAACTCATGACTTGAAGTAATCTGCCTGTCTTGGCCTCCCAAAGTGCTGGAATTACAGGCCTGAGCCACCACGCCCGGCCACTTAGACTTGTTAGTGACAGAGTCCCACGCTAAATTTTAGACTTTTCTTTTCCTATTTCAAGACTCCTTTCTGTTTTATATTTTCTAAGTGCTTTTACTGACATTCCCTCTCACATGGATTTCACACCAGCTGAATTACTGCTCTACCAGCCTGTATCTGTGATTTGCCAGTTCTGTTTTCTGCTTTTGACAGTAGCACTGGGGGAAATATTATATGAAGTCCTCTTAACAATTCTTAAACCTGTGCTCAAACTATACCTAACTGGAATAACAATGATACTTTAAGTAAAGACTGTTCATCATTTGTTCAACAGATATTCACTAGGCACCTATTATGTGCCACACACCATATCCCATTAACTAGAAATCTCTATTAACTGGCATTTGTGCTTACTGATAAAACTGACGCCAATAATCCCCTAACACAGTCATGTGCTGTGGGTCATACCTATAACCCCAGTGATTCAGGAGACTGAGGTGGGAGGATCACTTTAGCCCAGGAGTTGGGGACCAGCCTGGGCAACATAGTAAATCCCTGTCTCTAGAAAAATATAACAAATTTTTAAAATTAGCCATCGTGGTGGGACTACAGTCCTGTATATTCCCAGTTACTTGAGAGGCTGAGGCAGGAAGATCTCTTGAGCCCAGGAGTTTGAGGCTGCAATAAGTTATGATCGTGCCAGTGTACTACAGCCTAGGTGACAGGGCAAGACCCCATCTCTAAATAAACAAACAAACAAGCAAACAAACAAACAAACACAGAGGTTCACAAACTTCAGGCCACAGGCCAAAACTGGCTTGCTGCCTGTTTTTATAAATAAAGTTTTATTGAAACAAGCCTGTACCCATTCATTTACATATTATCCATGGCTGTTTTGGAACTACAACAGCAGAACTGAGTTGTTGCAACAGAGACCATATGACTTACAAAGCCTAAACTATTTACAATCTGGCCCTTGACAAAAGAGTTTGCTGATTCTATTATAAGATGCCACTATGCCATCTTACTCTCAAAACACTTTATATTTGGTGTATTTTTAGTAGTAGTAACATATAATAAACATGTAATAAATAATTTCATGCTAATTCTTTGAAAAAAGTCAATATCATATATGGTAACAGTCTATTCCTTGCATCATATTCCCATAACCAGTCATGCCAGAAAACAGCATAACTCATGGAACCTTGATGATCTTTAATCCCAGCTCCTCACCAAATCAATAGTTTTAGACTGAACACTCTCATTATTTTTATAATCAGTCCTCACATAGAAAACCATACACTCCCTTGCCAGTTACAAGTTACTTCTCTTAACAGATCTCTGAATTCCACTGTGCATATCTTAAGGTTTCCTACAATAGCTCAAGCATAATAGTTTTATTCCTGAAGGGGGGGAAAAAAGACTTTCACATATACTTATTGATGATGTTCAGCATTTTGTGGGACTTTTGGCTGCATATTACCGTGGACTAATACCTTCAGAGAACAATATAGCAACTTTACATTTCTTTCCGGGGTGGAATTAAATGGCCCACATCTATATTAATTAATTAAAACCCAATTTCAATATGCCTTAAAACATTTCTTTAAAAATATTCAATAACTCACAAGATTAAAATAAGAAAATTTATAAAATGTCAGATCAAATAAGGCTTTGGAGATCATTAAATTCAAATAGCCGGATTTACAGATGAGAAAGATGAGGCTTATATGACTTGACAAAGGACCACCTAGTTTTCATTAATTCACACTGACAGCAAATCAAAAAGTTACACTGAAGTCCTATCTAAAAACCAGTCACTGTGCTTGGGACCAGGATTACATATGTACCTTTGTTGACAATGAATTCAATTAATCTAAATAAGTGTTATTGCTTGCACTAAAAGATACACACTGAGAAGAATCAGATAAAATTCCTTAATAACTGCTAAGCATCCTCTTACTTACAAGGAAAGCTCTTTTCCTTTAGGGAGATTCTATAGATTAAGAGTACTAGCTCGGGGAGCTAGGCTGCACAATTTTTCTTTCTTTTTTTTGAGACAGAGTTTCACTCGTCACCCAGGCTGGAGTGCAATGGCGCCATCTTGGCTCACTGCAACCTCTGCCTCCCTGGTTCAAGCGAGTCTCCTGCCTCAGCCTCCTGAGTAGCTGGGACTACAGGAGCCACCACTATGTCTGGCTAATTTTTGTATTTTTAGTAGAGACTGGGTTTCACCATATTGGCCAGGCTGGTCTCGAACTCTTGACCTCAGGTGATCCACCCCCTCAGCCTCCTAAAGTGCTAGGATTATAGGCAGGAGCCATGGGGCCGGCCTCAGGCTGCAAAATTTTGAATACTGATTTTACCTCCTGGCTATGTAACCCTAGGACAATTTACTTAACATTTCTGTTTCTGGCCGGGTGTGGTAGCTCACCCCTGTAATCCCAATACTTTGGGAGACTGAGGTGAGAGAAGGACTGCTTGAGCCCAGGAGTTCAAGACCAGCTTGGGCAACACGGTGAGACCTCATCTCTCCAAAAAGTACAAAAACTGGCTAGGAGTGGTGACACGCACCTGTAGTCCCAGCTACTTAGGAGGCTGAGGCAGGAGGACGGTTTGAGCCCAGGAGGCAGAGGTTGCAGTGAGCCGAGATTATGCCACTACGCTCCAGCCTGGGTGACAGAGTAAGACCCTGCCTCAAAAATAAAAATTCTGTGTCTGTTTCCTGATCTTTAAGGGGATAGAGTATGTAAACAATCCTTACATGACTAGTACCTGTAAGTGCTCTATGTTAGGTATTATTATTTATTTTCCTTAGGGAGTTTTCTTATCAAAACATGGGAAAGTAATCAATATGGAGAAACTGCCTTTAAAGGCAGCTATTAAAATACAAATATGCCCAGCGCAGTGGCTCACGCGGCACTTTGGGAGGCCAAGGCGGGTAGATCACCTGAGGTCAGGAGTTCGAGACCAGCCTGACCAACATGGAGAAACTGTCTCTACTAAAAATACAAAATTAGCCAGGTGTGGTGGCACATGCCTGTAATCCCAGCTACGCAGGAGGCTGAGGCAGGAGAATCGCTTGAACCTAGGAGGTGGAGGTTGCAGTGAGCCGAAATCTTGCCATTACACTCTAGCCGGGGCAACAAGAGTGAAACTCCATCTCAAAAACAAACAAACAAACAAACAAAAAAACAAATATAATCAATTGTATTAAAAGTAATTAAATATAAAAGGTAAAAATGAAAATGCAGTTCTTAAAAAAACAATTTAGAGGTTAGAACCTACTTAAAATACATGTGCAAGAAGTCCTACCTTTATTAAAAACAAATCTTAATGAAATCCATTCTCAAAACCTTTCAAGAAAGAAGAGTTAATATCATAGACTTTTTGGATTTCATTAGAAGTCAGGCCTAGGCAGATTAAATGATTACTTAAACACAAGTGCCATTGCAACAGCTGCATCCCAGAATCCAATAAATATTTGGATTTTCCTTTAAAATAATTACCAGTACTTTTGTTCAAAGACAGGCTTTGAGTAGAAAGAGTTTTGTACCTGGCACTCTCTCCCTTGCAGGAACTTCTATCAAGTTAGAAATCCATGCCAGAGTCACAGAACAGGGCCCTTATGTTGTGTGACCTTGGAAAATCCACTTAACAGGTCTCTACAATTCATTACCCCATCTATAAATTGGTGCCCTGATCAGGGAGGAGAGAGGAGGTGAAATGAGATTTGTATGAAAATCCTTTGACAATGGCTCTTACACATACACACGTTACTACACATACATGACCCTTTACTCCCATCAGGTTGTAGGAGGAGAGAGAATGTGGCAAGCTAAACTGCAATTTGTGTGTGTTGTGAGGGGAGTACTTAGGGCTATATCATTGTTCCTATTCTAGGTTGTTTCTGAAATGTAAAGCCTTGTCATAGGCTCAGATTTGGTTTTTTATTTTATTTATTATTATTATTATTATTATTTTGAGACAGGGTCTCACTCTGTTGCCCAGGCTGGAGTGCAATGGCGTAATCTCAGCTCACTGCAACTTCTGCCTCCAGGGCTCAAGTTGTCCCTCCACCTTAGCCTCCTGAGTAGCTGAGACTACAGGCATGCACCATCATACCCGGCCTTTTTTTTTTTTTTTTTTGAGACAGAGTCTCGCTCTGTCACCCAGGCTGGAGTGCAGTGGCACGATCTTGGCTCACTGCAACCTCCGCCTCCCGGGCTCAAGCAATTCTCCTGCCTCAGCCTCCCGAGTAACTGGGATTACAGGTGTGTGCCACCATGCCCAGCTAATTTTTGTATTTGTAGTAGAGATGGGGTTTCACCATATTGACCAGGCTGGTCTCTAACTCCTAACTTCAGGTGATCCGCTCACCTAGGCCTCCTAAAGTCTGGGATTACAGGCAGGAGCTGCCGTGCCAGGCCAATTTTTTTATTTTTTGTAGACATGGGGTTTCACCATACTACCCAGGCTGGTCTCCAACTCCTGAGCTCAAACGATCCACCCCTCGGCCTCCCAAAATGCTGGGATTACAGGCGTGGGCCACTGTGCCTGGCCTTAGATTTGTTTTTTTAAATAAGAGACTCCAGAGACCACTTGCATTCATGAAAGATGTATTAGGGTCAAGCATCCTCCTGCCTAGCACCTTCAAACTCATAACAAAGAAAACCACAATCCCTATTTGGTATTTCTTTCCTCCACCAGCACAGAGTGAATGCTGCCATATGTGACGGTGAAATGTCTGTAAGAAATCTTCAGGGGTATTTTAGAAAGTTAACTCTATTTTTGTAACCAGTATACAAATCAGTTATTAGCTCCTTCCAAAGCTGAAAAGGACTCTCTGATGAAAATCCCAATAGTACTGAAAGAAAAATATTAAATTTCAAGCTCATATTACCTGATATTAGATGCACTTTATGAACTATTAAGTTCATAAAAAAGGAAATTTAATCTATTCTTGTATGGTGGAGTGAAGGAGGCTGGGACCTCTAAGAACACTCAGTCCCATGCACAGACCCAGTGTCAAAGGGGTGTTAAAAAAAAAATGGCACAACCTCAGTGCAAATTAGGTATACCAAAAAATGAACAAAACTGCCACTTTTGTTTTACCATAAACAGAATCATCTACACAATATCTAATGTGCAGAAATAACTGGACAAAATGTATAAAATAAGAACAAAACTACTGAATCTTACCTTTACCATGACAGTGTTTCCAAATATTTAATTAAAATAGAATCAATTTCAATGAGGTCATATGAGCTTAAATCCATTTTACCTTAGAAATGAGTAGTAATTTGTTTAAATTAGTAAACTAAAAATATATTATACAATTTTTTTTTGCTTTTGGATCCTAATTTATTTTTGCCCTATGAATATCACTTATGTAGGCACTAATTCAATTTTTTAAAAAGTTCTGATCACAAATATTTTCTAATGCAGTTTAAGATAAATCCATGACAAAGTATCACTTGCAAATATTACCACGATACAAACATTAACTCATTTGATTCCCGCCACAACCCTAGAGGCAAGTATTATTATTTCTATAACAACCATTTTAAAGATGAAGAAACTGAGGTTTATAGATGTCAAGCAACTTGCTTAAGATCCTAGGGCTTATATGTGATAGGGCAGTGACTCAATCCAGGCTAATCTTCAGTAGGTGCTTTCAACCACATTAAAAACAAGGGTAAAAACTAATTTTTCAACTAGCTCCATGTAGCTTTAAAGAATATCAATAATCATATATTCTTGCTTGGCAGCAGTCTATTAAAAAAGTAATTTTTTCTATGTAAACATTCATATTTAACCACGCAGCCTATCAAGTAGTATTTGACTTCTTGTTTCCTGTTTTTAGATGGATATAACCAAAACAACAACAACAACAACAAAAAACTCTGGTATTGAGCCGACACCAAATACCAAAGTTTTTAAATTTAATCATCGTATAAGCCAAACTTCAGTTATCTCGCATGTAAAGAGCTATATAGAGAAATTTCTCCTATAAATGATTCAGGAGCTAAGCCTAGAAAAATGCGAATCTGCGAACTATTCTCCCTCAGTCCTCTATCCCCACCCCCAGAGTCACTAAAGAAACAGAATACACAACTTCCAGAGAGCCGAGGAGATACAGAACAATCAGGAGAACTGACACTGGACCGTTTCTCCTTATTACATCCATTTGGCTGAAAAGACTTAACTAGAAAGTTGTGTTCTACTGCCCTTTACAAATTTCAGAATTATATGTGACAGTTAAGGTAGCTGCAACACGAGCACATTGTACCAGAGAACGCTGAATCAAGAACATTTATCGCCAGGTCTTAGTTCTAGCTTCTGTCAATTATACAAAGAGTCAGCTATTAAATATTAATGGCATGCCATTTGCGCTGCAGCTCTCGCAAAGAGCCTCCTGCTACCAATTTTTGTGATGAAAGAAAACCTGTCATTTTCTAGATAAACCCCAGGCCACGAGAATCCCTCAGATGAGCGATCGAATTCTGTCCTTCCCAGGGGAAGCTGTCAGGGCCACCCCCATATACCGGGGAGGAGGAGGAGGAACCTGAGGGAGGGCGGGTCCCCGCAGGTCCTGGGTCAAGGGTCTCGTGTTCCCCTTCTCTCCCAGCCATCCGCGACAGGTCGGGAGGCGAGGCGGGGCGGGGCTGGGCCGGCTGTCCGCACAAAGAGAGCCAGCGAGCTAGCCCGCGGACCAGGTACCCCGGGCCGCTGGGGGCCGGGCGGGGCGGGGCGAGGCAGGGAACACTTACCCAGCAGTAGCACGTTCTTCCCCGCAGGGAGCTTGGAGCGCGAGCGGGTGGAGACCTCGCTGAGGATGCAGGACCTAACGGGAAGCAAGGCGTACGGTGAGGCCGGAGGCCGGAGCCGCAGCGCGGGAGGGACGGACCCGGCCTCGGCGCGCCGGGGATGGGGCTGCCGGGAACGCAGTGGCCGGGCCCGGCGCCGAGCTCCAGCGGGCACGGGATCCCGAGGCGTCCGCGCAAGGCCGGGGGAGCCAGCGGGGGCTGAGGGAGAGGTGGAGTCGTTACCAAAGGTTCTGCCCGTCCTCGTCGTCGCCTGCCGCGGCGCCACCGTTGCCCGACGCTATCTCGTTGCCCAAGGGGCCGCCAGTGTAAGTCGAGGATAATCCCGGCGGAGAAGAACCGAAGGAGCCGACTCGCCCCACGGCCGCCATCTTGGTCGGGAATCACACCACTCCCGGCAAGACTAAATGTGCGAGGCGGCTGAGGCGGTGGCGGTGGAGGCGGCGGGAACCCGGATATGGGGCGTTCAGCGCACGGGAGCGGGGCGGGGCCTGCGGGGGCGGGGCCCCGGGCCGGGCCAGGACTGATGGAGCGAGCGAGAACGGACTGCGCGTGCGTGGCTGCCTGGCCGGCGCTGAGGGGCTGAGCGTACGCGGGCGGCGGGGTGGGCCGCTATGCTGCAACTGAAGCCCAGTGATCTGACAGTATGGAAGTGCTTTCCTTCCGCTCATCCGCGGCCCTGGGCTGCGGCAGGGGGGTTGGGTGTGTCAGGTGAAAAGTGCTCCCTCCCACCCTTCAGACAGGTCCCCAAACCCTGCGGCCTGCGCGGAATTCCTGCATTGTCATTGCCGGCCCACCCACTGTTCAGGCTGAGAGCGGTCCCCCGCCCAAACCGGCGCTTCGCCGGCGCCAAGATAGAAATGGGTCGCCCGGCTGGTAAAGAGGCTGCCCTGCAACCCTGGGCTGGAGTATTGCTGTGGTCCTGGATTTCTGGACTTTATTTGCGTTCTCAAGTGGCGAAGTGTTCCTCAACCTGGACCCACATCAGAAGCAGGTTCTCCGAGCCCCTAAGCAGCGGCGTGACAAAGTAATTGTTTACCCTGGAAATAGACTGTTATTTTTTAAAAATTATTGTCAGGGCTTGCTTTAATGTTCTTAATGTTTTTGTATGAGATCCTCCATGTGAGATTTGAAAAGATCCACTATGCGGGTCATCTAACCGGTCACTAGACATTGATTCCACACTTACTACGTCGAGCACAGTTGACACTGGGAATACATGGATGGACTTATACTAGCCCTAAAATAACTCCTTTTCTATTAGAACTTTACTAGGTAAAGGTATTTGAATGTCTGAACTCCATGTTTAGAAGGAGTCATTGGTTTTAAGGCTCTGTCCTAGTACACCTGTAAGAGCATTTGCTTAAAATTGCCTGGCCTTTGTATGTTATCTCTGTCACTTCATATTTGAAAATCACTTGCTAGAATATGGCCTGATCAATGCTGTTATGCTAGTGAGAAAATCCACAACTAAAGACTATTTGCTATATATTAGCATTACGGTTAGAAGTCTGGAAGCCTTTGGAGGCTGGCAAATCTGAGTTCAGGTCTAGCTCTTCGAGTTTACTGGCTGTGTAACCTTAGGCAATTTACTTAACCTCCGTGAGTCTCAGTTTCCTTATCTGTCAAATGAGGATAAAAGAACTTAGAGTTGTTATTGAGATTAAACGGGATGATTCATGTAAAATGGCTTAGAATAACGACTGGCAAATCTTAAGCGCTTACCACATGTTAATTGTTATCAATGACTTTCTTTACCTTTCACACCATTAATATCTGACCAACCTCTAGAAGTGATGGGCCTAAAGAACTCTTGGAGCTAAAATTCTTTGTCACCTGTAATGCCAGCGCTTTGGGAGGCCAAGGCAGGCAGATTGCTTAAGCCCAGGAGTTCTTGACCAGCCTGGGCAACATGGCGAAACCCCGGCTCTACAAAAAATTAGCCAAGCGTGGTGGTGTGTGCCTATAGTCCCAGCTATTTAGGAGGCTGAGGTGGGAGGATCACCTGAGTCCAGGAGGTCGAGGCTGCAGTGAACTGTGATCATGCCACTGCAATCCAGCCTGGATGACAGAGCAAGACCCTGTCACTAAATAAATAAATAAATAAATAAAATAAAACTTTTGATTTTGTTGTTTATATACTTAAGAAAGGAACCAGAACCCTCCCCAGTAGTCCTACACTTTCTGTGGCACAAAGCAGGATGGAGACCCCCAGGAGAAGCTGAGTCTTTATGTTACTGTTCTAAAGGAGAGCTGTATACTGCTCTTGGCCCCTCTGAAAGCCATTTTACTCTGTACTTTATTCTTTCAGTCATCTTCCTCAGAGCATTTTCCCCTCAATTTTGTTGTCAGTTCCATATCATATTTGCTTAGTCTGAGAAGTGTTTACTTTTATAATAGTGTCAGGCTTCAACACCTCATGACTTCCAGATGCTCAACTACCCACCTAAATTGAGGTCAAAGTTGTATTCCTTGTGGTTTTATAATATCCCTATCCAGCATTCTTCCATTAAGGTGGCTGACAAAAGTGGTCATTTATGAATGCCTACTATGTGCCAGGCACTCTGTGTGTTGTATTTGCAATCCTCATACTTTGTAAGGGTCAGCAAAATTAAGTAACCTACCCCAGGTCACACAGATCAGAAGTTTATAGATAAGCTGAGATTTTTTACTGTCTAGTCTGTAAAATGACCTAGGCCAAACCATGTTAAAATAAATGTCCTCGTAATTTTAGATGCTATTCTGGTAAATACCTTCTGTGAAAACCTCTACATTACAAAAATAGGGAAGCTATATATTATGAGGAAGTCTATAAAAGGAAATAATTCATCAGTCCCTTGGAATTTTTGTTGCATAAATGCTGTTTTATAATTGACCTGTTTTCTATACTATGATTGCTTTTTCTTTATTGCCCAATGTTTTCTTACATCTAAAATTAATAACCATCTTGTTTTTCTTTTTTCTTTTTTTTTTTTTTTTTTTTGAGACGGAGTCTTGCTCCATCGCCTAGGCTGGAGTGCATTGGTGCGATCTCGGCTCACTGCAACCTCCGCCTTCTGGGTTCAAGCAATTCTCCTGTCTCAGCCTCCCGAGTAGCTGGGACTACAGGTGCCTGCCAACACACCTGGCTAATTTTTGTATTTTTAGTAGAAACGGCGTTTCACCTTGTTGGTCAGCCTAGTCTCAAACTCCTGACCTCAGGTGATCCACCCGCCTTGGCCTCCCAAAGTGCTGGGATTACAGGCGTGAGCCACTGCGCCCGGCCAACCATCTTCTTTTTCATTTGCTTAGATTTCCATGTCTTTAATTCAGTTTCAAATTCCCGTCCCAGCTGTGTAAAACTCCTTGTTAGGTATTTTAACAATTTTACCTTCTTAAAGACACCTTTAAGAACCTTCTAGCCTGCTCCATTCTGAGTTGGTTATTCTGAAACTGAATACACAGCTGTCATCCTGTGATCTTTCACCATTGTTCAGAAGATTCCCTTTGCCTCAATCTTGTGTCTTCTTGTTTTAGTGGAGAACTTCCCCCAATAGTTTTCTGATAAAAAGGCTCACTGGTAAGTCTTTGGACACCAGTGTATCCAGTCAAGGTCAACCAGAGGAAAAATGGCATTCTTAAGGGGGTGCTAGAGGAAAGCTTAATAAAGGGACTGTTTACAAAGGTGTGAACAGTGTGAAGAGATAGGACTAGCAACAGCAGGAAGCCTTAGGCTTGAAAGGGATAGAGGAAGGAATGTTTACTAGAATCCAGAGAGAGATGCAGCTTATAGGAAAGTGTTGCCCACCAAGATTTATAGTCTTCAGTAAAGGAACACAGTATCCATCCCTTTCTTTCTGCCCCCTGGTCTCCCACCAGTGTTGCCCTTTGACCAAACCCAACCAGGAGCCAGAGGACAAGAGACCCAAGTGAAGCAATCCATGCAGGTCTACCTCCCTGAGCACAAAGTGGGAATAGAGAAGGATCTCAAGGGGCAAACAAGATATCTAGCACACCTCCTGTGTTTGAAAATGCATTTAATCTACCCTCACTTAATAATAGTTTGGTTAAGTATAGAATTCTTGAGTTACAAGCTATCTTCCCTTAGGTTTTTAAAGCCTTGGCCCCCTTATCTGTTAGATTCTAGTGTTACCATTGAGAAATCCAAAGCCATTCTGATTTCTAAATCTTTGTTATGTGTTCTTTTTTCTCCTTATTGGAATCCTTTGCAACTTCTACAAATTCCCACTAACACATCTATCCCCCTTCCATTATTTGCACTTTCATACTCTTCCCTCCTGCTAAGTATCGAAAGAATAATCCATACTCTTATACTAAAGCATTCTCTATGCACTAGAACCCATCTCCTATCCTCAACTCAATGACATTGTTCCAACAATTATTCCCTTTCTCTATATAATCATTTTTTATTTCCACTAGATTATTGCCATTAACATACAAACATACTATTGATTCTCTAATTTTAAAAAAAAGAAAGAAACATTTCCCTGAACCCCATTCCTTCACCAGCTACTACTACATATCTTTCCTTTTATTTGAGGGTCTCCCTCTGTCTCCCAGGCTGGAGTGCAGTGGTGCAATCTCGGCTCACTGCAACCACCGCCTCCGGGATTCAAGCTATTCTCCTGCCTCAGCCTTCTGGGTAGCTGGGATTACAGGTGCACACCACCACACCTGGCTAATTTTTGTATTAGAGACAGGGTTTCACCTGTTGGCCAGGCAGGTCTTGAACTCCTGATCACAAGAGATCTGCCCTCCTCAGCCTCCCAAAGTGCTGGGATTACAAGTGTGAGCTACCACGCCGGGCCTCTTTCCTTTCTTTGCCATCAAAACTCTTTAAAAGAATTGTCTCTCTATGCTATCTTAAATTCCTCTTCCCCCTTGCCCTTATGGCTCACTTCAATCAGGCTTTTACCCCTATGACTCTACAGAAACTGCTCTTACCCTTGTCAATGACCCCCTTATTGCTTAATACAATGGTACACTCTTTATCCTTGTCTTTGTTGACCTATCAACAACACAGGATACAGTTGCTCATTCCTTCTGGATATCCTTCATGTCGCTGCCAGGTCACCATGTTCTCTTTGTGTTTTTCCTCCCTTGGTAGCTGTTCCTTCCCAGTCTCCTTTTCTTTACTCATTTTTCTGACTGCTATGTGTTCAAGGACCCCAGGACTCAGTCTTTGTTCCTCTTCTCTCTCTTGGACTCAGTCTTTGTTCCTCTTCTCTCTCTACACTCACTCCCTTGGTGATGTCATCCAGTCTAACTACTTTAAATTCCATCTATATGATAAAGACTTCTAAATTTATTGCTCCAGCCCAGAGCTCCATCTGGAACTCCAAGTTAATATAGCCAACTGCCTATTCCACATCTCCACTTCAATATCTAATAGATATCTCAAACTCAACATGCCCCAAACTGAACTTCTGTCCTATGGGAACAAAGTATCTTCTACCTATGGCTTTCCCCATTGGGTAGCAACTCCTTGTTTCTTTGTTGCTTAGGCCCAAAACCTGAGTCATGCTTGACTTCTCTATTTGTCTCACACCACACATTGAATCCATGAGGAATCCTGTTGTCTCTACCTTCAAAATATACCCACAATCCAACTTCTTACCGCACTTCCCCTGATACCCTTTGACCTGAGCTATCATTTCTTGCCTAAATTCTGTAAAAGGCTCTTCAACATAACATCTAGAGTGATCCTTTAAGAATGTAAGTGAGACCACGTCACTTCTATGCTCAAAACCCAACAGTGGCTCCTCATTTCAGTCGGAGGAAAAGACAAAGATGTTACAATGACCCATAACGCCATGCAGGATCTGGCCCCACCGCCTCTCTGACTTTATCCGTTCCACTCTTCCCTTCAATTTCCCCCTTTCAGCCACATCAGCCCCACTGCTGTTTCTTGAATCTGTTGTGTGTCTCTTTGCTTTGAGGCCTTCGTTCTAGCTGTTCCTTCTGTTTTGAAGGAGGTGAGGAGCTGTCCATCCCAGTATCTTCCCCCAGGTAGCCAGTTGGCCAACTCCCTCTTCTCCTGCAGTGAGTGTGCTCCATTCTCAACTTCTCAGTGAGGTCTATCCTGACCTCTCCATTTAACATTGCACTCTGGCCCTTCACCTCTGAAATTCCAGATTCTCCTTACCTTGCTGTCCTTTTTGTTCTCCATAGCACTTATTATCGTCTAACATGGTATAGGATTTACTTGTTTAGTAGAACTCAAGCTCTGTGAGGGCAAGGATCTTTATCTTCTTCAGTAATGTATCCCAAGCACTTAGTACCTGGAACATAGCAGGCCTTCTGTAAAGATTTGCTGAAGATATGAATAAATGAATGAACCTACTTGTTACCAGTGTTCCAAAATTTTAGAATGGGGGGTGTGTGTGTGGGCACGTGTGCACATGCTTGTGTGTGTGTGTTTAAGAGAAGAAGATAAAAATTCTTCATTCTAACACCTGAAAGCAGGAGCTCTCTTTTATGATATTTTAACCATTAAATTAATTTATTTAGAGACAGGGTCTTTCTCTGTTGCTCAGGCTGGAGTGCTGTGGGACAATCATGGCTCACTGTAATTTTGAGCCCTGGGGCTTAAGTGAACCTCCTGCCTCAGCCTCCTGAGTAGCTAGGACTATACCTGTGTGCCACCATGTTCCAGCTCATTTTTTTTTTAGACAAGGTCACACTATCATCCAGGCTGGAATGCAGTGACCTGATCTCAGCTTACCGCAACCTCGACCTCCTGGACTCAAGTGATCCTCCCACCTCAGCCTCCTGAGTAACTGGGACTACAGGTGCAAGCCACCACGCCCAGCTAATTTTCAAAGTTTTTATAGAGACAGGGTTTTGCTTTGTTACCCAGGCTGATTTTTGTTTGTTTGTTTTGTTTTGTTTTGTTTTGTTTTGGTAGAGAGAAGTTCTCACTATGTTACCCAGGCTTGTCTCAAACTCCTGGACTCAAGCCATCTTCCTGTCTTAGCCTCTCAAAGCACTGGGATTACAAACATGAGCCATCACACCCAGCCTTAACCATTTTAAAAATATAAATCACTTAAAAGTATATTACACACCCCACTCCTTTCCTATTTTAACAAGTTATATAAATATAGATTTATGTTTTCCTGAAGGCCCTTGGCTTCCTTAGGCTCATCAATAATACTACCGTGTTAAATCTGGGAAGTGCTTAGGTCCTACTGGGATTCCCCGGGTGTATCCCAGATGGCTCTGCCTTTTAGTTTGGTTTCTAATTCAGCTGAGACTCAGGGCTTGTAAGTGGGAAATGGAACACTAGCCAAAAGTGAGACAGCTCCTCCTCTCTCCAGCTTCCTGTCTCCCAAGAGCTACACGTCTCTCCTCTCTGCTTGCTTCTCTTCTCTCCTCTCTCTCTGTCGACCAGCGTCCTCTGCAAACTCATCAGCTTTCTCAAGGTCACATTGGGTATTTCTCTATCTCAAGAAAAGTGATCACTGGACAGACACAAGAGCTCTGCAGAAAACTAGTTTGACTGGGAGGGGAACTTTCCGTAGGTCTGGAGGTGGGTACTGCAGAACCACTTCCTCTTTCTTTTGGGGATGCCTCCTTCTCTGTTTGGGAACCAAAACAAGGCAGCTACCACTTGGGCTGCTTCCTATTATATCAGTTCCACAGGCTGCCACAAGCAGATTTTCAAATAAAACCTGCTTCACCCATGGTGCCAAATGCTGGCAGTCACAGTTGATATAAATGCTGGCTGAAAAGCCAAAATCAAAAGAAAAAGGAAGTAAGCAAGATGAGTGGACCCTTAAAGTTTCACTCTGAGCAATTCAAATGATAGCGTTGAAAAGGACTTCAGAGTTTAAATAGTCCCATCCTCTACACAATATGTGAATCTTTTTTTTTGGTAACATTCCTGACATTTGAGACAAACTGATAATGCTAGAATTTGCAGAGTCCTTGCTAGCCGTCTCTCCCAGCAGACCCAACCAGGGATCCCATTAAAGACGAGCAAACACCCACGGTTGCTTATATTTGCTTTCCTTTGAGTCATGTTTTTCTCATTCTAAGTACCTCCTTAGAATGAATGAAATGATGGGTATCTAATTCATTTTGCAGTCACCAGCCCCTCTAATTACAGACCTATCCTTCCTCTTGCTTCTCACCTAGGGATTTTTATCAAGTGGACCCTCACAGAACATCATATCTTAGTGAGAGGTGACAGCGTGCTGGCAGCTCTCGCTCGCTCTCGGCACCTCCTCTGCCTGGACTCCCACTTTGGTGGCACTTGAGGAGCCCTTCAGCCCACCGCTGCACTGTAGGAGCCCCCTTCTGGGCTGGCCAAGGCCGGAGCTGGCTCCCTCAGCTTGCAGGGAGGTATGGAGGGAGAGGCGCGAGCGGGAACCGGGGCTGCGCGCAGCGCTTGCAGGCCAGCTGGAGTTCCGGGTGGGCGTGGGCTTGGCGGGCCCCGCACTCGGAGCAGCCGGCCGGCCCTGCTGGCCGGGCAATGAGGGGCTTAGCACCTGGGCCAGCGGCTGCGGAGGGTGTGCTGGGTCCCCCAGCAGTGCCGGCCCACCGGCGCTGTGCTTGATTTCTCGCCGGTCCTTAGCTGCCTTCTCTCAGGGCAGGCCTCGGGACCTGCCGCCCACCATGCCTGAGCCTCCCCGACGAGCGCTGCCCCCTGCTCCCCGACGCCCAGTCCCATCGACCACCCAAGGGCTGAGGAGTGAAGGCGCAGGCGCAGGACTGGCAGGCAGCTCCACCTGCGGCCCCAGTGGGGGATCCACTGGGTGAAGCCAGCTGGGCTCCTGAGTCTGGTGGGGATTTGGAGAACATTTATGTCTAGCTAAGGGATTGTAAATACACCAATTGGCACTCTGTATCTAGCTCAAAGTTTGTAAACACACCAATCAGCACCCTGTGTCTAGCTCAGGGTTTGTGAATGCACCAATGGACACTCTGTATCTAGCTAATCTAGTGGGGGGCCTGGAGAACTTTTGTATCTAGCTCGGGGATTGTAAATGCACCAATCAGCAGCCTGTCAAAACAGACCAATCAGCTCTCTGTAAAACAGACCAATCAGCTCTCTGTAAAATGGACCAATCAGCAGGATGTGGGTGGGGCCAGATAAGAGAATAAAAGCAGGCTGCCCAAGCCTGTAGTGGTAACCCACTCGGGTTTGATTGCCTACTGGGGAAGGTTTGTTTTTTCCTTCTTTGCAATAAATGTTGTTGTTGCTCACTTTTTGGGTGCGTGCTGTGTTTATGAACTGTAACACTTACTGCGGAGGTTTACAGCTTCCTTTCTGAAGTCAGTGAGACCGTGAACCCAGCAGAAGGAGGAAACTGTCTCAGCATCCGAATGTCACAACGAGCAAATCCACGTGCGGCGCCTTTATGAGCTGTAACACTCACTGTGAGGGTCCACGGCTTCTTTAAGTCAGTGAGACGAAGAACCTGTCAATTCCAGACACATCAGCACAGAGAGATGGAGAAATACCTAAAAGAAAGTAGAAATAGACTCTTTTAACGTGTTTGTTTTTTCAGAGAAACCGCCAGAAAGTGCCCGGGGCAGTGGCTGTCGCCTGTAATTCCAGCACTTTGGGAAGCAGGAAAGGGCAGATCACTTGTGGCCAGGAGTTCAAGGACAACTTAGCCAACACTGTGAAACCCCATTTCTACCAACAATACAAAAATTAGCCAGACATACTGGGGCATGCCTGTAATCTCAGCTACTCAGGAAGCTGAGGCAGGAGAATCGCTTGAGCCTGGCAGGTGGAGGCTGCAGTGAGTCAAGATCAAACCAGTGCACTCCAGCCTGGGCAACAAAGCGAGACTGCACCTTAAAAAAAAAAAAATGCTTTTATTTTTACGTCTAATGTGAAATCCCACCTTTCTTAAAAAAAAAAAAAAAGTACTGGTAGGTGTATGTGTGCATGCAAGTATACTTTAGGACAAAATTTTACAAAGAAATATTTTTTTGTTTGGTTGTGGTTTGTGTTTTTGAGATGGAGTTTCACTCTTGTCATCCAGGCTGGAGTGCAACAGCTCGCTCTCGGCTAACTGCAAACTCCGCCTCCCGAATTTAAGCAATTCTCCTGTTTCAACCTCCCAAATACGTGGGATTACAGGAGTGCATCACTGTGCCACCTAATTTTTTTGTATTTTTAGTAGAGACAGGGTTTCACCATGTTGGCCACGTTGGTCTCGAACTTCTGACCTCAGGTGATATGCCCACCTCATCCTCCCAAAGTGCTGGGATTACAGGCGTGAGCCACCGTGCCTGTCGAAGAAATTGCTTTTCATTGGCTTAGAAATGTATCATTGAGAAATAACCGTCTCTGAATATATATTTTTTAATTCCAGGATAAGGTAATAGTAGAATTGCCTTTCATTTCAGACTGAACTTCTCACCACAATATCCATATTCATTCTTGGAAAATGGATGATGAATGGAAGGATAGTAACCTATAAAATCAACTCATACAGCAGCTTGAGTGGGCAAATTATGTTAATGTTAAGTGAGATGCACAGGGAAAGCAAAGACACTTGTCTTTTAGGCTGGAAGCATTCTTTAAGTGTTTTAATTATCTACTTACACATTTTTCAATACTAAACAGATAGGAATTTTAGGGTGCTTAGTTATCATTGTTTTAATCTATTCTTTGCCACTGAAAAGAAGAAAGAAAAAGGTCCACTGACTAATGTATTGTTAATTGCATATTTATTATACATATTTTTGGAGGATCTAATTTTCTTGTAATCAAATACTCCGAAGTTCAAGTCCATTACCTTTATTTAGTGATTTTAGTACCACTTAGTTCTCAGATTTCCAGTGTTACACTCTACTGCCCTCTTTGCTTCCTAAAGGAAAAGATATTTAATAACTAATTTTATAGATTGAGATCTGCCAACACTAGGTCACAAAGGTAATTAAGTTTTTCTTCTTTGGAGGCTCTGCGTTAGGCAAAAAAGGGAAAAAATATAATTCTCTGGTATTTTTAGAAATGTGCTATCTTTTGTAGCTGCAGGTGATTTCATATTCATATCAATTTAGTCTACTTTAGTCTAGAGCTAATTATGACTTCTTGTTGCTTTTACTAAAAGTAAGCCTAGAATTATAGTCTATTATATTCTCCACCAACCAAAACATTATGTATGTTTCTTTTTTCCTCACACGGGAAAGTGAATGAAAGAATTGCCCAGTGGGAATTTTTTATAAGCAAAATAAATCCATTCTTTTACACCATACAATGTTACAAAGTTGTTTATTTGAAGATATTTAAGGAGATTCTAAGGATCCTAAACTTTTTGCTACTGGGAACAAAAAGTTAAAGTTGACTAGTAATGTGAAAGTGGAATCCAGAAGCACTTTGTCTTTTATGATCCTTCCTTAGTAAATCCCAGGATTATTTTGAGGGGTCAGCTTCATCCTATATTCAGTTCACCTATTGGTAAATGAGGACTATCCAGATAAACTACTGGAATTTTCACTCTGATATATACATATATATGTAAAATTTTCATCCTGATATACATATATAAAAATATATATCAATATAATATAGATATAATATGTATGTAAAAATATATCAATATAATATATAGATATATATTAATATATTTATCTGAAATACATACAAATATATATAAATATCTATCTCTATATAGATATATAGAGATAGATAGATAGATTTTTTTTTGAGACAGAGTTTTGCTCTCATTGTCCAGGCTGGAGTGCAGCTGTGCAATCTTGGCTCACTGTAGCCTCCACCTCCCAGGTTCAAGTGATTCTCCTGCCTCAGCCTCCCTAGTAGCTGGGATTACAGGCTTCCACCACCACGCCCGGCTAATTTTTGTATTTTTAGTAGAAACAGGGTTTCATCATGTTGGCCAGGCTGGTCTCGAACTCCTGACCTCAGGCGATCTGCCAGCCTCAGCCCCCCAAAGTGCTGGGATTACAGGCGTGAGCCACTGTGCCCGGCCCACCAAAGGTAAGTCTTGAATCAAATTATGTTAATGTTAAATTGAGGAACATGGCAGTTAATTTGCATTATTTAGATGATACAGAATGTTTGCATTTAATGTTTGTGGTAAGGGTAATGGCTTATACAGTCCATGCTCCACAATCAGATGAAGGTGAGTTCAAATTTAGACTCCTGCCACTTACTAGCTCTGTGTCATTGGAGCTGCTTAAATGCTAAAGCGTGTTTCCTCAACTCTAATACAGTTCTTCTGAGGAATAAACAACCACACAAATCTGACACATAGCAGGAACTCAATAGATGTTAGCAGAAATGTTTACTGTTATTTTTATTTGAGATAAATGTATAAGGCTATTTTTTAGTGCACAGTTTATCAATTTTAAATGGTTTAAATGTGCACACAGATACCCTGGGATCCTCATTAAAATGCAGATTCGGGCTGGGTATGGTGGCTCATGCCTGTAATCCCAGCACTTTGGGAGGCTGAGGTGGGTGGATCACTTGAGGCTGGGAGTTGGAGACCAGCCTGGCCAACATAGCGAAATCCCATCTCTACTAAAAATACAAAAATTAGCCCAGCATAGTGGCACACACCTGTAGTCCTTGCTACTCAGGAGGCTGAGGCAAGAATCGCTTGAACCTAGGACGGGGAGGTTGGTTGCAGTGAGCCAAGATCCTGCCACTGCACTCCAGTTTTTTAAGACAGCAAGACTCTGTCTTAAAAAAACAAAACAAACAAACAAACAAAGTGCAGATTCTGATTCAGTTGGACTGGGGTGGGGTCTGAGGTTCTTCATCTCTAACAGGCCTCCAGGTGGACATTCATATCACTGAATGCAGAACACGGTTACACAATAGAAAGAACATAAGCTTTGGATTTATCCTTCTATGAACTGGAATCCCAGTGAGCTATGTGACCTTGTCAAGGTCAAACTTCCTTCTCTCCAAGAGGGAGATAATAATATCTATTTCTATTTAAATCAATTTTCATCAAATAAAAAATAGTATACTAAAATAGTACCTGGCATACTGTAGGTGCTTAACAAATATAAGTTCAGGCCGGGCGCGGTGGCCCACACCTGTAATCCCAGCCCTTTGGGAGGCCAAGGCGGGTGGATCATCTGAGGTCAGGAGTTCCAGACCAGCCTGGCTAACATGGTGAAACCCCGTCTCTACTAAAAATACAGAAAAAATTAACTGGGTGTGGTGGCCGGCACCTGTAATCCCAACTACTAGGGAGACTGAGGCAGGAGAATCGCTTGAACCCAGGAGGTGGAGGTGGTATTGAGCCGAGATCGCACCACTGCACTCCAGCCTGGGTGACAGAGTGAGACTCCATCTCAAAAAATATGTGTGTGTGTGTGTGTGTGTGTGTGTGTGTGTGTTCAGTTTTTCTATAAGAAATGCTTTATTGGTCTGTCCACTACGGGGTTGTGCTAGTTTCCCTTCCTAAAAGAATGGAAAATTCCAATTTCCTTTGAAAACTTCTTAGAATTCTAACTTGATGAAATCAACATCAACATTGGTTTAAAAGTTTGTCATTGCATAGCAAGCAAATCATTTCATACCAGATGGCGTGCAAACAGACTGGGAAAATGCCCCAGGCAAGCAATGGGACTCGGAGTCAGAGGGATTTCTGCAGGAATGTATAACTGAGAAAAGGGGCTAATTCTGAAGCTTTTTATTTTACTATTATTTTCTTCTACCCTTTTTATTATGGAAAATTTCAAACATAAAAGTACAGAGGGTGATATAATGAACCCCACATACCCATCATTCAGCTTTGGTAGTTATCAGCACATGGCCAATCTTTAGTTTGCCTTCCTCCCTCTTCCTCCATCTCTGAATTATTTTAAAGCAAATTCAAGACATAGTATTTGATCTATAAATATTGCAATGCATATCTTTAAAAAAACAAGGACTCTTGGCCGGGTGCAGTGGCTCAGGCCAGCACTTTGGGAGGCTGAGGTGGGTGGATCACGAGGTCAGGAGTTTGAGACCAGCCTGACCAACACTGTGAAACCCTGTCTCTACTAAAAATACAAAAATTAGCTGGGCATGGTGGCACATGCCTATAATCCCACCTACTCTGGAGGCTAAGGCAGGAGAATCACTTGAACCCAGGAGGAGAGGTTGCAGTGAGCCGAGATTGCACCACTGCACTCCAGCCTGGGCGACAGAGCGAGACTCTGTCTCAAAAAAGAAGTAAATAAGTAAATAAATAAAATTTTAAAAAAGGACTCTTCCTTTAAAAAAATAACCATAATACTGTTATAATAATTCATTCAAAAATAACATTGAATTTATAGTATATATTTTAATTATCATCCAATTTTATTAGGCAATGAGATAACTATTAAAGTAGAATTCAAAATAACCCAACACTTAAGAACAAGGTAAATACACTTGTTCCCTGAACATTGCTGTTATCAAGGAGGGCAGAACAGTCATTGTCTTATCAGCAGCAATGACATTCATGGCATCCCTCCTCTCACTGCTCCAGCTGGTTCCTAACTGGTCTGCCAACTCTAGGTCTCGATTACATCCTTAAAATTGTCCCTTGCATTCTGAGCCCTCCCAGCTTAATTATCTCTGACAGAAACAAACTGCCTTTAACTTTTGCCAGGAGCAGGGCACCCCTGGCAAGCTGATCTGAACTCTAGGCTTTCCAAAAGTGCTTAGAGTTCTAGGATCTCATAAAATACTAGAGCTGGAAGGGACTTCATAGTTCAGCTACTAGAAAAAAACCAAGGGGCAAGAGTGTTAAATAGCTTGCTTTGCCTCATAATTACCCAAAAGCCTCTCAAAATAAAGGCAAAGTATTATGTGTCTAAACTGACCTTTCTGTGTGGTAAAATTTCAAGGAATTTCTTCTATTATTTTACAATATTTGGTTATCCTTTCTTGAGTTAGCTCATTGAAATCCTTCTTGAACCCACATAAAATTTCCATTCCAATTTTTATTTTATTGATTGATTGATTGACTGATTGAGACAGGGTTTTGCTGTATTGCTCAGGCCAGAGTGCAGTGGTGCGATCTTGGCTCACTGCAACCTCTGCCTCCTGGGCTCAAGCCATGCTCCTACCTCAGCCTCCCGAATAGCTGAGACTACAGGCACGCACCACCACGCCCGGCCAATTTATGTATTTTTAGTAGAGACAGGGTTTTACCATGTTGCCCAGGCTGGTCTCAAACTCCTGAGCTCAAGCTATCCACCCCTCAGCCTCCCAAAGTGCTGGGATTACAGTTATGACCCACTGTGTCCCACCTCAATTTTTATTTATAAACTATTTCACATATACAACTACTAAAAATAAGGTAATATACACCTATTAATATATTAATACACACATTATACAAAATAAATATAATATCACCATAGAAAATCTTTTCCTCTTGATTTTTTTTTAATTGAGGACACTAATCTGCCAGCTCTTAAAATTTTTTAAAGAAAGCTCATTCTACTCCCATTCTTTTCCAATCCCTTCTTCCTTAGAGATAGTCTTTATCTTAAAAATAGATGAATTTCATTCTCATGCAGATGTATGTTTATACATTCAATTGTTTTGCATGTTTTTAATTTTTACATGTAGGAGACACTGTACGTGCATTTTACAAATTGCCTTTTTCGCTCTATATTATGTTTTCAAGACTGAGCCATATGGATACAGAGGTGAATCATAGATCATTCATTGTAATTGCTATGTAGAATTCTACAGCATGAATAAGCCGCAGTTTATTTAATCTACTCTCCTCCAATAGGAATAATTAGGTTGTTCTATTAGACAATTCTGTTACACTTATCACTAGGTACCCTGTACTTTTTGCAGCTAGGCTAAATGGCATCTTTGCAAATACCACATACTTATAATTGTTGATCGCTGGTGCAACCAACATGCTATTGATGTTTGTATATTGATCTTGTATGTTTATTTTGCTGAACTATTTTATTCATTCCAATAGCTTATCTCTCAGTAGATTTTCTTGTGGGGGAATGGTGATCAACTTACTGAGCTCACCATTTTCTTAATATCTTTTATTATAATAAAATAGAGAAATTTGGATTTATTAGAATTCTAGGAGAAGGGGTGACTTGAAAGCTAGAGTAATACGGAAGCTGATGGAACTGTTCCTCTTGAAAGAAGCAGCCAGAGCTGGGGAACTGCTCACCGAAACCCTCATGTACAGAGAACATAAGGGCTTTTGAAATGGAGTAACATGAGGAACTAGCCGGGGGCCCCATGAGATGGCAGATGGCTGCATAATCTGTAATGTGACCCCTCCTCTGTGTCTTAACATTTTTAGTAAAAATGGAAAATGGTCACATGCTTGGTCTCAATGATCTTTTCTCAGGTACTATAAAGAGATGTGGCTCTGTATATAATGTACATGATGCAGGGACCATAGAACTGCAATAGCCTTGTGACCACCAAGGCCAGGATCCAAACAAGCCTAAGAAAGTGGATTCTGAAATCTTGGAGAGGGACTGGAACTGCTCAGGCTTGGGAAATGGGATTCAAACCAAGTTTCCTAAACTTTAAGAGCAGGAAATCTCCCAAATGATATTTGGGTTTCCATCAACAGCCATCTGATTTGTATGCTTTCCATGTGGAATATACAATGTAAAAAGACAAGGTTCCGTTTTGTTTTGTTTTTTGGAGACAGTCTTGCTAGAGACTCTGCTGGAGTGCAGTGGCACAGTCATAGCTTCCTGTAGCCTCCAAATCCTAGGCCCAAGCAATCCTCCCACCTCAGCCTCCCAAGTAGCCAGTATTACAGGCCCATGCCACCACATCTGGCTAATTTTTTTTTTTTTTTTTTTTTTTTTTTGGTAGAGACAGGATCTTGCTTTGTTGCCCAGCTGGTCTTGAACTCCTGGCTTCAAGTGCTCCTTCTGCCTCAGCCTCCCAAAGTGTTGGGATTACAGGTGTGAGCCACTGTGCCTGCCCTTCACTATTTAAAAATATATATATTATTTCAAATTTTGACTTTGTTAATTCTTTGGCCTTCCATGAAATTATAGTGTTTGTAATCAGAGAAGTATGAAAAGAAGTATCATCTTCAAATTGCCTCCTCTGTGGTTTGTCATAAAGGCAAAATATTGTTACTAGATTCATATCCTGTGGGCCCTCTACACATTTAATGAATTATAGCCATATGTTATCTAAATGAATAATAATATATGTACCGGATAATAAATAAATGATAATGTAGATTAGTTTATCCTTTTAACCCACTGCTATCAAGGAGATGATAGTGTAATCCTAGCACTTTGGGAGGCTGAGGCAGGCAGATCGCTTGAGTCCAGGAGTTTGAGATTAGCCTGGGCAATGTGATGAAACCCCATCTCTACAAAAAGTACAAAAAATAGCCAGCTGTGGTGGGGCATGCCTGTAATCCCAACTACTTAGGAGGCTGAGGTGGGAGGATGGCTTGAGCCCAGGAGGTCGAGGCTGCAGTGAGCCGAGATTGTACCACTGCACTCCTGGGCGACAGAGTGAGATACTGTCTCAAAAATGGAACAAAACAAAAAAATCCAAAGTATTTCAAAGGTAATTATGTGCTTTTTTAAGACAAGAGCTGCTGTGCAGGCTGTGGCTTCTAAGTGAACTAATTCCTGTACTAATATGCAGGTCCCAGAAAAGCCAATGATTCATTTTGGTGTTAATGACTGGAAGTCAGGGCCAGATTTAACTGGGGACCAGGATTGCATCTTGATACAACTATCAAACCAGGGATACTTTTTCATTTTGGCCAAAACATTGCTGTAATATCCATGATCTGCTCAGAATTTACTGAGAATCATGATGATGTTTTAGAAGGAACATTCATTCTCATGGAGTTAAGGGACTTGGGGTGTATAGTCTAGGACTTGTACCTAATTAAGATCTTGGATAAATCATTTCACTTCTCTAGGCTTTGGAGTCTGAAGGATGAGGGGATAATGTGGATAATCTCTTGTGCCTTCTAGCTCTTCAGAAAAGAAAAAGTAAACCAGCTTGCAGCCAGTGTGTAACCTGCAACCATAAATAGACAGTTGCATGTATAAATATGCAATGTCTACATGGTGTGATTGAAAAAGTTTCTATGTGCCATGTCCCCAATATGTCCTGTCCACATAAACTCTGGCCTCATAATGTGAGTCTCTGCACAGAAGTAGAGCAGAGTAGCATGGTAGCAAGGAGACTGAAAGAATGCTACTTCTGAGCTGTGTATCTTTGGGTACATTACTTAATCTCTCTGGCTCTTAGTTTCCTCATCTATAGATGAATGAGTTGAATAGCTACTCACGGGGCTGTTGAGGATTAAGTAAACTGAGTATTTGAAAGGGCTTCATAAGATAACATAATACAAATATTAATTATTAACACTCATCCCTGTAGTGTGGGAAGTGATTTAAGATGTCAGAATTACAGTGAAATTCTGCATGCTTAATAAGAATAGAACAATAGCCTTCAAAAGAGATGAATATTCTACTTAGAACATTCAAAGACATAACGTCAACAGAGACCACTTAACTTCCTAACTCAGGAAATAGTTTATAAATAACTTGATTTTTAGAGATTGAACAATGGATTATTTGGATTATTCAGTCTTAAATTAGGTAGGCCTTTTGTTCTCCCTCTATCTCTTGCTAATTGTACATATTAAGGTTAGAAGAAAATGAAAACCAAGAAGGTGTGCTGCCTGAGAGGGAAACCAGTTGGCCACCAAGTGTTCTTCCCCAAGTGGCACCCTTATTGCCTTCCCCCCAGCACTTAGTCACCAGGTCATCTCTCAGGGACAGATTCACATTAGTGGAGTTCAGATGTGTAAACTAGAATTCTATTTTATTGATTTACGAGGAGACACCTTGCTGAGGAGCTGAACATCTGCATTATTTTTGCCAGTAAGTTGTAGACACACAAATAACAGTTATAGAAACAGAAAAGCCAAATTATGGTGGTTTAAACAAGACAGACAATTCTCTTTCCCATAAAGGAAGTCTGGGCATATGCAAGTCCAAACCGATATAGTAATTTCAATGTGTCATTGAAATATAAGCTTTTATTCTTCTGCTCTGTCATCTTCAATCTGTAACTTCCTTTCTCAAGGTCACTCCATGGTCCAAGATGACTGCTAGAAGCCACTCATGATGTCCATGTCCCAGGCAGCAATAAGGAGTAAAGAAGAAAGAAGGATATATCCCCTGAGTTTCAAGAGACTTTCCATTAGTCCCATAAATATTTCCACTTACACTTCATTGATGAAGAGCTAGTCTCATAGCCCCATCTAGCTACAAGGGCAGTTGGGAAGTGTAGTCTTTTAGCCAGGCACATTGTTACCCCAAATAAAGTGGAGGTTCTATTATTAAGAAGGGAATGAAAAGGATGTTGAGGTAGGCATTTCTGCTGCAGCTACCAAATTACAATCATAAGGTGGCTGAATGAGCAAAGAGTTAGATATGTGATTTAAAGACCACATTGTTAGGCTGAGCTTCTCAAACTTCAAACACAGTTTGGCTCAAACACAGCTAAGGCTGAACTTCTCAAACTTCAGTGTGCACACGAATCACCAGGGATCTTGCTAAAATGCAGATACTGGTTCAGAATATCAGAGGTTGGGACTGAGATTCTGCATTTCTAACAAGCTCCCAGATAATGCTGGTCTGTGGATCACATTTGGAGTAGAAGGACCTAAGGCATCATTCCCAACATTATTGGTATTTTCTCCAACAGTCAGAGGGAAGCAGGGAATGCAGCCGGAGTACTGCATGGGGAACCATGGGCTCGGGGTGCTTTGGGTGCCTGGAATTGGGGTAAGTGGACACTAGCTAAAGTTCAATGCTACAACTTGCTCTAACTGAACCTACTATAGCACCTTTCCCTTTCACAGCATCTGCCCTACATGCATACTGACTGAAATTCCTTCAAGGAGTGAGTTAAGAAAGAGGGAGGAATGAGAAACAGGGGAAGGTAGCCACTCTGGGCATCATGATCTTTACTCAGAATTCAGTCTACTGTTTAAGAGAACAGACTTTGGTTACACTGAGGCAGGAATTTTACTTTTGCCCTGCCTTGAGAAGTGCCTTGGGTAGGATGTAAGGCCATCGAGATGGCTCCCAGACCCAAGATATCCACCTTCTACCACCCATGGAAAAAGCCAAAACTACAACACCAAATGTCTCTTGCTTTGCTTTGCTCCTACTTAGCCCAATAGACTTCTCCAGATCACAGAGGATAATTCTTTTTGATTATATGTGGGACTCCATCAACTGCCCATTCTTACTAGTTATGCCATTGCAAAAGGGCCACATAAGAGAGACATAGGTTACTACTATATTGTAAACTCCTGGAAGGTTTTTGTTTTTTTTTGTTTGTTTGTTTGTTTTGTAAAGAAAAGCCAAAGAAGCTGGGCACAGTGTCTCACACCTGTAATCCCAGCACTTTGAGAGGCCAAGGTGGGCAGATCAATATGAGCTCAGGAGTTTGAGACCAGCCTGGCCAAAATGGCGAAACTCCATCTCTACTAAAAATACAAAACTTAGTTGGGTGTGGTGGTGCATGCCTATAGTCTCAGCTACTCTGGAGGACAATTGCTTGAACGCAGGAGGCAGAGGTTGTAGTGAGCCGAGATGACACCTGTAATCCCAGCACTTTGGGAGGCTGAGGCGGGTGGATCACCTGAGGTCAGGAGTTCAAGACCAGCCTGGCCAACATGGTGAAACCCCATCTCTACTAAAAATACAAAAATTAGCCGGGTGTGGTGGCAGGCGCCTGTAATCCCAGCTACTTGTGAGGCTGAGGCAGGAGAATTGCTTGAACCTGGGAGGCAGAGGTTTCAGTGAGCTGAGATCGCGCCATGGCACTGCAGCCTGGGCAACAAGAACGAAACTCTGTCTCAAAAAAAAAAAAATGCAGATTTTGAGTCCGTAGGTTCTTGGGAGAGGCAGTGCACCATGGACCCTGAATGCCCCTATATGTTCTTGCTCTGTATGACAAGAATGCAAGACTCTGGCTGCTTATTACCAGGACCAATTCTCAGGGTTGTTCTTGCAGAGAGTAATTTCATGGAATGAATTAATTTCCCTCAGCAGCTCCCCCTACCCTAAACAAAAAACAAAGAGCAGGCTTGCTTACTGCTCAATATAAAAACAGTGAATTCCCTAATCTCAGTGTTTCTCAGCTGTGACACAAACCCAGCATCATCTGGGCCTCTCCACATCTCCCCTATGAGACCTGGGAGACATGGGGAACTGATGAAAAACAATGTTATGCTCATGATGCCAGTTGTGATGTGAGTAACAAAATCCTTTATCTCTGACCCAGGGCTCGTGTGCTCTGTCAGCATCCATGAAATAGTAACAGGCTAACTTATTAACCTGGAATTAAGATAAAATATCGGATCCTTCATAGACACTGACATAGTTCTTGGGGTGGGACCTGAGATTCCACCTTTCTAACAAACCACCAGGTACTTCTGGTACTGCTCATCCAGGGACCACTTTTTGAGTAGTAATAGTTTTGAAACATTAAGCCCTGGATTTGCCACTAACGATATGGCCTTGAGCAAGCTACTTCACATTTCTGAGACTGAGTTTCCACACCTACAAACAGATGAGTTTGAAGATCTCTTCCCAAATTAACTCTATGATTCCAGGTCCCTGTTACCATCAACAAGTAATGCCTCTTCCCATTCTTTCATTCCTTCAACCAAAACATTTATATACCCATCATTTGCAAGACACCAGGAATAGAAGGTTGAGTGATAGATGGATGTGCTCAGAGTTGGGCAAACAATGGACAGTTAAAGCTACCCCATAGGGAGACATAAAGACGGTGCTAAGCAAGTCAATTGCCTCCTTAAACTGGTTGAGTGACCACATAATTTATTCCAAACCAAGGCACTTTTGAGAGTGAAAGAGGAGGTTATTAATAGCTACACCAGGATGACAGGCATAAACTGGGACAATCCTGGAGGCCCTATTCTTAGGGCCCCACAAAGCCCTAGTTCCTTCCAGATTTTCTTTTTTCTTTTTTTTTTTTTTTAACTTTTGTTTGAGGGTACATGCGAAGGTTTGTTACATAGGTAAACATGTGTCATCGGTGTTTGTTGTGCAGATCATTTCGTCATTCAGGTATTAAGCCCAGTACCCAATAGTTATATTTTCTCCCTCCATGCCCCCCAATCAAGTAGACCTCAGTGTCTCTTGTTTCCTTCTTTGTGTTCATATGTTACCATTTAACTTGCCCTCCCCTCCCGTCCCCTCCCCTCCCCTCTCCTCTCCTCCCCGCACCTCCCCTCCCCTCCCCTCCCTTCCTTCCCTTCCTTTTCTGATCAAAGACCTTTATTCTGGTCCTCATCGTGCAGTAAGCCACTTAAGCAGAACACTTTCTTCATCTCTGCTCCAAGCAGCAGCGGCTGCATCCAGGCCTGACTGGAAGACGGACACACGTTGTGGAAGATCTTGTAGGGAAAAGCCAACGGTTGAGATGGAGGCTTATACCGGTGTGAGCGAGGGTAGAACAGGAAGAGTATGTATGCAAGTGCCAAGACTGTTCTTCTCAACGCTGAAGCCTGCGGAGAGGGGCGAGCTGAAGGATGCAGATGAAGGCCGGGAACCTGCACTGCTGAGCAATCGACCCGAAGTACCTTCCAAAAAAGCAGATTCATCCACAGCTTCTATCGCATTATCCAAATCTCTCCTCTGGAGGGTTTTCCTGTTTCCCTGTTGAGCACAGCAGTAGGCATCTTTTGCAATGGTCTCCACACACAGTTCCCCGGCTCAGGCCAGAATGACTGTTCTCTGTCCCGCCCGTGTCTCGTTGGGGTCAGCCTTCGCCAAGGCCTTCGCTGGCGCCCGAGGCAGCCTCGAGGGACGAGCCCCAGGCACTCTTGTCGGGGCTTGGGGCTGTGGGACCTATGCCTCCCCACCAGGTCGCCCCTCCACTGCTTCCAGCTGCCCCTGAGTGCGCTGCCCGGCCACCTATTGTGTTCAGAAAAAGAAAGTTACCATTTTATCAGTTTATCTGTTTTTGTGTGTGCTTGTTTGTTTTTATTTTGTTTTGTTTTGTTTTTTAGACAGAGTCTCTCTCTGTGGCCCAGGCTGGAATGCAGTGGCGCAGTCTCTGCTCACGGTATTCTCCGCCTCTCGGGTTCAAGCGATTCTCCCACCTCAGCCTCCTTGAATAGCTGGGGCCGCAAGTGCGTGCCACCACTGCCGGCTAATTTTTTTTTTTCTTTCTGTAGAGACGGGGAATCTCTCTGTATTGCCCAGGCTGGTCTCGAACTTCTGGCTTCAAGGGATCCGCCTGCCTCAGCCTCCCAAAGTGCTGGGATTACAGGCTTAATCCCACTGCAACTGGCCTGAATTAATTTTACTGTGTATATTTGAAGTTTACAGCATGATGTTATGGGATACATATATTAATAGTAAAATGGTTGCTTCAGTGAAGCAGATGAACATATCTGTCATCTCACAGATACTTCTGTTTTGTAACAAGAGCTGCCAAAATCTACTTGTTTAACAAAAATCCCTAATACAACACAATTTTATTAACTATATCCTCACATTATACATTAGCTCTCTAGACTTGTTCATCTTACATCCTTCCAGACCTTCAAATCCTCTTTGTCTTTCCCACTCTTCACCCATTTCTTTCCCTCCTGGCACAGGTCCTGAAATGTCCTATTGCATTACCTCAAAAGCTAGTCACAGGAGAACAATGATTTGCTCTGGCAAGGCGAAGACAGTACCAAGTCATTGCATAATCTCCACTCACATTCGGAGTTCCTGAGCAGCTGCTCTGGAGGTGGATGAAAATAACCCATCATTTCAGTTTTTATAACCCATTCAGGTGAGAATACTATTTTTAGGGCACAATAATTTAAAAGCTCTTGCTGGCCTAGGGGGAAATATCTTCAACCCTTTAGAGAAATGAAGTGGGTTCTTGTCTTTTCTTTTCTGGCCAGTGTCCAGAAAGAGTTTTTTCTTTGTAGAGACATGAAATGATTCGCTGCTTACTTGCACTGAGGGTTTTAAAAACTGGTGCTAAAAATACCCAACTTAGAAAGTTTCAGACCATTGGAATTTAGGACACCTTCCAGCATCATGGTATTCATTTATCGAAATAAACTTAATGTCCCCTAATTTCACCTTGATTTTTTGGAGGTAAAAGTGATACCCTTTGAGTACTGTCAGATACATAAGGAATGAGGTTCTCTTAGTTTGTATTTCCCCAAAGCAGACCTTGAAACAAGGATCTGGGGGCAAATAGTTTATTCAAGACCAAAGTGAGAGAGTGGGTAGGGGAGACAAGGAAGGAAGGAAAGCTAATAAAGCATATATTAATAAGAATACTTCTGCTGTAGGCAAATTTTGTTCTTGTTGTTGTTGTTCTTTTTGAGACTGTCTTGCTCTGTTGCCCAGGCTGGAGTGCAGTGGCACGATCTCGGCTCACTGCAACCTCTGCCCTCCCTGGTTCAAGTGATTCTCCTGCCTCAGCCTCCTGAGTACCTGGGATTACAGGCACGTGCTGCCATGCCCAGCTAATTTTTGAATTTTTAGTAGAGATGGGGTTTCGCCATGTCGGTCAGGCTGGTCTTGAACTCCACCTCAAGTGATCCGCCCACCTCAGCCTTCCAAAGTGCTGGGATTACAGGCATAAGCCACTGTGCCTGGCTGGCAAATGGGTTTTAATCCTGCTGAGAGTCTACTGGAACATGCCTCAAAAGTCTCCCACTGTGGGGTGAGAGAGTTGAGGTATTTATATTCCAATGCCCATCCCTTAGTGATTGAGAGCTGCTCCTGGAACATTAACTACCTGACACTTCTGAACTACTCTGAAGTGGACTGATCAACTCCTACTCCAAGGACAGGGAGTGTGCTAGAACAGAGAGACATAGGAAGTCCTCCAGGTAGGCAAAGAACATATGGGTGGGGCACTGACAGCATCTGCTACAAGGGTCAAATTTGGGTTCATCAATGAACCATGTATTCCTCACTTAAGACATATAGTATGGTCATTTGGAAAACCATTTTTGCCTTGCAAAGTCTGTTTGCCTTTAATAAAGTAGCAGAAAATCCAGCTGTATGTACTAGCTGTGGAGCAAGCACAATGTGGAATTAAAGGCCTCATCATTTGCAATTCCCATCCCCCAACTCCAGCGGCACTAAGAGTAAATGAGATCACCCTCTCTCTTTAGTGTCAGCACAAGTCTGGGCAGAAGATGACACCACTGACACTCAAAAACTGAGACAGCAGCATTTGCAAGATACAGGAAAGAATAGGGCTCGGACTCCATCATTATATCTAGACAATGCAAGTAGCAATGCTAATTACCTATGATAGCCATGACAATTAAATCCAGTGAGTAAAAGATGTCCAGAATAGTGCCTGGTGCCCATATTAGAACTCTCGCAGACAAATACGAAGGCCCAAATATGTACTGTTTTAATTCTTCTGAAAAGAAAAAACACTTGTTTTTTTTTCCTGTTTATAAAAATAAGACATATTTCTGGTATTTGTAGAAAATGTAGAAAATACAGAAAAAGATAAAGGGGAAAACTAGAATTCCATCTTATGATCTTTGATAAATAAATATATATATAAAAGTTTAAATATATAAATTTCAGCTCTTTTATAATATAATTGTATATTGGAACCAGTTGGATCTTTCTACATACAGCATATGGTTTTATTTCCTGTGTTTTTTTTTTGTTTTTGTTTTTGTTTTTCGAGATGGAGTTTTGCACTTGTCACCCAGGCTGGAGTGCAGTGGCATGATCCTGGCTCCTGGCTCACTGCAACCTCTATCTCCTGGGTTCAAGCGATTCTCCTGCCTCAGCCCCTGTGAAGAGCTGGGGTTACAGGCATGCACCACTGCGCCCAGCTAATTTTTGTATTTTTAGTAGAGATGGGGTTTCACCATGTAGCCAGGTTGGTCTTGAACTCCTGACCTCAGGTGACCCGCCTGCCTCAGCCTCTGAAAGTGCTGGGATTAAAAGCATGAGCCACCGCATGCCTGGCCCGTATCCTGTTTTTCATATGGTGTATAATAGGCTGTACAATTAATTCTGTATGCCACTGAACATTCTTTGAAATATTGCTATTGTCCGAATCATATTTAATCAGCTGGATGTTCCATAAATCATTTGGTGATTCTTCTGTGAATTTCCATTTACAGTAACTGTGGTGAACACTTTTGTACTGACCACTTGGCATCTGAGTATTTAGTTGGGATGTACTCTCAGATGTGAGATTACAGAGTCAAAAGTTAAGAAGGCCAAAAGTCTGGGACTGAGTTGTAAGGGACCATCTCCTATCAGTGGTCTTCAGTGGAAATCTGTGACATACAGAGATGACTCCCCTTGGCTGTGGAGTTGCAGGCCAGATCTGCCACCATATAGAATCAGAGACCTCAAGCTTGTAGAAACCCTGGAGATTATCTCCCCCCACACCCTCTTTGCTTTTCTGATAAAGGAACTGAATTTCAAAGAGGCTAAGTCATTTGCAATTTTTGGCTATTATTTACCATTTCTTTTGGACACACATGTAAGCCCTTGACAAGCCTCTCTGAGAGAGCACAAATGGACCAGACTTGGCCAGGCCATCAGACTCTGGTCTTGGGTTGTTTTTAGATATTAAATTACATCATGACACAGAAGATAGAATGGCTAGACAGCTGGCTTCCCCGCCAGAAGGGAGGATATGCTCTTCTAGTTCTCAGGAGCCTGAAAGGGTACCTCCTTCATCAGCTGACTACACATAAGATAAACTATCTCTTCCTACACTTGGAAGAACCACGAGGTTTGGTGGACTGCCTTGGAGCAAAAATAAACCTTCAGGAGAAACAGTCCACTGGGTCAGACTGAGTCAATAAAACCCACACTGGAAAGGGCAAAGTGCTTTTTTTTTTTTTTTTGAGACGGAGTTTTGCTCTTGTTGCCCAGGCTGGAGTGCAAGGGCGTGATCTCGGCTCACCGCAACCTCCGCCTCCTGGGTTAAAGCGATTCTCCTGCCTCAGCCTCTGAGTAGCTGGGATTACAGGCATGCGCCACCACGCCTGGCTAATTTTGCATTTTTAGTAGAGATGGGATTTCTCTATGTTGGTCAGGCTGGTCTCGAACTCCTGACCCCAGGTGATTCACCCACCTCGGCCTCCCAAAGTGCTGGGATTACAGGCGTGAGCCACCGCGCCTGGCCAAGGGCAAAGCGCTTTCATGAGATTGGCTAGTTCTTTCCTTATTTATTAAATGGGGATTTGGACTCTTAGATATAGGATGTATTTTGCAGACATTGTCACAGCCGTACTTATATTTCCAAAAACATCAACCACTTTCTACAGCAAGCACCTGAGAAGTTTTATCTAAGAGCTTTCTCTAACTTCAGGAGCCTGAAGTTAGAGAAGCCTTGGTCAGGCCCATCAGGCTCTCCTCTACCAATTCTTTCTGGCATCAGCCCCAACTCACATCCTTTTGTTCAGGTCTGCCTCTTGGGAAACCCAACTGAAGACGATCTAGCCCTTTGAGAGTAATTGCAGGAAACCCTGATAAGAGAAACCAGTTAGTGTAGCAGATAACCATTGTTACAGATGTTAGATTCAGCAGACAAGCACATTCAAACCACTACTCTAACTGTTTTCCATGTGTTCGAAAAACTAGAGGGAAGATTGACCATGTGAAGAAGACATGGAAGATATTTTAAAAGCCCAGTGGAATTTCTCCAGATGAAACAGAAAAAGGGAAGCAACTCAGAAAAAATGCAGGCAATGGCTGCGGTGGAGAAGGATCCCAGGCTGAGAGGCAGAAGCCAAATTATAATTGTTACAATTAGGGTCAGGTACATAAAACAGGAAGAAAAATTAGCAGTAGCTTAAACAAGAGAGGTTATTCCTCTCTCATGTAAAATAAATTTTACAGTGCAAAGCTGAAGGAGAGAGTAAGAAACAATAAAGGAACCAAAAAGATCACCAATAAAGGAACAAGATTTATACTAGCATCACATTATCATCATGAGAAGTCTTAGAAATTCTGTCTCCTCTTTCTACAGAAGAAAGACGTAGTATATCAGAAACAGTGAAACTTCCCAAGGAGAACTATGAAAAGAGACTCTAAGATACCAGCTATTTAAGCAGCCTAAACACATCCAGTTCACATTCGATCAAAACCTCAGTGAGCTCCCACAAGAATGCTTTCAAGAAGCATAGAATAAATTTTGAGCAACAGAAAATAATACACTTTGGGAGGCCACGGTAGGAGGACTGCTTGAGGCCAGGAGTTCAAGACCAGCCTGGGCAACATGACGAAACCCCGTTTCTACAAAAAATACAAAAATTAGTCATGTGTGGTGGCATACACCTGTAGCCCCAGCTACTAGGGAGGCTGAGGTGGGAGGATTGCTTAAGCCCAGGAGTTAGAGACCAGCCTGACCAACATAGTGAAACCCCGTCTCTTCTAAAAATACAAAAAATTAGCGGGGTGTGGTGGTGCATGCTGTAATCCCAGCCACTCAAGAGTCTGAAGTAGAAGAATCACTTGAACCCGGGAGGTGGAGGCTGCAGTGAGCTGAGATGGCACCACTGCACTCCAGCCTGCATGACAGAGCAAGACTCTGTCTTAAAAAAAAAAAAAAAAAGTGGCCCAGCACAATGGCTCACACCTGCAATCCCAGCAATTTGAGAGGCCGAGGCGGGCGGATCACAAGGTCAGGAGATCGAGACCATCCTGGCTAACACAGTGAAACCCCGTCTCTACTAAAAATACAAAAAAATTAGCCAGGCATGGTGGCAGGCGCCTGTAGTCCCAGCTACTCAGGAGGCTAAGGCAGGAAAATGGCGTGAACCCAGGAGGTGGAGCTTGCAGTGAGCCGAGATGGTGTCACTGCACTCCAGCCTGGGCTACAGAGCAAGACACCATCTCAAAAAAAATAAATAAATAAAGAATATTCAAGTGATTACATGATTACAGAGGTCATGACATTGATTGGCCCTGTTGTGAAGGAAATGTACTTCTGTCATCCCACTTGACTCAGCCAGGAGTAATATTTGCAAAATAATGTAAACTCTGTTTCTTGAATTTCAGCATTTAGGAATAACATGGATGGTTGAACCCATGGATACAGAGGGCCAACTGCACATACAATGAATGCTTGAAGTGCACTGATCTTCAGTGAACAGCTCACTGACTCTTTACAGGTGTGTATACTAGAGCAGCTATCACTCAGATGGAGACATAGAACATCACCAGCACCCCAAAACATTTCCTCATGCTCCTTCCCCATCGATCCACCTCTTCCTAGAAATAATCCCTATTCTAACTTCTATCACCATTGATCTGTTTTGCCTGTTCTTGATCTTCAGATAAATCAAAAAGTATATTTTCTTGTGTTTGTCTTTTTTCACCAAACATAATGAAAATTATTTCTATTGCTGCTACCTCAGTAGTTTATTCTTTTTATTGCAGTGTGGTATTCCATCATATGACTAGTCTAGAAACTGGGTTTTGCCATGTTGTCCATGCAGGTCTCAAACTCGTGAGCTCAAGCGATCCGCCCACCTCAGACTCCAAAGTGCTGAAATTATAGGCATGAGCCACCATGCCTGGTCAGCATTGGGGAGTTTCAAGAACTATTCCAGCAAAGGAGGGGAACTTCACCACCGCTGCATGTCCTAGCCTTGGAAGTCAGGCAGCATTGCTTCTGCTGTGTTCTCTTTGTTACAAGTAAGTCACCAACACACCCAGATTCAAGGGTAAGGAAAATAAAATCTACCTTTTGGTAGGTGAGTGGCAATATGCTAGATGAGCATGTGGGAGATCCTTTGCAGCCAATTTTGGAAAAATACACTCAACCATGCTGTCCCATACCCAGTTTTTTTTCTCCATCGTCCTTTTTCTTATTGGATATTATCTTATTTATTTATTTGTGTTTAGTGAACCACCTCCCTTTACTGGAATATATGCCCTGAAATGGCAAAAACTCTCTCTGTTATTCTCTACCCTCTCACCAGTACCTGAAGGTGCTTGTACATAGTAGGTAATAAACATGTTGATTAAAATAGTAAAAATTTTGACCAGGCACCATGACTCTCACCTGTAATCCCAGCACTTTGGGAGGCCAAGGCAGGTGGATCATCTGAGGTCAGGGGTTTGAGACCTGCCTGGCCAACATGACAAAACCCCGTCTCTACTAAAAACACAAAAATTAGCTGGGCATGGTGGCAGATGCCTATAATCCCAGCTACTCAGGAGGCTGAGGCAAGAAAATCGCTTGAACCTGGGAGGCGGAGCTTGCAGTGAGCCGAGATCATACCATTGCACTCCAGCATGGGCAACAAGAGTGAAACTCCATCTCAAAAAAAAAAAAAAAAAAAAAAGTAAGAATTTTGTATCAGGGAAGAAGTAGATGCCTCTGGTCAATAAACCAATTAATAGAACTACAAGAATATTTTTAGACATGTGGACCTAACCGCTCAAAGAACTAAAACCAGAATTAGTTTTAAGGAGTTGCCTGTAGGGTACAAGATGGGAAGAGGAAAGATAGGGCAGAGGGTTAGTGCCGTTCTGTGGCATGTGTACGTATGACAATTTGTTTTGTTTTGTTTTTGAGACAGGGTCTCGCTCTGTCTCTTAGGCTGGAGTGCAGTGGCACAATCTTGGCTCACTGCAACCTCTGCCTCCCGGGCTGAGGCAAGCGATCCTCCCACTTCAGCCTCCTTGAGTAGCTGGGACTTCAGGCACCTGCCACCACTCACAGCTAATTTTTTGTATCTTTTGTAGAGATGGGATCTTGCCACATTTGTAGAGATGGGGTCTTGCCATGTTGCCCCGGCTGGTCTTGAACTCTTGGACTCAAAGTGATCCGCCCACCTTGGCCTCCCAAATTCCCAAAGCTGCTGTCTCCTGCAGCTTAACACCCAACACCATGCCTGGCCCGTATGACAGTTTTTAAAATCCATGTACTTATATTTCTTAGATATTGAAAATTTGCTACCTGCACCTGCTGTGTTCCCACCCTCTGGAGACCTGGGAACCTGGCTGCAGCCTGGGAAGGCTGGAGAAGCAGATGGCAGCACCCACCAGCTCCTCTCCCTGTCCCACCTCTTCCCTGGGGAACCAGACCCTACCTGTGTGGTGGTGGGTGGGCTGATTGTCAAGACATGTGTCATATACATTTTTATCAAAAATAAAGAAGTGACTATGAAAAAAAAGAAAATTTGAAAAGATTAAATTTTTAGAAAGGTGATTGTAGAAAATGTGGAAAAACTAGAAGAGAATACAAAGGAATAAAGTATTATTTGTAATCCTGCCACCTAGAAAGAGCCACTGTAAACAGTTTGGTCTATTATCTTCTTGTCGAAATTAAAATAGACAGTTCTGTGTCTTGCCTTTCCCTTTTCCATTCATTAATTCTCTTTTTGATCTAGTGCTAAGAGTCATACTCATTAATTCTGTTATGAGGATTTGCACTGGGCCAGAAATGCTGCCTGACAAACGTATTTGACCTAAGGTTAAAAATTCTGTTAGTTCTTGTTTCTCCTGCTAGAGGACTGCATAATTATACCCTTTATCTTTTCCTCTCTCCACCCTTGCAGTCCACCCGCACAATCCTGCTTAACCCACTCTTAACCCTGCTGTCTTCCCCTTGTTCAGGGACTGCTTGAGCCCATCATTATCTCGTTCTCCTCAGCCACAGGACAGCAGTGTGTGTCTTTTTAAGCTATGGCCACCTAATAAACTACCCAAAACACAGTGGTTTAAAACAACAAGGATTGTACTATTTTTCAAAATTCTATGGGTCAGGAATTTGAACAGGGCACAGCTCCATCATATCTATTCCATATGCTGTCTGCTGCAGCTTAACGCCCAACACATCTGAAGTCTCAACTAGCATCACTGGAAAGACCAAGGACAAATGAGACCCCTTAAATTGAGGTCATGTGTCTGGGGCTTCGCTCACATTGTCATCTGAGTGCTAGTGTGTTCTCTCCAGCGGGGTAGTCTGCCTTCTTACAAGGCAGCTTGGGGCTCCCAAGAGCTTAGACCTTGAACTGTGATGGCATTCCATTGGCTAAAGCAAGTCACAGGCCCAGCCCAGAGTCGAGAGGAAGGAAGCACACAGGGTACAAACACCAGGAGGCGTGGGATGCTGGTGGCCACCAATATATCCGACTACCATGCATCAGATGGACTGGAATCCAGATCCGGTCTACGGGCTATATTGCCTTGGCTTGATTTCTTCACTTCTCTTAGCCACCATTTCCTTTCTTATCTGTAAAATAATTAGGATATCATTTCTCCCCGGGCAGAATCATTGTGTGCATTCAATTATGCCTTGTGCCTGGAACCTTCGCTGCATGAGATTTCACAGAAGAGACTCAAGCATTAGAAAGGCATGTAGACTGTAAACCTGATGGGACCATGAGAACATAAGCTCCTGGCAACCTGAAAAAAATCTTTGGGAGAGCTTCAGACTTCCAAGGAATCAGAAGTTGGAGGCAACGGTGTTTAAATCTCAAACAAAAAAATGATCCCAGTGAAAAAAATAGATAATATTATATGGTTGCAGGAGTGCAGAAGTTTTTCTTCTTTTTCTCTCCATCTTGACTTTTTTCTTCTCTTTAGCAATCTCTTGTGTCTATTTTAAGTTTACTCTTTTTCTTCTTATCTCTTACTGAATAATTTTCTCTGCCAAGTAACCTCTTGTTCTAGCTCAAAACCTGGAGCCTCAAGAAGCCCTTCCCATGTTTATCCACCTTCTTCTCTGGAAGAGTCCCCATAACTGGTCCCCACCAAGGCTGGAAGAAAGCAGAGCTCACACCCCACAGGAGGTCACGAGAATTCTGCCTGGGCTGTTCCTCCTGGCCTCCTGCCTTGCCATGTCCACTCTGAGGCCCCTCCCCCCACACGGTTCGAGGCTCCCTCAAATGGAAGGGATGTGTAAGCAAGTGACCTTTAACCCAATTAGAATCCTCCTGCAATCTGTGCTAATCTTCTTAGGTGTTAATATTTAGCATTACCTTGTACTACCCAGGTGCCAGTCAGGGCAGCTGCCTGAAGTCTTATCAGCAAACCCTTCAAAAACGCTTCCTTGCTTTTCTTCCCCCTGCTTCCTTGATGAGGATTCTGGGGCTGGCAAGGGGTGGGTAGAAATGACTCTTCCTTTGAAAGTCAAAGATTTAATGAAGGGCACAGGAACTATTTCTCAGAGTCACTATCTGCTGCAGGATAATTAGCACTTTATTAAAGGCGCATATTTGATGTAACAGTGAGGAAGGTGATTGGTGCTTCTCAAGCTTGAAAGAGTGGATTCTGGTCCAGTAGGTCTGGGGTGGGTCCTGAGTTTCCAGATATCTAAGAAGCTTTCAGGAGACACTGCTCCTGGTGGAGGTGGTCTGGGAACCACATTTAGTGTACTAGTCAGGGTTCTCCAGAGAAACAGAACCAATAGGATACATACCTTTATGATATATACACACACAGATGTAGCACACATGGGAAGTCCTCAATGTCATCGACAGGTTTTAAGTGAAATGATGTATAACAAAACCAACTCTACCATAGGCTAGATGATACAAACAAGAATTAAATTTCTATGGCATATTTCTGGTCACAAAAACATCAGCGAACTTCTAAATAAACACTTATTAACATTGAAATAAATATGAGTTATTCATACATTTAAGAAAAATTAATAAAAATAAGTAGGATAATCATTTACCCAGTTTTTGGGGAATCATTGAGTGATGGTGATTATAGTGGCTGTGAAATAAAATCAAGAAATCAATGTTTGCAAAGTGAAAATTGTAAGGAGCACCTCCTGTGACCATAGGGCTCATAAACAATCACACATAGGGAGGGCTCAAAAAGTGCTTTTGTCCCACATTGTTTATTGTGGTGCATCTGTATGATTATCAGATACTTTACACATTTTTATTTTATAATAATTTGTATTTATCCATTCATTTTCCAACCTGCTTATTCAAGTACAGGGTTGCAGTGGCAGGAGCTTATCCCAGCAGTTCAGGGGCAAAGCAGGAACCAGCCCTGGACAAGACCCATTCCATTACAGGGCACACTCATGTGCACATGCACACTCACCAGACTGTAACCATTTAGATACACCAATTCACCTAATGTGCACATCTTTGGGATTCAGGAGGAACTCAAGAGTACTGGGGGAAACCCATGCAGACATGGGGAGAATGTGCAAACTCCACACAGACAGTGGCCCTGGCCAGGAATGAATTTTTTTTCTCGTCGACATTATAATGAAATGACGTTGAATGAAACGATGTTATTGACTGGGTGCGGTGGCTCCCACCTGTTATCCCGGCACTTTGGGAGGCTGAGGCAGGAAAATTGCTTGAGGCCAGGAGTTTGAGACCAACCTGGGTAACATAGCAAGACCCTGTGTCTACAAAAAAAAATGTTTTTAATAGACAGATGTGGTAGATTGTGCTTGTACTTCTAGCTACTTGGGAGGCTGAGAAGAGAGAGAGAGGGAAGGAAGGAAGGAAGAAAAAAAGGAAGGAAGTAAGAGAGGGAGGGAGGGAGGGGCCGACTCTGGGCACACCTAGGAGTTAGCCCTGCTCTGGAAGGAGCAGCTCTGGTTCAATGAAAGATTATTTTCTTTTTTTGAGACAAAGTTTCTCTCTTGTTGCCCAGGCTGGAGTGTAATGGTGCCATCTCGGCTCACTGGAACCTCCATCTCCCAGGTTCATGGGATTCTCCTGCCTCAGCCTCCGGAGTAGCTGGGATTACAGGCACCTATCACCATGCCCAGATAATTTTTTGTATTTTTAATAGAGACGGGGTTTCACCATGTTGGCCAGGCTGGTCTCAAACTCCTGACCTCAGGCGATCCACCCGCCTCGGCCTCCCAAAGTGCTGGGATTACAGGCATGAACCACTGCGCCCGGCCTCAGTGAAAGATTGTTTAACCTCACCAGTTGAATTATTTCCTGGGTGAAGCCCCAGTGATGGCACTTGCTTGCATCAATAGCACCCTTCTATCTCCCTGTCTCAGCCTAGGCACTTGCTTCCAAGCTGAAACTACCTGCTATATCTCTATATTTAAGAGATATAAGAAGTTTAATTTTTCCTTTGGATAAAGGCAATTAGCTAACACAAATGACAACCTCAATTACCAGGTGAATTTAGGATGAACTATGTGTAGGAAACAGTGCAGCCAAATCAAATAAAGTGGGTTGCTCCAGGTCTTATAAATCAAGAGTGGGCTGGACGCGGTGGCTCACACCTGTAATCCCAGCACTTTGGGAGGCTGAGGTGGGCAGATCACCTGAGGTCAGTAGTTCGAGACCAGCCTCAACATGAAGAAACCCCATCTCTACTAAAACTACAAAATTAGCCAGGCATGGTGGTACATGCCTGTAATCTCAGCTACTCAGGAGGCTGAAGCAGGAGAATTGCTTGAACCTGGGGGACGGAGGTTGCGGTGAGCTGAGATCGCACCATTGCACTCCAGCCTGGGCAGCAAGAGCAAAACTCCGTCTCAGAAAAAAAAAAAAAAAAAAAAAAATCAAAAGAGTGGTCATCCCTTTGCAGCAAACCATTTCCCATAATACAGAGGTCGGGGGGTCAGGGCTCTTCTTTCCAGAATCACAGACTCTGGTAAAGTTCAGCATTGTCAACATACAATTAGTCATTATGTTGTGAATTCTTGACCAATAAAACTGATAATTTAATTCCTAGTTAAAAGAAAAAAGAAGGAAGGGAGGAAGGAAGGAAGGAAGGGAGGAAGGAAGGAAGGAAGGAAGGAAAGAAAGAAGGAAGGAGAAAGAAGGAAAGGGCCAGACACAGTGGCTCACACCTGTAATCCTAGCACTCTGGAAGGTCGAGGCGGGTGGATCACTTGAGGTCAGAAGTTCGAGACCAGCCTGGCCAACATGGTGAAACCCTATCTCTACTAAAAATACAAAAAGGAGCTGGGCATGGTGGCACTCGCCTGCAGTCCCAGCTATTCGGGAGGCTGAGGCAGGAGAATTGCTTAAATGCAGGAGGCTGAGATCTTGCCACTGCACTCCAGCCTCCATCTCAAAAGAAAAAAATGAAGAGGAGAGAGGAGGGGAGGGGAGGGAGGAAGGAAGGAAGGAGGAAGGAAGGAAGGAAGGAAGGAAGGAAGGAAGGAAGGAAGGGAAGGAAGGAAAGGAGGAAGAAGGGAAAGAGAAAGAAAGAAAAAGAGAAATAAAGAAAAGAAAGAGAAAGAAGAAAGGAAAGAAAGAACCGCTATTATTCAAGGACCTGCTGTATACTGCTGTGTGTGTATACACACACATACACACACACACTTAGCAAGGAAATGCTACTAAGTAGTAAGGAAGGGGAGGGATGGGCTATGGACATCTTTCTGCAGCTCTGAGAAGCAGCAAACAACTCTCCATTTTTCCAGACATCTCTTAGCAGCAAAGAGCTTGGGATTTTGAGTCAGACAAGGCTGAGGCTGTCTTCTAGTCTGCTTTCTACTCCTTGTGGTCTTGGGCAAGTCATTTGAGCTGAGAGTCAGTTCCCTCATGTAAAAAATGGGGCGGGGATAACATCAATCTCTCTGAATTGTTCAGGGGATGTTGTGCCACAGTGAGTATGATGGCCTAGCAATGCCTGGCACATAGTGGGCCTCCACAAATGGTACCACGTCTTGCTATTGCAAGGATGGAATCCAGAAACCTAAGCAAGCACTCACTGTCTTCAGCTTTTCCATATTCAGAGTGAGGATGTGGCTTTGTTTTCACAGGTCGAGAGTTAATTAACAGCAGTGTTAGTGGGTGTGCTCCCAAGTTCAGATGGATTTCTGCTTTGATGGGTACACTTCAGCCACCCTAGGGCAAAATGAAGTCATGCTTTGGAAGCGGGAAGAGAAGGCCTCCTTCTCATTAGCTGTTACACCCTCACATGTTTAAGTGTTTTTCATAGACTTTGTTTTCCATTATTAAGTGACACCCTTAGTAACAGACATCCTTGTCACAGATCCTTCTCAAATGGCAAAAAATGAGAACATTTCACAGTTCTTGTGAGTTCAAGTCCATTTTTTTCTCCTTAACTCACAAAAGCATTTTCTTTGCCTCCATGTGTTTTATTCCTAAGCTTCTGACATTCCCAGACTTCCTACCTAAGCTGCCATACCTGTAAATCCTTTAAAGGACTTACTCTGTTTGTCTGAACTTTCAAATTACTTTAAAATAACTATGGACTGTTCTGCTGATAAGCAGAAGATAGGACCAACTTATTTCTCTGGGTTTCTCCTGTTTTGACTCTTGCCATTTACTCCGACATGTTATTTAAATTTTACTGATGATTCAACAGAAGCTGCCACCAGCAAAAGCAGTTGTTTTGTGCCTGAGAACATCCTTCTGCTGGCCTAATTGTCTGTGATGACAACAACAACCTGATTTCTTTGGCTTTCTCTCTCAAGATGCTTGGGAAGAGTTGTAGCAACAGCATGTATGATTAATTCATTAACATATCTCCAAATTTCTTTCTCCTTACTTATAGGACTGGTTTATTACAGCAGTTTTAAAAAGACTAGATCTTGAGCACAGTCATCGTCTCTTCATTTAGCAAAATGAAGCAAAATTTAGCAAAATTCCTAAACTGCAATTGCTACGATTTCTAAATTAAGAGAACAAAATTGGGCAATGGGAGGTATAGAGTATAGAGTTGTCAAGAAAGAAAGGAAGTTAATGGAGCAAGGCTGAATAGTGTGACTTGGGAAATCAAAGATGGTGCCCAAATGGTTTACTTCGCTAGCTGCGAAAGTGTGTTAACCAACCTGATTTGCATTTCAGAGACCTCCTGAATTCAAATTAAGGGTTTTTTGTTCTTGCTGTTTGTTTGTTTGTTATTTGAGACGGAGTTTCGCTCTTGTAGCCCAGGCTGGAGTGCAATAGCGTGAACTCGGCTCACCACAACCTCCACCTCCCGGGTTCAAGCGATTCTCCTGCCTCAGGCTCCCGAGTAGCTGGGATTATAGGCATGCGCCACCACGCCCAGCTAATTTTGTATTTCTAGTAGAGACGGGGTTTCTCCATGTTGGTCAGGCTGGTCTCAAACTCCTGACCTCAGGTGATCCGCCCGCCTCGGCCTCCCAAAGTGCTGGGATTACAGGCATGAGCCACCAAGGTTGTTTTTTTTAAGCCTTAAAGCAATTTAGCACTAATTAGTATATAAAATGTTTTACATTTAAGAAACAAAGATAGGTCGTGAGATAGGTTAATTGGGAGGAAATTTTGATGAAGAAAAAATATAAACAAAAGCAAGAGGAGTATAAATTTGTTTTTCCTCCAGAGACCACATACTCAAGCAATGTTGATGAAATTTAACACAATAGGAGAAGAAAGAGAAGAAATACTTTCACTGGATTCTTGGAGGCCCTTACTCTCGATTGAATGCTCCCAGGTGGTCCTTCAACTTCTTATTTTTAATGATCCCTTGGTATTAACTTGTTAAAAGGTTTAAGTGTTAATTGCTAATGTCTAATCATTTAACTTGTTTTCTTTAAGTTTTAAGTGTTTACACTAGTACTAAACAAGTATCTGGCTAGGATGTTAGGAAGAAGTTTCTGAACTGGGACAGAGTTTAGACTAGAATGATGACCCCCAAGTTTTCTCCTAACGTCAAGATTCAACAAAATCCTTGGTTCTAGAACAGTCTAGGGATTTTCCTCTCTCATAGCTCTTGGCATTTAGAGTACAACTCTGGGTATGCTGGGGTGTTCTCAGGTCCTTTTATTTTGCTGCCTCTAACCAAAGCTACTGGTCTTAGGCCAGAGGGGTGCTTTGCCAGTAATAATTCCTTTTCATGAAAGGAAGTGTTCACATTTCAACCCCATTATTGAGTGTAAGTTCTAAATCCTTCCCTGCTGTTCCTTGGAATTGTAATTTAACATAACTGGTAGCACCAGAACGCAGTAAAACACATGCTTCTACTTGCGAGATTATTATGTAAATGATGCAGTTTCATTATTGCCTTTCGGAGCCATCCTTCATGTACTAGTATCTATGTGAACTGTTTTTCAAAGGGTTCAATAGAGAAAAATGTTAGAATAGTTGTAATTAAATTAATTCTTTTTTACTTTAACTTTTATGATTTTTAGTGTGTTTATTACAGAGTAATTAGAAAGCATAGTAAAGAGAAAAATAACAGTAGCACTTTATGTGGAAGGCTGTTTTTGTTGTTATACTAGCAGAATTTGAGTTTCGTGGGTCCATGACTGGGGGTGGCATCCTTTAACATTTTTCTCTAACTGGGATGCCTTCTTTTTTGAAGAATCTTATCCCTAGAAAAGTTTGTTTTATTGAGGAGGATTTCCATGAAAATTATACCTATTCTAGACTTTTTTAAAAGGCAATTCCAATAAGTAAACTAGAAATTAATAGGTTTTTGAAATTCAACTTCTGAAGATTTCAAAGTCCCTAATTCTGGTCCTGAAATCGAATCACTCTGGGAAAATACTCCTCCCACCCCAATTCTATTACACACTTTTTTGTTTTTTTGAGACCGAGTCTCACTCTGTGCCCAGGCTGGAGTGCAGTGGCGCAATCTCAGCTCACTGCGACCTCTGCTTCCCGGATTCAAGCGATTCTCATGCCTCAGCCTCCTGAGTAGCTGGGACTACAGGCATGCGCCACCACACCACACTAATTTTTGTATTTTTAGTGGAGAAGGAGTTTCACTATGTTGGCCAGGCTGGTCTTGAATTCTTGACCTCAGGTGATCCACCCACTTTGGCCTCCCAAAGTGCTGGGACTACAGGCGTTAAGCCACTGTGCCCGGCCTCTATTACACATTTTAAGGTTAAAATACATGTACATGAATCATTAAAAAGTTCAGAAAGAAATAAAATGAAGCATAAGAGCCTTCCTTCCCCTTCACCTCCAGTTTTTCCCCCTAAAGGGACTTAAGTTTCTTCTCTATACTTCTAAAATATGGGGATCAGGATCAGATGAGGTCCCTAACCTCTTGGAACCTATACCCTTGTAGAGGAGCCCATTATTAATGAAATGATTAGACAATTACAACATTGCAATTGTGGCAAGTGCCTACCAAGGAAAGCTATTAGGTGCCATGAGAGCCTGTAGCTGGGGTACGTGGCCAGGAGATGGGAAGGCTGCAAAGGTTTCCAGAATGAAGTGACACTTGAGTTGAAAGGGGAGATAGGAATTAACTAGGTCAAGAGGACCAGGTGGAGATGGAGAGTATTTCAGGAAGAAAAACAGCATGTGCAAAGCCCTGTAGTGGGAGGATGGCTCATATGAAAGACTGACAGGCAGAGAGTGAACAGCACAAAGGGAGCATGGGAAAGATAAGGCCAAGAGGGAGATAGAGGCTAGACCATAAAAAGCGTTACAAACCATATGAAGAATGGTTTCCATCCTAAGAGCAAGAGTGTGACAGATTGGTGCCCATCTATTCTACCCTTTGGTGTGACTGCAGAGGCTGGAAAGCTAAAAACTACATTCACAAACACCTTGCAACTAGGGCACTGGAGGCATCTAGATTCAGCCAATCAGATTCACTCACATGAGGCCTAGAAGGTGGAGATGAGGCAAGTCCATGCTTCACTGTTTCTGCAGTTTCTGCTGGTGAGCATGGTCCAGAGCATAGTTAGGAAGTGCTCTGGGGTCAAGGGGTCCAATTTCTTTCTAAGAACATGTGGGGGTGTTTTAAATTTATTTATTCATTTGGCCATTGCAGATCTAGGAGAGGCAGCATTACTCTGGAGCCAACAAGTATAGCAGTAGCAATGCCCTCATCCCTGGATAAGATCATGTGCTGTGGAGCCCACAGTTCCAGTGGCAGCTCCCCATTTCTCCATTTGGGATGAAGATAACAGCTCCCTTAATAGTCCAGTTCTATTGTATTCTGAAAGTCATTCCTGGGGACCCAATCTGGAACCCACTCCCCTTAGTTCTCCCAACAGTTTCATAAGCACTTAATTCCCTGTATCAAACTCCTTTTTGCTGGGAAGAGTCATAGGTAAGTTGTCTGCAAACGAACCCTCACAGATAAAAATCAAAGCTAGTGAAACTTTTGAGGCAGGAGAGTGCTAAGATCAGATGACCTCAATATGGAAAGTTAGCCGGAGGGCTTTAGGGTGGGTATGTGAAGGCCAATTAGAAAGCTATTTGTTCAGGGCCGGGTGCGGTGGCTCACACTTGTAATCACAGCATTTTGGGAGCCTGAGACAGTTGGATTACTTGAGATCAGGAGTTTGAGACCAGCCTGGCCAACATGGCAAAACCCTGTCTCTTCTAAAAATACAAAAATTAGCTGGGCACAGTGGCGGGTGCCTGTAATCCCAGTTACTCGGGAGGCTGAGGCAAGAGAATTGCTTGAACCTGGGAGGCGGAGGTTGCAGTGAGCCTGGATTGCGCCACTGCACTCCAGCCTGGCCGACAGAGTAAGACTCCATCTCAAAAAAAAAAAAAAGAAAAAGAAAAAAGAAAAGAAAATGTTTTGTTTTGTTTTAATTTTCTTTTGTTTTCTTTTTTCTTTTTTTTTTTTTTTTTTGAGATGGAGTTTTGCTTTGTCACCCAGGCTGGAGTGCAGTGGTGCAATCTCACTCACTGCAACCTCTATTTCCCAGGTTCAAGTGATTCTCCTGCCTCAGCCTCCAGATTAGCTGGGATTACAAGTGAGCACCACCACTCCTGGCTAATTTTTGTAGTTTTAGTAGAGATGGGGTTTCGCCATGTTTGCCAGGCTGGTTTTGAACCCCTGACTTCAAGTGATCTGCCTGCCTCTGCCTCCCAAAGTGCTGGGATTACAGGCATGAGCCACCGCGCCTGGCCTAATATTTTGTTTACTTAAGTGCAGTGACCTTGTTTCTAATCATAAGGCCGAGTTTCCCATGATTGGTGTTTTAAGTGGAATATTGATGTTTATGTGGAATATTTTTCTTTCGCTCCCTGTGGATAAAACATCTTAATAACCATAGGATCAGAATCTGAAGCTGCTAGAAATCAACACCCTAAGCGTTCTTTCATCCATCCCCATTCTCAGCAGGATCCAGCAAGAACATCCCAAAGAAATGAAAACTTACTTGTTTTGAAGAGACACAGCAAAGATACTGTGGGGCAAGGAAGAACAAACCAACAGTAAAACATGTACTCCAAGCAAGAAAGAGGTTTCTGCTTATACTTTTAAAAAATCATAAAAGATGAATTCATTATTATCCCAAGACATCTTGAATCAGAAATTTGGGTACCTAATTATTCCATAAAATTAAAATGACAGCATCTTTGGAGAGACAGTTGCCTGGCAACTCAAACCAGGAGATTGTCTTTAGATCCTCTGCAATCATGTGTGTCTATTTTGGTTTTTGTGTTGAGCTCATTTCCTTCCCTGCAATCCAAAACTGAACAATTTCTGGAGTAAAATTCCACTCAGAAAAAAGACTATTTTCTTTCAGAAGATATTTTTATTAGTAAGTGCAGCTGTCTGCATGCAGTTGAATCGCTCTATTTTCAGGGCTGGTGTGTGAACATATGAGAAAAGAAAAAATCCCAGCTGAGAGGAGGTTTCAGATGGAGTTGTATGTTTTGAGACCAAAAGCCAGACACCAGCTTTCTAAGAGAAAAATCTGGTTCAGCATCTCACAAAAGATCAAAGTATAATTTAACCAGGTGAGAGGAGCTTTGCAAACTCCTACCTCTTCATTGAAGCAAGGAGGGCTATCCAGGTAGGCTTTTCCTTTTCAAGATTAGAAGCCCTGAGTCTCCCATCTCCTGAATTAGTGATCTGGTTCCAGATTTTTTCATTCTGTGTATAGACCAAAAAAAGTTAGATAACTGCATTATTTATGATTCTTTTTATTATAAGCAAGAGAACTCAAGTTGAGAGAACTTACACAAAAGAGAATTTACCAAAAGATTTGGGACACTCACAAAAGGCCCTCCAAATAACTTGGAAATGGGCAAGAACCACAGAAGGGTCCAGAAGAAACCTGTGCTGAGATAAGTCAATTTCAACAGTCTATTCTGTCTTTGTATTACTCACTCAAAACTCATAATCCCAGGAGAGAGTGTTGAATTGGCTGAGTTGAGATTACGTGTCTGGGCCTGCTGTACTAGGGCAATAAGAGGAAGAGTCCTGTGGAAGGAACACGCAGTAACTCCTTCAGCTTCTAGATGGAAGGGCGAGTATCTAGATTTACAGTCACAACAAGACTGTCCACAAAGAGGGAAAGGAAGCAGATTTCCCAAAAAAGAAATTCTGGGGCCAGGTGCGGTGGCTCACGCCTGTAATCCCAGCACTTTGGGAGGCCGAGGTGGGCAGACCACGAGGTCAGGAGATCGAAACCATACTGGCCAACATGGTGAAACCCCATCTCTACTAAAAAAATACAAAAAATTGGCCGGGCATGGTGGCACGCACCTGTAGTCCCAGTTACTCGGGAGGCTGAGGCAGAAGAATCGCTTGAACCCAGGAGGCAGAGGTTGCAGTAAGCCGAGATTGCGTCATTGAACTCTAGCCTGGCAACAGAGCAAGACTCTGCCTAAAAAAAGAAAAAAGAAACTCTGGTTCTATTAGGAAGAGGGAATGAAGGCCAAAAATATCAAATGTTCATCACTGTCTAAGTTGAGTTCCCAGAAGAAGAAACCGAGGCAGGGATTCTTGTACTAGAGACATATTGAAGATGTACTTTCAGTAGAAATCTGTAAGAAGGTAAAGGATAGAGCAGGGGCAGAGGTGAAACAATGATAGGGTTTCAGCTGAAGTCTAATTTCAGCCTGATCCCATGGACGGTGTGAATTACATCACAGAGTCGTCGTCTTTAAGGAAAGGGCTCAACATTTGTTTATCTCCCTGCCCCCATATCAGTCAGTCATTGGGTGCATGATGTCCTGATAGAAAATATAACCTCCCAAGCATTTCTAGAGAGAAGTGTACGTTTGTGCCATTAGCAGGCAATGCTTATAGTAGCTGGGGCTGGGGATGCCACCACAGTAAAGGGGATGAGGGTGGTGCACTGACATTATTGACTACAATTATAATAATAAAGGCAAGGTACCTGAATTTAATTTGCTAAGTCCAGACTTCCCGTCTATGAACTGCCACATCCCATGATTACCATAGGACCCTGGGACTACCACTAATTCTGGGACAGAATAAAGGAAAGAGATGGATTATTTATTGTGCGGCTGTTTCATTGTGGAAAATGATGTGATTAACAAAGAAATGCCAATAGAGAGTATAAAGAGGTAAATTTTCTTTAACCATTTCTCATTTGCCCCAAGAACCCTGCACTGGCAGCAAGCTGCACTTTTTTTTTTCCTAAATTATAAATGGGTTAAACAAAAAAAGATGTGGAAACTTACGGACATTTTCAATGAACAATGGCTAAAGGAGAGAGGGTTCTAGGAAGGAGGGCACCGAAAAAAATTAAACTAATATACTTTCTAATGCATTTGAAGAAATGAACCAGAAAAAAAATATTGAAAAACTCTTATAGACCTAATGGGCAATTTGGGAATAATTAGTGATACAGGCACAGAAAATAAAACAAACAAAAGGTTGTTAACTCTAGAAAAAAACCAAAAAGTTGTACAAGAAAGAAAATGTAACTACAATTAACAACACTTACCACATAAATAAGCAACATTACTCATTATATTATGATTAATATAAAATATATACATAAAGGGAAAGCCATTGAATAGAATTTGATCCTCGTCATCCATAATGGGAGGATATGCTGGGTATTTGCTTATTTGTTCTTAAATTCATTTCCTGCCTTTCCCCTTCCCAGGCTCATATTGCACAGGCTACTTCTGTAAACTATGCTTCCAAGATCTCGATGACTGTTTTGGCTGAGTTCAGCCAACAGGAAGTGGTAGCCAGGGATTGGAGGATGGCAGTGAAGGAGACACCAGGATATTTCTCCTTCCCACTCTTTCTGCCTTAGATAGAGCCCCTCTGGCTCTGGAGATAATAATGATTGTTTCCTGCAGCTGCTTAAGTTAAGGGTACCTCCACTTCCCCTAATTATCCTTCCAGGTTTTCTAAGCCAGGGTTCTCAACCTCAACACTATTGACATTTTGGTCTGGATGGCTCTTTGTTTTGGGGGATTGTCCTGTGTATTATAAAATGAGTTGCAGCATTCCTTGAGAGACTCCATCCACTAGATACCAGTAGTCACCACCCAGCTGTGACAACAAAAATGTCTCCAGAAATTGCCAAATGTTCCCTAGGGGGCAAAATCACCCCTAATTAAGAACTAAAGGCTGGGCCGGGCGCAGTGGCTCACACCTGTAATCCCAGCACTTTGGGTGGCCGAGGTGGATGGATCACTTGAGCCAGGAGTTTGAGACCAGCCTGGCCAACATGGTGACCATGTTGAGATGTAACCCATCTCTACTAAAAATACAAAAATTAGCCGGGCGTGGTGGCGTGCACTTATAATCCCACCTGCTCAGGAGGCTGATGCAGGAGAATCGCCTGAACCTGGGAGGCAGAGGTTGCAGTGAGCCGAGCTCGTGCCACTGCACTCCAGCCTGGGCGACAGAGTAAGACTCTGTCTCAAAAAAAAAAAAAAAAAAAAAGAAGAGAAAAGAAAAGAAAAGAACTGAAGTTCCAACCCCTTTATAACTGTATTAAATTTTCTCTACTAAATTTGCTAAGGGTTTTAGTTTTCTGACTTGAAGCTGACTGATTCAGAAAGCTATAAACAATGTCTAAATTTGATCAATCAGAAATTAACACAATAAGCATATTATTTAGAAATATGCAACCAATAAAAGAATAAACAAATAAGAGTATTGAATGTAGTTGCTTCTAGAGTGTAGGTCTGGAGAACAAAGGAGAGGTGATTTTGAACTTTTTAATATTTTGTTTTTTAAAATGTATGCATATATAGCTAATAAAAATAAAATACTGGGGCCCGGTGCGGTGGCTCACGCCTGTAATACCAGCACTTTGGGAGCCCGAGGCGGGAGGATCACGAGATCGAGACCATCCTGGTTAACACGGTGAAACCCCGTCTCTACTAAAAATACTAAAAATTAGCCGGGTGTGGTGGCGGGCGCCTGGAGTCCCAGCTACTCGGAAGCTGAGGCAAGAGAATTTCGTGAACCTGGGAGGCGGAGCTTGCAGTAAGCGGAGATTTCGTCACTGCACTCCACCTGGGGCAAGACAGTGAGACTCCATCTCAAAAAAATAAATAAATAAAATACTGGGAAAAGAGAACATGAGCAATTCAGTATTCTAAGTAGAAAGCTCCAGGCAGAGGCTTAAAATTCTTATTCTCAAAAACTGATTAAAGAAGTGCTTATTCTGATCTTTTGTTTTTAATCTTACCTAAACCATATTCTCTTATATTTTACCCAGAGCCAAGTATGGCAGTCACCTAGCTTTTATAAATGAGTCATATTTATTTCTTTTCCAAGATATCTCCAGGCTGCCTCCTCCCAAATGGTTTTGGTTGCAGAACTGGCTTACCTGGTTGTAATCATGTAGTAGTCAGAGAAAACTACTAAAGGCACTATTGTAAATATTACAGGAACACTGAAATAACATTAGAGTCCCTGGATCTGTGTGGGTTGTGTCCCTCCAGAAAAGGTAGAGGGGAAGGTTTGCAGATGTTGCTTTACTGACTTGTGTCAATGTTTCTTATTTCAATAGCATGCCTTTCCCAAATCTCCATTCATCTCATCTCCCAAACACTGTGATTTCTACCATCAGCTCTGGTTTATCTTTGTCTCTCCCCATCATAGCAACTGAAACAAAGTTTTCAGATTGAATTCTTGATTTGCTTGATTGCTGTGACTGTGTTCCAGTTATTTTGGAAATGCATCCGTCTGATATATGACCAACTAATAGAAGGCAGTTTTCAATCTTCTAAAACATAAAACGATGGAAATATATGTATGTGTGTGTATTTTTGTGTGAATAAATATATAAATACATATACCAATATGACATATATTATACATGCATCTATATATATTTTATATACTAAATACATACATGTATGTTTTTGTATATACATTAATATTATCATATGCATTTATTTACATGGAAATACTTTTTGTTCTGACTAAAAAAAGTAATAGATACTAATTATGGGAAAACTAGGTAATACAAAAAATATAAAGCAATAGATAAAAACTGGCTGGGCACGGTGGCTCACACCTGTAATCCTAGCACTTTGGGAGGCTGAGGCGGGTGGATCACCTGAGGTCAGGAGTTCGAGACCAGCCTGGCCGACATGGTGAAACCCCTGTCTCTACTAAAAATGCAAAAAAGATTAGCCAGGTGTGATGGCAGGCACCTGTAATCCCAGCTACTCGGGAGATGGAGGCAGGAGAATTGCTTGAACCTGGGAGGTGGAGGTGGCAGTGAGCCGAGGTCGCGCCGTTGCACTCCAGCCTGGGCTACATGAGCAAGACTGAAAAAAAAAAAAAAAAGAAAGAAAAGAAAAAGAAGAGAAATAGATAAAAATCATGAATACTCCTAAAGTCCAGTAATAGCTATTGTATGAGTCAAAATTAATTTCAGCTACAATTACCCAGAAAAAATATCCAAAATAACATCAAATAAAGGATATTTCTCTAATATAAAATGTCTGGCCACTGGCTATCTAGTGCTTGTACAGTGGTTCCAAATCCATCATAATCCATCAACTTCCAGATCTTCACTCCATCATTCTTAAGGTATAACCCCCATCCTCATGGTCTAAGATATCTGCACTCCACCTGGGGCAAGACAGTGAGACTCCATCTCAAAAAAATAAAAAATAAAATACTGGGAAAAGAGAACATGAGCAATTCAGTATTCTAAGTAGAAAGCTCCAGGGAGAGGCTTAAAATTCTTATTCTCAAAAACTGATTAAAGAAGTGCTTTACACTTCTTTAATCAGTCATTACATGATGAAGTCATTACATTCACATTCCAAGTAGCAGATTGGTGAAAAGAGGCAAGCAAGGTACAAAGAACATGTCCTTTTAAAGTGGTTTTCTTTTTTACTTTTTTCTTTAATTTTAAAAAATATGTAGGCTGGGTACAGTGGCTCATGCCTGTAATCTCAGCACTTTAGGAGGCCAAAGCAGGAGGATCACTTGAGCCTGGGATTTTAAGACCAGCCTGGACAACATAGTGTGAACCTGTCTACAAAAAATTTAAAAATTAGCTGGGCCTGGCAAAGCACACCTGTGGTCCCAGCTACTTGAGAGGCTGAGATTGGGGGATTGCTTGAGCCCAGGAGGCTATAGGGAGCTGTGATCACAAAAGTGCACGTCAGCCTGGGTGACAGACTGAGACCTTGTCTCTAAATAAATAAGTAAATAAATAAATAATAGAAATAGAGTCTAGCTATGTTTCCCAGGCTGATCTTAAACTCCTGGACTCACGTGATCCTCCCAGTTTAGCCTCCCAAAGTGCTGAGATTACAGGTGTGAGTCACCACATCTGTGATAAGGTGGTTTTCCAAGAAGCTGCCATACAATATATTTTATAACTAATTGACCAAACTCAGTCACACAGCCACATAGCTGCCAGAAAAAAGGGAAATATAGAACATTTAGGTGGGCACTGGAGTGGGAACAACAGAATAAGGATCTCCAAAAATCTACTCCTCCATAACAGTAATAAAAACACTGACAAAAATAGTCAAAATCAACTTTTTCAGAATACTGGATATTAATCAAAGGCTTGCAACAATCCAAAAAGCATTTCTTGAAGAAATTGGCTGAATCGTGGTTAAAAAAAAAAAGTGAGCTTTGTGACATCTTAACTAGCCCTGTTTACAGATTCTCTCCCCACATGAAGAAATAAAGAAATACCACTGGTAATGGTAACTACATAAGTAAATACAAAAAACAGTATAAAGGTAATTTTTGTTTGAAATGTTCCTTTTCTCCTATCTTATTTAAAAGATAACTGCATAAAACAATACTTACAAATCTATGTCAATGGGTATATAATGTATAAAGATATAATTTTTATGTCAATAATAGAACAAAGGGGGAGGGAAGGAATGAGCCATATAGGGAAAAAGTTTGTCTATACTATTGAAATTAATCTGGTATTAATACAAACTAAATTGTTTTAAGTTTAGATGTTAATTGTAATCTCTAAGGCAATCACAAAATAACTCAAAGAATCCTAAAATAAATTAGAAGGGAATAAAAATGGTACAGTAAAACACATTTAACAATATAGGAAAAAATAGGAAAATGGCAATTATAAAGCCTCTTATTCATAATTACACTAAGTGTAAATGGTTTAAACACTCCAATTAAAGGCAGAGATTGGCAAAATTGATGAAAAACATGATCCAACTATATTGTGTTTACAAGTGACACACTTTATTTTTATTATTATTGTTATTGTTATTATTATTATTTTATTTCAATAGGTTTTTTTGGGAACAGGCAGTGTTTGGTTACATGAATAAGTTCTTTAGTGGTGATTTCTGAGATTTTGGTGCACCCATCACCTGAGCAGTGTACACTGTACCCAACATGTAGTCTTTTATCCCTCACCCCCTAACCCCCTTTCTCCCAAGTTCCCAACGTCTATTGTATCATTCCTATGCCTTTGCATCCTCATAGCTTAGCTACCACTTATGAGTGAGAACATATGTGTTTGGTTTTCCATTCCTGACTTACTTCACTTAGAATAATGGTCTCCAATTCCATCCAGGTTGCTGCAAATGCCATTATTTCATTCTACAAGAGACACATTTTAGGTTCAAGATATAAAGAGCTTAAAAGCAAAAGAATGGGAAAAGATATACCATGCAAAGAGTAACTAAAAGAGAGCTAAAATGGCTGTATTAATATAAGACAAAATGGACTTAAGACAAAAAATTGTTACTAGAGACAGAGGCCATTTTCTAATGATAAAAGAGTCAGTCCTCAAGAAAGTGTAACAGTTATAAACATATATTAACCTAATAACAGAGCCAAAAAGTAAATGAAACAAAAACTGACAGAATTAAAGGAAAAATAGACAATTCAACAATAAGAGTTGGAGACTTCAATACCTCACATTCAGTAATGGATAAAACAACTAGACAGAAGATCAACAAGAAAACAGAATGCTTAAATAATACTATAAACCAACTAGGTCTAATAGACATCTATAGAACACTCCACCCAACAACAACAGAATACACATTTTTCTCAAGTATATATAGGCCACTCTCTAGGACAGAACGTATATTAGGCCATAAAATGCATATCAAAATCTATCACTGTATTTTCTTTTTTTTTAATAGAAGGGACTTTTATTATTTTTTCAGAGAATTCAGACAGCCATTGATTAAACAGAGCCATTTCTCAGCGCTCTTTTCTCTCCATTTAAGAAATTGGAATACAGCATGATGAGAATGATGATGCCAAAACAAGATTGCTGGCTCACATCATCTAGGGTACAAATACGCACTTACTTAATCACTTGACACTTCATTGAATGCAAAGCAATATTTAGCATCTTTGCCTTCGTTGTACACAGCTGAAGCGGGAGCCCAGGGAGGGGAACACTGCATGGTTTTCCTTGGTGGGGGAGGTGTGCACCCTGCAGTCCTGTCGTGTTGGGGGAAGATCAGCCCATGTTCTGTCGGTTGCCATAGCCCCCAGGATGGGTGTCCTTCCAGTTATCCCACTCCCGAACTCTGTAGAGTGTTCATCATCCTCTCCCTCCTTCACTTCTTGATACTTCTGTTGCTGAGCTGCTTTTCTGAATTTCTCTGGTGTTGCAGTGGCTATTCCCTGATCTGGCAATGCTCCATATTTCCGATGTTGTTCATACCAGTCACTCACTGTCATAGTTGCCAGACTTGGATAACTAGCTCCAAATAATTTGGCTTGGGCTGTGTTCCGCGTGAGAATGAAGGATTTCACTGGAGGCCTCTCCTGGAGAGATGAGTTAGAAGCTAATGACTGTCTTCAAGAGTCTCTCTCAGGATCTTTATTTCCTGGTCAATGCTCTCAATCTCTTCTAAGCTGGTATCAATCCCCCTTTGAAGGTGAAGAAGATAATATTCACGAACATGCTCATCATCTGCTTGACCACTTTCCACAGCAGATTTCATTGCAGACAACCTATGGTCCAACTCCTTCTTCTGCTTGTATCTCTCTATTTTAGCCTGCCTTTGAGATGCCATAGCAACGAGACTAGGATAAGCCATGGAGGAATTAGCAGTGTGATTTTCAGCTGAGTTGTTCTTGGTTTTGAGCAGCTCAAACTTTGCAATGTGATAGTAATGGCACTGAGTTAAGTAGTTTATAAAATGTTCTCGAGCCCGCTGCAAGACGCTTGCTAGGGTTGACTTGTTTCATGGTGAGGGCTCCTTGAAGTGCTGGCACCAACAGGTACTTCAGCTCGGTGAAAGCAATCTCTTCCAAATCTTCATTTCAATTGAACAAGTCGAGCTGCGATAACATTTCGGGAACCTTCTCAAGGAGGCCCAGGCCCTTGAACACCTTCTCCTGGACTATCTGGTAACCGGTGGTTTCAGCTGCTAATTCTACTTCGTCCAGAAGCTGTTTGCCTGTTTCGAGCAGCATGGGGAGCCGCGGCAACAGTAACTCATCTTCAGCAGCCATCTTGGGGAGGGAGGGTGTATTTTCTTTTTAAGAGAGACAGATCGCACTATTTTGCCCATGCTGGACTTAACCCCTGGGCTCAAGTGATTCTCCTTCCTCAGCCTCCCAAATATAAAAAATGTTAAAATTTTAAATGGATTGAAATCATTCAAATTATCTTCTTCAATCACAATGGAATCAAATTAAATTCAATAACAGAAGGAAATCTGGAGAATTTGCAAGTATGTGAAAATGAAACAGTACACTCATAAATAACTAAAGGGTCAAAAGAGAAATCACTGGTGAAATTAGAAAATACTTTGAGTTGAATAAAAATGAAAACACAATATTCAAAAACTTATGGGATTCAGATAAAACAGTGCTAACAGGAAATTTATAGCTGTAAGTACTTACAATTTAAAAAAAAGAAAGATGTCAAAACAATTGCCAACCTTCCTTATCATGAAACTAAAATAAGAAGAGCAAATTAAACCCAAAGCAAGTAGGAGGAAGGAAATAATAAAGATTCAAGCAGAAATAAATGAAATATAGAACAGAAAAGTAATGGAGAAAATAATCAAAATCAAAAGTTGGTTCTTTGAAAAGATCAACAAAATTGACAAATCTTTAGCTAGACTAGGAAAAAAGAGAGAAGATGCAGGTTTCTAAAATCAGGAATAAAAGAGGGAACATTACCACAGAGTTTACAGAAATAAAAAAGGTTATAAGGGACTACTATGAATAATTATATGTTAACAAATTAGATAACCTAGAAATAGAAAATCTCAATAGAGTTATAACAAGTGAAGAAAATGAATTAGTAATCTAGGCATCAACGTGCCAAGATAATCAGGATTCTTGATGTTAAGGAAGAGGAAGATTGCAGGAGGCTACCATCAGTCTCTGCCACAACTACTGTTGACACTTAGGTTGACACTCCTAGAATAACATATATGTGTAATTTATCATGTAGACCATTTGGTGACTTAACCAATTTGGTTTATTGGAAATTTAAAATGTAACAGCATTTCAAAGGAAGAAAGCCTGAGTTATTCACCAAGTTTACTACCTTGCCAAATTGGCGATTTGTCCGTAAAGAAACAATTGGTTGTTTTTTCTTACTTTGTTTTCTAACAGGGTAATGTGAAAGCGTTCTCTGACAGAGCTCATGTAATTCCATAGCTCCAGTTACTAACTGTACTAATTTCTCTAAAACTTTTTCTCTAGCCTAATGTTTTCTCTTAAGCTCCAGAGCCTTATACCCAGGGGCTTCCTGAACATCTCCGCTTGGATGTTTTGCAGGTGCTTCCAACTCTAGATGTCTAAAACTAGACTCTCTGGGTGTGGCCTTTCTTTCAGTTTTTTTTTCTTTCAAAAGATGTGATCTCACTATGTTGCCTAGGCTGGCTTTGAACTCCTGGGCTCACGCCATCTTCCCACCTCAGCCTTCTGAGTAGCTGGGACTAGGCATGTACCACTGTGTCCAGCTTGAGTGTGGCCTTTCTGATTAAAAGGTAGCCTTTTTGGCTGGGCGCAGCGGCTCACATCTGAAATCCCAGCACTTTGGGAGGCAAAGGTGGATAGATCGCTTGAGCCTAAGAGTTTGAGACTAGCCTGGGCAACATGGTGAAACCCCATCTCTACAAAAAATTAAAATAAAAAATTAGCTGGGCATGGTGGCATGCGCCTATAGTCCCAGCCACTTGGGAAGCTGAGATGGGAGGATCGCTTGAGCCTGTCTGTGTGGATTTATCTATTCTGGATATTTCATATAAATGAAATTGTACAAAATGTGACATTTCGTGTCTGGTTTCTTTCACTTAGCATAATATTTTGGAGGCCATCCACATTGTAGCACACATGAGTATTTTGTTTCTTTTTATGGCTGAATAATATCCCATTGTATTTCATTCCATAATTTGTTTATTCTCCATTGATGGACAGTTAGACTTTTTCTACTTTTTGGCTATTGTGTATAGTGCTGCTATGAATGTGTACATGTACTTGTTTGAGTGCTCATCTTCAATTCGTTTGGTATATCCTTAGTAATGAAATTGTAGGGTCATATGGCTATTTTATGTTTAACTTTTTGAGGAACCGCCAGTTTTTTACTGTGACTGAACCATTTTGCATTCCTACCACAAATTACCTGTGTTCCAGTTTCTTTACATCCTTACCAACATTTGTCATTTTCTGTTTGTTTGTTTTTTAAATAATAGCCATCTTGATGTTTGTGAAATGGTTTCTCACTGTGTTTTTGATTTGCATTTTCCTGATGATTAGTGATGTTGAGCATCTTCTCCTGTGCTTATTGGCCATTTGTTTATCTTCGTTTTTGTTTTACTTTATAATTCTTTATGCTTAAAATAATTTTTAATAGAGACAGGGTCTCACTATGTTGCCCAGGCTGGTTTTTCTTTTCTTTTCTTTTCTTTTTTTTTTTTTTTTGAGACGGAGTCTTGCTCTGTCACCAGGCTGGAGTGCAGTGGCGTGGTCTTGGCTCACTGCAACCTCCCGCCTCCCATTCTACTGCCTCAGCCTCCCGAGTAGCTGGGATTACAGGTGCCTGCCACCATGCCCAGCTAATTTTTGTATTTTTAGTAGAGATGGGGTTTTACCATGTTGGCCGGGATGGTCTCGAACTCCTGGCCTCAGGTGATCCGACCGCCTCGGCCTCCCAAAGTGCTGAGATTACAGGCGTGAGCCACTGCGCCTGGCCATCCCCCACAGGCTGGTCTTGAACTCCTGGCCTCAAGCAGTCCTCCTGCCTTGGCTTCCCAAAATGTGGAGATTACTAGCATGAGCCACCACACCCAGCCTGTATATCTTCTTTGGAGAAATATCTATTTAATTCCTTTGCCTTTTAAAAAATCAGATTGTTTGTTTTCCTGTTCTTGACTTGCAGGAGTTCTTTATGCATTCTGGATATTAATCCCTTGTCAGATATATGATTTGCATATATATTCTCCCATATCATAGGTTATTTTTTCACTCTGTTGATAGTGTCCTTTGATGCATGAAAGTTTTTACTTCTGATGAGTTCAGTTTATCTATTTTTTCTTTGGTTTCCTGTGCACTTGGTGTCATATCCAAGAAATCATTGCCAAATCCAGTGTCATGAAGTTTTTCCCTGTTTTTGTCTAAGAGTTTTATAGTGTTGCTCTTATGTTTAGAGCTTTGATCCATTTTGAGTTAATTTTTTTCTTTTCTAGACCTTTGATAATTAATTTTTCTATATAAGAGTTCAACTTCATTCTTTTGCATATGGAGATCCTGTTTGCCTCTTCTACTCTTTTGTTTTTAGCTTTTTATATTTAATGGATGCTCATGTGGAAACAATTTTGAAGTTACTAATCCATTTTCCCATCCTCAGTTATTATTTTTTTTTTTTTTGCAGCCTGAATAAAAGGCTGGATAACTGTCCCCAATTATTATTTTATAACAGCTTTATTGAGATATAATTCACATACCATACCATTCACGCATTTAGAATGTACAATTCAGTGATTCTTAGTGGCCCTATCATCACAATAATTTTAGAACATTTTTATCACCCCAAAAAGAAACTCATACCCTTTATAGCAGTCGCCCTGAGAGGTGACAGCGTGCGCCCTCGCTCGCTCTCGGCGCCTCCTCGGTCTTGGCGGCCACTCTGGCCGCGCTTGAGGAGCCCTTCAGCCCACCGCTGCACTGTGGGAGCCCCTTTCTGGGCTGGCCAAGGCCGGAGCTGGCTCCTTCAGCATGCAGGGAGGTGTGGAGGGAGAGGCGCCAGCGGGAACCCGGGCAGCGCGCGGTGCTTGAGGGCCAGCTGGAGTTCCGGGTGGGCGTGGGCTTGGCGGGCCCCCGCACTCTGAGTGGCTGGCCGGCCGGCCCTGCCGGCCCCGCGCAATGAGGGGCTTAGCATCTGGGCCAGCGGCTGCGGAGGGTGTGCTGGGTCCCCCAGTAGTGCCGGCCCACTCGATTTCTCGCCGGGCCTTAGCTGCCTTCCCTCGGGGCAGGGCTCGGGACCTGCAGCCCGCCATGCCTGAGCCTCCCCCCTCCCTCCGTGAGCTCTTGTGCTACCGGAGCGTCCCCGACGAGCGCCGCCCCCTGCTCCACAGCGCCCAGTCCCATCGACCACCCAAGGGCTGAGGAGTGCGGGCGCAGGGCACAGGACTGGCAGGCAGCTCCACCTGCCGCCCCTGTGAGGGATCCACTGGGTGAAGCCAGCTGGGCTCCTGAGTCTGGTGGGGACTTGGAGAACCTTTATGTCTAGCTAAGGGATTGTAAATACACCAATTGGCACTGTGTATCTAGCTCAAGGTTTGTAAACACACCAATCAGCACCCTGTGTCTAGCTCAGGGTTTGTGAATATACCAATGGACACTCTGTATCTAGCTACTCTGGTGGGGACTTGCAGAACCTTTATGTCTAGCTAAGGGATTGTGAATACACCAATCGGCACTCTGTATCTAGCTCAAGGTTTGTAAACACACCAATCAGCACCCTGTGTCTAGCTCAGGGTTTGTGAATGCACCAATTGATACTCTGTATCTAGCTACTCTGGTGGGGACTTGGAGAACCTTTGTGTCAACAATCTGTATCTAGCTAATCTAGTGGGGACGTGGAGAACCTTTGTGTCTAGCTCAGGGATTGTAAACGCACCAATCAGCACCCTGTCAAAACAGACCACTCGGCTCTCTGTAAAATGGACCAATCAGCAGGATGTGGGTGGGGCCAGATAAGAGAATAAAAGCAGGCTGCCTGAGCTCGCAGCGGTAACTGGGTGAGGTTCTTTTGTACGGTGTGGAAGCTTTGTTTCTTCGCTCTTTGTAGTAAATTTTGTTGCTGCTCACCGTTCCTTTGGGAGCTGTAGCATTCACCGCCAAAGTTTGCAGCTTTATTCTGGAGCCAGAGAGACCACGAAGCCGCCGGGAGGAATGAGTAACTGCAGATGCGCCGCATTAAGAGCTGTAATACTCACCGGGAAGGTTCGCAGCTTCAGTTCTGAGCCAGCGAGACCACGAAGCCGCAGGGAGGAACCAACAATTCCAGATGCGCTGCCTTAAGAGCTGTAACACCGCGAAGGTCTGCAGCTGCACTCTTCAGCCAGCGAGCCACGAACCCAGCCGGAAGGAAGAAACTCCAAACACATCTCCACATCAGAAGGAACAAACTGTGGACACGCCGCCTTTAAGAACTGTAACACTCACTGTGAGGGTGCTTGGCTTCATTGTTGAAGTCTGTGAGACCAAGAACCCGCCATTTCTAGGCACAATGTCTCATTTTCTCTCAGCCATTCCAGACTTTACTACTAATCTACTTTGTTTCCAGAGATTTGCCTATTATCAATATTTCACAAAAGGATCATAGAATATGTGGTGAGCTATTTTTATTCACTAACACTTAAGACCAAAATGTGTGGGTTTTTTTTTCCTAATATCAGCCAAATTCTCCAGTTCTCCAGACACCAACTGGGTGTCCAAAAACTCAATTTAAATCTGACAACACACTCCACAGAATTAGTGTCACACCAAGTTAAGGACTCATTCATACAGAATCATCCCCTCTTCAGTCACCAATTGCAAGTGCAAGGTTGCTACTTTTACTTCTGACCAGCTAGCTATAAATTGGAGATCTCATGAGACCCTACTCAGGCCTAGTGATTTACTAGAGTGTCTCACAAAACTCAAGGAAATGGTCTACTTGCCATTACCAGTTTATTCCAAAGGATACAAACTAGGAAAAGAGAAATAGAACAGAAAAATAAGACAAGGTAGATGGGCAAGGGAAACAAAGTTTCTATGTCTGCTCTGACATACCACCCTGCCAAGTACCTCGATGTGTTCACCTACTTGAAAACTCTTCAAACCCAACATTTAGGGGTTTTTATGGAGATTTCATTACTTATCCATGATTGATTAGATCACTGGTGATTGGTGATTAGCTCAATCTCCTGCCTCTCTCCCGTCCAAGGAGGTCAGGGGGTGGGAATGAAACATCCAACCCTCTAATCATGCCTCGTCTTCCTGGAGACCATCCCCCATTCTACAGTTATCTAGGAGTTACCAGCCACCAGTCATTTCATCAGCATGCAAAAGATACTTATTACTCCAGAGATTCTAAGAGTTTTGGGAGCTTTGTGTCAGAAACTGGAGTCAAAGACCAAATATTTATTGTTTATTACATACATGTAGTTTTTTGTAACTGGCCTCTTTCACTTAGCATAATACTTTCAAGGTTTATTCAGGCTGTGATCAGTGGCTCACACCTGTAATCCCAGCACTTTGGGAAGCTGAGGCAGGCAGATCATCTGAGGCCAGGAGTTCAAGACTAGCCTGGCCAAATGGTGAAAACCTGTCTCTACTAAAACTACAAAAATTAGCTGGATGTGGTGGCAGGCGCCTGTAATCCCAGCTACTTGGGAGGCTGAGGCAGGAGAATCACTTGAACCTGGGAGGTGGAGGTTGCAGTGTGCCGAGAATGGCGTGAACCCAGGAGGCGGAGCTTGCAGTGAGTCAAGGTTGAGCCACTGCACTCCAGCCTGGGTGACAGAGCAAGACTCCATCTCAAAAAAAAAAAAAATTATATATGTATATATATATGGTTTGGTTTGGTTTTGTTTTGAGATGGAGTTTCACTCTTGTTGCCCAGGCTGCAGTGCAATGGTGCAATCTCGGCTCACTGCAACCTTCGCCTCCCGGGTTCAAGCCATTCTCCTGCCTCAGCCTCCCAAGTAGCTGGAATTACAGGCGCCCACCACCACACCTGGCCATGGTTTTCTTTTATTAATCTGCCTTTTGTTATAGGGGCCTCAGCCGTGGACCTTTTAATGGGTAAGATATTATTATTTTTCTTTCCCACAATATACTCACTAAACGTCCAGCAGTGGAAATGGTGTGCATGTCATTTGTGATTTTGATGAAATATTATTGCATTAAATTTAGAAAAGCAGTTGACATACAGTAAAGAGTTAACTTGAGACAATGAATGTCATGGGATAATGCTTGATTTGGTAAAAGGTTTCATCTAAATAGTTCTCGTTGTCCCTTAGCATAGGGAATTTCTTACTCAAGCTAGTCTTGTTTAATAAATTTCCATTTTCCAGCATTTGATTAATCTTGACAGTTGGGGTGTAAGCGGTGATCCCAGCACTTTGGGAGGCCAAGGCAGGTGGATTGGTTGAGTCCAGGCGTTTGAGACCAGCCTGGGCAACATGGTGAAACCCCGTCTTTATAAGAAATACAAAACAACTGGGGCCGGACGCAGTGGCCCACGCCTGTAATCCCAGCACTTTGGGAGGCCAAGGAGGGAGGATCATCTGAGGTTGGGAGTTCAAGACCAGCCTGGCCAATACAGTGAAACCCCGTCTCTACTAAAAATACAAAAAATTAGCTGGGCGTGGGGGCGCACACCTGTAATTCCAGCTACTCGGGAGGCTGAGGCAAGAGAATCACTTAAACTAAGGAGGCAAGGTTGCAGTGAGCCAAGATCACACCACTGCACTCCAGCCTGGGTGACAGAACAAGACTCCATCTCAAAAAAAAAACAAAAAAAACCCAAAACCAATTAGCTGAGCCTGGTGGCATGTACCTGTAGTAACAACTACTAGGGAGACTGAGGTAAGAGGATTGCTTGAGCCCAGGAGATCGAGGCTGTAGTGAGCCATGATTGTGCCACTGCACTCCAGTCTGGGTGACAGAGCTAGACCCTGTCTTTAAGAAAAAAAACCCCAAAAACTTAACAATTGGGGTTCTCCCTGGAAACACTGCAGCAAGATGCTACACCTTCCAGAAAGCATAAAAATAATTCTCTATTTATTTGTTGCCTGGCAACAATACTCTTTATTTTTATTCACAGGGAAATTTCAGAAATATTTGCTGATCAGTGCAACTGTGGCAAGGAAGGGGAAAAGTGAAAATAGCTCTCTTAAGGTTCAAAAATTGATATGGCAGTTTAACCTTTTTCATTTGTATAGACCTAGGTGGTGCTCATGACCCTGAAGAGCAAAAAGCATATCAAATGTAAAGGCAGAGTGAATATGATCAGAGAGGATCAAGGGTCTTTGGGATACACTACGTGAAGGTGTTGCAGTTCTCAGGAGGTACGGGTTCAGATTGCATTTATAAGGCTCAACAGTAGGGCTCAGGCTAAATTTTATTTTATTGTCCATCCTGATTAGTCCCTGTGGTAGCAGTATTTTTGTTTCACAACTCCTTCCTTCCCCAAGCTTGCTATGGTTTACTATAGATAAAGTACGCTTCTCCACCTAATTCACGTTGGGCATGGTCAATACAATGTGGGTGGATGTATCATATGCTATATCTGACCAGAGACTTTATATGAGTTTGTGAAATTTGGCATGACCTCCTGCATTTCTGCCTTTTGCTTTGAGGAGAGAATGCCCCAAGTAGCCATTGCCCATTTAGCCTGGGTCCTGGAATGAGAAACACATAGGAAAGACCCAAACCTAAGCCCAAGTGAGCCTGGACAACCCACATGCAGTGCACAGACCAGTGAGTGAAAAATAAATATTTGTTCTTATGAATCACTGACATTTGGGAGTTACCTGTTGTGCAACACTATTGCATTAAATCTTGACTAATACAATCATTGAGAAACTAATTGTTCTCATCAGTGCCTATTGTGAACAATCAAACAGACTAGAATGTGCGCAATGGGTTTCAATCAGGTGTTCCCATTTTCCCAGGCATCAGTCAGATGGAGCAAAGTCTATGTAAGAGACCAACTGGCTTGTCTTGAGGATGCTGAGGGTGTTCTTAAAAGGGAAATTTGTGGGGGTTTTTAAAAGTCTGTGTTTATATACTAGACACAAATATTCCAGAAATATTATTGGTGGGAAAATCAAATTACAGAACATAATGAGAGTGACTTGTATGGACACTCTCATTCAGAAAAACATGCAATCTAGCAGCTTCAGAATTTCTATATAGGTGGGCTGGATGTGTACATAACAATCTCATTAGAAGGGAGTTGGGTCAAACAAGGAGGCTTGACCTTGTATTTGCATAGCACCTTAATATAATTGAAAAATATCCCAATTGGCTATATCAAATAATTGGTTGGAGAGAAGCTGATGAAGATTATGTGGGAACTCTAAAACCCCACACTCACACATAATCCCCAGCTGAGACAGTGTTAGATTAAGTGTATCTATAAATATGTCAAGAGGGGACATAGAAATGTACATATCAAAATGTTAATGGAAATTATAAGTGAAAAGTGAAATTTGGGGGAATCTTTACCGTCTTCTTTGTACTTATCTGTATTGTTGGAATCTTTTGCACTGAACATATATCATTTCCCCCAAAACAATGAAGCTATTTTCTACAGAGAAAAGGAATTCTACTGACCTCCACTTTTTCCTTTATCTCAATTTAATCACCTAAATGGTGCCTAAAAATCCCTAAATTTTAGTTTTCCCCACTATGTCTTTTTTTTTTTTTTTTTTTTTTGAGATGGAGTCTCTCTCTGTCACCCAGGCTGGAGTGCAGTAGTGTGATCTCAGGTCACTGCAACCTCCACCTCCCGGGTTCAAGTGATTCTTCTGCCTCAGCCTCCCAAGTAGCTGGGACTACAGGCACATGCCAACACACCCAGCTAATTTTTTTTTTTTTTGTATTTTTAGCAGAGACAGGGTTTCACCATATTGTCCAGGCTGGTCTCGAACTCCTGACCTTGTGATCTGCCTGCTTTGGCCTCTCAAAGTGCTGGGATTACAGGTGTGAGCCACCTTGCACGGCCCCCCACTATGTCTTACCTTTTTTTTTTTTTAAGCTATTATCTTTTTCTCAAAACAACCAAATATAAAACAACACAAGGCATGTAAAAGAGCCCTGGTCTGATGGCTAAGATTCCAGTTCCAGCTCTCTATTTCTCTCAGGACCTCGGCCTCTGCATCTAAAAAGAGAAGGATTGAACTAATTAGTAGTTACAAACTCAGGTACCTATAGGAACCAAGGAGGAGCCAATGAGAGAAGCAAGTGGGCTGGAAACAGTGGGGCTGTATTGCACGGGAGGATACCAGCCTAGCTAAAGGAGGAAGCCTTTATTCTGTACCACAGAAGGCTGTGCTACAGGGTTTCAGGCCCAGGGTTGCAAGATCTTGCAATTTATTAAGTCTGGAAATCAAGTTTTTATATGAAATCTCCTGATTTTTAAATGTTGGCAAGTAAAATTTTAAAATGTTTTGTGAATGCCGGGCACGGTGGCTCACACCTGTAATCCTAGCATTTTGGGAGGTGGAGGCAAGTGGATCACAAGGTCAGGAGATCGAGACCATTCTGGCCAACATGGTGAAACCCCGTCTCTACTAAAAATACAAAAATTAGTCAGGTGTGGTGGCGCGTTCCTGTAGTCCCAGCTACTCAGGAGGCTGAGGCAAGAGAATTGCTTGAACCCAGGAGGCGGAGGTTGTGGTGAGCCAAGATCGCGCCACTGCACTCCAGCCTGGGCGACAGAGCGAAACTCGGTCTCAAAAAAAAAAAAAAAGTTTTGTGAATTCCTTTCCGACCAAAAACCTCAGCTATGAATCCGTCTGGCAGCCAGTGAGTGACACTGGGTCAGATGACCTTCAGGCTCCTTGTGTCACTCTCCTGGAGCCCACCCAGGGGCAACCTAGTGACAGGAGACCTCACAGTTCCCAAGATAGCATTGTTAAAAAAAAAAAAGAAGAACTATTTGTTTTGTTTTTTAATTGAACAGATCAAGTAAGAGATAATTTATTTGTATGTCAAAAAATTTATCTAACTAATGGGCTTGCTAAATGACCTCTGTGGCTCAATTAAAATATAATTGAATATACCAAAACATGATTTCTTCATAGCCATGGGGATCATGGGATTATGCAAAGCAAACATTCCAGGCACTGTTCTAATGTTTTAAAGTATTATTTTATTTAATCCTTACTCTAATCCTGTGAGTGAAATTTATTGCCATACCCAAGTCATCTAAGTTTTCTTTTATGTTATATTCTAGGAGTTTTAGAGTTTTGAGGTTTACATTTAGTTTTATGATCCATTTTAAGTTAGTTTTTGTGAAAAATTTAAGATCTGTTATCTAGATTTGGGTTTTGTTTGTTTGTTTTACATGTGGATGTCCAGTTTTTCCAGTACCATTTGTTGAAAAGACTATTTTTGGCCAGATGTGATGGCTCATGCCTGTAGTCCCAGCACTTTGGGAGGTTGAAGTGGGCGGATCACTTGAGGTCAGGATTTCGAGACAAGCCTGGCCAATATGGTGAAACCCCGTCTCTACTAAAAATACAGAAGTTAGCCAGGAGTGGCGGCTTGTGCTTATAGTCCCAGCTACTCAGGAGGCTAAGGCAGGAGAATCGCTTGAACCCAGGAGGTGAAGGTTGCAGTGAGTCGAGATCACACCACTGCACTCCAGCCTGGACAACAGAATGAGACTCTGTCTGAAAAAAAAAAAAGAAAAGAAAAGACTTTTTTTTTGCTCCATTATATTGCCTTTGCTCCTTTGTCAAAGATCAATTGACTATATTTATGTGGGTCTATTTCTGGGATCTCTGTTCTGTTTTATTGATCTTTTGTTTGTTTGTTTGTTTGTTTTTGAGACGGAGTCTCACTCTGTCACCCAGGCTGGAGTGCAGTGGTGTGATCTTGGCTCACTGCAAGCTCCCCCTCCCAGGTTCACGCCATTCTCCCGCCTCAGCCTCCCAAGTAGCTGGGACTACAGGCGCCTGCCACCATGCCCAGCTAATTTTGCTTTTGTATTTTTAGTAGAGACGAGGTTTCACTGTGTTAGCCAGGATAGTCTCAATCTCCTGACCTTGTGATCCGCCTGCCTCAGCCTCCCAAAGTGCTGTGTTTGTGTTTACAGGCGTGAGTCACCGTGCCTGGCCTTGATCTGTTTGTTCTTTCATCAACACCACATTATCTTGATTACTACAGCTTTATATTAAGTCTTGAAGTCAGGTAGTGTCAGTTCTCCAGCTTTACTCTTCTTCAATATTGTATTGACTATTCTGGGTCTTATGCCTTTCCATGTAAACTTTAGAATCAGTTTGTTGATATCCACAAAATAACTTGCTGAGACTGGGATTGGGATTGCTTTGAATCTATAGATTAAGTTGGAAAGAATGACATCTTGACTCTATTGAGCCTTCCTATCCATGAACATGGAATATCTCTCCATTTATTTAGTTCTTCTTTGATTTTGTTCATCAGAGTTTTCCAGTTTTCCTTGTATAGATTTAGTACACATTTTGTTAGTTTTATACCTAAGTATTTCATTTTGGGGGGTGATAATGTAAATTATACTGTTTTTAATTTCAAATTCCACTTGTTCAGTGCTGGTGTATAGGTATATAGTTTCCTTTGTAATGTTTTTGGCTGGTTTGGTATTAGGGTTTAGTTAGGAAGTAGTATCCCCTTCTGCATCTATCCTCTGAAAGAGAAAGTAGATAATTAGTAGAATTTCTTCTATAGACATTTGGTAGAATTCACCAGTGAATCCATCTAGGGCTAGGTCTGGTGCTTTCTGTTTTGAAAAGTTATTAATTATTCACTCAATGTCTTTAATAGATACAGGCCTATTCAGATTGTCTATTGCTTCTTGTGTGTTTTGGCAGTTTGTGTCTTTCAAGGAATTGATCCATTTCATCTAGGCTATCAAATCTGTGGGCATAAAGATGTTGATAGTATTCTTTTATTATCCTTCTATTGCCCATCATATCTGTAGTGATGTCACCTCTGTAATTTCTGATATCAGTAATTTGTGTTCTCTCTTTTTTTCTTGGCCTAACTCATTGTTTCTTAAACCTATGTTAGTCAGATTTTTGTCCATACCACTTCCCAGAAACTGCCTTTGTCAAGGTCAACAATGACCTTCACTTGTCAATTCCAAAGGTCAGCTTTCAGTCTTCATCTTTCTTGACCTATTGGCAACACTGGACCCAGCTGATCACTCCCACTTCCTGGAAACACTGGCCTCACTTGGCTTCTATGACACCACAATTCCCCGATTTTCTTTCTGCCTCCTGTGGTTCTGTTCCTGGTCCTTTGCTGTTTCTTTCTAATCCCCACAGCCTCTTAATGTTAGAGGAGTTTAGGGCTCAGACCTTGGACGACCTCTCCTCTTTTCTACCCTCATTCTCATGGCAAACTCATCCAAATCTTATAGTTTTCGATATTACTATATGATGATGACTCTCAAAAGTATCTCTAGTACAGACATCCTCTTCCCTGAATTCCAGAACTGTGAACTTAATGGTCTACTGAATATCTTTATTTAAGACAAATGGGGCATCTCAATCTTTTTTTTTTTTTTAAACAAGCTCAGGCAAATTTTATTAAAGGAAAATTTTGCATCGTTTACTTTTCACCAGTTTGTTCTGGCGTGCTTCTAACGATGTCAGAGTCACCTGGATCAATGATAGCCAGTGTGCACACTCTGTAGTATTTTCCACATGCTGTGCCCAGTTCAATATTATTGCCACTGTAGTGATGGACACCAGTTTTGGCCAACATTGCATAGTACTCTATTTCGGATTTCCTCAAAGCTGAGCAGTTGTTAGCAAGAATGACCAATTTAGCTTTGCCTTGGCTTCAGAGTCTGCTTGTACCCCAGCACGTACTTTCCACTTTTCATAATGAGTTGGAGCCTAGAGTTGATCGACTCCAGTGACTTTTTCATCTTCTTTGCGGCCACCATGTTCCTGCCTTAGGTGCGAGATGGCCCTCCACCAAGAGCAGCCGCTAAGATGGCCAGGACGCGAGAAAAAAAAAAGGGCATCCCAATCTTAACAAGTTCAAACTGAGCTCCTAATATTCTACCTCAGACTTACTCCGTCTGCCCTCTTTTACATCTTGGTTCTTGGGTTGGCATCTTCCATGACTCTTCTTTTTCTCTTATACCTCCCGCTCACCCATCTTAGTCTGTCAGCAAATTCTCCTGGCCCTACATTCAGAATATATCCAGGTATAACCATTTCTTATCACTTCTGCTATCATCTGGATCCAAACTCCTGTTACCTCCCACGTGAATTATTTAATTAGCCTCCTTTCTTGTCTCACTACTTTTATACTTGCCTCTGAAAATCTGTTCTCAACATAGCAGCCAGAAAAATTATGTTAAAATGGAAGTCAGGATGGGGTGATGGCTCACACCTGTAATCCCAACACTCTGGGAGGCTGAGACAGGAGGATCACTTGAGGCCAGAAGTTTGAGACCAGCCCGGGCAACATAACAAGACCCTGTATCTACAGAAATTTTAAAAATTAGCCTGGTGATACGGTGCATGGCTATAGTCCCAGCTACTAGGGAGGCTAAGGTAAGAGGATCGCTTGAGCCCAGGAGTTTGAGGCTGCAGTGAGCCATGATTGTGTTGTGCCACTGCACTCTAGCATGGGTGACAGAATGACACCCTGTCTCACAAAAATAAAATGGAGATCAGAGCATATCACTCTTCTGCTCAAATCCCTGCAGTGGCTTTCCATTTCTGTCAGAGAGGAAGCTAAAGTTCTTATAGTGCCTAAGATGCTCTGTATAATCTGAATGCCCTTTACCTGTCTGATTCATTTACTACTCTCCTTCACACATATTTCTCTCCATTTATACAAATGGAATTTGTCCTTGTTTTGCCTCAAACTTGCCAGTATGGCTACATCTTAAGGGCCTTTGGAACATCCATCTATTTGAAGTGATTCTCCCCTGCCACCAGATATTCATATGGCTCATTCCCTTTTCTTCTTCAATTTTTGCTCAACTGTCACCTTCTTAAGGAGGTCTACCCTGCCCACCCCATTAAAACATAGTCCCTCCCCTCCTCCCCTGAACACTTTTTCCTTGCTTTACTCTTTTTTTCCCATGGTGACTTATCCCCTCTATCATACCACAGAATTAGCATAGCTCTTATATTTATTGTTTACTGCCTATCTCCTGGCAGCTAGAAAGGCAAGCTCTTTGAAAGCAAGGATTTTGTCTATTCTGTTCTCTGAAGTATCCCCACCATCTAGAATAGTGCCTTCACAGTGAGAAGGACCTGTATTAGGACTTTTGACATCATTGACATTGTTTGGAATTCTTTTATGTTAAAATTATTAGATTTAGTAAATGTAAAAATATAAAATACATTACACAATATATCACATATTTGTCACCCTGTCTGTGCATTTCTGTGTATATATAAAACTAAGAACCTAAAAAAATTAGGTAGTCTGAAACTCTTTTGATCTCTGAGGGACTCTAAGTGAATATTTCAGAGTTGCTACATTTGAAGAAATCATATTTATTGATGTACATCTCTTAAGGAGGCAAATTAAGAATTCTTAGCTGGGTGTAGTGCTGCAAGCCTGTAGTCCTAGCTACTTAGGAGGCTGAGATGGGAGGATCGCTTGAGCCCAGGAGTTCAAGGCCAGCCTGAGCAGCATAGTGAGATCCTGTATCTTAACAACACCAAAAAAATTCTGTGAAAAATAATTGTTTTCTTTTTTTTTTCGAGACAGAGTCTCACTCTTGTCACCCAGGCTGGAGTACAGTGGCACGATCTTGGCTCACTGCAACCTGGGCCTCCCAGGTTCAAGTGATTTTCCTGCCTCAGCCTCCTTAGTAGCTGGGATTACAGGTATGCACCACCACATCGGGCTAATTTTTGTATTTTTAGTAAAGACGGGGTTTCACCATGTTGGCCAGGCTGGTCTCGAACTCTTGACCTCAAGTGATTCACTCACCTCGGCCTCCCAAAGTGCTGGGATTATAGGGGTGAGCCACCATGCCCAGCCAGTATATGCTGTTTTATTTATTTTATCCAGCATTTTATTTGTGAGATTCATCCATATTGTCCATAGTTGTAGGTAGTTAATTTTTATTGTATTATGGTATTCATCACATGAATATATCATGATTTATTTACCTATTCAACTGTTGATGAGTAGTGAGATCGTTTCCCATTTAGGCTATTACAAATTGTGCTTTTATGAATATTCAAGTACATGTATATTATAGGTCAAACTGTGTCTTCCAAAAAGATATATGAAGTCCTAAACCTCTGGTCCATGTGAATGTGACCTTATTTGGAAATATCTTTGCAGATATCTGCAAAGTTAGATGAGGTCATATCCAATTTGGGGGACTCTAATCCAGTACGACTGATATCCTTATAGAAGAGGAGGAAAGAAACCAACATAGAGACACACAGGGAGAACTCCATGAGAAAACAAAGGGAGAGATTGGAGTGATGCTGTAAACCAAGGAAAGACAAAATTTGCCAGCCACCTCTGGAAGCCAGGATAAAGGCATGGAACAGACTCTCCCTCAGAGCCCTCAGAAGACCCAATCCTACCAACAGGGTTGATTTGGGACCTCTAGCCTCTAGAACTGTGAGAGAACAGATTTCTGTTCTGTCAATACATTTCTAATTTGTGCTTTTTCACAGCAGCCTTAGGAAACAAATACAATGTCTTTTGGAGAACTTACGCTAAGCAGTTTTCCAAAGTGTTTGATCATTTGGAGCTGGGCACAGTAGTGCACTCCTGTAGTCCAAGCTACTCAGGAGGTTGAGGTGGGAAGATCCCTTGAGCCCATGTGTTCAAGGCCAGCCTGGGCAACAAAGTGAGACCCTGTCTCAAAAAAAAAATTAAGTGCTTGGTCATTTTATATTCACACTAGTTGTATATAAGACTTCTAGTTACTCCACATCATCACTAGCACTTGGTATTGTCAATCTTTTTAGCCCTTCTAATGAATGTGTAGTAATATCACACTGTGGTTTTAATTTCTTTAATGACTAATGTTGTTGGACATATTTTCATGTGCTTATTTGCCATTTATACATCTTTAGTAAAGAGCATTCAAATCTCTTACCATTTTTAAAATTGGATAAGTTGTTTTATTATTGAGTTTTGAAAATTCTTTGTATATTCTGGACACAAGTTCTTTACCAGATAAGTGTCTTATAAATATTTTCTGCCAGGCTATAATTTGCCTTTTCCATCTCTTAACAATATCTTTCAAAGAGAAAAAGGTTTGACTTTGAAGAACTCTAATTTACTAATTTTGTTATGGATTATGCTTTTGGTTTTGTATCTAAGAAATCTTTGCCTACCCCAGGCTCAAAATATTTTTTTCCCTAGCTGGACACAGTGGCTTATGCCTATAATTCAAATGCTTTAGGAGGCCAAGGTGGGAGGATTGCTTAAGGCCAGGAGTTTAAGACAAACCCGGGCAACATAGCAAGACCCCATCTCTAAAAAATAAAAAGATTAGCTGCATGTGGTGGCACCCATTTGTGGTCCCAGCTACTTGGGAGGCTGAGTCAGGAGGATTGCCTGAGCCCAGGGTTTGAAGCTGCAGTGAGATATGATTACACCACTGCACTCAGCCTGGGCAACAGGGCAAGATTCTGTCTCTAAAATATATACATATTTTTTCCCTATGTTTTTCCTGTGAACTTTTAGTAGGGAAAAACTGTCAGTTTCTCAAAATCTGCTAGTTTCTCAAAATGTTTCCCAGTTATCTCAGAAAAAAAACACATTTCAACTGTATTATTTTTCTGCCTTGGCTGGGTGCAGTGACTCATGCCTGTAATCCCAGCACTTTGGGAGGCCGAGGCGGGCAGATCATTTGAGGTCAAGAGTTCGAGACCAGCCTGGCCAACATGGTGAAACCTCGTCTCAACTAAAAATACAAAAATTAGCCAGGCGTGGTGGTGGGCGCGTGTAATACCAGCTATTCGGGAGGCTGAGGCAGGAGAATCGCTTGATCCTGGGAGGCAGAGGTTACAGTGAGCTGAGATCGCACCACTGCACTCCAGCCTGGGCGACAGAGCCAGACTCTGTCTCAAAAAAATAATAATAAACTGCATGTTTCTCTGTCTCAAGTTAAAAAGAAACAAAATAATTCAACCAAACATATCACAAATTCAATTAACTGATACAAGTAAGAATAAATTATGTTGACTGGAATTATCATTGTCATTTGAATCTCAGCAGGATATGAAATTAGCTCTTCTAGATAGAAGCAAGATTAGGACATCATTGTTGTAATGGTCATTTTAGTTTCAAAGGACAAAAACCCAGCAAAAATGAAGAGGTGGATTTCTGGCTTTGGACATATCTAGACTACAAACTATAGCATCTCTGCCTCACTCTGTATTGCTCAGTTGTGCTTTCTTCTGGCTTGTCTGTATTCTCAAGAAGGCTCTGCCAAGTCATGACAAATATGGCACTTTCTGGCACCACAAAGCAAGGAGGGAAGAGGTGGTTGTTTAGTAAAATTTGCTAGAAAAAGTGGCCCACATTTTGGGGAAAAATAAAGCTGGATTCCTACTTAATATCACATACAAAGGTGATTGCCAATGGATTAAAGACCTAAATTTGAAGATAAATATATAAAGTTAAATAAGAAAATGTGGGAGACTTTATGTTGAGAAGGAATTCTTCAATGAAACTCAAAAGCGTAAGCCATAAGACAAAAATGTGATAAATTTGATCAACTCTTCGTATTCAGTGAAGACCACTGTGGAAGAGTTAACAAACAAGTAACAAGATAGGAGGAGACAGTCTTAATGTCTAAAACTGATAAGTGGCTAATATCTAGACTATATAAGAGATTCATACATCAACAAGAAAAAGACAGGAACCCCAGTAAATGAGTAATTAATAAACGACAAAACCAGTCTATAACAGGCATATGCTGGGATACTCAAGCTCATTAGGAATCAGAGAAATAAGAATGAAAGACCATTGAGATTTCATTTTACACCTCTGGCAAAAATTAGAAAGATGGATAATGCAACTGCTAGCTGGCACTGGGGATTTTTCAAGACCTCTTTTTTTAAAAAAAGGAATAAACTTACCCTGTGCCACAGAATTTATCCCTGGTTAAATATCCCAAAGGAATTTTGATACTGGCCCATATGAAGACGAAAGAGTATTATCATAGTCTAGTTTGTATTGATGGGAAACTGGATGCAGTCTGAGAGGTCACACTGGAGGAGTCAATAGGCAAAATACAGTGGAACACCATGCAGCTGTTAGAAAAAAGGGATTAAATAAATATATAGCAACACGAACAAATCTTTAAAACAGTGCTGATGTACTTATCAGAATACCATTTATGTTAATTTAAAATACATGCATACAAATCAGCAGTACACATTTAGAAGGAAGCTCTGTAAACAAAATGTGGATTTTAAATGCCTTGGAGTGTTTGTCAGCAGTGGGAAGAGGATGGAAAGGGAAACAGGAGTAACAAGAGGATCAAGAAATAAAACGCAAGAGGTCTTGTGTGGACTGTGATAATGATGTCATGAACAATGACATCACTAACTCAGCCCTCTACATCTGAGATTCAACAAAAGAGAAACGTAAGAATTGCACCGATCAGATAGATGAATTGAGAATATTTTTTTGTGAAGGAAATGGTTTAATTCCAGAAGGAAATTGAAGATGGACACAAACTCCTTGGTGCACTCTATTTCTCTTCCCTTAAATCTGGGCTCTGTGACTGCTTTACCAATAGAACTGTGGCTAAAGTGACTGTGTACTAATTCTGGGCCAGCAAAAGTTCTGGGCTTCTGCTTCCTCCCTCTTGGAATCCTCACTCTTGGGAAACTCCCTCAGAACCCAGAAACATGCTGTGAGAAGCCCAAGACACATGGAGAGGCCATGCGTAGACGTTTCATCAGAGCGGCCCAGCTGAGCTCCAGCCTGGAGCTGTGAGCCATGACAGCCAGCTAGGCTTTCCAGCCCAATTAAGCCCCAGGGCAACTACAGCCCCAGTTGATATCACAGGAGCAGGAGACCTACCAGCTGAGCCCAGTCAATCCACAGAATCATGAGGGTTTACACATGTTGTTTTAATCCGCTATATCTTGGGAAATTTGTTACACAGTGACAGATGAACCATATAATTGCCACATCATTAAAGAATAATCAGAAGCATCCAAATCACAGTGATGCTCAGAGTGATCCCCAAACCACAAATCATTTCTTCAAAATTTACAAAAAGGAAAGGCAAAAAGCAAACCAATACTTTTTTTTTATATATATACTTTAAGTTTTAGGGTACATGTGCACAACGTGCAGGTTTGTTACATATGTATACATGTGCCATGCTGGTGTGCTGCACCCATTAACTCGTCATTTAGCATTAGGTATATCTCCTAATGCTATCCCTCCCCCCTCCCCCCACCCCACAACAGTCCCCAGAGTGTGATGTTTCCTTTCCTGTGTCCATGTGTTCTCATTGTTCAATTCCCATCTATGAGTGAGAACATGTGGTGTTTGGTTTTTTGTCCTTGCGATAGTTTACTGAGAATGATGATTTCCAATTTCATCCATGTCCCTACAAAGGACATGAACTCATCATTTTTTATGGCTGCATAGTATTAAAAAGCAAACCAATACTTTAAGAAGGGATGTGGTGATATTGCAAATCAATCAAACAGGATGAGATTTTACAGCTACAGAAGGGTGGAGGTTTAGTGGTCTGCCAGAAGTCCTACCCCTCCCAAATGGCCCAGAATGTTGGGGAGGCCACGAGGTCCATTTCTTTCTCACTTTTCCTGTCCTTTCATACCTTGGTATTTCAGCCCAACTATTTGATCTGTAAACAAGGATTCTCTAATTTATTGCATGAGGTAATGTATATAAAAATACTTGATAAAATGTAAATACCTATAAAACAGTTATATATTTTTAAAATTTTAATCTATTTATTTATTTTGAGATCAGGTTATGAGACTGGCTGATTTTTGTATTTTTGGTAGAGGTGAGGTTTCATCGTGTTTTCCAGGCTAGTCTCAAACTCCTGAGCTCAAGCAATCTGCCTGCCTCAGCCTCCCAAAGTGCTGGGATTACAGGCATGAGCCACGGCACCTGAGCAAACAGTTATAATTTTAAAGCTTAATTAACAAAAAGACCTTCCATTACTGTATCCTCAATTTCTAGGTATAAAGAATTTTAAAGGCTGGGCACAGTGGCTCACGCCTGTAATTCCAGCACTTTGGGAGGCCAAGGCAGACAGATCACTTGAAGTCAGGGGTTCGAGACCAGCTTTGGCCAACATGGCGAAACTTTGTCTCTACTAAAAATGCAAAATTTAGCCAGGCATGGCTGCATGCATCTGTAATCCTAGCTACTGAGGAGGTTGAGGCAGCAGAATCACTTCTGGAGGCAGAGGTTGCATGAGCTGAGATCATGCCACTGCACTCCAGCCTGGGTGACAGAATGAGACTCTGTCACCAAAAAAAAAAAAAAAAAAAAAAAAATTTACAAACTACAAACCACTGTATTTGGGTTGCTTTCATATTTAGTCTGCTGAATATTTGATCTGGACAATGTTATATGTATTTGGGACATCTATTTAAAATCAAGAGATTTCACACAAAAATTTAAATGTTTATTTTCTCCTGAAAAACTGGAAGACGTGACAACATGAAGTCCTTGCATTTTCTAATGTCAACAATGGATGTCTTACCCCAAGCTCCACTCACAAAAGCAGAAACTGAGACAAGGATATGTGTTCAGCAGTTTGTTTTGGGAAGAGATCTGGGGACAAGAGAGAAACAAGGAAGAAATGCCAGTGCAAGGTTGTGTTGCAAGGTCACTGCTGTAGGCACCTGGAGCTCAATTCCACTGGGGACTCTAAGGAGCTGTGTAGGATAAGCCTCAGTTTTGTGCCTGAAAACAGAAGAGGGATTATTTATCTATCAGCTCCTATCTCCCCTTGGTCAACAGTTACACCATAAGGTGTTAACTCTCGAACTTCCAGGTTCGCCAATGCAACCGCATGGCTGAACAGATTCTTGCAGCCATCCCATTCAGCAGCATGGCTTTCGGAAGCCCCAGGGGCAGAAAGCAAGAGATACACAGGGCAGCTGAGGCAAGATATTGTTAGTTTACACTTGTTCACAGCCAGTTTCTGCAGCAACTACTGGAAGAGATGGTCAAAAGGCGGGAACACAATGTGGAGGAGCTGAGCAGCAAGTGCCTCAGGTCGCCAAATTTAACAAATTAGGATGAGCTTGTTTTCATCTATGAGAATCCACTCAGAGCTGTTGATTTTTAAAACTTTTACTTACCATTTTCTTCTATTTTTTAGCACCATGGGCTCCTCTGCTCCTGCCCCAGTGTATACAGGTCTTCACGTAGAGGGCAGCAATGTGTTCTGTCTGCACAGAGGCTCTAGCTTGGACGAGCTCTATAAAGAGGTCAGTGACTTCCCAGGATGCCAACACTCTGCTTCCGTAAGTCAAGACATAAGTGCCTAATGACCAGCTAGGAGGATCTGACTCTTCTTAGGTTCTACTCCTGTTTTCTAGATGTTTTATTATTATTATTATACTTCAAGTTCTAGGGTACATGTGCACAACGTGCAGGTTTGTTACATATGTATACATGTGTCATGTTGGTGTGCTGCACCCATATATTTCTAGATGTTAAAAGGCAGCCTATTTATTAAAAGTATAAACTTGCCTGAGTTTGAATTGGCTCCACCTCTTACCGTGTCCTCTCTGTGCCTGAGATTTCTTATCTGTAAAACAGAAATTTAATATAACCTATGTTATATTAAATTAAATTAAATTATATTAATATAATATAATATTAAATTATATTATATTAATATAATATAATATTAAATTATATTATATTAATATAATATTAAGTTAAATTATATTATATTTAATATAATATAATATTAAATTATATTAAATATAATATAACCTATATTATATTAAATTATATTATAACATAGGTTATATATAACCTATGTTATATTAAATTTAAATATAATTAAATTATATTAAATTAAATGTCATAGGCTTATGGTTAAGATTCAATGAGTTAAGCTGGACAGGGTGGCTTACACCTGTAATCCTAGTGACTCTGGAGGCTGAGGCAGGAGGATTGCTTGAGCCCAGGAGTTAGAGGCTGCAGTGAACTATGATCATGCCACTGCATTCCGGATGGGGAGACACCTGTCTGCTAGAAAAAAAAAATTCAATGAATTAATGTATGTTAAGTATTTAGAACAGTGCCTGGCACTGAGTAAGTAAGCCCTTGGTAAAAATCCCGTTCCGTGTTGTCCACATATGTGATCAACTCCAGCTGTCCTCTTTGGGTAGGAAGAAAAACTGGTATGCATCTAGTTATTGAGGGGTTAACAATGCCAGAACCCATTGCCTTTGTTAAATTCCCCACAGTGCAACACATAGAAAATACTATTGATGGGGCCTAGGACATGCCACCCTAAAATATGATGGTAGAAGACCAGAATATGCTATCCCGGATGTGCCCCTTTGGCATAAGGATTATTTTTGAGAAACTGCAGACACAGGAGAAGCTCAGAAAAGTTACCCTTTTGTAAGACAAACTGACATTTATGAAGGAAATCTCCATTTTTAAAGGTGTCTTTCTCTCTGCACCAGAAAGAGAAGGATAACTAAATCACTAGAGACTCTTATCGATGGAGAAATAATTGCCTTAAAATGTCCTAACAGGCAGGATGTGGTGGCTCACGTCTGTTATCCCAGCACTTTGGGAGGCTGAGATGGGCAAATGGCTTGAGCCCAGGAATTTGCTACCTGCCTGGGCAACATGGCAAAACCCCATTTCTGCAAAAATTAGCTGGGCATGGTGGTGCATGCTTGTAGTCCCAGATAGTTGGATGGCTGAGGCGGGAGGATCACCTGAGCCTAGGAGGTAAAGGCTGCAGTGAGCTGAAATAGAGCCACTTCACTCCAGCATGGGCAACAGAGTGAGAGCCTGTCTTAAAAAGAAAAGAAAAAGTCATAACAAAACTTGCCCTTATTATCTAGAACTAGAAATACCATTTGACCCAGCAATCCCATTACTGGGTATATACCCAAAGGATTATAAATCATGCTGCTATAAAGACACATGCACACGTATGTTTATTGCAACACTATTCACAATAGCAAAGACTTGGAACCAAGGCAAATGTCCAACAATGATAGACTGGATTAAGAAAATGTGGCACATATACACCATGGAATATATGCAGCCATAAAAAATGATGAGTTCATGTCCTTTGTAGGGACATGGATGAAGCTGGAAACCATCATTCTCAGCAAACTATCGCAAGGACAAAAGCCAAACACCGCATGTTCTCACTCATAGGTGGGAATTGAACAATGAGAACACATGGACACAGGAAGGGGAACATCACACTCTGGGGCCTGTTGTGGGATGGGGGGAGGGGAGGGGGATAGCATTAGGAGATATACCTAATGTAAATGACGAGTTAATGGGTGCAGCACACTAACATGGCACATGTATACATATGTAACAAACCTGCATGTTGTGCACATGTACCCTAAAACTTAAAGTATAATAAAAAAAAATTGCCCTTATTAAGATGCTTTTCTTGATCATCTCTCCCTAACCAGGCTTTCCGCATACCCTTCTTCCTTTGTTTCAGGAAACATGGTGTTTAAGCCTGACCTCTAAGACAACTTTTTGAGATCTACTCTAGGAGATTTACTTATTTCTCTGGGTATCTCTCATATGTACAGGATATATACTGCTATTAAACTTCTGATTGCTTTTCTCTTGTTAATAAGGAGTAATTGGCTGGGCACAGTGGCTCATGCCTGTAATCCCAGCACTTTGGGAGGCCAAGGCGGGCGGATCACAAGGTCAGGAGATCGAGATCATCCTGGCCAACATGGTGAAACTCCATCTCTACTAAAAATACAAAAATTAGCTGGGCATGGTTGCGCACACCTGTAGTCCCAGCTACTCGAGAGGCTGAGGCAGGAGAATCACTTGAACCCAGGAGGCGGAGCCTGCAGTGAGCCAAGATCATACCACTGCACTCAGCCTGGTGACAGAGCGAGACTCTGTCTCAAAAAAAAAAAACTAGTAATTAATAATGGTCCTCTTTTTACAAATGGAGATACTAAAGTATCAGAGTGATACAAATAATGAAAGGTCACACCACTTGTTCCTGGAGGTGAGATTTAAGCCCAGGGGTTGGGTGCTATGGCCACTCCCTTAACTATTCTTCTAGAGCTGGTGTTCTCCTGCCTCTGCTCCTGTCCCTTCCAGGACCCAGCTCTCTAAAGCAGCTCAGGAGGGTGATCATGTCCTCAGGCCTTTTGCTTTTTAATTGGTAACATCTGGAGCTACAAATTCTTTCATGGCCCAAAACGAATGAGGCTACATTGGTAGAATTAATAGGCAGTGGTAAGATTTTAAGCTTGTGCACTCAGCCTGGCAATGTCAATAATCCTCCTTCTAAAAACATTGTCACTGCAATAACCCCAGCCCAGTTAAAACTGCTCAATGTATGCTGGGCATGGTGGCTCATGCCTATCATCCCAGCAATTTCAGAGGCCGAGGTGGGCGGATCGCTTGACCTCAGGAGATCAAGAACAGCCTGGGCATCATAGTGAGACAGCATCTCTACTAAAAATATGAAAAAATAGTCAGGCATGCATAAAAAAGGATGAGTTCATGTCCTTTGTTGGGACATAGATGAAGCTGGAAACCATCATTCTGAGCAAACTATTACAAGGACAGAAAACCAAACACCACATGTTCTCACTCATAGGTGGGAATTGAACAATGGACACAGGGTGGGGAACATCACACACCAGGGCCTGTCGTGGGGTGGGGGGAGGGGGGAGATATAGCATTAGGAGATATACCTAATGTAAATGACGAGTTAATGGGTGCAGCACACCAACATGGCACATGTATACATATGTAACAAACCTGCACATTGTGCACATGTACCCTAGAACTTAAAGTATAATAATAAAGAAAATAGTCAGGCATGGTGGTGTACACCTGTTGTCCCAGCTACTCAGGAGGCTGAGATGGGAGGATCGCTTGAGCACAGGGGGCAGACGTTACAGTGAGCCGAGATCAAGACACTGCACTCCAACCTGGGTGAGAGTGAGACCCTGTCTCAAAAAAAAAAAAAAAAAAAAAAGACTGCTCAATGATAAGGACAATAGTAACAAACACTACAGAGTACTTACTAGGTGCCAATTCCACAACAAGTGTTTGACATGTCTCATTTAATCTGCTAAACAATGAGTTGAGTACTGCTGTTACCCCCCTGCCATGTTTCAGATAAGGAAACTGAGGCTTACAATGCTTAAATTAGGGTCACATGTAGCCAGGAAGCAATGCTGCTAAAATATCATCAAAGGAGCCCAATTGCTTCCTTCTGTAGTATTTTATTTCCAGAATGTCTCCTAAACCACTAGCTTTTCTATAAATCTGCACGCACCATCACCCGGACTACAATAAAAAAATAATCAAATGATAATCTTAATAAAAGCATTGAAAACATTATTTTACATCTCCAAACCTGTGTTTGTTCCCATCTGTGTTTGAGTGGGTAGGAGAAAATTCTGGTAACCTCCTCATTAGTCAATCCTCCCCCACCAGACTGATTCAGCCCCATAAACAATGGATATAATTATACTGAACAATGGTGTGTTCATTTCCATGTCTAGACATAGAGTTTACATTTGAAAACAAACGAGAACAGAAAAGAGAAAGCACCCTACTGGTTTGTTTGTTTTAAGGTAGAGTCTTGCTCTGTCGCCCAGGCTGGAGTGCAGTGGCGGGATCTCAGCTCACTGCAACCTCCACCTCCCAGGTTCAAGCAATTCTCCTGCCTCAGCCTCCTGAGTAGCTGAGATTACAGGTGCCTGCCACCATGCCTGGCTAATTTTTGTACTTTTAGTAGAGACAGCGTTTTGCCGTTTTGGCCAGCTGGTCTTGAACTCCCAACCTCAGATCATCCACCCACCTTGGCCTCCCAAAATGTTGAGATTACAGGCATGAGCCACCGTACCCGGCCCCTACTGTTTTTTAATTATCTGTAGCAAACTTTTTCTTAGCCTGGATGCTTCCCTTTTGATTAGGATATTCAGAGTATCAGGAATTTTCTTGAAAAACATTCTTATGTAAAGCTAGCGGTGTTAATTTAGGAGTAAAACACAAATACATTTAAACAGTCTCTAGTCTGAGTAGAAACAAGTCATTTTAAACCATAGAGGATTGAGAAAATCATGAATGCGTGAAAGTTTGATGAAGAATAAGTCATTTTCATAGTATCAAAGTATCCTCCCACAAATTACATGTTAATTGTCAAAAGAAAAATAGTAACATGACAGTGGCAAGACCTGGACAAGCTTCATCAAATAATCCAAGTTAACATCATCAATATTGGGACAAACTGACATCAGGAAAACTGATATGATGTGTCTCCAGAAATGATACACTAAAATGATACACTAAGAATGGCACATCATTTCTGCTCAAAAATGCATAACCTGAATCTAATCATGAAGAAATTTCAGATAAATTAAAATCAAGGAACATTGTACAAAACCAGCCTGTGTTCTTCGAAGGTGTCAGTGTCATCATGTACAACAAAGAAAAACTGAAGAACTATTTTCAGATTAAAGAAGAACAAAATACAATTTAATGGGTTTCAGTATGTTTACAGAGTTGTGCAGTCATCACCACTATTGAATTCCAGAACATTTTCATCACCCCCAAAAAAGCCCATTCCTATTAACAGTCCTCCCTCCAGCCCCTGGCCATCACTGATCTTTCCATGTCTATGGATTTGCCTATTCTGGACGTTTCTTATAAACAGAATCACAATATGTGGCTTTGGAGGCTGGCTTCTTTCACTTAAGATGTTTTAAAGGCTAATCCATGTTGTCATGTGTATCAGTACTTCATTTCTTTTTATGGCTGAATATCATTACATTGTATGGATAGACCACATTTTGTGTATCTATCTGTCATTAGCTGATGAACATTTGGGTTGTTTTCACCTTTTGGCTATTATGAATAATGCTGCTATGAATATTTATGTATAAGTACTTGGGGGACTTTTTTTTCTGTTTTTTTTTTTGAGACAGCCTCACTCTGTCACCCAGGTTGAAGCGCAGTAGTGCAGTCTTGGCTCACTGCAACCTCTACCTCCCAGGTTCAAGTGATTCTCCTGCCTCAGCCTCCCAAGTAGCTGGGATTACAGGCATGCACCACCATGCCCGGCTAATTTTTTGCATTTTTAGTAGAGATGGTTTCACCATGTTGGCCAGGCTAATCTTGAACTCCTGGCCTCAAGTGATCCACCTGCCTCAGCATCCCAAAGTGCTGGGATTACAGGTGTGAGTCACCACACCCAGCCTCAAACATATGTTTTCAATGCTCCTGGGTATATACCTAGGTGTAGAATTGCTAGGTCACATGGTAACTCTATGTTTAAGTTTTTGATGAACTTCCAAGCTGCTAGCAAAAGTGGTTGTACTATTTTACATTTCGACCAGGAAATATGTAAGGGTTCCAATTTCTCCACATCTTTGCCAACACTTGTTATTGTCCATCTTTTTTATTATAGCCATTCTAGTGAGTATGAAGCAGTATCTCATTGTGATTTTGATTTGCATTTCTCTAACAATTAATGGTGTTAAAGATCTTTTCATGTGCTTTTTGGCCATTTGTATGTCTTTAGGGAAATGTCTGTTTAGATCCTTTGTCAATTTTTAAATTGGGCTATCTTTTTATTGCAGAGTTGTAAGAGTTTTTAAGTATATTCTAGATACTAGACCCTATCAGATATATGATATTCCAAATATTTTCTCCCATTCTGTAGGTGGTCTTTTCATTTTTTTTGAGAGTGTCCTTTGATGTTCAATAGTTTTTAATTTTGATAAAGTCCATTTTATCTATTTTTTCTTTGGTTGCTGGCTGTACTTTAAGTATTATAGATAAGAAACTATTGCATGATCTGAGGTCACAAAGTTTTATGCCTATTTTCTTCTAAGGATTTTACAGTTTTAGCTTCTTGGGATTTTGAAAGCAAACATACTATATTTGGGTGTGCTGCTCCAACCCACTTAGCATAAAGGAACCAATTTTGAGTGATGTCCCAAAGCAATAAAAAACTCTGCAGCAAATCCCGGCTGTGGTACAAGCCACTGTGCCACTTGGGCCTTTGGACACATAACACTTTGAATGTTCTTTGGTTAAAAAAAAAGGAAATTTATTTTGTATTTATTTATTTATTTTTTGAGACGGAGTCTCGCTCTATCGCCCAAGCTGGAGTGCAGTGGCATGATCTTGGCTCACTGCAAGCTCCGCCTCCTGGGTTCACGCCATTTTCCTGCCTCAGCCTCCCCAGTAGCTGGGACTACAGGTGCCCGCCACCTGGCCCGGTTAATTTTTTGTATTTTTAGTAGAGACAGGGTTTCACAGTGTTAGCCAGGATGGTCTTGATCTCCTGATCTCTTGATCCGCCCGCCTCGGCCTCCCACAGTGCTGGGATTACAGGCGTGAGCCACTGCGCCCAGCCAAAAAAAAAAAAAAAATTTTAAGGTACTAGACAAAGCCACTGGTGAGCCCCAGGAGGAGAATCTTAGCACACATATGTACAATTCTGGAGCAAAGTCATGCCCTCTTTTGCTGTTAATTATTCTCCTTTTGAGAAGCAGTTTCTGATTTACTACTAAGCCCTGCTAGAGACATGTTTGACTATGGGAAGTCAAGCATAGCCATGTGCTTTATCATGATGTTTCAATCAGTCATGAACCACATGTACAACAATGGTCCCATAAGATTATAATGGAGCTTAAAAATTCCTATTGCAAGGTTCAGCATAGTGGCTCATGCCTGTAATCCCAGCACTTTGGGAGGCCAAGACAGGAGCATCACTTGAGGCCAGGAGTTTAAGAACAGCCTGGGGCCGGGCGCGGTGGCTCACGCCTGTAATCCCAGCACTTTGGGAGGCCGAGGCGGGCGGATCACGAGGTCAGGAGATCGAGACCATCCCGGCTAAAACGGTGAAACCCCGTCTCTACTAAAAATACAAAAAAAAAATTAGCCGGGCATAGTGGCGGGCGCCTGTAGTCCCAGCTACTTGGGAGGCTGAGGCAGGAGAATGGCGTGAACCCGGGAGGCGGAGCTTGCAGTGAACCGAGATCCCGCCACTGCACTCCAGCCTGGGCGACAGAGCGAGACTCCGTCTCAAAAAAAAAAAAAAAAAAAAAAAAAGAACAGCCTGGACAACACAGTAAGACCCCATCTCTACCAAAGTAAAAATTTTAAAAAATCTAAAAATGAATTCCTATCACCTAGTGACATTGTAGCTGTTATAACATTGTAGCACAATACATTACTTGTGAATTTATGGTGATGCCGATGTAAAGAAACCTGCACTGCCAGTTGTGTAAAAGTGTAGCACTTACAATTAGGTAAGCACATAATACTTCATAATGATAATAAATGACTTGCTACAGGTTTATGTATTTACTATACTATATTTTTAATCATGGTGTCTACTCTTTGTACTCATTAAAAAAGAAAAAGGAGTTAACTGTAAAACAACCTGAGGCAGGTCCTCCAGGAGGAATTCCAGAAGAAGGCATTGTTATCATAGGAGATGACAGCTCTATGCACGTTATTGCCTCTGGAGAACTTCCAGTGGGAGAAAATATTGAGGGAGAAAATAATGACATTGATGACCCTGACCCTATGTAGACCTAGGAGAATATTGGTGTTTGTGTCTTAGTTTTTGGTTTTCTTTTTTTTTTTTTTTTAATTTTTTTTGAGGTGGGGTCTGGCTCTGTTGCCCAGGCTGGAGTGCAGTAGCACAATCTCAGCTCACTGCAACCTCTACCTTCCAGGCTCAAGCGATCCTCCCACCTCAGCCTCCTGAGTAGCTAGGACCACAGGCATGCACCACCATGCCCAGCTAATTTTTTGTATTTGTAGTAGGGATGGGGTTTCACCATTTTGCCCAGGTGTGGTGGTGCATGTCTGTAATCCCAACTACTCAGGAGGCTGAGGCGGGAGAATCGCTTGAACCCAGGAAGGGGAGGTTGCAATGAGCTGAGATCGTGCCACTAAACTCCAGCCTGGGCAACAAGAGCGAAACTTCACCTCAAAAAAAAAAAAAAAAAAAAGTCTTTAAGTAATTTTGAGTTGATTTTGACTGAGCATGGTGGCTCATGCCTGTAATCCCGGCACTTTGTAGGGGCGGAGGTGGGTGGATCTCCTGAGCTCAAGTGATCCTCAGCCTCCCAAAGTGCTGGGATTACAGGCATGAGTCACTGTGCCCAGCCTTGTGTTTCTGTCTTAGCTTTTAACAAAAAAATTTAAAAAATAAAAAACAAAATACTTTTTCTTTTTTTTTTTTTTTGGATACAGCCTCATTCTGTCGCCTAGGCTGGAGTTCAGTGGCGCAATCACAGCTCACTGCAGCCTCAACCTCCTGGGCTCAAGCTATCATTTCACCTCAACCTCCTGAGTAGCAGGGACTACAGACACACACCATCATGCCCAGCTAATGTTTATATTTTTCATAGAGATGAGGTTTCACCATGTTGCCCAGGCTGGTCTCAAACTCCTGAGCTCAAGAGATCCACCCAGCTTGGCCTCCCAAAGTGCTGAGATTACAGGCACACACCACTGCCCACTGTGCTCGGCCCAAAAATTTTAAAATAGAAAAAAACTTATACGATAAGGATATAAAGAAATAATATTTTTGTACAGCTGCACTATGTGTTTGTATTTTAAGCTAAGTGTTATTACAAGAGTCAAAAAGATTTCTTAAACTTTATAAGGTAAAAATATTATTGAAGAAAAAATATTTTTTATACATTTAGCATAGCCTAAGTATATAGTGTTTATAAAGCCTACAGTAGTGGCTGGGCGCGGTGGCTCATGTCTGTAATCCCAGCATTTTGGGAGGCCGAGGCTGGTGGATCACCTGAGGTCAGGAGTTCAAGACCAGCCTGCCCAACATGGCGAAACCCTGTCTCTACTAAAAGTATAAAATTAGCCAGGCGTGGTGGTGCATGTCTGTAATACCAACTACTCAGGAGGCTGAGGCAGGAGAATCGCTTGAACCCAGGAAGGGGAGGTTGCAGTGAGCTCAAATCGTGCCACTGCACTCCAGCCTGGCAACAAGAGCGAAACTTTATCTCAAAAAAAAAAAAAAAAAGTCTTTAAGTAATTTTGAGTTGATTTTGGCTGGGCATGGTGGCTCATGCCTGTAATCCTGGCACTTTGGGGGGGCCGAGGCAGGTGGATCACCTGAGGTCAGGAGTTCGAGACCAGCCTGACCAATACGGTGAAACCCCGTCTCTACTAAGAATACAAAAATTAGCCGGGCATGGTGGCCCACACCTATAGTCCCAGCTACTCGGGAAGCTGAGACAGGAGAATTACTTGAACCTGGGAGGCGGAGGTTGCAGTGAGCTGAGATTGCACCACTGCACTGCAGCCTGGGTGACAAAGCAAGACTCCATCTCAAAAAAAAAAAAGAAGTGTATAGCACCTCCCCCTTTTCTCTCTCTCTCTCCTGCCAGCCATGCGAACATGTGCCTGCTTCCCCTTTGCCTTCTGCCGTGATTGTAGGTTTCCTGAGGCCTCTCCAAAAGCAGAAGCCTGTACAGCCTACAGAACTGTGAGTCGATTAAATGATTAAACTTCTTTTCTTTATAAATTACCCAGTCTCAGATACTCAGGTATGTCCTTTTTTTTTTTTTTTTTGAGACAGAGTTTCTCTCTTGTCACCCAGGCTGGAGTACAATGGCACAATCTCAGCTTACTGCAACCTCTGCCTCCTGGGTTCAAGCAATTCTCCTGCCTCAGCCTCCCGAAGTAGCTGAGATTACAGGCACCCACCACAACGCCCAGCTAATTTTTTTGTATTTTTAGTTGAGAAGGGGTTTCACCATGTTGGCCAGGCTGGTCTTGAACTCCTGGCCTCAGGTGATCCACCCGCCTTGGCCTCCCAAAGTGTTGGGATTTCAGGCGTGAGCCACCACACCCAGCCATCTTTTCTTTGAGACAGAGTTTTGCTCTGTCGCCGAGGCTGGAGTGCTGTGGTGCAATCTCAGCTCACTGCAACCTCCACTTACCAGGTTCAAGCAATTCTCCTGCTTCGGCCTCCCGAGTAGCTGGGACTACAGGCACCTGCCACCATGCCTGGCTAATTTTTGTATTTTTAGTAGAGATGGGGTTTCACCATGTTGCCCAGGCTGGTCTTGAACTCCTGACCTTAAGTGATTCACCTGCCTCAGCCTCCCAAAGTGCTGGGATTACAGGCATGAGCCACCATACTTGGCCTCAGGTATGTCTTTATAGCAGTGTGAGAACAGACTAATACACCTGCCAAGCCATGAGGTGATGCATGTGCAGCAATCCATCATCAGGCGGTGGTGGTATATATGATACGGAATGAAGCATGCCTAGAACGCATAAGTAAGTCAGATAGGCACATGGCTCTGACTTGTTCAATATCTGCTCCTCCTTTGACACCTACTCTTGCTGCATTGCTGCCCCTCCATCAATCCACATCCATGGTCTTGTGTAGACTCTCCTATGACCAGCTTTGCCAAAAAGCTCACACCTGGCTTACAGATACGTCCATACAATGTATTGACTAATGGCTACTGGACAGTGCAAATATTGTATACTTTCATCATTGTAGAAAATTCTATTAGAAAGTGCTGACTCAATTTTGCTGATTGCATTCCTTCTGGTTTATTTAACGTGTTCTTCTGCCTTCCGAATTTTCTGTAGTTAGATCTAGAGGCTTAATCAACTTTCTTTTTGTTTGGTTTTATTTTGTTTTGTTTTGTCTATTTGCTTGCTTGATTGATTGATTTTTTGCAAGACTGCTTCATATTGTGTTCTTCAATTAGGAGGCACATAACAACTTTATCTCTCATGATCAGCTATTGATGACCAATAATAGATCAATTACTCCATTAGAGATTTACATGTAGTTATATTCTAATTTTTTCATTTCTTCTTTGTGTATCAGCTGGACTACTTCTATAAAGAACACTTCCACTTCCCCTCATCTACTATTTGGTGACATAGAGGTACTGTACCAAATAGTGGCATTGGAAAGGCAGCATACATACCTGATTCTCTACTTTTATTTTCAAGCTTTCCAAATGAGTTATTTTCTACCATCCTGCAACAGTGACTAAATAATTTGTTTCAGCAGCACTATAAACTCATGAATTTACATTTATTTTATGTGTTTCAATCCATTGCATTTTTTTTCTTTTCTTTTCTTTTTTTTTTTTTTTGAGACAGAGTCTCGCTCTGTCGCCCAGGCTGGAGTGCAGTGGCGCTTTCTCAGCTCACTGCAAGGTCCGCCTCCCGGGTTCATGCCATTCTCCTGCCTCAGCCTCCCGAACAGCTGGGACTACAGGCGCCCGTCACCACACCCAGCTAATTTTTTGTATTTTTTTAAAATAGAGATGGGGTTTCACCGTGTTAGCCAGGATGGAACCATCCACTGCATTTTTTAACACTCAGATTATCTCACATTTGACCGGTGCAACCTCTTTAAGTTGATTTCTGAATACTTTTGACACCAACCTCTTTGATAGCTTCCTTGAAAGCTGCTTTGACGAGATGCTCCAGGCTTATCTTGCATATTTCATTTTCTATCCCAGACTTGGAAGCAGCCATTTTCCCCAAAGAGTCTTGATTTTCCCGGTGTGAAATGGTCTTTGAAAACCATCCTCTGGGTGCTTAGGGTGCTCATTTCTCTTTGGTTTATCACTGTTTCTAGACCTTTTCAATGGGCAGATCTGGGAAATGTAGAGAGAAGAAAAAGACCAACAACCTCATAGAAAAATGGACTAGAGATTTTAAAAGACACTTCACAAGAAAAACAAATGCAATGTCCTTTAACCATATGAAAACATGCACAACCTTGTTCATAGTAACAGAAAGTTAAACTGATTCTGACAATTTCTCATCTCCCACACTGACAAAATGTAAAAGTTCGACAACAAACTCTCTTGGCAAGTTTGTGCAGAAACAGACACTCAAACATTGCTGGGGAAATGCAAACTAGTAAAGCCTATATGGAGGAATCTGTCTATATCTAGCACAGTTACATATGAATTCATTTTTTTAACCCAGGAATCTTATCTCTCAGACTCTATCTTAGAATACCCTGATGAAAATATGAAAAGGTATATGCACATAGCTACTCATTGCAGCACAAAAGATTGTGAAAACCATACAATGGCTATAACATAAGACATGATACATCTACACAATAGAATGCTATGCAGCTATAAAAAGGAATAAGGAAGAGTTGAAGATTTTTATAAGGGCTATGAAATGATGCCTAAGATAAACTGTTTTGTTTTGTTTTTTTGAGGTGGAGTTTTACTCTTTTGCCCAGGCTGGAGTGAAACAGTGCGATCTCGGCTAACTGCAACCTCCGCCCCCACGAGTTCAAGCGTTTCTCCTGCCTCAGCCTTCCCAGTAGCTGGGATTATAGGCACCTGCCACCACGCCTGGCTAATTTTTGTATTTTTTGTAGAGATAGGGTTTTACCACGTTGGGCAGGCTGGTCTCAAACTCCTGACCTCAGGTGATCCACCCACCTCAGTCTCCCAAAGTGCTAGGATTATAGGCTTGAGCCACCGTGCCCAGCCAGATAAATTGTAACACACAAAAAAGACCTGTGGAGAAAAGCATATAGAATGCACAACATTATATCTATACAGATAGAAGGGTTCAAATATGCATGTATGTGTATATGTATATGTATGTAATCAATATATAGTCAAATCTAGAGAAACTCTAGGCTGTCTGCTTTGAGTCCTGGAACTAATGAGAAAGAGCAGTTCTCTGCTGAAGATGCCTTCTGCTAGCATGTGAACTTGAGGTTTGTGGGGGTTCATGTTGCCACTATGCGGAAAGAGATTGCCTGAGAATGAAGCCAACAGGGAAAAAGGCAAAGGTAAACAATGAAGAGGAATTCTCAACTACATTATCTGAGCAACTGAGTCTAGTCAGCTCCACCCCTGCACCTTTCAATCATGTGAGTCAATAAATTCCAATTTGCATTACAACCATAGAATCCTGAATGATAGTGTATTACAGGATATTGGAAAAGTCTTGGGCACCACTTCAAATCCTCTTCCAGAGGTGAGCTGGAGCTGGCTTCCACCAGCTTATAAGAGCCCATTGTGCACATCTTACCCCTTCTATTCAGTGACATCACATTGGCAGCTTGAAATCGACCACAGTGGGAATATGCATGTGAAGGAAATTGGCAAATGCTACAGATCAGGGCTTCCTCCCAATTTTTGGAAGCTGGTCGTTAAGCATTTACTCACACACTCCCACACTACTGTCTTGGACTCTTTTTGTTTAAGCCACTGCTACAGTGACCACTTACAGGCTTCAACCAATATCTCACCAAGTTTTTCATCTCCTGCCCTGACCCTCTCTAAACCAATTCAGCACTTACATGGAGCAACTTCTGATTAACAGGGGCAGGAACTGATCCATAACTGTTTCCCCTTCTCATCCTAACTTGGAAAGTTTTGCTGGGTTTTTGTTTTTTGTTTTTTGCTTTTTGTTTTCAAGACAGGGTCTCACTCTGTTACCCAGGCTGGAGTGCACTGGGGCACCATCACAGCTCACTGCAGCCTCAACTCCCTGGGTTCAAGTGATCCTCCCGTCTCAGCCTTTGAAGTACTGGGACTACAGGAATGTACCACCATGCCAGGCTAATTTTTAAATTTTTTGTAGGGACAGGGTCTGACTATGTTGCCCTGGCTGACCTTGAACTCCTGGCCTCAAACCATCCTCACGCCTCACCTCAGCTGGAAAAACATACTGTAGAAACACACTGAATTTCTGCAGTGTGTATACAAATTACTATCTACAGATGAATCTGAGGTTTATGATCAGAGAACAAGATACATAAGCAGTCAGTAATGCTGAAATGAATTTACAAACCGACGTAAAATTGGCTTATTCCACAGAGAGAAGGAATTCAATTTTATTACCGCCTGTTAAAATGTATCTCTCTGTGGGCCGTGACTCTTTCTATTGACCTATTGCTTTTCATTTTCTAATTTTATCCATTAGCCAGCCTCCTTCTGACCTGGAGTCAGGGTGACAGTCTTGTTTGGTGACTGCTCCACATAGCTAACTTCAACCACTGTCTTTTATTTGCCAAATTCTGAATAAAGTCAGAGGCTTATATAGTTTCTGCAGTGTGTATACAAAGTACTATCTACAGATAAATCTGAGGTTTATGATCAGAGAACAAGATTTGTTTTGTTTTGTTTTGAGATGGAGTCTTGCTTTTGTCCTCCAGGCTGGAGTGCAGTGGCGCAATCTCGGCTCACTGCAACCTCCTCCTCCCTGGTTCAAGCGATTCTCGTGCCTCAGCCTCCAAGTAGCTGGGATTACAGGCACACACCACCACACCCAGCTAATTTTTCTATTTTTAGTAGAGACAGGGTTTCATCATGTTGGCCAGGCTGGTCTTGAACTCCTGACCTGAAGTGATCCATCTGCCTCAGCTTCCCAAAGTGCTGGGATTACAGGTGTGAGCCACTGCGCCCGGCCAAGATTTGTTGATAATCTCACAAACCAAAAGTAGATTAACACTAAGTATCTTTGTGCACCTTGTTGGTTTCTCACCTTCTGTTTTCTCTCAAAAGAGTTAAATAGGCTGGGTGCGGTGGCTCATGCCTTTAATCCCACCACTTTGGGAGGCCGAGGCGGGCAGATCATGAGGTCAGGAGATCAAGACCGTCCTGGCTAACACGGTGAAACCCCGTCTCTACTAAAAAATACACAAAAAATTAGTCGGGCGCGGTGGCAGGTGCCTGTAGGCTGAGGCAGGAGAATGATGTGAACCCAGGAGGCGGAGCTTGCAGTGGGCCGAGATCGCACCACCGCACTCCAGCCTGGGTGACAGAGCGAGACTCCATCTCAAAAAAAAAAAAAAAAAAAGAGTTAAATGGAATACAAACCAGCAGGGAACTCCCACATCAGTTACCAGGGTTCTGCTATCTCTCACTAAAGCTAACAAGACTGTCAATCCCCCTCTCCCTAACCTCTAGTTTGAAAATCCCCCCTACTTTATAATACTTTGCCAGGGGCTAAACCCTTCATAGAAGACAGGTGTAAGGTACAGAGACCTTGACACATACTTCAGGCTGATAGGTGTTTCCAATCAAGAATGGTAGACGTCATTTCTGTATCTTGGCAAATGTGAATAATGCTGCAATGCACATGGAAGTGCAAATATCTCTTCAATGTTCAGATTTCTTTTATTTTTATTTATTTATTCTTTTGTTTATTTTTTGAGACAGAGTCTCACTCTGTCACCCAGGCTGGAGTACAATGGTATGATCATGGCTCATTGCAACCTCCACCTCCCAGGCTCAAGTGATTCTCCCTTCTCAGCCTCCCGAGCAGCTCGGATTACAAGTACACACCACCACACCCAGCTAATTTTTGTATTTATTTTGTAGATAGGGTTTCACCATGTTGCCCAGACTGGTCTCAAACCCCTGGGCTGAAGCAATCCACCCACCTTGGCCTCCCAAAGTGCTGGGATTTGCAGGCGTGAGCCACTGCGTCCAGCAATGTACAGATTTCAATTCTTTTGTTTTATTTTTATTTTTATTTTTTTGAGATGGAATCTCACTCTGTTGCCCAGGTTGGAGTGGAGTGGTGTGATCTCAGCTCACCACAACCTCCACCTCCCAGGTTCAAGTGGTTCTCCTGCCTCAGCCTCCCAAGTAGCTGGGATTACAGGTGCCTGCCATACACCTGGCTAATTTTTGTATTTTTAGTTGAGACGGGTTTTCACCATGTTGGCCAGGCTGGTCTTGCACTCCCAACCTCAAGTGATCTGCCTGCCTCAGCCTCCCAAAGTGCTGGGATTGCAGGCGTGAGCCACCGTGCCAGGCCAATTCCTTTGGATATATACCCAGTAGTGAGATTTCTGGATCATATGATAATCCCATTTTTAGTTTTTTGAGGAACCTCCATACTGATTTCCATAGTTGCTGTACTAATTTACATTCTCACCAATAATATACAAGGGTTACCTTTTACTCCACCACTTGTTATTGTTCTTTTTTTTTTTCTTTTTTAGGTAGGGTCTCCTTCTTCCACTCAGGCTGGAGTGTGGTGACGCAATCATCTCACTGCAACCGTACCTCCTGACCTCAAGGGATCCTCCTGCCTCAGCCTTCTGAGTAGCTGGGACTACAGGCACATGCCACTGCACCTGGCTAATTTTTAAATTTTTATAGAGATGGAGTCTCACTCTGTTGCCTAGTCTGATCTTGAATTCCTGGGCTCAAGCGATCCTCCCACCTCAGCCTACCAAAGTGCTGGGATTACAGGCCTGAGCTACTACGCCTTGCCCTCTTTTGTCTTTTTGATAATAGCCATTCTCACAGATGTGGGTTGATATCTTATCATGGTTTTCATCAAGGGATAAATGGATACAGAAAACATGAGATATATTGCAGCCATAAAAAATAATGAGTTCATGTCCTTTGCAGGGATATGGATGAAGCTGGAAACCATCATACATCAGCAAACTAACACAGAAACAGAAAACCAAACACCGCATGTTGACACTCATAAGTGGGAGTTGAACAATGAGAACACATAGACACAGGGAGCGGAACATCACACACCGCGGGATCGGGGGCAAGGGGAGGGAGAGCATTAGGACAAATAACTAATGCATGCTGGGCTTAAAACCTAGATGATGAGTTGATAGGTGCAGCGAACCACCATGGCACATGTATACCTATGTAACAAAACTGCACATTCTGCACATGTATCCCAGAACTTAAAGTAAAATAAAATAAAAATAAAAATAAAAAAATAGGCCAGGAGCGGTGGCACACACCTGTAATCCCAGCACTTTGGGAGGCCGATGGGGGTGGATCACCTGAGGTCAGAAGTTCGTGACCAGCCTGACTAACGTGGTGAAACCCCGTCTCTACTAAATACAAAAAAATTAGATGGGCGTGGTGGCACATGCCTGTAATCCAAGCTACTTGGAAGGCTAAGACAGGAGAATTGCTTGTACCTGGGAGGCGGGGGTTGCAGTGAGCCAAGATCATGCCATTGCACTCCAGCCTGGGCAACAAGAGCAAACTCCATCTCAAAAAACAAATAAATAGGTAAATAAATAAATAAGTAAAAATGTGAGATATATACACAATAAAATACTATTCAGCCCCCAAAAAAAGAAAAGAAAATTTTGTCATTTGTGGCAACTTGGATGAAGCTGGAGGACATTATGCTAAGTGCACTAAGCCAGGAACAGAAAAACAAATAACCCATGATCTCACTTGTATGTGGAGCTAATAGAAGTAGAGAGTCGAATGGTGATTACCAGGGGCTGAGGGGAGGGAGTGGAGAGGGAAACAACTGTTAATTGAAGGGCACAAAGGTTCAGTCTGGCAAGAAGAGTAAGTTCTAGTGAGCTACCCCACAGCATGGTGACTATAGTTAATAATAGTGGATTATGTCTTTCAAAATTGCTCAGTGAGGAGATTTTCAGTGTTCTTATCACAAAGAAATAAGTATGTGAGGTGACGGATATGTTAATTAGCCTGATTTAATCATTCTACAATGTATTCATGTTTCATAACATCACAGTTTACCCCATAAATATATACAGTTATTATCAGTCAATTAAAAATGAAATATGGCCCGGCATGGTGGCTCATACCTGTAATCCCAGCACTTTGGGAGGCCAAAGCAGGCAGATTGCTTGAGTCCAGGAGTTCGAGACCAGCCTGGGCAACATGGAACATGGTGAAACCCTGTCTCTACAAAAACAAACAAACAAAAATTAGCTGGACATGGAGGTGCATTCCTGTAATCCTAACTACTAGGGAAGCTGAAGTGGGAGGATGGCTTGAGCCTAGAGGGTTGAGGCTGCAGTGAGCTGTGAGCATGCCATTGCACTCCAGCCTGGGCAACAGAGTGAGGCTCTGTCTCAAAAAAAAAAAAAAAAAAAAAAAAGAAATAAAATATAAGGGACATGAAATAAAGCAAATTACCATGACAGGAAGTCAGGTAACAAGCCTTGCCAGTCTACAAGTGCTTTGGGACAAGATGTAGGGACAGCTGAGTGGGATTTCCCAGCATTTCCTGCAATTGAGCAAGGTTCAACTGCTTGCAAGGTTAATGAAATATGGCTAGTCACCAAAGGAAGTTAAACAGTAGCAAAGATCCAAAACAAAGTTACCTGCAGGAGAAGATACCTAGGTTTATTTCCATTTGCATTATTTGCTATAAATAGTGAGGCCTTGGCCTCCTTGTACCACCCTAAGGAAAAGGACTATTGTTCTTTCTTTGGTTTTATTGATAAATGAAAGAGCAAAGGTGGAAGGTGTACCCACAGTCGGTAAAATTCTCAGACTGAACCAGCTGGACTGAGGAAGAGAAACAAGAGATGGTATGCATAGGGATATCTGGTAGTCCAGACAGAAGTAAGTGAGAGAAGAGATATTTCTTCTCTGAAATATATCAGAAAGATAGTGGCTAATCCATCACAGACACAACAAATACAGGTTGAATGGAGGAACACAGACCCCAGTCAGTCTCACTATGTGGTTACTTATGTATGTAGTTCAGCTAAGTTATTTACATTCATGTTGGAATTGGACCTACAAGGTTTAAACCTGACAGTTTTGAGAGACATTATCAGACACTCAAAAAAAGAAACCTGTTTAAAAATGCCTTCCCTGGCTCTCCCTCTCCCTCTTCCCTCTTCCCTCTTCCCTCTCCCCTCTCGCCTCTCCCCACAGTCTCCCTCTCCCTCTCTTTCCATGGTCTCCCTCTGATGCCGAGCCGAAGCTGGACTGTACTGCTGCCATCTCGGCTCACTGCAACCTCCCTGCCTGATTCTCCTGCCTCAGCCTGCCGAGTGCCTGCGATTGCAGGCGCGTGCCGCCATGCCTGACTGGTTTTCGTATTTTTTTGGTGGAGACGGGGTTTCGCTGTGTTGGCCGGGCTGGTCTCCAGCTCCTAACCGCGAGTGATCCGCCAGCCTCAGCCTCCCGAGGTGCCGGGATGGCAGACGGAGTCTGGTTCACTCAGTGCTCAATGGTGCCCAGGCTGGAGTGCAGTGGCGTGATCTCGGCTCGCTACAACCTCCACCTCCCAGCTGCCTGCCTTGGCCTCCCAAAGTGCCAAGATTGCAGCCTCTGCCTGGCCGCCACCCCTTTTGGGAAGTGAGGAGCGTCTCTGCCTGGCCGCCTATCGTCTGGGACGTGAGGAGCCCCTCTGCCTGGCTGCCCAGTCTGGAAAGTGAGGAGCGTCTCTGCCCGGCCGCCATCCCATCTAGGAAGTGAGGAGCGCCTCTTCCCGGCCGCCATCCCATCTAGGAAGTGAGGAGCGTCTCTGCCCGGCCTCCCATCGTCTGAGATGTGGGGAGCGCCTCTGCCCCGCCGCCCCGTCTGGGATGTGAGGAGCGCCTCTACCCGGCCGTGACCCCGTCTGGGAGGTGAGGAGCGTCTCTGCCCGGCCGCCCCGTCTGAGAAGTGAGGAGCCTCTCCGCCCGGCAGCCACCCCATCCGGGAGGGAGGTGGGGGTCAGCCCCCGCCAGGCCAGCCGCCCCATCCGGGAGGTGAGGGGCGCCTCTGCCCGGCCGCCCCTACTGGGAAGTGAGGAGCCCCTCTGCCCGGCCACCACCCCGTCTGGGAGGTGTACCCAACAGCTCATTGAGAACGGGCCATGATGACAATGGCGGTTTTGTGGAATACAAAGGGGGGAAAGGTGGGGAAAAGATTGAGAAATCGGATGGTTGCCGTGTCTGTGTAGAAAGAAGTAGACATGGGAGACTTTTCATTTTGTTCTGTACTAAGAAAAATTCTTATCCTGTTGATCTGTGACCTTACCCCCAACCCTGTGCTCTCTGAAACATGTGCTGTGTCCACTCAGGGTTAAATGGATTAAGGGCGGTGCAAGATGTGCTTTGTTAAACAGATGCTTGAAGGCAGGATGCTCCTTAAGAGTCATCACCACTCCCTAATCTCAAGGACCCAGGGACACAAACATTGCGCAAGGCCGCAGGGTCCTCTGCCTAGGAAAACCAGAGACCTTTGTTCACTTGTTTATCTGCTGACCTTCCCTCCACTATTGTCCTATGACCCTGCCAAATCCCCCTCTGCGAGAAACACCCAAGAATGATCAATAAAAAATAAAAAAATAAAAATAAAATAAAATAAAATAAATGCCTACCCTGGCTGTAGAATAATTTGTGTTATGATACCACCTAGTGGTCAATGGTAAATGTATGTTTTCAAGTTAAGCATGTACAAGCAAAGGCACAAAGATATTCAATACATATGTAAAATGCACGTCCACAAGGATCACTGTCCTTTATAAGCTGATAGTCAATGTTTTGAAAACCATTGTTTTTCATATATATTTTCCCCTTTTAAATTGTTTTCTCTACCTTTTCCTTAATGGTAGTTAGTATTCCGTGGTATGGAGTTGTCTTCATTTATTTAGCCAATCTTCCACAATGATCTTGTGAGATATTTTCCAATTTTTTGCTATTTCAAAGCATATTACAACCACCATCTTTTTACATGTAACTTGTCTTCCTTTGCATGATAACTGTGCAGACACATGTCAATAGAGGGCTCTGGCCGGGCCCGGTGGCTCACGCCTGTAATCCCACCATTTTGGGAGGCCAAGGTGGGTGGATCACCTGAGGCCAGGAGTTCGAGACCAGCCTCGCCAACATGGTGAAACTCCGTCACTGCTAATAAAACAAAAATTAGCCAGGAGTGGTGGTGCATGCCTGTAATCCCAGCTACTTTGGAGGCTGAGGCAGGAGAATTGCTTGAACCCAGGAGGCAGAGGTTGCAGTAAGTTTGCGCCATTGTACTCCAGCTTGGGTGACGAGCAAAACTCCACCTCCAAAAAAAAAACAAAAGTTCATTTCTTTCTTGTGCGGAAATAAAGTATAACACATACAATTATGTACAGCACATAATACTTGGTAATGATATTTAAAAATTATGTTACTAGTTTATGTATTTACTATGCTGTACTTTTTTCATTATTTTAGAGTGTACTCCTTCTACTTATTACAAAAAAAGTTAACTGTAAAACAGCCTGAGGCAGGTTCCTCAGCAGGTATTCCAAAGGCAGGCACTGTTTTTGTTTGTTTGTTTGTTTGTTTTGAGACAGTCTCGCTCTTTTGCCCAGGCTGGAGTGAAGTGGCACGATCTCAGCTCACTGCAACCTCCACCCCCCAGGTTCAAGCAACTCTCCTGCCTCAGCCTCCCAAGTAGCTGGGACTACAGGCATCGCCATCATGCCTAGCTAATTTTTGTATTTTTAGTAGAGACAAGGTTTTGCCATGTTGGCCAGACTGGTCTCGAACTCCTGACCTCAGGTGATCCACCTGCCTTGCCCTCCCAAAGTGCTAGGATTATAGGCGTGAGCCACTGCACCCAGCCAGGCATTGTTATTATAGGGTTAACTAAGGTTAATTTATCATTGAAGATAAATTTCTGGCCAGGTGCAGTGGCTCACACCTGTAATCCCAGCATTTTGGGAGGCCAAGGTGGGAAGATCGCTTGAGCCCAGGAGTTCGAGACTGGCCTGGGCAACATAGTGAGACCCTGTCTCTTTTTTTTTAATTAAAAAATTAATAAATAGCCCAGGCGCGGTGGCTCACGCCTATAATCCCAGCACTTTGGGAGGCCGAGGCGGGTGGATTACGAGGTCAGGAGATCGAGACCATCCTGGCTAACAAGGTGAAACCCTGTCTCTACTAAAAATACAAAAAATTAGCCGGGCATGGTGGTGGGCGCCTGTAGTCCCAGCTACTCAGGAGGCTGAGGCAGGAGAATGGTGTGAACCCAGGAGGCGGAGCTTGCAGTGAGCCGAGATTGCGCCACTGCACTCCAGCCTGGGCGACAGAGCGAGACTCCGTCTCAAAAAAAAAAAAAAAAAAAATTAGTAAATAATGCCGGGTGTGTTGGCTCACGCCTGTAATCGTTTCACTTTGGGAAGCCAAGGCGGGTGGATCACCTGAGGTCAGGAGTTTGAGACCAGCCTGGCCAACACGGTGAAACCCCATCTCTACTAAAAATACAAAAATTAGCCGGGCGTGGTGGCATGTGCCTGTAATCCCAGCTACTCGGGATCCTGAGGCAGGAGAATCACTTGAACCTGGGAGGCGAAGGTTGCAGTGAGCTGAGATCGTGCCACTGCATTCCAGCCTGGGCAACAAGAGCAAAACTCTGTCTCCAAATAAATAAATATATAAATAATAAAGAGAAAAATTTTCTTTCTATAAAGGTAGTGTAGTTTAAGTGTACAGTGCTTATAAAGTCTACAGAAGTGTACAGCAATGTCGTGGGCTTTCACATTAACTCACCACTCACTCACTGACTCACTCGGAGTAACTTCAAGCCCTGCAAACTCCATTCATGGCAAGTGCCCTATAAGGGTGTACCATTTTTTATCTTTTATACTATCATTTACTGTGTCCTTTCTATGTTTAGGTACACAAATATTTACCATTGTGTTACAATTGCCTACAGTATTCAGTAAAGTAACATGTTGTTCAGGTTTGTAGCCTGGGAGCAATTGGCTACACTATAGCCTAGGTGTGTAGTAGGATATACTATCCAGGTTTGTGTAAATACACTCTGTGATGTTCACACAATGATGAAATCACCTAATGACACATTTCTCAGTAGGTATCCCTGTCCTTAAGCAATGCATGGCTGTATTTCTGTAATATCCTTTCCGAAAATGCATAACCTTATTCTAACCATGAGAAAACATCAAACAAACCCAAATTGAGGGGCGTTCTCCAAATTTCTCCAAACTGACCAGTAGTCTTCAAAAACTGTCAAGATCATTGGAAGATAAAGAAAGACTGAGGACATTAGAAGAGACTCAGAGCCTGGGCGGTATGGCAAGGCTCTGTCTCTCAAAAAAAAAGGTTTGAAAAAATTAGCTTGACATGGTGGCATATGCCTATAATCCTAGCTACTAGAGAGGAGGAGGTAGGAGAATCACTTGAGCCCAGGAAGTCAAGGCTGTAGTAAGCTATGATTGTGTGACTGTACTCTAGTCTGGGTGACAGAGCAAGACCCTAACTCTAAAATAACAGCAACAAAAGACTAGGAGAAGGCTGGGCAACAAAGTGAGACCTCGTCTTTACAAAAAAACAAAAAAATGAGGTGAGTGTGGCGATGTGTGTGTACAGTCCTAGCTACTTGGGAGGACTATAAGTACACACCACCACACTCACCTCTTTTTTTTCTTCAGGAGGCTAAGGTGAGAGGATCCCTTGAGTCTGGGGTTAGAGGCAGCAGTAAGTCACGATCATGCCAGTACACTCCAGCTTAGGCTACAGAGTAAGGCACTGTCTCAAACAAAACAAAACAAAACAAAACAAAACAAAAAGACTAAAGAGAAATAATAACTAAATGCTATGTGAATGTGAAATCCTGGAACAGAAAAAGGGCATCATTGGAAACACTGCTGAAATTTGGATAAGTTCTACGCTTTAAATAATAGTACAGGCACACCTTGGAGATATTGCAGGTTTGGTTCCAGATCACTGCAATAAAGTATTGCAATAAACCAAACCACATAAATTTTTTGGTCCCCCAGTGCATATAAAAATTATGTTTATACTATAGCTTAAGTCTGTTAAGAGTGCAGGAGTGAGCATGCCACTGCACTCCAGCCTGGGTGACCAGCGAAACCTTGTCTCAAGAAAAATAAAAATACTTTATTGCTAAAAAATGCTAATAATCATTTGAGCCTTCAACACATTTGTAATTTTTTTGCTGTTAGAGGGTCTTGCCTCCATGTGGATGGCTGCTTACTGATCAGGGTGGTTGTTACTGAGGGTTGGAATGCCTGTGGCAATTTTTAAGGTAAGACAACAATGAAGCTTGTCACACCAATGGGCTCTTCCTTTCATGAAAGATTTCTCTGCAGCATGCGATGCTGTTTGATAGCATTTCACCCCACAGTAGAACTTCTTTCAAATATGCCACTTCTTTATTAACTAAATGTATGTAATATTCTAAATTATTTGTTGTCATTTCAACAGTGATCACTGGCCGGGTTACAGTGGCTCATATCTGTAATCCCAGCACTTTGCAGAAGCTGAGGCAATCAGATTGCTTGAGCTCAGGAGTTCAAGACCAGCCTGGGCAACACTGTGAAACCCTGTCTCTACAAAAAATACAAAAATTAGCCGGGCATGGTGGCATGTGCCTGTAATCCCAGCTACTCAGGAGGCTGAGGCAAGAGAATCGCTTGAACCTGGGAGGTGGAGGTTGCAGTGAGTTGAGATCACACCACTGCACTCCAGCTTGGTCAACAGAGCAAGACTCCATCTCAAAACAAAACAAACAATGTTCACAGCATCTTCACCAGGAGTAGACTTTGTCTCAAGAAACCACGTTTTTTTTTTTCCTTTCTCAAGACCGAGTTTTGCTCTGTCACCCAGGCTGGAGTGCAGTGGCGCAATCTCAGCTCACTGCAACCCCCACCTCCTGGGTTCAGGTGATTCTCCTGCCTCAGCCTCCTGAGTAGCTGGGATTACAGGCGCCCACCACCACGCTGGGCTAATTTTTGTATTTTTAGTAGAGATAGGTTTTCGCCATTTTGGCCAGGCTGGTCTCGAACTACTGACATCAAGTGACCTGCCCACCTTGGCCTCCCAAAGTGCTGGTGTTACAGGTGTGAGCCACCACGCCTGGCCAAGAAACCTCTTTCTTTACTCTTCCGTAAGAAACATCTCCTATCTATTCAAGTTTTATCATGAGGTTGCAGCAATTCAGTCACATGTTCAGGCTTTACTTCTAATTCTAGTTATCTTGCTATTTTCTACCACATCTGCAGTGACTTCTCACTGAAGTCTTGAACTCCTCAATGTCTTCCATGAGGGTTGGAATCAACTTCTCCCAAACTCCTATGAATCCTGATATTCTGACCTCCTTCCATGAATCATGAATGTTCTTTAATGGCATCTAGAATGGTGAATCTTTTCCAAAGGGTTTCAATTTACTTTCCCCGAATCCATCAGGGGAATCACTATTTATGGCAGCTATAGCCTTACAAAATGTATTCTTTAAATAATAAGACTTGAAAGTTGAAATTACTCCCTGATCCATGGGCTGTCTGAATGTTGTGTTAGCAGGTATGAAAACAACATTCATCTCCTTGTACATGTCTATCCGAGCTCTTGGGTGACAAGGTGCATTGTCAATGAGCACTAATATTTTGAAAACAATCTTTTGTCTGAGCAGCAGTTCTCAACAGTGGGCTTAAAATATTCAGTAAACCAAATGTGTAAACAGATATGCTGTCATCTAGGCTTTGTTGTTCCATTTGTAAAGTACAGACACAGTAGATTTAACACAATTCTTAAGGGGCTTAGGATTTTCAGAATGGTAAATGACCATTGGCTTCAACTTAAGGTCACCAGCTGCATCAACCCCTAACAAGAGAGTCAACCTGTCCTTTGAAGCTTCGAAGCCAGACATTGACTTCTCCTCTCTAGCTATAAAAGTCCTAGATGGCATCTTGTTCCAATATAAAACTGCTTCATCTACATTGGATATTTGTTGTTTAGTGTAGCCATCTTCACCAATGATCTTAGATCTGGGTAACTTGCTGCAGCTTCTACAAAAGTACATGCTGCTTCACCTTGCACTTTTATGTTATGGAGATGACTTCTTTCCTTTACCTCATGAATCCACCAGTGCTAGCTTCAAACTCTTTCCTGAAGCTTCCTCACCTTTCTTAGTCTTCATAGAATTGAAGACAGTTAGAGCCTTGCTCTTGATTAGGCTTTGGCTTAAGGGAATATTGTGACCGGTTTGATCTACCCAGACCACTCAAACTTCCTACGTATCAGCAATAAAGCTATTTTGCTTTTTTAGCATTTGTGTGTTCACTGAAGTAGCACTTTTATTTATTTATTTGCTATTATTTTTTGAGACAGAATCTCATTCTGTTGCCCGGGCTGATGTGCAGTGGTGTGATCATAGCTAACTGCAACCTCAAACTTCTGGGCTCAAGCGATCCTCCTGCCTCAGTACCTGGGACTACAGGCTCATGCCTGTATCTGAGTACAGGACTACAGGCTGTACTCAATCCTAAGTACCTGGGACTACAGGCTCATGCCACCACATCTGGCTAATTTTTATTTTCTATTTTTTGTAGAGATAAGATCTCATTATGTGCCCAAGCTAGTCTTGAACTCCTGGGCTAAGTTATCCTCCTGCCTTGGCCTCCCAAAGCACTGAGATTACAGGTATGTGCCACCATGCTTGGCCTGGAGTACTACTTTTAATTTCTTTCAAGAACTTTTCTTTTGCAATCACAACTTGGCTAACTGCTGGGAGCAAGACGCCTGGCTTTCAGGCTGTCTTGGCCTTCAACAAGCCTTCCTCACTAAGCTTAATCATTCTCACTACTTGTGTTCAAAATTGTATGAAAGTTCTAGCTTTTGGTTTAAAGTGAGAGATGTGGGACTCTTCCTTTCACTTGAGCACTCAGAGGCCATTGCAGGGTTATTAATTGGCCTAATTTCAATATTGCTGTGTCTCAGGGGATAGGAAGGTCCAAAAAGAGGGAGAGAGAGCAGCAGTCCCCACCTTTTTGGCACCAGGGACCAGTTTCATGGAGATAATTTTTCCATGGACTGGGGGATGGGGAAGTAGTTCCGGGATGATTCAAGCACATTACATTTATTGTGCACATTATTTCTATTATTACATTGTAATACGTAATGAAATATTTTTACAACTCACCATAACATACCATAGTGGGAGCCCTGAACTTGCTTTCCTGCAGCTAGGTAGTCCCATCTGGGAGTGATGAAAGACAGTGACAGATCATCAGGCATTAGATTCTCGTAAGGAGCACACAACCTAGATCCCTCACATGTGCAGTTCACAACAGGGTTCACACACCTACGAAAATCTAATGCCGCTGCTGATCTGACAGGAGGCGGAGCTCGGGAAGTAATGTGAGCAATGGGGAGTGGCTATAAATACGATACAGATGAAGCTTTGCTGGCTCACCTGCCTCTTACCTCCTGCTGTGCAGCCCGGTTCCTAACAGGCCATGGACTGGTACTAGTCTGTGACCCAGGTGTTGGGGAACCCTGATATAGGGGAATGGCCAATCCATGACGCAGTCAGAACACACGTATTGATCAATAACTTTGCTGTCCTATGTGGGCACAGTCCATGGCACCCCAAAACAATTACATAGTAACATCAAACATCACTAAATACAGATCACCATAACAGATATAACAATAATGCTAAGGTTTGAAGTATTGTGAGAATTACCAAAACGTGACACCGTGACAAAAAGTGAGTACATGCTATTGGAAAAATGGTGCTGATAGACTTGTGTGATGCAGGGATGCCACAAACTTTCAACTTATTTAAAAAAAAAAAAAACTATTTGCAAAGCACAATAAAGCAAAGTACAATAAAACAATGTATGCCTGTGTTATACCAAGATTAATTTCCTGGTTTTAATGACTGTACTATGGTTATATAAGAAGGTAGCATTAGATGAAGCTGATTGAAAGGTATATGGGAATTCTCGGAACTTTTTTCTAAGTCTGAAATTAGATAAAAATAAAAGGTTTTTTGGTTTTGTTTTTCTGAGACAGGGTCACTCTGTCGCCTAGGCTGGAGTGCAGTGGCATAATCTCGGCTCACTGTAACCTCCACCACCTGGATTCAAGCAACTCTCCCACCTCAGCTTCCTGTGTAGCTGAGACTACAGGCACACACCACCAAGCCCAGCTAATTTTTTTTTTTTTTTCGTATTTTAAGTAGAGATGGGGTTTCACCATGTTGGCCAGGCTGGTCTCCAACTCCTGACCTCCAGTGATCCACCTGCCTCGGCCTTCCAAAGTGCTGGGATTACAGGCATGAATCACCACATACAGCCAAAAATAATTCTTTTTTTTTTAAGGTGGCCAGGGGCAGTGGCTGACGCTTGTAATCTCAGCACTTTGGAAGGCTGAGGCGGGCAGATCACGTGGTCAGGAGTTTTGAGACCAGCCTGGCCAACAACATAGTGACGCCCCGTCTCTACCAAAAAAATACAAAAATTATTTGGGCATGGTGGCAGGCGCCCATAAGCCCAGCTACTCGGGAGGCTGAGGCAGGAGAATCGCTTGAACCCGGGAAGCGGAGGTTGCAGTGAGCCAAGATTGTGCCACTGCACTCCAGCCTGGGCGACAGAGCGAGAATCCGTCCTAAAAAAAAAGGTGTGCATCTACAAATGTCAGTAGAGAATTTGGTGTAAAAATATTGAATACAGAATGTCAATATTAAAGCCAATAGTTATTTCATATTTTTTCAGTTTTTAAAAGTATTGTCTTATGTTTTAGTAAGAGAACATATCTGAACTCCCAAAATAAGAGAATGGAACTAAGAAATTAGCTAAAACCGCTGTCAACCTGGCGTGACAGTGGACACTCAGCTTTTTCCCTTCAGGAGCAGCAGTCTTTTCCCCTGAGGAGCTGGACACAGTGAGGAGCTTGACATAGTGAGGGGAAGCAGGGAGAACAGACTATACTAAAATAATCTAGCCAGCCACCAAATAAACAGAGGAAGGGGACAGTATACAGAGTTACTACAATGTATTGTGTCCGGAAATGGTTCCTGCCGGTGGGTTCTTGGTCTCGCTGACTTCAAAAATGAAGCTGCGGACCCTCTCGGTGAGTGTTACAGTTCTTAAAGACAGTGTGTTCAGAGCTTGTTCCTTCAGATGTTCGGATGTGTCGGGAGTTTCCTCCTTCTGGTGGGTTCGTGGTCTCGCTAACTTCAGGAGTGAAGCTGCAGACCTTCGCTGTGAGTATTACAGCTCTTTAAAGGTGGCACGTCGGGAGTCGTTCCTTCCTCCAGGTGAGTTCATGGTCTCACTGACTTAAGGAGTGAAACTGCAGACCTTCACCCTGTTACAGCTCTCAAAGGTGGCAGGTCCAGAATGGTTGGTTTCTCCCACTGGGTTTGTGGTCTCGCTAGCTTCAACAGTAAAGCTGCAGACCTTCATGCTGAGTGCTACAGCTCATAAAGGTAGTGCGGACCCTAAGAGCAAACAGCAGCAAGATTTATTAGGAAAAGCAGAAAAACAAACCATCCACAGTGACCCCAGGGGGTTGCAGCCCCTGTGCAGGTGGCCTGCTTTTATTCCCTTATTTGGCCCCACCCACATCCTGCTGATTGGTCCACTTTACAGAGAGCTGATTGGTCCATTTTACAGAGTGCTGATTGGTCCGCTTTGACAGAGTGCTGATTGGTGCATTTACAAACCTTTAGCTAGACCCAGAGTGCTGATTGGTGCATTTACAATCCTTTAGCTAGACAGAAAAGTTCTCCAAGTCCCCACTCAACCCGGAAGCCCAGCTGGCTTAACATCTCAGTATTACTAAAATGTTACTGACAAAAACAATTATAGAACATACAAAGAAACAAGAAAGTGTGATTCACTCTAGAAAACAAACAACAAACAAAAAAATACAGGCAACAGATACTGCATGTGAGAGCAAGCAGACTTCAGATTTAACAAACAAATCCTTCAAAGTATAATACTTGTTATAGATATGTTGGAACAAACTAAAGGAAACCATGATTAAAGAAGTAAAGGGGCCAGGTGTGGTGGCTCACGCCTGTAACACCAGCACTTTGGGAGGCCAAGGAGGGTGGCTCATTTGAGATCAGGAGTTCAAGACAAGCCTGGCCAACATGGGGAAATACCGCCTCTACTAAAAATACAAAAATTAGCTGGGCGGTAGTGGCGTGCACCTGTAATCCCAGCTACTCAGGATACTGAGGCAGGAGAATCGGTTGAGCCTGGCAGGCCAAGGTTGCAATGAGCCAAGTTCACGCCACTGCACTCCAGCCTGGGCAGGCAACAGTGTGAGACTCTGTGTCAAAAATAAAAAAATAAAAATAAAAATAAATAAAAAGCCAAGAAGAAGAAGTAAAGGAGACTGGGCCCTGTGGCGCTTGCCTGTAATCCCAGCACTTTGGGAGTTCGAGGTGGATGGATCATTTGAGGTCAGAAGTTTGAGACCAGCCTGGCCAACATGGTGAAACCCCATCTCCACTAAAAATACAAAAAAAAAAAAAATTAGCTGTGCATGGTGGCACACGCCTGTAATCCCAGCTACTTGGGAGGCTGAGGCAGGAGAATCGCTTGAACCCAGGAGGCAGAGGTTGCAGTGAGCAGAGGTTGCACCACTGCACTCCAGCCTGGGTGACAGAGTGAGACTCCATCTCAAAAAAAAAAATTAAAAAATTAAAAATAAATTAAAAAAGGAGGAATCAAATAGTAGGAATTGGATGGAAGAGCTGAGAAACCAAGCAAAGGAGTAAAGCAACCCAGGCCTTAGCAACAGAAGAATACCACCACCACCCTCAGCTACAGGAGAAAGGGAAGGATGGAAGAGATGTTTCTGACATCCAAGGGCTGGCGTCACTGAACAAAGCCAGAACCATCATGGGACTGTTTGGGGATAAAGCCTTTGCCAGAAAGACTTCTGAGGCAGACATGGAAAGGGAGAAACACCTTGCCCTTCCTCTTGCCCCATAATCTCTCACTGATGCCTTCTGTTGACTGAATTTCACTGAAGCCAGCTGACATGGGAGCCTGGGAAGCAGCCTAGAGGAGTGAGCCCTGTGATACAGAGCAGAGCAGAGCACAACAAGGACAAAATGTAGAGCCAAGGGCAAAGGAAATCCCTTTCATGAGTTATAACCTTATAAATTATGGCTGAACTTTTTTTTTTTTTTTTTTTGAGACAGGTTCTCGATCTGTTACCCAGACTGGAATGAAATGGCAAGGATACTGCTCACTGCAGCCTTGACCTCCTGGGCTCAGGTGATCCTCACACCTCAGCCTCCCAAAGTGTTGAGATTATAGGTGTGAGCCACCACACCTGCCCCCACCTACCTTTAAAAACCCTTACTTGCAAGCCATCAAGAAGGTTGGATCTTAAGCATGAGCTGCCCAATTCTCCTTGCTTGGTGCCCTACAGATAAACACTCCTTTCTCCCACCACAAACCTTGGTGTGGGTATTTGGCCTTACTGTGCCAGGTGAAGGGACCCTGGTTCAGTTAGACAACATAAATATTTGCAGTGCATGTGTACTACCCAAGTACATGACTTCATTGACAAATAAGTATAATCCCAGGGCTTTGGGAGGCCAAGGCAGGTCAAACAAAATTTACCAGACTTGGGTCCAACGGTTACTACCACACTTTAAGTTAGCAAATAGCTTTCCCTTGGAAGCTTGATTTGAACAGCCAGTGAAAGAGAAGCACAGTTGGGCCAGGGGCTTGATGTCCCTGGGTATGTTACTGCTTTGGAAAAAGGGGCAGAAATTTATGCTTTTGCACCTTTGTAGTACTTCTTGGTAACAGAGTGTTCCTGTGATGAATCAGTTGCAAAACCATTTGTAGTTTCCATCTAAATCTTGATTATGGGAATAATAACACCTTGATTTAACCCTCAGGGACCTAGAAAGAGTCACATCTAGAGTCCAAGAACTCTTTTCAAGTTCTAGTTCTAATACTTACTAGCTGAGCAAGTTGATCTACTGATTTACTTTTCAGAAATCAAAAAAAGCCGCACTTTCCTTATCTATAAAATGGGTATGAATATCCTTATCACAGGGATGTTAAGGATAAAAAGAGAAATAATTGTACAAACTCTGTATGAAACCATCAAAGGCCATACAAAAGTAAAGACTGTTTAACACCCCGATATAGTGAGGAATTATATTTTAAAGTTGTGTGGTTACAGATATCATAGTGCTTACTACGCATCGGACGCATATACAAATCAATGGAAATACAATATTGATAATATTTAAAGGCAGAATTTGGAGATTACAGTTAGGGTGGTGGCAAGGGGATTCATGCCAAGAGATTGTCCCCGAAGTGTAATAGAAGATTTGAAAGATGTTAGTACAGTCTTTTTTTTTTTTTTTGAGATGGAGTCTCGCTCTGTCGCCAGGCTGGAGTGCACTGGCACGATCTTGGCTCACTGCAACCTCTGCCTCCCAGGTTCAAGCGATTCTCCTGCCTCGGCCTCCCGAGTAGTTGGGACTACAGGTGCACGCCACCACGCCTAGCTAATTTTTGTATTTTTAGTAGAGACGGGGTTTCACCATGTTGGCCAGGATGGTCTCAATCTCTTGACCTCGTGATCCGCCTGCCTTGGCCTCCCAAAGTGCTAGTAGTACAGTCTTTGGCAGTCAAAAAAGTCTTCTTGGGAAAATGACACTCGTCCTTCCTTGGAAGGTGATGGCATTGGCTACACAAGAGTGTGTGGCCAGGCACAGTGGCTCACGCCTGTAATCTCAGCACTTTGGGAGGCCAAGGCAGGTGGATCACCTGAGGTCAGAAATTCGAGACCAGCCTGGGCACATGGTGAGACCCCATCTCCATTAAAAATACAAAAATTAGCCAGGCATGATGCTGCATGCCTGTAGTCCCAGCTACTCAGGAGGCTGAGGCAAGAGGATTGCTTGAACCCAGGAGGCAGAGGTTGCAGTGAGCTGAAATTGTGCCACTGCACTCTAGCCTGCGTGACAGAGAGACTCAGTCTTAAAAAAAAAAAAAAAAAGAGCATGTGGAGTGGAGGCTAAAGGGGATTATAGACAAATGCCATGGCAAATGCAAAAAAACAATATAGTGCCTCTGAGGAACCCCAGTAATATGGCCAAAGTGGGGAGTATGGAGACATGAAGCCAGAGGTCACAGCCAGATTGTGAAGGCCCTTAAAAGTCCTTGTAGGTCGGGCACAGTGGTTCACACCTATAATCCCAGCAATTTGGGAGCCCAAGCCGGGTGGATCACCTGATATTAGGAGTTCGAGACCAGCCTGAGCACCATGGGGAAACCCTGTCTCTATTAAAAGTACAAAAAAATAGCCAGATGTGGTGGCGGGCACCCGTAATCCCAGCTACTCCAGAGGCTGAGGCAGGAGAATCACTTGAACCGGGAGTTGGAAGTTACAGTGAGCTAAGATCTCGCCATTGCACTCCACCCTGGGCAAGAGCAAAACTCCATCTCAAAAAAAAAAAAGGCCTTTTAAGGAGTTTGGACTTGGTACTAAGAGCATTGAATTGTCTTAAATGGGTGTGGATATAATCCAATTCATATTTCTAAAAATCTTTGGCTAAATGGAAGGATTCTGGAGGAAAACAGACCAGATGAAAAGGTTGAAGTGGCGCTAGTCTCAGTTGGGATTTAGGCTTAGGAATGGAGTAGCAGTGAGAATGGGAAGATCCAGCCTATTTAAGAAGTAGAATGCACAGACCTTGGTTGGTTGAACTAGATGGGGAAATGAATTAGTAGATGTTTCAGTTACCTGTTGCTGCACAACAAAGCATCTTCAAACTCAGCAGTTTAAAAGAATAACATGGGCCAGGCGCGGTGGCTCACGCCTGTAATCCCAGCACTTTGGGAGGCCGAGGCAGGCAGATCACGAGGTCAAGAGATTGAGACCATCCTGGCCAACATAGTGAAACCCCGTCTCCACTAAAAATACAAAAAATAAGCCGGCCGTGGTGGCGGGCGCCTGTAGTCCCAGCTACTTGGGAGGCTGAGGCAGGAGAATCACTTGAACCCAGGAGGCAGAGGTTGCAGTGAGCCTAAATGGGTCACTTAGAAAATTGATGTTTGGGCCAGGCGCAGTGGCTCACGCCTGTAATCCCAGCACTTTGGGAGGCCAAGGCGGGTGGATCACCTGAGGTCAAGAGTTTGAGACCAACGTGGCCAACATAGTGAAACCCCGTCTGTACTAAAAATACAAAAAATTAGCTGGACTTGGTGGTGGGCGCCTGTAATCCCAGCTACTTGGGAGGCTGAGGCAGGAGAATCACTTGAACCCAGGAGGCGTAGGTTGCAGTGAGCCGAGATTGAGCCAGTCCACTCCGGCCTGGGTGACAATAGTGAAACTTTGTCTCAAAAAAAAAAAAAAAGTTCATGGAAAAATAGAATTAAAAAGATAAACTTCATTTCTTAACATAAACTTCATTGAGTTCAAGACACTTATAAATGATGATACCAGATCACTTGAGGTAAGGAGTTTGAGACTAGCTTGGGCAACTTGGTGAAACCCTCTCTCTACTAAAAATACAAAAATTAGCCCAGTGTGGTGGCGCACGCCTGCAATCTCAGCTACTCAGGAGGCTGAGGCATGAGAATGGCTTGAACCTGGAAAGTGGAGGTTGCAGTGAGCTGAGATCATGCCCCTGCACTCCAGCCTGGGCAACAGAGGGAGACTCCATTAAAAAAAAAAAAATCTTAAAGGGCACCCATTTTATTCAGCTAACAATGAAAAAAAGACATGCATTGACATGGTTAAATCCCCAGGCCCCTCAGTTCTTTAGTGATCTGCCTGCCTTAGCCTTAAGGTTAGAAAAAAAAAAGTCAGAAGAAGCCAAATCATGACTGTAAGGTGGATGCCTAATGATTTCCCACTGAAACTCTCAAAAAATTGCCCTGGTTTGATGAGAGGAATGAACAGGAGCATTGTTGTGGTGGAGAAAGTCTCTCTAGTAAAGCTTTCCTGTGTGGTTTTGTTTCTTTTCTTTTCAGTTTTTTTGTTTTTTGTTTTGTTTTGTTTTGGGACAGAGTCTCACTCTGTCGCCAGGCTGGAGTGCAGTGGTGTGATCTTGGCTCACTGCAATCTCTGCCGCCCTAGTTCAAGTGATTCTCCTGCCTCAACCTCCCAAGTAGCTGGGACTACAGGCACATGCCACCACACCCAGCTAATTTTTGTATTTTTTAGTAGAGACAGAGTTTCACCATGTTGGCCAGGATGGTCTTGCTCTCTTGACCTCGTGATCTGCCCACCTCAGCCTCCCAAAGTGGTGGGATTACAGGCGTGAGCCACCGCACCCGGAATTCTTTTCTTTTTTTCCTAAAACTTTGGCTAACTTTCTTAAAACACTCTCATAATAAGCAGATGTTATTATTCTTTGGCCCTCCAGAAAGTCAACAAGCAAAATGAGTTGAACATCCCCAGTAACTGTTGCCACGATCTTTGATCTTGATTGGTGTGCTTTTGCTTTGACTGGACCCCTCCAACCTCTTGGTAGTCATTGCTTTGATTATGCTTTGTCTACAAAATTGTACTGGTAAAGCCATGTTTCATCTTCTGTTACAATTCCTAGAAGAAATGCTTAAGAATTTTGATCCCATTTGTTTAAAATTTCCATTGAAACCTTTGCTTGTCTACAGTTGATCAGGGTGCAACTGTTTGAGTAACTATTTAATGGAAATTTTGCTCAACTTTAATTTTTTAGTCAGACTTGTGTAAGCTGAACCAATTGAGATGTCTATGGTATTGGCTATTTTTTCTGCTGTTAATCGTCTGTCTTACTCAATTAGGGCACAAACCAAGATAGATTTTTTTCCTTGAAAATTGATGTGGATGATCTGCCACTTTGCACTTTGTCTTCAACATTGTCTCATCCCTTCTTTTTTTTTTTTTTTTTTTTTTGAGATGGAATCTCACTGTGTCACCCAGGCTGGAGTTCAGTGGCACGATCTTGGCTCACTGCGGCTTCACCTCCTGGGTTCAAGTAATCCCCCTGCCTCAGCCTCCTGAGTAGCTAAGACTACAGGCACGCCCCACCACGCCTGGCTAATTTTTGTATTTTTTCAGTAGAGTCAAGGTTTCATCATTTTAGCCAGGCTGGTCTTGAACTCCTGACCTCAAGTGATCCACCCACCTCGGCCTCCCAAAGTGTTGGAATTACAGGCATGAGCCACTGCACCTGGCCATCTCATCCCTTCTTAAAACGAGTTATGCATTTGTAAACTACTGATTTGCGGGGGGCATTCTCTTTATAAACCTTTTATAAAGGATAAATTATTTCACCATTCTTCCATCCAAGCTTTACCAGAAATGTGGTGTTTGTTCTTGCTTCAATTTTAGCAGAATTCATATTGCTCTGAAAGGGGCTCTTTTCAAACTGATGTCTTATCTTTCTTAGTGCCTCAAACTGGATCCTATTTTGACATGTTATAATAAGTTAGTATGAATTTATTTTGGTGCAAAAAGAGTTTGAAATTCATGCATAGTTTTTTCATAATACATATTTTCCATGAACTTTTTGAAGACTCCACATATACAATACATGATTATTATTATTATTGAGACAGGATATTGCTTTGTTGTCCAGGCTGGAGTGCAACCTCCAACTCCTAGGCTCAAGCAATCCTCCCACCTCAGCCTCCTGAGTAGCTGGGACGACAGGTGCCTGCCACCACACCTGGCAAATTTTTGTATTTTTTGTAGAGACAGGGTTTCGCTATGTTTCCCAGGCTGGTCTCAAACACCTAGGCTCAAGTGATCCACCTGCATCAGCTTCCCAAAGTGCTGAGATTACAGGTGTGAATCACCACACCCAACCTTACAATACATTATTATTAACTATAGTCACCATGCTATACATTGGGTTCGACTCCACCTCCTGATGGATGGGAGGAGCAGCATGTGCGTATTGGGATGGTAAGAGTTGTCAACCAAGAAGCTAGATGTAAAAGGTCACATATTGTATGATTCTCTGGAGGCAGTCTTCCACAAGCAGTAAGAATCACATATAGGCCAGGCACTGTGGCTAACACCTATAATCCCAACATTTTGGGAGGCCGAGGTGGGTGTATCCCTTGAGTCCAGGAGTTTGAGAACAGCCTGGGAAAAATGGCAAAACCCGGTCTCTACCAAAAATACAAAAAATTAGGCCAGGCGAGGTGGCTCACGCCTGTAATCCCAGCGCTTTGAGAGGCTGAGGCGGGTGGTTCACCTGATGTCAGGAGTTCGAGACCAGCCTGGCCAATGTGGTGAACTAAAAAAAGAAAAATTAGCCAAGCACGGTGGCTTGCGCCTGTAATCCCAGCTACTTGGGAGGCTGAGGCAGGAAGATTGCTTGAACCCGGGAGGTGGAGGTTGCAGTGAGCCAAGATCGCATCACTGCACTCTAGCCTGGTTGACAAGAGAGAAATTCCATCTCAAAATAAATAAATAAATAAATAAATAATAATAAAAATAAAAATAACAAAAATATAAAAAATTAGTCAGGTGTGGTGGCGTGCACCTGTAGTCCCAGCTACTTGGGAGGCTAAGGTGGGAGAATCACCTGAAACTGGGAGTTAGAGGCTGGAGTGAGCCATGATTATACCACTGCACTGCAGCCTGGGTAACAGAGTGAAACCTGTCTCAAAACACAGACACAAACAAACAAACCACATACAGTCTAAAGTACTGTGAATGGATAGTGGTATCATTATTAGCTGGAGGTAAAGTGACTCACCGTAGTTTATGACGGAGCAAAATCCTACTGAGCTTTTCCACCTCCCCACTCCTGAATTAGTTATCCATCATTGATGTCAGCCTGATTGTGAAAAAAGGGAGAGCTGCTGATACGGAAAGTAGAGGGAAGAGAGCCCAAATATCTTCAATATAATAGCAAATCCTAGAATCTAGAATGTAGTGGTTAAGATAATAGCCATTTACCAGTCTTGTGGCTTGGGAAAGTGGATTAACATCTGTGCCTCAGTTTCCCTATCTATGAAATGGGGGACAAGAACCAACATAGATGTGACCACATGTGAGAAAGTGAAAAGGGGACTAAGAAAATTAAAAAAAAAAAAACAGTTCTGTTAGTAGAATGTTCCCAACTGGACATAAACAGCACTCACAGAATATGAACAATGTTCATAGACAGTTTCACCATGATCGTGTTTTGGACAAGACAGAAACAAGGCCCTCAACAACCACACAAATGGGAAAACACCCCCTTCTTCTAATGTAAATGATCCCGCTTTTTTTTTAACCAATGACAGCTCTAGCTTGCTTTGTTCCTCCTTCTGTTTAGATAAAACCAAGACTGAATTGCTTGTTTCCTGACAGCATCCAATTCAAATTTGGCCTCCTACTTTCCCAATCCCTCTAGAATAAGCCCAAATTCTATAAGAGATTCCTCCTAATTCCTTTTCATTAAGAGGCTCCCTACTACACTTCAGGTGTGCCTTTTTATTATTTTTTATTCTTTATTTTATTTATTTATTTATTTATTTTTGAGATAGACTTTTGCTCTTGTTGGCCAGGCTGCAGTGCAATGGCACGACCTCGGCTCACTGCAACCTCTGCCTCCCGGGTTCAAACAATTCTCCTGCCTCAGCCTGCCAAGTAGCTGGGATTACAGGCACCCGCCACAACGCCCGGCTAATTTTTGTATTTTTTTTTAGTAGAGACGGGGTTTCACCATGTTGGCCAGGCTGATCTCAAACTCCTGATCTCAGGTAATCTGCCTGCCTCGGCCTCCCAAAGTGCTGGGATTACAGGCATTAGCCACCGTGCCCGGCCAGGTATGCCTTTGCCCAGCCAGGTATGCCTTTTTATGGTGGGCACATATTCATCAAAAGTCATACTAGAGTAATCATATTGGCCCTATTCAAAATAGATAAAATATCCAAATGCCCAACAATAAAATGAATACATAAATTAAGGAATATTCACATAATGTAACATTATAATATATAACAATGAGAAACAAATACAACTTCATTCAACAATGTCAATGAATCTCATACTATCGAGCAAAAGAAGCTAGACCCTAAAAAATATATTGTATAATGTATATACATTAAGTTTAAAAGCAGGTGAAGCTAATCCATAGTGTTAAATGTCAGCATAATGATTATCTTTGTGGAGAGATGGGAAGAGGCATGAGGGGAACTCCCAGATATGGGTAAAGCTCTGCCCTTTCTCTGGGTGCTAGTTATATGTATGTGTTGAGTTGATGAAAAGTCAATACACTGTACTTATGATTCATGCACTTTTCTTTGTGTATGTTAGCCTGAATTAAAAAGTTTAAGAAAAAACAAATACTTTTTTTTTTTTTTGAGACAGAGTCTCACTCTGTTGCCCAGGCTGGAGTGCAGTGGGGCAATCTTGGCTCACTGCAATCTCCGCCTCCCGGATTCAAGGGATTCTCCTGCCTGAGCCTCCCAAGTAGCTGGGATTACAGGTGCACACCACCACGCCCAGCTAATTTTTGTATTTTTAGTAGAGACGGGGTTTCACCATGTTGGCCAGGCTGGTCACAAACTCCTGACCTCAAGTGATCCACTTGCCTTGGCCTCCCAAAGTGCTGGGATTGCAGGTGTGAGCCACCACGCCCGGCCAAAAACAAATACTTTTTTAAAAGAAAGTTTAAAACAAAAGTTAAAAAAAAAGAAAAAAACAGGTACAAACCTGAAAAATCTCCCAATTAACAAAGCTGGGACAATTTTAGCAACAAAATAATGTAGTATTGGAATGTAACCATTATAAGATAAACATCCATGAGTCCATACTGATATAAATAGCTAAGTGAGGGAGAAGAGGCAAACTTCCCTTGGGGAAGATAATTTATGTACATACTCCCCACTGCAGGAGGTAGAGCTTAAATACCCCGCCTTCCCACCTTGAGTGTGGGTTGCATTTATTGACTTGGTTCCAAAGTAGTGTGGAAGGGTAGGAGGAGTAATTGCACAGTAGAGAAAACTGGCAAGCACTACCTTAGAGAGGTAATCAAGGTTAACATGATCAGTGATGTCATTTTGACAGCATGTACCCTTGATTCTATGTGATGAGAACAGCCAGTCACCTTGTGGTCTTCCTCCTAAACACCCAAAACCCCAGTCTAACCATGAGAAAAATATTGGCCAAACCCAAATTGAGGCACATTCCACCAAATATCTGAGGAGTAACTCTTCAAAACTGTCAAGGTCATCAAAAACAAGAAGAATCTGAGAAACTGCCACAGCCAAAAATAGCCTAAGACGACATAATGAATAAATGCAATATGGTGTCCTGGACAGGATCCTGGAACAACAACAAAAAAAGGACATTGAAAGAAAGCTGGTAAATGTGAATAAAATGTGTAGTTTAGTGAGTAATAGTGCGCCAATCAAACTGGTTTCTTAGATGTGATCAACGTAACATAGTAAAATAATTAAGATGTTCACAATAGGAGAAACTAGGTGAGGAGACAGGAACTCTAGGTGTCATCTTTGCAACTTTTCTGCACAACTACAACTATTCTAAAATAAAAGGCGTTTCTTTTTAAACGGGAATCCTCAACAGCGCCTCTCTCATGGGGTTGCAAGAAATCAATGAGATAGTACAGACCAAGTGCAGGGCTCAGTGCTTAGCACATAAATGTCAGATGTGGTTATTGTAATATTATGTAACATTGAGGGACAAAAGCTCTGACACCTCGGTGTTTTAATTAGAGTAAGCAAAGGACAGACGCGCGTACGTCCCACCGCGTCAGCCCTGTGAACATCCAGAGGTTCCAGCCAGAGTACGTCCGGCCGGAGGCGGGGCGCGGAGGGGACGTCGGCGTGGGGCGGGGCCAGTAGCAGTTCCCACGCCGGCGCTCCAGGCGCGGCAGGCTGCCGCCCCCGGAAGTAGTGGGTACCGGGACGCCGTGAGGCGGAAGCTGTGTATGGCGGGAGGCTGTGGCGGTCCCTTGGTGGGGAAGCTGTTGCTGTTGCTAGACGACGGGAACTAGCTCTCGTCACTTCCTCAGCCCGCCGTCTGCCCACTCCTCTAGCCGGAACCTGGGGGCCCGGAGCCGGGGTAGGCACAGAGTTGTCCTCGGAGGTCCAGGACAGCGGCCAGCCCGGCGGCGGGAGTCAGGGCCACGCCACCTGCAGGGAAGAACCCGAGTCGAAGCGGGAAGATGGCTGCAGACAAGCCTGCAGGTAGGGCGCCAATGTCCCGAGCGACGAGACGGCGGGACGTGCGGGGCCGGGCGGACCCTGAACTCGGAGGCGGCGGGGCCCGGGGTGGGGACTCCAGGGCGACTTGAATTTGGGCGTGCATTTCTTTACCCCATCCTCTGTCTCGGCTGTCGCTAACATGAGTCTTCGGGCCCCGGGTCCAATAGTTGTTTTACTCAAGTGCAGTATTTGAAGTCGCCACTGGCCGCCTTTGCCCTGCTCTTCAGAATAACTCCGGCCCAAAAAGCTTAAATGTATTTTGCCGCTTCGCAGAATTTTCCGCTTCTTCGTGGGAAAAGCAGACAAGAGAAAGTCACCCTGGAGCACACATCTGCCTATAATATCGCGTGGCTGAGGCTGGGATTCACCTGGGCTGTTTTGACCACATGTGGCTTCCTCTGGTCATTGACTCCTGTGAAATTAACTTTGTAAAAACCACTTTTTTTTTTCTTGATAGAGACGGGCGGGGGTCTCGCTATGGTGCCCAGGCTGATCTCGAACTTCTGGGCCCAAGCGATCCTTCCGCCTTGGCCTCTCAAAGTAAACCACTTATTTAAAAAGGCATAAAATCCTATTGTCTCTCTACAGTCTGTGCTCCTAAAATCTTGCATTTGGTACTTAATTGCTCTAGTTCCTCGAAATTACTTAATCTCAATGGTTTTCTTTATGGATTATTGCTCCCATTCCTAGAATCTTCCACATTAAGGAATATAAAATTATTTCCTGACCTTGTCCGGAATGTTTCCCGCAAGAAATTCATATTCTTTGTGGCATCCAGGTTTTATTGGAAAGAACTTAAGTGACAGGATTTAAAAGTGATGGAACTTAAAATTTTTACAGTGAATTTAATTTAAAATTAAAGAAAAACTCAGTGTGCTGTGGATTTTAGTAGGTTCTGGTCACAATAACTGACAAATGAACTTCACTTGGAAATTAAGCCAATTCTATTTTAGGTACAGAGGAATAAAAATCATTAGAGGATCTCTTCAATAATCTAAGAAGAAAAACAACAGAACAAAGGCCTTGAGAGGGTATAAGGAATGTGCTGTGAAATTTTGGATAGGTTGTTCAGGGAAGGCCTCTGGTGAGATGATATTTGAGCAGAGATATGTAAGAAGTGAGGGAATGAGCCATAAGAAATGAGGAAAGGTGGATGAGGGAGAGACTATTAGACAGGAAAACGGCATGGCCTGTCCAAGGCTGGACCAGGGGACCAACATCTTCCTCCTTATTTTAGAATAGTGTCTGTGTTCCCCACATTTACCATTCCTACTTGCTCATACCATTGCGCTTGCCCGAAATCACCCTTTTAGACCTAAAGCCCATCCAGTTTTCAAATCCTCAGTCATAAAGCCTTCTACTTGTTCATTTATTCATTCGCAAAGATTGAGTGTTGAATAATGGATATGACACACTCCCTGCCTTTGAAGACCTGCTGTTCAGTCTGTTGGAGGAGACAGGCATATCCTAGCTGCACTCCTGTTTGGTAAGAGCTGTGTAATGTGTGTAGTTGAAGAATAAGGTCCACAGTGATTAGGGGACTGTTTTTTTCATTGGTTTAAGTTTATAGGCCATATTGAAGGAAACTTCCTGCTTTGATATAAGGTTAAATTTGAATAAAATAGATGAGTGTTTAGTGTAGCTCCTTTGAATCTCTGCTCATCTCCATCTCATCTGCTGTGTTTCTGGCCTTTATCTTTTAATATGATCTATGTCGCATTGAGTAGTCTTCTCACTGGTGTTTGTCTCTTGTCTCTTCCTATCCCATCCATTTTCCTCACTGTCGCCCCCCGCTTTTTTTATGTCCTAAGACATTCATTGAATCCTGTCATTCCCCTTCCTATAAAGTTTCTAAGACTGTACATGCTTTGGGCATCAAGTCATCATTCTTTTTATTTAATTTTTATTGTATTTTCTTTCTCCTTTTAAGTCCTCACGGTTTTTTTTTTTTGTTTTTTTTTTTTTTTTTGAGACGGAGTCTCGCTCTGTCACCCAGGCTGGAGTGCAGTGGTGCGATATCGGCTCATTGCAAGCTCCGCCTCCCGGGTTCACGCCATTCTCCTGCCTCAGCCACCCGAGTAGCTGGGACTACAGGCGCCCGCCACCACGCCCTGCTAATTTTTTTGTATTTTTTAGTAGAGACAGGGTTTCACCATGTTAGCCAGGATGGTCTCCATTTCCTGACCTTGTGATCCGCCTGCCTCGCCCTCCCAAAGTGCTGGGATTACAGGCGTGAGCCACCGCGCCCTGCCGTCCTCACTCTAATGTGGTTTGTGAGCATCTTCAAAATCTATTTCCAGCTGGATTTCTGTATCAACCCACCCAGCTCTTCACATCATAAATTACTGTTGCAAAGCATTGTGTTTTTTGAGCTTTTGAGCCGTAGTGTCCTTTCTCTTCTCCGTCTGGTGAACACTATTCATTCAGTCTATCTTACATGCTGCTTCCTCTCTGAGCTCACGAGGTCAGGATATTTGTCACGGAGGGTCTTGTGTGTGTGTTCTTCATCAGGTAAGAAAAAAGGGTCATGAAAGGACTTAAGGTGAGTGATCTGATCACACTGACTGTTGTAGGTGGTGGATTTAAATGAAGTAAGACAGGAAGCCTAGAGACCACCTAAGATGAGTTAATGTTGTGATATTAATTTATTCAGTAAATATTCACCAATGGCCTGTTTTGCCAGGTACTACTTTAGGAACTGGGCAGGAACAAAACAAAGTCTCTGTTCTGGAGCTTATTTACTATGAAGGACAGATAAGCATGTAAATAAAATGAAAAATAAGATGATTTCAAGTTGTGATAGATACTCTGAAGAAGGCCAAGTGCAGTGGCTCACACCTGTAATCCCAGCATTTTGGGAGGCTGAGGGGGGTGGATCACCTGAGGTCAGGAGTTCAAAACCAGCCTGACCAACATGGTGAAACCCCATCTACTAAAAATACAAAAATTAGCCAGGCATGCTGGCGCACACCTGTAATCCCAGCTAGCTGGGAGGCTGAGGCAGGAGAATTGCTTGAACCTGGGAGGCAGAGGTTGCAGCAACCCGAGATCGCACCACTGCACTCCAGGCTGGGTGACAGAGTGAGATTCCATCTCAAAAAAAAAAATAATACTCAGAAGAAAAAAATGAGTAAGAGAGGCTGTCTGCAGTTGCTCACACCTGTAATCCTAGCACTTTGGGTGGCTGAAGTGGGAGGATTGCCTGAGGCCAGGAGTTTGAGACCAGCCTGGGCAGCATAAGTGAAACCCTGACTCTAAAAAATAAAAAGCCAGATATCATGGTGTGTGCCTATAGTCTCAGCTCCTAGGGAGGCTGAGGTGGGAGGATTGCTTGTACCTAGGAGTTCAAGGCTGCAGTGAGCTTTGATCACGCCACTGTCCAGGCAACAGGATGAGACCCTCTCTCAAAAAAATAAAATAAAAGGCCGGACGTGGTGGCTCACGCCTGTAATCCCAGCACTTTGGGAGGCCGAGGTGGCAGATCACGAGGTCAAGAGATCGAGACCATCCTGGCTAACACAGTGATACCCCGTCTCTACTAAAAATACAAAAAAATTAGCAGGGCCTGCTGGCGGGTGCCTGTGGCTCCCACCTGTAATCCCAGGACTTTGGGAGGCCGAGGTGAGTGGATCACCTGAGGACAGGAGTTTGAGACCAGGCTGGCCAACATGTTGAAACCCTGTCTTGACTAAAAATACAAAAATTAGCTGGTCGTGGTGGCAGACGCCTGTATTCCCAGCTACTCGGGAGGCTGAAGCAAGAGAATCACTTGAACCCAGGTGGCAGAGGTTGCAGTGAGCCAAGATCGTGCCATTGCCCTCCAGCCTGGGCAACAAGAGCAAAACACCATCTCAAAAAAAAAAAAAAAGAAAAAGAAAAAAAAGAATAGAGGATGACTGAAAGCCTTGTTTTTCAGATAGATTAGAGAAGGGCTTTCTTAGAGTTGACATTTAGACAGAAACCCTAAGGATAAAGAGCCAGCTGTGTTGGGAAGAATGATCCAGGTAAGAGGAGCAACAAATATGCAAATGTACAGAACCCTTGCTTGGAAAATGTCTAAAGAACATCAAGCAGACCCCTTGAATACAAGCTCCCCGAAGATAGAGACTTTTGTCTGTGTTAGTTGTGTTCTAGCTCTAGTCCCTAGAACAATATCTGACAAGAGACACTCAACACATAATTTAAGGCTGGGCATAGATGCTCACACCTGTGGGAGGCTGAGGTGGGAGAATCGCTTGAGGCCAGGAGTTCAAGACCAGCCTAGGCGACATAGCCAGACTTGTCTCCGTAAAAAATAAAAAAAAATTAGCTAGGCATGGTGGCGTGACCCTGAAGTCCTAGCTACTCCAGAGTCTGAGATGAGAGGATGGCTTGAGCCCAGGAGTTGAAGGTTGCAGTGAGCTATAATTGTGCCACTGTACTGTAGCCTGGGTGACAGTGCGACCCTGTCTCAAACAGAAAACAAAAAAGCCAATACACATAATTTATAGCATAGGGAGCAAAGGCAGCATGGCAAGAGATAAAGTCACAGTTGTATCAGGAGTTGGTGTATGTTGGGCGTTACAGGCCATGGAGGGAGTTTGAATTCATTTTAACTAATGGGAAGAGAGTGGAAGTTTTCAATAAGGGCATGATGGTGTGATCTGATTTATATTTAACTGATCCAGGTAAGGAATGATAAGAGTAGGGGCTTTGAAATCAGATAGTTTAGGTTCATCCTAGCTGTACTACTTGGTATTTGTGGGAAATTGGGCAAATTTCAAGAAGTCTTTTTTTTAAGCTTCAGCTTTCCTGCGTGTAGAATGAGAACGATGAAAGTATCTACCTCACAGGTATGGTAACAGGTTAAATGATATAATCTCAGGCTCTGAGTTTTTTGGTTTTTTTGTTTTGTTTTGTTTTGAGACAGGGTCTCACTCTTTCACCCATGTTGGTGTGCAGTGGCACCATCATAGCTCACTGCAGCCATGAACTCCTGGGCTTAAGCAATCCTCTTGCCTTAGCCTCTTGAGTAGTTAGGACTACGGGTGTGTACTACTGTATCCAGATAATTTTTTTTTTTTTGAGACAGAGTCTCGCTCTGTTGCCCAGGCTGGAGTGCAGTGGTGCGATCTTGGCTCACTGCAAGCTCCGCCTCCCGGGTTCACACCATTCTCCTGCCTCAGCCTCCCAAGTGGCTAGGACTACAGGTGCATGCCACCATGCCCGGCTAGTTTTTTTGTATTTTTAGTAGAGAAGGGGTTTCACCATGTTGGCCAGGCTGGTCTCTAACTCCTGACCTCATGATCCGCCCGCCTCGGCCTCCCAAAGTGCTGGGATTACAGGCATGAGCCACCGCGCCCAGACTTATTTGGTATTTTTTCAACTTTTTATTATGAATGATTTCAAACACCTAAAAAATTTAAAAAATAAAATGAATATCTATATATCTACCCCCTAGTTCATTCAGCAATTGTTATATTTTACCATATTTGCTTCCTCTATCACTAGCTATGACTTTTTTTTTTTTTTTTGAGATGGAGTCTCACTCTGTTGCCCAGGCTGGACTGCAGTGGTACGATCTTTGCTCATTGCAACCTCCATCTCCCGAGTTCAAGCGATTCTCTTGCCTCAGCCTCCCGAGTAGCTGGGCTTGCAGGCACACGCTACCACAGCCAGCTTTTTTTTTTTTTTTTTTTTGAGATGGAATCTCACTCTGTTGCCCAGGCTGGAGTGCAGTGGTGCAATCTCGGCTCAGTGCAACCTCTGTCTCCTGGGTTCAAGTGATTCTCCTGCCTCAGCCTCCTGTGTAGCTGGGACTACAGGTGTGTGCCACCATGCCTGGCTAATTTTTTGTATTTTTAGTAGAGACGGGGTTTCACTGTGTTAGCCAGGATGGTCTCGATCTTCTGACCTCATGATCCACCCACCTCGACCTCCCAAAGTGCTGGGATTAACAGACGTGAGCCACTGTGCCTGGCCATGCCCAGCTAACTTTTGTATTTTTAGTAGAGACGTGGTTTGACCATGTTGGCCCGGCTGGTCTTGAACTCCTGAGCTTAAGTGATCTGCCCGCCTCGGCCTCCCAAAGTGCCGATGTGAGCCAACACACCTGGCTCTAGCTATGACTTTTAATGTTGAATCATTTCAAAATAGGTTATAAACATCATAACACTTCATCTCTAAATATTTCAACATGCGTTTCTTAAAAATAGGGACATTCACCTATGTAACCATGATGCCATTGTCATAGTTTAGACAATTCATGTTTTAATATATTAAAAATTTCCTGCCAGCCAGGCATGGCGCCTCACGCCTGTAATCCCAGCACTTTGGGAGTCTGAGGTGGGAGGATCAGTTGAGTTCAGGAGTTAGAGACCAGCGTAGGTAACATGGTGAAACCCTGTCTCTACCAAAAATGTAAAAAATTAGTGGTGGCGCATGCCTGTAGTCCCACCTACAAGGGAGGGTGAGGTGGGAGGATCATTTGAGCCTGGGAGGCAGAGGTTGCAGTGAGCCAAGATAAACACCACTGCACTCCAACCTGGGTGACTGAGTGAGACCCTGTCACCAAAAAAAAAAAAAAAAAGCCAATTTCCCGCCAGGCATGGTGGTTCATACCTATAAATCCTAGCACTTTGGGAGGCCGAGGTGGGTGGATTGCTTGAACCTAGGAGTTCAAGTCCAGCCTGGGCACCATGGTAAAACCCTGTCTCTACAAAAAATACAGAAAGTTAGCTGGGTGTGGTGGCATGTGCCTGTAGTCCCAGCTATGGCTATATTTTAAAAATTTATTTGTAGGCACAGGGTCCCAATATATTGCCCAGGCTGGTCTCAAACTCTTGGGCTGAAGGAATCCTCCCAGCTTGGTCTCTCAAAGTGCTGGGATTACAGGTGTAAGCCACTGCACCCAGCTTTATCTCCTGTATTTTCTTAAACTCTAACTTATTTCTACAGGCTTGATTAGATATAGGTTCAACATATTTTTGAGAAACTTTGTAGGTGATGTTATATACTTTATTTTCTGTATAAAGTACATAATGTCAGGTTATCCAGTATTAGTGATGCTAAATTTGATCAATTTGAGGTGCTGACAGGAACATCTTTTTCCATTTTCAGTTAGAGGTAATTTATGGAGTAATTGGCATTTCGTAAATATCCACTGTTGTTGATTCTTTCCTCAATCAGTTGTATTATTGAGGGTTACAAAATGATTTTTACCTAGTTCTATTGTAGTTTCTACCTTTGTTAGTGAATATTCTTCTTTAAAGAGTAGCTCTCCTGGGCTGGGTACAGTGACTCATGCCTGTAATCCCAGCACTTTGGGAGGCCAAGGTAGGCAGATCGCTTGAGCCCAGGAGTTCAAGAGCAGCCTGGGCAACATGAGAGCCTGTCTCTACGAAAAGATTGAAAAAACTTAGTTGGTGTGCTGCTGCGTGCCTGTAGTCCCAGCTACTTGGGAGGCTGAGGTAGGAGGTCACTGGAGCCCAGGAAGTCGAAGCTACAGTGAGCCGTGATCACAGCACCGCACTCTAGCCTGGGCTACAAAGTGAGACCCTGTCTCAGAAACAACAACAAAAAAGAATAGCTTTCCCATATTGACTGTTAGTCTTCCCAGAAAGCCATGTTAAATGCTAAAAGCTTAATTCATTATTTTCAATTACCAGTTTTCAGAACAAGGAGTTGATGTGGTAGTGACCTATGTTTGATATTTAAAGTGGTTTTTTTTCTTTTTTAAATTTAATTAATTTTTTTGAGGCAGGCTTTCACTCTGTTGCCCAGGCTGGAGTACAGGGGCATGATCTTGGCTCACCGCAGCCTCGACCTCCCGGATTCAAGTGATCCTCCCACCCCAACCTCCCAAGTAGCTGGGACTACAAGTACATGCCACCACACCTGGCCAGTTTTTCTGTTTTTCTGTAGAGACAGGGTTTTGCCATGTATCCCGGGCTGGTCTCAAACTCCTGGACTCAAGCAAGCCTCCTGCCTTGACTGCCCAAATTGCTGGGATTACAGGCGTGAGTAAGTGTTTTTAATATTAGAATTTAGAGTAATATATTGGTCTTTTTTTTTTTTTTTCCAGACAGGGTCTCACTCTGTCACCCAGGCTGGAGTGCAGTGGCATGAACACTGCTCACTGCATCCTTGACTTCCCAGGCTCAAGCGATCCTCCCACCTCAGCCTCCCAAGTAGCTGGGACTATAGGCATGCGCCACCACGCCTGGCTAACTTTTGTATTTTTTGTAGAGATGAGGTTTCGTCATGTTGCCCAGGCTAGTCTTGAACTCTTGAGCTCAAGCCATCCTCCCACCTTGACCTCCCAAAGTGCTGGGATTACAGGTGTGAGCCACCATGCCCGGCACTTATATTAGTCTTATGATTTCAATTTAAAATGTATAATTGACTGAATATTGATTTATACTTGTGAATTTAAATTGAAACCTTATTGCAGTTATTTTATTTTGTGGACATTAGAGAGTACCTAAGAGTCACTATAAGTTTAATTTTTTAGGTATGTAAGTTATTCTCAGGAAATTTTTTTTTCTTGACACATGTTAAAATACAAAAATTTTGTCTTTTTAAGTCTAGCAATTATACTTAAAATTGAATATATTGTTGGGGTTTGGTGGGGGGGTTGCAATAGTTCTCACTTGATAAATTTTTTTTTTTTTTAATTTAAAAAAAGTGTTTGGTACTCTACACTTTCAGAGAAACTTCTCCAGTAACAAACTGTAGAAATGATCCCTGAAAGTGTAGTCTTGGTAAAATTTTTTAAGTAGTTAACATTTTATGTTTGAAGATGTTATGTTGAAGGTGAACTTTGAAATGAGTTTAGACATTCATCACAGGCCTTTAAAATTAGACCTCCAAGTAGAATAAGTTGTCTAAGTTCGGTGTAAAAATTTGAGTAAAATCTAGGCTTTTTGAATTTGTAACTTTAATAAATTAAGTATTAATATTTTAAAACTAGAGTAAATCTCAGTCTTTTCTATGCATAAAAACTCCTCCTCTTAGATGTGAAAACAAAATACTCATCAGCAGTGGCAATATTCTGCTTTGCCTAGCTTCCTTAAAGCATGCTGATATTGTTTTTTCTTCTTTCAGTTTTTTGTTTGTTTGTTTGTTTTTTGAGGCAGTCTTGCTCTGTTGCCTAGGCTGGAGTGCAGTGGCATGATCTCGGGTCACTGCAATCTCTGCTTCCTGGGTTCAAGTGATTCTCCCGCCTCAGCCTCCTGAGTAGCTGGGATTATAGGTGCGCACCACCACGCCCAGCTAATTTTTGTATTTTTAGTAGAGATGGGGGTTTCACCATGTTGGTCGGAATGCTCTCAAACTCCCCACCTCGTGATCTGCCTGCCTTGGCCTCCCAAAGAGCTGAGATTATAGGTGTGAGTCACCGCGCCCAGCCTAACTTTTATATTTTTAGTAGAGATGGGATTTCACCATGTTGGCCAGGCTGGTCTCAAACTCCTGACCCCAGGTGATCCTCCTGCCCTGGCCTCCCAAAGTGCTGGGATTACAAGCCTGAGCCACCGTGCTGGCCATGCTGATATTATTGATTTGAATTTCTGTTCCTTTATTTCTACACTACTGGGCAGGATGCTCAATTCTGTAACATTGCTTGTTACAAATGGCTTATTCTTTGGGCTGCGAAGTGTGTGCTTTCCCATTTCTCCAGCTCCTCTTGTCCAGTGGAGGGAATATGGTTTAGTGAATAAACCATTTGAGGTTTTGGTAAGTCAAGTATACTTGTTCAGATGATAGAAATCATATGTGAGGTATGTTAACCTAGCTGTATAGTGACATTAGTGGGCCTGAATTGTTTTTCTTCGAAGTGGCATCCTTCTTAAGATTTAAAACTTTCCTTCACAAGGGCATCATTGGTATTTTGTGACTGTGATTGTTGATTTCCTTAGGTCTTTTAACATCCCTTTTTTCTTTGGAAAAGTTTTCTTTTCTTGATATATCAGTGGAGCTGTATTTTGATGAGTGTAGCTTGTAGTCTCCACCAATCAGATTTGAATGATTAACATTCTGTATTGGAATGTGTCTGTGCTTTCAGTTAACTGATGATTTTCAGTTTTGAAAACGTGGTGCATTTCTTTTCTGCTTAGTTCAAACCTAAAGGCAATTGTTTATTTAGAAATGAAGTCTATTGGTGTAAAGACTGTCAAGGTTTGTGGGTCAAAGAGCTCTGTACGCATAGAAGGTCAGCCATGTTCATTAGGCCAGAGTAGAAGGAAAGTCAAGCTTATGGGTGAACGGTCGTATACTCTTTCAATTGGCAACGGAGACTACTTTTGGGCAAATAAAGAAATGCTGTGGGATTATGTGCAGACTCTGTCTGGTAAGAAGTCAGTAGTTATAAATAATAAATGTTTTTAAAACATTAAAAAAACTGATTACAAAAATGAATACCCATTTCTGGCAGAAAACTCGAGAAATGTACAAATACACAAGGAAAATAAAAATAATCCTGTTGAAGAGAGTGTGTGTGTGTGTGTGTGTGTGTGTGTGTGTGTGTGTGTGTGTGTGTATTTGAAATGGGGTCTTGGCCGGGCGTGGTGACTCATGCTGGTAATCCCAGCACTTTGGGAGGCCGAGGCAGGCGGATCACTTGAGATCAGGAGTTCAAGACCAACCTGGCTGACATGGTAAAACCCTGCCTCTACTAAAAATACAAAAATTAGCTGAGCATGGTGGCGGGCACCTATAATCCCAGCTACTCAGGAGGCTGAGGCAGGAGAATCACTTGAACCTGGGAAGCAGAGGTTGCGGTGAGCTGGGATTGTGCCTCTGCACTCCAGCCTGGGCAACAGAGTGAGACTCCGTCTCAAAAAAAAAAAAGAAGAAGAAGAAGAAATGGGGTCTCACTGATTGCTCAGGCTGGTAGTCATATACTGGGCTCAAGCAATCTTCCCACCTAAGCCTCCTGAGTAGTGAAGTGTGTTTTTTTAAAAACAGAAAATTTTCATCCTGAAGTTAAAGAAGGTAGGTAAAATAATGGTTCGTTAACATGTAAAAGGTTATTTATTGAGCTCAGTTCTGTGAAATGTGTGTAGAAATGGGAATTTCAGAGGCTCTTGTCAGCCTTAGAGTCCAGCTTATCTATTTATTTATTTATTATTTATTTATTTTGAGATGAGGTCTCACTGTCACCCAAGCTGGAGTGCAGTGGCACAATCTCAGCTCACTGCAGCCTCCACTTCCTGGGTTCAAGTGATCCTCCCTCCTCAGCCTCCCAAGTAGCAGGACTACGGGCATGTGCCACCACACCTGGCTAAGTTTTGTGTTTTTGGTAGAGATGGGTTTTCACCATGTTGTCCTGAGCTCAAGATCCACCCTCCTCAGCCTCCCGAAGTGCTGGGATTACAGGCGTGAGCCAGTGTGTCCAGCCCAGCTTATATATTTATCTTAAATTGGCTTCTCTCCTTTTCTGGAGAATTTTAGGAGACTTACATTTTCTTTTTCTTTTCTTTTTTTTTTTTGAGATGGAGTCTCGCTCTGTCACCCAGACTGGAGTGCAGTGGCGTGATCTCGGCTCACTGCAGCCTCTGCCTTCCGGGTTCCAGTGATTCTCCTGCCACAGCCTCCCAAGTAGCTGAGATTGTAGGCATATGCCACCACGCCCAGCTAATTTTTGTATTTTTAGTAGAAACGGGTTTCACCATGTTGGCCAGGCTGGTCTGGAACTGCTGACCTCAGGTGATCTGCCCACCTTGGCCTCCCAAAGTGCTGAGATTATAGGCGTGAGCCACCATGTCCAGCCTGATACTTCCATTTTCTGGGGTTGCTAACAGCAGTGGCCACATGAACTACTCTACTTTTAGTGGAGAATAGAAGCTCAAAATTTTCAACACCTGGGTGAGTTGTTGGGTTTTCCCCTTTGCCCTGTATTTCTAAGGTGCTCTTACAGTTGGTCCCAAAAGTCCCATTAAAGAATGTCATCTAATCTAGGGCATATTTTACTTATTTATTTTATTCATATCTTTTATTATTATTATTTTTGAGACAGGGTTTCACTCTGTCACCCAGGCTGGAGTGCAGTGGCATGGTCACGGCTCACTGCAGCCTCAACCTCCCAGGCTTCAACGATTATCCCACCTCACCTCCCCAAGTAGCTGGGACTACAGGCACATGCCACTATGCCTGGCTAATTAAAACAATTTTTTAAAATAGAGACAGGGTCTTGTTTTGTTTCCCAGGCTGGTCTGGAACTCCTAGGCTCAAGCAGTCCTCCTTCCTTGGCCTGCCAAACTGCTGGGATTACAGGTGTGAGCCACTGCCCAGCCAAGGGGCATATTTTAGAAGAAGCTTTAGAGAAAACTCAATAGCAAACTAAGAATTTTTGGCATTTGGTTTAAATTATGCTTCTTTATGAGAGAAGACACATTTTTTAAAATGTTAGGTTTTATAAAATCTTTAATAATAAAAGAAACATGAAAGATATTTATATTCTTTGTTAAAGTTTTATGGTGACAATATGTGGATTGAGGATCCTGTTTCAATCTAAACTTATAACTTGCCTTCTGAGGTCCTAAAGTCCTGTGTCACATTTTTACACGTTTTAAAATAATTGGTCCTTACCTCTTTTGTGCACCTGACAGTTCTGCAAAACACATGTATTGGATAAACAGTATGTTCTTGCAGTGAAACTCATTGTTATTGGCTTTCCAAAGAAAAAACTGTTTAACATTGTCCTTTGAAACTGGCAAACTTTATTCACTTAACTCTTAGCTTTTCCTCCTCCCTGTCGTATGCTAAAGTGGAAATAAAATAACTACTTGACCTGCTAACTTTAATTATCACAAGTAACACTTTTTAATAAGCCCAAATACTGGAATGCCTTTTTTATACAGCAGATAAGTTCTTAGATGAGTTTTTTTAAGTACAAGTTATACAGTATTACGTTGTTATAAGTGGTGACTCTCAAAAGGGTGTTCAGTCTTCTGGGGGTTTCGTAGTGATCTAAAGAGCTGTTTCATAGTCAAGTCACATGAAATTGAATTTTACTGTTAATTTTTATGTTTAAATTACAGACATAAATATATTTTTAAAAATATAAGTACAAGAATTTTTAGTTCTGGTGAAAGGAAAGTGGGGAAGGGAGCTATATTTATTTAGCATCTCTAATTAAAAACAGGCCAAAGGACGACTGGACTGAAGATGTGACTGATTCTAAGACTTGTGCTCTTTTAATTATGTCATATTGCCTTCTTGGAAAAGGGAAGTTGGGAATCTTCACTGACTGCTGACATGTGCCAGGCTAGGACTTCCCAAAGTTAGTTCTGTTGACAACTGGTTCTTTTATTTTTAGTTTATTAAGATGGGGTCTTACTCTGCTGCCCAGGCTGGAGTGCTTTGGCACAATCTCAGCTCACTGCACACTCCACCTCCTGTGTTCAAGCAATCCTCCCACCTTCGCCTCGCTTGTAGCTGGGACTACAGATGCATGCCACCATGCCCAGCTAATTTTTGTATTTTTTGTAGAGACGGGGTTTCACCATGCTGCCCAGACTGGTCTTGAACTCCTGGGCTCAAGTGATCCACCCGCGTTGGCCTCCCAAAATGCTGGAACTACAGGTGTGAGCCACCACACCTGGCCAACAACTGGTTCTTTGAGATGCTCCTGTTGTCTAGGCAGTTATCAAAAAGTGCCCAGATCATAAGTGCACATACAGTTTGGTGAATAGTTTGCTGTGTATCCTTGTAGACTTTATACTTATTCAGAGGTACATATTTGTGTATATATTTTTATAAAACATGGGATTCAGTTGTACAAAGCAGTTTGCAATCTGTTTCTTTTATTTAACAACATGTTGTAAATATTTTTCCACATCAAGTTATATAGACTTAATAACTGTTAATGTGCCATTGTATTCCTATACCATGATTTAGTTATCAAATCTCTTGAAGAATATTTATTTCTAGACATTTAGTATTATCGTTTTAATTTACAATTATTTAATAAATAATGAGGCTGAATTTCATTTCACGTTATTAAGCCATTCATATTTACTCTTCTTTCAGCAAGTTTCTGGTGTTTGAGGAACACTGTGAAGGACTGTGGCAGGGTTCTTGAAGATAAGGGAGTTTGTTTATCTAGGCAACTCCTGGAAGCCATTATAGAGGGAGTCACACTTCCCAGTATCCTGGAAGGGGGCTTGTGATGGATGAGGTGCGAAAGTGGAGGCTACTATGACAGATGCAACTCTAGGGCACCATACTGGGGGAGCATTCCACTAGCTCTAGCCCCAACTTGAGTCCATGTTGGCAGATCTATAGAAGGAGAGGGAAGAATGGAAAGGAGCCAGTAAGCAAAAGAACCCCATAACCAGTGTGATTCTTGACAACTTTCTGGAAAGTTGGTTGTAGGCACTCTTGAGGGGTAAACTTGGGGACAAGGTGGTCTACTATTTCTCATGTGGGTATTTGTCTTCCATAGAAACCTTAATTGGATATGAGTGCTGCTTTAGGAACAAACATATCAGTTTCTTTTTTTTTTTTTTTTTTGAGATGAAGTCTTGCTCTGTCACCCAGGCTGGAGTGCAGTGGCATGATCTCGGCTCACTGCAACCTCTGCCTCCCAGGTTCAAGTGATTCTTCTGCTCCAGCCTCCCAAGTAGCTGAGACTGCAGGCATGCACCACCATGCCCGGCTAATTTTTGTGTTTTTAGTAGAGATGGGGTTTTACCATGTTGTCCAGGCTGGTCTTGAACTCCTGACCTCAGGTGATCCGCCTGCCTCGGCCTCCCAAAGTGCTGGGATTACAGGCGTGAGCCACTGCGCCCGGCCTCAGTTTCTTTATAGAAGCATGTTTGGAGTTACTGAATCTGAGTTGGAAGGGATGCTAAAAACTATTTAATACAGACTCTCATTTTAGTAAATAGGGAAGCTGAAACTTGCCCCAGTTCCACTTTGTAGCATCTGTTTAATTTCAGAAGTGACATTAAAGTTTTAGTCTTATTTCAATTCTAAAAATTGTCTGTACGTCACTGTGCAACCTGCCTCCCGTCTGTATGTTGAAAATGATAGAATCTGCACTATTGTGCTACATATCAGGGGTTTACTCTGCCAGGTACATGCCAATTGCTTCACATATATTCTTACTAAAGCCTTACAATAACTTGAAAAAGGGTTTTCTTATCCCCATTTTGCGGATAGGTTCAAGCTTTGGAGGTCTTTGAGTTTCAGTCTGAAGCAACAATTCTGTATGAAAAAAATTCCTGTATAAATAAGAAATTCAAATATTGTGAGACTTTGAAATTCTTTAAAGTCATACACAGTGACATTGCCATCACCTACCTATGTTTGCAGCCCATGACATCACATTTATACAGTGGTCACATTTCCTTTTAATGATATTTCCATTAGTGGTGCATGGAGCTTTTGCTGGTGAGTAGAACCAAGAAACAGAATATTCTTTGGGAGATAGTAAAATATAAAAGGCATCTTTTAAAAACAAATGGCAAATTTTTGCAGAAAAGAAAACTTAACATTAAAAATGACTAAGCCAAGCGCAGTGGCTCACACCTGTAATCCTAGCACTTTGGGAGGCTGAGGCCAGCAGTCACCTGGGAGGTCAGAAGTTTGAGACCAGCCTGACCAACATGGCAAAACCCCGTCTCTACTAAAAATAAAAAAATTAGCCAGGTGTGGCGGCAGGTGCCTGTAGTCCCAGCTACTTGGGAGGCTGAGCCAAGATTGTGCCACTGCAGTCCAACCTGGGTGACAGAGCAAGACTCCATCTAAATAAATAAGTAAAATAAAAATAAAAATAAAAATGACTAATATTTACATTACCTATATATAGTATTCTTGCCAGAAATGTTAAACTGCATGTAATATTGAGGAAATAACCAGAAAAATTCAGAATGTAGGACATTCTAATTCTATTTAATTAATTCTAATTGGCTTAGACTCTTTTGAAAAAATAAAAAACCAAAAAACAATGACCTAATGATATCGTGTAGCTCTGTGTCCCCAACCAAATCTCATGTTGAATTGTAAATCCCCAATGTTAGGGGAGGGACCTGGTGGGAGGTGACTGGATCATGGGGGTGGATTTCCCCCTTGCTGTACTGGTGATAGTGAGTGAGTTCTCACTAGATGTCGTTATTTAAAAGTGTGTAGCACCTCCCCCTTTGCTCTCTCTTCTGCTGACCATGTGAAGATCTGCTTGCTTCCTCTTTGCCTTCTGCCATGATTGTAAGTTTCCTGAGAACTCCCTATATGTGCTTTCTGTACAGCCTGTGGAACCATAAGCCAATTAAACCTCATTTCTTTATAAATTGCCCAGTCTCTGATAGTTGTTTTTGTTTGTTTGTTTTTTGACAGAGTCTCACTCTGTTGCTCAGGCTAGAGTGCAGTGGTGCAATCTCGGCTCACTGCAAGTTCTGCCTCCCGGGTTCACGCCATTCTCCTGCCTCAGCCTCCTGAGTAGCTGGGACTACAGGTGCCCGCCACCACGCCCAGCTAATTTTTTTATTTTTTATTTTTAGTAGAGATGGGGTTTCTCCATGTTAGCCAGTATGGCCTCGATCTCCTGACCTCGTGATCCACCCGCCTTGGCCTCCCAAAATGCTGGGATTACGGGCGTGAGCCACCACACCTGGCCTTTTTTTTTTTTTTTCTCAAGACAGTCTCACTCTGTCGCCCAGGCTGGAGTGAAGTGGCGTGATCTCAGCTCACTGCAACCTCTGCCTCCCAGGTTCAAGCAATTCTCGTGCCTCAGCCTCCCAAGTAGCTGGGATTATAGGCATGAGCCATCACGCCCAGCCAACAGTGACTCTTGAGAGAACTATAAAAAGTATTGAAGCATTTGTTAGAGTACTTAACACACTTTTGCTCTGAGTAGTTTAGGTTTGGTTCAGCTGAGATTTTTACCTTTATTTTGGAATTCTATTTTCAAATTAAAACAAAAAGCAAAACATCTAATATTTAAAATAGCAAATTATAGAGGTAGGAGGTAGTTTTCCCAGCTAAACAGATTATTAACCTTTACTGTGAATTTATATGGACACTTAACATATTAAAGAAACTTTTTAAATGTGTTAATATTTTGGATTTCTGAGCCTATGAAAATATTCCTTGCCTGGAAATTAGCTGTAAGCCCTTATCAGTGTAGTTTTCTGATTGTTACTACTTTCCAACTAAATTATAAATCTCTTAAAGCCATCGTAGGTGTGTTTATATCTCCAGCACCTGCCATAGTTGCTTGAATATGTGGGACTGTATATTGCTGGGTGGCAGATCTAATATTTTTTAAAGAGCACAATATTCTCAGCTTGAATGTCCTCATCTACAGGGCTTGTGGTCTTTATTTAAGTGGGCAGGTTTTCATTGTGTTTCAACTTGGCCATAGGAACCTTTTCAAGCTTTCAGAGGAGTAGCTTCTTATTAGCTTATAACATTAATCAGTCATTGTTTTTTGTTGTTTTTTTTTTTTTGAGACGGAGTCCTACTCTGTCGCCCCGGCTGGAGTGCAGTGGCATTATCTTGGCTCACTGCAAGCTCCACCTCCCAGGTTCACGCCATTCTCCCGCCTCAGTCTCCCAAGTAGCTGGGACTACAGGCGCCCGCCACCACGCCAAGCTAATTTTTTTTTTTTTTTTTTTGTATTTTTAGTAGTGACGGGGTTTCACCGTGTTAGCCAGGATGGTCTCGATCTCCTGACCTTGTGATGTGCCCGCCTTGGCCTCCCAAAGTGCTGGGATTACAGGCGTGAGCCACCGTGCCTGGCAACATTAATCAGTTATTGTTGAGAGAGCCCTAACTTTGGCCACTTTATTAGGAAGAACACAAGATGAAAACTAGGGACAAATTCACTATACAGTAGTCCCCCACCTTTTCCTCAGAAGATACATTCAGGGTCCTCCGGTGGATACTTGAAACCACAGATAGTACTGAACCTATGTACTGCTTTTTTTAATACGTACATAACTATGATAAAGTTTATAAATGAGGCACAGTAAGAGATTAACAACAACAGTAATAAAATAACAGTTATCTGAATGTGGTTTCTCTTTCTCAAAATATCTTACTGTACCCTACTCACCTTTCTTCCTGTGACCTATTGATCTGATAACCAAGATGGCTACTGTGTGTCCAAGGGGGAGGTATCTTATACAACATGGAATGCTAGACAAAGGAATGATTGACTTCCTGGATGGGACAGAGCGGGACACTGCAGGATGGCAAGAGATTTCATCATGTTACTCAGAACATTGCTGTTTAAAACTTAAGAACTGCTTATTTCTGGAATTTTCCATCTGATATTTTCATACTTGACCTTGGGTAACTGAAACTGCAGAAAGTGAAACTGGATAAGGAGGGACCACTGTACAACTTTTATTTCTAAAGAACTGTAAAATTTGTGTGTTTGCAGATCAGGGAGCAGAGAAACATGAAGGCACAGGTCAGTCCTCTGGGATCACTGATCAAGAGAAGGAGTTATCCACCAATGCTTTCCAAGCTTTCACAGTAAGAAATGGCTTCTCTTAGTCTGCTCAAGTTGTAGGGTTCTGTCAAGTATGAATCTTTTCATAGTGAATTTTTAAATTTACAATTTTTACTCTGTAATAATTCAAAAGTTAATTTAGAGATAAGTAGGTTTAATTTTTAAAATAAATGTTTTAGAGTTTAAATATGGTGAAAGGAATGGGAATAATTGGAGCCATTCCCAAGTTTTTGTAAACATGTTTTAACTCATATACTGTTGTTTTTAAGTCTTTTAAATTTAGATTTGTAAGTATGTGGGTCAGTCTTTTCATTTCACTAAGCTGTTCAATTCTTTTATTTATTTATTTCTGAAAATATCAGATTCAAAAATTATTTTCTTGAAGGTACTTTAAAATGGAACCCCAAAACTTTATTGGCAGAATTTTAACTTTTTCTGGCATTAAACAATATGAAAGAAAACCTTATTTGGTTATCAGGTTACGTGCATGTAAGCAGAAGAACTTGATGCTTGGGTATTTAAAATATATTTACTAGAAAATAAAATTTGGAGTGATTATATTACCTTTCTTGACTAGCCTCAGCCATTAATACCCTGCTAGCACTATATGTATATGCCAGTATATTTATCATATCAATATATGTGTCTTATATGTGTCAATGTCAGGGTTTTGAGTCTTAGGAAGTAAATATCCACAGTTTAACTGACATGAATGTTGCTTTAGTGACTTTGATTAGTATATGTAGGGAAACTACATCTTTCTTTTTAAGAACTTTTAAGATAAAGATGAATGAAATATATTTGGAATGATATACTGTATTTAAAGCTGGTATGTAATTTTGTGTGTGTGTGTGTGGTTTTTTTTTTTTAGTCTGGAAATTATGATGCCTGTCTACAACACCTTGCCTGTCTACAAGATATAAACAAAGATGATTATAAAATAATTTTGAATACAGCAGTAGCTGAGTTTTTTAAAAGTAACCAAACAACAACAGATAATTTGAGACAAACACTTAACCAGCTGAAGAATCAGGTGATACATAAATGAATTTAACTATAAAAAATATTGTTCTGTTCTTTAATTTATGAAACACAAATAGTTAAGGAAAATAAATGTGATTTGTCTGGTATTTCTTGTCAGAAACATTTGTTAGCATTAATTTTATTTCCGTAAAATTATTATTCCAGGAGATAAAAGGTATGTTGTGGGATCATTTTTTTTAATTGGGGTTTTAATGAACTTGAACAGAATAGACTAATATACCAAATTTGAATGAGCTTTGGAGTTTTGAGAAAGAACTATATGAAGAAGCTTAGCTGTGGAGATATATCTTGTTTATAATGAAAAAAATATGATTAATCCTAATGTCAAGTCGTTTTAGCATTTGGATCAGGAGATGATTGATTAAATAGAAGATATTCTGCTTTGTATCTGGCTTGGGGCTTGAATTGGGGATTGGTCTGGTGATAATGGCAATGTTTCTTGAATCCTGGGGCTAGACTTTTGGTGTTCAAGAGGGCTGATAACAGTGATGGTGCTGATAGGATCAGCTAGCATATGTTAAGTGTTCACTGTGTGACAGGGCTCTGCCAAGCGCTTGTATGCAACTTCTCAGCTTGTTCTTCTCAGTAGCCCTATGAAATAGCTATATAATTTTTCTTATTTTAAAAGTGGAAAAGCCAAGGCACAGATAGCTGTGTAAATTGTCCAAAAACACAAAGTTTTTGAGTAGTAAGAGCTACATGAACTCAGTTGTATTTAACTCTATAGCCTGTAATTTTAGTTACTGCTTCATGCTGTTAGGGAGTCATGAGACCTTTCCTGTAATCATGAGTACCATGATACTCTATAGTATCACCCTAAAGTGTGACACAGGTAGAGAAGCAAGTTGTCCCTTCAGGCTCTCTGTAATCCTTTATAGGCATAAAGTAATTTTTAAACCCCATTAAAATTCAAAAATGAGAATAATAGCTACCATTTATTGAATGCATACTGGGTGCCAAATTCTGTATTAAGTGCCTTTTATGCCTTATCTCATATAATCCTCACATTCAACTCTTGAGGCAGTAGGTGCTTATTATCTCAGTTTTAAAACCAGAATTTAGGAAGTCTAATTTAAATTTACACAACTAGGAAGGGGAAGAACAGATTTAAACCAGGCCTTCTGACTCTTGAGCCTGTTCTCCTACCTGTCTCAGTCTTCATAAATTTGTATGTCCTCACGTTTCCTCATTACTCCAGTATTATTACTGATGATTTTATCTAGTGTTCCAGAATCAAAAGAAAGATGATGCTTACTGATAATCTAGTACATGCACCCTATGACCCCATAGACAGTTTCTTCCAAGACAAATTTGTTTGGTTTTTGAGAATAAGTTCAGCCTTTAAACTTTTTTTGAATAAGCAATTCCTGCAAACTTCCAGTTAGGCCAAAAAAACTTTGTGAAGTTCTTTCACTAGCTTTTATTGTTTATAAGGTTTGTTAGGGCCTTCCAACTCTTGAGTTTCCTAGAAGTGTTTGTACTTGTGGTTACTGACTTCTTTAAATCATACTTCTGTTCGCAGTCACATCGGGCACAGTGACACACCTTTTCAACCTATTCCATTTTAATTAGCAAACGTCTAATTTCACTTAATGAGTAGTTTTTCTTTTGGCTGGAGCAGTTACTAGACTATTTTGGTGAGTCATAGAATATGTGGCAAAGTTATTTGTGTGATAATTATTCAACCATTGCTGAATCCAAAACGCCATAGTTTATCTAAAAGCTTTTCTGGCTAAACTCTTCTTAACTCAGTCTCTCTCCATTACATAACTACAGAAAGAGTTGCCTTTGGAAATTGAGTTTTCACTGTTTGAAGATACTGTTTTTAATCTCTTTAAGATAGTGACTTGATAAGTGAAGATTATAAAAAGTTCCCAAACTCATTGAGATGCACATGTTGGTCAGCTAGGACCACTTGCTAACATTTGAACCATGTCAAGCTTAACCACGTGGGTGGTTGACGTCTGCTGAAGTCCAGTTACAAAATTTACAATTCATTGTGTGTAGTGAACCTTCAGGTTCCTTGCCATTAGTCAAACCAAGGCTGTTAAATCCATGTACTGTATATCAGAGTTCTATGGAAGTGTTGGTCTTAGAGTTAATTACTTAATATTGAACAATAATTTATTGCAATCTTCATAATGGCAAAGGTTAGTTTTAATACAAGTAGACTTCCAGTTTCATGTGTTACATGGAATTGTGCAATGGTTGTAAAGCTTGATTAAAATTTAAAAGCCCATTGCTACAGCTTACATAAGGGGGTATACAGTTTGAGAATGCAAAGTGTCATGCTTTTTTTTTTTTCTTTTGTGTCAGTTACAGATGTTAGCCTTTAGTGAAGCCCATAAAAGCCTTTTCTAACCATCATGTGTGCAATAATATATTTTTATTATTGAGTACTTTAAAAAAATCTATTCTTTTTTACGGGAACGAAACCTGAAAATATACTTTCTAGCCCTATGGCCTTGGGCAAGATAATTAAGTTTTCTGTGCTGGTTTCCTTATGTATAAAGTGGAAATGAAATTATCTATGTCCTCGGCCAGGTGCGGTGGCTCATGCCTGTAATCCAAGCACTTTGGGAGGCCGAGGTGGGCAGATCGCCTGAGGTCAGGAGTTCAAGACCAGCCTGGCCAACATGGTGAAACCCCATCTCTACTAAAAATACAAAATTAGCCAGGTGTTGTGGTGCATGCCTGTAGTCCGAGCTACTCAGGAGGCTAAGGCAGGAGAATCACTTGAACCCTGGAGGTGGAGGTTACACTGAGCTGAGTTCGTGCCACTGCACTCCAGCCTGGGTGACTCCATCTCAAAAAAAAAAAAATTATCTATGACCTTGAGGTATGGTGAGGATTAACCTGTAAAAGTTTTAACATAGCAAGTCTGGCACATGGTAAATAGTTAACTATTTTTGTTTTGTTTGATACAGAGTCTCGCTGTGTTGTTCAGGCTAGAGTGCAGTGATGTGATCTTGGCTCACTGCAGCCTCTGCCTTTTGGATTTAAGCAAGTTTCCTCCCTCAGCCTCCCGAGTAGCTGGGACTACAGGCACGTGCGACCACACCCAGCTAAATTTTTTTTTTGTATTTTGTATTTTTAGTAGAGACGGGGTTCACCATGTTGGCTAAGCTGGTCTCAAACTCCTGACCTCAAGTGATCTGCCTGTCTCGGCCTCCCAAAGTGCTGGGATTACAGGCATGAGCTGCCACGCCCGGCCAGCTATTATTAATGTTTAAATTTTACCTTAGTTTTTACAAAATGAAATCAAACTATGAATACTACGTGACATTTTTATGGGAAAGGTCATTTTGAGTTTGTTGCACGCCTGGTGTAGCCTCTTGTAGGTTGTGAGACTAGGAGATGGGAATCCTACTCAGAAGTGGTGTTACCAATTGAAACAGGGAAGATAGCTTCACAGTGACAAGGAAGATAATTGTCTAGCCATGTGCTGGGTACTTAATAAAGTCTCATGAAAACATTTTACCTAAAATTTTATTATGTGTGGCACAGAAGAATGAAAATAATTTTTAGTATGTGAGAGTAATTAAAATCTAAAGATACTGTTGAAAGTATGGAAAAATTCAGAATAAGAATGTTGGCCTATGTTCCTTTTTATTCATATGAATTCTTTCACTTTTGCTTTTTATTTCCTTAATGTTAAAATATAACCTCTGTTGATTGCTTTATAGGTCCACTCAGCTGTTGAAGAAATGGATGGATTAGATGATGTTGAAAACAGCATGTTGTACTATAATCAAGCAGTCATTCTTTATCATCTGCGGCAGTATACAGAAGCCATATCAGTTGGTGAAAAACTTTATCAGTTCATAGAGCCTTTTGGTATGTTATCTGTCAAGTCAAAAATTTCCCTATCTTCCCTATACTTGCAGAATTCTCTGGTACTTTTACCTAGATAACCTAAATCCGAGAAGTCCATGCCAGTATTCAAAGAAAAGCCGTATCAGCTTTGCTTAATGGTTAGAAAAGATAAAAATGTAATCCAGGTTTTCTTTGAGTGTCCCTTCCCAAATTTTGAAGATAACTGTTAAAAATGCTGTTGGAAAGTGCTGAAAACACTTAGTGATGTTTGTGGGGTTTTTGCTGTTTCAACACTATTTTAGTGTACCTGATCCTTTCTTACTTTAGTACATTAAGGAAGTAGCATTTTGGAATGTTAGGGGACAGTGAGGTATTTCATTTTTGCCCTTTGCCTTACTGAAATTTTTGGTGGTAATTATGGAGTAGGAAGTATAGAACAGAGTTAGTTTTTTGCTATCTTAATTAGCTTACTAACCTCAAGTAGGAGTAGCAAGAAAAGTAAGGGCAAAGGAAAAAAGAAGAGCAAAGGAGAAAGCTAGACCCAGGAAATGGTTGTTAGAGAAGGCTGTTGGTTTCTAGCCCACAAGCAGTCAAATTCCATTTGTGAGTTACATTTTTGTCTTTTTTTTCCATAATTGCTTTCTTTTACATTCAAAACACAAATGAGAATTCCTAATTTATCAGGAACGCCTGATTGCTCATGTGGTTACCACAGGACAAGTGGTGGGGTATGATAGCGCTCTGTGGTTCTTTGGGAAGAGGTAGAGAGTCCCCTTTTGCTGACAGCTGGTTGAACAGCTGATTACTATGGCTCCAGAGACCCATTCTGAGGTGCTTCTCTTCTTTCCCTCAATCCTGAGAGCTTGGTAGCTGGACAGACTGGGCGGGAGAGACACCAGTGGTAAGGGATTATGTAATTAGTGACCAGGTCCTTCTGTATAGCTAGAAATCAGAGTTACACTTTTAGGACTGTACACATTTTTCTGTAAAGTTACTGTTATTGATGCTTCTTAGAATTTCAATATGGAGAAACTGCCTTTAAAGGCAGCTATTAAAATATAAATATGCCCAGCGCAGTGGCTCACGCCTGTAATCCCAGCACTTTGGGAGGTTGAGGTGAGCAGATCATCTGAGGTCAGGAGTTGGAGACCAGCCTGATCAACATGGGGAAACCCCGTCTCTACTAAAAATACAAAATTAGCCAGGTGTGGTGGCACATGCCTGTAATCCCAGCTACTCAGGAAGGCTGAGACAGGAGGATCACTTGAACCCGAGAGGCCGAGGTTGCAGTGAGCCAAGATTGCACCACAGCATTCCAGCCTGAGCAACAAGAGCAAAACTTGCTCTCAAAAAAAAAAAAAAAAAAAAAAGAGAATTTCCTGAATTCATGAAATCCTGTTAATCTGCACTATGGCTGAACAGAATATATTAATAGTAATCAACTAGTCAGTATTCACATTCATTTTTCTTTTATGGCTTTTTTTTTTTTAAACTTTTACTGCTTGGATTTTTTTTAAAGACTGTTTTTTTAGAGAAGGTTTAGATTTACAGCAAAACCAAGTTTCCTCTTGTACAGAGATTTCCTGTGTGTCCTCTGCCCCAACACATCCATAGCCTCCCTCATTACCACAATCCCTCAACAGTGTGGTGCATTTGTTATAATTGATAAACCTACATTGATACATCATAATCATCCAAAGTTCATAGTTTACGTTAGGGTTCACTCTTGGTGTTGTATGTTCTATGTGTTTGGACAAATATATTCATTATAGTATCATACAGAGTATTTTTCACTGCCCTAAGAATTCTGTGTTGTGCCTGTTCATTCCCTTTCTACCTATAACCACTGATCTTTTTACTGTCTCTACAGTTTTGCCTTTTCTACAGTGTCAAACTTGGAATCATAACTACTCAGCTTCTTTCTTCTTTTTTTCTTTTTGAGATGGGGTCTCTTTCTGTTGCCCAGGCTGGAGTGCAGTGGCGTGAACTCCACTCACTGCAACCTCCACCTGCCAGGCCCAAGCGATCCTCCCACCCCAGCCTCTTCAATAGCTGGGATTACAGTCACGCGCCACCACACCCAGCTAATTTTTGTATTGTTTTGCAGAGACTGGGTTTCACTATGTTGCCTAGGCTGGTCTTGAACTCCTGGGCTCAAGCCCAGCACCTTGGCTTCCCAATGTGCTGGGATTACAGGTGTGAACCACCATGCCTAGCCAGTACTCAGATTCTTCATACAACATATGCTAATTGAGCACATGGTCCAATACTGTGGGCCAGACACTGTTCTGGGTCTGGAGATAATGCAATGAATGAAATACAGAAACTCTTTACCCCCGTTAAGCTTCTATTCTAATAGGAGAGAAAGCAACATAATAAAAAAACAGCCATCCCTTGGTATTCAAGGGAGATTGGTTCTAGGACACCCCTCTTCAGATACCAAAATCTGCTGATACTTAAATCCCTTATATAAAATGGTGTAGTATTTACATACAGTCTCTGTGTATGTCCTCCTGTACATTTTAAATAATCGCTAAATTACTTATAATACCTAATACACTGTAAATGCTATGAAAATGTTTTTATACCATATTGTTTAGGGAACAATGATGGGGAAAACGTCTGTACATATTCAGTGCAGATGCAACAACTTTTTTTTTTCTTCTAACATTTTCAATCTGAGGTTGGTTGAATCTGTGGGTGCAGGTCAGATACAGGGGGCTGGCTGTATACTGAATGCTATGAAGTAAAGCTAAAATTGAGTGAGAATGTAGAGATTGACTGGGGATGTTTTAAGTAAGGTAATCAAGCAAGGCCTGGGATGAGATGGTATTTGAAACGAGACCTGAATAAAGAAAAGACATTATCCTTGCTACTGTTTAGAGGGAAAGCATTCCCACTGGAGGTAATGGGATATGGAGAAGACTTGAGGTGAGAGGCTGTGTTTGGTGAGAGCAATAGCAGCAAGATCATTGTGACTGGAGCTAGGTAAGGAGGATAATAGGAAATAAAGTCAGAATTAGCCACGGGCAGAAGAGGTAAAGCCTAGGGCAGGGCTTACTGTCTTAGGTGCAGTGAGATTCCCTTGGAGATATATGACCTTTGCACACCAGCTGTGTTAATTTCAGTTTTTTAAATGAATTCCACTCTTTAAAGGCTTTTGAAATTTTCTCTTCTAGACCTTATTTTTCCTTTTATCTTCTTTTTTGAAAGGAAAGATAGTTTTATGTCACACCAGGTTAACTTTCCTCTCTTCATTGGGTTCTTTTTCTTTTGAAGGTCTTGTCTCTTGGCAGTCTCAATTTTCTGATATACTCCAGCCCATACCTTGCTGCTTTTGCTTCTGTAATCAGGTGTTTGTTTGTTTTTTTTTTTTTTCCATCTCCATGACCTAGAAAAGCAATGTATTTCATGGAGTCATAGACTTTTTTAGTTAGAAGGAACCTCACAAGATCCCCTGGTCCACCCTTCTGCCTTCAGGCAGGTAAAATATTCTCCTCATTTGACAGGTCAGCCAGCTGAGGTCTGAAAAGTTAAATGATGTACAGAGACCACACATACCTAGTTAGTGGCTGAATAGGTGCAGATTGAGTATCCCTTATCCAAAATGCTTGGGACAAGAAGTGTTTCAGATTTGGGATTTTTTTTAACTTTGGAATATTTGCATTATACTTACTGGTTCAGTATTCCTACCCTGAGGTCCAAAATGCTACCATGAGCATTTTATTTGAGCATCATTGGTGCTCAACAAGTTTTGGATTTTGAGGCTGGACACAGTGGCTCACACCTGTAATCCTATCCTTTGTGAGGCCAAAGTGGGTGGATCACTTGAGCTCAGGAGCTTGAGACCAGCCTGGGCAACATAGTGAAACCCTGTTTCTATGAAAAAATTAGCCAGGCATGGTGACACATGTTTGTGGTCCCAGCTACTCAGGAGGCTAAGGTGAAAGGATCTCTTGAGCCTAGTAGGCAGAGGTTGCAGTAAGCCAAGATTGCAACACTGCACTCCAGCCTGGGTAACACAGTGAGATACCATCTCAGAAACAAAAAAAGTTTTGGATTTTGGAGGATTACAAATTTCAGATTTCAACATTTCAGGTTAGGAATGCACAACCTCTATTGGAATTCAGGTTTCTTTCCGCCTAAAGTAATATTCCTCATTACATGTGCTAGTGTTTAGTAGATATTTTCCTAAGGAAGATTTAATCACTGGAATTTCTGAAATGAGAGGCCTTGCAGTGCCTAGTAAAATGACATTGTTGGCATTGCAAGTTGCTTTCATTCGTGGCTCTAGGTGATAGGCATTCATTTGAGTAAAGACTTATGCTTTGCTATTTAAAGCTTTGTATACTTTTTTGGAGGGTGGTCTGAAATGTGTGCTTTACTTTAGGTTGTGACTATTCTTTTCTGTGTTTTTTTTCTCCCAGAAGAAAAATTTGCCCAAGCAGTGTGTTTTTTGCTTGTAGACCTGTATATATTAACCTACCAAGCTGAGAAAGCTTTGCATCTTCTTGCTGTCCTAGAAAAAATGATTTCACAGGGTAACAATAACAAAAATGGAAAGAATGAGGTGAGTCTTTAGAGGTGATCAGACTAAAATCTAAAATGTGATTAATTCTCTCTACTTGTTGGTTTACTGGATTAAAAAGAAAGCAATTAAAATATGATTAATGTTTGTGGTTATGAACTATTAACAGCTTAAAGATACAATTTTCATATTATAAGCTTTACCATTTTAAAGTGTAGAGTTTAGTGGTTTTGAGTGTACTCACATTTGTACAACCATTACTACTATCTAATTTCAAAATATTTTTATCACCCCAAAAAGAAACCCTGTACCATTTGCAGTCACTCCCCATTTCCCCCTTTCCTCAGCCCCAAGCAGCCGTTAATCTAATTACTGTCTCTGAATTTACTGTCTGGACATTACATATGAATGGAATCATAATATGCGGCTATTTGTCACTGGCTTTTTTTACTTAGTGTAATGCTTTCAAGCTTCATCCATATTTTAGCATATACTTATTTTTGTTTCATGTACTTCATGCCTTTTGTGGCTGAATAATATTCCATTCATTATATGAATATGCCACATTTTAAAAAATTCTTTATCAGTTGGTGGACATTTGGGTTCTTTTCTACTTTTTGGTTATTATATATAGTGCTTCTGTGACCATTCATGTACAAATTTTTGTGTGGATATATGTTTTCAGTTACATTGGATATAATATTTAGGAATAGAATCACTGGGTTATATGGTATCTTAACTCTATATTTAACCCTATACAAGACTGTTTTACAAAGTGGCTGCACTATTTTAAATTCCCACCGGCCACTTGTGAGGTTGTAATTTCTCCACATTGTTACCAACACTTGTTATTGTCTATCTTTAAAAAAAAATTAGCTATCTTAGGGGGTGTGAAGTGGTATCTTGTTACAGTTTTGATTTTTATTTTCCTAATGACTAAGGATGTACATTGAGCATCTTTTCATATATGAGCTATTATTTTTATAGAATTGAAAGATTGGAATTAAGACAATAGAATCCATAACCTGGATAAACACTATTGCTTTCATTAGGGAAAATTTCATCATTAAAGTTCTTCAAAAAAAAAAAAAAAATACATGGCTGGGCGTGGTAGCTCACACCTGTAATCCCAGCACTTTGAGAGTCCAAGGCGGGTGGATCACCTGAGGTCAGGAGTTAGAGACCAGCCTGGCCAACATGGTGAAACCGTGTCTTTACTAAAAATACAAAAAATAGCTGGGCATGGTGGCACACAACTGTAATTCCAACTACTCAGGAGGTTGAGGCACGAGAATCACTTGAAACTGGGAGGCGGAGATTGCAGTGAGCCAAGATTACGCCACTGCACTCCAGCCTGGGAGACAGAGCAAGACTCAAACTCAAAAATAAAAAAGCATACATTTATGATGTTTAAGCTTCACCATGTTCTGGTGAGAGACTTGGTGCCCAGTATGAGTATATCCTGGGTCTCATGTTTTTCTTTTATTTGTGCTTCTGGTTATCAAGGGATGACCCTTCTTACTTCCGTTTTCTGTCCCTTTGTTTTAAAAGGAGTATTTGCAGGAAACGTTGCCAATACCTTTTTGCCTGTGTACATTCTTGATGTTTAAAAAGAAAATAAACATCTGGCATTACTTTTTTCAATTTAAGTGTGTATTCATAAGGGATTTCAGTTGAATAACCTTAGCATTATACCGAAACATTGTGTAGTAAAATATTTATATTCAGTACTTGTAAAATTTGATTAAATATAATTTAATTTAGCAGATGCTTATGTGCTCTGCCCGGTTCTAAGGTACTCTGCTAGGTACTAAGGTGACAAAAACAAAAACGTTGCAGTCCTTGCTTTCAAGGATCTCATGTCTAGGAAGAGATAAATTGGGCAACATCTGGTCATGGACAAGGAGGAAAGAGGTGAAAGAGGTTAGGGAATGTTTCAAAGGAATTTGGATGTTTGTTTTGGGCCTTGGAAGATGGTTAATAGTTTGACAAGTCAGACAAGGAGGGGTAGAGCAGGATAACCAGCCTGGCAGAGAATATCACAAAAGGTATGAGCTTAATGGTGTGCTGGAGACCTTTCTGGTAATGAAATGAACAGTACCAGAGAAATGCAGAGGAGAGCAGTGGGAGATGATGTTGGCAATATGAGTGTGAGTGATAGCTTGAAGAACTTTGAATACTAGAAAGTTCAAATTTGATATGATTGGCAGTGTTCATAACAGAGAAAGTTTTAAGAAGTGGGTAGATCTGTTCTGGGTTTTAGAAAGATATTCTGAGTTTTGCTTAAAGTAATATTCATGTTTTTTAAAACAAGCCCAGGCTGGCCACAGTGGAGACCCCCGTCTCTATGAAAAATTAAAATTGTAAATAAATAAAACCAGCTCATTATTACGTTCGACTGTGAGCTTCTCATGAGTAGAGCTTCCTGTCACCCACTCTAGACTACTGAACCTCAGTCTCTAGGAGTGGGACCTGGGATTCTGCATTTTTTAAAGACAGGGTCTTGCTCTGCCACCTCAGGCTGGAGTATAGTAGTAGCACAATCACGCCTCACTGCAGCCTTGATCTCCTGGGCTCAGGCAGTCTTCCCACCTCAGCTTCCTGAGTAGCTGGGACTACAGGTACATGGCCACCATGCCCAGCTAATTTTTGTATTTTTTGTAGAGATGCGATTTTGCCATGTTACTCAAGCTGGTCTCGAACTCCTGGGCTCAAGCGATCCGCCCGCCTCTGCCTTCCAAAGTTCTGGGATTACAGGCATGAACCACCATTTCCCACAAATTCTACATTTTGAAAATGCTCTCTAGGTAATTTAGATTAGCTCACTTGGAAATCACTGATTTAAATTATGGTCAAAAATATTTAATTTTGATAAACTTTGTTTCATCACCCTACAGACTGGTAATAACAACAACAAAGATGGATCTAATCATAAAGCTGAAAGTGGAGCTCTAATAGAAGCTGCAAAATCAAAGATACATCAGGTAGTATAAATTTTAAAGGGGGGCAATACATCACATATATTTAATTGTAGTTATGACAAATGAAGCAATGAGATAGATCATTGGAAGCAGTCAATAATTCAAGGTGCATATATTTGTTTGTCTTTTGAAGTATTGTAGTTTAGAAGCACATTTATCCTAAATACATTTTTCTTAAGAGGATAATATAATTTATTTAAATTGCTCTATAAATAAAGTTTGAGAGAAATGGCACGGGAATGTACTGCATGATAAAATCAACTGGAATTTTAAAAAGTCATTGTTAGCCATGTGCAGAAGAGGATTGATAGGATTTTTGCCCGGAACTTGAGTATTTAAGTTTTTTGTTTGTTTTTTGAGACGGAGCCTCACTCTGTCACCCAAGCTGCAGTGCAATGGTGCGATCTCGGCTCGCTGCAACCTCTGCCTCCCAGTTTCAAGCGATTCTCCTGCCTCAGCCTTCCTGAGTAGCTGGGATTACTAGTGCGCATCACCACACCCGGATAATTTTTTGTATTTTTAGTAGAGACAGGGTTTCATCATGTTGGCCAGGCTGGTCTCAAACTCCTGACCTCAGGTGATCCACCTGCCTCGGCCTCCAAAGTACTGGGATTACAGGCGTGAGCCACCACATCTGGCTAAGTTTTTATTCTACCGTGATTTTAGTATTTTGAAGTATATTCGAAGAGTACAGTGAAAATAGCATATTTTCTAAAATTGTAAACTTGATTTAGCAAGTAATTAGTGTAACTATGTTGTAAATAGATTGGGTTTTCTTAACTAGAAAGTAAAACTGTATGTAAATCCACCATAGTTTTAACATACTAACATTTTCCCTTTGACAGTACAAAGTACGAGCTTATATCCAAATGAAGTCTCTGAAAGCATGTAAAAGGGAAATCAAGTCAGTCATGAATACAGCTGGAAATGTAAGTTTCTTCTGGACTTTTGTTTTTCAATTTGTGTCTTTCTTATTTAGACTATGGGTATTGTCAGGTTTAAATAATTTATCTTAGTCTTTTACATATACTGCCAGATATGAACCTTGCTATTTTAAAGTTGGGAAGTAGTAATAATACTGTGTCTATAGTTTAATTTTTTTTTTTTTACTTAAAATTACAACAAGCACTTTTCTATTTTATGTAACCTTCAAAACCACCATTTTAAATAACTGCCTATTTTTCTGTGACTGGTTTATCACAACTCACTTAAACATTTTGCTAATATTAGACATTTAGGTTATTTTAGAATTTTTTAGTATTATACTCAAAACATTTATGGCCAGGTGGTGACTCACCTGTAATCCCAGCACTTTAGGAGGCCAAGGTGGGCGGATCACCTGAGGTCAGGAGTTCAAGACCAGCCTGGTCAACATGATGAGACCCTGTCTCTACTAAAAATACAAAAATAAGCCGGGTGTGGTGGCGTGTGCCTGTAGTCCCAGCCACTAGGGAGGCTAAAGTGGGAGGATCACTTGAACCTGGGAAGCAGAAGTTGCAGTGAGCTGAGATCGTGTCATTTCACGCTAGCCTGGGCAACAGGGTGAGACCCTGTCAAAAAACATTTTTTAAATAAAAAAAAATTTATTAAAAATCTAACAGTCAAATTATAGCCAAAACCTGCCCCTTCCAAGTGACTTTTGGCTTGACAGTACCTTCGATTTAACTGAGATAGAATTACTTCTTCCTTCCACTCCCTCCACCCTAATCTTTCATTGATAATTTTTAAGATGGTGTAGGAAAGAAACAGAATTGTGAACAATCTTGATGCTTCTAGAAAAACTATAAATTTAGAAGTATAAAGTCATGAGAAAATATGGTTAAAAATCTCAGGCAGGATCCAGATTAGTCACTGAGTTAGTTAATATGCTAGTGATTTTTGAGAACAATTGTGGCCTAGACCTGAGCCTAAGAGGGAAAGGCCCAGTTAGCCAGCCACCCATTATCAAACTTTTTTTTTTTTTTTTTTTTTTAATGATAAAAGACATAATTCCTAGCCAGGCGCGGTGGCTCACGCCTGTAATCCCAGCACTTTGGGAGGCTGAGGCGGGCGGATCACGAGGTCAGGAGATCGAGACCATCCTGGTTAACACAGTGAAACCCCATCTCTACTAAAAATACAAAAAATGAGCCGGGCGTGGTGGCGGGCGCCTGTAGTCCCAGCTACTCGGGAGGCTGAGGCAGGAGAATGGTGTGAACCCGGGAGGCGGATCTTGCTGTGAGCCGAGACCGCGCCACTGCACTCCAGCCTGGGCGACAGAACAAGACTCATTCTCAAAAAAAAAAAAAAAAAAAAAGACATAATTCCTGCCTTAAAGGAGACCACAGTCATAGAGGAAAGACAATTGAAAATTAATAGTCATCCTAAATCGGCGAAAACTTCAGGAGGAATAGCTACCACTAAGAATAAGCACTGAAAGCCCTTGTTTCTTTAGTGACCAGAACTTTGGGGTGGGTGGGAGGCAGAGCAAAGGATAAACTAGGATTTAGAAGGAAAGCCTGTTGCTAAATTAAGTGAATAAATAGGCCAGGCGTGATGGCTCATGCCTGTAATTGCAGCACTTTGGAAGGCTGAGACAGGCAGATCACCTGAGGTCAGGAGTTTGAGACCAACCTTGCCAACATGGGGAAGCCCCATCTCTACTAAAAATAAAAAAATTAGGTCGGGCATGGTGGCTCACGCCTGTAATCCCCACACTTTGGGAGGCTGAGGCAGGCGGATCCCAAAGTCAGGAGTTCAAGACCAGCCTGACCAACATGGTGAAACCCCATCTCTACTAAAAATACAAAAATTAGCCAGGTGTGGTGGCATGCGCCTGTAATCCCAGCCACTGAGGAGGCTGAGGCAGGAGAATTGCTTGAACCCGGGAGGCGGAGGTTGCAGTGAGCCGAGATCGCGCCACTGCACTCTAGCCTGGGCAACGGAGCGAGACTCCGTCTAAAAACAAAAACAAAAACAAAAATTTGCCTGGCATGGTGGCGCATGCCTGTAATCCCAGCTACTCAGGAGGCTGAGGCAGGAGAATTGTTTGAACCTAGGAGGCGGAGGTTGCAGTGATCCGAGATCATGCCACTGTACTCCAGCCTGGGTGACAGAGCAAGACTCCGTCTCAATCAATCAATCACTCAATCAGGATTCCAGATGTCCTCCTGGATGGATGTTGAGTCTCCAGAGCTCTCTGCATGCTTTCGTACTCTAAACAGGTAGTACTATCTAGGGTCCTCCACCAGGAGGATTCTTAGGAGAAGTGAAAGGTGATCTACCATTCAAAACGTGATCTTTGGAACAGCAAGATTAGTGCTTGCAAATAAGGCATTCTGTTGAAAATTCTTCTATTTGTAGAATGGCACTTTTTTTTTCCTATTTGGAAAAGTATTTGATTATTTATATCTCTGTAGGTTCTAATGAAAGGTGCATTTGTATCCTAAAAAGTAAGAAAGATCACCAGTCTCTCTAATAACTATTAAAATGAAGGACATAGATTGTGTTGTCAAATTGGTTTTCAGTTAGTAGTGTAGTAGATGAACACAATCAGTTGATAATCTACAGACTGTATTCTTATACATATACCTATATTTATTTTTTCAGGTGGACCCTTAGTAATTATTTTTACAAAGTGCTCTCTGACAAGTTTCAATTTTTTTGATTGTGAGAGCAATGAAAAATTTAGAGACTATATAATTTTTTGTGACTGACTTAATTGATTCATTTATGGTTTTGAACACGTCAGTACAACAGTATAATTAAGATCTTACATTAGGCGTCTGAAAACAAATTATAAGTAACTTTTATATTTTCTCTACAGTCCGCACCCTCTCTCTTTCTTAAAAGCAATTTTGAGTACTTAAGAGGTAATTATCGAAAAGCCGTGAAGCTATTAAATAGTTCAAACATTGCTGAGCATCCAGGATTCATGAAAACAGGTAAAAGAAAATTGTGAAATTTTAACTTTTTTTTGCCTTGCTCTTCTACCCCTTCTTGCTTGTCCACCTCCCAACACCCAGTCTTTTGAGTGATTTATGCTAATTTTTTAATGAAAATGTTTTAATATTTCTGGTGCAAAAATTTCCAGGAATTCTTGTTTCTACTTTAGAAGAAACCTCATTACTTCTTGCTTTCACTTTGCTTTCTTTCTTTTTTTTACTTTTCCAGGTTGGATCGCTTTCCTCCCCTCCCCCACCTTTTTTATTTTTATTTTATTTTATTTTATTTTTTTGGAAATAGGGTCTTGCTGAGTGCAGTGCCACAATCACAGCTCACTACAGCCTCAACCTCCTAGGCTCCAGCGATCCTCCCACCTCACCCTCCCAGGTAGCTGGGACTATAGGCATGCACCACCATGCCTGGCTTATTTATTGTAGAAACAAGGTCTCATTATGTTGCCCAAGCTGGTCTCAAACTCCTGGGCTCAAGTGATCCGCTGACCTCAGTCTCCCAAAGTGCTGGGATTACAGGCATGCACCACTGTGCCTGGCCCAGATAGCTTGTCTTTTTTCTTTAACCTGACTTGCCTGCCCTCCCTCCCTCCCTTCCTCCCTTCCTCCCTTCCTCCCTTCCCTCCTTCCTTCTTTCTTTTCCTTCTTTTCCTTCCTTCCTTCCTTCCTTCCTTCCTTCCTTCCTTCCTTCCCTTCTTCCCTTCCTTCCCTTCCCTCCCTTCCCTCCTTTCCTTCCCTTCCTTCTCTTCCCTTCCTTCTGTTCCCTTCCCTCCCTCTCTTCCTTCCTTCCCTTCCTTCCCTTCCTTTCTTTCCTTTCTTTTTTTTTTTTTTTTTTTGACAGAGTCTTGCTCTGTTGCCTGAGCTGGAGTGCAGTGGCACCATCTTGGCTCACTACAGCCTCCACCTCCCTCCCGGGTTCAAGCAATTCTCCCACCTCAGCCTCCTGAGTAGCTGGGACTACAGGCACGCACCACCATGCTCAGCTAATTTTTGTATTTTTTGGTAGAGACAAGGTTTCCATGTTGCCTAGGCTGTATCGAACTCCTGACCTCAAGTGACCCGCCCACCTCAGCATCTCAAAGTGCTGGGATTACAAGTGTGAGCCACCGCACCTGGCCCTTTCATTTGTTTTTGTAAGATCCTTGGACTTTTGCTTTGTGAAGTGAGACCTAATTTTTCTTTCATCTTTTTTTTTTTTTTTTTTTTTTTTTAGTGAATTACCATCTATACCAGAAAAGTGAGGCCTTTTAAGTAAATAATATGTTTTTACTTTTTTCTGCCATAAAGCCAGTTAATAATATAATTTTTTTCAGTAACTTGCCCAATTAATATGACTTCTTTAGATCATTACCTAGATCAAAAATCTTTCTATAATGCTAGGAAGATAAGTATTATTACATATTCTTTTTTTTTTTTTTTTTGAGCCAGTGTCTCCCTCCGTCGCCCAGGCTGGAGTGCAGTGGCACAATCTCGGCTCACTGCAAGCTCTGCCTCCTGGGTTCGCGACATTCTCCTGCCTCAGCCTCCCGAGTAGCTGAGACTACAGGCGTCTGCCACCGCGCCCGGCTAATTTTTTGTATTTTTTTTTTTAGTAGAGACAGGGTTTCACCGTGTTAGCCAGGATGGTCTCGATCTCCTGACCTCGTGATCCGCCCGCCTCGGCCTCCCAAAGTGCTGGGATTACAGGCGTGAGCCACCGTGCCCGGCCTATTACATATTCTTGCCTCTATTTAGACTAAAAAGTCTTACAAATCCTTTGATACTAATGATAATATGAAAGTAAAAATTGTGACTGTCATTTAGGTTTATATCATCAGTATTTGATGGGGCAGGAGAAGGAAAATCACTTATTCGAGAAATGAGGATAAACTATTGAAAATGTATATTTTGCCTCAAGTTTAAAATGCAAACAATTAATATGTATTTTGGTATGTTTTGTCTTGTTTTTTTTGGATTCTACCCAGATACACGCACAGAATACACATGCAAACATACTGAGACCTTCCCCTATTTACCCTTTCAGTTCACAGGAGTGATGGAGGATGGAGAAAGGCACTTTTTCCTTATAATTCTCTTGTGGGTATTATTTCTGTTCTAAATACCCATTTCTAATTCTGCTCAATTTTAGTGTTTTGTTTTCATTGTCATAGTTTCTCCTCAGAGGTCCACTAACACACAACATGCAATGATCCCTCAAACTAAAAAGATAATATACTTTGAGAAAATTTTGCTTAGGATTTTCTTCATGTAGGTGTCAGTATTGACATTGTCAATCTTTAAAATGAAGGCAGGAGCTGGAAGTGGTGGCTCATGCCTGTAATCCTAATGCTTTGGGAGGCCAAGGCAGGAGGACCAGGAGTTCGAGGTTCCAGTGAATCATGATCATGCCACTGCACTCCAGCCTGGGCAACAGAACAAGGCCTTGTCTCTAAAAATAAATTAATAAATAAAGATGGCCAGGCGTGGTGGCTCACACCTATAATCAATCCCAGCACATTGGGAGACTGAGGCCGACGGATCACTTGAGGTCAGGAGTTCAAGACCAGGCTGGCCAACATGGAGAAACCCCGTCTCTACACAAAATACAAAAATTAGCCAGGCGTGATGGCATGCGCCTGTATTCCCAGCTACTTAGGATCCCAAAGTGCTGGAATTGTAGGTGTGAGCCACCGAGCTCAGTCTAGTTTTCCTCTTTTAAATATTGTCATTGCTTAATTTAAAAATATGTCAGAAGATTACCTTTAGATTTTAAGTGCTAAACAATAAATATCCTGATTATTAATTTTGTCATTCTAGTCAGGCATTTTATGTCATTAAGGGCCATTGTTTTGGAATGTTTGGGTAGCTATTTAGAAAAACAATATTAAAGGCCGGGCACGGTGGCTCACACCTGTAATCTCAGCACTTTGGGAGGCTGAGGCGGGCAGATCACAAGGCCAGGAGATAAAGACCATCCTGACTAACACGGTGAAACCCCGTCTCTACTAAAAATACAAAAAATTAGCCAGGTGTGGTGGCGGGCGCCTGTAGTCCCAGCTACTCAGGAGGCTGAGCAGGAGAATGGCATGAACCCGGGAGGCAGAGGTTGCAGTGAGCTGAAATTGCGCCACTGCACTCCAGCCTGGGCGACAGAGTGAGACTCCGTCTCAAAAAAAAAAAAAAGAAAAGAGAATATTAAAGCTTAGATTACTTTCATTACGCCAAAATAAAATTCAGAGAGATGAAGGATTAACATTTAAAAATAAATAAAAGCAGTAAGATAAAACTTGGATGAATATTTTAATTTTGTGATGGAGAAGGCTTGAGTAAACATTTTCCAAAATCTAAGTACCATAGAATTTAGAAAACATGGCTAAATTTGATCACATTAAAATGTTAAACATTTTATGATTCAAAATGTAAACACACATACACATACTGAACCAAGTCACGAAACAAATGACAAACAGAGGTGGGCAGGAATATTTGAAACAGATGTGACAGAAGGTTTCTATAACATGTAAAACAACTAGTAACCAACAGAAAAAACATCTGTAACCAAATAAAGCAATAGATCAGCCAGGAACGGTGCTCACACTTGTAATCTCAGCACTTTGGGAGGTCGAGGCAGGAGGATCACTTGATTCCAGGAGTTTGCGACCAGCCTGAGCAACACAGGGACCCTGTCTCTGCAAAAAAATTAAAAAATTAGCTGGGCATGGTGGCCCGTGCCTGTAGTCCCAGCTACTCAGGAGGCTGAGGCATGAGGATTGCTTGAGCCCAGGAGGTCGATGCTGCAGTGAGCCCTAATTATGCCACTGCACTGTAGGCTGGGCGATGGAATGAGACCCTGTCTCAGAGAAAGAAAAAAATTAATACGGGTGAAAGACAAGAGGCAACACAGGCTGAAAAATACAAATTCCCAAACATGAAAAGATGCTTAGCTGCAGTGGTATTTAAAGAAGTGTGAATTAAAATCAGTGGAGACTTACAGTTTAATAGACATACTCTGTTCTGTTCCTTTTTTTTTTTTTTTTTTCTTTGAGACAGTCTCATTCTGTCACCCAGGCTGGAATGCAGTGGTGCGATCTCGGCTCACTGCAACCTCTGCCCTCTAGGGCCAAGCAATTCTCCTACCTCAGCCTCCCGAGTAACTGGGATTACAGGCGCCCTCCACTACGCCCGGCTAATTTTTTTTTTTTTTTTTTGAGACGGAGTCTTGCTCTGTCACTCAGGCTGGAGTGCAGTGGTGCGATCTCGGCTTACTGCAAGCTCTGCCTCCTGGGTTCCCGCCATTCTCCTGCCTCAGCCTCCCGAGTAGCTGGGACTACACGCGCCCGCCACCACGCCCGGCTAATTTTTTGTATTTTTAGTAGAGACGGGGTTTCACCATGTTAGCGAGGATGGTCTCCATCTCCTGACCTCGTGATCCGCCCACCTCGGCCTCCCAAAGTGCTGGGATTACAGGCGTGAGCCACTGCGCCCAGCCCAATGCCTGGCTAATTTTTGTGTTTTTAGTGGAGGTGGGGTTTCACCATGTTGGCCAGGCTAGTCTCGAACTCCTGACCTCAAGTGATCCACCCGCCTCAGCCTCCCAAAGTGCTGGGATTACAGGCATGAGCCATCGTACCCAGCCTCACTCTGTTCTTTTCTATATATTCTTGCTATTCACTTAATATGCTTTGGTTGTTTCCATGCATACTTGCTTCCTTGTTTCTAATTTCTACATAATATTTCATTAGTGGATGCAATGCATATACATTATATTACTGATAAACACTTTTTGTCTTTTGCATTTTTGTATCATTTGTCTACAGTTACTAAAAATTAGCTGGGCATGGTGGCTCATGCCTGTAATCCCAGAACTTTGGGAAGCCAAGGTGAAAGGGTTGCTTGAGCCCAGGAGTTCGAAACCAGGGTAGGCAATATAGTGAGACCCTATTTTAAAAATTGTTTTAAAAAAGGAAAAAAAAATCCACAAAATTAGAGTAACAAAATAGGACTGGTTTTTTTAAAATAATTTGTATCACCTTTAATAAAAGAGATTTTAAAAGGAGTTTTAAAATTTTTCAGATATTTCCTAAATTTCAAATGCCTTGTGAACTGTTCTTTAGGGAGTAAGTGGAATGGTAACAGTGTTAACTCGTGCAAGATGAGCCCAATTCTTGTCTGAGGGACATCAACATTAAAATTTTTCTGTGGACAAATTTATTTGCATTTTTTTCAGGTGAATGCTTGAGATGCATGTTCTGGAATAACCTTGGTTGCATCCATTTTGCCATGAGCAAGCACAATTTGGGAATATTCTACTTTAAAAAGGCTCTGCAAGAGAATGACAATGTCTGTGCACAGCTCAGTGCAGGTAGCACTGATCCAGGTAAGCCCAGTACTGGGGGACAGTTTGTATTTACTACTTCAGAAAAGCATGATTTAAAAAGCATGAATGTGGTTAAAATACCCACCATGTAGACTTACATATAGTTAACTCTGATCTTACCCAACAAGTTTGGCTCTGGGGATTTTTAGTAGATATTGCTACTTTGAAGAGCAATAACAAGGTGTTAAGAGTAATTTTGAATTATCCAGAAATTTAAGTTGCATTCCATTTTTCATTGATTTGAAAATGAGTAATTCCCTGTGGTAATGTTATATACCAGAATGTTTGATTAGTCACAACATGACTGTGCCAAACTAGGTTTATTATAGTTTTGTTTTGTTTTGTTTTGTTTTGTTTTGTTTTGAGACAGAGTCTAGCTCTATCACCCAGGCTGGAGTGCAATGGTGTGATTTCAGCTCATTTCAACTTCTGCCTCCTGGGCTCAAGTGACCCTCCCACTTCAGCCTCCTGAGTAGCTGGAACTACAGACACATGCCACTGTACCTGGCTAATTTTTGTGTTTTTTGTAAAGATAGGGTTTCACCATGTTGCCCAGGCTGGTCTGGAACTCCTGGCTTAAGTGATCCTCCCACCTCAGTCTTCCAAGGTGCTGGAATTACAAGCATAAGCCACTGTGCCCGGCTTGTTATAGATTCTTTGCAGAGTTTTACATGTGATACTACTGGCAGCATCTGACGGTCTTTAAGCAAATTCCTGACATTTATCCTTTAATATTCATTATCATATGGATCCTTGATCTGAAATGCCTAAAATCAAACAATTATTTAGCTTTTAAAAATAATAACCTATTTAGGCCAGGGGCGGTGGCTCACGCCTGTAATCCCAGCACTTAGGGAGGCCGAGGTGGGCAGATCACGAGGTCAGGAGATCGAGACCATCCTGGCTAGCACAGTGAAACCCTGTCTCTACTAAAAATACAAAAAAAATTAGCCGAGCATGGTGGCAGGCGCCTGTAGCCCCAGCTACTTGGGAGACAGAAGCAGGATAATGGCGTGTACCCAGGAGGCGGAGCTTGCCGTGAGCCGAGATCATGCCACTGCACTCCAGCCTGGGTGACAGAGCGAGACTCTGTCCATAATAATAATAATAATAATAATAATAATAATAATAACCTATTTAATTGATGGCAAATGTATTATAAATCAAGGTAGACCGAAACATTGAATAGGTTTTATTGTCATGAACACATGACAATAAAATGGTTAACCAAGATGAATTTTTTTTTTTTTTTTTTTTTTTTTCCTGAGACGAAGTCTCACCCTGTTGCCCAAGCTGGAGTGCAGTGGCGTGATCTTGGCTCACTGCATCCTCCACGTCCCAGGTTCAAGCAATTTTCCTGCCTCAGCCTCCCGAGTAGCTGGGACTACAGGCACATGCCACCATGCCCGGCTAATTTTTGTATTTTTAGTAGAGATGGGGTTTCACTATTTTGGCCAGTCTGGTTTTGAACTCCTGACTTCGTGATCTGCCCGCCTTGGCCTCCCAAAGTGCTGGGATTACAGGCGTGAGCCACTGTGCCCAGCTGAAAATTTTAAAAAGTGGAAACTTTATATAGACTCTAAAAATGTTGGCTAGGAAAGATGGCTCATGCCTGTAATCCCAACATTTAGGGGAGGCCAAGGTGGATCACTTGAGTCCAGGAGTTCAAGACCAGCCTGGGCAACATAGTGAGACCCCCCCATCTCTACAAAAATAAAAATAAAAAATAAAAGAGAATAAAGTAAAAATGTAGAAAAGTAGTATAAGGTGCAAAGGAGTGAGAGCGGGTCCCATCACTTATCTTTGCCTTCCTGGAACGTTGTTGCCTGAGGAGCTGGCAAATGAGAAGAGACATCTCTGGCTCTGCTAGCATAGACAACTAAGATGACTCTGGAGAATATTTGTGGGGTTGAGAATGGAGACCACCATTGGCGAGAGCTATTAAAACTCAGATCAGGATTATTGGTGTTAAACATGGTAGTGTCTAAGTACTTAATGGAGTAAATGTTTTCAAGGTTACTATTACTGTAAATCTAATGATGTATTCTTATCTAATTTTTATCACTAGGTAAAAAATTTTCAGGAAGACCCATGTGTACGTTACTAACCAATAAGAGATATGAGTTGCTGTATAACTGTGGAATTCAGCTTCTTCACATTGGAAGGCCTCTTGCTGCCTTCGAATGTCTGATTGAAGCTGTTCAGGTTTATCATGCAAATCCTCGCCTCTGGCTACGGCTGGCTGAATGCTGCATTGCTGCCAATAAGGGGGTGAGTGCTACTTGGGTATCTTTTTAAACCCTGTCTTCTCCCCACTTACTACATGGAATGGTTAAAAAAAAAAAAAAAACCTTGGAAACATACATAAGACATTTCTCTTTTTATTTATTTATTTATTTATTTATTTATTTTTTGAGACGGAGTTTCTCTCTTATTGCCCAGGCTGGAGTGCAATGTTACGATCTCGGCTCACTGCAACCTCCACCTCCCGGGTTCAAGCGATTCTTCTGCCTCAGCCTCCCAAATAGCTGGGACCACATGCACATGCCACCACGCCCAGCTAATTTTGTATTTTTAGTAGAGACGAGGTTTCACCATGTTGCCCAGGCTGGTCTTGAACTCCCGACCTTATGTGATCTAGCCACCTCAGCCTCCCGAAGTGCTGGGATTACAGGCGTGAAATGTATAGTCTTCTCTTCTTAACCACTGGGGGAAATTAGTTTCAAAAAGTCATTTGTTGGCCGTGCGCAATGGCTCACGCCTGTAATCCAAGCACTTTAGGAGGCTGAGGCGGGTGGATCACTTGAGCTCAGGAGTCCAAGACCAGTCTGGACAACATAGTGAGACCTCCATCTCTACAAAAAATTACTGGGTGTGGCAGTGAGCGCCTGTAGTCCCAGCTATTCAAGAGGCTGAAGCGGGAAGATCGTTTGAGCCTGGGAGGTGGAGGTTGGAGTGAGACCAGATAGAGCCACTGCACTCCACCTTAGGCAACAGAGCGAGACCCTGTCTCAAAAAAAATAAAAATAAAAATTTAAAAAGTCATTTGTTAACATTCTCATTCTTGGTAAGTAAGTATGGCAACATTAAAGAGTTGAAGCCAGTGAGAAAGTCATGTATGTTGGAACAGTGGTCTGCTAGCTGCTCCAGGGGTCAGGATACATGCATCTGCTGGCGTAAGAATAGTGTGTAGCCTGGTGATTAGAAAAGGTCTGATAACAGCCAGGTGCGGTGGTCACGCCTGTAATCCCAGCACTTTGGGAGGCCGAGGCGGGTGGATCACGAGGTCAGGAGATCGAGACCATCCTGGCTAACACAGTGAAACCCCCGTCTCTACTAAAAATGCGAAAAATTAGCCGGGCGTTGTGGGCCTGTAGTCCCAGCTACTCGGGAGGGTGAGGCAGGAGAATGACGTGAACCCAGGAGGCGGAGCTTGCAGCTAGCCAAGATCGCGCCACTGCACTCCAGCCTGGGTGACAGAGAGACTCTGTCTCAAAAAAAAGTTCTGATAACATAATGTGGAAAGAGCTGCATTAAGCTGGATTTCCATCAATGCCTGAGGGTTTTACTTTGGTTTCAGTAAATGATACAGAGTTTATGGATTACCAGGCTGTTTCTCTCTGACACATGATTGCCCATGGTAGCTATGGGAATAGGCCAGTTTACATTGATTTCCATGCTTAGATAATCTCTAAATGGCAATTGGTGGAAGCCTTTTGAATTTCAATTTGGGAGGGATCAGTAGGAGATAGGGGAAAGACGGGTTGTGTCAGAATTACCAGATATGTGTGTCTTCCATTTGCTACCCCATGCCCTGCCCTTGCTGTGCTTTTTGGGTGTGTATAGACATTGGGAAGGTATGGTACCTGGAGGTTTTACCTTGCATGCCTACCATAGGTGATATAAGATGTTGAGGCTCTCCTCCCGCTGAACAGCAGTTTCTGAGAAGTACAAGAACTAAGGGGATTAAAGAAGTGTGTTTGCTAGTTTTCATACATGGTACTTAGGTAGTTTGTGATTTGAGTATACCAACAGAGGAAGAGATGAGTGATTTGTCTTTGAAAGACTTTAATGATTTAATTATACTTTGCTTTTTAAAAGACAACTTTCTTATTGGTTAATTCTTAACTGATAAACAGTTCTAGGCAGAATTTATACTTCTTTTTTTTTTTTTTTTTTTTTTTTTTGAGACGGAGTCTCGCCCTGTCGCCCAGGCTGGAGTGCAGTGGCGGGATCTCGGCTCACTGCAAGCTCCGCCTCCCGGGTTCACGCCATTCTCCTGCCTCAGCCTCCCAAGTAGCTGGGACTACAGGCGCCCGCCACTACGCCCGGCTAATTTTTTGTATTTTTAGTAGAGACGGGGTTTCACCGTTTTAGCCGGGATGGTCTCGATCTCCTGACCTCGTGATCCGCCCGCCTCGGCCTCCCAAAGTGCTGGGATTACAGGCGTGAGCCACCGCGCCCGGCCCAGAATTTATACTTCTTAAAGATAAAAGAAGCAAATAGAAATTGCTTATTCTCTTTAATCTGTTTATAAATTTAAGTGTTGGGCGCCTTTCTTTGGTATTTACTGGAAACCAGGGAGTTACCTTTTTCTGGGACTAGGGAAAGATTGTAAAGTTTAATATTTTCTTTTTAAATTAACTGGTTTTAGAAATAGTACTTTTAGGATTGTGTTCTACAGAAGCCATTAAGCTTACAAGGTCTCCTCCCCTCCCCCTAGAGGAGAAGGAGCGGGAGGGGAGGATAAGTATTTTCCATATTAATATGCTGCCAGTCCTGTTTTTTTTTCTAGAAAAGTTGTAAATTTGTAATTTTTAAAAAATGGTAAAGATGACTTTCGGTTGCCATAACTTCATGAACACACACAATTTGTGCTGCTAATAGGAAACTTGCCACCAGTAATATCTTTGTGCTTTTCCTCCTCCTAAAAAAAAACTTTAGGGTAACCTAAAAAACAGTAAAAACAAGCCCAAAACACTAATAAAATCAGAGGACAAATCCCAATACGAGTAATTGTAAACTCCAAATAAAATTCCATAAAATTTGTTTTATTTAGTCAGGACAGGAGGTATGCTGAACAAAGTAGTTTGTACCTTCAGAAATAAATTCATTTTGGATTTAAAAAAATTAACTTGTTTATGCTAAGGAGGACATTTTGTCCTGAATATCTGGTACATATTATTTCAGACTTGGCAGAGGCAAGGCTTATATTTACCTGGGCAGTGTATAAATATGGGAAAAGATCTGCTAAACAAAAATAGTCCCAATATTTTAATTATGTATGATCCTTTTACCTTAAAACTTATCTGGCACACTTTCTGGCTATCGGTGCTTGAAGGTATGGATTATTATTCTACGTTTTTTAGTTCCATTCCATCGTGGGCCAGTTTGTTTTCATCTGTTGCATCTTCGTATCTAGCCATTTGGATCAGTTTTCATGGCCTTAGCAATAAGAAAAGAGAAGAGAATATGGATGAATCCATGTAAATTGATTACCACAACTAGGAAAAGAAGTCAGAACGGAAGTCCTCACAATAATGGTTTAAAATATCCACTTTTTCATTAATATTGCATGGCCTTCTCTATACACAATTAGTTTTGATCAGAGAAGTTTTATTGTATTTTTTAGCACTGTGTAGTATGTTCTTTATTAAAAGTCATATATGGAAGTGCAACTATAATAAGTTACATTCAGGAGCAATAAGTAACAGTACAGAAACATTTGTGTTTAGAGAAAAGACTTTTTGCAGGGCAGAGATTAGTTTTGCAAATTCATATTGATTGACTCCGGTTTGTTCTGGTATGTGAGAATTTGGATGTCATTATAAGATAACTACTTGGGATTCCACCTGCAGGTAAATTAGAGACTTGTTTTATTTTATTTTATTTTTGAGACAGAGTCTCACTCTTCACTCAGGCTTGAGTGCAGTGGCGTGATCATGGCTCACTGCAGTCTCGACCTCCCTGGTGTCAAGCGATCTTCCCTCCTCAGCTTCCCTAGTAGCTGGGACTATAGGCATGCATGACCGCACTTGGCTAATTTTTGTATTTCTTTGTAGAGGTGGAGTTTCACCACATTGCCCACACTGGTCTCAAGTTCCTGGGCTCTAGCGATCCACCCGCCTCAGCCTCCCAAAGTTCTAGGATTACAGGTGTGAGCCACCTTGCCCAGCTTAGTTTTATTTTTTAGATTTGGCCTAGAGCAGTGGTTCATGCCTGTATTCCCAGCACTTCGGGAGGCTGAGGCGGGTGGATCAGAAGGTCAGGAGATCAAGACCATCCTGGCTAACATGGTGAAACTCCATCTCTACTAAAAATACAAAAAATTAGCCAGGTTGTTGTGGCACCCACCTGTAGTCCCAGCTACTCAGGAGGCTGAGGCAGGAGAATTGCTTGAACCTGGGAGGCGGAGGTTGCAGTGAGCCGAGATTGTGCCACTGCACTCCTGCCTGGGTGACAGAGTGATACTCCATCTCAAAAAAATAAATAAATAAAAGATTTTTTCTGGCTGGGCGCGGTAGCTCACACCTGTAATCTCAGTACTTTGGGAGGCCGAGGCGGGCGGATCACTTGAGGTCAGGAGTTTGAGACTAGCCTGGCCAATGTGGTGAAACCCCATCTCTACTAAAATACAAAAATTAGCCAGGTGTGGTGACAGGCGCCTGTAATCCTAGCTACTCGGGAGGCTGAGGCAAGAGAATCACTGGAACTCAGGAGGTGAAGGTTGCAGTGAGCCGAGACAACACCGCTGCACCCAAGCCTAAAGAAAAATTTTCCAGCCTCAGCAACTTGGCAAAACCCTGTCTCTAAAAAAAATAAATAGAAAAATTAGCCAGTCATGGTGGCACACACCTGTACCTGTAGTCCCAGCTACTTGGGAGGCTGAAGCAGGAGGATCACTTGAGCCCAGGAGGCCGAAGTTGCAGTGAGCCGAGATCATGCCACTGTACTCCATCCTGGGCAACAGAGCCAGACCTTGTCTTAAAAAAGAAAAAAAAGAAAGGAAAAAAAAAAAGGTAGATACAGGGGGGTCTCACTATGTTGCCCAGGCTGGTCTCACACTCCTGGTTTCAAGTGATCCTCCTGCCTTAGCTTCCCAAAGGGCTGGGATTACGGGCATGAACCACTGCACCCAACCAAATTAGAGACTTAGAATGAAGGGGGATCATTAATCAAATTATCACTGTGAGCTCTGTAGTGAGATAATACATCTTAATCAAATATCCTAAAGTACTATGTATGTGTAAGTAGCTTTTATTATTTTCAGTTTAATGTTTATTCATTTGGTTTGGGGATTTTAATTTCCTAGAAGGCAAGTATTGTGTCCATGTAAATTTTTACCACGTACAGCTTATTAAAGTTTATATATTGTTGACAATGTAATTAATACTTTGAATTAAGAAGGAAATGATCTGTGTTTAGGAAGTGGAGCGACTTCCTTTTTCTTTTACACTATTTTGGGCTCTCTTATTTTCCTTACTCTGATGTCAAAGTACCTGTAACATGTAGCATGGTACTGGAGGTCTAGAATATTCTAAGTAAATGATTCTAAATAAATTATTGGGACATAATTGAATTGGATTTTGTTCGTAGAATTTTCTCCAATCTCATGTAAACAAAATGTAGCACATATCCCAGATTTTCAGCCTTATATACTTTTTCCACTAATACCAAACATGTTTCCATTATCACCAAAAAAAGTCCTCATTGACTTTAAGAACTTTCTTAAATTTAGAGTAATTGTGAGAGATATTCCCTCATTTTTTATACCACATCTTACAATTCCCTTAAATTTATTGGAAATTATTTGTATTTTGTAGACTTCTGAACAAGAAACTAAAGGCCTTCCCAGCAAAAAAGGAATTGTACAGTCTATTGTTGGTCAAGGCTATCATCGTAAAATAGTTTTGGCATCACAGTCTATACAGAATACTGTTTATAAGTAAGTATTTTGCAAAGAAAAAGTGTATATATATTTAATACTAGTTTACATAATGTTACTTATATATAAAAGTATGATTAGGATTTATCATTGCATAGGAGGAACCACTTTGTAACTAGATTTTATTGCTATTTCAACAAACAGACCCTCATGTATAGGTCCATAGTGAATGTTATCTAACATGATTTTGGTTTATTACATCCATGGGTGCTGCAATTATTGATGGCCTAGGAAACCCTAGTCTGTTCAGTGCCATTATTAAGAATGTCCAGAAGAGGGCATCTTGGTATTTCCTTTTTATGTACTTTTGGTTATCATTGATACTTTTCATTTGGGTATTTTCTTATAGTCCCTAGGACTGAAAATACATGAAAGGGAATTCTTACTATTCAGAGAAAAAAGGTGTATTAAAACATAAAGCAACCAAAGCAGTATAGAAGCTGTCACATGTATAATCTTCATTTGACAATTTGGAATTGCCATTATTTGTAAAGTGGCAAACTTTGCAAATAATTAGCTGCCTTAATTTGTTTTTGTCAAAGAAGAAAATTGTTCTCTACCATTTAAAAGTTTTTCCACAGTTTAAAAAATATCTGATACACAATAATTTAGTCTTAATTTAGTTAAACTATAATGCAAGAATATTTTTTAAAACTATTATGATAAAGCATTTCAAAGTTTTAAAGCAATTTCAAAGTTGTTACTACTTTTCAAAATTTTATTTTTCTCTAGTAAAGATTCTCTTTGGGTATATCAAACCAACAGAAAGTTGTATAAAATGTCAATGAAATTATAAGACAAAAAGTAATGTTGGTGTTTCAAAGTGTATAGAGGCATTTTTGAAAGCAAGGATCAACCAAAGTAAGGCTCAAACGTGAAAATCTGTTTTCTTCCCTTTCGTCCCATTCTTAGTATACCTCTCCTTGCCCTCATTACAGTTGCCCTTGTCTGCAGTTTCTCTAGTATGTTAACATTAACATTGTGATATACATCAAATTATCTCTTCTCCTTGGTCTCATTCCTAGAGACACAGTGTATGTAATTTATATACTTGCAATCCATTATTTATACTATTTACAACCTATACTTAGGATTTGGGTTCTTTAGCATGCTTTTATAACTGCTTATATTAAAATTTCTACCTATCAAAAGGCATAGCTTTCATTTATAATCAATTGGTTTTATTCCTCATAATAAAAGAGCCTTATTTTAAAATATTTTATCCACTTAGCTAATTTGGTTTTGTTCTTTTAAGTGATGGGCAGTCTTCGGCCATTCCTGTAGCCAGTATGGAGTTTGCAGCCATATGTCTCAGAAATGCCTTGTTGCTGCTACCTGAAGAACAGCAAGATCCAAAGCAGGAAAATGGGGCTAAAAATAGTAATCAATTAGGTGGGAACACAGAGAGCAGCGAAAGCAGTGAAACTTGCAGGTATTCTAATCCTTGTGACCTCCTTTGGCAAAATCCTTTCAGGACTTCTTTAGTAAACCCTTTGTTCTTTAAGTAAATTCCTAAAATCTTCAACCTGAATTTCTGAAATTCTGTTTTGCGTAACAAGAAAGGAAAGTATTTATGTTTCTGAGTCTTTCTGGAAGAGAGAAATAAGGTGAAGGCTAAGTTAGGAGAGATCCTTGAAAAAGAAAAGTAGAAAGTAGCAGCTTTGGCCGGACGCAGTGGCTCATGCCTGCCTGTAAAAGGCTGAGGCAAGAAAATTGCTTGAACCCAGGAGGCAGAGGTTGCAGCGAGCCGAGATTGTGCCACTGCACTCCAGCTTTGGCGACAGAGTGAGACTTCATCTCAAAAAAGAAAGTAGCAGCTTTTCATTGACAAGAGGGATATTTGTAAGAAGTCCTGTTGTCAGACAGCTTTAAAAAAAATTTGGCCAGGTGTGGGGGCTCACGCCTGTAATCCCAGCACTTTGGGAGGCCAAGATGGGTAGATCACTTGAGGTTAGGAGTTCAAGACCAGCTGGCCAACATGGTGAAACCCCGTCTCTACTAAAAATACAAAAATTAGCTGGGCGTGGTGGTGGGCACCTATAATCCCCACTACTGGGAAAGCTGAGGCAAGAGAATTACTTGAACCCGGGAGGCAGAGGTTGCAGTGAGCCACGATCATGCCACTGCACTCCATCCAGCCTGGTGACAGAATGAGACTCCATCTCAAAAAAACAGAAAATTTATTAAAATAAACACTTGACTCCTAAAGCTGCTTATTTCTTATTATCCTCTGTCTATCCTCTTAATATACTATAATCACTAACCTCCAGAATATTTTTGTATATTTCTGGTTTTCTAGTATAAATTCAAAATTATGCAAATCTAGGCAGGGTGCTGGAGGAGGCCAAGAGTTCAAGTCTAGTCTGGGCAGCATAGCAAGACCCCATCTCTTCAAAAAAATTAAAAATAAGTAAATAAAAATTATGTGACTATAGAAATTGGGAGAACTTTTGGTAAGGACAAAACACATACCATTATATATAGGGAATTCAGCTTTTTTCTTTCTTTCTTTTCTTTTGTTTTCTTTTTGTTTTGTTTTTTGTTTGTTTGTTTGTTTTTGAGACAGAGTCTCCCTCTGTCACCCAGGCTGGAAAGCAGTGGCACGATCTCAACTCACTGCAACCTCCACCTCACAGGCTCAAGCGATTCTCCTGCCTCAACCCCCTAAATAGCTGGGATTATAGGCCCAGCGCCACTATGCCCGGCTAATTTTTGTATTTTTAGTAGAGATAGGGTTTTGCCATGTTGTCCAGGATGGTCTTGAACTCCTTACCTCAAGTGATCCTCCCTCCTCGGCCTCCCAGAGTGCTGAGATTGCAGGCATGAGCCACTACACCCAGCTGGAAATTCTGCTTTTTATACATGGCATCGTTAAACTTACATCTCCCATCCCAGCATTTTTTCTTGATTATAATAGCAATCAATACATATTTACTATAGAAAATTTGGGCCAGGCATGGTGGCTCACACCTGTAATCCCAGTGCTAAGGGAGACCAAGGCTGAAGGATTGCTTGAAGCTAGGAGTTCGAAGCTAGCCTGTCCAACATAATGAGACCCCATCTCTACAAGAAATAAAAAAATTAGTTGAGTGTGGTGCCAGGCACCATTAGTACCAGCTACTTGGGAGGCTGGTGTAGGAGGATCGCCTGAGCCCAGGAGTTTGAAGCTGCAGTGAGCTATGATCATGCCACACTGCACTCCAGCCTGGGCAACAGTCTCAAAAACCCAGTCTCAAGAAAAGGCAGGGGTTGAGGGGTCAGGGTAATTAGAATAATGAGAAATGCGCGAAAATATTCAGTTATTTCCCTTTTGTAGTAAAGATACTGTTTTCAGTTAGAGATTTTTTAAAGCAGTATTGGAGGGGTGGGGGCAGTGGGGGAAGAAACTAATATACAATATAGCTTTAACATGTTAGTGTTACCAAATTACTAAGTATTTCCATTGTTTAACTCTTTTACACTTTTGTTGTAAAAAGTTACATGGGAGGCCGGGCGAGGTGAGACACCTCTGTAAATCCTAGCACTTTGGGAGGCCAAGGCAGGTGGATCACCTGAGGTCGGGAGTTCGAGACCAGCCTTGCTAACATGGTGAAACCCCGTTTCTACTAAAAATACAAAAAATTAGCTGGGCGTGGTGGTGTGCGCCTGTAATCCCAGCTACTTGGGAGGCTGAGGCGGGAGAATCACTCAAACCTGGGAGGCAGAGGTTGCAGTGAGTTGAGATCGTGCAATTGCACTCCATCCTGAGCGACGAGCAAAACTCTGTCTCAAAAAAAAAGTTGGGAGTAAGGACAGGGAAACAAAATTTTACGTTTAATTATTTATTTGTTGCTCTTCATAATTAAGACTCTTACCTCTATTTTAGCAGTAAAAGCCATGATGGAGATAAATTCATTCCAGCTCCACCTTCTTCTCCATTGAGAAAACAGGAATTAGAAAACTTAAAGTGAGTATCTAAACAAAATTAGCATTGCATCTATTGAAATGAACATATTCATGGCTGGGCACAGTGGCTCATACCTCTAATCCCAGCACTTTGGGAGGCCGAGGCTGGTGGATCACTAGGTCAGGAGTTCGAGACCAGCCTGGCCAAGATAGTGAAACCCTGTCTGTACTAAAAATACAAAAATTAACCGGGCGTGGTGGCAGGCGCCTGTAATCCCAGTTACTTGGGAGGCTGAGGCAGGAGAATTGCTTGAACCCGGGAGGCGGAGGTTGCAGTGAGTGTGCCACTGCACTCTAGCCTGAGCAACTCTGTCTCAAAAAAAAAAAGAACACATTCTTTTTTATCTTGTTGATACTGTTAATATGATGAATTACACTGATCAAATGTTAAACCAATCTTTCAATCTTGTGATAAACCCTACTTGGTCAGAATGTATTTTCTTTTGTATAAATTTTTAGATTTGATTTGTTAATACTTTGTTGGGAATAAGTGCTTCTATATCCGTGAGGAAGATTGGTCCATACTTTTCTTTCCTAGAAATGATTTTGTCAGATTTGGTTTCAGGATTATGCTGACCATATAAATGAGTTGAGAAGTGCTTCATCTTCCTCTGTTTTCTGCAAGAGTCTGTGTAAGATAGGTATTACTCATGGACACAAAGAGGGGAACAACGGGCGCTAAGGCCTCCTGGAGGGTGGAGGGTGGTAGAGGATCAGAAAAAATAACTATTGGGTACTAGGCTTAGTACCTGGGTGACAAAATAATCTGTACAACAAACCCCCATGACACAAGTTTACCATATAACAAACCTGCACATGTAGCCCTGAACTAATAAAAAGGACAGGTATTACTTCTTCCTTAAGTATTTGATAGAATGCACCAGTGAAACCATCTAGCCTAGGATTTTCTTTGCAGGAAGATTTTTGATAATGAATTCAACTTGTTCAACAACACTTTTTTCAGATTTTATATTTCTTTTTTTTTTTTTTTGAGATGGATTCTCGCTCTGTCTCCCAGGCTGGAGTGCAGTGGCGCGATCTCGGCTCACTGCAAGCTCCGCCTCCTGGGTTCACACCATTCTCCTGCCTCAACCTCCCGAGTAGCTGGGACTACAGGCGCCTGCCACCACACAGGGCTAATTTTTTGTATTTTTAGTAGAGACAGGGTTTCACCGTGTTAGCCAGGATGGTCTCGATCTCCTGACGTCGTGATCCACCCACCTCGGCCTCCCAAAGTGCTGGGTTTACAGGCGTGAGCCACAGCATCCGGCCTGTATTTCATCTTATCTCAGTTTGGTTAAGTTTTATTTTTCAAGGAATTTTCTAAGTTGTCAAATTTATTGGCATAACATTGTTCATAATATTTTTTTTACCTTTTTAATGTCTGTAGAATCTGCAGTTATACCTCTATTTTCTTTCTTTTTTTTTTTTTTGAGTTGGAGTTTTACTCTCTGTCCCAGGGTGGAGTGCAGTGGTATGATCTCGGCTCACTGCAACCTCTGCCTACCAGTTTCAGGCGATTCTCCTGCCTCAGCTTCCTAAGAAGCTGGGATTACAGGTGCCTGCTAGCACGCCTGGCTAAATTTTTGTGTTTTTAGTAGAGACGGGGTTTTACCATGTTAGCCAGGCTGGTCTCGAACTCCTGACCTCAGGTGATCCACCCGCCTCAGCCTCCCAAAGTTTTGGGATTACAGGCATGAGCCACTGCGCCCGGCCAGTTTTCATTTGTGATATTTGTGGGATCTCTTGCTTTCTCTCCTTTCTTCCCTAAGCAATCCTGCTAGCAATTTACATATTGGATTGATGTTTTCAGAGAATAGACTTCTACTTCATTTTCTGTTTTCTATTTCGTTTCTGCTCTTTATTTTATTCTTCTACTAACTCTGGTTTATTTTGCTCTTTTTTTAACTTCTTATGCTGGTCACTGATTTTTAGATAAAGGTCCTTTTCTACACAGTTCCCTTTAAGCCTGCTGTGACTTCCTTCCACAAACAGTTATGTTTTATTTGTTTATTTCACTCCATAGTGTCTTTTTTTTCAAAATTAAACTTCATTTAGAGACGATTGTAGATTCACATAATAGTCTAAAAAGTAATACAGATACCTGGGCAACATGGTGAGACCCTGTCTCTAAAAAAATCAAAAAATTAGGCCAGGTGCAGTGGCTCATGCCTGTGATCCCAGCACATTGGTGGGCTGCAGAGGCAGGCAGATCAGCTGAGGTCAGGAGTTCGAGATCAGCCTAGCCAACATGGTGAAACCCCATCTCTCCTAAAAATACAAAAGTTGGCCAGGTGTGGTGGCGGGTGCCTGTAATTCCAGCTACTTGGGAGGCTGAGGCTGGAGAATCACTTGAGCCCAGGAGGCAGAAGTTGCAGTAAGCCAAGACCGCGCCGTTGCACTCCAGCCTGGGCAACAAGAGTGAAACTCCGTCTCGAAAGAAAAAAAGAAAAAAAATTATCTGGGCGTGATGTTGCATGCCTGTGGTTCCAGGTAGCTGGCAGGCTGAGGTGGGAGGATCACTTTAAGCCCTGGAGGTCATGGCTGCAGTAAGCTGTGATTGTACCATCAAACTCCAGCAAGGATGACAGATCGAGGCTCTGTCTCTAAAAATAAAAAATAATACAGAGACCTCATCTACCCTCTACCCAGTTTTCTCAAAGGCAACTTCTTACAGAACTTTAGTACATGCTGGGTGCGGTGGCTCATGCCTGTAATCCCAGCCCTTTGGGAGGCCGAGGTGGGCGGATCACGAGGTCAGGAGTTCAAGACTAGCCTGACCAATATGGTGAAACCCCATCTCTACTAAAAATACAAAAATTAGCTGAGTGTGGTGGCGTGTGCCTGTAGTCCCAGCTATTCGAGAGGCTGAAGCAGGGGAATCGCTTCAACCGGGGAGGCGGAGGGAGGTTGCAGTGAGCCAAGATCGTGCTATTGCCTAGACAACAGACTCTGTCTCAAAACAAAAAAAGAACTTTAGTACAATATCACAGTCAAGATATTGACATTGATACAGTAAAGATACAGAACTTTTTTTGTTTTACAATATTTTCATTACATTCAATTTCTTAAAATTTTTTTAAAATTTTGTGGCTGGGCGCGGTGGCTCATGCCTGCAATCCCAGCACTTTGGGAGGCCGAGGCGGGTGGATCACAAGGTCAGGAGATCGAGACCATCCTAGCTAACACGGTGAAACCCTGTCTCTATTAAAAATACAAAAAATTAGCCGGGCGTGGTGGCGGGCGCCTGTAGTCCCAGCTACGCGGGAGGCTGAGCCAGGAGAATGGCGTGAACCTGGGAGACGGAGCTTGCAATAAGCCGAGATCGCACCACTGCACTCCAGCCTGGACGACAGAGCGAGACTCCGTCTTAAAAAAAAAAAAAAAAAAAATTTGTGTAGGTGTGGGGTCTTGATGTCCTGCCCAAGCTGATCTCAAACTTCTGGCCTCAAGCAATCCTCCCACCTTGGCCTCCCAAAGCACTGGGATTATAGTTGTGAGCCACCGTGCCTAACCCAGAACATTTTTATTACTACGAAAGATCCCTCATATTGCCCTCTTATAGCCATACCCACTTCCACTCCTGCTCCTGCCCCTTATTTAACCCTTGGTTACGACTAATCTCTTTTTAATTTCTATAATTTTGTCTTTCAAAAATGTTATATAAATGGAATCATACAGCATGTAACCTTTTGGGATTGATTTTTTTCATTCAGTATAATTCTTGGAAAATTCATTTAAGTTTGCTGAGTAAATCAATTGTTGTTCCTTTTTATTGGTGAGTATTATTCCATGGTATGATTGTACCTCAGTTTAATCATTCACCTTTTGTAGGACATCTAGCTTTATTCCATTCCAGTTTGGGGCTGTTACAAATAAAGCTGCTAGAAATATTCACAGGTATTTATGTGCACATAAATCTTTGTCTCTCAGGATGAACGTCCAACAGTGCTGCATAGTAGGGGAGTTACATGTCTAATATTTTAAGAAACTGCCAAGGCCAGGCGTGGTGGCTCACGTCTGTAATCCCAGCACTTAGGGCGGCCGAGGCGAGCGGATCACGAGGTCAGGAGTTCAAGACCAGCCTGGCCAACATAGTGAAACCCTGTCTATACTAAAAATACAAAAAATTAGCCAGGCATGGTGGCGTGCACCTGTAGTCCCAGCTACTCTGGAGGCTGAGGCAGGAGAATCGTTTGAACCCAGGAGGCAGAGGTTGTGGTGAGCCGAAATCGTGCCACTGCCCCCCAGCCTGGGCGACAGAGCGAGACTCCGTCTCAAAAAAAAAAAAAAACAGAAGAAAAGAAACTGCCAAACTCTTTTAACAGAGTGACTATACCATTTTACATTCCCACCAGTGATGTATGAGTGATCCAGTTTCTTTACCACAATATTTCTTATTTTCTTTTTTAAAAAAATTTATTTTTTCATCACATACTTGTTTTGATATTTGTGTGTGTTGTAGGTTTTTATTTTATTTTTTATTTTATTTTATTTTATTTTTTTGCCAGGCTGGAGTGCAATGGCATGACCTCGGCTCACTGCAACCTCCGCCTCCTGGGTTCAAGCAGTTCTCCTGCCTCAGCCTCCCGAGTAGCTAGGACTACAGATGTGTACCACCACGTCCAGCTAATTTTTGTATTTTTAGTAGAGACGGGGTTTCACCATGTTGGCCAGGATAGTCTCTTGACCTCGTGATCCACCGACCCCGGCCTCCCAAAGTGCTGGGATTACAGGCATCCCAGCACCTGGCCTGTTATAGGCACTTTTTACTTTACTCATTCTAATAGGGAAGTAAGATGTGTAGTGCTATCTCATTGTGATTTTTATTTGCATTTCTCTAATGAACTTCTTTTCATGTGGTATAGCTTTTTGTTTTGTTTTGGTGTGTTGTCATTGTTGCCGTTGTTCTGAGACAGTCTTGCTGTGTTGCCCAGGCTGGAGTGCAATGGAAGGAACTCAGCTCACTGCAACCTCCGCCTCCCAGGTGCAAGCGACTCTCATGCCTCAGCCTCCTGAGTAGCTGAGATTACAGGCATGTGCCACCACACCCGGCTAATTTTTGTATTTTTGGTAGAGATGGGGTGTCACCATGTTGGTCAGGCCGGTCTCAAACTCCTGAGCTCAAGTGATCTGCCCGCCTCAGCCTCCCACAGTGCTGAGATCATAGGCGTGAGCCACCGCATCTGTCCTTTACCAGTAATTTTGTAGTCTGTAAACTGCTCTGTACCTTACTTTGTTCCCATATCAGCACAAACCTTTGTTTCACTCTTTCTCATGGGTGCCTAGAGTTGCATTTTGTGGATATGATCTAATTTATCTAACATTGCTTTTTATTGAGCTGTTTATAATGTTTTCAGCTTTTGCTGTTACAAATAATGCTGCAGTGAATATGGTTATACACATTTAAAGGGAATCCTTAATGAAGAAGACATTTGAAACAGTTTTTCAAACTTGATTTAAGTTTTACAAGTTTACTTGAATGAATACTAATCTTTTTTTTTTTTTTTTTTTGAGATAGATTTTTGCCCTTGTTCCCCAGGCTGGAGTGCAATGGTGTGTCTTGGCTCACTGCAACATCCGCCTCCTGAGTTCAAGCAGTTCTCCTGCCTCAGCCTCCCAAGTAGCTGGAATTACAGGCATACGCCACCATGCCCAGCTAATTTTTTATATTTTTAGTAGAGGTGGGGTTTCACCATGTTGGTCAGGCTAGTCTCGAACTCCTGACCGCAGGTGATCCATCCGCCTTAGCTTCCCAAAGTGCTGGCATTACAGGCATGAGCCACCCACCCAGCTTAATGAGTACTAATCTTAGGATTGCTCTATTTTTGTGTGCAATTTAAGAAGTATATTGTTTCTGCCAGGTGTGGTGGCTCACGCCTGTAATCCCAGCACTTTGGGAGGCCAAGGCAGGCAAATCGCCTGAGGTCAAGAGTTCGAGATCAGCCTGGCCACCATGGTGAAAACCTGTCTCTACTAAAAATACAAAAAAAAATTAGCTGGGCATGGTGGCACACACCTGCAGTCCCAGCTACACGGGAGGCTGAGGCAGGAGAATTGCTTGAACCCAGAAGGCAGAGGTTGCAGTGAGCCGAGATCGTGCCACTATACTCCAGCCTGGGAGACAGACTGAGACTCTGTCTCACATACACACACGCACAAAAAGTAGTATATTGTCTTACGGTGGTTAAACATCTGCAGAGTTGTGTAATTTAACTTTACCTTCTGAGAATGTCATTAAAGAGAAGTGTACATACAGGATGGGATTCCTCTCAGAGTTTTGTACCTTTCGTGGGTACAGCTGTTTGCTTTCCATATGTCATAGTAGGAGGATTGATGATTTTCAAAGAAAATAATATTACTTCCATTTTTTTTGTGTGTGAAAAGGAGCATAGGGCTTCCATAGGGAATGCCGTCATCATAAAGTGAGGCAAGGGTGGATTCTGTAGTATATATATATTTTTTTCTTCTGGAGCAGATGGGAGGGAGAAAGGAAACAGTACAAGATGGAAGGAGCCTTAGGGTAGATTTATAAAAAGGACTGCTATGCCAGACAGTAGCAATGGTAATGTGGACACAAATGGTGAAGGGGAGGAGTCGTAAAAGAATTGTGTCGTAATTTTCAAAGCCATAAAGCTCACAATGCAGTTGGGTGTGTTAAAGGGCAATTCTGTGGCAGGAGCCAGCTGTCTTCTATCTAAGGAGCCTGAGCACTGTGTTTTAAGATTGTGAAATTCTTTGAGATTTCATCTATTTCTGACCTGAACTCTTTTAGATTATTGAAAATGTGACTAGTATATAGTTTAGCTTTTATGGACTATCATATTTGACCCCTTGTGTTCAATAATACCCAAGACACCAATGCAAAGCCCCATTTTCTGTTTCCAGCATAACTAATATGCAGTAAATTATCATGACTTTTCCAATGGCCACTTTTTATGATACGGGTTTATAGCCCCTTGAGTATTTTCGGTTTTTTTCATTTGTACATAAATTAAGGTAAGTCCAAAAAATTTCATTCTAACCAATTTACCAAGTATATTTTTAGAAGGCAGATAATAATTAAAGAAGTTGTGAGATTGTATATTAAATCAAGGTAGTTTTCAGAAAAATATTCTCACAATTGAAATTAAAATGTGGCCCCAAATTAGGAAAACGTCTCAGAAATCAACTAACTAGTTTAACTGTTAAGGTTTGGATGAACTTAGAGATACTAATATAATGGATCAAGAAAGTTATATAGTCATCCTTTGGTATCCTTGAGGGATTGGTTCTAGGGCCCCCAACAGATACCACAATCCTCAGATATAAAATTCCTTACATAAAATGGTGTAGTAATTGCAGATAACCTGTGCACATCCTCTCATATACTTTACTTATTTTTATTTTATTTTATTTATTTTTTTGAGACATAGTTTTGCTCTTGTCACCCGGGCTGGAGTGCAGTGGCTCAATCTTGGCTCACTGCAACCTCCGCCTCCTGGGTTCAAGTGATTCTCCTGCTTCTGCCTTCCAAGTAGCTGGGATTACAGGCGTGTGCCACAATGCCTGGCTAATTTTTGTATTATTAGTAGAGACGGGGTTTCACCATGTTGGCCAGGCTGGTATTGAACTCCTGGCCTCAAGCGATCCGCCCATCTTGGCCTCCCAAAGTGCTGGGATTACAGGCATGAGCCACTGCATCCAGCCTTCTCTCATATACTTTAAGTCATCTTTAGAGTACTTATAATACCTAGTGCACTATATATGCTATATAAACAGTTGTCATACTGTATTGGTTTTTAATTTTTAAAAAATTATTGTAGTTTTTTTTATTATTATATTTTAGAATATTTTCTATTTATAGTTGGTTGAATCTACAGATTTGGAACCTGTGGATTCCAAGCACCAACTGTACACATAATGACACTTTTAGAAATTTGCTTCAGTTTCTGAACCACTCAATGCTGTATGAAGCCATAAGTTTTATTCAATTAAGGATTGAATAAACATTCTGTGCCCTGGAATTAAATAAATGCTATGACTTTGAAATTTTAAGGTGATTGTGTTCCTAGATGTTTACCAAAGAGAAACAGAAACTTGTCCATAAAAGAATTTTATAGCAGCTTTACTCCTGGTAGACAAAACCTAGACATAGCCCAGGTATTCATCAGTAGAAGAATGGATAACTAAGTTGTATTACACTTGTATTTTGGAATACTAGTCAGCTATAAGGAAGAACCAGTGAGGTCGGGCACAGTGGCTCATGCCTGTAATCCCGACGCTTTGGGAGGTCCAGGCAGGCAAATTGCTTGAGTCCAGGAATTTGAGACGAGTGTGGGCAACATGGTGAAACCCTGTCTGTACAAAAAATTGGCCAGGCATGGTGCTGCACACCTGTAGCTCCAGCTGCTCGGGAGGCTGAGGTGGGAGGATCACCTGAGCCCTGTAGGTTTGAGGCTGCAGTGAGCTGAGGTTGCACCAATGCACTCCAACCTGGGTGACAAAGTGAGACCCTGTCTCAAACCAAAACCAATTACTAATGCACAAGTTAACATGGATGAATCTCAAAACATTTTCCTGTTTTTTCTTTTCCTTCGCATAAGGTATCTACTGTGTGATTCCATTTATACCATTTATATGACAAACAAAACTTTATGAATAGACAAAACTAATTTATGTTGCTAGAAATCAGAACAGTGGTTGCGGGAATTGACTGGAAAGAAATATAAACGCATCAATTTAAGCAGCAGACCCCAGCCTTTTTGGCACCAGGGACCAGGATCATGGTAGACTATTTTTCTGTGGACAGGGTTGCAGGGGAGGTGGTTTCAGGATGATTCAAAAACATTACATTTATTGTGCACTGTATTTCTATTATTATTACATTGTAATATATAATGAAATAGTTATACAACTCACCATAATGTAGAATCAGTGGGAGCCCTGAGCTTGTTTTCCTACAACTAGATGGTCCCATGTGGGGGTGATGGGAGACAGTGACAGATCATCAGGCATTAGATTCTCATACGGAGCACACAACCTAAATTCCTTGCAGGCGCAGTTCACGATAAGATATGCACTCCTGCCGGGTGCAGTGGCTCTCGCCTGTAATCCCAGCACTTTGGGAGGCCGAGGTGGGCAGATCATGAGGTCAGGAGATTGAGACCATCCTGGCTAACATGGTGAAACCCCGTCTCTACTAAAAATACAAAAAAATTAGCCAGGCGTGGTGGCAGGCGCCTGTAGTCCCAGCTACTCGGGAGGCTGAGGCAGGAGAATGGTGTGTACCCAGGAGGCGGAGCTTGCAGTGAGCCAAGATTGCACCACTGCACTCCAGCCTGGGCGACAGAGCGAGACTCCGTCTCAAAAAAAAAAAAAAAAAAAAAGATATGCACTCCTATGAGAATCTAATGCTGCTGCTGATCTGACAGGAGGCAGAGCTCAGGCAGTAATGCAAGTCATGGGAGCAGCTGTAAATATAGATGAATATAGCTGTAAATATAGGTGTGGTGGCAGGCACCTGTAATCCCAGCTACACGGGGGGCTGAGGCAGGAGAATCACTTGAACCCGGGAGGCGGAGGTTGTGGTGAGCCGAGATTGTGCCACTGCACTCTAGCCTGGGCGACAGAGCAAGACTCTGTCTCAAAAAAATCAATATAATAGGCTTGGCAGGTGGCTCACACCTGTAATCCCAGCACTTTGGGAGGCCAAGGCAGGTGGATCACCTGAGGTCAAGAGTTCGAGATCAGCCTGGCCACCATGGTGAAACTCTGTCTCTACTAAAAATGCAAAAAAATTAAGCGGGTGTACTGGCGCATGCCTGTAATCCCAGCTATTAGGAGGCTGAAGCAGGAGAATCGCTTGAACCCAGGAGGTGGAGGTGGAGGTTGCAGTGAGCCCAGATGGTGCCATTGCACTCCAGCCTGGGCAACAAGAGTGAAACTCCGTCTCAATAAATAAATAAATAAATAAATAAAATAAAAATAATTTTACGTGTTTCTTTTAATGTTATTTTTTAAACGTGTCTGTTAGAAAAATTTAAATTACATTTATGGCTTCAATTATATTTCTTCCTTTTTTTTTTGTCTTTTACAAAAAAATCTGTACCACAAACTTTCACTACACCACACACAAACTTCTGGCCTCAAGCAATTCTCCCACGTCAGCCTCCTGGATAACTAAGACCACAGGCATGGGCTGGGCTCGGTGGCTCACGCCTGTAATCCCAGCACTTTGGGAGGCCGAGACGGGCAGATCACGAGGTCAAGAGATGGAGACCATCCTGGCCAACATGGTGAAACCCCGTCTCTACTAAAAATACAAAAATTAGCTGGGCGTAGTGGCGCGCCCATGTAGTCCCAGCTCCTCGGGAGGCTGAGGCGGGAGAATTGCTTGAGTGCAGGAGGCAGGGGTTGCAGTGAACCGAGATTGTGCCACTGCACTCCAGCCCAGCGACAGAGCAAGACTCCGTCCCAACGCTCCCCCCACCTCCAAAAAAAAAGACTGCAGGCATGTACCGCCATGCCCAGCTACTTTTTTATTTTTTGTAGAGCCAGGGTCCCACTGTGTTAACCAATCTAGTCCTAACACTCCTGGGCTGAAGTGAAACTCCTAGGCTGAAGCAGTCTTCCCACCTTGGCCCCCCAAAGCATCGAAATTACAGGTGTGAGCCACTGCAGTTGGCTATGGCTCTAATTATATTTCTCTTGAACAGAGCTGCTCTAAGGTTTTAAGACAAGTGTGTTCGAATGTTTGTATGCTATAACATGATTTTTACGTGTGTGAATGTTGTTACTATGTCACAGTTTTTTGTACCACAAATTTTAACTGAATTATTTCTCTTTAGAAAATTTTTTTTTGTTAAAAGGCCTAATACCCAAAGGAATCTTAGAACACAGTTTCTTGGGCAGGATTGATATTTTGGCTATATTCTTTGATTTAGATGTGAATGTTTGCTGCATACATTTGGGAGACGATAGGTTTTTGAAATAACAATGATTGATCGCAATAGAATAATGTATTTTTCTTCTGATATGTTTTTTGATATTTATTTATTTAGAGATGGAGTCTCACTCTGTGGCCCAGGCTGGAGTGCAGTAGCGCAGTCTTGGCTCACTGCAACCCCTGCCTTCCGGGTTCAAATTATTCTCCTGCCTCAGCCTCCCGAGTAGCTGGGATTACAGCTGCCCACCACACCCGACTAATTTTTGTATTTTTTGTAGAGACGGTGTTTCACCATTTTGGCCAGGCTGATCTCAAAAACACGTGACCTCAAGTGACCTGCCCACCTCTGCCTTCCGAAGTGCTGGGATTACAGGTGTGAGCCACCATGCCCGGCCTGTTTTTGTTTTTGTGGTTTTTTTGTTTTTGTTTTTTGAGAGGGAGTCTTGCTCTGCCGCCCAGGCTGGAGTGCAGTGGCACAGTCTTTGCTCACCCACCTCCGGGTTCAAGCAATTCTCCTGTCTCAGCCTCCCGAGTAGCTGGGATTACAGACATGCATAACCACACCCAGCTAATTTTTGTATTTTTAGTAGAGATGGGGTTTCACCATCTTGGCCAGGCTCGTCTCGAACTCCTGACCTCAGGTGATCCACCTGCCTCGGCCTCCCAAAGTGCTGGGATTACAGGCATGAGCCAACGCATCCGGCCAAGAGTTCTTTATATGTCCTAGATACAACTATCAGATATATGACTTGTAGTTATTTTCTCACATTCTGAGGGTTGTCTTTTCACTTTTTTGAAGGTGCCCTTTGAAGCATAAACGTTTTTCATTTTGATGAAAGTTAATTCTTATTTTTGTTGTTGCTTGTGCTTTTCATGCCATTTCTAAGACTTCTTCACTAAATCCAAGATCATGAGGATTTACCATGTCTTCCTATAAGAATTCTAAGTTTTAGCACTTACATTTAGGTCTTTGATCCATGTTGAGTTAATTTTTTTTTTTTTTTTTTTTTGAGACTGAGTTTTGCTCTTATTGCCCAGGCCAGAGTGCAGTGGCATGATCTCGGCTCACCTCAACCTCCACCTCTTGGGTTCAAGTGATTCTCCTGCCTCAAGCCTCCCAAGTAGCTAGGATTATAGGAATGTGCCACCACACCTGGCTAATTTTGTATTTTTAGTAGAGACAGGATTTCCCCATGTTGGTCATGCTGGTCTCGAACACCCAACTTTCGGTGATCTGCCTGCCTCGGCCTCCCAAAGTGCTGGGATTACAGGCATGAGCCACTGCGGCCTGCCTTATTTTGAGTTGATTTTTATAGATGAGGAAAGATAAGGCTCAACTTCATTTTTTTTTGCATACTACGATCTTGTTAATAGTAGAGAAATATCGGGTGATGGGTGCACCAAAATTTCACACATCACCACTAAAGAACTTGTGTAACCAAATACCTGTTCCCCCACATACCTATGGAAATAAAATGAAGGAAGGAAGGAAAGGAGGGAAGGAGGAAGAAAGGAAATAACTGGGTGTGGTGGCTCATGCTTGTGATCCCAGCACTTTGAGAGGCTAAAGTGGGAGGATCCCTTGAGTCCAGGAGTTCAAGATCAGCCTGGCCTACATAGTGAGACCTTGTCTCTACAAAAAATTTAGTCTGGTCATGATAGCGCGTGCCTGTATTCCTAGCTACTTGGGAGACTGAGGTGGGAGGATCGCTTGGGCCCAGAAGATAGAGGCTGCAGTGAGCCGAGATCACACCAGCCTGGATGACAAGAGCTAGACACTGTGTCAAAAAAGTAAGGCCTGGGCACAGTGACTCATGCCTGTAATCCCAGCACTGTGGGAGGCCAAGGTGGGTGGATCACCTGAGGTCAGGAGTTCGAGACCAATCTGACCAATATGGTGAAACCCCATCTCTACTAAAAATATAAAAATTAGCCAGGTGCGGTGTTGTGTGCCTATAGTCTCAGCTACTCAGGAGGCTAAGACAGAATTGCTTGAACCCCGGAGGCCGAAGTTGCAGTGAGCCAAGATCGCACCACTGCACTCCACCCTGAGCGACAGAGCAAGACTCCATCTCAAAAACAAAAAAGAGTAAAGAAGTAATTTCATAGATTTAGTCATATAACAATATTTCTTTTTTCTTTTTCTTTTTTTTTGAGACAGAGTCTCACTCTGTTGCCCAGGCTGGAGTGCACTGGCGCAATCTTGGCTCCTCCAACCTCCGCCTCCTGGGTTCAAGCGATTCTCCTGTCTCAGCCTCCTGAGTAGCTGGGATTATAGGCATGCACCACCAGGCCCGGCTAATTTTTGTATTTTTAGCAGAGACTGGGTTTCACCATGTTGGTCAGGCTGGTCTCGAACTCCTGACCTCGTGATCTGCCTACCTCAGCCTCCCAGAGTGCTGGGATTACAGGCGTGAGCCACCGGGCCCAGCTATATAACAATATTTCATTGTTGCATAGTGGTTTAATAACTGTCATGGGTATGAACTGACTCTTACATGTTGCTTATTATAGAACATCTTTGTTATTCGTTCTGAGATTGTGATATTAGCTGAACTTAATGGAGGCTATTCAAGAGTCTGATAAAGAGTGTAACAGAACTGAAAAAGGTAGGAAATAATGTTGGAGCCAACATGGGAGATGTCTGTACAAGAAATTAAAATCAAAGCATACAAAATTTCAATGAAAAAAAAATTTTTTTTGAGACAGGGTCTTGCTCTGTCGCCCAGGCTAGAGTGCAGTGGCACAATCTTGGCTCATTGCAGCCTCTACTTCCCAGGTTCAAGCAGCCCTCCCACCTCTGCGTCCCAAGTAGCTGGGACTACAGATGTGCACCACCATGCTCTGCTAATTTTTAATTTTTTTTTTTTGTAGAGACAGAGTCTCACTGTATCGCCCAGGCTGGTCTCAAACTGCTGAGCTCAAGCAATTCTCCCACATCAGCCTCCCAATGTGCTGAGATTATAAGCGTGAGCTACAGCACCTGGCCTGAAAATGAAATTTTAATTTAATTGGTCATTTCTAAAATGGGAGGCCACAAAAGGGATAAAAGGAAATGTTTGGAGCAAATTTAATTAAGCCCAGTTATTCCACAAGTGTAAATTATAAAGCTTAATTAGTTCTTTCAGACTCTAATGTGACAGTCAGTGAATTATTTTCCATTCAGTTAAAAGGGACCTCCTGTGGTCCAGTGTCTATAAAAGAAGATGAATCAAACAAATGGTTGATAACATAAATATTATAGACAGTTTTAGTGTGCTTAAGAAACCATATTTCTTCTTTTGTTAGCCCAGTGGTGATATTGTAGCCCATAAGACATAACTAAAAGAGGATTATGGCTAATAATCTTTTGAATCTTATATTGCTTTTGCTAGAGATCCAGCCCCATTTCAGTCTTACGACTGAGTGTGGTCCTCCTGAAACTTGTTCATCTAACGAACTCTACCGTAGAAGGATCCTACCTGTGTGACATTTCCTTCACACTATCAGCAATTTGTGTTCACGTTGGCATGATTCACATCTGCCTCCAAGGATCTCATTTAGATGAACTGGTGATCAGATTGATCACAAACCAGGGTTAAAATAATTCTTCAGGCCAGGTGGAATGGCTCACTGTAATCCCAGCACTTCGGAAGTTCGAGGCAGGTGGATCACCTGAGGTTGGGATTTCGGGACCAGCCTGACCAACATAGAGAAACCCCATCTCTACTAAAAATACAAAATTAGCCAGGAGTGGTGGTGCATGCCATTAATCCCAGCTAGTCAAGAAGGCTGAGGCAGGAGCATCTTTTGAACCCAGGAGGCAGAGATTGTGGTGAGCCGAGATCACGCCATTGTACTCCAGCCTGGGCAACAAGAGCGAAACTCCGTCTCAAAAAAAAAAAAAATTCTTCAGTGGTCTGCCACTCTGTGGAAACCCCACAGGGCCACTAATGTGGATAAATCATTTAACCCCTGTGGGCTGCCTTTTCCTTTTCTATCAAATAAAGCAATTGGTTTAGGTGATCTTAAGATCCCGTCCATGTGTAAAATGCTAAGTCTCTGTGACTTTATATTTTATTTGCTGCCCAGGATAAGACTGGGTTCTTTGGGATGCCAGATTTGATAAAGATAAAACTTCTTTAGCTTTTTGTGTTGTACTTCTATTTCTGTTGGATTTGGACTATGTTTGTCAATAAGATTCTTTTTGCACAGAACTGTTATTAGCAAAATGTTTACAGAAGATAAAATTAAAAACTAATTGAACAACTAAACTTCAACTTTAACAGTTGAAAGTTGGCTGAGTGTGGTGGCTCATGCCTGTAATCCCAGCACTTTGGGAGGCCGAGGTGGGCGGATCACCTGAGGTCGGGAGTTGGAGACCAGCCTGACCAACATGGAGAAACCCCTTCTCTACTAAAAATACAAAAATTGAGAAGTTTCCCCCTTGGGCAGTGGCGGAGGTGGTAACTACGACAGTAGCAGCTCCGGCGGCAGCAGCAGTGACTACGAGGATGGCGGAAGCTGCAGCAGGACCTGCAACTTCCCAGAGGTTTTTCCAGAGCTTCTTGGATACTCTAATCGACGAGGACCCCCAGGCGGCATTAGAGGAGCTGACTAAGGCTTTGGAACAGAAACCAAATGATGCATAATATTAGTGTCAAAGAGCTTATTGTCACATTCTTGTAATTACTGTGTTGCTGTTGCTGATGCAAAGAAGTCTCTCGAATTCAATCCAAATAATTCCACCACTATGTTGAGAAAAGGAACATGTGAATACTATGAAAAAAACTATGCTGCTGCCCTAGAAATTTTTACAGAAGGACAAAAATTAGATAGTGCAGATGCTAATTTCAGTGTCTGGATTAAAAGATGTCAAGAAGCTCAGAATGGCCCAGAATCTGATGTGTGGACTCATCAGTCAAAAATCAGGTATGACTGGTATCAAACAGAATCGCAAGTAGTCATTACACTTACGATCAAGAATGTTCAAAGAATGATGTAAATGTGGAATTTTCAGAAAAGGAATTGTCTGCTTTGGTTAAACTTCCTTCTGGAGAGGATTACAATTTGAAACTGGAACTTCATCCTATAATACCAGAACAGAGCACATTTAAAGTAGTTTCAACCAAGATTGAAATTAAACTGAAAAAGCCAGAGGCTGTGAGATGGGAAAAGCTAGAGGAGCAAGGAGATGTGCCTACACCAAAACAATTCATAGCAGGTGTAAAGCACCTACATCCATCATCATCTCCTTATACAAGAAATTGGGATAAATTAGTGGGTAAAATCAAAGAAGAAGAAAATAATGAAAAGTTGGAGGGAGATGCAGCTTTAAACAGATTATTTCAGCAGATCTATTCAGATGGTTCTGATGAAGTGAAATGTGCCATGAACAGATCCTTTATGGGAGTCTGATGGTACAGTTTTGAGTACCAGCTGGTCTGATGTAGGTAAAAGGAAAGTTGAAATCAATCCTGATGATATGGAATGGAAAAAGTACTAAATAAATTAATTTGCTCTCACACACACACACACACAAAATATAAAAATTAGCTGGGCATGGAGGTGCATGCTTGTAATCCCAGTTACTGGGAAGGCCACCAAGGCAGGAGAATTGCTTGAACCCAGGAGGCGGAGGTTGCAGTGAGCCAAGATCATGCCATTGCACTCCAGCCTGGGCAACAAGAGCAAAAAACTCTGTCTCAAAAAAAAGTTGAAGGTTGACAAGTTTAACATTTTTTGGATTATTGTAGACAAATTGGCATTAATATTTTTTTCTTTAGAAATTTTATTTATTGGCCAGGTGCAGTGGCTCACGCCTGTAATCCCAGCACTTTGGGAGGCTGAGGTGGGAGGATCATGAGGTCAGGAGATCGAGGCCATCCTGGCTAACATGGTGAAACCCCATCTCTACTAAAAATACAAAAAATTAGCTGGGCATGGTGGCGGGCACCTGTAGTCCCAGCTACTCGGGAGGCTGAGGCAGGAGAATGGCATGAACCTGGGAGGCGGAGCTTGCAGTGAGCCAAGATCGTGCCACTGCACTCCAGCCTGGGCGACAGAGCAAGACTCCGTCTCAAAAAAAAAAAAAATACATATATATATATATATTTATTTTACTTTTTTTTTTTTTTTTTTTGAGACGGAGTCTTGCTCTGTTTTCCACGCTGGAGTGCAGTGGTGTGATCTCTGCTCACTGCAACCTCTGCCTCCCGGGTTCAAGCAATTCTTCTGCCTCGACCTCCTGAGTAGCTGGGACTACAGGGGCATGCGCTACCACGCCCAGCTAATTTTTGTATTTTTGGTAGAGACGGGGTTTCGCCATGTTAGTCAGGCTGGTCTCAAACTCCTAATCTCAGGTGATCAGCCTGCCTCGGCCTCCCATAGTTCTGGGATTACAGGCATGAGCCACCGTGCCTGGCCTCTTTTGAAATTTAAAAATCTCAGCTACTCTGGGCATACTGCCTGTGGGGTAGCCCTGTTCTCCAAGGACCATTACAAAAAAAAAAAAAATAGATATTTAGTGTGTACTTTCCCATATTCAGTTTGTTGAAAGAAATTACATTAACCGGGCATGGTGGCTCACGACTGTAATCCCAGCACTTTGGGAGTCCAAGGCAGGCGGATCACCTGTGGTCAGGAGTTCGAGACCAGCCTGGCCAATATGGTGAAACCTCATCTCTACTAAAAATACAAAATTAGGTGGGTGTGGTGGTGCACGCCTGTAGTCCCAGCTACTCGGGAGGCTGAGACAGGAGAATCACTTGCAACCGGGAAGTGGAGGTTGTGGTGAGCAGAGATCATGCCATTGCACTCTAGCCTGGGTGACAAGAGCGAAACTCCATATCAAAAAAAAAAGAAAGAAAAGAAATTACATTATTAGATTTTTTATTTTTATTTTCTTTTTTCTTTTTCTTTTTCTTTTTTTTTTTTTTTTGAGACAGAGTTTCGCTCTTGTTGCCCAGGCTGGAGTGCAATGGCATGATCTCAGCTCACTGCAACCTTTGCCTCCCAGGTTCAAGCAATTCTCCTGCCTCAGCCTCCCAAGTAGCTTGGATCACAGGCATGTGCCACCACGCCTGTGTAACTTTTTGTATCATTATTGGATTTTTTAAGCCAATTTTTCAAATGTTTGCTGTGAGGCTACTTTGTAAATTTATTTTCCTTTGACAAATGGTGACTGACTGGATTTATCCTCATTTTAGCCTTTTTTAATAAGGGTTAAACTATTTCAGATATTTGGTTTAGATTTCTTTAACTCACAGGATCTATGGCTTGACAAATTTTAATGCCTAGTCTTGCATAGCTTGTTGTAACTTGGTGCTTGAAGAAAATGTTTACTCCTTTCTTTTCCTTTCCTTTTTTTTTTTTTTCTTCTTTTTTTATCTTCTTTTCCAAGGATGGGCATTCTGGGGACCTAGAGCTAGTTCCTTCAGCATGTGAAGGGGAGAGTGGGGTTTTGTCAGATCCTCCACAGGGGGGAAAAGCTAGTGTCTCTTCCCTTGAGGTATAGTTCTTCCAGTCTGATGAACTGTCAGATCCACTGAGTGATTGGTAAAGCAGATTGGACAGTGACTCGAGGAAGTGGGGGTGGGGACAATATTTTAAGTAGTAACTATCAAAAGTAAAGTGATTCTCTGGGGGCTCAGTAGAGCCATGTGTGCTTCTAGCGTTAGCAGTCTGCAGGAATTGTGCAGAGTGCGGTGTTTTCTAAGAGGAAAAGGAGGATGAGTGTGAGAGTGATGAGAGGTGAGTTGGGATGGATTGTAATGCACCAAGAGAAGGGAGCATAAATGTTGGTTTGAGTTTCGGGCAATGAAACTTGCTTAATCCTGATGGCTCTTAATCAGAATGTCAGCCCTAAAGTTTCATATTCACAGTTGAGAACTTTTAATTGAATGATTATTTTTTATAGTCTTTTACCCTGTTTTGATTTAGAATTTGAAGAAAGCAGATTTTTATATTCTACGTAATTATAGTTTGGGCTTCCTGGGAAACAGAATCCTGCTGCAAATCTTACATGACTGATTTCTGGACCCAAAGTGGGTTTGACAGTGGGCTGGAGCAGTAATAGCCCACCTACTGTCGGGAGAGGCCAGGGCAGGCATTTCCCAGCAAGCCTGCCTGAAGTGGGTCTTGTCCTAGACTCTAGGACCTAGATCATGCAGGAAAAGTCCCATTTGTGGGAGCTGGAAAAGAGTTGGCTTCATTAGCAAAGTGACCTACCAACAGGAAAGGTGGGGGTCTGGAGAAGCAGATTTAAAATGTTGAAAGCTGTGTTTCTTTAACAAATACTTATTAAGCACCTACTGCCTATGTGAGATATTGCTCTAGTCTGTGTAGGAAACCACAGATGTGTGCTTCTGCTTTTAAGAAGCTTATGTTTTACACTGACCTTTGGCAGAGTCACATATGAAAATGGATATCGGGCCGGGTGCAGTGGCTCACGCCTATAATCCCAGCACTTTGGGAGGCCGAGGCGGGCAGATCACAAGGTCAGGAGTTTCCAGCCTGGCCAACATAGTGAAACCCCATCTCTATAAAAAAATACAAAAAAATTAGCTGGGCATGGTGGCGGGCACCTGTAATCCCAGCTACTTGGGAGGCTGAGGCAGGAGAATAGCTTGAACCGAGGAGGCAGAGGTTGCAGTCAGCCGAGATTGCACCACTGCACTCCAGCCCAGGCAACAGAGCAAGACTCCGTCTCAAAAGAAAAAAAAAAAAAAAAGATACTAAATTTTGTAACTGTCATTCACATAGGCCCTGAACTAATTTTTTTTTTTTTTTTTTTTTTTTTTGTGACGGAGTTTCACTCTTGTTGCCCAGGCTGGAGCGCAATGGCGTGATCTCAGCTTACCGCAACCTCCACCTTCCAGGTTCAAGCGATTCTCCTGCCTCAGCCTCCCAAGTAGCTGGGATTACAGGCATGCGCCACCACACCCAGCCAATTTTGTATTTTTAGTAGAGATGGGGTTTCTCCATGTTGGTCAAGCTGGTCTCGAACTCCCAACCTCAGGTGATCAGCCTGTCTCAGCCTCCCAAAGTGCTGGGATTACAGGCATGAGCCACCGCACCCAGCCACTAATGGTCTTCTTGAGCCTCCGGAGACCGGACCTTTAATAGTCTTTTTTTGTTCATAAGTAGTACATATCTGATATGTTGTAGTTACTCAGTATACTTCTTGAATGAATGAATGTCATTGCCATTTTAAAATTAAAAATACAAATAAGCCAAAAGGAGAAATTAAGTCACCAGTCTTGCCACACAGACCTAACTACTAACATTCTTCTGAAGATGAGAGATAACTAGCCTCCTGCCTCTGGTCCCTGAGTCTTCCTTCATGGGGAGGGTTCATTGTAGGGACTGTGGCCATGGGACAACCTTGCTGGTAAAGCCAGCTGTTGAAGAGCCAGAAATATTGATAGTAGGCTTGCCAGGAAAATTCCTTTGAAAGTGGCACTACTTGCTGGCTCTCAAATTACTATCCTCTGTAATAAGGGTCAGATTTAAAATTACATACTCAGGGACAAAATATAAACTTATGTTTGGATTAAACTTTTTCTACCTGTTTAAAAAGACAAGTTAGAATACCTATGTTGTGTATGCCTAGAACTTAGAAAATTATAATGTACAAGAATCTTTTCTGTTGTGTTTTTTGTAAGTGGTCTTGTGAGTTAATAAAGAAGCAATGTGATTGGATGGGAAGAACAGCGGATTGGGAGTCTACAATGTCAAATATTAGACCTAACTAATCACACACTAAGCTAAAGATTATGTTTACTCACTTTGAGTCTCTGTTTCCACATCAGTTAAACAAGGAACCACACTAGACAGTCTTTCAGCCCTCCCATGGTAGTATAAGGCATAAACCTCAATTTCGTTATGCTTCTCAAGGACCACTCTACTTTTCTGTGTTGTTAAGAGTTGAGGGGCTGCCTTTCTAAGATTCTAGGAACCAAATTCTAGGGTAGTTTTCTAAGATTCTAGGAACCAAAAGTTAGCAAGTGAAGAGGAAACAGAATACTTTTGAATTTGCCCAGCTGTGCTTTTTATAGGAAGAGCCATTTCTAGTCAGAGGATTTCAGAACATTTCAAAACTCTGTGGTGATATACTGGTTACATTCTTCCTTAGACTAAAATTACAACCTGAATGCACTTAATGATACATATGTGTATTGTAATTTGTAAACATAACTCAAAACCCTGTATCTGAGTGAGGTCATTTGTGGTTAGCCATTCAGACTTCATTTCTATTTGACAAGGGTTTATTTTAAGATTGCTTTGTGGAGCAGTTGTTTAACATTCAAGTGATCTATTAGTATTAAGTCTTTAACCAGACTTGTTTTAAATGAGCTGTCTGTGAAGTAGAAAACCAAATATTATAGAAACTTAGATTTCCAATCCAACTTAGCGAAATCAATGTAACTTAAACGTTGTCTTCACATATGTTTGTTTAACCTGTTTTTTTTCCTTCAGTATTCCTTTAGAAGAATAGTAACTGTGTGAATAAAACTTTTTAGTTACTCTTGATACTATGGTTTAGCAAGAACTGTAGACTTAATTGGTTGAGAAAAGAACATTTAAAGTAAATGAATGCTTTAGTAAGTTAATTATTTCTTAGCATATCACAAATATATGTAGAAAGAATAAGATCTCATTCTATAGCTTTATTCCTAGGTTATTAAAAGCAAACTTCTATGGAAGTTAGTTCTCATTAGGCTATATATATATAGTGTGTGTGTGTGTGTGTGTGTGTATTTATCTATACATATATACATACATACATACATACAGGCTATGTATTGTAATCCATTGGTTATTTTGTTGGGGATGTGGGTCAATTGGATGAAAGCTAAAGATGACTTATGTAAATAGCCAAACTGTGTTTCAGAATTGTTTTATACATCAATCTAATTCTTACCATTAGTACCGTGGCTTCCTCTCCTCTTTCCTGGTGTCCAGATTGTCACAGCTAAAGGGCATTTCTTCCTATTTAGCAAATATAACCATTATCAATGTTTAAAATGAGATTTTCGGCCCCTTCCCTTTTGTGTTATAGGTGCTCCATACTTGCTTGCAGTGCCTACGTGGCTCTGGCTTTGGGTGATAACCTCATGGCTTTGAATCATGCAGATAAACTTCTTCAGCAGCCCAAGCTGTCAGGATCTCTTAAGTAAGTGTGACTTGCCCTGTGTGTCCCTGGTTTCTTTAGTTTTGAGGTTTCTCCTTGGTTTGTGGTTTATGTTGCTTCTTTTGACTCCTCCAGTGGAATATATATTTGTAAGGAAAGCAACTGTTTAAAAGAACGTTTTTTAACCCATGCCTCGGCAGTGAAAATGTTTTCACTTGTGCTGTACTGAGCGTTAGGAGACAAAAACTTCGGACTCTAGTGTCCACTTCTAGGCTTCACTGCAGCACTTTAATTCTCCAAATAAGTCAAGTCCTCAGAGAGAAGACCTACAAAAAAAGGAGTGTGGTCAATGTGATAAATCTACTTTGAGGGACCAGGCACGGTGGCTCACGCCTGTAATCCCAGCACTTTGGGAGGCCGAGGCAGGCAAATCACGAGGTCAGGAGTTCAAGACCAGCCTGGCCAACATGGTGAAACCCTGCCTCTACTAAAAATACAAAAAATTAGCTGGGCGTAGTGGCGGGCACCTGTAATCCCAGCTACTCAGGAGGCTGAGGCAGGAGAATCGCTTGAACCCAGGAGTCAGAGGTTGCAGTGAGATCTCTGCACCACTGCACTCCAGTCTAGGCTACAGAGCAAGACTCTGTCTCAAAAAAAAAAAAAATAGACAAGAATTTGAAAAATCTTTCCAAGCTACTGTATCATTCCAGAATCAGCTAGTTTTAGTCAAACTGCAAATACTTCTTCATTAATATCATTGTCATTCTAAAATTTTCCAAAGCACATTATCTTTTCTTTTACCAAAATTGAGTAAAATACAGGCCAGGTGTGGTGGCTCATGCCTGTAATCCCAGCACTTTGGGAGGCTGAGGTAGGCAGATCATTTGAGGTCGGGAGTCTGAGACCAGCCCAGCCAACGTGGTAAAACCCCATCTCTACTAAAAATACAAAAATTAGCCAGGCATGGTGGCAGGCATCCATAATTCCAGCTACTCGGGAAGTTGAAACAGGAGAATCACTTGAGCCTGGGGGGCGGACGTTGCGGTGAGCCACGGTTGCACCATTGCACTCCAGGCGGAGTGACACAGCAAGACTCCCTCTCAAAAAATAAAAATAAAATACAGCTTGAATTTTTGTATGGTGCTGATCCTGGAAATTTTATCAAAAGCCACGAGTATTCTGCACAACATTAGAACAGTTCTTTCATTCATCGTATAGGTGTATACTTACAAATGCCAAAATATAACTACTTACTCTTTGGCTTTTTAGTGATCCCCAAACATACCTAGTGTTTTTGTTTTTTTTTTAAGTAATTAAGGCCAGGCGCTGTGGCTCACACCTGTAATCCCAGCACTTTGGGAGGCCTACCTGGGCAAATCATTTGAGGTCAGGAGTTGGAGACCAGCCCTGCCAATATGGTGAAACCCCATCTCTACTGAAAATATGAAAATTAGCCGGGCATGGGGGCACACTCCTGTAATCCCAGCTACTCGGGAGGCTGAGGCACGAGAATTGCTTGAGCCTGGGAGGCAGAAGCTGCAGTGAGCCAAGATTGTACCACTGCATTCCAAACTGGGTGACAGAGTGAGACTCCATCTCAAAAAAAAGTAATAAATCATTCAACTATATAAGAGACTTTGTCACAATTCAAATATAAGGGAGCTCCTGCTCTTCTGCAAGAAAATCTTGTCCAATATTCAGGCCTGGAGATGGGGAAGATCCTAATTTTCAGTTCAAGGCATTTGGGTTGCCTCTAAAGTACCTTCCGTCCTTATCATTGCCCAACTCAAAATGCCAATGTTGGGAATTGCAGCTGATGCTGGTGTTCAGATTGTGGTGTATACGGCCATTATGAGAGAACTGGACTTTGTGTGTTTGTGTGTGACTGAGTCTGTCTGGGTCACCCACACTAGAGTGCAGTAGCACAATCTCAACTCACTGCAACCTCCACTGTCTGGGTTCAGGCGATTCTCCTGCCTCAGCCTCCCGAGTAGCTGGGATTACAGGAGCCCACCACCACACCCGGCTAATTTTTTTTCTTTTTCTGAGACAGTTTCACTCTGTTGCCCAGGCTGGAGTGCAGTGGCATGATCTCAGCTCACTGCAACCTCTGCCTCCCCAGTTCAAGGGATTCTCCTGCCTCAGCCTCCTGCGTAGCTGGGATTACAGGTGCACGCCACTATGCCCTACTAATTTCTTTTTTTTTTTTTTTTCTTTTTTTGAAACGGAGTTTCACAGGCATGAGCCACCGCACCTGGCTACTTTTTGTATTTGCTCTTATTGCCCAGGCTGGAGTGCAATGGCGTGATCTCGGCTCATCACAGCTTCCATCTCCCGGGTTCAAGCGATTCTCCTGCCTCAGCCTCCCAAGTAGCTGGGATTACAGGCATGCACCACCACGCCCGGCTAATTTTGTATTTTTAGTAGAGATGGGGTTTCTCCATGTTGGTCAGGCTGGTCTCGAACTCCCGACCTCAGGTGATCTGCCATCTTGGCCTCCCAAAGTGCTGGGATTACAGGCATGAGCCACCATGCTCAACCTGGAGAGTTTTAAAACTATAAAAGTTTAGTTTGTGGTGGTGTTGTTCTTGTGTAGAAAGTCATTAAGATTTTGAGCAGATCAAAAGGTCCCCAGTTAAAAAAAAAAAAAAAAGCTGGGCATGGTGGCTCACGCCTGTAATACCAACACTTTGGGAGGCCAAGACGGGCGGATCACGAGATCAGGAGATCGATCTTAATTTTTATTTTTATTTTTTTTGAGATGGCGTCTCACTCTGTCATTCAGGCTGAGGTGCAGTGGCATGATCACTGCTCACTGCAGCCTCAGTCTCCCATGCTTAAGTGATTCTCCCACCTCAGCCTCCTGAGTAGCTGAGACTACAGGTGTATGCCACCACGCCCAGCTAATTTTTGTATTTTTTTTGTAGAGACAGGGTTTTGCCATGTTGCCCACGCTGTTCTCAAACTCCTGGACTCAGCAGTCCACCCACCTAGGCTTCTTGAAGTGTTGAGATTAAAGGCATGAGCCACTACACCCAGGCAGTTGATTCGTTTTACCTAAATAAATTTAGATTTCAATTTAAGGACATGAAATATGAGACCTATATCCAATGTATAATAACATAATATACCCAGCATTATTTTACATTGGGTATTTTTGTGACGTTGTACTTTTCAGTTTGGAATCTGTTTTTTCATTTTAGGTTTTTGGGACATTTATATGCTGCAGAAGCCCTCATCTCTCTCGACAGAATATCTGATGCCATTACTCACTTGAACCCGGAGAATGTCACTGATGTCTCCTTAGGGATCTCTTCAAATGAGCAGGACCAAGGTTAATGAGGACATCTTTGATCAGAACTGGTCACTGTTTCCATTTCCCTCCTGTCATAATTCAGGATGTGTGGAAATTTAGGCATGGTGGTAATGAGAAGAAAGTTTTAGGTTGGCTTTCCACATTTTTGTCTGTACTTACTTTGTAGCAGTTGTTTGCTAAGTAGACCTGAGAGTTAATGATCACATCATCTAAATTCTCACTTTTGAAAGGCTGGTACTGTTAGAATGGTTAATTTTGGTTCTGATACTATTTATTTGTTTTCCTTTGGAGTGATTCTAAAATCCATAGGGGAGTAAAAATATTGCATTCAAGAGTCAGTTTTAGTCCAGGCGTGGTGGCTCACGCCTGTAATCCCAGCACTTTGGGAGGCTGTAGCAGGAGGGTCACTTGAGCCCAAGAGTTCAAGACCAGCCTGGGCAACCTGGTGAGACCCTGTCTCTATTTTAAAAATAAGGAAAGAAAAAAAAGTTTGTTTTAAGTCATTGCTAAATTTCTAAATAATTGTCGGGTGCGGTGGCTCACACCTGTAATCCCAACACTTTGGGAGGCCGAGGCAGGTGGATCACCTGAGGTCAGGAGTTCAAGACCAGCCTGGCCAACATAGTGAAACCCCGTCTCTACCAAAAATACAAAATTAGTAGGGCGTGGTGGTGCAAGCCTGTAATCTCACCTACTCAGGAGGCTGAGACAGGAGAATCGCTTGCACCTGAGAGGTGGAGGTTGCAGTGAGCCAAGATCACGCCACTGCACTCCAGCCTGGGTGACAGAGCAAGACTCTGTCTGAAGAAAAAAAAAAAATTAAATAATTAAAGCTATGTGACATTCATTTTACTCAAGACTAGTGCTCAGGTTTGAGATGGTGGTGGGTGGTAGCATTCTGGCATTTTTTAATGGAATCTCCACTACATGAAAAGTAAATAAATTGCTTTATATTAAATTTCCATTTCATAAAGAAAGTTAGGTTTTTAGAAAATATGCTCTCAGCTGGCCACAGTGGCTCACACCTGTAATCCCAGCACTTTGGGAGGCTGTGGTGGGTGGATCACCTAAGGTCAGGAGTTCAAGACCAGCCTGACCAACATGGTGAAACCCTGTCTCTACTAAAAATACAAAATTAGCCAGGCATGGTGGTATGCCCCTGTAATCCCAGCTACTCAGGAGGCTGAGGCCAGAGAATCACTTGAACTCAAGAGGCGGAGGTTGCAGTGAGTCGTGCCATTGCACTCCAGCCTGGGCGGCAACAAGAGCAAAACTCCATCTCCAAAAAAAAAACCAGCCTGACCAACATGGTGAAACCCCGTCTCTACTAAAAATACAAAAACTAGCCAGGGATGGTGGCACATGCCTGTAATCCCAGCTACTCAGGAGGCTGAGGCAGGAGAATCGCTTGAATCCAGGAGGCGGAGGTTGCAGTGAGCCGAGATCATGCCCCTGCACTCCAGCCTGGGCAACAGAGCGAGGCTCCATCTCAAAAAAAAAAAAAAGAAAAGAAAAGAAAATATGCCCTCTACCTTCTGAGCCCGAGGAGAAAAGAAAGAAAATATGCTCTGTTGTTCTGCCCCTCAGATTTATTTTCGTGTTTTTGTAGGATCAGACAAAGGTGAAAATGAAGCAATGGAATCCTGTAAGTAAGAAGTTTTGTGATACTTAAGTAGCCTGGCCTGCATCCCAAAAATTTAGATTCTAAATCTTCTGTGTTCGTTTTTCTGCCTGAGGAATACTGCTGTGCCAAGTGGCTCCTCAAGGCGATAGATTGGGTTGCTTCCTTGCTGTTGGCACGGCCTCTTCACCAGTGTCTACACTCTTTTTCCCCAGCTGGTAAGCGGGCCCCTCAGTGCTACCCCAGTTCCGTCAACTCTGCCAGGACTGTGATGCTGTTCAACCTTGGCAGCGCTTACTGCCTGAGGAGCGAATATGACAAAGCCCGAAAGTGTCTCCACCAGGTGAGTCCAGAGTGGGAGGAACTGAACCTTGTAAAGCAGCCAACACAAGTTTGAGGTTTATATTTTTTGTTACTTTGTTTGAAGCATCTGATCAGTTTGTTAAATATTGGAATATCACTTTCCCAGATATAAAAATATTCTTGCAAGGTAAACAACTAATCAGCATTGTAAATGAACCTAGACACTTAAAGGAAAGTTCTTCTTGATGATTTTATTTTAAAAAAAATTTTTTTTTGCCAGGCACAGTGGCTCATGCCTCCCAGCACTTTGGGAGGCCGAGGCAGGCGGATCATGAGGTCAGGAGTTTGAGACCAGCCTGGCCAATATGGTGAAACCCCATCTCTACTAAAAATACAAAAATTAGCCAGGTTGGTGGCACGCACCTGTAGTCCCAGCTACTCGGGAGGCTGAAGCAGGAGAATCGCTTGAATCCGGGAGGCGGAGGTTGCAGTGAGCCAAGATTGTGCCACTGTACTCCAGCCTGGGCAACAGAGCGAGACTCCGTCTCAAAAAAAAAAAAAGATGTTTAAATTTCAAATCAGCAGAATAAAAAGCAACTTGGGGCCGGGCACAGTGGCTCACATCTGTAATCCCACACTCTGGGAGGCTGAGACAGGCAGATCACTTGAGTCCAGGGGTTTGAGACCAGCCTGGGCAACATAATGAGACCCTGTCTCTACTAAAAATACCAAAAATTAGCCAGGCATGGTGGTGCATTCCTGTAGTCCCAGATACTTAGGAGACAGAGGTAGGAGGATTACCTGAGCCTGGGAGGTTGAGGCTGTAGTCAGCCAAGATCATGCCACTGCACTCCAGCCTGGGCAACTGGAGTGAGACCCTGTCCCCCCAAAAAAAAAAGACAAAAGAAGTAAGTTGACAGTTTTAATTATTAAAATTCCAAAAGATGGAAAACTGTCTAAAAGATCACTTATATAAATAATAGTGCATCTGTACAGTTGAAGACAATGCAGCTATAAACTCTAGGTACTAAAATGGAAAGATGTCCAAGACATACTAAATGAAAACAGCAAGGTGTGAAACAGTTTCTGTATAACCCTGTATACATGCATAAAAGATCTCTGAAAGGACACACCAAGAAACTGCAAACATTAGTTGTTGGGGTGGCAGGACGAATACTACATGGCTGGAGCAGTAGAATGGGAGACTTTTCACTGTATACTGTTATGCTTTTAATTTTTTTTTTTTTTTTTTTGAGACGGAGTTTCGCTCTTGTTGCCCAGACTGGAGTGCAATGGCGCAATCTCGGCTCACTGCAACCTCCGCCTCCCGGGTTCAAACACTTCTCCTGCGTCAGCCTCCCAAGTAGCTGGGATTACAGGCATGTACCACCACGCCCGGCTAATTTTGTATTTTTAATAGAGACGGGGTTTCTCCATGTTGAGGCTGGTCTCGAACTCCTGGCCTCAGGTGATCCACCCGCCTCAGCCTCCCAAAGTGCTGGGATTACAGGTGTGAGCCACCGTGCCCAGGTGCTTTTAAATTTTGAATTGTGTAAATCTTTTTTCAAAATGTGAATTATAGGCCAGGCACGGTGGCTCATGCCTGTAATCCCAGCACTTTGGGAGGCCGAGGTGGGCGGATCATGAGGTCAGGAGATCAAGACCATCCTGGCTAACACGGTGAAACCCTGTCTCTACTAAAAATACAAAAAAATTAGCCAGGCGTGGTGGCATGTGCCTGTAGTCCCAGCTACTCGGGCGGCTGAGGCAGGAGAATGGCATGAACCCGGGAGGTGGAGCTTGCAGTGAGCCAAGATCGCGCCACTGCACTCCAGCCCGGGCAACAGAGCGGGACTCTGTCTCAAAAAAAAAAAAAAAAAGTGAATTATAAATCCACCTTTCAGAAAGCCAATACTAGAGAAACTCCATACACACTAAAGAAAGCTACTGGCAATATATAACTAAAATAAACCTCTGAATTCTACCACTGAAATGGTGCATCATGAAGCTTCAAGGAAGATTTTGATTGGATCTCTTTAGTAGGTCACCTGCCAATCCCTGGACCAATCATGGGCATTGAGCCATACCTGTAGTAGGGGACTGGGTACCACCATTGGCAGCCCCAGAGGAATCTCACAAAATTAGAAATAGTTCCTCAAAAGGACATTCATCCAGCAGATATCTGTTGAGCACTTACTTCTGAGCTAAGCCATGGGAATAAGACTGCACATAAGCAGACATACTACAATCTTGCCCTTGCTTGTAGACCTTTGCAGTTAGGAGACACCTTCCTAAAAAGGGAATTGCATGGTCAGAGGATATGCAGGATTTTAAGACTTCTGATATAGAAAGTTTGTATCAAATGGTACATTCTCCAGCAGCAGATGAGAAGGCCCACATCCCCACATGCTTGCCACAGCAACTAAAGTTGATATTAAACCTCTTCTCAGGAGATAGGGTGGCTTTCAGCCGGGCGCAGTGGCTCACACCTGTAATCCCAACACTTTGGGAGGCCGAGGCAGGCAGATCACCTGAGGTCAGGAGTTCGAGACCAGCCTTACCAACATGGAGAAATCCTATCTCTACTAAAAATGCAAAAAGTAGCTGGGCGTGGTAGCACATGCCTGTAACCCCAGATACTCGGGAGGCTGAGGCAGGATAATTGCTTGAACGCAGGAGGTGGAGGTTGTGGTGAGCCGAGATCGCGCCATTGCACTACAGCCTGGGCAACAAGAGCGAAACTCTGTCTCAAAAAAAAAAAAAAAAAAGCCTATGTGGCTTTCACATAGGTTCCTGCTTATGTGAGCAGCCTTGTTGTGCCTAGAAGTGATGATGCTTTACCATGTGAAAAATAACTACAAATTCTATTTAGTCAACTTAGTGGCATCTGGTCAGCATTTCTGATCCCAGATCAGAAAAGTTAAGTGACAGGCTGTCCAGGGTAACATGTTTGATATTATCTAGGCATTGAGTGTATGAGTTAAACCAGTAAGAGTTAAAATGTTTCACTCTTCTCAGTAACAAGGCTAGGGTGTTGAGCAGCCCCTCTCAAAGTGCCCCCAGACCTCAGTCACTGCAGCAAACAGAGCTTTTGATCTAAAGTTACAGTGTGTACAGTCCAGCTGAGGTTCTCGTACAGCAGGTGGCCATGGCTGCTGCCACGCTGGGAGAGACAGATGGGGTCAGGCCTGGTTTGGGGTCTGAAGGGGGTTTTGTTTTGGTCCCTTGGTTTTTAGGTTAATCCAATGGCTGGACCTTTGTTAATTGGGAGGCCCACCCTGCCTGGGAGGGAAGAACAGTGATGTGAAGAGTTGGAAAGGGCTCCGAGTAGATGTTTCCAAGGTTGCCTGCCCACCACTAACCATTCTGAACAGCCAGTAAGCAAAATGCCATTAAGTATCATAAAGATGTTGCCTTGAATTCTTGTATTTTAAAAAAAGCTTCAGACTGTGGTCATTGAAAAAAACAGTAAATAAAATGTGTTACTAGCCACTTGGATGGAAAACAGAGATTTTACTATCCACAAAATGGGCCGGGCACAGTGGCTCACATCTGTAATCCCAGCACTTTGGGAGGCCAAGGCGGGTGGATCATCTGAGGTGAGGAGTTCAAGACTAGCCTGGACAACATGATGAAACCCCGTCTATACTAAAAATACAAGAAATTAGCTGGGCGTGGTGGCAGGAGCCTGTAATCCCAGCTACTTGGGAGGCTGAGGCAGAAGAATCGCTTGAACCCAGGAGGCGGAGGTTGCAGTGAGCCTAGATCGTGCAATTGCACTCCAGCCTGGGCAACAAGAGCAAAACTCCGTCTCAAAAAAAAAAAATCCACAAAATGGTATAAAGACGATCTTGCCTATACAGCTTGCCTAGAAAGCTAGGCTTAGATATATAAAATCTCATTTTCTGAAAAGAGTTGTTATACCTCAGTGTTGTGGCGAGAGGAATAAAAGCCTCCCCACCTCATTCATGAGGAACTTCTTAGAAGCACATGCTCTGGGCAACATGCCCCGCTAGTCTGAGATTTCTCCTAATGCTGCCAGAAACCAACCTAGTACACGTTTCTGGTCTTCCCCAACATCTCCCACGTTCAAGCTGCTACCTTCAGTACCATTTCTCCCCATTTTCTACCTGTGAGATATCTACCCTGCAAGGACTAAAGCAGGCCTCCCTTACCCCAAAGCTCTGTTTGAAAGAAACTTCTTCCTTTCTCTCCATATTCACAGCACATTCACTGCCTTTCTCCCTGGCATTTACGTAACTGTGTTTGGATTATTGTTAGTTATTTGCATGCTTGTTTGTTATCAGGGGAAGTCCCTGTCTTATCTCCATACCCACCTCTGTTCAATAAGTATTTGTAGAAGTCTATTATCTGATTAGATTAAGAGAAGAGGCAGAGCTGTCTGGAAGCAATGAGCAACTAAAACTAGATGGGGAAGTACAAGTTGATAATAAGGTGAGGAATATTTTGGCTGTAGCTCAAAGAGGCCCAGACTGAGGAAATAAACCTGTAATTTCAGCACTTCTGTCCAGAGCAGTCCAGGCTTCCTTCTTCAGGACTGGATCAGAGAGAAACTGCTGGCCGATGCTATGGCTCTTACTCAGATCTAAGGGCAGCATGTTGCCTAAACTAGTAAATTATTTTATTGGACTAAATTGAAGTGTGTTTCAGTCCTTAAGAATGGAGACCTCAAACATGCTACGTGGTACGTTTTTTCTGTATTACTATAAGTTTGAATTATTATTCCTGACATTGACAACTTACAGTTTGTAATACTGAAGTGTTACTTAGGAAAACAAATGGGCATGCAGATTTTGATGTAATTGCAACTGTATGTGTCTGTTGTGAAAGCCACCAGCAGAATTGGATGGTTGACTGTAGTATCGGGGTGTCCAGTCACCCATCTCAAAACCCAGAGTATTACATGTCTAGCTTAATTGTTAGGTTTTAAGACAAAAGGAACTGAGGCTCATCAGAGCAGAACAACAGGTAGTCCCTAGGAAGTCACGTGGGAATGAGCTTGAATAAGTTTGTTACCTTGTTGGTTGGCAGATGTACTTGGAGTGTGTATCTTAAGCTTTTGTTTTTTCACGGGCATCTTTCTGTTTTGAGCAAAGGCGGCTTCAATGATCCATCCTAAAGAGGTGCCCCCTGAGGCCATCTTGCTGGCAGTCTACCTTGAACTGCAGAATGGTGAGTAATTCTCTCTGTTTAGGACTTTATCCCTTGAAAGAGCCTGAGATTTTTTGGTTGGGAGACAGGGTCTCACTGTGTTGCCCAGGCTGGAGTGCAGTGGTACCATCAGAGCTCACTGCAGCCTCCAAACTCCTAGGCTCAAGCAGCCTTCCCACCTCAGCCTTCCAGGTAGCTGGGACTACAGGTGCACGCCACTGAGCCCAACTAATTTTTTAAATTTTTTTTAGAGATGTGGTCTCGCTTTGTTGCCCAGGCTGCTCTCAAACTCATGGGCTCAAGCAGTCCTCCCATCTTACCCTCCCTAGTAGCTGGGATGACAAGCATAAGCCACCATGCTCAGCCAAGGCTGAGATTTTTTTTTTTTTTTTTTTTTTTTTTGAGACAGAGTCTTGCTCTGTAGCCCAGGCTGGAGTGCAGTGGCGCGATCTCGGCTCACTGCAAGTTCCGCCTCCCGGGTTCATGCCATTCTCCTGCCTCAGCCTCCTGAGTAGCTAGGACTACAGGCGCCCGCCACCACGCCCACCTAATTTTGTGTATTTTTAGTAGAGACAGGGTTTCACCGTGTTGGCCACGATGGTCTCGATCTCCTGACCTCATGATCTGCCCACCTCGGCCTCCCAAAGTGCTTGGATTACAGGCGTGAGCCACCGCACCCGGCAAGGCTGAGATTTTTAATGTCTGTTTTTTCTCTTCAGAGTCAGAAATTTGCCTTCCTTGAAGATAGGTGACCCATCAAATTCTTTTTTTTTTTTCTTTTTTGAGATGGAGTCTCGCTCTGTCACCCAGGCTGGAGTGCAGTGGCACTATCTCAGCTCACTGCAACCTCCGCCTCCCGGGTTCAAGGTTCAAGAGATTCTCCTGTCTCAGCCTCTCAAGTAGCTGGGATTACAGGCACCCACCAACATGCCTGGTTAATTTTTGTATTTTTAGTAGAGACCGGGTTCACCACGTTGGCCAAGCTGGTCTTGAACTTCTGACCTCAGGTGATCTGCCTGCCTCGGCCTCTTAAAGTGCTGGGATTATAGGCGTGAGCCAGAGCGACGACCCATCAAATTCTTCTACATAAAAATATAGTTAGGAGCTGGGCGCAGTGGCACATGCCTATAATCCCAGCACTTTGGGAGGCTGAGGTGGGCTGATCACCAGAGTTCAGGAGTTCAAGACCAGCCTGGGCAACATGGCAAAACCCCATCTCTACAAAAAATACAAAAATTAGCTGGGTGTGGTGGTGTGCGCCTGTAGTTCCAGCTACTGGGAAGGCTGAGATTGGAGGATCACTTGAGCCCTGGAGGTTGAGGCTGCAGTGAACTGAGATCATGCCAGAATAAGACCTTGTCTAAAAAAATAATAATAGGCCGGGCACAGTGGCTCACGCCTATAATCCCAGCACTTTGGGAGGCCGACACGGGTGGATCATTTGAGGTCAGGAGTTCGAAACCAGCCTAGCCAACATGGTAAAACCCCATCTTTACTGAAAATACAAAAATTAGCCAGGCGTGGTGGCGCATGCCTGTAATCCAGGTACTTAGGAGGCTGAAGCAGGAGAATCGCTTGAGCCTGGGAGGTGGGAGGTTGCAGTGAGCCGAGACACACCACTGCACTCCAATCTGGGCGACAGAGTGAAACCCTGTCTCAAATAATAATAATAATAAATACCTATATCTATCTAGATAGATAGATAGATAAATAGATAAATTGATAGATATAGTTAGGGAGTTTTTGGTATCCTACAAATACTCCTTACAAGTTAAGCTTATCTCCTTTTATCTGAGAAAATACAGAATCATAACTTCAGACACTTAATTATAATTAATCACTATTAATTAACCTTTCTCCTAGGCAGCTAAATGACTGAGAACATGAGTTAGAATGCAGTTGCTTTGAGTTATACACCATAGTATTTTGAACACATATTAACAAGTTTTACAGTAAGCCAGTTCTTGCTGAGAATTATTTATTCAAACATAAATTCAGGTCATGCCTCTAGGGCATATACGATCTCCAAGATGTATCTCACTAGAAGAAAGGCTGTTGGCTCTAAATATGAGATAGCATGAAGTAGAAAAGAGACATGAATGAGAGAGATTAGAAGGGACAGAAATAGGCCAGGTGCGGTGGCTCATGCATGTAATCCCAACACTTTGGGAGGCCGAGGCGGGCAGATCATGAGGTCAGGAGATCGAGACCATCCTGGCTAACATGGTGAAACCCTGTCTCTACTAAAAATACACAAAATTAGCTGGGCGTGTTGGCATACAGTTGTAGTTCCAGCTACTCAGCAGGCTGAGGCAGGAGAATTGCTTGAATCCGGAGGCGGAGGTTGCACTGAGCCGAGATCGTGCCACTGCACTCCAGTCTGAACGACAGAGCGAGACTCCGTCTCAAAAAAAAAAAGGGACATAAATGAAGTCACAGCCAAGCATGGAGTCCTAGCTACTCTGGAGGCTGAGGCGGGAGGATTGCTTAAGGCCAAGAGTTCAAGGCTATAGTGTGCAGTATTGCTCCTGTGAACAGTCACTGCACTCCAGCCTGGGCAATATAGTGAGACCCTGTCTCTTTTTTAAAAAATAAAAAATTTTAAAAAGGCTGGGCACAGTAGCTCATGCCCGTAATCCCAGCTACTCTGGAGGCTGAGGCAGGAGAATTGCTTGAATCTGGGAGATGGAGGTTGCAGTGAGCCGTAATCGCCCCACTGCACTCTAGCCTGGGCCACAGAACAAGACTCTGTCTCAAAAAAAACCCAATGTTCTAAGGCATAACTCCTTGTTGACCTTGGGAACTCTTACAAGGCTCCCTTTTTTTTAATAGCTGAAGAAGGGGTCTTTAGTGCCTGGCACCCAGCGGGCCTTAGCCTCCTTAAAGATGTGATTAGGGTTAGTGCATTGCCCTAGATTGTTTCATTGTTTTTTGTTTGTCTTGAGACAGGGTCTCACTTTGTCACCCAGGCTGGAATGTAGTGGCGTGATCTTGGCTCACTGCAGCCTTGACCTCCCAGGTTCAAGCAGCCCTCCTGCCTCAGCCCCCCAAGTAGCTGGGACTACAGGCATGCACCACCATGCCCAGCTAATTTTTGTATTTTTTTGTAGAGACGGGGTTTCACCATGGTACCCAAGCTGGTCTCGAACTCCTGAGCTCAGGCGATCTGCCCACCTTGGCCTCCCAAAGTACTAGGGTTACAGGCATGAACCAACCCTCCCAGATGATTGTTTCTTTTATACAGCCCACCTATAACAAGTTCTCTACCTGGGCTATACCTTAGAATCACTGGGAAGCTTTTTAAAATTCCATTGCCTGGGCCATGCCCTACATCGCTTAAATCAGAATTTCTGGGGATAAGATGGAGGCTTTATGGGATTCCAGTATACAGCCAAGGCTGCAGATGACAGCTCTTCTAGATCATCTTTTACCTCCCCAGCAGGATTTTCATGTCTTGCTTTGTGTGTGGCAGTATTGTTCTGTGCTTTGTTTTTTAACGGGAAGTGTTTTTATAGGTAATACTCAGCTGGCCTTACAGATCATCAAAAGGAATCAGCTGCTCCCTGCAGTGAAAACACACTCTGAAGTGAGAAAGAAGCCAGTGTTTCAGCCTGTCCACCCGATCCAGCCCATCCAAATGCCGGCTTTCACCACTGTGCAGAGAAAGTGATACTTCACTTTTGGAAAACTGTTACCTGAGACCCAGGGGAGAATTTACTGGCCATTTTAGTTGTATCACAGCAGAATGAATAAAAGATGGTGAAGGCTGTTAATTTTGAGTCAATTCTACCCCTGACATTTGGCCAAAAGCTTACTTAAAATTAAGGATTTACTAAGTCATCATCAGCTGTTTTTCTTAATTTCAGCCAGACTATTAATTTTGAGCCATTATGTAATATATGCCATAGGCAATTAAAACATAATTTTATCAGAAGTCTTTTACACTTTTATTGACTATTAGATTATTTTAGCATCTGAGGTTTTGTGTTAACGTTCAAAAATTGACAAAGAACATCAGCAGTAGATGAAATAGCCAGTTCAGAAGCTGACCTGGGGGTGAAGGGGAGGGAAAGAGAGTTGACGTGTTTTATGTCTAGTTATGACTGAAAAGACCAGAAAATGTGTTGAGAAAGTAGGTTAAGAAGATACAACTGGGCCAGGCACAGTGGCTCATCCCTATAATCCCAGCACTTTGGGAGGCTGAGGTGGGCAGATCACTTGAGGTCAGGAGTTTGAGACCAGCCTGGCCAACATGGTGAAACCCCGTCTCTACTAAAAATACAAAAATTAGCCAAGCATGGTGGCACACACCTGTAGTCCCAGCTACTCAGGAGGCTGAGGCAGGAGAATCGCTTGAACCTAGGAGGTCGAGGTTGCGGTTAGCCGAGATTGCACCATTGCACTCCAGCCTGGGCGACAGAACAAGACTGCCTCAAAAAAGAAGACACAACTGATCTGTTAGGAATCATTTGCTTAAAAAGTGCAAATACAACAGGGTTCAGTGTACTGGCCTTGTTCACTCTCCTAGGTTCTGGAGTCTGCTGGCAGGCAGTTCAAGGTTCATTACTAACCCTTTTGCAAATGCAAACAAGAATTTAATAGCTTCTTCCCAAGAGACAGTTATGTGTTGTGGGATTGACGTTGACAAAATTTGCCAATAGGATGTATATACACTAACATTAAGTAGGGGGAAAAAACAATACAAGTGGGTGCAGTGGCTCACATCTGTAATCCCAATGTTTTGGGAGACCAAGGCGGGAGGATCACTTGAGGAGTTCAAGACCAGCCTGAGCAACATAGCAAGACTCTGTCTCTGAAACATTTTTAAAAGCTGGACATGGTGGCCCATGCCAGTAGTCCTAACTATTCTGGAGGCTGAGGTGGGAGGATTGTTTGAGCCTAGGAATTCAAGACTGCAGTGAGCTATGATGGCACCACTGCACTCCAGCCTAAGTGACAGAGTGAGACCCTGTCTCAAACAAACAAAAGACAATGTGGATTTGCTCTAGTAAATTGGGTGTCCCCCTAGTTAAGATGGTGTTTGGTAGATTCATCAAAGCTTGCCATTTAGGAATATCCCTTAACGTCACAATGCTTCACTTCCCTAGTTTGGAGACACATTAGCTGAATCTACATGTTACCTCAGTTTCAGAACTAGAGAGACAAGTGTGTGGATAAGTACTGATTTATCTGAAACTTTATCTGAATTATTCTTTTTTTTTTTCCTTTGAGACGGAGTCTTGCTCTGTCTCCCAGGCTGGAGTGCAGTGGCACAATCTCGGCTCACTGCAACCTCTGCCTCCTGAGTTCAAGTGATTCTCCTGCCTCACCCTCCTGAGTAGCTGGGATTTCAGGTGCCCGCCACCACGCCTGGCTAATTGTTGTATTTTTAGTGGAGATGGGGTTTCACCATGTTGGTCAGGCTGGTCTGGAACTCCTGACCTTGTGATCCACCCGCCTCAGCCTCCCAAAGTGCTAGGATTACAGGTGTGAGCCACTGCACCTGGCCGTTTTTTTTTTTTTGAGACGGAGTTTTGCTCTTGTTGCCCAGGCTGAAGTACAATGGCACGATCTCGGCTCATCGCAACCTCCGCCTCCCAGATTCAAGTGATTCTCCTGCCTCAGCCTCCAGAGTAGCTGGGATTACAGGCATGCGCCACCATGTCTGGCTAATTTTGTATTTTTAGTAGAGATGGGGGTTTCTCCACGTTAGTCAGGCTGGTCTCGAACTCCGGACCTCAGGTGATCCGCCCGCCTCAGCCTCCCAACATGCTGGGATTACAGGCGTGAGCCATCGAGCCCAGCCTATCTGAATTATTCTGTTGCTGACAGGAAGCGGAACTCAGGTAATGATATATACTAGAACTGAATATTTGTGACTGAGATAGGCATTGCCAACAGACTCAAAGAAGGGGAGAATATCCTCCTCTTTTTAAACATGGATGGATGGATGTAGGGGCTCCATTGATCGAGTGCCACATTGTAGTTGTTTTGTACACAGAGTAGATTTTTACAGGTGGACACAGAAAGCAGAGATAGCCTAGCTTCCTTGGACCTCTTGAAGCCCCTTCTAAGTAGGACCATAGGACCCGTAATCTGCACTGCTGTTGGTTTAAGTCTGCCGTCTCTGCTTTCCCATACTCCAGACCGACAGCAGTACTGTGAGACCCACTCAAATGAGCAGAATTGCTTTGCCTGGGAATTTTCTGGAGAGTGAGTCCACAGACTTCATAAATCGCTAGGAACTCACATAGTCATGGTAGTATGAAGGGGAAAAGCCCTATAATTGTACTTCAAAAAAACACATCTTTAGAGAAATCAAGAAATTAGAACTTTCTCTGCATGCTGGTTTGTTTATGGGAAAGCAGGCAATACCTAGTAAGGGTAGGGCAGGTCCTATATTAAATAAGACTATATTTGGCTGCAAGTAGCAAAAAATAGGTCTGTGACTTAAAGATTATTTTTCTCTCACTTGAGAAGGGGATATGAAGGCAGCTGCTGGCCTGGGTTCTAGTGTCCCGTGATGCCATCCAGGACTCAGCTCTGTTTTTCCATGCCACTGTCCTCAGCATTTGGGCATTTGTTTCCATAGTCACAAGATATTCCAGTATCACATCAACATTGAAGGCAAGAAAAACAGGGCAAAAACTAGCTAATCTTGATGGGAGACTATCTGGAACAAAACTTTCTTAGAAACCTCAGCAGCCTTGAGCTTAACATCTCTTTTGTCACATCATGTCATGGAGCCATCCTAAGCTGCAGGGAAGCCTGGCAAAGATGTCATAACCATGCCTGCTGCAGTTGCTGGCATAGCCCTGCACATCCTAAGGGAGGCCAATTCAGTGTTTTTCAGATTAATGTTCCAGCAGCTCAGCTTTTCCTTCCACTGCCTACTGTCAGCAGAGCCCAGCAAATTAAATATAAGTTCTTCACCTCTGTGTCTGGACTCATACTGGTTCCCATAGCCAGGAAGGCTTCTTCCCACCTATTTTTCCTGCCCCATTTTGTTAAAGCCACCTCTGCTAACTGAGGTAACTCTGTCAGAGGGGTTTGAACCAGAGCAACTCCATCTTAAATGGGAGCTGGGTAAAATAAGGCTGAAAGCTACTGGGCTGCATTCCCATGTGGTTAAGGCTTAAGGCATTCTAAGTCACAGGATGAGATAGGGCAGCACAAGATACAGGTCATAAAGACCTTGCTGATAAAACAGGTTGCAGTAAAGAAGCCAGCTAAGACCCACCAAAACCAAGATGGTGATGAGAGTGACATCCTCACTGCTACACTCCCACCAGCGCCATAACAGTTTACAAATGCCATGGCAACATTGGGAAGTTACTCTATATGGTCTAAAAAGGGGAAACATGAATAATCCACCCATTGTTTAGCACATCATCAAGAAATAACCATAAAAATGGGCAACCAGCAGCTCTCAGGGCTGTTCTGCCTGTGTAGTAGCCATTCTTTATTCCTTTACTTTCTTAATAAACTTGCTTTCACTTTACAGACTTACGCTGAAGTCTTTCTGAATTCTCTTGGAGTCTAGATCGGGACCCCTTTCTAGTAACAACCCTATCTATACAAAAAGGCTTTTGGCCATGTTTGGTGGTTTACGCCTGTCATCCCAGCACTCTGGGAGGCCAAGGCGGGTGGATCATTTGAAGTCAGGAGTTCGAGACCAACCTGGCTAATATGGCGAAATCCCCGTCTCTACTAAAATATAAAAATTAACTGGGCGTGGTGGCGGGTGCCTGTAATCCCAGCTACTCGGGAGGCTGAGGCAGGAGAAGCACTTGAACCTGGTAGATGGAGGTTCCAGTGAGCCAGGATCGTGCCACTACACTCCAGCCTGGGTGACAGGGCAAGACTCTTGTCTAAAAAAAAAAAAAAAAAAGGATTTAAATGTCACTTACTAAAGTTTTTCCTGGTTGTTCCCAGTTTCTTCCCCCTTTGTATCTTCCCTGGTAAATACAGTTTCTTCTATGGTATATGGTTTTCTGGAATTTAGCAGATATGAGAACCATAGGCATCAGTCTCAAAATATGGCAACTTATTTGCTGGGGTTTACGTTTTTAGGTTTTTGGGTTTTGTTGTTGTTGTTGTTCTATGGTCTTGCTTTGTTGCCCAGGCAAATGTTGCAGTGGCTCTATCAAGGCTCAGTGCAACCTGGACCTCCTGGGCTCAAGTGGTCCTCCCACCTCAGTCTCCCGAGTAGCTGGGACTACAGGCAAGAGCCACCATGCCCAGTTTTGTATTTTTTGTAGAAGCGGGTTTTCGCTATGTTGCCCAGGCTGATCTCAAACTCCTGAGCTCAAGCTATCCACCTGCCTCAGCCCCCCAAAGTGCTGGGATTACAGGCATCAGCCACCGTGCCTGGCCTTTGCTGGGGTTTTGAATTCTGAGAGCCATTAGGTCTATTGAAGCTCTACCACTCATTCAGCTGCATCATCTACAATACGGGACAAAATCGACCTCATGAATTTCTTCATGGACCCAGGAGGATGTTGTTGCAAGTGTCTCCCAAACCACATGGCATGAACCCTCAGAACAGCTGTAGTAGTCTTCCCTTGTGCCCTCCGGCCCTTAACAGCCTCCTGCAGAGCTCTGTTAAAGCCATGCCCTTGACTGGAACACAGGCCAGCAACCTTGCATGGCCTTGCCCAATGCACTGCCATCTGCCTGCATGTGGAAACTATGCACCCTCCGCCTCCTCTTTCATATCAGAGTGTCACCTCTCATAGTCCCTTTCTGACTAGTTTTCTGACAGCTCTGCCCTTACTCAATCTAAGTGACTTTGAGCAAATGACTTCATCTCTCTTGAGGTTTTTTGACCAGTTTGTAAAATGCTTTTCTTCAGGGCCTAGTGTGAGGATTAAAATGAGATGATGCATGCAAAGTGTGCCTGGTGGACACTTAATACAGGTGAGTTCACTTATCCCTCTTGTTACCGAAAGGGCCTGCTCAGCCCAGTCTCCCTCTGTACTTCCTTCATCTCAGTGCTACCTCTGAGTCTCTCTCATTCCTCCCTGTTCTTGGAAGCCACCTGGAGAAAAGTGACTGATGACATCATGGACCCTCTAGCCCGACTGGCTTCAAATCTTGGTTCTCTCTCTGGAACAATTTTGATATGAAACAAGTTGCTTTGCTTCTTTGTGCCTGAGTTTCTTCATCTGTAAAATGGGGATACTAATTCATAGGATTAGAATGATGTTTAAGGGTGCGGCCATTGTACCATTGCTGAATGTGCCTTGAACTCCCAAATGTTTGAAAGGGAACACCATAATTTTCACTGTATCATGTAAAAGTGATATCAAAGCAAAGATTATATAACAGCACTGAGGCTGGACAGTGGGGAATGGAGGGGGACTCCTTGAGATAAATTACCACCTCCTTCACTTTTTTTCTGAGACGGAGTCTCACTATGTTGTCCAGGCTGGCCTCAGACTCCTGGGTTCAAATGATCTTCCCACCTCAGTTTCCCTAGTAGCTGGGACTACAAGTGCAAACCACTGCACCCAGTCCTCCTTCACTTTTGATTTGCTCAACACCTAGTGGCATCCTGTGTTCTCATCCTATTCTTTCCTGCCTTGCCCAGGACCTCATCTTGTGATGACAAGAGGTACCCGGTCTCCTTGCCTCAGATTCCTTCTCCCACCCTTTCTTCCTCACCACAGCCTGTAACTTCCTATAGCACAGCTCTGGCTCCTGCCTAGGGGTTGCTTCAGGGATACCTGAAGGTCTCTTTCTGCCCTTCCTACTTAGCCTTTTTCTTTTTTTAAAGCAGAGACAATGTCTCACTATGTTGCCCAGGCTGGTCTCAAACTCGTGGCCTCAAGTGATCCTCCCACCTCCCAAAGTGCTGGAATTACAGGCATGAGCCACCACACCCAGTTTAGCTACTATTAATCCCTCCCTTATGCCCCATTTGTTCCACCACTGGATTCTCTGCCATCCCCTAAAAGGAGTCACCATTTCCTACCCTCAGAGCTTTGCTTCAGTCTCTTCTGCTGCCTAAAATTTTCTCCCTTCCAGTTTTAATGTGTCAACATCCTGGGCATCCCACACTGCCTCTCCATAGCCCTATCCTCCTCCAAGGGATTTCCTCTTATGCCCCCACTCTTCATTTCACACATGCTTACTGAGGGCATGCTCTGGTCCCAGAAGCTTTTTTGTTTCAGCCCCATAGTAACTAGGCAAATCTGCAAGCGCATGTCTTTCATGACGTGTTCTTTGTTGACCATTTTCTTTCCCCTACTGGATTGTAAGTACCTTTGAAGACAGGCTGTGCATTATACAGTGTGTGGATTGTTCTAGGTGAACAATAAAGCCTGCTAAACAGAATTTTTGGTGACATGTCCTTTCTAGGCCTGGCAACGACACCCAGGGCCTACTTCTTTCAAGGTGGTGAAGGCCTATTAACATAAGCCCAAGATTCACAGGGCCTCAGCATCCTTGACCTCTGCGCCTTTATGGAGTGAGAGTTAAATAGTAGCCCGGGACGGGTGGGTTAGTTACTGGTCAAAGTCAATCCTCCAAGTCAACTTGGCCTGGACTAAAGTAACCAAACCCATGCAGAAAACTTGCAATTTAAAAATTCATCTTCCCTTTCTTCCTAGAAAGGACTGGGCAGAAATGCAGGCTCCAGGGTGGGAGTGGGGCTGCGACGGGAGGAGGCAGCGAAGTTCATTAGCCCCCTCATTTGGGGCAATAGGAATCCGTGTGGTGACAAACAATTGTCCTGGAGGATTTAGGGGGATTTGGCCAAGTGTCCCTGTGGGCCCCCAGCCTCCTCCTAATCCCGTCCACATTTCAGACTACTTAGGATCGCATTAAATGTCAAAGCCGGCGTTTAGGGAAATATCTACATTTCGTATGCATCGCTCGGATGAAAAGAAAAGCTGAAACGAACCTCGGAGCTTTTGGCGCGAGAGGCGCTCTGTGTGGTCCCGAGTGTGAATGGGAAGAGGGGGGCGGCGCCCCGGGGGCCTCCCCGCCCAGGAATGCAGGCCTTTCACATGTAGAAAATGCTAATGCTTTGTTCCTGCCTCGGCCTCCCGGAGGCGCAGAGGCGCCCGGCCGGATTGTCCCGGCGCATTTGCATGTGAGCGGCCCCAGATCCCCGTCCCCACCCTCGGCCCTCCCCCACCCCAGCACGGCTGGCCGGGGACTTCTGTCCTCGGGCCGGGGCCGCCTTCAAACGTCCTCTGCCGTCATTTATTTCATCCCGGTTAAAGCCACAAATAGCTACTTTCTGAATGGATAGCCTTTCCCCTGGGGAGCCGGGCAGGTGAACATTTTTTACTCCATACTTGAGACACTTGACAAAGAGAGTTGTATCTGGAACAACCTCTGTTCCAGCGAGGAAGGGCACGGCGTTGGCTGAGCCATGCCCCACTACAGCGTCACATTTATGTCCTGTGGCGAACACGCTGTGTTTGGCGTGACACTAGGGGCTCCAAACTACCCATTACGTGGTTCGTCTTCAGTGGCATCCAAGCGACCGCAGGTGGCGGGGCCGAAGGGGTAAGGGTATTTCATGCACGTTTTACGGAAGAAGACACAACCCAGAGTTGAGGGGCCACCGGGGTCCCTCTCTTGAGCACAGGCGCCCGGAGCGCAAATGCGCGGACTGACCCAGCGGCCGGCGCGGCGGCGCCGGGCGGACTTAATCGCGGGCGCAGCGCGAGGCTCGGGACCCAGAGCACCACCTACCGGCGGCACGGTCGGCGCAGCAGGCCCCAGAAGGGCGGGGAACGCTGTCAAGCCCAGGGGCACTTCGGCGAGGAGCCCCACCCGCCCTCCAGCTGACCCTCAGCTGTGGCCCACATCCGGGGCCCAGAGCGCCGCGGAAACGCCGAAGCCCGGCCGGCAGGTACCCGCACGTCTCCTTCTGCCACCGCGGAGCTTGCTTCATTAACTCCGTTTCATGTGACTTATTTTATTTCTTTTATTTTTATTTATTTCATTTTATTTTATTTCACTTATTTCACTTCAATATTTTATTTGGTTTATGGTTTTACTTCATTAATTTTACTTCATTAATTCTGTTTTCCCCATTATTTAATTTTATTCTGTCTCAGTATTTAATTATTTGTTTCACTACTTTATTTGTGAGTGAAGGGAAAGGGCGGATACCTTTTTTGTCTTATTTTTCGTTGTTGTTATTGTTGTTGTTGTTGTTTTTTGAGACAGAGTCTCGCTTTGTCGCCCAGGCTGGAGTGTAGTGGCGCGATCTTGGCTCACTGCAACCTCTGCCTCCTGGGTTCAAGCGATTCTCCTGCCTCAGCCTCCTGAGTACCTGGGATTACAGTCGTGCGCCACTACACCTAGCTAATTTTTGTGTTTTTAGTGGAGACGGAGTTTCCACCATGTTGGCCAGGCTGGTCTCGAACTCCTGACCTCAGGTGACCCACCCTCCTCGGCCTCCCAAAGTGCTGGGATTACAGGCCTAAACCACTGCGCCCTGCCGGCCTCAATCATATTTTTTTAAACCCCTTCCAGCTGCCTGCTCTAGGCAAGATAACTTGCCCAGTGTACAGGGCAGAAAAGAGGAGATGACAACATAGTCCTAGGCTCAAGAGCCCCAAGCCAAACTGACAAACAACAAAGACCCAATAATTCAAACCAGGCTCCATGGAGGAGGTGTCATTTCAGGTGGGCAGATACAAAGGGATAGGAAGCTGCTTCATGTGCCTGGATAATAGGGGCCGTGCCTGAATAATAGGGGCCATGTTCCATATCAATACAAGGAAGAGTTCCGTCACACTGTGGAGAGTCTCTTGTGCTGGAGCGAGCTGTCTGCAATTTGAGTTAGGCCAGGAAAGTCTCAGGCCTGGGCCCTGATGGTTCTGTGGTTTCCATGGGAGGGCCTTCAAGGTTGTGACATCCGCTCCCCATACAGTATGATGTGTGTTATGTATTATTTTGAGGATAGGGGAAGATGATTCCCTATTTATTTGCTATCAGTTCTCTAGAAAGCACAATGAATTGCATTTCTGAATATTCACCTTATTTTCCCCCAATCTTTAATTTTGAAAAATATTAAGTATGTAGAAAAGATGGATGTCCGGGCCCGGTGGCTCACGCCTGTAATCCCAACACTTTGGGAGGCCGAGGTTGGCGAATCACCTGAGATCAGGAGTTCAAGACCAGCCTGGCCAACATGGCGAAACCTCATCTCTACAAAAATACAAAAAGTAGCTGGGCATGATGGTGGGTGCCTGTAATCCCAGCCACTCAGGAGTCTGAGACAGGAGAATTGCTTGAACCCCAGAGGCAGAGGTTGCAGTTAGCCGAGATCACACATTTGCACTCCAGCCTGGGCGACTGAGCAAGAATCTGTCTCAAAAAAAAAGGATGGAAAAGTCGCTTAATGAAACTTTATGTCCTAAATCCACCAACTGATTCTTTGCCAGCATTTACTCTAGCATGCTTCCTCTCTCTCTCTCTCTCTCACACACACACACACACACAAACACACACACACAAACCTGTATGTATGCATCTATCTATCTTTTTTTACTGAATTTTTTTTTTTTTTTGGAGACGGGTCTCCTTCTGTCACCCACGCTGGAGTGCGGTGGACGATCTCAGCTCTCTGCAACCTCTGCCTCCTGACTTCAAGTGATTCTCCTGCCTCAGCCTCCTGAGTAGCTGGGACTACAGGCATGTGCCACCACGGCAGGCTAATTTTTTTTTTTTTTTTTTGAGACGGAGTTTCATTTTTGTTGCCCAAGCTGGAGTGCAATGGCGCAATCTCAGCTCACTGCAACCTCCACCTCCGGGGTTCAAACGATTCTCCTGCCTCAGTCTCCCGAGTAGCTGGGATTACAGGCGCGCACCACCACACCTGGCTAATTTTTGTATTTTTGGTAGAGATGGGGTTTCACTATGTTGACCAGGGTGGTCTCGAACTCCTGACCTCAGGTGATCCGCCTGCCTCAGCCTCCCAAAGTGCTGGGATTACAGGCGTGAGCCACCACGACTGGCCTCATTTTTTTTTTAGAGACAGAGTCTCGCTCTGTCGCCCAGGCTGGAAGTACAGTGGTGCGATCTCAGCTCAATGCAACCTCCACCTCCCGGGCTCAAGCAATTCTCCTGCCTCAGCCTCCCGACTAGCTGGGACTGCAGGCACACACTGCCACGCCCAGCTAATTTTTTGTATATTAGTAGAGACTGGGTTTCACCATGTTGCCCAGGCTGGTGTGGAACTCCTGAGCTCAGGCAATTCACTTGCCTCAGTCTCCCAAAGTCATGCTGAGATGACAGGCATGAGCCACCGTGCCCGGCCTTAATTTTGTATTTTTAGTAGAGACCGGGTTTCACCATGTTGGCCAGGCTGGTCTCGAACTCCTGACCTCAGGTGATCCACCCGCCTCAGCCTCCCAAAGGCCTCAAGCCTCCCAGAGTGCTGGGATTACAGGCATCAGCCACCACCCCTGGCCTACTGAACTTTTTTTTTTTTTTCTTTTTTTTTTGAGACGGAGTCTTGCTTTCGTTGCCCAGGCTGGAGTGCAATGGCACGATCTTGGCTCACTGCAACCTCTGCCTCCCAGGTTCAAGCGATTCTCCTGCCTCAGCCTCCCAAGTGTCTGGGATTACAGGCATGTGACACCATGCCCGGCTAATTTTGTAGTTTTAGTAGAGACAGGGTTTCTCCATCTTGGCCAGGCTGATCTTGAACCCTGACCTCAGATGATCCACCTGTCTCAGCCTTCCAAAGTGCTGGGATTACAGGCGCACCACTGCCCCCAGCCCCTGCTGAACTTTTTTTGTTTTGTTTGTTTTGTTTTGTTTTTTTTGAGACGGAGTCTGGTTCTGTTGCCCAGGCTCGAGTGCAGTGGCACAATCTCGGCTCACTGCAACCTCCACCTCCCAGGTTCAAGTGATTCTCCTGCCTCAGCTTCCTGAGTAGCTGGGATTACAGGTGTCCTGCCTCAGCTTCCCAAGTAGCTGGGATTACAGGCACCCGCCACAATGCGCGGCTAATTTTTGTATTTTTAGTACAGACGGGGTGGTTTCACCATGCTGGCCAGGCTGGTCTTGAACTCCCGACCTCAGGCGATCAGCCTGCCTCAGCCTCCCAAAGTCCTGGGATTACAGGCGTGAGCAAACACTTTGGGAGACTGAGGCAGGTGGATCACCTGAGGTCAGGAGTTGGAGACTAGCCCGGTCAACAGGGTGAAACCCCATCTCTACTAAAAATACAAAAAGCCGGGTGAGGTGGCCGGCTCCTATAATCACAGCTACTTGGGAGGCTGAGGCAGGAGAATCGCTATAACCCAGGCGGCAGAGGTTGCAGTGAGCCCAGATCGCACAACTGCACTCCAGCCTGGGCGACACACAGCGACACTCCCTCTCAAAAAAAAAAAAAAAAAAAAAAATTGAGGCCAGGCATAATGGCTCACGCCTGTAATCTCAGCATTTTGGGAGGCTTAGATGGGCAGATCACTTGAGCTCAAGAGTTCAAGTCCAGCCTGGGAAACATGGTGAAACTCTGTCTCTACCAAAAATATAAAAATAAAATAAAATTAGCCAGGCATGGTGGCGCTCGCCTGTACTCCCAGCTACTCAGGAGACTGAAGTGGGAGGATCACTTGAACCCAGGAGGCAGAAGTTTCAGGGAATCGAGATGGTGCCACTGTACTCCAGCCTGGTGAAGAGAGGGAGACCCTGTCTTAAGAAAAAAAAAAAAGCCTTGTCACAAGATAGCGCGGAAAGCGAAGAAGGAAGTTCCCGTCCCTCCTAAAGCCGAAGCCAAAGCGAAGTCTTTAAAGGCCAAGAAGGCAGTGTTGAAAGGTGTCCGCAGCCACAAAAAAAAGAAGATCCGCACGTCACCCACCTTACGGCGGCCCAAGACACCGCGACTCCGGAGACAGCCCAAATATCCTCGGAAGAGCGCTCCTAGGAGAAACAAGCTTGACCACTATGCTATCATCAAGTTTCTGCTGACCACTGAGTCTGCCATGAAGAAGATAGAAGACAATAACACACTTGTGTTCATTGTGGATGTTAAAGCCAACAAGCACCAGATTAAACAGGCTGTGAAGAAGCTCTATGACAAAGATGTGGTCAAGGTCAACACCCTGATTCGGCCTGATGGAGAGAAGAAGGTGTATGTTTGACTGGCTCCTGATTACGATGCTTTGGATGTTGCCAACAAAATTGGGATCATCTAAACTGAGTCCAGTTGCCTAATTCTAAATATATATATATATATCTTTTCAGCATAAAAAAAAAAGCCGGGCCCGGTGGCTCACGCCTGTAATCCCAGCACTTTGGGAGGCCAAGGTGGGCAGATGACGAGGTCAGGAGATTGAGACCATCCTGGCTTAACACAGTGAAACCCCGTCTCTACTAAAAATACAAAAAAATTAGCCGGGCGTGGTGGCGGGTGCGTGTAGTCCCAGCTACTCGGGAGGCTGAGGCGGGAGAATGGCGAGAACCCGGGAGGCGGAGCTTGCGGTGAGCCAGTATCGCGCCACTGCATTCCAGCCTGGGCGAGAGCAAGACTCCGCAAAAAAAGACTAATATCAAAATCCCCCTTCTAGGAAATTACAAACATTTTCATTTCTCTTAGATACCAAATGGAATGCCTTCCTGATGATTTGCTGTTGTATATCTTCGCTAGTTCTGAAGGCCACAAGTCAAGATCAAGGTGCCAGCATGGTCAGGTTCTAATGGGGCTCTCTTCCTGGCTTATAGATGGCTGCCTTCTCCCTGTGTCCTCACTTAGCCAGGAGAGAGGGCCAGGAGGACTGGTTTCTTTATTTTCTTTTCTTTTCTTTTCTTTTTTTTTTTTTTTTTTTTTGAGACAGGGTCTCACTCTGTCGCCCAGGCTGGAGGGCATTGGCACAATCTCGGCTCACTGCAACCTCCGCATCCTGAGTTCAAGCGATTCTCCTGCCTCAGCCTCCCGAGTAGCTGGGATTACAGGCGTGCATCACCACGCCCAATTTTTTTTTTTTTTTTTTTTTTGTATTTTTAGTAGAGACGAGGTTTCACCACATTACCCAGGATGGTCTTGATCTCCTGACCTCATGATCCGCCCGCCTCAGCCTCCCAAAGTGCTGGAATTACAGGCATGAGCCACCGCGCCCGGCCGCTCACCCAACTAATTTTTGTATTCTTAGTAGAGACGAGGTTGGCCAGGCTGGTCTCAAACTCCTGGACTCAAGTGATCCACCCACCTTGGCCTCCCACAAGTGCTGGGATTACAGGTGTGAGCCACTGCGCCCAGCTGGTTTCTTTCAAAGTTTGCTCTTGCAAACTCTTGCCGGGCGTGGCGGTGGGCACCTGTAGTCCCAGCTACTCGGGAGGCTGAGGCAGAATGGCGTGAACCCGGGAGGCAGAGCTTGCAGTGAGCCAAGATCGCGCCACTGCACTGCAGCCTGGGCGGCAGAGCGAGACTCCGTCTCAAAAAAAAAAAAAAAATAGTTTGCTCTTGCTTTTCTGTGTATTTAGCTCCCAGCACTCCTATCCCCACACTGCTTCCAAAACAATCCAATAAGGAAACCACAACGACATCCAAATTTCCCTTTGTAAAAATGGCATGTTTTCTAGGTTGAGAAACTCCGATTTCCATTTAATCGTTGTGACTTTCATTAGCGCTGAACACCAGAAAGGGAGGAATCTGGGAGATTTGGGAGATGGCTGCAGATGCAGGCAATGGCCAAAACACTGGTTAGAGGAGCCCTGTTAGGATGAGGAGATGCAGCACAGTGTTGAGAAGTGGTTAGTGTGGCTGCTCTTGCTTGACTCACATCTGGTGAAATGCAGGGTGGACAGCAGTCCTGAGGTGGGGATTAATCCATCATCATCTGGTGGGGGCAGGTTTTTAAGGTCCTCTATCTCAGATAGGGTTTAATGGCACGGCGGGAAAGGAGTATAGATGGGAGAGGTTGTAAACAAAGAAGTCTTCCGCCAGGCGCGGTGGCTCACGTCTGTAATCCCAGCACTTTGGGAGGCCGAGGTGGGCGGATCACTTGAGGTCAGGAGTTCAAGACCAGCCTTGCCAACATGGTGAAACCCCATCTCTACTAAAAATACAAAAATTAGCCAGGCATGGTGGTGCGTGCCTGTAGTCCCGGCTACTCAGGAGGCAGAGGTGAGAGAATTACTTGAACCTGGGAGGCAGAGGTTGCAGTTAGCCGAGATCGCACCATTGCACTCCATCCTGGGCGACAGAGTGAGACTCTGTCTCAGAAAAAAGAAAGAAAAGAAAAAAAGAAAGAAGTCTTCTTCCCGTGCCACACTAAGTGGTTGGGTCAAGGAGCCTACTTGGACAAGATTCCTGCTGTCCCCCTGAGAAGAGCAACACTAGCCACAGGCCCAGTGATGACACCACCAGGCATGTGAGTCCTGAGTCCCACCAACACAGGCTCCTATCACTCAAGTCAGGCAAAAGGTGGGTTCTTTTCCACGGACTTTGGATTTTCACTTTGCTGCTTTCTAATTTCTTTGTGATGCATCCACTTGTATGCTTCCTCCTCCTCCTCCTGGATAGCACTTCAAGGAAGGTGGGAAACATATACTGGGAACCAAACTACTGAGGTCCAATTCCCAGCCCTACTACTTCCTGTGTGACCTAGAGCAAGTTACTTTACCTCTCTGTGCTGCAGTTTCCTTTTTTTTGAGACAGTCTTGCTGTCTCCCAGGCTGGAGTGCAGTGGTGCTTGCTATCTTGGCCCACTGCAACCTCCACCTCCCGGGTTCAAGCAATTCTCATGCCTCAGCCTCCCAAGTAGCTGGGATTACAGGCATGCACCACCACACCCAGCTAATTTTTGTATTTTTAGTAGAGATGGGTTTTGCCATGTTGCCCAGGGTGGTCTCGAACTCCTCAACTCAGGCAATCTGCCTGCCTCAGCCTCCCAAAGTGCTGGGATTATAAGCGTGAGCCACTGCATCCAGCCAATTTCCTTATTTGTAAAATAGGATGATAATGATACAGACCTCATAGACCTGTTAATGAAGCTTAAATGAGGTTGTATTTGTAAAGCTCAAGAAACAGTCAGTCCCTAGTATTATACTAGATCAGTGAAAGTTACATAAATTAAGTAAATGCAGAAGCTACCATCAATGCCCTGTAGAGCTCCTGTATCCGGACCTCCCTTGCAGACTTGGAAGGGAAGCAGGATGGGTTCATGGAAAAGTCTTGGACGTTGGGATTAGACACTCCTGGATTCAAATCCCAGCTCTGCTACTCCCTGGCTGTGTGAGCATGTGTAAGCTTCTTGGCCTCTGAACCTCAGTCTCAACACCTGTAAAATGAAAATAATGCTCACTTTGCAGGGCAGTGGTAAGGAAAAGAGCTTCCTTAGCTAAGGCTACACAGTAAACGGCCTCTGCTGTTGTCAGAGTGGTTCCTGAGGTTTTCTGTTTTTTGCCTATGAAAATCCAGTCCACTAGAGATGGCAGCTGCCACAGGTGTAGGAGTGGATAAGAGGGGAACTTCCCTGGCCTATCCTTTCCCTGGATCCCCTGAAGTTTCCAGGCCTTCTTTCCCAGAATAGGGGAAAAAATAGGCTTTTTCTTCCTTCTGGCTTTTCATAAGAGCAGTGTGGCCGAGTGTGGTGGCTCACGCCTGTAATCCCAGCACTTTGGGAGGCCGAGGTGGGCGGATCACAAGATCAAGACATTGGCTGGGCACAGTGGCTCACGCCTGTAATCCCAGCACTTTGGGAGGCCGAGGTGGGTGGATCACCTGAGGTCAGGAGTTCAAAACCAGCCTGACCAACATGGAGAAACCCCATCTCTACTAAAAATACAAAATTAGCTGGGTATGGTGGTGCATGCCTGTAATCCCAGCTACTCGGAAGGCTGAGGCAGGAGAATCACTTGAGCCCGGGAGGCAGAGGTTGCAGTGAGCCGAGATTGTGCCACTGCACTCCAGCCTGGGAAACAAGAGCAAAACTCCATCTCAAAAAAAAAAAAAAAAAAAAAAAAAGATCAAGACATTGAGACCAGCCGGGTGCAGTGGCTCACGCCTGTAATCCCAGCACTTTGGGAGGCCGAGGCGGGCGAATCACAAGGTCTGGAGATTGAGACCATCCTGGCTAACACGGTGAAACCCCCGTCTCTACTGAAAATATAAAAAATTAGCCGGGCGTGGTGGTGGGCACCTGTAGTTCCAGCTACTCGGGAGGCTGAGGCAGAAGAATGGCGTGAACCCAGGAGGCGGAGCTTGCAGTGAGCCAAGATCATGCTACTGCACTCCAGCCTGGGCGACAGAGCGAGACTCCATCTCAAAAAAAAAAAGAGATTGAGACCATCCTGGCCAACATGGTGAAACCCCATCTCTACTAAAAATACAAAAATTAGCTGGGTGTGGAGGCAGGTGCCTGTAGTCCCACCTATTCTGGAAGCTGAGGCAGGAAAATTGCTTGATACCGGGAGGCGGAGGTTGCAGTGAGCCAAGATCACACCACTGCACTCCAGCCTGGTGACAGAGCAAGACTCTGTCTCAAAAAAAAAAAAAAAAAGAACAGTGTGAAAAACTTTGAAAATCACAGGATTTTGTGATCAAAAACCTGAAGTCACATGCAGCCCCTCATTTGGCCTGTAAGCCCCTCACAGGCCCCAAAATTGGGGCAGCTGTTGTGGAGCCCAGTATTGCTATGACAATTGCCCCTTCAACTTAGAGTCTGATGCTCTATAGAACTCTGAGTATGGATTTTATCTGTCTGTCTATCTATCTGTCTATCATCTATCATTTTTTACTACAATCCAGGCTAGACTAATCATTAAAATAGAGAACAGGATTCTTGGAGGAGATGACAAGCTGTGGTCCCTGCTTCACTGATTCCTGCAGTAAAATTCATAGAACAAAAGGATTCAAGGCTGGGCGAGGTGGCTCACGCCTGTAATCCCAGCACTTTGGGAGGCTGAGGCGGGTGGATCACTTGAGGTCAGAAGTTTGAGACCAGCCTGGCCAACATGGAGAAACCCCATCTCTACTAAAAATACAAAAATTAGCTGGGCATGGTGGCGGGCAACTGTAATCCCAGCTACTCGGGAGGCTGAGGCAAGACAATCACTTGAATCCAGGAGGCGGAGGTTGCAGTGAGCTGACATCCCGCCATTGCACTCCAGCCTGGGCGACAAAAGTGAAACTCCATCTCGAAAAAACAAAAAGCACTTTGGGAGGCCAAGGCGGGCAGATCACCTGAGGTCGGGAGTTCAAGACCAGCCTGACCAACATGGAGAAGCCCCGTCTCTACTAAAAATAAAAATACAAAATTAGCCGGGTGTGGTGGTGCATCCTGTAATCCCAGCTACTCAGGAGACTGAGGCAGGAGAATTGCTTGAACCTGGAAGGCAGAGGTTGCAGTGAGCCGAGATCACACCATTGCACTCCAGCCTGGGCAACAAGAGCAAAACTCCCTTTGGAAAAAAAAAGGATTCAGCAGAAACAGGTAAACATGGTGAAATTGAGGCCAAAATTCAAGAGATTAGGCCTAGACTTTTTTTTTCTTTTGAAAATTCTAACCAGGTTTGGCTGTTCATGAAAACTTTTAATAGCTGAGTTTTTTCTGTGTTTTGTTTTAAGTGGGAGTGAAGTTCTGAAAGGGTCAGGAACAAATGGAAGAAAATGAAGCTAACGGGGGACTTGGGGCACAGCGAACTGTTCTTAGGCCCACTGAGTCAAAGGCACAAGAATCAAACTGGAGAGAGTGAGGAGCTCAAGCCAGACAAAGCCAAAGTGGTAGATTTCCTTTCTTAGGCCAACTAGGTTTTCCTTTGCTGGGAAGGAAGAGTGGCTTTTAAATTTTTGATCTAAAATAGAGGTGAGTTTAGGGTGCCGTACAGCTGCATTTTTCACCCCTCAGAATCCCTTCTGCTTGAAAAAGGTCTTAATGAGGTCTAGCGGCCCTAACTCGACCTGCTTGGTCAGTGTTTCTTTCTTTAGAGAGTGATCCTGCTGAATTAAAATTCAATTAATCCAACTTTAAGGGCAAGAAAAACTATTTGTGAAAAATCATTAAACAGCACATAAAATCCTTTGAGGAAGACTGAATACTAGGAGAAGTACAGCCTGGCTTTTGTTAAGGTACTTTGGGCCCAATGAGTTAACTTTTTCAAGGAATTTTAACAAGATAGTGGTCAAAGTGGAATTTGTTCGTGTAGTTTATTTAAGGTTTTACAAGGCCCTGCAAAGAGTCCCTCCCCTAAGTCTGGAGGAGAAGAGAGTTTGTAAAAACGTGGTGAGAGCTAAAATCTTAGGGGGGCATTTTTAGACCTGGGAGGAAACAAAACTGGCCTAGATGCTTCAAAAATATCAGGGTCCTGGCCGGGCGCTTAAACACTTTATGGCAGGGTGCGGTGGCTCACGCCTGTAATCCCAGCACTTTGGGAGGCCGAGGCGGGTTGATCTTCTGAGGTCAGAAGTTCGAAACCAGCCTGGCCAACATGGCAACCCCCGTCTCTACTAAAAATACAGAAATTAGCTGGGCGTGATGGCACACACCTGTAATCCCAGCTACTCGGAAGGCTGAGGCAGGAGAAACACTTAGAACCCAGGAGGTAGAGGTTGCAGTGAGCCCAGATCGTGCCATTGCACTCCAGCCTGGGTGACAGAGCAAGACTCCATCTAAAAAAAAAAAAAAGCCAGGGTCCTTAAAGACAAAGGAAGGCCAGAGAACTGCCACAGGTGAAAGGAAACTGGGCTGGGCACAGTGGCTCACGCCTGTAATCCCAGCACTTTGGGAGGCCAAGGCAGGTGAATCATGAGGTCAGGAGTTCAAGACCAGCCTAGCCAACATGGTGAAACCCCATCTCTACTAAAAATACAAAAAAATTAGCCAGCCCTGGTGGCCGGCACCTGTAATCCCAGCTACTCAGGAGGCTGAGGCCAAGAATTGCTTGAACCTGGGAGGCAGAGGTTGCAGTGAGCCAAGATTGCACCACTGCACCCCAGCCTGTGTGACAGAGTGAGACTTCGTCTCAAAACAAAAAACAAACAAAAAGGAAACTGAGGAGACTTGACAACTGAATGTAGCATGTGATCATGGATTGGATCCTGGGAAGGGAGAAACAAATTTGCCCAGAAAGGACAGATTTGGGACAACTGGTGAAACATGAATCCAGTCTATGGATTAGATAATGGTACTATATCAACATTTAATTTCCTGACTTTGAGAACTGTACTTTTGTTGTGTAAGATAATGACCATGGTCTTAGGAAATGCACAAGGAAGTGATTAGACATAGAGGGGCATCACCAGGAGTTCTGGTTCACGCCTGTAATCCCAGCACTTTGGGAGGCTGAGGTGGGCGGATCACGTGAGGTCATGAGTTCGAGAAATAGAAGGGCATCATATCCACAACTTTACTCCCAGATGGTTCAAGAAAAATAGTATACGTGTGTATAGATATATATACTCCACTTATAATAGACACATATGTACATATCCCAACATATACATACCGTGTACATGTAATACATGTATATAATATATAGATATAGTAATATATATGTAAATATATGGGAGAGAAGAAGTGATAATGCAAATTGGGCAAAGTGTTAATATTTGGGGACTCTAGGTTAAGGATATATTGGAGTTCTTTGTACTATTACAATTTTTCTCTAAATTTGAAATTATTTCAAAATACAAGGTAAGCTAATATAAAAATAAGTAAAACTAAATAAATTTAAGAAGAGATAAAAGCTTTAAAAAAGAGCCAGTCATGGTGGCTCATGCCTGTAATCCCAGCACTTCCGGAGGCTGAGGCAGGAGGATCATTTGAGGCCAGGAGTTCAAGACCAGCCTGGTCAATATAGTGAGACCTCATCTCTATTAAATAAATAAACAAACAGGCTGGGGGAGTGGCTCGCCGCCTGTAATCCCAACACATTGGGAGGGCGAGGTGGGCAGATCACAAGGTCAGGAGATCGAGACTATCCTGGCTAAGACGGTGAAACCCCATCTCTATTAAAAATACACAAAATTAGCTGGGCATTGTGGCAGGTGCCTGTAGTCCCAGCTACTCGGGAGGCTGAGGCAGAAGAATCGCTTGAACCAGGGAGGCGGAGGTTGCAGTGAGCTGAGATCGTGCCACTGCACTCCAGCCTGGGTGACAGAGTGAGATTCCATCTCAAAAAAATAAATGAATAAATAAATAATAAACAAATAAATAAATGAAAAGAAACCTTAAAAGAAAAAAAGAAACAAAAAGGAGGTAGATAAGGAAAGAAACAATCTGTGACTTTTTTTATTTCCTCTTGCCCCATAATGTATCAAGACAGGTGCTAACAGGCTACACAAGAATTAAGAATCACCCCAAAGAGGTTTGTAACCAAACTCGGAAGACCTAAGGCACTTGCAGTAATTGAAAACCTGTGGTCATCCATGTATCCAGGAGCCATCATTCAACAAAGAGTTACTAAAGACCTTTGGTGCCCAGGCCAGAGTTTGTGACTTAGCTCCTGCCTCCAAGGAGCTGGCAGTTTTATGCAAGAGACTAACACACACAAAATTATTGCAGTGTCCACAAGAATTGTGACGGTAGCATGAATGTGGGAGTGTGCACCTCAGTCTGGGGAGGGAACCTGCCGGAAACAACTTACTTCTCAGAAGATGTGACACTGAAAGCAGGTTTTGAAGGCTGAGTAGGAGTCAGAGAAGGGAGTTGTGAGCCTTGGTAGAGGAGACAGTCTGCAAAGCACAGAGATAGGAGACAGTATGCAACAGCCAAGTCACAAAGGCACATTAAGCAAAGTGGGTGCTGAAAAGCATCAGGCAGGAGGCTGGACAGGCGAGTCATGGCTGAAAGGCTTAGAGGAGGCTAGAGTTTCTGAGCTAGGATTTGAAGAAGGAGACTGCCAAGGATTCGTGAAAACCACGTATTATAGACAAACAGAGGGAATGAGCACACAGGTCAGGAATGAGCAAATCCCAAGGCTAAGGGGACGGTAAACACTCTGGAGCCTGGGAGTCTGCACAAGGTGGGGTTGTGCAAGGTGTTTGCTTCTCACCTGAGCCTGCAGGCTTTCACATGAGGCCTCAGCCTATAGTCCCATGGTCAGGGTCAACCCAGGAAAACAGAAATGACTATACATATTTGTAACAGAGAAATTTAGTGGGGGGATTTTGTTGGACAGGTGAGGGAATTAAGAGGTCAGCTAGAGCAGGAAGCCGCTGCCACTCCTAGGCTGGAGGGTCAAGGGAGGAAGTGATGTTACCTGAACCCAAGGGTTGAGGTCACCTGCTGGAAGCCGAAGCCACAACAGGCCTGGAACTGGAGCCATGGAAGAGATGCAGCCACTAATGAAGGCGGGAGTTGCTACCAAGGCAGAGGGAGGAGAGAATACCCTGGCTTTTCCCTTCTCATCCTCTTGTCAACTGCCAACCTCCTATTGGCTAAACCCAGCCAAAGCCAACTGACATAGGAACTGAGGGAGTATAACTGAGGATCAGCCTCGCTGTGATCTAGGACAGAGCAGGGGAAGGGCTGGGAATGGATCTGAGGGCACCCAGACCCAGAAGCAGTCCATATGGGAGCTGTTTTCAGTCCCGCACATAAATTGGGCAGTCTTTTCTGTCCATGTATCAGCACTGACTTATTCAATCCCCCAGTGTTCTTTGGCTCAGGAAATGGTACCATCATACATCCAGGTGCTCAGGTAAAAACTCTGGAGTCAACCCCACTCTCACCTTTTGACTTCTGTCTTTCATCCAACCCATCAACAAATCCTAAGGGCTCCACTTTATTTTGTTTTTTGGTTTTTGGTTTTTGTTGTTGTTTTGAGATGGCGCCTCGCTCTGTTGCCAGGCTGGAGTGCAGTGGCTTGTAAAATGGAGAAATCAAAAGTGCCATTTTCTTGCTATTTAGAACCATTATCGAGTTTGTACTGGGGCCAAGCAGTGTTGCAGAAGAAAATAAGACGCTTAGGTTTTAGGTCAGGTGAGAGTTGAAGAGGTTTTAAGTTTTTGAGAACACAGGCTAAGGGAGAAGAAGGAGGAATGGAGGGTGGAAGGTTGCCCATAGTGAAGGAGGCAAGTCCACAGAAAAGAGAGGGTAGAGACACAGAGAAGGGGGGTTAGTGAGCAGCCCTGGGCTGCAATGTGGGTGAGCAGCCAACACAGGCATCCCCACCATTGACTTGCCACCAAGAGAATGTGGGTGAATGACCAAGGCAGGCGTCCCCGTGGTAATCAGACACCAATACAGTGTGGGTGAATAATCAGGCAGGGGTCCCCGCAGTGATTAAACACCAAGGGAAAACTGTCTTCCCGAGTCCGTGACCGGCGCCGGAGTTTTGGGTCCACAGATAAAATGTGTCTCCCTTGTCTCTACTACAGAGGAAAAAGAACTGGAATTGGAAGGACAGGGAGACTGAAGGGTAGCAACAGAGGCTGGAGAAGAGAGTGAAAAGACCGCTTACCCGATTTGAAATTGGTGAGATGTTCCTTGGGCTGGTTTGGTCTGAGGACCCGAGGTAGATCTCCTCACGGAGTGAGGGTGAGGACAGGGGACTGGTCTCCCGAAGGAGTCCTCCTGTCCCAGGTCTTCGGCACCAAATGTCACACGCGTCCATATGAAGAGACCACCAAACAGGCTTTGTGTGAGCAACAAGGCTACTTATTTCACCTGGGTGCAGGCGAGCTGAGTCCGGAAAGACTCAGCCAAGGAAGATAGGGGTGGGGCCATTTTATAGGATTTGGGTGGGTAGTGGAAAATTACAGTCAAAGGGGGTTTTTCTCTTACGGGCAGGGGCAGGGGTCACACGGTGCTCAGTGGGGGAGGTTCTGAGCCAGGAGAAGGAATTTCACAAGGTTAATCCCTCAGTTAAGGTGGGGCAGGAATAAATCACAATGGTGGAATGTCATCAGTTAAGGAAAGAACCGGCCATTTTCACTTCTTTTGTGATTCTTCACTTGCTTCAGGCCATCTGGACAAATACATGCAGGCTTGGGCTCAGAGGCCTGACACAAGCGAATCTCCTGCCTCAGCCTCCCCAGTAGCTGAAATTACAGGGATGCACCACCATGCCCAGCTAATTTTTGTATTGTTATTTTTTATTTTTCTATTTTTTTGAGACCGAGTTTTGCTCTTGTTGCCCAGGCTGGAGTGCAGCAGCGCGATCTCAACTCACTACAACCTCCGCCTCCCAGGTTCAAGCTACTCAGCCTTCCTGATCTGCCTGCCTCGGGCCTCCCAAAGTGCTGGGATTACAGGCGTAAACCACGGCGCCCAGCCAATTTTTGTATTTTTAGTAGAGACATGGTTTCACCATGTTGGCCAGGATTGTCTCAATCTCCTGACCTCATGATCGACCCGCCTCGGCCTCCCAAAGTGCTGGGATTACAAGCATGAGCCACAGAGCCCCGCAAGGGCTCTACTTTAAAACCATTGTGTATTTCATCAGTCTGAAAAGGCACATTTTTCTTTTTCTTTTTTTTTTTTTTTGAGATGGAGTCTCACTCTGTCGCCCAGGCTGGAGTGCAGTGGCGCGATCTCAGCTCACTGCAAGCTCCGCCTCCCGGGTTCACACCATTCTCCTGCCTCAGCCTCCCAAGTAGCCGGGATTACAGGCACCCACCACCACGCCCAGCAAATTTTGTGTATTTTTAGTAGAGACGGGGGTTTCACCATGTTAGCCAGGATGGTCTCAATCTCCTGACCTTGTGATCCGCCCGCCTCGGCCTCCCAAAGTGCTGGGATTACAGGCGTGAGCCACTGCGCCCAGCGAAGAGGCACATTTTTCACTTGACATTTCTGAAGCTGGGATGAAGTTTTCAGAGCATTAAACTAGTGGAGTTTTTCCTTGTGTGGTGGTAATAATGGTATATGCTTCAATTATTTATTGCTGCTTAACAAACCACTTGAGAACTGAGCTGCATAAAACAATCACCATTTTACCTTGCTCACCGATTTTGGGGGTCTGGAATTGAGAGAAGGCACAGCAAGAAATATTTGTCTCAGCTTCACAATGCCTGGAGTCTTAGCTGATAGCTGGGATGACTAAGGGCTGGAGGCTAGAGTCATCTGGAGAGGAGTCACTGACATGTCTGGCTCCTTGGTTGGGATGACAAGAATAGCTGGGGGCTCACTGGCTGGCTGGCTATCTGTCTATCATATATTGTTATATATTCTCGGAACTTCTCCATGTGGACTCTCCACATGGCCTCTCTATTATGGCAGCTCATGGTTCTGAGGGCCAGTGTCCCAGCTTCTTATTCTGATTGGACTGCTATAATAAAGTACCATAGACTAAGTAGCCTGTAAACAACAGTTTACCTTTCTGAAGGCTAGGAAATTGAAGATAAGGTACCAGTAGATTTGGTTTCTGGTAAGGGCCTGTTTCTTCATAGAGGGCATCTTCTCGCTGGGCGTGGGGGCCCACGCATGTAATCCCAGCACTTTGGGAGGCTGAGGTGGGTGGATCACGAGGTCAGGAGTTTGAGACCAGCCTGACCAACATGATGAAACCCCGTCTCTATTAAAAAATCCAAAAATTAGCTGGGTGTGGCGGCACGCGCCTGTAATCCCAGCTACTCAGGAGGCTGAGGCAGGAGAATTGCTTGAACCCGGGAGGCAGAGGTTGCAGTGAGCCAAGATCGCGCGCATTGCATTGCACTCCAGCCTGGGCGACAGAGTGAGACTCCAACTCAAAAAAAAAAAAAAAAAAAAAGAAGGCATGTTTTCATTGTAACCTCACAGGGTAGAAGGGGTGAGGGATCTCCCTGGGGTCTCTTATAAAGGCACTCATTCATCATGAGGGCTCCATTCTGATGACCCATCACCTCCCAAAGGCCCCACCTCCTACCTCCTAATACCATCACCTTGGGGGTTAGGATTTCAACATATGAATTTTGTGGAGACACACAAACATTCAGATCATAGCGCCCAGTGAGCAAGACGAAAGTTTGCCTCCGAAGTCACATCGCGTCACTTCCACTGTACTCTGCTGCTTGAAGCAGTCATAAGCCCACCCAAATTTTAGGGGAAGGCACACAGACCCCTGACCTCTCCATAAGAAGAGTGTCAAAGAATTTGGGGCTATGTTTTAGAACTGCCACAGCGTATCTTAAAATTAGTGGAGTCTTTGAGTCCACAAAATACGTTATCTTGAATTTGAGCACCCCTCACAACCTCTACTGCTAACACCCTGGTCCAAGCTATAATTACCATCCATCTGCCTCAGTGATTCCACTCCATCCCTCCTAGGCACCCTCACCATCTATTCTCTACACAGTAGCCAGAGTGATCCTTATAAAACATAAATCATGGCTGGACATGGTAGCTCATGCCTGTAATCCTACCACTTTGGGAAACCGAGGCAGATGGATCACTTGAGATCAGGAGTTCAAGACCAGCCTGTGCAACATGGTGAAACCCTGTCTCTACTAAAAATACAAAAATTAGCTGGGCATGGTGACTCATGCCTGTAGTCTCAGCTACTTGGCGGGGCTGAAGCAGGAGGATTGCTTGAACCTGGGAGGTGGAGGCTGCAGTGAATTGTGCCACTGCACTCCAGCCTGGAAGACAAAGTGAGACCCTGTCTCAAAAAAACAACAATAAAAACCCACAAACAGGCCAGGTGTGGTGGCTTATGCCTGTAATCCCAGCACTTTGGGAGGCCGAGGCAGGCAGATCACCTGAGGTCAGGAGTTTAAGACCAGCCTGGCCAACATGGTGAAACCCTGTCTCTACTAAAAATATAAAAATTAGCCGGGCGTGGTGGCGGGCACCTGTAATCCCAGCTACTCGGGAGGCTGAGGCAGGAGAATCGCTTGAACTCAAGAGGCGGAGGTTGCGGTAAGCCAAGATCACGCCATTGCACTCCAGCCTGGGCGATAAGAGCAAGACTCCGTCTCAAAAAGAGAAAAACACCCACAACAAACAAAAACACTTAAATGATATCATAGACTGCCTTGATCTTAATCTTCTATTGGCTTCTTATCACCCAGAAGAAAATCCAAAGTTCTAACTTGGACTTATAAGGCCCTGTATAATCAAACCCCTGACTTTATATCTGACCTTACTTCCTGCCAGTTTACCCCTCTGTTCATTCCATTCTTTCACTGGCAACATTGCTGTTTCTCAAAGGAATCTATCATATTCACACCTCAGGGTGTTTTAATTTGTGGTTCCCTCTTTCTGTTACTCTTCTCCCCTAGATATCTACATAGATATCTTTCACCTTATTCTGGTTTCTACTCAGATGTCATCTCTTCAGACAGGCCTTCCTTAACCTCTCCATCCAAAAATAGCACACTCAACTCTATCACTGTCCCCACACCCAGCATGGCTTTGCTGTGCTTTGCTTTACAGCGTTGATCACAAAAGGCTAATCTGCTCCACATTCATTTACATGTGCATTGTCTGTCTCCACCTTCAAGGCAGGGACTGTTTTGTTCACTGCTGCTTTCCCAAAGCCTGGTATATGGTAGGTGCTCAATAAATACTCATTGAATGAATTCACTTATTGCCTCATTTCCTCACTGTGTAACCTCAGGCAAATAACTTCTCTGGGCAGTTGGCAAGCAGGCTGGTGGATGGCTGTTCCTGCAGGGTCTCACTCACATAGTTGTTAGTTGGCCAGCTGTCTGTGGGGAGACGGAGGTAACTGAGCCACATGTCTTTCATCCTCCAGCAAAGTAGCCCAGGTGATCACATAGGTTGAATAGCAGCAAGAAGGCAAGCTCCTCCTTCTCTTCTGCTTGTGTCATGTTTGCTATTGTTCCATTGGCCAAAGCACATCATGTGGCCCTTCCCAGAGTCATGGTGAGAGGTCACAGTCAAAAGGCAAGCATACAGGGAGGCGTGCACAAATCGGGGGCCACGATTACAACAGTCTACCCCAACAGCTAATTTCAGAAGAGAGGACTAGCTTAAGTGCAGCAAAGTTGGGAGGTGGCAAGGAGGAAAAACAACTTCTGACCCAGCATTCTGGAAAAGCAGTGGACTTTGAGTTAGTTTTGTTTTGTTTTGTTTTGTTTTTTGAGACAAAGTCTTGCTCTTGTCCCCTAGGCTGGAGTGCAATGGCGCGATCTTGGCTCACTGCAACCTCCGCCTCCCGGGTTCAAGCGATTCTCCTGCCTCAGCCTCCCGAGTAGCTGGGATTACAGGCGTGCACCACCACACTCAGCTAATTTTTGTATTTTTAGTAGAGACGGGGTTTCACCATGTTGGCCAGGCTGGTCTTGAACTCCTGACCTAAAGTGATCCACCCACCTTGGCCTCCCAAAGTGTTGGGATTACAGGCATGAGCCACCACTCCCAACCAGGTTTTTTTGGTTTTTGTTTTTCAGACAGAGTCTTGCTTTGTTGCCCAGGCTGAAGTGCTGTGGCATGATCAAGTCTCACTGTAGCCTCAACTTCTCGGGCTCAAGTGATCCTCTCACCTCAGCCCCCTACTAGCTGAGACTATACATGTGGGCCACCACGCCCAGCTAATTTTTTGTGTTTTTTTGTAGAGATGGAGTTTCACCATGTTTCCCAGGCTGGTCTTGAACTCCTGGCCTCAAGTGATCCCCCCACCTCAACCTCCCAAAGTGGTGGGATTACAGGCATGACCCACCATGCCCAGCAATTTTTGTATTTTTTGTAGAGAGGGGGCTTTGCCATGTTGCCCATGTTAGTCCCATACTCCTGGGCTCAAGTGATCTGCCCTCCTCGGCCCCCCAAAGTACTGGGACTACAGGCATGAGCCACCATTACAGCCTAACATCTGTGATTTTATTTATTTATTTATTTATTTATTTATTTATTTATTTATTTTTGAGACCGAGTCTCCCTCTGTCACCCAGGCTGGAGTGCAGTGGCGTGATCTCAGCTCACTGCAAGCTCCATTTCCCGGGTTCATGGCATTCTCCTGCCTCAGCCTTCTGAGTAGCTGGGCACTCAGCTTGTATTTTTAGTAGAGACAGGGTTTCACCGTGTTAGCCAGGATGGTCTCGATTTCCTGACCTCATGATCCGTCCACCTCGGCCTCTCAAAGTGCTGGGATTACAGGCGTGAGCCACCGTGCCTGGCCCTATTTTTTTACTTTTTAATAGTAGCCATTTTGATCGATGTGAGATGGTATCACACTGTGGCTTTGATTTGCATTTCTCTAATGATTAGTGATGTTGAACATTTTTTAATTCTTGTTTGCCATATATATGTCTTCTTTTGAGAACTGTCTGTTCATGTCCTTTGTCAATTTTTTAATGGGGTTGTTTGTGTTTTGCTTGTTGATTTGTTTCGGTTCCTTATAGGTTCTGGATATTAGATCTTTGTCAGATGCATAGTTTGCAAATATTTTCTTCCATTCTGTAGATTATCTGTTTACTGTGTGATAGTTTGTTCTGTGTGCAGAAGCTCTTTGGTCTAATTAGGTCCCACTTGTCAACTTTTGTTTTTGTTGCAATTGCTTTTGGAGTCTTTGGCATGAAATCTTTACTAAGGCCTGTGTTCACAATGGTATTTCCTAGGTTTTCTTCTAGGGTGTTTATAGTTTTGGGTTTTACATTTAAGTCTTTAATCCATCTTGAGTTGAGAAGGAAGGGATCCATTTTCACTCATGCATATGGCTAAGCAGTTATCCCAGCACTATTTATTGAATGGGGAGTCCTTTCCTATTGCTTGTTATTATCAACTTTGTCGAAGATCAGATAGTTGTAGATGTGCAGCTTTATTTCTGGGTTTTCTATTCTGTTCCAATGGTCTACGTGTCTGTTTTTGTACCAGTACGACACTGTTTTGGTTACTGTAACCTTGTAGTACTGTTTGAAGCGGGGTAGTATGATGCCTCTGGCTTTGTTTTAAAAGTACTATCTCATTTAATTTTGAGCACTAGGTTCCATTTTCATCTCTTTTTTTTCTTTTTCATTTTTGAGATGAAGTCTTGCTCTGTTGCCCAGGCTGGAGTGCAGTGGTGCAATTTTGGCTCACTGCCACCTCTGCCTCCTGCGTTCAAGTGATTCCCCTGCCTCAGCCTCCCAAGTAGCTGGGATTACAGATGTGCACCACCATGCCCAGCTAATTTTTGTATTTTTAGTAGAGATGGGGTTTTACCATGTTGGCCAGGCTGTTCTCAAACTCCTGACCTCAAGTGATCTGCCTGCCTCAGCCTCCCAAACCTGGGATTACAGGTGTGAGCCACTGCTCCTGGCCACAATCTTGAGCAACAAGAACAAACCTGGAAGCATCACACTACCTGCTTTCAAAATACACTGCAAAACTGTAGTAATTAAAACAGCATGGTATTGGCATACAACAGATACACAGATCAATGGAACACAATATAAAGCCCAGATATAGATCCATGTATTTATGCTCAATTAATCTGCAACAAAGGTGCCAAGATCACACAATGGGAAAAGGACAGTCTCTTCAATAAATTGTGTTGGGAAAAGTGAATGTTTACAGGCAGAAGAATGAGATTGGACCTTTACAGCACACACAAAAATCAACTAAAAGTAGATTAAAGACTTAAAATATAAAACCAAAAACTGCAAAACTACTAAGAAGAAACAGGGAAAAAGCTTATTCACATTGGTCTGGACAATGATTTTTTTGGGTATAACCCCAAAACCACAGGCAACAAAAGCAAAAATAGACAAATGGGATTGCATCAAACTAAAAAGCTTCTGCACAGCAAAGGAAACCAACAACAGAGTTGAAGAGAACCTATAGCATGGGAGAAAATATGTGCAAACCACACATCTGATAAGAGTTAATATCTAAGATATATAAGGAATTGAAGTAGTTCGACAGCAAGAAAACAAATAACCCAATCAAAAAATGAGCAAAGAGGCCAGCCATGGTGGCTCACGCCTGTAATCTCAGCATTTTCGGAGGCGGAGGTGGATGGATCACCTGAGGTCAGGAGTTTGAGACCAGCCTGACCAACATGGTGAAACCCTGTTTCTACTAAACATACAAAAGTAGCTGGACGTGGTGGCACATGCCTGTAATCCCAACTACTCGGGAGGCTGAGGCAGGAGAATCATTTGAACCCAGGAGGTGGAGGTTGCAGTGAGCCAAGATTGCACCATTGCACTCTAGCCTGGGCAACAAGAGTGAAACTCCATCTCAAAACAAGAAAGAAAAAAAAAAAGGCAAACAGCCAGGTGCAGTGGTGTCTACCTGTAGTCCCTCCTACTTAGGAAGCTGAGGTGAGAGGATTGCTTGAGCCCACGAGTTTGAGGCTAGCCCAGGCAACATAGCGAGACCTCATCTCTAAAAAAATAAAAATAAAAAATTTAACGGGCAAAGGACCCAAACAGATATACCTCAAAAGAAGATATATAAATGGCCAATAGGTGTATGAAAAAATATTCAACATTGGCCGGGCATGGTGGCTCACGCCTGTAGTCCCAGCACTTTGGGAGGCCAAGGCAGGTGGATCATGAAGTCAAGAGATAGAGACCATCCTGGCCAACATGGTGAAACCCCGTCTCTACTAAAAATACAAAAATTAGCTGGGCGTGGTGGCACATGCCTGTAGTCCCAGCTACTCTGGAGGCTGAGGCAGGAGAATTGCTTGAACCCGAGAGGCGGAGTTTGCAGTTAGCCGAGACTATGCCACTGCAGTCCAGCCTGGCGAGAGAGCAAGACTCCATCTTAAAAAAAAAAAAGAAAAATACATCACCACTCATCAGGGAAATGCAAATCAAAAGCACAGTAAGATATCACTCACACTTGTTAAAATGGCTATGATCAAAGAGACAAAAGATAACAACATGTGGAGAAATGGGAACGCTTGTACACTGTTGGAGGGATTATGAGTTGGTAGAGCTGTTATGGAAAACAGTTATGGTGGTTCCTTGAAAAATTAAAAATAGAACCACAAGCTGGGCATGGTGGCTCATAGCTGTAATCCCAGCATTTTGGGAGGCCAAGGCAGAAGGATTGCTTGAGTCCAGGAGTTTGAGACCAGCCTGGGAATCATAGTGAGACCCTATCTCTACAAAAAATAAAAAATTAGCAAGGCCTGGTGGCCGCACCTGTAGTCCTAGCTCCTCGGGAGGCTGAAGTAGAAGGATTGCTTGAGCCTGGGAGTTCAAGGCTGCATGCAGTGAGCTATGTTTCAGCCACCACACCAGCCTGGGTGACAGAGTGAGACCCATCTCAAAAAAACAAAAGAACTACCATATGATCCAGTAATCCCACTTCTGGGTATATATCCATAGAAAATGAAATCAGTATGTTGAAGCGGTATCTGCACTTCCATGTTCATTGCAGCATTATTCACAATAGCCAAGATATGAAATCAACCTAAGTGTTTGTGGAAGGATAAATGAATATTAAAAATGTGGTGTATCCAGAGAATGGAATACCATAGAGCCTCAAAAAGGAAGGAAATGTGGTCATTTGGAACAACACGGATGAAGTTGGAGGACATTATGCTAAGTGCAATAAACCATAATAAGTGAAATAAGCCATTATGTTAGGTGAAAATAAAAAGACAAATATTGCATGATAAAGATATCACTTATATGTGGAATCTTAAAAAGCTGAACTCATAGAAGCAGAGTGTAGAATGATAGCGGCTAGGGACTGGTGGGTGGAGGAAATGAGGAGACTGGTCAGTTATTATAGAGCTGTTTTACTCATACAAGATGAGTAAGTTCTGGAGATCTAACATATGGCAATTATAGTTAATAATACTGTATTGTATAGTTGAAATTTGCTAAGATAGTAGTTTTTTTTTGGGGGGGTGGGGGATGGACTGAGTCTCGCTCTGTCGCCAGGCTGGAGTGCAGTGGCACAATCTTGGCTCACTGCAACCCCCACCTCCCGTGGTTCAAGCGATCCTCCTGCCTCAGCCTCCTAAGTAGCTGCGACTACAGGCATGCGCCACCACACCCAGCTAATTTTTTGTATTTTTAGTAGAGACGGGGTTTCACCATCTTGGCCAGGATAGTTTCGATCTCTTGACCTCGTGATCTGCCCACCTTGGCCTCCAAAACTGTTGGGATTACAGGCATGAGCCACTGCGCCCGGCCGAGAGTAAATCTGTTTTTTTTTTGTGACGGAGTCTCACTCTGTCGCCCAGGCTGGAGTGCAGTGGTGTGATCTCGGCTCACTGCAAGCTCCACCTCCGGGGTTCTCGCCATTCTTCTGCCTCAGCCTCCCAAGTAGCTGGGACTACAGGCGCCCGCCACCACGCCCAGCTAATTTTTTCTATTTTTAGTAGAGATGCGGTTTCACCATGTTAGCCAGAATAGTCTCGATCTCCTGACCTCGTGATCCACCCGTCTCAGCCTCCCAAAGTGCTGGGATTACAGGTGTGAGCCACCATGCCCAGCCCTGAGAGTAGATCTTAAATGTTCTCACACACACAAAAAGCAAAAAGTTAACTATGTGAAGTGATTAATATGTTCATTAGCTTGATGTGGTGATTATCTTTTTTTTCTTTTTTTGAGACAGGGTTTCACTTTGTCACACAGATTGAAATGCAGTGGTGCAAACCCTGCTCACTGCAGCCTCAACCTCCCAGGCTCCACCAATCCTCCTGCCTCAGCCTCCCAAGTAGCTGGGACTACAGGTGCATGCCACCATGCCCAGCTAATTTTTTTTTTTTTTTTTGAGATGGATTCTTGCTCTGTCGCTCAGGCTGGAGTGCAATGGTGCAGGTTCACGCCATTCTCCTGCCTCAGCCTCCTGAGTAGCTGGGACTACAGGCGCCCACCACCACGTCTGGCTAATTTTTTGTATTTTTAGTAGAGACGGGGTTTCATCGTGTTAGCCAGGATGGTCTCAATCTCCTGACCTCGTGATCCGCCCGCATTGGCCTCCCAAAGCTCGGCTAATTTTTGTATTTTTTGTAGAAACAGGATTTTGCCATGTTGCCAAGGCTGGTCTTAAACTCCCAGGCTGAAGCAATCCACCCGCCTCAGCCTCCCAAAGTGCTGGGATTACAGACATGAGCCACCGTGACCAACAGATGTGGTAATTATCTTACAACGTATAGGTATATCAAAATGTTGTGTTGTTAGTCAGGCATGGTGGTGTACACCTGTAGTCCCAGCTACTCCAGGGAGGTAGAGGCTGCAGTGAGCTATGATTGTGCCACTGTACTCCAGGTTGGGCAACAGAGGGACACCTTATCTCTTTCTTTCTTTCTTTTTTTTTTTTTTTTTTTGACAGAGTCTCCCTCTGTCGCCCAGGCTGGAGTGCAGTGGGCACTTGGCTCACTGCAACCTCCATGTCCCGGGTTCAAGTGATTCTCCTGTCTCAGCCTCCTGAGTAGCTGGGACCATAGGCTTGTGCCACCATACTTGGCTAATTTTTGTATTTTTAGTAGAGATGGGGTTTTGCCACATTGGCCAGGCTGGTCTTCAACTCCTGACCCCAGGTGATCTGCCTGTCTCAGCCTCCCAAAGTGCTGGGATTACAAACACAAGCCACCAACATGCCCACCCTGGGAGACCCTATCTCTAAGAAGAAGAAAAAAATTGTCTGTATTATTCACAATATGACTTTTTTTTTGAGATGGAGTCTCGCTTTATCACCCAGGCTGGAGTGCAGTGGCGCTATCTTGGCTCACTGCAACCTCCACCTCCCAGGTTCAAGCAATTCTCCCACCTTAGCCCCCAGAGTAACAGGGACTATAGGCATGCACCACAATGCCTGGTTAATTTTTGTATTTTTAGTAGAGATGGGGTTTCACCATGTTGGCCAGGATGGTCTCGAACTCCTGACCTCAGGTGATCTGCCTAGGCCTGGCATTACAGGCATGAGCCACTGTGCCTGGCTTGTTTTTGTTTTTTCTTTGAGACAGTGTCTTGTTCTGTTGCCCAGGCTGGAGTGCAGTGGCACAATCACAGCTCACTGCAGCCTCGACCTCCCAGGCTCAAGTGATCCTCCCGCCTCAGCCACATGAGTGGCTAGTAATATACTATAGGCATGTGCCACCACACTTAATATTTTCGTTTTTTTGTAGGGACGGAGTAGTGCCATGTTGCCCAGGCTGGTCTCAAACTCCTGGCCTCAAGAGATCCTCCTGCCTTGGCCTCCCAAAGTGCTGAGATTACAGGCTTAAGACATTGTGCACTCATATACACTTTATTTATCAATTACACCTCAGTAACCCTTGAAAACACTTTTAATTTAAAAATAGTCGGGTGCGGTGGCTCATGCCTGTATCTCAGCACTTTGGGAGGCCAAGGTGGATGAATCAGGCCAGGAGTTCAAGACCAGCGTGGCCAACATGGCAAAATCCATCTCTATTAAAAATACAAAAATTACTCGGGCGTGGTGGTGCATGCCTATAATCCCAGCTACTTGGGAGGCTGAGGCATGAGAATCTCTTAAGCCTGGGAGGCAGAAGTTGCAGTGAGCTGAGATCACGTCACTGCACTCCAGCCCAGATGACGGAGCAAGACTCTGTCTCAAAAAAAGAAAAAAAGGTCAGGCGTGGTGTCTCACGCCTGTAATCCCAGCACTTTGAGAGGCCAAGGCGGGTGGATCACCTGAGGTCAGGAGTTTGAAACCAGCCTGGCCAACGTGGTGAAACCCTGTCTCTACTAAAAATACAAAAAATTAGCCGGGCATGGTGGTGAGCACCTGCAATCCCAGCTACTCAGGAGGCTGAGGCAGGAGAATCGCTTGAGCCCAGGAAGTGGAGGCTGCAGTGAGCCAAGATGGCACCAGCCTGGGAAATAGAGCGAGACTACGTCTCAAAATAAAAAAAGAAAAAAGAAAAAAAAAGTCTCCCCTCAATTTTTTTTTGAGGCAGAGTCTCACTCCGTTGCCCAGGCTGGAGTGCAGTGGCACTATCTCGGCTCACTGCAGCCTCCACCTCCCGGGTTCAAGCGATTCTCCTGCCTCAGCCTCCTGAGTAGCTAGGACTGCAGGTGCACGCCACCATGATTGGCTAATTTTTTTATTTTTAGTAGAGACCATGTTGGCCAGGATGGTCTCAATCTCCTGACCTCATGATCCACCTGCCTCAGCCTCCCAAAATGCTGGGATTACAGGCGTGAGCCACTGTGCCCGGCCTTAAAATTTTTTTCTGGCTGGGCGCGGTGGCTCACACCTGTAATCCCAGCACTTCGGGAGGCCGAGGCAGGTGGATCACCTGAGGTCAGGAGTTCGAGACAAGCTGGCTAACACAGTGAAACCCAGTCTCTACTGAAAATACAAAAAATTTGCCGGGCATGGTGGCAGGCGCCTGTAGTCCCAGCTACTCGGGAGGCTGAGGCAGGAGAATGGTGTGAACCCGGGAGACGGAGCTTGCAGTGAGCCAAGATCGTGCCACTGCACTCCAGCCTAGGTGACAGAGTGAGACTCTGTATCAAAAAAAAAAAAAAATTTTTTTCTTTAATTTAAAATTTTTGTAGAGATGAGGGTCTTGCTGTGTTGCTCAGGCTGGTGTCAAACTCCTGGGCACATGCAATCCTCCTTCTTTGGCCTCCCAAAGTGCTGGGATTACAGGTGTGAGCTACTGTGCCTGGCCAATGAAGCTGCTTTAAAAAAAGAGCTGGGAGTGGCCGCACGCGGTCACTCAAGCCTGTAATCTCAGCACTTTGGGAGGCTGAGGAGGGTGGATCAGGGGGTCAGAGGTTTGAGACCAGCCTGGCCAACGTGGTGAAACCACTTGTCTACAAAAAAAAAAAAAAAAAAATTAACCGGGTGTGGTGGTGTGTGCCTGTAATCCCAGCTACCTGGGAGGCTGAGGCAGGAGAATCACTTGAACCTGAGAGGCGGAAGTTGCAGTAAACCTAGACTGCACCATTGCACGCCAGCCTGGGCGACACAGCAAGACTCTGTCTAAAAAAAAAAGAAGAGCTGAGAGTAATGGATGTCCCAATTATTTATTGCTATGCTGCAGCAAATGACCACAAAATATAGTGGCTTAAAGCAACAGTCATACCATTATATTTCATAATTTTGTGGATCAGGAATTCAGACAGGCTCGGCTGGGTGGGATGTTCAAGGATGGAGGTTTCAAGATGGCTTCACTCTTACACTACCACCTTGGCAGGGACAGTTGGGAGGCTGGGCTCCAGTGAGTCCCTGTCCTTCATGGAGATTCTGAGCCTCTTCATGTGGTCTCTCTGGAAGGAAGGTCAGACTTCTTTTTTTTTTTTTTTCTTTTCTTTTTTTTTTTGAGACAGAGTCTTGCTGTCGCCCAGACTGGAGTGCAGTGGCACGATCATGGCTCACTGCAGGCTCCGCCCCCCGGGGTTCACACCATTCTCCTGCCTCAGCCTCCCGAGTAGCTGGGACTACAGGCACCCGCTACCTCGCCCGGCTAATTTTTTGTATTTTTAGTAGAGACGGAGTTTCACTGTGTTAGCCAGGATGGTCTCGATCTCCTGACCTCGTGATCCACCCGCCTCGGCCTTCCAAAGTGCTGGGATTACAGGCGTGAGCCACCGTGCCCGGCCAGGAAGGTCAGACTTCTTACGTCGTGGCTCAGGCTATGAGAGACCAAGGTGGAAGCTGCCAATTCTCTTAAAGTTTAGGCCTGGACCTGGCATAGCATTACTTCTGCCATGCTTTATTAATCAAAGTAGTCATGTTCTGGGAGGAGGGAAAAGGCTGAGTTGGAACCGCCAGGCAGAAGCTATATTGGGAGTTATGATGGCACCAGTGCACTCCAGCCTGGACAACACAGTGAGACCCTGTTATCTAATAATAATAATAATAATAATAATAATAATAATGCAAAATAAAAATGGGAGCCATAATGGGTCCTAAGCAGTTGAGTCTGGGTATATGATGGTTGCGGGTGGGCCTCGTGTGGAAGAGTGATGGAAATAATACTGGGTCGGGCATGGTGGCTCATGCCTGTAATCTCAGCACTTTGGGAGGCCGAGGTGGTTGAATCACCTGAGATCAGGAATTCGAGACCTGCCTGGCCAACATGGTGAAACCTCGTCTCTACTAAAAATACAAAAATTAGCTGATGTGGTGGTGCATGCCTGTAATCTCAGCTACTCGGGAGGTTGAGGCAGGAGAATCACTTGAACCTGGGAGGTGAAGGTTGTAGCAAGCCGAGATCGTGCCACTGTACTCCAGCCTGGTGACAGAGCAAGACTCTGTCTCAAAATAAAATAAAATAAAATAAAATAAAATAAAATAAAATAAAATTTAAAAACACAAAAAAAGGAAGTAATACTGGACAGGGAGTTATGAGAGACTAGAGAGGTCTTCGGCTGTCAGGTTAAGCAGTTGAGTTAACTTTTCTAGGTAAGAGGGAGCCCTTGAATTCTACAGCAGGTGAATTCAAAGAATGAGTGAAGGAGAGGACTAGGCCAAACAAGGATGAATAAATGGCGTAAAAATTTTCAGCTACAAAATCAGGCAGCATTTGGAGTAAGAAGCTGGTCAGGCTTAACAGCATGTATTGATTTATATAGCTTTTGATTTTTCTGCTTTATTTATTTGAGACAAGATCTCGCCCTGTAATTCAGGTTGGGGTGCAGTGGCAGGATCTCGGCTCACTGCAACCTCAACCTCCCGGGTTCAAGCGATTCTCCTACCTCAGCCTCCCAAGTATCTGGGATTACAGGCGTGCGCCACCATGCCTGGCTAATTTTTGTATTTTTAGTAGAGATAGGGTTTCACCATGTTGGCCAGGCTGGTCTCGAACTCCTGACCTCAGGTGATCTGCCTGCCTCGGTGAGGCACCACGCCTAGCCCTGGATAATTTTTTGTATTTTTTGTAGAGATGGGTTTTCGCCATGTTGCCCAGGCTGGTCTCAAACTCCTGGGCCCAAGCAATCTGCCCTCCTCGGTCTCTCAAAGTGCTGGAATCACAGGCATAAGCCACTACGCCCAGCCTATATTTTAAAAACAACTTTCATTGTTTTTAACCCTTATTATGAAAGACACAAATTTCATTTTCAAAAATCCGGAATGACAGTTTAGCTTTAAAATGGTTGGCAGCAGGCAGCCACTTTGGGGTCTTGAGCTGGGAATGACAAGAGGCAAGACTACAACTTTCTATTATGGAGGGGAAGGAGGATGTGGTTTGTTGTGTGAGATGTTGAGGTCCAGGGGAGAGTAGTGATTAGACAATGACAAACTTAAGTGTCGGCAGGCAGTTTGCAAACCACTCTGCTGAATACCAATTATTACACTTTTTTTTTTGGTCTTTTTTTCCCCCCTCTTTCTGTGGAGAATGAGGTCTCGCTATATTGCCCAGGCAGGTCTCGAACTCCTGGGCTCAAGCTATCCTCCCGCCTCTGCCTCCATAAGAGCTGGGATTATAGGTGTGAGCCACTGCACCCGGTGAATACCAATGATTAAAAAACAGTGAACGGCTGGGTGCGGTGGCTCATCCCTGTAATCCCAGCACTCTGGGAGGCCGAGGCGGGCGGATCACAAGGTCAGAAGATTGAGACCATCCTGGCTAAGATGGTGAGACCCTGTCTCTACTAAAAAATACAAAAAAAATTAGCCGGCCATGGTGGCGGGCGCCTGTAGTCCCAGCTACTCGGGAGGCTGAGGCAGGAGAATGGCGTGAACCCGGAAGGTGGAGCTTGCAGTGAGCATACATCGCGCCACTGCACTCCAGCCTGGGCGACAGAGCAAGACTCCGTCTCAAAAAAAAAAAAAAAAAAAAAGCAGTGAACATGGGGCCCGGCGCCATGGCTCACGCCTGTAATCCCAGCACTTTGAGAGGCCGAGGCAGGTGGATCACGAGGTCAGGAGCTCGAGACCAGCCTGGCCAGCATGGTGAAACCCCATCTCTATTAAAAATACAAAAAAATTAGCCGGGCATGGTGGCACGCTCCTGTAGTCCTAGCTACTTGAGAGGCTAAGGCAGGAGAATTGCTTGAACCTGGGAGGTAGAGGTTGCAATGAGCAAAAATCACGCCACTGCACTCCAGCCTGGGCAACAGGGCGATACTCCATCTCAAAAAAATAAAAATAAAAACAAAAAACAAACAAAACAAAAAAAAGTGAACATTTATAGCTTGGTACTATACTAAGCACTGTACATTTAGTAACTCATTTAACCCTGATAGTCAGGTACCTGTATCATTCCCATTACATGGATTAAAAATTTGAGGCACCGAAGGGTTAAGCAACTTGTCCAAAGCTCCAGTTAAGCGTGGTGGAGCTCTCAAGTCTGTAGTCCCAGTACTTTGGGTGGCTGAGGCAGCAGGATTGCTTGAGGCCAGGAGTTTGAGACCAGCCTGGGCAACACAGTAAGACCTTGTCTCTAAAAAAAAGAAAAAAGGAAAAAAAAGAAAAAAAGGGTAGTGGAGCTGAAGTGTTAGTTTAGCTGAGTTCTGTAGTTAACCACCAAAGCTAGATATTTACTTTTACCTTTTATATGTGCAATTCAAGTTTCTCTATTCTAATTTATAAAGTTCTAGGTGACTAGAGCTCCCATGATATCATCTGACATGTTGCTGTTCTGGACTCAGGGTTGTTGAAAGCAGCTGACACACTCTGTTAATGATTCCAAGGCCAGAGTCAGGCTGCAGTGAAGAGTTGGCCTGGTGTGTAAGAACTCCATCCCCCCTAACCGGCAGGATGCAGGCAATGATTCAGTAGGTTAGGCTGGTTCCCCCCATCCCATCCCCTCACCCCCTGCCATCGTTCAAAATAGTAATTATGATGTAATGTTTAATGTTTAAAAAAATACTCTGGTGATTTATGGACTTAAAAACTATCTGAATGCACCCTGAGGATGATGGTGAAAGGTGCAATTTTGACATCAAAACAAGTGGGTGCATCTAATATTTAATTAAAGGATCAGATGAAGAAAGCAGATGCGAAGTCGCTCAGATGGAAATGTGGCCTAACCCCCAACCCAAGGTCTGAGAGAGTGACAGAAGCTAGTGTCACCTTTGAATACAAAACATGGCTACAGATGAATTCAAGAAAGAATGAAAATGTATTGCTTATATAATTTTAGGGCTAGTTTCTTTTTTTTCTTTCTTTTTTTTTTTTTTACGAGGCGGAGTCTTGCTCTGTCACACAGGCTGGAGTTCAGTGGCAGGATCTCAGCTCACTGCAACCTCCGGCTCCCGGGTTCAAGCAATTCTCTTGCCTCAGCCTCCCGAATAGCTGGGATTACAGGCGCCTGCCACCACACACGGCTAGTTTTTTGTACCTTTAGTTTCTTTTTAGTTAATTATTAAAATACAAGATGATTTATTTTCAGGATTCTTGAAGGCATATAGACTCCCTTTCAAATGTAAATGAGTGGAGGAAAAACTGGAAGCCTGCGTCCTCCTCCTTTGCTAACAAAGGGTGTTTATTAGCTAGGATGGCAATGAAAAATTTAATACAACGTAGTTTATAGCAGTGGACTGTGTCTTTGGCTCCTCATCTGGATGTGTAGCTCTGGCTCCTCATGGATAAGCTGTATAAAGCCTTATTAGATTCAAATACTAACCGTCGCTATGCCATATTAAAAAAAATCATTATAGCTATAAGCTGTATTTCTTATATAAGTGGGGTTAAATTGGTTGACTTAAAGATTTCCCCCTTTGCTACCAGTGCTAAAAAATTGTCTTAACCAAAATTAGGAATGTGCTAATTTAACAATTTACACTACAGGCCTGCTTCCTGGCAATGTGCTGTCAATTCAAGAAAAGAAAGAAGGAAAGCTACTTCACGATGAGAAATCAAACCTCACCCCCACTTCTCGCTCTCTCTTTTCTTCCTTTTTTTTTTTTTCCTCTGAGCAATGGTCCCCAGGAAACAAACCCACAAACCGCTGTCAAGTTTGATTCCTCTTTCTGGAGTTACAGCCTTCCTGCTCCTCCGTGATGGCTCAGCTGAAGTACCACCTCTGCTACTCGTTTTCAAAATACATGTTGAGTCTTAGGACCAGGAGGACGATTGAGGTTTTTTTTCCTTGTCATCTTTCTTTTCTTTTTCTTTCTTTCTTTTTTTGGTGGTGGGTGGGGCCAAACTAAGAGGGAGACAGCAGGTCTGGGCCATCCCTCTTCTGACCCTCTGGGGCCATCTTCCTTCTGGCAATTCTCTTCCCCCATCTGTTTTCCTCTTGTTTTTGTTTTTTAAAAAAGAAGGAAAAACAATCAAAGAAAGGAAAAGAAACGAAACAAAACAAAATTACATGAAACATCTCTATGGCAAGGCCAGTATGGTAGAAAATTATGGTAAAAAATTATAGGAGTGCATTGATTCATATGAGCATTTCATGTTTCTACACAGGTCTCAAATTATGGAAGAAATACATTGTTTAGGCAAGAGATGGTGGCATGAGAAGCTTCCTCTTTAATTTTTAAATTATACAAAGTTTGCTTCTTCGTTTGGCAAAGGAGGGGCTCTGTTTTGGTCTTATTTGATCAATAATTTTTCACTCCTCACACATTTCAGAAAATGTTCACTGATGTTCATTTTGCTCCAGGTGCTAAGGAGGGAGCTCTGGGGGCAGCTGAGGGCTTAGGCATTCCCGGTGGGGCTGCCAGGCTCTTCCTCAGCCTAGGAAACGCTCCCATCTCAGGACAGCACCCTGGCCCCCAAGACGGCTTCATCCTTTTGGAGAGGTACTTCTGCAGCTTCCTAGGGCCATCAGCACATGTGTCCAGCTGGGTTGATTTAAGGGCTTTTTCCAGGGTGATTTTCCCATGGATTCCAATGAGCAAAACCAGAGGAGCTGGGGAGGTCCATGTAGTGTATTTTTAAATTTCTCCATCTTTATGATCCAGGCATAGTTATGCAGGTTGGACACCGAGGTGTTTTTTTAAATTGCTTATCGAAGTATAATTTAAACAGTGAAATCGTGCATAGATCTTAAATGGCATTTATAAGTTTTGACAAATGTACATACACGGCAATCTATTTTTATTTCACCACCCCAGAAGGTTCCTTCATGCCCTTTCCCAGTCAATACCTCCTCATCCCCAAGGGTACTTTTCCTCTCCCCATAGCTTAGTTCTCTGTTCTAGAATTTCCTGGAAATGGAATCACACAGTATGAACTCTTTTGTGTTTGGCTTCTCTCTCCCAACACGATGTTTTTGAGTCATCAGGTTGTTGCCTGTACCAGGTTAAATAGGATATCACTAACAGCGAGATAGTGTTAAGAAGGGGACAATTTTTACCCCGTTGGCCTCCAGGCCAGATACTACCTATATCCTGGTAAGTGGCCCTCCTTGCCCTTCCAAGTGAGTCTCTCTCCAGGGCCATGCAAGTTCCTCTCCCAGAACCGCTCAGGCGGCCTCGGGCACCACCCAGATGGCTGCGGGGCCATCACCAGGTCGCCTCCCCAGAACAGCTGCCCCCTGCTTCCCCCCAGCCCCATTAAAACTCAAAAGGGAACTCTGGCCCCTCTGCCGATCAGAATTCAGACTCGCTTAATTCCATGCATCCAACTGCACACCACCGTGTGATGTTTTGGTGATCAGATATGCAGAGTTCTTTAAAAAACGTAAAAAGAAAAAAAGAAAAGGTGGGTAAAAACCGAGATCTCCCGGGCAGTGGATATGTCTCGGTTGAGCCAGGGATTCAGAATGAAATCTTTTCTTTTCTTTTTTAAATAAACGGAAGAGTCGTTCTCTGCTCCTCGCTCAGAAGGTTTCAAAGGTCGTCACACTGAAGCCCGGGGGCGTTCATCTCCCCAGCGGCCGGGAGAAGGGAGGAGGTTGGAGGGCGGAGGGAGGGAGCACACAAAAGCGGGCCGTGCTGAGAGGGCTAATGTTTCCTGTTTGCCTGGAGCCCCCTCCCCTGCCTCCCCTCCCCCAGCCCCCTCCCAGCACTCGGGCGGAAGTGAGTTTGCTCCTTTGGAGATTAAAAGGATTCCGAATTCCGATCAGTCCCAATAACCGGCGTACTGAAGAGAAGAGGAGGAGGAGGAGGAGGCAGAGGCGGCAAAGCAGAGAAAGAGGGGGCGCGCGCGCGCGCACGCAACCCGAACTGGGGGAGTTGTGCAAAGCCCCAGGAGGCCGGGGCACGGCGGGAGCAAAGCTCGGTAGGCGCAGCGCGGCCGAGGCCACCCGCGTCCGGATCGGCGACTCCTTTCAGAAAGAAGATGACGCGGGCGCGAGCCGGCGGCGTTGGCCACGCGGCTCCCGAGCTCGCCGCGCGGGGCTGTTGCCGGTTCCACTGATTCCAGCGCGCCCGAGAGGAGCCTCCATCCCCGAGGCTCGGGATCGGAGGGGGGACCAAGGCGAGGGCGAAATGGCCCGATGACAAAGGAAATGTGATCCCCCTTCTCTGCCAAGGTTTCAGAGAGGACGGACGTGAGGAGGAGGAGGGGCGCAGGGCGCGCGCGGAGCTCGGATAGCATTGCACGACGGCCCGCGCGGAGCGGGTACATCTAATATCTTCCTGCCGATGAATAATTCAGGGCGGCCCGCGGGGACCTGCGGCCCCGCGCGCTAAGCCGAAGGGGAAGGAGCGTGCGTGAGGCGCCCAGGCCAGGCGAGGCGGGGGCACGAGGGCTCCGGGCCGCGTGGGGCGCGCGTGCGTGTTAAGCGCGGGCAGCCGCGGCCCGGCTGGGCAGGCGCGCGGAAGACTCGAGGCGCGTGGGACGCGCGTGCGTACTGCACGCGTGCGGCCGCGGCTGGGCCACCACGAGCTGCAGCTGCTGCGGGGCCCACCGCCCTGCAGGGGAGGCCGTGCCTGGCTGTGCGCAAGCCCCAAGCGCAGCACGCCGGGCCACCCAGGAGCCCCTGGCCGCCGCGTCATGCGGCGGGGCAGCCGACGTCGCGCGGGGAGACACCGGCTTGGCGACGCACCGCTCCCGCCTTTACTAGTTTGGGGCTCCTTCCCCTCCCAAGAACAGACTAAATCCGTTTAAAGAAAAGCAACGCACCAAATACTCGTGGAACCAAATTCTGCTCTCGCCGGGACTGGGACTGCACAGCGAACTCTCCTTTTGGGAACTCCTTTCGTCTATCGCGAAGGGAAGCCTCAGCTGCTCCAGGGAGTCTTCCGACCTCCCTGCCCCCGCTCGCCCCTCGCCTGTCGGGGCTTGTTCCGGCGTTCCCTCTTCGGAAGGCACGCGGCCCCCAAGTTATCCGGAGGAATCTGTGTCGCCGCTGGATAGTGGCATTTAATGCCTGCAGTGTCGGGGGTGGCAGCGCTCGGGCCGGACGTGGCGAGGCCAAGCGGGCAGCGCTGCTCTGGTGCCGGCTCCCGGATTGCAGGCCTAATCGATGCATTTTTCTGAGTGAGTCGGTGACTCCCCCACCCACCTCGTCCGCTCTCTCCTCCTCCTCCTCCTCTTCCTCTCTGGTCTCCTCCCTCCTCCGGGCTGGGTTGCAAATGGCTTCGTTCCCCGAGACCGATTTCCAGATCTGCTTGCTGTGCAAGGAGATGTGCGGCTCGCCGGCGCCGCTCTCCTCCAACTCGTCCGCGTCGTCGTCCTCCTCGCAGACGTCCACGTCGTCGGGGGGCGGCGGCGGGGGCCCTGGGGCGGCGGCGCGCCGCCTACACGTCCTGCCCTGCCTGCACGCCTTCTGCCGCCCCTGCCTCGAGGCGCACCGGCTGCCGGCGGCGGGCGGCGGCGCGGCGGGAGAGCCGCTCAAGCTGCGCTGCCCCGTGTGCGACCAGAAAGTAGTGCTAGCCGAGGCGGCGGGTATGGACGCGCTGCCTTCGTCCGCCTTCCTGCTTAGCAACCTGCTCGACGCGGTGGTGGCCACTGCCGACGAGCCGCCGCCCAAGAACGGGCGCGCCGGCGCTCCGGCGGGAGCGGGCGGCCACAGCAACCACCGGCACCACGCTCACCACGCGCACCCGCGCGCGTCCGCCTCCGCGCCGCCACTCCCGCAGGCGCCGCAGCCGCCCGCGCCTTCCCGCTCGGCACCCGGCGGCCCTGCCGCTTCCCCGTCGGCGCTGCTGCTCCGCCGTCCTCACGGCTGCAGCTCGTGCGATGAGGGCAACGCAGCTTCTTCGCGCTGCCTCGACTGCCAGGAGCACCTGTGCGACAACTGCGTCCGAGCGCACCAGCGCGTGCGCCTCACCAAGGACCACTACATCGAGCGCGGCCCGCCGGGTCCCGGTGCCGCAGCAGCGGCGCAGCAGCTCGGGCTCGGGCCGCCCTTTCCCGGCCCGCCCTTCTCCATCCTCTCAGTGTTTCCCGAGCGCCTCGGCTTCTGCCAGCACCACGACGACGAGGTGAGTGCGTGGGGGCGTGTGTTTGTGTCCATCGGATAACTGCGTGTGTGCTCAACAGCGTTTCCCGGCCGGTCCCACAGCGAGGGGAGGAGGCCCTCTCCGGATTTGGTTTGTATTTCCTTTGGCTACGTGGCAGTCCTTGCTACCAAAGTAGATCATGACCTGGGAAGTATGTGGAAGTGGATTCTGTGTACGTGTCGCGAGGGGCTCCGAAAAATCCCATAGCGTGGGGTCCTCCCTTTTCTGATTTTAATTTCTGTGTGGCAAAACGCGGCAATCGTCTTGAGTTAGGCGTGAGTTGGGAGGAGATAGGTGTGTGTGTTTGTGTAGACGTGGCCTGCTCCTGCTCTTGTGGGCACACCAGAGGCCTCCCAACGTGCTGAGAAGGCGCTCCTTTATTTTCAGATTTTTGTTTGGAAAACTCATAGATTGTTGCCTTTAAAATGGGGCGTGAGCCCGGAAGAGATGGTTGTGTGGGTGAGTGCGTGGAGTTTGTGTGCCTCCGTAGACCTGGTTTCCACGTGCGCACTTGTGAGGGGAAGACTGGTTTTTTTGTTGTTGGGACAGCATGGCAGTCCTTGCCTCCTTATGTTGGGTAAGAGTGGGAGCGTCTGTGGATCTTTGAGGGCCAAGGGCCCCCAGTCTTAAGCCCTTCTCTCTCTGCGGCTGCTTCCTATATTGTTTAAAATGCGTGTTCTGGCCCCTGAATTCTCCTAGCGTGAAATCGCCGTTCGTGGGCCCACGGCTGCACCCCGAGATAGAAGCGGAATAAAGGGACGACGTTACCTTCACCAGCCTGAGTCTCTTGGGCCGCGCCCGCCTGCCCCGACTCCAAGCCCTACAGGAACCGGTTTCCCTGGTTAGGAGGTATCCACCCGGCTCAACCAGGGTCTCGACTTCCTTGGAAAAGACCAAGGCAGCCGTACGCTGCTGGAACGCCGGAGTGCAAAGGCTTTTAGGGCTACATTGCAACCCTCGGGCTCGATTTCGCCCTTTGGGCTGTCGAGTAAACATTTGCTTTTCACACAGTGTGACCCCTTTCTCCTTTCCACTTTGGTATTATGCGAGTGTCGTCTTCTCCCCCGAACCCAATGAAGGCAGGCCAAAAGTCTTGAGAAGCGGGCTCTTGCCGAGGGGGTCGGTAACTTAGGCGATCTACCTGTAGACCGGTAAGAGAGGGTGTGGGTGAAAGTCTTGACTTAGAGCGTAAGCTGGAGACTGCAGAGGCTTTAAAAGCCATAGTGGGGGTCGTGGCCTGTGTGAGCTGGAGAGTGGGTACCGAGCACCGCAAAGGTGAGCCCAGCGCCGCTGCCTTTTCCACTCCTAACCTGTTATTTGGGGAGGAGGGCGGAGCTATTGCCTGATGGCCTTTAGCTGGCTTCTCCTGTTGGAAAAAAGTTGAAATTCTAATCTACTTGTTGTAGGCATCTCCTTTTAAAAGGTTTCTTCTAGGTAAGAAGCTAGGGGGCAGTTATCTTTTTTTTCCGTTTTTAAACTTTGAATGGACTCCTAGTTTTAATATACTGTGGGTTCATGTTCTTTCATCACTTTTAGAAAAATGAGTGATTGAGGTAAATACCGATCCAAATCCCAGGAACAGAAAAATGGAGCCAATTCACTTGCAGTTTGGGATCAAATGCAGGGTGAGCAGAATGGGGTTGAATCCAGGAGTTTCCCCTTCTGAGAGGTGCTTTTAGTTTAAATGTCAGTTTATATTTCCAGTTAAAGATACACCTATATTTTATTTGGGCTGAAACAGTAGATGCTCAGTGTTGGCAGACTTGTAAAAGATTTATTCACTTTTAAAATTAGAAAACCCTTCAAACTGCATTGGGGAGTGTGAATTGAGAAGTGAAGCTCTCCACTCACCCTGGGAGGTACTCGGAAGCTCTTCAAATTCACTTTTTAGCATGTGCAATGTCAGGTTGAAGTAACTAATAATCCTTAACATAAAATTTGCTCAGTTTTGAGCAAGATTCTGCTTGCTCCCTTTAGCTTTTCATTAAAAACATTTCGGAAGTTGTTTGGCCTTTTTATTCATTCCTGGATTTAGAACGCTAGAAATTTGAGATTAAAGGTGACAAACCAGTGTTCTGAGTAGAAGACTAAAGTGTTAGGAGAGACAGCACTAACAGGTAGTGAGGTTCATAAACGGTTCCACCTACAGCTTAAATAATTCCTTTTCTTTTGATCTCGTTAACAGTTTGAGAATATTGTTCCTTTAAAAAGTCATCCCTCTCTGGCTGGGAAGGAGCTTTAGGACATTTTTGGAGGATGATAGACTGACCCATATCTGGACTGCGATACACTGAATGCCTAAATCCACATATTTTAATGTGTATACTGTCTACCTCAATTTTTAAGATGAGCTCCTTAACTGAGTTGCTTCCCTTGTCCACAGGCTCCGTTAAATAATTCAGAGTAGCACCTTTTCCTTATAGTGACTCAGGCCACCTGACCTTGGGAAGGAGGCCCAAACACCCTACCCCAGCCTGCAGGGTCTCTCGCCCAGGGGGACTTTCTTCCTTAAGCATCCCCTTGTAAAATGCCTTCTTAGGATTGGCAAGTAAGGTGTCTCGTCTGAGCAATTGGCTTTAAACCGTAATGATGATAACCTGGAAATCTTTGGGTTTTCCAACGAAATAATGAGACGTACTTGCTGCTACTCTTTTATTTTGGCTTATTTCAACAACATAGTTGGGGCTTTTCACTAGTTCTGTGCCTCCAGAGTCCGAAAGGCCTGCAGGCTCCGTGGCCCAGCCGGCATCCGGGCGGGGAATCCAAGGCGAGGAATCCGAGGTCGCCGTCCCCGGAACAGCTGGCCGCGGGCCCGCTGCGTGCCGCGGGTCCCGGGAGAGGCGGGCGCAGGTAGAGTCGCCGCGGGCCTGCGCCGCCGCCCGGCCAGCCCGGAGCCTGCCTCGGCTCTGGGGACGTGGCCTGGCCGGCGGCTGCTCTTCTCCCCGCAGGCACCCGCTGGGGTATTCACGGCCGCTCTGGTCATGGAGTAGGGTCTTCGCTTGAGTTTTGGGGGAAGAGTTTCACAACTAGGGAGTTGTGAGCGCTGCTCCAGCTGCTCACAAGTGACCCTTTAGTGTTGTTTTGCTTTTGGCACATAGAACGTGAGCCCTTTGCAGCCTTGGAGGCGACACCGGCAGCAGAAATGCTGGGTGTGTTGTGTGCCTAAGCTGGGCGTCAGGATTCTGTGAATGGCGGGAAGTTGAGCAGGGTTTGAACCCAGGAAAGCCTCTGTCACTAGCGGTGAGGGGCAGTGGGGGTGACATTGTTGCCACCTGGAAAACATTGTAGCCCGCCCCACCCGAGGATGGCAATATTGTTCCCAGTTAGGCAGGTCTGGGGGTGGCGTTTTCTGGAGTCTGGTTGGAAAAAGGGGTGCAGGTGTTGGTAGAATCCATGCGGTCCCTGTGTTGGGCTTTAAAATGCCTCCTGAAGAGAAAAGTTCTAGAATTCCAACTTGATTTGACCCTGAACATTGAGCACTCCTGGGACTGTCTCCTGGCAGGAAACTTAAAGTGGCTTCAGTCACTTGGAACAAGGAGGTTTGCTGCCTAAAATAATCGGTTGCTGTGTGAATTTGTTTTGTATATTTTAAGTCATATTGTAAATGGGACTGTACCTGTATTCAGCACCAGTGTATATTATTCTCTGTTCCCAAAGTCTAAGTTTTTTCAGGTCTGCATATACTCAGTGTATGCATGCTTATTTTAAATTATATTCATGTTCTTGCATAAATTATAAAATCCATACCAAAATATTTTTAAAAGCATAATACAAATTTTCCCACTTACACTGCATGTCGAAGTAATTCTCTTTTTAAGGGTGTGAAATGTAGGTATAGCTAAAGAACCACTTTCCTATCTTTTCCGTCTTTAGAGGCGATCAGATGTAACTAAGTTGGTGAAATTTATGATAAACTTTGAGAATTTCTACAAGAAATTGGCATTTTAATTGGAATCCGATTGATTCATATTAATTTCAACAAATTTTTAAAAAAAATTTTTTTAAAGGAAGGACAAGGAGAGAAAGTGAACAGAAATGGGTATTCTAGTATTTCTGTTACCTGCTTTCAACCTGCTCTACACTACTGGGTGAATATGTCCTCTGAGTGCAGACATCTCACCTACTGGCTGGAAAACCAAACCTAACTGCCTTGAAAATAATTACAGAGGTTGCTGCTTTGAATCCAGTTCAGCAGGTAGACATTAGGAAGCCTACTGAATTCAGAAAATGCTTGATAAAAATATATGGGAGGGAAATGTTCGTTATTGATATGTTAATTGCTTAGCCTTTGTGGGCTTAAGGTAGTTCCATTAAAGTGCATAGGAATGGATTTTTCAACATGGACCCTCAGGAAGTGGGCCACAGCTAGTTTGGCAAGCCTGTGCTGATGAGGTTGCCTTGAAGGCATAACCTGTCATAAACTGTGCTAGTAGTATGGAGGCTGTTGTGGTATCAGCACTGTCTGGGAAACCTTTTGTGATTATTTGTTCAGTTTCCTTCCTTTACAAAGATAAACTATAGTGGTTTTAGTGGTTTGGGGATTGCATAGATTTGATACAAGATTTTTATTTCCAATTCTAGGAATATACATTTTGGAAGACAAGATATTTGGGGAAAAAAACGTTACTTTTTCTAGACTTCCAGTTCTTCATTTGACAACGGTATTTGTTCTTTATCATTGACATTGTTTTCAAAGTGAAATAGTTGTACTTGAAATGGGGAAACCCAGGAGGCGGAGGTTGCAGTGAGCCGAGGGTGCAGTGAGCCGAGATCATGCCATTGCACTCCAGCCTGGGTGACGGAGCGAGACTATCTAAAAAGATACAGGGAAATCTTCCTAAAAGTGTTTGAAGAGGGTCAGGCGTGAGCCACCGCGCCTTTGGGAGGCCGAGGCGGGCGGATCACGAGGTCAAGAGATCGAGACCATCCTGGCCAACATGGTGAAACCCTGTCTCTACTAAAAATACAACAAAAATTAGCCAGGCGTGGTGGCGCGTGCCTGTAGTCCCAGCTACCCAGGAGGCTGAGGCAGGAGCATTGCTTGAACTGGGGAGGCGGAGGCCGCAGTGATCCGAGATCGTGCCGCTGCACTCCAACCTGGGCAACAGTGAGACTTGTCTCAAAAAAAGAAAAAAAAAAGTGTTTGAAGATTAGGTAAAAATTGCCATTTCCCATCTAGTTCTCCCTCCCATTGTATTATAGCTACTTACTTAATACTTTTATTTAGTCCTTTTGTTTTTTTCTGAGATGGAGTTTCACTCTTGTTATCCAGGCTGGAGTGCGGTGGTGCAGTCTTGGCTCACTACAACCTCCACCTCACGGGTTCAAGTGATTCTCCTGCCTCAGCCTCCCAAGTAACGGGGATTACAGGCGCTCGTCACCTTGTCCGGCTAATTTTTTTTCTTTCTTTTTTTTTTTTTTAAGTAGAGACGGGGTTTCACCATATTGGCCAGGCTTGTCTCTAACTCCTGACCTCAGGTGATCCACCTGCCTCGGCTTCCCAAAGGGCTGGGATTGATTACAGGCAAGAGCCACCGCGCCTGGCCCTAGTCCTTTTCTTAAGGCTGAGTCTCACTCATCCCAGGCTGGAGTGCAGTTGTACAGCTCCTTAAAGCCTTGACTTCTCAGGCTTAAGAGATCCTCCTGCCTGTGTCTCTCAAGTAGCTGGGACTACAGGCTCTAGCCATCACACCTGGCTAATTTTTGTAATTTTTGTGGAGATGGCGTTTCGCCATGTTGCCCAGGCTGGTCTCAAACTCCCAAGGTCAAGCGACCTGCCTACCTAGGCCTCCCAAAATGCTGGGATTTCAGTCATGAGCCACCTCGCTGGGCTAGATAGTCCTTTTCTTTTCTTTTTTTCTTGAGATGGAGTCTCGCTGTGTCACCCAGGCTGGAGTTCAGTGGCGCGATCTTGGCTCACTGCAACCTCCGCCTCCCTGGTTCAAGCAATTCTTCAGCCTCAGCCTCCCAAGTAGCTGGGACTACAGTCATGTGCCACCATGCCTGGCTAATTTTTGTATTTTTAGTGGAGACGGTGTTTCACCATGTTGGCCAGGCTGGTCTTGAGCTCCTGACCTCAAGGTGATCTGCCTAACTCGACCTCCCAAAGTGCTGGGATTCAGGTGTGAGCCACTGTGCCTGGCCCTTAGGTAGTCCTTTTCTAGAAGGATCTCAGGAGGCTTAAATGTCTAGTTTCCTCAAGTACTACTTAATATGGATGCAACTTTCTCCTCACATGTAAAATTATGAGCATAATTGGGCTTTATGTCTTTTCACTGAAAAAAGGAACTAATAATCGTGCATATATAGTAAGGGAGTTAGCTCTTGTGGAAGCTGTCAATGAAGTTAAATGGCTAAAACGCTTTTTTTTAAGTGGTTTGCCAGGGTAAAACGTGTTTATAAATTTTTCTGGTTCAAGAGAAATTTTCATTAAATAATTCTGTAGCTCTAAAATTTAACCCCCTCTGAGTTATTTCTGGTGCTAAAAGTCACATGGTTTGCCATTTCTCCATCCAGTTCTCTACACAGGGCAAGGTTTATTTTGTCTGTGTTCATTCTTAGCAAATAAAGGACCATTTCAGTGTCATTTTTGACAGGCAAAAGGGTGAGATGAATTCTATACTATGCAGGCAGTTTCAAAATACTGCTTCCCCCCTTCTCCCACTCCCACCCATAAAACTAATAAAGGTTAAAGGCCTGGCTCACTAAGGCTGTTTTTGCTATCTCTGACATTTTGGAAGCGAGCAAGAGAAAGATAATGATAAAGAATTACAGTTGCCTTAAGGGAGCAAGATGCCACCCATTGAAGCCTACTCCGTTACCGCTTTTCTTCTTGACCTTTCAAGCATTGTGGCTTGCAAGAGTAAGCTTGATCCATCTTTCCTCTAAAGCTGATGTGACCTCCTGCTTGTTCAATACTAAATTATTCCCCTCCTTTTGAGGTTTTGTCTATACTCACAAACTGAGTTGACTGAAACCAGATTGACTGTTTTGATTGACAAGACTCTGACTTGTCAACCTAAAAAGTGGGAGGAGTAGGGGGCCTAGTGGTGTCCCTTTACATTTGAAACTGTTTGACTTAAACGATATTCCAAAGTAAATCTTTGCCTCTCCCATGCCATCTCTTGCCTTCCTCATGCTGTAGATAAATGCAGTTTGCTTACAACTGGCTTTGAAGGTGGTAGAATGAAATGAAATGGGGGAAGATCCCACTCAACTCCCATCCAGGCAGGGTGCGGTGGCTTACGCCTGCAATCCCAGCACTTTGGGAGGCTGACGTGGGCAGATCACATAAGGCCCAGAGTTCGAGACCAGCCTACCAACATGGTGAAACCCCATCTCTACTCAAAATACAAAAATTAGCCGGACGAATCCCAGCTACTGAGGCTGAGGCAGGAGAATCACTTGAGCGTGGGAGGCGGAGGTTGCAGTGGGCCAGGATCATGCTATTGCACTCCAGTCTGGGCGATAGAACAAGACTATGTCTCACAAACAAACTCCCATCCAAACCTGAGTTTTAGAGATACTCATATTAGACTTAGGCTAATAGTTTTTTTTGTCATCCTTACTGTAGATTTTCTACTAATCCTAGATGGTTCCTAACCAGAACTTTAATTCCCATCAGGTGAGTTCTTTTTTTTTTTTTTTTTTTTTTGAGAGGGAGCTCTGTCACCCAGGCTGGAGTGTAGTGGCACCATGTTGGTCAGGCTGGTCTCAAACTCCTGACCTCAAATGGTCCACCCACCTTGGCCTCCCAAAGTGCTGGGATTACAGGTGTGAGCCACCACACCCGGTCAGGTGAGTTTTGTGTTTTGTTTGTTTTTTTGAGACGGAGTCTTGCTCTGTCCTGTCCCTGAGGCTGGAGTGCAGTGGTGCGAACTCAGCTCACTGCAAGCTCTGCCTCCTGGGTTCACGCCATCCTCCTGCCTCAGCCTTCCCAGTAGCTGGGACTACAGGTGCCTGCCACCATGCCCGGCTAATTGTTTTTGTATTTTTAGTAGAGACGGGGTTTCACTGTGTTAGCCAGGATGGTCTTGATCTCCTGACCTCATGATCCACCCGCCTCGGCCTCCCAAAGTGCTGGTATTAACAGGCATGAGCCACCGCGCCCGGGCTATGAGTTTGTTTTTAGTGAAGCTATAAATTATCAGTTGGCACAAAAAATTAGCAGTCAGTTGTATTTCACTCAAAAACAATTTTCCACATAGAAGTAGTAGTCTTTAGCAATAAAAATACTGTTTTCAGTAATTATGTTAGCATATTGAAGTTGTGATTATTGGGAATGAGGTCCTTTGTCATGAAGGGTAGGGGGATAATTCTTTTTTTTTTTTTTGGGTGGAGTCTCACTCTGTTGCCTAGGCTGGAGTGTAATGGTGTGATCTCGGCTCCTTGTACCTTCTGCCTCCTGGGTTCAAGCGATTCTCCTGCCTCGTCTCACGAGTAGCTGGGATCACAGGCATGCACCACCATGCCTGACTAATTTTGTATTTTTAGTAGAGATGGGGTTTTGCCATATTGGCCAGGCTGGTCTCGAACTCCTGACCTCAGGTGATCTGCCGCCTCAGCCTCCCAAAGTGCTGGGATTACAGGCGTGAGCCACCGCGCCTTGCAAGGGGGGATAATTCTTGATTGTGATCATTTATCTATAAGAGCTTCTGCAGAATAGCACATTTTGTCAACATTAATAGGTTTTAAAGCAGAGCAGTGGGCACAAAAAAGAATAAAGTGGGTGCAGATCAGTTGTGTAGACTGAGGACATACCCTCCTGGTTCTGACACCCTGTGAATTCCAGGGGCCCTTGAATGGACCTTGGAGCCTGAGTGGTCAATCAGGTCAGGCGCCTCTGAGAATGAGAGCCTTTGTAAACATCTGTTGGCTGCTGCATCCTGTAGCTGTTACTTCTGGAAAGTTTGGCCAGCCATTTTCTTCTCGTCTTAACCTTTTGCAGTTAAAATGTTTTTCTTGAAATGCCAGTGGATTTGGGGAAGTCGTTTCATACTCTTTTGGGACTAATTGGGATAATTATTAAAATGCTGTTGTATAAAAAATCTGCACTTAAGTTTTGCTGCTAAATATAGATTGGATGACTACTTAAGCACTGGTGTTTTAGAAATGAGAATTGTGAATGAGTGGCATCAGCAGCCATTATTACCATGTATTGGACACTTAAAGGAATTCAGGAGTTTAGATCATATATCTCCACATTTTGGTCTGTGCCCTCCGAGATCAGTGTCAAAGGGAGATATTTCTATTACTTAGGATTATCAATAGATTTGTACTGAAAATGCTTCCAGAAATGTTGTAGATAAGCATTGAGCAGGAGAGTAGAAAGTTTAGGTAACAGTTGGAAAAATGTAAGACTCCTGATAGGCAGTCTTAATCAAGTGTCTATTATTTGGCTTTGCTTGAGCACTCTGATTCTAGGTTAGATTCTGCTTTGCCTCAGTTTTTGCATCTGTAAAATGAGGGTAACTCTTTGCGGTGTTGTAAGGAGTAGAGCTGAAATATAAAGTCTCATAGCACAGTGCCCTACAATTGAAGGCAATTGTAAACTTTTTTTTTTTTTTTTTTTTTTTGAGATGGAGTCTTGCTCTGTCACCCAGGCTGGAGTGCAGTGGTGCAATCACAGCTTACTGCTGTCTCAACCTTCCCGGCTCAAGTGATCCTCCCACCTCTGCCTTCTGAGAAGGTGCATGCCACGATGCCCGGCTAATTAAAAAAAATTCTTTTTGTAGAGACTGGGTTGCACCATGTTGCCCAGGCTTGTGTCTGACCCTTGGGCTCAAGCCACCCTCCTGCCTGTCCTCCCAAAGTGCTGGGATTACAGGCGTGAGCCACCTCATCTGGCCCCAATTTACATTTTATATGACATGTTTGAAAACCACTAATTTTTCTTATAATTTTTTTGTAGAGACAGGGTTCTCACTTTGTTGCCCAGTTCACTGATCTTGAACTCTTGGCCTCAAGTGATAGCAATCCTCCTATGTCAGTCTCCTAGAGTACTGGGGTTACAGGCATGAGCCACTGTCCCCCACTAGAAAGCACTAATTTTTTTTTTTTTTGACACGGACTTTCCCTCTGTCGCCCAGGCTGGAGTGCAGTGATGTGATCTCGGCTCACTGCAACCTCCGCTTCCCAGGTTCAAGCAATTCTTCTGCCTCAGCCTCCTGAGTAGCTGGGAGTACAGGAGTGCACCGCCATGCCTGGATAATTTTCTTTTTTTCTTTTTTCTTTTCTTTTTTTTTTTTTTTTGAGATGGAGTTTTGCTCTTGTTGCCCAGGCTGGAGTGGAATGGCACGATCTTGGCTCACTGCAACCTCCACCTCTCAGGTTCAAGTGATTCTCCTGCCTCAGCCTCCCGAGTAGCTGGGATTACAGGCATGAGCCACCACACCCAACTAATTTTGTATTTTCAGTAGAGAGGGGGTTTCTCTGTGTTGGTCAGGCTGGTCTCAAACTCCAACCTCAGGTGATCTGCCTGTCTCCCAAAGTGCTGGGATTACAGGCGTGAGCCACGATGCCCTGCTGTCACCACTAATCTTTAAAGCCAAGATATTGTGTGGGGGCTGGGGAGAGGAAGGGAAACTGTGGCATATCAAGGAAGCAGATCAACTTGCTCAATGGAACAGTCTAATCTCAGCAACTAGAATATTTAGTAAGCATTAATGTCATGGTATTGTGTGTGTGTGTGTGTGTGTGTGTTTGTGTGTGCGTGTGTGTGCATTGGAGGAGGCATCTGAAGAGGAATCAAATCACAAGAAAGGCCTTAAGTCTTCATAGAAGAAGCTTCTCCATTACAAATGGGAATGCTGAGGCCTGGTTATGAAATGACTTCATCAGAAACTGTCCTGACTCCTAGTCTAGCACTCTTTCCACATTGCTATTTATGTGACAGTAACATGTGTTATTGACAAGTGTAGCTTTTTGAAATTAACCCTTAAAAATCTGCTTAATACTAAATTTACTGCCTGAATTTTTTTTTTTTTTTTTTTTTTTCGAGATGGAGTCTTGCTCTGTCGCCCAGGCTGGAGTACAGTTGGCATTATCTTGGCTCACTGCAACCTCTGCCTCCTGGGTTCCAGCATTCTCCTGCCTCCCCGGGTATATGGGACTATAGGTACATGCCACCGTGCCCGGGTAATTTTGTATTTTTAGTAGAGATGGGGTTTCACCATGTTAGCCAGGCTGGTCTTGAACTCCTGACCTCAGGTGATCCGCCTGTCTTGGCCTCCCAAAATGCTGGGATTACAGGTGTGAGCCACCGTGTCCAGCCTCTAAATGTTTTTGTTTTTTGTATTTTATCTTCCTGCTTTGACCTTTTCTAAGTCATTAAGGAGAACGTTAAAAAGCATAAATGGGCTCTGGTCTCTTAGCCAAAAACTGAGTATAACCATCTTGCAAAAAACCGCCTGTCATTCCAAAATTCATTTAATAGTAAGTATTACCAGAACGATAATTTAGCAAGGGAGAAAGCTTTGAGTTTTGTTAATCTCTTGAAATGATAACTCCATCTCACAGTATCAGGGTGAGGTGCATCCTCTGGGCATATTCTATTCCAGATTGCCGGGAATGGAGCTCATCTCCTGCTCCTGTCCCCATACCCTCTCACCCTGGCCCCAACACCTCAGAGCAATTTGGCATTGATGGATTGGGGATTTTTACACTAAGTCTGGCCTCTGTCGATATCAGTGGATTTAAGGACCAATTCCAGCTTTTGCCTGATTGTCAACTTCCAATGAGTTATGCAAGTTGGGTTTGACCCTCAGAAGATGCCCAAAGTCTGCCTTCATTCCTTTGCAGAAACAAAGGACACTTCTTAGTTTTCAAGCCATAGAATGCCTCCCCCTGCCCCAAATGTTGAGGGTTTTTTTTATTTGTTTTGATGTTTGTTTGTTTTTTTGCTGGAACTGGAGTGCAGTGGTGCAATCTAGGCTCACTGCAACCTCTACCTCCTGGGTTCAAGCGATTCTCGTGCCTCAGCCTCCCCAGTAGCTGGGATTACAGGCGCCCGCCACCACGCCTAGCTAATTGTGATATTTTTTAGCAGAGACTAGGTTTCACCATGTTGGCCAGGCTGGTCTCAGGTAATCCGCCTACCTCGGCCTCCCAAAGTGTTGGGATTACAGGCGTGAGCCACTGTGCCTGCCTGCAAGTGTTGAGTTTTGATGGATTTTTCCCCACGTTATATAGATGGGGGTGGGGGACCGTGGGGGATTTTGGAGATGAAAGGGGAAGAGTGGCTTGAAAAATGCTCTCAGCTTCTTGGTATAGGTAAGACCATGAGCTACAGAGTAACAACTGGATTTAAGTCCTAGTGTTGCCCTATGTGACCTTGGACAAGTCACTTAACTGACTTGATTTCTGACCGTTAAGATGGGAGTGATAGAGGTGGCTACATCTTCCAGACCTATTTGTGGGGAGCTCTTTCACATGAAGGTTCTTTGAAAGAGCTAGAAAAATTTATATTGTAATGTATGTGCCCATAACTGTAAATAATCATGAAAAAATTTGGCTTCAACTTTTCCTGCAAGTTGCAGCCAAACAGCTAGTTTCTTTTCATGAAATTAAATAATGTTGCTTATCTTCCTTTTTTTTTTTTTTTTTTTTGAGACAGAGTCTCGCTGGGATGCCCAGGCTGGAGTACAATGGCGCGATCTCGGCTCTCTGCAACCTCCGACTCGGGTTCAAGTGGTTCTCTTGCCTCAGCCTCCAAAGTGGCTGGGACTACAGGCGCGTGCCACCATGCCTGGCTAATTTTTGTATTTTTAGTAGAGATGGGGTTTTACCATGTTGGCCAGGCTGGTCTTGAACTCCTGACCTCAAGTGATCTGCCCTCCTTGGCCTCCCGAAGTTCTTGGGATTACAGGCATGAGCCATTGCACCCGGCTGTTATCTTCCTTAAAAGATATATTTTGGTTGATGGCCAAGCAGTATTTGATGCCATGAAATAACTTGGGCAGTTCCTCATTGCTGACAGAACTTGATGTGTTAAAATTTGCCATCAAAATATTTGAATGCCTGTTTCTGCTCAGTGTGAATTGTGGTCTTTGCTAAAGATGTATAAGAGCAGTCTACATCCTGTTCCTTGCTTTAGTCTTGTGGTTTGACTGTTTGGGAATATAAAACTGAAAAGGAAAAGGTGAATTGTGGTGGGGGGGGATTCTCTACTTCCCTATATGGCCACTTTATATGTGGTCTTATTTAAATTACTAGATGAAATTTAAACACTAAAGGTGGCCATGCACAGTGGTTCATGCCTGTAATCCCAGCACTCTGGGAAGCTGAGACAGGAGGATGGCTTGAAACTGGGAATTTCGAGACCTGCCTGGGCAACAAAGCAAGACCCTGTCCGTACAAATTAGCCGAGCACAGTAGTTGTGCCCCTGTAGTCCCAGCTACTGGAGGAGTGGAGAGGGCCTGAGGTGGGAGGATCACTTGAGCCCAGGAGATCAAGGCTGCAGTGCGCTATGATCATGCCATTGCACTTCAGCCTGGGCAACAGAGTGAGATCCTGTCTGCTAAAGTTAATGGAATCCAAATAAGTTCAGATGGGGAGATGAGTTTGAGGCTGAATGAACAGTACTCTTGGGGAATAGTCAGGTGTGGTGACACACATAGGTGTTCCCAGTTACTCAAGAGGTAGAAGGATTGCTTGAGCCTGGGAGGTGGAGGTTGTAGTGAGCTGAGATCATACCACTGCATTCCAGCCTGGGTTCCAAAGTGAAGACCCCGTCTCAATAAAAAATATTATAATAAAGATTGTAAAATTAGACCTTTTACCTAATTTTTTCTACTTCTTTCAACATCTGTAAGGAAGAGATAAGGGTACCCTCCTCTTCCTCCCTTCCTAGGGGGTGGACGATTGATAACATTGAAGAAATAATTGGTGTATCAGGGGCCAGAGCCACATTAATTAATAGGTAATATAAAGAATTATTGACTGGGCTGGGCGCGGTGGCTCACGCCTTAATCCCAGCACTTTGGATGCCGAGGCAGGTGGATCATCTGAGGTCAGGAGTTCTAGACCAGCCTGGCCAACACATGGTGAAACCCCGTCTCTACTAAAAATACAAAAACTAACCAGGCTTAGTGTTACGAACCTGTCATCCCAGCTACTCGGGAGGCTGAGGCAGGAGAATCACTGGAACCCGGGAGGTGGAGGTTGCAGCAAGCTGAGATTGCACCACTGCACCATTGCACTCCAGCCTCGGTGACAAGAATGAAACTCTGTCTTTAAAAAAAAAAAAAAAAAAAAAAAAAAAAGAGGCAGCTGTTTTTGTTCCCAAACCTGTTGATTGTAATTAACCCAGCTCAAGTAAAGATGAAATAGGAGTGCAGAATATCGTAATTTCTATGAAAACTGACTGGAATTTCTATGAAAACTGATTTGATAAAGTAAGCTCTGGGGAAACAGCAGAGAACAAAATAGTCCCACATCCCTCAGGCCCTTGTAGACTTCACATTGGGATAATAAGATGATTCCCTGCCTTTGCTGTGTCCTTAATCTGCTTCTGACTGGAGTGGAGGCTGCTGCTGTTGCACAGAGGGAGCATCTGTGGATGGCTGGTTTGGAACCCCCGGCTATCTCCCTGGTGTGAAGTAAGACATTCAGTGTGTGATGGTTATAATCTTAAGAGTGAGAGGGGGAGGTTGAGTACAGGCTGCAGGAGTACTGAGAATGCTTTTTTATTTATTTATTTATTTATTTATTTATTTATTTATTTATTTTATTTTTGGCTCAGGCTAAAGTGCAGTGGGAAGAATGACCTGACTTTTTTGTTTGAGAATCAAATGAAATATTTTCTGCAATATGCCCTGTTTATAAGTGAAGACATTTATGTAGAAATTTAAAGTGAAGGAATTCATATGCAGACAGTGCTGCATGGGGGCTAATGGGAGCACCTGCTATGCCCCACCCCCATCCTTGACCATTGGGGAAAAAAATGGGTTTTTGTTTGTTTTTTAATTCTTCATTTTCCTAAAACAACAGGTTTTTACTTCCTTTGTTTCTGTTGTTAGCTTGAAAAGAGCCTTCAGGGATTTAGAGGAATATTCCAAGAGGAAAATTCGTTTTTCCAATTTAATTTAATTTTTAAAACCACATAGGTGCTGGAAATACAAAGAAAAACCACAGCTCTGTTCAGCTGTGGACTGACCCAAATATTTGGAGCTTTGGGGCTCAGAGTTACCTCCATGTGTATGGATGAAGTAAGGTTTAAGTGTCTCCACTTTTAAACTGAAGTTTGGTAGGTGAAACCGAGTGATTGTGTTTGTTACGGTTATAAATGGAAACCATTTTAAGAAAGGATAGCAAATCCTGTCATAGCAGGAGATAGTGATTAAGTCTAGATGATGTTTGGGACTTGACACAACAGCTACAAATTTCATGTTAAGCCTGTTGTGCAATAAATCCAGACTTGCCTTGATTGAGATCCTACAGCTAAAGTTATCTGTCTTATCTGCAGCTTTATTGTTGGTTTATTTAAGTAGATTTTGTGTTAATTACATACACAAATGTTAACATACACAGGCATACAATGAAAGGCATTAAATATACCAGGGCTTCCTAGATCGGGGGAGTTTTACTTCTAGTATAGCCAGTTTTAAAGTTGGAAAACGAACATTTCATTTTCTTATAAAAGGAGGGATGGTGGGAGGCCGAGGCGGGTGGATCACAAGGTCAAGAGATCGAGACCATCCTGACCAACATGGTGAAACCCCGTCTCTACTAAAAATACAAAAATTAGCTAGGTGCGGTGGCGGGCGCCTGTAGTCCCAGCTACCCCGGATACCGAGGCAGGAGAATCGCCTGAACCTGGGAGGTGGAGGTTGCAGTGAGCCGAGATCGCACGGCTGCACTCCAGCCTGGTGACAGAGCGAGACTCCATCTCAAAAAAAAAGGGGATGGTGTTCACATTTGGCGTTTTGAGCATTCATTTTGTCTAGGGTCTACTGCATAATCTGAGCGCATAATTTGTCTGAATTTAATGACAGTTCATTCTATCAGTTCCTCTTTGTCCTAGCCCCATAGAACTTAATTTTTCCAGATTTTTTTGTTTGCCTGTTGAGATGTAAAACCAATTGTCTTCCCCATCAAAAAAGGTATGTAAAACATCAAATGGAATAAAATTTAAAAGTCATGTGCAAGATGAAATCATGAAGATGAGAAGGAGGTGATGTTAAGCTCTGGTTTGAGAGAAGAGGTTGAGTTTCAGGCTCTGCTGGGTTCCCGTTATTGGCATGTTACGGACATCTGGACAAATCACAGTTTTTGCATGTGTAACATGATGGGGGGAGTGGGGGCAGAATGTCCAAGGTGTAACAGTTCTGTAGCTTCAGCAGGTTAAGAAACATTCTCATTTTAATTTCTTGACTTTACACCTATTTGTAAATGTTATCACTGTGAGAGGGTCCTCTCCCCCTCTAAATGGTAAAAGCAGACAGGTTGGCTCACTGTGAACAGAAAAGAGGAACCCGGATCAATGAATGCTTAATCAAAAGTATGTTAACACTTGATAGGAGTGAAAAAGGGAGGGAAGGGGTTACAATTTTGTTTTAAATGTGTTTAAAAGATAACATTTAAGGGTTTTGGGAAAATAACGTTTTGTTTAGAATTCACAACACTTGTCATTTTAGGCTGTAATTTTTCTGAGTATGTTTATGCCTGTGAGTATAATATTTGATGTTTTTCATTTCTCCTTCCTTCACCATCCTTGGTCAGCTCATAATTGCTGGATGAATAGAAAACTGAGATTTTTCTTGGGGATATCTTTTATCCTAGGAAGTAACTTTAGTTAACTCTAATCCTGATTTAATTATAAGTAATATATAAACCTATTTTGTTTGGATTATCTGTAAATTTTATTTTTAAAATGTACCCCGTCCCACTTCTTTCCAAAGTTGTGGTGTACCAGGTTCGTGGGGCTCCTTTCAAGCAACCATTTACATACACAAGCATATAGAGGTTAGTCTTAAAAAACATGTGTAGGTGCTACCCTGTACTGACTTGCTGGTCATTACTTGCTCTAAACTTGGCCTTTATGGTGTGAAATTTATTTTGCCTTTTTCTGCTTCTGATTGCCTCTTTTATTTGGCTGTTGCCAGCAATGCTCATCCTTGTGTCCCTGTAACCCTCTCTTATAGAAGGGAGATCTTCCCCTCCCCCGACAGCTCCCCCAGCAAGGAGATCTCTAGAACCCTGGAGAGGCACGTTTGAGATGTTAATAGATCCCAGCACTTTGCTCCGGAGAGCTTGCCTTCCACCAGCCGCATTTCCTCCCTCCCCACCCCTCCCTTATTGCCATCAATCTAATGAAAAAAATGGCTGGTCCTGTTGTTTTACTCTTCATTTGTGCAATTGCTATGAGGTGTGCATGAGCTTTTCATATGTTTACTGGCCATTTGAGTTTTCCTCCTGAATTCCCTGCTCCTGTTCCTGGGCTGATATCTTGGGTTAAAAAAATTCAATTTGTAGGCATTTTGGATAAATACTGATTACTAGTTGTGTGTTACAAAGGATTTTTCTGAGGCCATAGTTTGCCTCCATTTAGTTTAACTTGGTATACATTTTAAATTTTTAGTGTGATAGATGTTTACTTCCTCTACATTTTGTGTCTTTAGGTCCCACCTTAGAATATAGTCTTGGTATATCATAGAAGGTGGATCTAATTTTATTTAGAACAAATAACGAGCCTAATGTTCTGTCTGTTAGTGAATGGTTTCTTGTCCTTTTTTTCTTTGTACCTTAGCTTTCAGGGAAGCCATTCTGAAAATAGCTGTTGGCTGTGGGTGAAGAGTAGGTATATGAAGGCCCTTAACTTGTGAATGCCAGCTGGCTTGCAATCAGTTGAGTGTTCATGCTTCGTGGCCATATACTGGTAGCTATTATACTGGTAGCTATTAAGGAAATAGTCTCTGCAGACGTTCAGTTATTCACAGCAGACAAGTGATGATGCTTATATTGGTCTAGGTCTTGTTACAAACGACCCATTCCTTCAGCATGTACCTATTCCTGGGCTGGGTCTTTCTATACAGAATTGCTATCTTATAGGTGCCTTTTCCCCCCAATTTTTATCTTCATTGGATTTTTAAATTACAAAAGAAATAAGTAGTCACTATAACACAGGCAAACTTGAAGTAGATTAAGAAAAAAACAACAACTTGCCAGTTTCACTCCCCAAATGTAATCATTGTTAACAGCGTGGATAATGTAATTGTTCTTATTTCCTAAGCGTATGCAATGCCATCTTTATGACTGTCTGTAATTTAGTCGTGTAAGCATTGATATAAAGGTGTTTTGAAATATATATTGCATTTTGTACTGTCTGTAATATGTCTGTGCCACCACCACCACAATCAAGATATAGGACATTTCCACCAGCCCAGAAAGTTCCTTTACTGTGTGGCCTTTTAGTACAAATCTGTGGAGAATTTGGCCTGCTTTTCTGGTCATGGGTCTCAAAAGGATTTATGAAAAGTATAGTTTTAGGGGCTGTGGATATGGTCAAATCTCTAATGATGGAAAGTTGCAATGTCTTGATGTCCTGGCTTACTACTGATCTGAGGATAGTTGTAAAACTTACTAACGTCGCCGGGCGTGGTGGCTCATGCCTGTAATCCCAGCACTTTGGGAAGCCAAGGTGGACGAATCACGAGGTCAGGAGATCCAGACCATCCTGGCTAACTTGGTGAAACCCCCTCCCTACTAAAAATACAAAAAATTAGCCAGACGTGGTGGCACGCACCTGTAGTGAAGCTGAGGCAGGAGAATGGTGTGAACCCGGGAGGCGGAGGCTTCAGTGAGCCGACATTATACCACTGCACTCCAGCCTGGGTGACAGAGCGAGACTCCATCTCAAAAAAAGAAAAAAAACCTCCTGAAGTCTTTACCTCTATGGCATTTAGCTTCTGAGAAGGCCCAGATTCTATCTCTTCTGTGTTTAAGACATTTGCTGTTTCAGGGCCACAATGCAAATGGCCAGGGCACATTGTTTTCCTCTGAGCAGATGCCTGCTGGGAGGCAAATTCCTCAAGGATTGCTCGGAAAATGTGGATGTGAATTTTGCTCAATCAACACACTTTTCATTGAGCATCTGCCATGTGCCTGGCTATCCGGGTGTTTGAGGACACAAAGCAATAAACAGGGCTTGCCTTCTGGAGACCCTTACATCAGTATAAAGGGAGGTAGAATTACCGGGGATTTGCGGTTCCATGGATAATGATGTACATGTAGAAGTACTAAATTATTTTGGATTAGGTACTATATGCTTATTATTATTATTATATTTTTTTGAGACGGAGTTTCACTATCGTTGCCCAGGCTGGAGTGCAGTGGTGTGAGCTCCGGTTCACCGCAACCTCCTCTTCCCAGGTTCAAGTGATATTCCTGCCTCAGCCTCCCTAGTAGCTGGGATTAGAGGCTTGTGCCACCATGCCCAGCTAATTTTATATTTTTAGTAGAGACGGGGTTTCTCCATGTTGGTCAGGCTGGTCTCGAACTCCTGACTCAAGTGATCCACCCGCCTCTGCCTCCCAAAGTGCAGAGATTACAGGCGTGAGCCACTGCACCTGGCCTTTTTTTTTTTTTTTTTTAATCAAGCATTTTAGGGGCATGCAGTGGAGAAGTGAAGTCCTAACGCAGAATGCCAGTTTCTGTGTATTCTCCCAGAGGCAGTTGATATAGGGGAGCTAAAGCTCTTTGGTCCTTGGAGGAAGGTTGCTTGTAGAGGCTAGTGAACACTTATGAGAAAGTTCATAGCTTTTCAGGCCTGTTGGTCAATTGGATGTGACAGATTGGTGGTTTCCATTCCTGAAGACTATCCCTCTTAGGAAAAATGTGGATTTTGAGCTCCTTTTTTTTTTTCTTTGTTGAGACGAGGTCTCGCTCTGTCACCCAAGTTGGAGTGCAGTGTTGCGATCTCAGCTCACAGCAACCTCCTCCTCCCGGGTTCAAGTGATTCTCCTGCGTCAGCCTCCTGAGTAGCTGAGATGACAGGTGCATGGCACCACGCCTGGCTACTTTTTGTATTTTTAATAGAGTCGGGGTTTCACCATGTTGTCTAGGCTGGTCTTGAACTCCTGACCTCAGTTGATCTGTCCGCCTTGGCCTCTGGGATTTCTGAGCCGCCATGCCCAGCCTTGAGCCTCCTTAATCAGAAATCTAAACTTACAAGGACATTTCACTTCAGGGGTGTGAGTGGAGGGTGTTTCTTGTCATGGACCAGCTATTATACATGCCATTCAGAACCATCTTTCATGGATGATAAGGTCCTGTGTGAAAGTGACATGAGTTTTTTTTTGAGACAAGAGTCTCATTTGGTCACCAAGGCTGGAGTGCAGTGGCATCATCTCGGCTCACTGCAACCTCTGCCTCCCGGGTTCAAGTGATTCTCTTGCCTCAGCCTCTTGAGTAGCTGGGATTACAGGTGCGTGCCACCACGCCAGGCTAATTTTTGTATTTTTAGTTAGATACAGGGTTTCACCATGTTGGTCAGGCTGGTCTCGAACTCCTGACCTCATGATTCACCCGCCTTGGCCTCCCAAAGTGCTGGGATTACAGCGTGAGCCACAGCCCCCGGAAGACGTGATGTTACCAAGGAGGAACGTCTGACCCGTCAAGCCCCAGAACTTACAGTAGGCTTTAGGCTGTTTCCTCTGTGCATAATTGTTGAGTCTTCACTGTAGTAAGTCGAATTGATTATTGAGCTTTTTTTGGGGGGGGGGTGGGGGTGGGGTCCCTTATCGCTTTTATCACTCGGCACTAGCAGGGTTCAGAATTGGTTTCTCATGTCTAATTCTTCCCTCATACGTGGATCTGCTGGCAAGTCAGAGGTTGCTGGGCTGGAATTGGGTAAGGGCATTGAAGGTGGGGTGCTGCCCGGGGAAGAGGGTAGAAGAGCCACTTGCAGTGGTCCCAGAAGAAAGACCTGAGTGCTTTTGAGGAGCTGGGTGTTTGAAAAACTGGGAAGCACTTTGCTGAGGACTCTACTGGCGATTAGAACTGTATCTACAAAGCAAATGTTCAACTAATGTTTACAGAGTTAATTCAAACGCTCCAGTTTAAAAACTTGCCACCTCTGCCCTTCAGAGCAAGAGAGAACCTTGCTGCTTTGTAAGTCTGCCTCAAAATGTCTTTCCCAAGGCCTCTGCAAGCCTCCTCCAAAACAGGAGTTGTTCATCTCCTGCTCATCTGAAGATGTACCCACTGTATTGTCAGTGGAAGAGTGCACCAGCACAGGGAGGGAGAAAAGTTTGCATTCACCAATTCCTTTTCCCCACCCCCCTTCCCTTCCAAAGGTCCTTTTTGCTGGGGATCTCTGATTGGAATCTCCCTAGAATCATCTCATGTTGATGTAGGCACTCTTTTAAATAGGCCAACAAACCCCGCATTCTGTGCTTTGAAGGACAGTAAAATGTTTGCACTGGTTACAGTAAAAGCCAGTACATAACATGAATACAAAGACCCTCGAGATAAAGTTAATGATTAAATTCAGAGGTTTTGGCCTATTTCCTATAGAGATTGCTCTCTCCTGAACTTTACTCCATTATGTTTAGAGACAAAGCCCCGAAATTGCCTTCTGTGTTTATAAGGTCCAATTGTAATCTGTGCTGGAGACTTTCCCTTGAGTTTTCTCCATTCCTCCGACAGGGCATGCAGTGGGGGTAGGCTTCCTTAGGGCCCCTTGCTGGGGCTGCTTTCTTCTGTCCAGTTTTGTTTGGATACCACCCCCAACCCACATGCTTGGGGCAGGAGGAATTCCTCCCTGGGCTCTTTGTTCAGCAGGAATGGCTGCCTCCTGGAATGTTGATCACCTTGGCCCAAGTGGCTAACACTGGTGAAGCCTTGCGACTCTGCTGCTGGGGAGCTTTCAGGGCTCAGCTGGGGGTGCAAGGGGGCATGCTTCTGGCCCTGAGTGGTGGCCTCCCTTCTCAGTCACCCCGGGCTGGTCTAAGTGAGCCAGCTTTTATCTTATCCACAAACTAAAGATTCTATCCCTTCCTCATTTAAAAAAGCCTGGCTGGGCGCAGTGGCTCACGCCTGTAATCCCAGCACTTTGGGAGGCCGAGGTGGGTGGACCATGAGGTCAGGAGATCGAGACCATCCTGGCTAACCTGGTGAAACCCCATCTGTACTAAAAAACAAAAAATTAGCCGGGCGTGGTGGCGGTCGCCTGTAGTCCTAGCTACTCGGGAAGCTGAGGCAGGAGAATGGCATAAACCCGGGAGGCGGAGCTTGCAGTGAGCTGAGATCGCGCCACTGCACTCCAGCCTGGGCGACAGAGCGAGACTCTGTCTCAAAAAACAAAACAAAAAACAAACCCAAGGAGCCAGGCACAGGGGAAATGTGTGCCCTGATTGTATCGATAGTACCCTGAGTGTGATATTATACTATTGTTTTGGGAGATGTTACCATTAGGAGAAACTGCGTAAAGAATACTAGGTATCTTTACCTAGTGAGGTGGCTCACGCCTCTAATCCCAGCACTTTGGGAGGCCAAGGTGGTTGGATCACTTGAGCTCAGGAGACCAGCCTGGGCAACACGGCAAAACCCTGTCTCTACAAAAAAAATACAAAAGTTAGCTGGGCGTGGTGGCGTGTGCAGTGAAGCAAGATTACGCCACTGTACTTCACTGCACTCCAGCGTGGGCCACGAGTGAGGCCCACCGCCAACCCCCACCCCCCAAAAGAAAAAGCCCCAGAGGCAGGGATTGGTTAATAAGTTTAGTGCCGTACATTCTTTGGCTTAACGTGGTGGCTTCTCTACTGATGAAACGTTCTAAAGTTTATTGTTTCCTTTTTCAAGAGGTTTGTGGGACTTCACCTAACTTGGACCCCCAGGACTTACCAGGAAGCTTCCTTTTTAATTTATTTTAATATTTACTTCTATTTTAAAAATTTCTGTAGTGACAGGAGTCTTGCCATGTTGCCCAGGCTAGTCTGAAACTTCTGTACTCAAGTGATCCCCGGCCTCCCAAAATGCATGTGCCACAGTGCTCAGCCAGGGTGCAGTTCTTGGAACTCACGCCATACACCTAGGAACAACTCCACTCGCTTCTGAGCACCTGTCTCTACCTGCTTTGCTCTAGCACCATAAAGATTGCCCCTGTAATTTCAGCAGGGATTTCCCCACAGCTCAGCAGGGAGAGAAGGGAGAAGAGAAAGGAAACTCTCAGTGCTGGTCCTCATATGCTGAGGAGGGGAATTTGCAGATTCCATCACTGTCTAGATTTACTGCTGGGAAAACATTGTCCGTTTTGAAAACTGTTAGTTTGATAATGGCATAATTATTTATTGTTGGTCATTTTGCTTTGACTCCCAGGAAGCTCAGAGCCAAACCATGGTCTCAATCCAGGAAGTCCCATCCCGCATGCTGCTCTCCTTTCATGACTCAAGCTTGCCTGTGTTTGTCTTCTTTGTAAGCTGCTTTTCTTAGATTTGGGTGAGAGTTCCTGAAAAAAATTTCAGTAAAAATTGAGTATGATGGGGTTGTAAATTGTCCAGGATAGACAGGTTTTGATCCAAGAAATCAGACTGCTGAGTTAGGTAAAAGAATTAAGCCATTGTACCAGCATAGCACTTGTCAAATATGCATATAATCCCCATGTATGCTCTGTCCCTTCCTGGATAGAGTCCAGACCCGTGCCAAGGGGCGGGTGCAGAGTCTTGCCAGCATGTGCCTCACAGAGAAGTCGGGGCAGTGAGGACTACAAAGCTCTCCTCTGTAAAAATCAAAGTGATTTGAGAAACCCCAGGGTTATTCATGTCCCCTTATACAGACAGGCCTTAGCCAGGTGTAGGCTCTTCTGATCCCCATCTCCCCACCCCCACCCAAGAACCCTCTGTTCTGCAATTTGGTACATCTTGAAACCCCTTCTTGAGAGGTGAGAGGAAGTGGTTAATCCCCACTTCCTTCCCTGGGAGTTTTATGGGCCTCTGGGAGCCTGCCTTACTCTGGCCTTAATGGTCATAAATGACCCTCTCTCAGGGCAGGGCCAAGCCCCTATGAGTCTTAGGTGCTTAATAAATGCTTTTTGATGGTGATTCCCTTGGTCTTCTGTAATTGGAGGGCGGGGGTGGGACTATTTATAGGATTATCGGGGTGTTGGCCACAGCCCCTCCAGCTGGGTATAGGCCTGGAACATTGTGATTGGGCAAGGGCTTCCAGGGTGCTGGGACTAGGTTTGACTGAATTGGTCAAGTCATGCCTTTGTTGAGAAATACAAGAGGGGCAGGGCCTCACCCTCCAAGGGAGCCCTCTGCTTCCTGCTACTTTCACCCCCCAAGATCTGGCCTGCATGGTAGCAGGGGGTGGGAGAAATGTGAAGGTAATGGTAATTGAGGGTTGATCTTGATTTGCACCTCAGGACACTCCCCCCAACTCACCAGGATCCCTTTTCTCATCAACCAGAGTTCTAAGGCATAGCAGTAACTCCCCAGTAAGCTTATTTCTTGGTTTGCCCAGCTCTTGGGACAGGCTTACCCAGGGGCCTCGAAGTAAGGGATACTGGGATCTGTGAAAATGGAGTGGATGGCCCAGTTGTGCTTAGCACATTTAATCTTTATTAGTGGCAAAAGAGCTCTGGGAAGGAAATCTGGGCAGGCATCACCTCTCCTGCTAGCAGGTCCCCCTCCCTTTCCCTGCCAGCTAATCCCCGTGCCTCCCATTCTGCAGGGTTTTAATTAACTGTGTTTAATCTTCCCCGGGAAGCAGGCTTAATGCCCGCCTGCGTGCTTATCCCGTTACCCGCTGGGTTTTCTGTTCCAGCCCAGCCAAGGACAAGTAACATTCTGGAGGAGTCTTCGCCCAAGGGCCATTAGCTGAGGGAACCTCCCTGAGCTCCTTTCCTGTCGTGCTGCTTTCTGGGAAGGTGCAGAGCCGGCCCAGAAAGCAAACCAGGGTGTGGGCAAGGGTTAATCTGGGCCCTGCCCGCCCACCCTGCCTTTGTGGAGGAGCTCCATAAATCCTGCTGGATTTAATGTTATGCAAATAACTCCAGATAAACGCACTTTTTTCTGGTTAGAGTCTCAAGATGTTTTAATGTGAACTATAGAGAAAATAAGTGTCCTAAAAACTATGAGAGCCGAAGTATTTTACGGGGAAATTATCTGTAGTGACTGCCCACTATGTGCTTACCCATGCTTTCTCGCGTCGTCGTTATTTTGTGTGGTTGTGTAAATCAGCCCTTCCCTGGTTAACAATGACCTGGGAGTTGGTTAGCCCTGGGGCTCCCTACCCCATGGAGATTCTGATTCTCTAAAACTGGGGTGGGGCTCAAATTTGCATCTTTAACAAGTACCTCTGGGGATTCTAATGCTGGTGGCCCCTTTGAGAAACAGATTTAAATGTTGCCCTAGGAGGAAGAGGGGATTTTAGGTCACAACAGAGTTCTCAGCACACTGTTTTGTTTTGTGAATTGGCATTTTACCCAATTGTCAGTCATAACTTCACTTTTATTCCCTTTCCCTGAGACTGGGTCTCGGCCTGTCACTCAGGCTAGAGTGCAGTGGCGTGATCACAGCTCACCGGAGCCTCGGCCTCCCAGACTCAAGCAATCCTTCTGCCTCAGCCTCTGGCGTAGCTAGGAGTACAGGCACTCTCCACCATGCCTAGCTAACTTTAAAAAATTTTGTAGAGAGCGTCTCACCAGTGACCCACCGAGCCTGGCCAATCATAACTTTTCTATTTCATTTTAAATGATATCTCCTGAGTTGTAAATTGGTAGACCTGTATTATTATCAGATGCCCTGGTGGGTTTAAGCAGCCTGTGATAATAATGAAGCTTTAACTTAGCTGATGAAGTCGGTTAACCAACTTCAAGCCATAACAATTCCTAGAATATTGAATCAACCTTTAGCCATCCCCCTCCTCTGAGCCACCTTGAAAAGATAGCCAGTGGAGACATTGTATTTCTAAGAAGCCATTCCGTACTTCCAAAGTTCCCCAATTTTAATGACATTGGGATGGAAATTCAAATTAAGACAAGGTAATGAAGACTGAGTTTTTGGGCTGAATTTGAGCGAAACTCCCCAAAGTTGTTTCATGTGGGACTCTGCCTTCAACACAAACAAGGACAGCTAGAACTAGGTGAGGCTGTGCATCTGAGGGCCTTGCCAGGTCTTCCCTTCTGGTTTCACCTCTAGTTGGCATCTCTCTCTAAATGGAGCTGAACAGGAGCCACCTGGAGGCTTTCCAGGTACCTGTCTGGATTGTATAAAAACAGCTAATGCTGTGCTGTGGAGGGGAGTACAGTAATTTTCAGACAGAGCTGAAATGTTTGTGGCTGTGTCTCCCAGACCATGCCAGGGCTTCCATTTCACTCCCAGGGTTAATTGGGTGAAAATGTGGGAGACACATGGCTCAAACCCACAGAAAGCTTGCAAAGATGTAGGAATCCCCAGGAGCCAGGGCAAAAAGGATGAAAGAGAAGAAGGTGTTTAGTATATTCAGGAGTCCCCACTGTCCCTCATCTGGCTGAGCAGCTCCTGCCACCACACCATGAACAGTCTTGCTGCCACCTGGCTTGGCAGCCCTCCTTCCCTCTAGCGGGTTTGCAAGGAGTCTTCAGTTTGGGGGTTACTCTGGGGGTTACTCACAGGTACAAACCCTTTCTTTAACTCAGTGGTCACTAGGTAAATGAGATCATATGATATTATAAGCCAGTTGTATGTATTGTTAATGACAGTATGCCCTGTGAGAGAACAAAGGGCCTTGGGATCTTTCATGAGGTTACTGGGTCAAATTGCCATGCGACCTAGGCCAAGTTTGGATCTTTTTTTTTTTTTGAAACAGAGTCTCTCTGTCACCCAGGCTGGAGTGCAATGGAGTGATCTCAGCTCACTGCAACCTCTGCAACCTCCGCCTCCCGGGTTCAAGTGATTCTCCTGTCTCAGCCTCCCGAGTAGCTGGGATTACAGGCACCTGCCACCAAGCCTGGCTAATTTTTGTATTTTTAGTAGAGACAGGGTTTCGCCATGTTGGCCAGGCTGGTCTCGATCTCCTGACCTTAGGTGATCCACCTGGCAGTTTGCATCCTTTTTTAAAAAACGGAGTTGGAGACTATGGCTCACTAGCTTGTGCATTTATTTATTATGTTTTTGGATGGGAAACTAACTTGGTAAGCCACTTTTTTTTTTTTTTTTTTTTTGAGATGGAGTCTCGCTCTGTCGCCCAGGCTGGAGTGCAGTGGCGCGATCTTGGCTCGCTGCAAGCTCCGCCTCCCGGGTTCACAGGATTCTCCTGCCTCAGCCTCCTGAGTAGCTGGGACTACAGGCGCCTACCACCATGCCTGGCTAATTTTTTGTATTTTTAGTAGAGACAGGGTTTCACCGTGTTAGCCAGGATGGTCTCGATCTCCTGACCTTGTGATCCACACGCCTCAGCCTCCCAAAGTGCTGGGATTACAGGCGTGAGCCACTATGCCTGGCCACCACTTCTTATTTTTAAATTGGCATAATAACTGTATATGTTTAGGGGGTACAATGTGATGTTTGGTATATACATACATTGTGGAATGATTATATTAAGGTAATTAACTTAGATACTTATGTTTTTTGTAATGATAATGTTTAAAATATTTAAAATCTGTTCTCAATACATCATTAACAACTGTGGTCACCATGCTGTGCATTAGCTCTTGAAAACTTAAGTCTTCCTGTCTAACTGAAACTTTTAACCGACATCTCCCCTTGCCCCTCCCCTGCACCCACCCCTGTCCCCAGCCCCCCGCTCCAACCCCAGCCTCTGATATTCTACTCTCTACTTCTACTCTAGTTCTCTTCTCTCTACTTCTATGAGATTAGCTTTTTTAGATTCCATATATAAGTGACATCATGTGGTGTCTGTCTTTCTGTGCCTGGCTTGTTTCACTTAGCATAATAACCTCCAGTTTCATCCCAGTTGTTGCAAATGACAGGATTTCCTTCCTTTTAAAGGCTGAATAGTATTCACCCATGCATATATGGCACATTTTGCTGTCTTGTAAACAATGCTGCAGTGAATATGAGAGGACAGATAGCTCTTTGACATACTGATTTCAGTTATTTGGGGTATATATACCCAGAAGTGGGATTGCTGGATCATGTGGAAGTTCTGTTTTTGTTTTGTTTTGTTTGAGTTTCTGTCACCCAGGCTGGAGTGCAGTGGCACCATCTCTGCAACCTCCGCCTCCCAGGTTCAAGCGATTCTCCTGCCTTATGCTCTGGAGCAGCTTGGACTACAGGCTCTCGCCGCCAGGTCCAGCAATTTTTTTTTTTTTTTTTTTTTTTGAGACTGAGTTTTGCTCTTGTTGCCCAGGCTGGAGTGCAATGGCGCAATCTCAGCACACCGCAACCTCCGCGTCCCGGGTCCAAGTGATTCTCCTGCCTCCACCTCCCGAGTAGCTGGGATTACAGGCACGTGCCACCATGTCCCGCTAATTTTGTATTTTTAGTAGAGAGAGGTTTCTCCACGTTGGTCAGGCTGGTCTCAAACTCCCGACTTCAGGTGATCCGCCTGCCTTGGCCTCCCAAAGTGCCGGGATTACAGGTGTGAGCCACCGCACCCAGCCAGGGTAGTGCTGTTTTTAACTTTCTGAGGAACCTCTGTGCCCTTGGCTCCATAATGGCTGTACTAACTTTAAGGTTGTGCATTTTAAATGAGTTGATACAGGGAAGCATCCAGGCCAGTGCCTGACTTACTGTATCCTTACATTTGGCAAGTACACATTGACTATCTGTCTTGAGCTCAGCTTTGTGCTCAGTTAAATGCAGGCCTTTCCATATGTGACAAATGAATGTGCTGACAAGCAGAGATTCGCCTGGAGTTGGCCTCCTCCCACATTTGCCTCTGAGTCTTGGCTTAGCTGGCTCTCAATATGGGGCTGGTTTTTTGTTTTGTTTTGGGAGTGTAATGTTTTATATATTTATGGGCTCAACCAACTGTGGATTGAAAATATTAGAAATAAGGCAATAAAAATTTCAAATGCAGTATAGTTATTGACATAATATTTACATTGTACTAGATATTCATAACCAATCTAGAAATGATTTAAAGTATATGGGAGGATGTTCATGGGTTGTCTGCAAATACTACACCATTTATATAAGGAACTTGAGTATCCTTGGATTTTGGTATCCAAGGGGGTCCTGGACACGCAGTCTTCCACAGATAACGAGAGACGACTGTACTTTATACAAGCATGGCAAAGAGCCACTTAATACTGTGTGACCTCATGTGAGTTAATCTCTTTGCCTTAGATTTTTAATTTGTTAAATAGAAATGATAGGTAGATACTTATGCTATACTGTGCGCATGATGAAATGCACAGATCTGAATATATGGTGAGTTTTGACAGTTGTGCACCCCAGGGTAGTGTGCATTTCTTTCTGCCCTCTTAGTTCTACAGGTCAGAGGAATCCTGCCAAGGGAGTTTTGCAAGGTCTGGCCCATAAACTCTTATCTTGTCTGCAGAAGTCAGCTGGTCTTGTCACTTCTTTCCCTGATAACCACCCCTCTTCCCTGGAGGGGTGGGGGCCTGAATCATCAGGGCATGAAGCCGTTGTGGAAGGTTCCCTCCGAAGAAATAAGGGGATTGTCTTTGCTAATTCTCTGCTATCTCTTTATCTCATATTTCTTAATACTGTTTTCTTTTTATGGTTCTTTTTGGGAAACGAGGCTCAAAAATACCCCTAGTTTTGTCTATGATTAGGGTCCTGAGGTTATTTTTCCCTTGAGCCAGGCAGTTTTAAAATGCCTGATGCCTCTTCATTTTTGCCCTTTAAAACACCAGCCTTGGCCAGCTGAATGAAACCTGGGGCAGTGGCCAGGCTGTGGACCCAGTGGAGTCTGGGGATGGCGGGAATCACCTTGGTTAGCTGAGACTTGAGGTCACAGGACAACCAGAAAGCTGAGCTTTCATGTGGTAGTGTCATGGAGCAGTGGAAACTTGTGGATTTCAGAGCCCTGCCAGACACATCCCTAAGCCCCTAAACCCCAATCCCTCACCCCTATTCAATGAGTTCCCTGAAGCTCTGGGGGTCTAGGGTTGGAGAGAGGTTAAGATGATATTTAAATTTTTTCAAACACTCTTATTTTAGGAAATGGGAAAACATGGGATCCTGGCCCTGGGCAGTCAGGGGAGCCTTAAGCTGGGGGTACTAAGTGGACAGGGGACTTAAGGGCATGATAACTGCAAGTGAATTTAAAAAGCTGTTATGTTGGAAAATAAGCCCCTCAGTTTGGATGGATAAGGTCAGAAGGAACCCAGTCTTGTGGAGCTACTACTTGGTAGTTAAACATTGTTTCATGGTGAAGGTAGAGCGAGTTCATTTACCTGCCTTAGATTAGAAACGCTGGCACTGCAGTTTCCCCCAGGACTAATTTTTAAACAGTGTGGTTAGAGGAAGGATCTTGCATAGGGCCTGGAGTTTTTTTGGTTTTTTTTTTCTTTTGAGACAGAGCCTTGCTCTGTTACCCAGGCTGGAATGTAATGGTGCGATCTGAGCTCACTGCAACCTCGGCCTCCAGGCTTCAAGCAGTTCTCCTGCCTCAGCTTCCCCAGTAGCTGGGATTACAGGCGTGCACCACCACGTCCAGCTAATTTTTGTATTTTTAGTAGAGATGGGGTTTTGTCATGTTGGCTGGGCTGGTCTCGAACTCCTGGCCTCAAGTGATCCACCCGCCTCAGCCTCCCAAAGTGCTGGGATTTACAGGCGTGAGCCTGGCCTAGGGCCTGGAGTTCTAATCCTTATTTCTTAATTAAACTGTGGCTGTTTTACCAGGTAAACAAGCCTCCTTCCCCTTCCACTTTTTTTGTCCGGTGGGGTAAGAGTTGGGTGCATTGGCTATGGATTCTTAACTTTTTTGTCAAGAACCCCTTTAAGAATCTGACCTGTGTACTTTCTCTCCAGAAAGAACTGCACGCTCAAAATTTTGCACACTAATTGAGGGGTTGCCAGGCCCTGAGATTGTCACAAGTTGTGCACACAAATTGAAGGTAGCTCCTATCTAGCTCCTAAGATTGTGTGGCTCAAAGCGTTCTTGGGGTATGTCTTCAGTGTCTTTCAAAGCAAGATAGTCATCTGTTAATTATGTATTGCCAAAAATGAAACAAAACCCCACGCATCTGGATGGTTTCAGAATTTAGGCCCTGTGGCATGGAGGTTCGTTGTCTTCCAGTCTCCCTCCGTTCCGTGCCTCTTTTCCAAAGGCAGGTAGTGGGACAGAAAGGTGTTGAGGCATCTGAGTTTAAAATACTAATCCTGTGGCAAATCTAGGGTTTTCTATAGGAGGATGTGGTGGTTAGCGGGTGAAGTTTGCATTGCTAATTGGGAATACAGATTTTTTTTTGTGTGCAATTCTCTAAAAGCAAGCATTAGGGAGGGTGAAAAGCTAAGAGGAAATTGTTTCCCAAAGGATTTTTGCAAAAGGCATTTCCCTTCCCCCTCCTCTTGTGTTTGACCTATTTATGTACTTTCAGAGTGTTGATGTCATAGTATTTCAAAGGGATATTGTATGTCTTGACTGGTAACTGCTTTTAAATAGGCCCAAAATACTCCGTCCTCCATTAATGATCAGCATGGCTCCCTCCAGGAATGGAAATTGTCAGATTGTCATAGAATGTTTTAGTCATCCTGATGACTAGAGTCATTCTCTCTCCTGCTTAATTCTCGACCTTCTTTTGCAACCACTGGAACATAACAGCAAATAAAAATAACCTTTAAGGAAGACTAGCTTGTGTAGATGAACATTCTTTGAATTTTAAGCTGAAATACTGAGTGCAGGATGGAGAGAACGCTGCTAAGCAGGGTATCTTGACCGGCTTGTTAGTGAGGGTTTTGTAGGGGGGACCATTCGCTGCCCTATCCGCCTGTTTCTCTTGTGGGATTAATCATTTCCTTTTGACCTTGTGCTCTGCCCCTAACATGTTGCATTGATCAGATCCCGAAATCTCAAGTCATTCTCCACCCCCACCACCCACCTCATTCTAATGAGACATCCTGAGGTGCAGGTTGGGGAGGGGTTTAAATAGAAAAGGTGTTCTCTATCAAAATACACAAAATGAAAAACAAATTATTATTTTTCAAAACAAGCCTCTCCACTTTCCTGTTTTGTTTTCTTATGGTTCTGTCAAGCTTTTTAGAAAGCTCCGCTTTCTCACTGTGACTATGGAAATGTTACTGGTTCAGCTTACACATTTTAAAACCTTGTGTTTCTCGGGCTGTGGGGAAAAAAGTTTGTTCTTTTTGATAAGCCTTACGTCTCAATTTCCTCCTCACTCTCACTTTTTAGAAAATTTCTTAAGTAGATGGTGAAATTTGAATTTCAGGCTACAATTAGTAAAAGAACTGAATACAGTTGGTAATAGAGTGGAATACAATGAACAAATGGCCAAGCCAATGAGGAGGATAAGGAGAATATGCAGAATTCACTGATTGGTATATTTCTCTCCTTAACTGAATCCACCCAGCTAAGTTCTTTGAAGACTTAGCGTTGTCCTCCTCACCTTTAATTAATGAAAGTGAACTGGCAAACTGGAAACTTTGTTTTTTGTTTTTGTTTTTGTTTTTTTTGAGACAGTCTTGCTCTGTCGCCAAGGCTGTAGTTACAGTGGTGTGATCTCAGCTCACTGCTACCGTCGCCTCCCAGGTTCAAGCGATTTTCCTGCCTCAGCCTCCCGAGTAGCTGGGATTACAAGTGCCCGCCACTACGCCTGGCTAATTGTTGTATTTTTAGTAGAGATGGGGCTTCACCATGTTGGCCAGGCTGGTCTCTAACTCCTAATCTCAGGTGGTCTGCCTGCCTTGGCCTCCCAAAGTGCTGGGTTTACAGGTTTGAGCCACCACGCCCTGCCTGAACTGGCAACTTTGAAAGGGTTGGGGCAGTTCTACTGTGTGACATTAATCTTGGGAAACTTAATTATTTCAAACTTAAATTTCAGGTGGCAAAACAGGTCTGAAGAGTATCAAAATTGCAAAAGAGAGAAAGGAAAGCTGATGTTATCACTTAGGCATAGCAACAGCTTTCTTTTGTGGGGTAGGCAGGAAAGGAATTTTCTGTTCACTTCCCACTTGGGAACAACTATTCAGGAGAGAGAAGTACCCAAAACCCTCTGGAGCGTGCCCGAGGGGTCCTGTGGGAACAAAGGCTCTATATTGGACCTGCTGCCAGCTTGGACCAGGCTGTTTTATGGTCGGTCCTCGGCCTTGGACCAAACTGGTCACAGATTCCCTGGGGGGTAGCCTTTTGGATTGTGGGGCCATGAATGAAATTGGGGACAGGGACAGTGTCACGGCCTAAACTGGAGCGCCGGAGGCACATCCTGGAGAAGGACATTGAGGGCTGTGTTCCTTTCTCTGACCAGAGGGAGGGTGGGGGTTGGGAGGCAGATAAATAGGTTTCTCCAGCTTCTCCATATGTCCACTACTGGGTTTATGCCTGAGGGTGTTGTGTAGAAATTTGAAGTATTGGGAAGCAAAACAGTGGTTCAAACAAATGCAGTGATAGGAGAGTGGGGCTCTCAGATGTGAGAACTTAGAAACGGACCCAAAGCAAGACAAGAGCATTTTGCCAGAGAGGTCTTCTTGTGCTAGGCTCATTTTAGGGAGCTATGGGAATGTGCTATTAAAGTCAGGCTTGTTAAACCCAGCAGGCATTTATTCTTGACCTGTAGGGGATAGGGAGCCATTGAGGGTTCTTGAGTTTGGAAGTAATGAAAAAAAGAAAGCAGCTGAATTTAGCAGTGGTTGATGGCACACAGGTAGAATTGCCTCTGCCTGAGGATTACAGAACTCTAACTGGGTAGAGGAAGGTTTATATTTGTATACTGTCTTTTAAAAAAAAAAAAAAACAAAAACAAACTTTATCTGGTATTTAGTATAAGCAATAATGAAACATGTAGCTTTGTCTTGGAAAATATTTTAGGAACACGAAGAGAATAGCAAAAGGTATTTGCAATTAAATTCTAAGTAGCTACACAAACACACCCCAGTTTGGTGTGAATAAAAAGTATGAAATTTTGTTCTGTGACATGCAAACACTTGACAGGGACCCCCTTACTATAGATTTGGTTACCAAGGAATACTTGTATCCATTTTTCTTCTTTTTCACAAATAGTAAATATATGTATACATTACTGTCTTCTGTATTTTTTCCATAATAATGTATCTTGGAGATTATTTCTCTCTCTCTCTCTCTTTTTTTTTTTTTTTTGAGACAGTCTCACTCTGTCACCCAGGCTGTACTGCAGTGGCACCATCTCAGCTCACTGCAACCTCCGCCTCCTGGGTTCAAGCGATTCTCCTGCCTCAGCCTCCCGAGTAGCTGGGATTACAGGTGCATGCCACCACACCCAGCTAATTTGTTTGTATTTTTAGTTGAGATGGGGTTTCACCATGTTGGCCAGGATGGTCTCGATCTCCTGACCTCGTGATCCGCCCACCTGAGCCTCCCAAAGTGCTGGGATTACAGGCATGAGCCACCACACCCGGCCAGAATATCTCATTCTTTTTAATGGTTGCCCTGGAATCAATTTATTTAACCATTATTAACTAGTACTCTATTAATGGACATTTAGTTTGCTTCCAGTCTCATGTGGTGCTATAAATCACCTATTTTTAAGGAAGTGCTTCATTCCTGCCTGGATGAACATCTAAAGATTGTCTTGTAGCTTGCAAGTGTTTTTACTAGAGAAGGGACACCCTTTTTCCTGAGGAGAAATGGAAGTTAAAAGTTTGTGCTGAGATAGCCCGTGGTAAGTTTGTCAAGTCTGGAGTTTGGTTTTGTCAAAAGTTTGTGGGAGGCCTGGTGCGGTGGCTCACGCCTGTGATCCCAGCACTTTGGGAGGCCAAGGCAGGCAGATCACTTGAGGCCAGGAGTTTAAGAGCAGTCTGACCAACAGAGTGAAACCCTATCTCGACTAAAAATACAAAAATTAGCCAGGCATGGCGTGTGCCTGTAGACCCAGCTACTCAGGAGGCTGAGGCAGGAGAATCATTTGAACTCAAGAGGCGGGGGTTGCAATGAGCTGAGACCACGCCACTGCACTCCAGCCTGGGTGACAGAGCGAGACTCCCATCTCAAAAAAAAAAAAAGGAAAGAAAAGTCTTGGTGTTGGCCCCTTTGGGCGATCTTGGCTCACAGCAACCTCTGCCTCCTGGGTTCAAGTAATTCTCATGCCTGAGCCTCCCAAGTATCTGGAATGACAGGCATGTGCCACCATGCCTGGCTAATTTTTTAAATTTTTTTGTAGAGACTCAGAGGTCTCACTATATTGACCAGGGTGGTCTCAAACTCCTTGACTCAAGTGGTCTGCTCATCTCGGCTTCCCAAAGTGCTGGGATTACACACGTAAGCCACTGCGTGCCTGGCCTACATTCCCATTTTAATAGTTTTGTTCTCTAGCACATTCTTAGAGATAGTTGTTTCTGGAGAGACACCTCATTCATGGACATATACATGTAAAGATGCTTCTGGACATTGCTTAGGCTGTTCAGGCTCTGAGAGGTTGTGACCAGCTCATGGAAACCTGAGTTTTCCTCTGGTTCTCTGTGGCTACCCACTTGACCAAGGCTCTGGAATGTAATCCATGAATGAGATTTTGATGGAATTAGCTGTGTGCAGAACTGGAAGGAACCTTAGTTTGAATATCGTCTTCATTCCCTAGGCCTTACTCAAGGAGGAAACAAGGCATCATCTGGCTAAATCTTTCTAGCCCTCAGCTCCAACTCCTCACAAAGTTGTTTTATGTTCTTTAATAGATGAGAATGGTGTTTTGATTATCATTTTCTGGCCACAGTTTGATGCTGATGGGATACAGTGCTAACCACCCACTTAAATAGAGCTATTGCATAAGCCGTTATTTCCTTCCTTCTGTTTGTTCAAATGGGTATTGAGCATCCATGTGCCAGACACTTAGATGCTTGGAATGAAGCAGTGAACAAGACGGAAAAGTCAGTTCCAGCCTTCGTTGTACAGTGATCTCCCTTACCCACGGTCAGCCACAGTTGGAAAAGAGGTGAGTGCAGCACACAGTATTTTGGGAGAGAGAGATACCACATTCATATAACACAGTATGTTGTTACACAATATATTGTTATAATTGTTCTATTTTAATATTGGTTGTTGTTACTCTTCTTACTGTGCCTAATTTATAAATTACATTTTATCATAAGTATATATGTATAGTGAAAAACATAGTATATATAGGGTTTGGTACTATCCGTGCTTTCAGGCATCCACTGGGGGTCTTGGACGTATCCCCCAAGGATAAGAGGGAACTACTGTACTTAAATTCAAATGAACGTGACTAGATACACATTTTCAGGGATTGAAAAGGGCTTTGAGGAAAGTTAAGTCGGGTAAGGGGGTGGAAGTGAGGGGTACCAGTGTTGTGTTTAGTAGTGGGGAAAGTGTCTAGGGAGGTAGGTATGGGGCCACTGTGGGGTGGGGGAGGGCATGGCTTTCAGGCAGAGGGAATAGCAGGGAGTCCAGGATGGCCCAGCCAAACGCTGTGGGCACAGTGACCCCCAGGAGTGAAGTGGGGGAGCCTCTGGAGGGTTTTAAAGAGGGGTGTGGCGTGATATGTCTCTGACCTGTCTCTAGCCCTCCTCTTTTGCTGCTACATGGGGAACACACTAGGGCAGGAAGGAGACAGATCCTCAGCCTGTCGGTTCTCTGGAAAGTATCTGGGAGAAGCAGTGTTCCCTAGAGGGACATGTCCCAGAATGAAGGTTCATCTTCAGGGATGGTGGTTTTGGGGAGCACAGCAGGAGGGAGACCCTGGCTGAGAGAGAGGAGGAAGGATCTCAGAGAGACCCCAGTATAAGCTGACATGTGGTTTAAGTGGTGAGGGAAGGGATGCCCTATGTGGTACACAGGGCTAATGAGCTGCTTCTGTACTGTTTATAAAACAACCCACAGTTCAGAGGGACAGCATACAGGAGAGATGCCCCAAGATGGGTAGCTGGCCTCTCCTACAGGCACCATCTGAGCAGAGCCTGGATTGGAGTTCATTGTTGGTGCTGACTTAGGCAGAGCTAGAAGGTACCTAGTTTTCTCTAATAGTTTTATTTATTTATTTATTTATTTATTTTTGCTTTTTTGTTTGTTTGAGACGGAGTCTCGCTCTGTCACTCAGGCTGGAGTGCAGTGGCGCAATCTGGGCTCACTGCAAGCTCCGCCTCCTGGGTTCACACCGTTCTCCTGCCTCAGCCTCCGGAGTAGCTGGGACTACAGGTGCCCGCCACCACGCCCGGCTATTTTTTTGTATTTTTAGTGGAGACGGGGTTTCACCATGTTAGCCAGGATGGTCTCGATCTCCTGACCTCGTGATCCGCCTGCCTCGGCCTCCCAAAGTGCTGGGATTACAGGCGTGAGCCACCGCACCTGGCCCTCTAATAGTTTTCTTTACCTGGAACTTTCACCGCTCCCCTGCCCCCCCATCCCTACTTGCACTTTAAGACTTGACTTCTCCTCCTCCAGGAAGTTCTCTGAGATTACATCTCAGCTGGCCTTATTCAGTTGTCCCTTCTTTTAGACTGATAACACTTTGAGGGCAAGGACATCATAGTGCCAAGCATGAGGCAATAAGGAAATGTACTGGATGTTAAAAATAGGACCTCTGTTGGTGGAAGGTGAAAGGGGTGAAAGGCTGTTTTGACTGGACATGAATAAGAGTGGAGTCACTGGCCTCCTGCAGAGGAATTTGGGACATGTAGGGTCAGAGGTCATCATTCAGCATGCTTTCTCCCAATCTTATTTATGAAATCTCTCAACGTTCTTTTCAACGAGCAAACAAAGTAACCTGGAGAACCCGGGGCAGGAGTGCCTTCTTGGCTCATTGTCAGTCCTGCCTTGCAAACACTGTGATTTAACTTGCCTTGCCACTTACCAGGCTGGAACCCTTACGGGCTCATGACCACGCCTTTTCTTTCTGGAACTGCCACGGACATTTTTGGGTTTCATGTACTCTCAGGATGAATTCTCCACCACCACCCCGAGAGGAAATGTAGTATCCCCATTTATGGGTGAAAACAGCTCAGTGAGCCAGCTTATCCAAAATTGCTGGAGAAGGACCACTCAACATTTGAACCCGGGTTTTCTGACTCCACAACACAAGTTGGCCCAAAGTTGTGTCCTGGCCTCCTTCCACGTGGCTGGAACAATCACTAACCTCTGGCCCCTCAAGGTCACCCAACTGCCATGTACACACTTCTCTTCAGGAGCTTTCCCTGGGTCCCCTGTTCCCTCTGTTTTACTTCGAATTCTTCCTCTGCACTTTGGTCAGGAATAGCATGCTTCTTTGCTCAAGCTGTTCCTTTTAACTGGCAGATTTGTAAATCTTCCACCTCAGTCCTCCTGGGTCTGTCCCATTCTCCCTGAGAAGCTATTTCTGATTTACCTGCTTAGCACAAGGGCATGCTACTGCAGTGTCTCCTAGGCAGTGGCTGAAGTTCTTCTTGGAGTCATTCTGTGCAAAATTTCTAGCCATTTTTAGCAAGCAATTTTTTTCTAACTGGCCTCATGTGCAATTAATTCACCCTTGAACAATGTGGGGGGTTAGGGGCGCTGACGCCCTGTACAGTCAAATTTGTGTGTAGACTCCCCAAAACCTATATAGTATGCTGTTGACTAGAATTCTTACAGATAATATAAAGTCAATTAATACATGTATTATGTATTATTTGTATGTTACATGTATTATGTGCTGCTATATTCTTCAATAAAGTAAGATAGAAAAAAATGTTACTAAGAAAATAATAATGGCCAGGTGCAGTGGCTCATGCCTGTAATCCCAGCACTTCAGGAGGCCGACGCAGGTGGATCACTTGAGGTCAGGAGTTCAAGACCAGCCTGGCCAACATGGCGAAACCGTGTCTGTACTAAAAACACAAAAATTAGCCGGGTGTGGTAGTGGGTGCCTGTGATCTCAGCTACTCTGGAGGCTGAGGCATGAGAATCGCTTGAACCCAGGAGGCGGAGGCTGCAGCAAGCCGAGATCGCACCACTGCACTCTAGCCTGGGTGATAGAGTGAGACTCAGTCTCGGGGTGAGGGGCGGGACACAAAAAGAAGAAGAAAACGTGTTTACTATTTAAGTGGAAGTAGATCATTATAAAGGTCTTCATCCTCCTTGTCTTTTGAGTAGGCTGAGGAGGAAGAGAGAGAGGAGGGTTTAGTCTTGCTGTCTTAGGGGTGGCAGAGGTAGAAGAAAATCTATGTATAAGTGGACCCTTGTGTTTCAAACCCGTGTTGTTCAAGGGTCAACTGTATTTTGGTTAGTTCCTCATTTGTCTTACTGATCCTCTCTAGCAGGGGTATATTTTCCAAATCAGGCCATGGGTGAGAGTGAAAGGGGTTCTGTTAACAGTTAAGCCTAGACATCGTGAGCAAACCTGCCCAGACTGACGGTCGAACAGCTCTGGGAATAGAAGCTTCTCAAGTTGTTTTTTCTTTCAAGGCTTTTAGCACAGTCTTAAATCCGATGTAAATAGTTTAAAAATTAGCAGTGAACACAGCACACTTGACTATGAGGCCAGGATACTGTGGCCTCATAGTCTCTGAGTCTGAGTACAGACCAACTTTAAGAGCTGTCTCTAAAACAGATGGAGTTGGAGGCCCAGGAGGAAGTTCTGGGAGAGCCGGGAGGCCCAGCTGAACAGCCTGAGCCTCCCTGGCCACCTCTTCTTGGGGAAGAGTTTTAGATGCAGTGGGATGAGTATTGTGGAAAGACTAAGGAAAGCCACGTAGGGCCTCAGAACAATTTGGGGGAAGGACAGAGCCAAATATTTAGGTTTCTTGTGCCATGTGTATCACCTTTTCCTGACTTTAAGTGATAGACAAAGTAAGGGTGACTTGTTCAGGGCCAGATGGAGCAAGACAGGAATTTCAGGACCCAAGTAAAGACTAATTTGAGGGCTTAGAAAAGTCTCCTGAAAACTTCGATTATGTAACTGAAACCACCTGATTGTTTCACCAGCTAAGAGCTTGTGAATTTTCTTTTTCCCACCATAGCAGGTCTGGCTTTTCCCATCTTTGTGAAGTTTACCCTTGTGTATCTGATGGGGTGGATGGTGAGGCTCTGCCCCTCACCACTTTTATAGGGCAGAAGTGTGGGGTTTCTCCTGGCTTCGTGACCTGCTCAGTCTGGGCAGTGGGTGCCTGTTTCCTGTTTCACAAGTTCTGTCGAACAGCACGCTTGAGCATCCAACAAGCTTCATTTGTTGGAATGAGGTAGGATTTCTGATTAACATTCATACCTGAGACTTGAAATTATTTTTCATTACCATCATTTGCAAAAAGAGGAAAAACATGATGAGTGGTACCGCGATTTTAGGGTTTTCTTTTTTCTTTTGGAGACAGTGTCTCGCTTTATTGCCTGGGTGGAGTGCAGTGGCGTGATGTCGGCTCACTGCAACCTTTGTCTCCTGGGTTCAAACGATTCTCCTGCCTCAGCCTCCCAAGAAGCTGGGATTACAGGCACACATCAACATGCCTGGCTAATTGTGTTTTTTTAGTAGAGATGGGGTTTCACCATTGGCCAGGCTGGTTCTTGAACTCCTGACTTCAGGTGATCCGCCTGCCTTGGCCTGCCAAAGTGTTGAGATTACAGGCGTGAGCCACTGTGCCTGGCCAACTTTGGGGTTCTGGAGAGGGGTTTGATTCCAGTGGTTTTGCATACAGTTTCCCCAAATGTTGGTCTTTCTTCTGATTGTATCTTATTACCATTTAGTTGACATTTCCCTGCCCGGAATGCCGCTGGCCTGGGTGCCTGGGTTCCCTGGCTTTCCAGGGGTCACTTCACTTGGTCTTTGCTTACATCCTGCTGTAATGACTGCTTCTTTGTAGTGGACTGTGCACACTGGTGGGAAGAGGGATGGGGAGCAGCCAAGGGACTGGGACTTTATTTCTGTCCTTAGTGAAGCCCAGTAACATGGTTCCTGGTTTGGCAGCTGAATTGATCTTTTTGCGGTGGGTGGGTTTATCCCCATGTGATTCCTGCATGGGCTGGGCCCTTCTTCCTCAGGTCATACCACCTAAGGAATCCAGCTTTCCTGCCACCCAGTTCTGTTCCCTGTTGGGCCAGTTTCTTCTGGTTTGCCTAGGCCCTTTGGCCCACCCTTTGTTGTGCTTTCTCTTTCTCCCTCCCCTCTCCTCCTGTTCTCTCCTCCCCTCTTCTCTCCCCTTCCCTCTCCTCTCCTCCCCTCCCCTCTTCCCTCCCCTCTCCCCTCCCCTCTCCTCCCCTTCCCTCTCTGATGGAATTTCACTCTTGTCAACCAGGCTGGAGTGCAATGGTGCGATCTCTGCTCACTGCAACCTCCACTTCCCGGGTTCAAGCAATTCTCCTGCCTCAGCCTCCCAAGTAGTTGGGATTACAGGCGCCCACCACCACGCCCAGCTATATTTTGTATTTTTAATAGATACAGGGTTTCGCTGTGGCCAGGCCGGTCTCGAACTCCTGACCTCAGGTGATCCACCTGCCTCGGACTCCCAAAGTGCTGGGATTACAGACGTGAGCTACTGCACCTGACCCCTCACACCTTTCTTTAAAAAGGCCTTTAAATTTGAGGTATTTTGCCTTTTATGCCTCATTTCAGTTGCCCTACTCTCCTCATTGCTCTACCCAGGACCCTCTAGATTATTGATGGTTGGTAAGAGAAGATCACCATTGCTCTCTACAGTTTGGAGTTTCTCTTGGGGAGGTGGGACGACTCTTAACCTGCCCAGTAACTGCCTAGATCACAGCCGTGGGGCCCACCTTCCTCAGGTTACTCCCCTGTGTAGGGGACAGATAGGTAGCTTCCATCTCAGAAGCTCCTAAAGCAGGCTGCCTGGCCTGGCCTGGGCTCTGCGTGGCTGGCCTGTTGCCCCTTTGACATTTGTAGAGGTGTCTGCAGGGTAGGTTTCCCACTTTTGGAGTAGAGGCTACAAACACTAACTTGAAAAGGGTTTTTAAAAATAAATCGTGGGGCTGGGCGCGGTGGCTCATGCCTGTAATCCCAGCACTTTGGGAGGCCGAGGCAGGCAGATCGCTTGAGTGCAGGAGTTTGAGACCAGCCTGGCCAACATGCTGAAACCCCATCTCTACTGAAAATTCAAAAATTAGCCAGGTGTTGTGGCACGTGCCTGTAGTCCCAGCTACTCTGGAGGCTGAGGCAGGAGAATCGCTTGATCCCGGGAGGCAGAGGTTGCAGTGAGTTGAGATCGTGTCATTGTACTCCAGCCAGAGCAAGACTGTCTCAATAAAATAAAGTAAATAATCTTTTTTTTTTTCTTGAGATGGAGTCTCTGTTGCCCAGGCCAGAGTGCAGTGGCACGATCTCGGCTCACTGCAACCTCCGCCTCCAGGTTCAAGCAATTCTCCTGCCTCAGCCTCCTGAGTAGCTGGGATTACAGGCATGCTTCACAATGTTGGCCAGGCTGGTCTCGAACTCCTGGCCTCAGGTGATCCACCTACCTTGGCCTCCCAAAGTGCTGGGATTACAGGCATGAGCCACCGTGCCCAGCCAATAAATAAATAAATTGTTGGCCAGGCGCGGTGGCTCACGCCTGTAATCCAAACACCTCGGCAGGCCAAGGTGGGAGGAACACTCCGGAGTTCAAGACCAGCCTGGGCAACAAAGTGAGTTCCTGTCTCTACAAAAAAATAAAAATCATTTTCTTTATAAGACTAAGCATCCCTCTTTCACCTGCTTTTGCACTGAAGATGTTTGCTCTGCTCTCGCTCATTTTGCCTTTTACTTACAGAGAAAGATGTCAAGAAAGGCTCTTGTAATTGCTGGAATGTCGGGGGGAAGATGAGGTACTGGGAGAGTGTGTCTGGCTTCTCTCTTTAATACTCTCCTTGACAGGTGCAGTTTTGGGGAATGCCATAGAAGAGCCCAGACTTGGGACTTGGAGACAAATCTCCGTAATTCACAGACATGCCCCAGCACCCACTCTTCCACACCCCCACACCCCACCTGAGCCTCGGCAATCCCAGTGCAGCACGGGTACTTCTTGGCATTCAGAGAATTCACAGAGGCCACGTGTGTGCTATCCACTGCTTCCCAGGATTGGTCACTTCCCAATTTAAAATAATTACTGCCTGTGAACAACTCTGTATTAAAACAAAATTTCTATAGTAATATCTTAACTGCTTGATTTTTGGGGGAGGAGGGGAGCAGGTGGGAGGCATTGCCTAGAAAGGTAACTGGCTCTAGGCCTTATCAACCAATAGGACAGTGTAACCTTGATTCACTAACCCTAATCAAGACAGAAGGCAACTAAGTAATGCAGGGGACAAGGACACAAGATGATGGAACTTGCAGAGAGGAGGGAAGTGCTCGGTTGTGTTAAAGGTAGAAAATGTGACTAGTAATATTTACTAACAGTTTTTATTACTAGTGTATTCTCATCTGAGTCTGTATTTCTGCTTCTCTTCTCAGGACAGTTTTACCCAGGTGATGAGTGCCTTCCCTTGCTTTAAAAAATTCTGCCTTTCTACACCATCTCAGCCACATGGGTGATTGAAACCTACTTGGCTTCTTTAGGAACTGAAAGGGTTTCAGGTGTACACTGTTGCCCGCTGTTTAAGAGGCGAGGACTGAGTTACATGGCCACCTACAGAGTCTGACCATTTTTTAAATGTCAGCCCCAAAGTACCACTGACTCTTGTCCATAGCACAACAGATTAAAACCTTGCCTTGCTTTTGCAACCTTGGAGGCAGCTGGAAAACTTGTGTGTCTACGTCCAAATCTGTCTTTCGTGTCCAGTTTAAAAATATATAATTTACATGGGCAGTGATCTCAGTGTTGGAACAAATCTCTTTTATTTGCTGCTGGAAGCTGCATGGGCCACTCATTAATACATCAGAGGTCAGATGCATGCCGGGGCGGCAGCTGGGACACTAATGATTTCATATGGCTTTGTATGACCGCTGGCCGCCTGTGGTGCTGTAAATCGGGACTCAGGGTTCTAATTTTTTCAAAACCTCCAGGGAGGTTGCCTCTTGCGAGATATAACTTAAGATAATATTTATAGTAGAGGGCAGAGGAAAAATAATACCTAATGGGAACATTGTGGAAAAAATGGTAGCAACCTATTAGAAGTAAATTATGTGGGGCCATTGGAGTTAACTCATTTATGGGCTCCATGAGTATTTTATTAGGTCCTTAGCTATGAAGAGTGCTGCGCTGTGGCCAAGCTCCAAGCATCACCCCCTCAACAACTTAGGTTGTCAGTGGAAGGATTCTCCCCTCACTTTTGGGAGGGAGGAGTATTAATTGAACCTTTTTTTTTTTTTTTTTTTTTTTTTTGGAGCTGGTCTTGCTGTGTCTGGCTTGAGCCAGGCTGACTGCGGTGGTGCATACATGGCTCACAGCAGCCTCGAACTCTTGGGCTCATCAAGCCATCCTTCTGCCTCAGCTGTGACTATAGGCATGCCCCACCATGCTTGGTTAATTTTTAATTCTTTTGTAGAGACAGGGTCTTTGTTGGCCGGGCTAAGTGTACATTTTGACTTTTGATGATTTATATATACCTGTGTAATCAATCCTCGCATCAAGATATAGATTTTCTCTAATTCCAGAAGGATTCCCTTGGGGTCCCTCTAGTTCACCCTCGTTCTCACCTGCAACTACTGTTGTTTTCTTCCACGTTGAGTTTTATCTTCATATATTAATAAATGGAGTTATGCAATATATTCTCTTGATTTTAGCTTTTTCACCAGTCTTAGTGCCTTTAAGCTTCTTGTATGTAGGTATATTTATTTATTTGTTTTTGTTTTTGTTTTTTTGAGACGGAGTCTCCTCTGTCACCCAGGCTGGAGTGCAGTGGTGAGATCTTGGCTCACTGCAGCCTCTGCCTCCCGGGTTCAAGCAATTCTCCTGCCTCAGCTTCTTGAGTAGCTGGAACCACAGGTGCCCACCACCAGGCCTGGCTAACTTTTGTATTTTTAGTAGAGATGGGGTTTCACTATGTTGGCCAGGCTGGTCTCAAACTCCTGACTAAAAATGGTCCACCCGCCTCGGCCTCTCAAAAGTGCTGGGATTACAGGCATGAGCCACCACGCCTGAACTTCTTGTGTGTAGTTACTGACAAACATCCTGTTGTGTGTATGTACCACGGTGTATGTTGATGTGGAAGTTTTGTTTTTACTTTTAAACATCCAAGACTGATTGATTGAGGCAGGGTTTCTGTTGCCCAAGCTGGAGTGCAGTGGAATGATCATAACTTGCTGTAACTTTGATGTAACTTTGAACTCCTTGGGCTCAAGCAATCCTCCCACCTCAGCCTTCTGAGTAGCTATCAAGTTTTTATTTGTTCAAAACTATATTTGGGAGGCAGTAATCCAAAACACAACTCTGGCATTTTCTAAGCTGTCACTGAGTATTGTGTAGTGTAACTTGGATCTGTTAGAGGACACCCCAAGCACAGGTGTGGCACTCTTAGGAAGATGCCCTTTTATTGCAGAGCCTTCAGGAAATGTGTGAGAAACTGAAGGTGGTGGGCTGGTGGGCCATGAGTTTGCCTCAAGCTGTGTGGGGTGGGTGAAGATAACAAGGTGCCAGCCCAAAAAGCAGATTCTGATCTGGGAGTCAAGTAAGTCCAAAGGGCCTAGGGAGCTGGTGCCCGCTGGGTTCGCCAGAGGCAGAGTGTGGAGGACGTGTTGTTTATTCGAGATCCCCTGCTTTGAAAGGCAGGATGCAGGATGTCAACAGGGTCCTGACACCCCAGTGCCCCCAGGGGCAGAGCATGAGTGTCTGCCGTCTGCCCTCAGGGCTCAGGCTCAGGTCCGGTGTAGAGTGGATAGTCTGGGTAAAGGAAATGTCAGGCATAGCTACATTCCCCAGTATGCATCCCTCTTCCCCCACTTGGCATGTGTGTTGTCCCCCAGTTGGTATTTTGCAACATCATGATTATACTTTTAAAAATTAAGTGGTGTGTGTGTGTGTGTGTGTGTGTGTGTGTGTGTGTGTGTGTGTGTGTTCACAAAGGTCTGGAGAAGTGCTAATTTTAGCTCAACATGGGGGGTGCCTGTCATTTTCCCTGCCGGAATCCCCTCCTCTCCTTTTACCTCGACCTCTGCCCCTTATGGTTCACCTGGAGGATTGCTCCTGCCCTGTAAAACTCACTGTAGCAGGGCCAGGCGCAGTGGCTCACGCCTGTAATTCCAGCACTTTGGGAGGCCGAGGCAGTCGGATCATGAGGTCAGGAGATTGAGACCATCCTGGCTAACACGATGAAACCCCGTCTCTACTAAAAATACAAAAAATTAGCTGGGTGTGGTGGCACGCGCCTGTAGTCCCAGCTACTCAGGAGGCTGCGGCAGGAGAATCACTTGAACTCGGGGGTTGGAGGTTGCAGTTAGCTGAGATCACACCACTGCAGTCCAGCGTAGGGGACAGAGCAAGATTCCATCTCAAAAAAACAAAAAACAAGCAAACAAAAACAAACCAAAAAACCCACTGTTGCAGCCTGCGGAGGGTCAGAATCACGGAAAACTACATACACGAGTTACACCACCCTTTCTCAGGCCACACTGATGGCTGTGTGGGTTGGGCGGCAGCAAGAGACATATTCATGAAACTACTTTGTCTGACTCTGCCAAAACTGGTCGAAGGCGTTTGCTGTGCTGCCCAGGGCATTGTTCTTATCTGGGTTTTCATCTTCCTTAAGAGAGTCATTGCTGGGGGAAAATGATTTTCTTCCAGGATGAACTCATTTTCACACTTTTAATAGTTCTGATAGTTCCTGTGAGCCAGAAATGAGGCTGTTTCTCTTTTTATCAAGTCAGCAAGTAAGCCCAGCCAAATTCCAGCATTCAACTCTGTAAACAGAATTTAGTCACTTTCACTATCTGGACCTTTTAATTTGCCGCCCGCCGGCCCCCCCCCCCCCCCGCCCCACCTTTTTTTTTTTTTTTTTTTTTTTTTTTTAAGACAGAGTCTGACTTGTTCTGTCACCCAGGCTGGAGGCAGTGGAGATTTTGGCTCACTGCAACCTCTGCCTCCTGGGCTCAAGCGATTCTCCTGCCTCAGCCTCCTGAGTAGTTGAGATTACTGATGCCCGTCACTACGCCTGGCTAATTTTTGTGTATTTAGAGGAGATGGGTTTTGCCATGTTGGCCAGGCTGGTCTCAAACTCCTGACCTCCAGTGATCTGCCTGCCTCAGCCTCCCAAAGTGCTGGGATTACAGGCGTGAGCCACCATGTACAACATGACTTACTTTTAAAACATGATGCTTCCAGGATTTTTGTTTTTTTTTTGGAGATGGATTACAGGCATGCGCCTGTACTAGGATTACAGGCGTGAACCACTGCACCAGGCCTTTTTGTTTGGTTGTTTATTTGTTCTGTTTTGAGATGGAGTCTTGCTCTGTCTCCTGGGCTGGAGTGCAGTGGCGTGATCTCGCCTCACTGCAATCTCTGCCCCCTGGGTTCAATCTATTCTGCCTCAGCCTCCCGAGTAGCTAGGATTACAGGGCCTGCCCCCACACTAATTTTTGTATTTTTAGTAGAGGCAGGGTTTCACCATGTTGGCCAGGCTAGTCAACAAGTGATCTGCCCTCTTCGCACTCCCAAAGTTCTGGGATTACAGGCGTGAGCCACCACGCCTGATCAATGCTTTGTGTTTTGTGTGTTATTAGTAAGAGCTGTGTGTTCAGGAGAAACACCTAGACATGGTGGTGTGCTACTGGAGTATGTTGAGGCTCCGAGACTTTGGACAGGGCCGTGTCGATGGAAAATAATTCAGGGACTTGTGAAGCTGGACCACTTCACCAAGGGCCTGTGTGATTGTGGGGCCTGGTCCCACAAGCAGGGGAGCAGGTGATAGAAGGAACCTACGCAGTGTTTTGGAAGTCTTGTAGAATGGGGCATTGGGGGAGCAGGGGCTTGCGAGGTGTGGTTGGTTGGCTGCTGTTGGAGAGGAGTAATGGCAACTTTTTGGGGAGCAGCAGTCAGTGGTAGTGAAGAATTTTTAAAGAAAATTAGGGAAGAAGGGAGCATGGTGTGGTTTTTGGAGTCACATAAAAACTTAAAGTGAACAAGTGCTAACAGATGACATTTTATGTTTGTCAAACTATACCTCTCCCTGGGTACCAGCAGTTGCGATGAGTTCAGATGCAGAGATAACGGCATCCCTCTCTGATTTCAAGTTTTCCTTTCAAATTGTCTTGTCCATGGAGCCCAAACATTTAAATTTGAGATGAGTAGATGCCTCTGACCCCACTGCAGATTGTTCTTGGACACTCCCACTTTTACCACCCCCCTCCCCCTCCTCTTTTTTAGATCTTCACATGTTATATTGCTTGTTTAGCCTGGGAATGAATCTTGTTCAGCCAGACAGTATTACATGTGTACGTTTAATACTGTGCATTTACATAATACATATAATGGGACTGCAAAAGAACATTAGTTTTGCAGTGAAATACATAAACATTTACTAAATGACATAGGTAAAAATGATTGATCATTTTCACACCAGTTTCAGTTTTTAAAATTATTTTATTGACAAAAATTTGTGTGTGTGTGTATGTGTGTATATATACATACATATTTTTGAGACAGGGTCTCGGGCTCTGTGGCCTAGGCTGGAGTGCGGCGGTGCGATCATGGCTCACTATAGCCTTCATCTCCTGTGCTCAAGTGATCCTTTTGTCTTGGCCTCCCAAAGTGCTGGTATTGTAGACCTAAACCAGCATCCCCAGCCAGAATCTTACATATTTATTGTGTACAACATGTTTTGAAGTCTGTATGCATTGTAGAGTATGTATATTGAGCTAATTAACATGCATTGCCTCACATACTTATTTTTTTGTGGTGAGAACACATAAAAATGTACTCAGTGATTGTCAAAAATACTATAATAACTATAGTACCGTGTTGCACATCAGTTTTGCTGCCAAATAGTATATGGAACAACTTTTGTTTTCCAGAGCATCGTCTTGGATGTTGGAGTTGCAGAAAGGGGATTGTGGGCCTCAGGGTGTGTGTGTTAATTGCTTGTGTGTGGTGTGTGTGTTTTAATTCCTAACACCCCTTTTTTTATTGCCTGAGATTCCTTCAATTTCTAGAGATACCATGAAGCAGCCCCGCTTAATCTTATTTAACAGACGCTGCTGAGACTGCCAGAACGCAACACAACAAGACTTTTTCTTTCCTTGGACTGCTCCTCTTGTAGGCCCCTTTTCAATGTTGGCACCCATCAAAGCCTTCCACCCAAGCAGGAGTAGATCTTAACTCCAATTCCAACTGTGAACTGTGTCCATACTGACTGCCTCTCCTGGCATCCCCTGCTGGCCTTTTGTTTTTGGTTGTGTTGAGAACAGAAACTGGTACTTTGCCCTTCACATGGGTGAAGGTCGACCTGACTAAAAAGAATTCGGGAATTCTTACTATCCAAGCTTGCAAGTAGGTTTCCCCCAATAACCATTATATCAAGTGATGTAACAATTGAATATATTACCAAATTGAAAACTAGGGATTCTGTAAAGAACAAGGATGTTAACTGTGGCACTGCTTGCGATTTTTCAAAAATCAGGAAACAGTTTTACAATTTTATTAGCCTATACTCATTAAGTTGTGGTACATTCATATAGCAACATACCATGCAGCCATTCGGAAAGCCAGGCATCTCTGCACGGAGTGACCCAGAACATTCTCCAAGTTAATATAGTTAAGAGAAACTTTGTTTTGTCTTAAAAAACTAAGTTACGCCTAGAATAAAGCTTTTTTTTTTTTCATGGTTAAAGTGGAGACAATTGAGTGAGACATTAGGGTTTTTTTTTTTTTTAAAAAACTGTTTGCTTGTATTACTTTCTGCATTTGAACAAATACTTGTTACCTAGCCAAATAAAAAGTGTTTTGGAAACACTCCCTCCTCATACTCCCACCACAGAAAGGATAATGTGTCTGCAGCGGGGCTCTGTTGTCTTGAACTGGTGAGGACTATGCCTGAACTGGGTCCCTATTCCTTTCCTATATTTATCCAGGCCATAGTTGTGGGGCAGCACGTGGCCAGGGCTACAGGAGAGGCTTCTGCTGAGGGTTTGGGCTGCAGATTTGAGCACAAGCACTCAGTCTATCTCAGTCAAGTAAAGCGTTGTTTTAATATTACTTAATAGACTTATTTCATGGCTAGATTTTACCTCCTTGAACTTGGCTTATCATTTTTAAAACGAATCTTGTGTTGTCCCACGTGAGAACCTGCAGAGTAGCACACACAGGTAAGGCTTCTTCTGGGCCTCATTTGCTTCTGGAACCTGTTGTTGCCTCCACTTTACTTCTGTAGTGGGAAACTCAGAAACCCTCTTGGGTGGGTGGAGATCTAGCCAGGTGTCAGCGGTTCAGCCTTGGTTTGTGGGAGCCCAAGTAAATGTCCTCAGTCATTTTAAGGGATACCAAACTAATCTTTAAAAAGTTTACAGCAGTTTATGTATTTTAGTTGAGACATTTCGATGAACTTAAATGGCAATCTGGGCCTTCCTCTGTCCTTTCAGCTTACATTCTTCACTGATAGGGGTAGTTGTGTTTTAAACCTGAAGCTCATTCTTTCAGATGTCCCTTGGTGTGTGTGTTCCTTGTTGGGCCACAGATAGTGTAAAATCTAGATTCCAGAAGCCTGGGTGCACGTGCATTTGCATGTGCACACATGCGTGCACACACGTTCATTAACAAAGCATTTTATTTAAACACTGGCTAAGGTACAAACATGCCTACTTTGTATTTTTATTTATTTATTTTCCTTTAACCTCCCTCCCCCATTCCTCCCGGCCTAGTCTCCCGCCCGTTCCTTTCCTGCTGGGCTCACATTCCTAGGTCTTTGTCTCTGCCTGGTATTCTAGATTTTGGGGAGAGGAAGGCAATGGGTGGGACGTTCTGGAAGCTGGGGGCAGGGAAGAGGGTGGTCACTTGCAGGGTCAGAGGTCAAGCCTCCTCCATTTAGCTGGGGCAGCCGGATTGTCGCCAGGCCCGAGGGGGCGTGTCTGTGCATCTGCCCGGGAAGCCCCAAACAGGCCCTGGAATTCCTGCTGCTAGACGACCTGTTCTTCCCAGTCCCTTCCCCCCTTTCCCGGGAGCCGCTGTTCATGGCTACTACCACATTTCTGGCTATAGGACCCTCCACACAGCTCCAGTTTATTTCCTTAAAAATAATTTTACACCTGTTTCAGAGAGAATTACATCCATGCACATCCTTACCTATCGATTGTTTTAACAGCTCTAAAATTGTGGTTTTTCAGTTTCAAATTGTGGTTAGATGAGACATGGAGCTTCTAAATGAAGCATGAAATCCTACCAAAGTTCTGCTCCAACTTTTAGCTGGAAGGTTTATAAAAGTGGATTTCATTTTATAGTTTTTGGACAATGCATTCTTTTAAAAATTCATTGTTTACTAATAACGAGCACATTGAGGCCATTCTTTTACTCACTGGTAGCTTTTTATTATCAACCATTTGGGTGCTCCCTGTCCCCATCTCTGTTGCAGGCGGCCTGGAGCTGTGAAAGCACTGGCTCTTCTGAAACCACAGTGTGTTCTGGGTACTTAGAACTGCATCGATCCTGTGTAAAATGATACCAAGCAGGGATTGCATTCAGAGACCCCTTTCATTTGTATATCTGGGCTCTCAAGGCTGGTCACAGGAGGGCTCTGGTGTCGGCTCAGGGCACCCTGCCTTTCGCTGCCATACCGGCCACTACCTGTTCTGACCAGGATTTTTTTCTGGCTACTGCATCTGCAGAATCTTTTAAAACCTACCATTCATGGGGGGATTGCAAATGTCCAGCATCATCCAGGTTCTGTATTTTGAGGTTGATCTAAACCTAAGAAAAATCACCTTAATTCTTTATAGTTACATAGTTGGAGTCTGGAATGGGCACCCTGGCTCAGCCCAGAACTTACTACTTGTTCTGTTGTTGTTGTTTGTTTTGCACTCTTAGCCCGTGTTGCCTAGGCTAAATTCAGTGCCATGGTCACGGCTCACTGCAGCCTCAACTTCTTAGGCTCAAGGAATCCTCCCACCTCAGGCTCCTGAGTACAAGCGTGAGCCACCACGCCCAGCAATTTTTTTTTTTTTTTTTGGTAGTTTGGGCCCAAGTGTTCCTCTAGCCTCAGCTTCTCAAGGAGCTTGGACTACAGGCATGAGCTGCCACGTCCAGCTACTAGAACTTAATTTTGAAGCTCTTTAGTTTCTGTTGTCAAGTCTCTATTAGGTAGACTTTCTGGGGTGGAAGGGGGTCTTCCGGAGGTACCCAGTCAGGCCCCTTTTGTTTCACAGATGAGACTGAAGCCCAGACAGGTCAAGAGAGGTGATTGGACAGATGGTTCCATAGCCAGGTAGTGCCAGTACTCACTAGCCATGGAGATGAGAGCAATCTAGGTAGTTACAATTTGCAAGAGCCCCTTAGTCCGAAGGAAGCAGGAGAGTGCCATTCAGTCCACACAGCTGTCTTGAGAAGAGGGAAAGAACGGATGCGTTCTCAAGGTTGCTTAGCTGTTAGAAGCAGGGAGGCCACCCGAAGGTTTGGTGGCATGTTTTATTCACATGTACAAGAAACTTTCTGATGGAAGGGTTTTCACACTTCACATCAGCATAGGAGTGATCCCTTCATTCCCATGACAAATGGAGAGAGCAAAGGAAAGGAACGTCGTTCAAACTGGTAGAATTGCTTTAGCACCAGGTCGTAAAAAGGGATTGGCCAGGAATTTTTCCTGAATTTATCCAGCTCAGCATCTTTTGATTAGTATTTATACTTGAGAATTTTAGATTTAAAAGATTATTAGGATTAGATAATCTCTGAAGGATAGATCAGCTTTAAAAGCAACTGATTTAAAGGAGGCAAGTTGCTGCTACCTGGTTTCAGTCTGCCACCATTGCTGGCAAAGCACTGCAGTGATCAAAATTAGTAGGAAAGTTACAAACCTTACCACATTTCCCTTGTATAAAGTAGGATCTGGGCCGGGTGCGTTGGCTCACGCCTGTAATCCCAGCACTTTGGGAGGCCAAGGTGGGTGGATCACGAGGTCAGAAGATCGAGACCATCCTGGCTAACAGGGTGAAACCTCATCTCTACTAAAAATATAAAAAAATTAGTTGGGCGTGGTGGCAGGCACCTTTAGTCCCAGCTACTCCCAGGGAGGCTAAGGCAGGAGAATGGCATGAACTCGGGAGGCAGAGCTTGCAGTGAGCCGAGATCGCGTCGCCACTGCACTCCAGCCTGGGTGACAAGAGCAAGACTCTGTCTCAAAAACAAACAAATAAAGTAGGATCCATAAAAACCTCCTGGTTATAGCAGAACTGTTACTTAACAAAAGTAAAAACACAATATCCTAAATCTTTCGTTTTTCCTGTTTCTGAATCGTAAAGTTTCTAGAGAACCAGTTTAACCCATCCTAGATTACACACTTCCCTATTAACTCAATTAGCCCCGAGTGGAGTAACTTCTGTGTGCTTGAGTGAACCATTTAGGGGGAGCATTTTTCTAGTGGACACACTTTATGTGAAGATTTTGGTTGTTAATAAAATAAAGAACTTGGAGAAGGAAAGAAGCAGCAGTCTCCCTCTGTTTGCCCCCAGCCCTCTCTTTTTGGAGCTCTCCGCCTAAGAAAACCTTCTGGGCCACTTCCAAGCCTTCTCCCCATCTCTGTCTCCCACAACACTCTGCCTTGCTTCTCACCAGAATGAGCTTCTATTCAGTCTGCGCAGAATCGCCTGGAATCTCACATCCTGGATCTCCACCATACCTAGCAAGGTGCTTTGTACTGGTGATGAGAGAGCTGGTGTCATACCTGTGTTGGAACCAGCTCTGTAGAAGGCTCATGCTGGCTTCCCTGCTGTGTCTTTGCTAACACTGTGGCCTTGAGCACTCCCCAACTCCTGTCCTCACCTGGAGATGAAGTGTGGGTGTTGTATTTGTATACTGCTTCCCTGCCTGTTGCATGTTAGCTAGCTTCCCCTCATGCCCAGGTGTACCAGAGGCAAATTTAAGCTCTGCTCTTGAAAGCAATCCAGCAAACATTTACAGAGTGGCGCTAAGTGCCCTGCTCTGTGGAGAGATACAGTAATGAGACTGGCCCAGTTTCTATGCCAAGGAGTTTTCTCTCTTGAGAGCTCCTTGTTTATTAGCAGGTAAAGGTTGTGCCAGCCCTTCTCTCTCTTCCTCCCTCCCTCCCTCCCTCCCTCCCTCCCTCCCAGCGTGCTGGGCCCCAGGGAAGTGTAGAACATCACATAAAGCAGTTCTGTCAGCACTGGCTGCCTCCCAGGTTCAACTCCTTGGAATAACTTGGCATGAAGAAGAAAGGCAAGGAGCTGGCTGACCTTACCACTAGCTTTTTGCCTTCGTTCCAGAAACTTAAGCCTGTAGCTTGCTTGAGTGCCTGGGAGAACCATGCTTTGCACTTTGCATTACTACCTGTGGTGTGAGGATGGTTGTTACTGGCTCTTAACCTTGCTTCACACATCTAGGCTAGAGCAGCAAAGGAAACTTTTCTGGTACATTCTTACATCCAGGCCACTAATATCAGACTAGGTAACACAGTCTTAACAACTTTTCTGGATAATGAAGCTAAGATTCAGGGCAAACTCTCATGCCAGGAGGTTTGTTTTGTTTGGTTTCTGCCTTCGAAGTGTCTCTGTTACAGTTCTGAATGAGACTAGAGTGGGATATGGCATTCAGTTGTGTTCCCCCCTCCATTCCCCCTTAATTTGGGGCAGAGAGAGTGGGAGAAAAAAGGAAGCAGATATTTTTAGTTATGTTTGCAGTTACGCCACTGCTGCCTCTCCCTTTGGGGTGTGCTTGCTCATTGGGGAAGCTGGTCGTTCGGTTGTGAGAGCCAGGGCCCTCCAGTTGCTGTCTTCCCTCCTCCTCCCGTCCTGCATCTCCATTTATGCCTGTACCCTCTCTTGTCCCCAGGTGCTGCACCTGTACTGTGACACTTGCTCTGTACCCATCTGTCGTGAGTGCACAATGGGCCGGCATGGGGGCCACAGCTTCATCTACCTCCAGGAGGCACTGCAGGACTCACGGGCACTCACCATCCAGCTGCTGGCAGATGCCCAGCAGGGACGACAGGCAATCCAGGTGAGCCTTCCCTGCCCTTCTGCAGTTCCCACGTGAATCGAGCCCCCCTTTCTGTCGGGTGGCATGGACAGACAATTGGGCAGATTCCAGTGTGGGGGGTGGAATAGTGACCCAAATGAGCTCAGGTGACATCCCTGCAGCAGCGGTCCCTTTAGGGGTTCTGGCAGTCTCGTGAAGATGTCAGGGATGTGGCCAAAGTTACTGGTCAGATTTCTAAGCACCTAGCCTGGGCCCCAACATACCACCTGCACGTGTCCCACCCAGCCACCTCCCGAAATCAAAGTGGACATTGGCACTTTCCAGCCAGGACTGCAGAAAGGCTGGGTGCTTAATGCTTATTACTACTACTACTACTACTACTACTACTACTACTACTACTACTACAACATATTTTTTGAGATGAGTCTTGCCCTGTCACCCAGGCTGGAGTGCAGTTGTGTGATCTCGGCTAACCACAACCTCCACCTCCCGGATTCAAGTGATTCTCCTCCCTCAGCCTCTCAAGTAGCTAGGATTACAGGCGTGCACCACTGCACCTGGCTAATTTTTTTTTTTGAGACGGAGTCTCACTCTGTTGCCCAGGCTGGAGTGCAGTGGCACGATCTCGGCTCACTGCAAGCTCCGCCTCCCAGGTTCACGCCATTCTCCTGCCTCAGCCTCCCGAGTAGCTGGGACTACAGGCGCCCACCACCACGCCCGGCTAATTTTTTGTATTTTTAGTAGAGATTGGGTTTCACCACATTGGCCAGGCTGGTTTTGAACTCCTGAGCTCAGGTGATACACCTGCCTCAGCCTCCCAAAGTACTGGGAGCTACTGAGCCCAGCCAATGCCTTTTATTTATTTGTGTTTTTGAGACAAGAGTCTCACTCTGTCACCCAGGCTGGAGTGTAGTGGTGGGATATCAGCTCAGTGCAACCTCCGCCTCTCAGGTTCAAGTGATTCTGCTGCCTCAGCCTCCCAAGTAGCTGGGGTTACAGGCGCCCGCTGCCATTCCCAGCTAATTTTTCTATTTTTAGTAGAGACGGGGTTTCACCTTGCTGGCCAGGTTGGTCTCGAACTCCTGACCTCAGGTGATCCACCTGCCTCGGCCTCCCAAAATGCTGGGATTACAGGCGTGAGCCACCATGCCCGGCCTAATGCTTTTTAGACAGAGACCTTTGTGATACAGATTTACTTATTTATATGTGAGAAATTAGTGAGCAGAATGTTATGTGAGGTTCGGTGTCTTCAGTCCTTTCCTGGATGGTGAATCCCCTGTAATTGAAACTGTTGTTTCTGTTGAATTCCTATCAACAGCTAGGGAGGGGCATGTGTAACTTTGATAATTGGCAGGGTTCTCTCACATAGGTGATAGTGTGCCTGAATTTCTATTAAATCTTGTCTGATCCAGGTGACAAGGTTTTAGGAAATCAGAAAATTGTGACTTTTCCCTGTGTTATAGGATACTTTGAAAGTCAAGAAAAGTTGTTCACCCTCTAGGAGAAGAAAAATTGTTCACCCTCTAGGAGAAATTACATAGGAACCATTCTAGAATATTTATATAAGTGAATTGTTTTAAAAGTAAGATTCTGGCCAGGTTCAGTGGCTCACGCCTGTGTAATCCTAGCACGTTGGGAGGCCGAGGTGGTGGATCACTTGAGCTCAAGAGTTTGAGACCAGCCTGGGCAACATGGGGAAACCCTACAAAAAGTACCAAAATTAGCCGGGTGTGGTGTGACACTCGCCTGTAATCCCAGCTACTTGTGGGGCTGAGGTGGAAGGGTCACTTGAGCCCCAAAGGTGGAGGTTGCAGTGAGCCAAGATTATGCCAGTGCACTCCAGCCTGGGCAACAGTTAAGACTCTGTTTCAAAAAAAATCCGTTTTGAAAGTGCTAAAGAATTGAGATCATGCCTCTTAACAGAAGAGGGAGGATTTGATTTAATAAGTTTCTCAGCCGCTATCACATTCCCATGCATGATACTGAAACAATCTTTTCTGATGAGTCAGATTTTATGATGTTCAGATCATAAAATTGGAAGTTTGAGAGACTTTCTTGAATGACTAATCCTGTTATTGTTATGCCAGTATTGCTCATTGTCTTTAAAATGCCTTGAGTGTCTCTGTGTTGCTCTTCTCCTTTGTCAGTGTCTTCACCTGTGCATCATTCTGTTGTATATCAGTGCATCTGTCCCTGCGGATGAAGTGGTTTGTGTCTTTCATTTTATGCCACGACAGTTGGGACCTTGACAAATAAATGCCTTACCCTGCTGGTGTCTCCTCGACACCGGTGCCCTCGACACTGTGGCATCGCCTGAGGAACTTAACCACTGGTGTCAGCAGGGCACGGTTGCTCAAACCTGTAATCCCAGCACTTTGGGAGGCCGAGGTGGGTAGATCACCTGAGGTCAGGAGTTCGAGACCAGCCTGGCCAACATGGTGAAACCCCGTCTCTACTAAAAATATAAAAATTAGCCAGGCATGGTGGCAGGCACCTGTAATGCCAGGTACTCAGGAGGCTGAGGGAGGAGAATTGCTTGAATGCAGGAGGCAGAGGTTGCAGTGAGCCGAGATCGTGCCACTGCACTCCAGCCTGGACGACCGAATGAGACTCCATCTCAAACAAACAAACAGACAAACAAAAAGAGCCACTGGTGTCTAGGTCTGAACTCCTAGATTGTGATATGATTTTATTAACCTCTTACTCTCTTAAGAGATTGAAAACAGTTGGAGCATTATTGAGAGAATGCTGGTGCTCTCTGTGCTTAGTGGGAAAAGCCACCATGGGGGAGAAAAAATGAGTTGTAACAATTTGCTGGAGGCTTATTAAGGAGAGCACCAACAAATCATGAGTGGTTAACATGGTGAAATCTCAGAGAAATGGAAATTCACTGGAAATTCTGTGGGGAGAAAAGAGTGTGGGGAAAATAAATATAGTCAGCTGTGTAAGTGGTGAGAACCTAGGCATAAATCCTAGAGGTATGATTCAAATGTTAGTTGAAAGTGTGTGCCCAACATTAATCTGAATACTAGATCATGGGGCATTTTGGGTAGAGGCATTTTAGGTCTGTTAATCTATAACGCCACAGCCAGGTACACTACATAGATTGTGATTTCCTAGAAAGTTTTTGTTTAACCATAACTTGTGTGTGTTTAGCATCCTTAAGTCTTGCTCTATCGCCCAGGCTGGAGTGCAATGGTGCAATCTTGGCTTACTGCAACCTTTGCCTCCCAGTTTCAAGTGATTCTCCTGCCTCAGCCTCCCGAGTAGCTGGGGTTACAGGAGCCTGCCACCACTCCCGACTAATTTTTGTCTTTTTAGTAGAGACGGGGTTTCACCATGTTGGTCAGGCTGGTCTCGAACTCTTGACCTCAGATGATCCACCTGCCTCGGCTTTTCAAAGTGTTGGGATATCAGGTGTGAGCCACCGCGCCTGGCCATTTTTTTTTTTAAGAGACAGGATCTCTCTCAAACTCCTGGGCTTTTAGGCAATCCATCCCCTTTCTTTGGCCTCCCACGTAGCTAGGACTACAGGTATGCTCCACCACACCCAGCTAATTTTTGTATTTTTTGTAGAGATGGGGCTCGCTTTGTTGTCTAGGCTGATCTCACTCAAACTCCTGGCTTCATGCGATCTTTCACCTTGGCCTCCCAAGGCGCTGAGATTAAAGGCATCAGCTACCTTGCCCAGCCTGACAATTTCTTAAAATGTGACACAAGTCTTCATCCCTTCAAATTTTCTCATGAGATGGCAACAATTCAGTCACATCTTCAAGCTCCAGTTCTAATTCTAGTTCTCTTTGTATTTTCACCACATCTGCAGTGACTTCCTCCACTACTTCTTTCTGCTACAAGAAGTTGATCCCAACCCTAATCAGTGACCTTGAGTTCACCCATTAGGGTTGGGATCAGCTTCTTCAAACATCCTATTAATGTTGATATTTTGACCTCTACCTATGAATCACGAATGCTCTTTTATAGTATCTCCAGTTTTAGTATATGTGCTGCCAAAGTGAGTACCACACATGTTCTTAATGGCACCTGGAATGGTAAATTTTTTGCAAAAGGATTACAAATGAGTTTGTCCAGATCCATCAGAGGAATCACTATCTGTAGTAGCTATCGCCTTACGAAGTTTATTTGTTAAATAATAAGACTTGAAAGTTGAAACTACTTCTTGATCCACGGGCTGTAGAATGGATGTTGTGTTACCAGACATGAAAACAACTTTCGTGTCCTTGTGCATCTCTAGCAGAGTCTTCTGGGTGACCAGGTGCATTGTCAATCAGCAGTAATATTTTGAAGGGAATCTTTTTTTCTGAGCGGTAGGTCTGAACAGTGGGTTTAAAATATTCCGCAAACCGGCCTGGCATGGTGGCGCAAGCCTGTAATCCCAGCACTTTGGGAGCCCGAGGCGGGTGGATCACCTGGGATGAGGAGTTTGAGACCAGCCTGACTAACACAGAGAAACAGAAACCCCTTCTCTACTAAATACAAAAAATTAGCCGGTCATGGTGGCACATGCCTGTAATCCCAGCTACTTGGGAGGCTGAAGCAGGAGAATTGCTGGAACCCAAGAGGCGGAGGTTGCAGTGAGCTGAGATTGCACCATTGCACTCCAGCCTGGGCAACAAGAGCGAAACCCTGTCTCAAAAAAATAAATGAATAAATAAATAAAAATTTTAAAAATTCCGCAAACCATGCTACAAACAGACATGCTGTCATCCAGGCTTTGTTTTTCCATTTGTAGAGCACAGGCACGGTAGATTTAGCATAATGCTTAAGGGGCCTAGGGTTGTCAGGATGGACAATGACTGTTGGCTTCAACTTAGTCACCAGCTACATTAGTCCCTACCAAGAGAGTCAGCCCGTCCATTGAAGCTTTGAAGCCAGGCATTGACTTCTGTAGCTATGAAAGTCCTACATGGCATCTTCTTCCAATATAAGACTATGTCTTTCCAATATCAGGCTGTCTCCTTCTAATAAAAGGATGTCTTGAAAGTCTGTTGTTTAGCTGTCTTCATCAATTACCTTAGCTTGTTCTTCTGGGTAACTTGCTGCAGCTTCTATATCAGACTTGCTGTGTCACCTTACACATATATGTTTTGGAGATAACTTGTTTTCTTAAACCGTATCACTCATCCTGTCTTAGCTTCAAACTTCTGCAGCTTCCTCATCTCTCACCCTTCATAGCATTGAAGAGTTAGGTCCCTGCTCAGGCAGGATTAGACTTTGGCTTAAGGAGATGTTATGGCTGGTTTGATCTTTTCTCCAGATCATTAAACTTTCTTCATATCAGCAATAAGTCTGTTTTGCCTCATTGCTGTTTGAGTGTTCACTGGAGTGAACTTCTAATTTATTTCAAGAACTTTACTTTGCAATCACAGCTTTGACTGTTTGGTGTAAGAGGCCTAGCTTTCAGCCTGTCTGTAGCTTTCTACTTGCTTTCTTTACTAAGCTTAATCATTTTAGATTTGTAGGACCTTTTCTTTCACTTGAACACTTAGAGGCCATTGTAGGGTTACTAAGTGGCCTGATTAACACCAAAGATCACTTGTCACAGATCAGCACACCAGATAAAATAATAATGAAAAGTTTGAAATACTGCAAAAATTATCAAAGTGTGACACAGAGACAGTATGGGCTTTTGGAAAAATGACACCAGTAGATTTGGTTGATGCAGTATTGCCACAAATCTTCAATTTCTTAAAAAAAAAAAAAAAACTGGCTGAGTACTGTAGCTCAAAACTGTAACATCAGCACTTTGGGAGGCTGAGGCGGGAGGATCACTTGAGCTCAGGAATTCTATACCAGCCTGAGCAACATAGTGAGATCTTGTCTCTACAAAAAATGAAGAAGGTTAGCCAGACCTCATGTTGCGTGTCTGTAGTCCCAGCTACTCGGGAGGATTGCTTGAGGCCTGGAGGTTGAGGTTGCAGTGAGCCAAGATTACACCACTGCACTCCAGCCTGGGCGACAGAGCAAGACTCTGTCTCAAAAAAGAAAATGTGGGTTTTTCTTTTATTTTCTTTTTTATCTATGAAGTGCAATAAAATGAGGTATGGCTATAGTTTGTGATTATATTTTTTATTATTTTTATTTTTGAGACAGTCTGGCTGTGTCGCCCAGGCTGGAACGCAGTGACAGATCTTGGCTCACTGCAACCTCTGCCTCCCTGGTTCAAGTGAGGAGCTGGGATTACCGGCCTGTACCACCACGCCTGGCTAATTTTTGTGTTTTTAGTAGAGATGGGGTTTCACCATGTTGCCCAGGCTGGTCTTCTCAAACTCATGGTGTCAAGTGATCTATCCGCTTCCACCTCCCAAAATGCTGGGATTACAGGCTTGAGCCACTGCACCCAGCCTCATCCATTTATTTTTAAGATCAGTTTGTGTGATTGTTGTAACCATCTAATAAATCATTTCCAGATGAGGAGGATATGTATACTGAAAGTATATTTCCCCATTGAATGTCTGGTATTAAATTGCAGATGTCAGATGTTCAGTTAACTGTGAATCAGAGTTCCTAACTTATGACTTTAAAGAGACTCACAACTTGTCCTGAGAGTCTTGGTTCTGGAAAGAGCTCCAGATACAAATCCTTGAGTTAATTCTGGATTGTCCTATAAAGAGAATCTACCCTGGTGAGTGTCTAGAGTTGGCCATAACAAGAACAGCATGGAAGATGTAGCACCTCATCACTGTTGTAGGGCATTTAGGGGGCAACCACTCATTTTTATTGCTTTTTTGAACATTCTGTTACTTTCACTTTGCTGCTTTTCTTGAATATATGACATTTTGGTCATGTATGTTATTAGAGGATTCCACAAGGTAAACTGATTTGCTGGGGATAGCGATAAACAGGATCAGGAATAGTTGGTTTCTACATAAGAAAGTTTTGATTCTTCAATTACTATATTTCATCACATTTAAGATGCCATTAATTGTAAGGTGTACATTTATTTTACATACAACTAACAAAGGAAGAAACCCACGGACAATTTAGAGATGAATTATAGATTCAGAGAAAGATGTGATGAAAATTTTATATATGTATATATATATATTTTTTTGAGGTGGAGTCTCACTCTGTTGCCCAGGCTGGAGTTCAGTGCCACGATTTTGGCTCACTGCAACTTCTGCCTCCCGGGTTCAAGTGATTTTCCTGCCTCAGCCTCCTGAGTAGTTGGGATTACAGGTACCCGTCACCACACCTGGCTAATTTTGGTATCTTCAGTAGAGACGGGGTTTCACCATGTTGGCCAGGCTAGTCTCAACTCCTGACCTCAGGCAGTCCACCTGCCTCAGCCTCCCAAGAGTGTTGGGATTACAGGCATGAGCCACTGCGCCTGGCCAAAAATTACATTTTAGAGTGCACCACAGTAGCTCCGCATACCCAGTATGGTCGCCTACAAGTGTATGGGTGATGATTGCATTCTCTTACCTTCTGACCGTTGGGCTCTTTAAATACCACTGTTCTCCACAGTTGGCATCACTGATCGATATCTATATTCTTTCCCTTGAGAGCCAGATTTGGCCCAAGTCTCCACCATGCTGACTGACTGCCACTCAGTAGTCAGCTGGAAAGTGCACTGATTTGCCAGTCCAAATGTAGACCCTCAACTTTTAAATGTTTAATTAGATCTGTTAACATCCCAAAGATGGTTAAATTTTCTCTCAAGCACCATGCTTGTTGGGTGATTTCTCTTTTCTTACTGTGAAATGTATATATCTGTTTTGGAAGTTTACCCAGCCTTTCTACATTGTCATTTCCCCCAACCTATCTGCCCTGTATGTCCTTCAGATGCCCTGCTGTTAGAGGTTGGGAACTAGTTCAATAAGTCCTGGTCTGCACATCTTGGAATGCCATGCTTGGCTGGGTCGTGCGTAATTTGGAAGGGAAAGACCTATTTTTCCACTATGCATTGGGTAGGGCTTTTGTGACTCTCAGCCCAAGGAATATCTTTGCATGCTTGCTGATTATTAAAATTGCAACAAAAGCTTTGAATCCCCCTTTGAACCTGTTTGAAAAATGGAAGAAGCAATTTTTGTCATAAAATGTGAGTTCCAGACATGAGGGATAAGCGATAAGCCTGGCTAGGAGACTAGGGGAAGAGGTGAGTAGGGTAGTACACCCATTCCTATGCAAAGGGAGTGGTGTTTTTGTTTTTTTATTTTTTGAGACAGAGTTTTGCTCTTGTAGCCCAGGCTGGGTCTTTTTTTTTCTTCTAACATATGATAGAAGTTAGATGTAAAAAAATCAATTTGGCAAGTAGTATGACATTAATATTAATAGAAAGCAGTTTGCCACCTCTGCTTTCTATTGAGGAAGGATTAAGAAATGTTACAGACATAGGTTTGGTTGCCTTGGTGAAATATTAGCTTGGACACCAGTTGTGCTAATTAATAACCAACACATCTAAAAATATAGAGGGTGCCGGTTACTAAGTTCTACTCTTTGGGCTCTAACCCTGTCACACTCTTGCCATGTGACACTGGGGCTGTGACTCTTCAAACTACATGTATGGGAAAAGGACTTCTTCCCTTTTTCTTCCAATTCATATTACTTATATTATTATCATATTATATATTTGTTTTGAGACAGAGTCTTGCTCTGTCACCCAGGCTGGGGGGCGCGGTGGTGCAGTCACAGCTTGCTGCAGCTTCGATCTCCCAAGACTCAAGCAATCCTTCCAGCTCAGCCTCCCAAGTAGATGGGACTATACACAAGCGCCACCATGCCTGGCTAATTTATTTTTTTGTAGAGACGGGGTCTCACTCTTGGCCAGGCTGATCTCAAACTCGTGGGCTTAAGCTATCCTCCTGCCTCTGCCTCCCAGAGTGCTGGGATTACAGGTGTGAGCCACCGTACCCGGCCCCAATTTTTAATAGCAATTCTTTTTCACCCTGACAGCAGAAGTTGGTTTCAATTTCAGATCTTGCCACTCTCAGAATTAGCTGGATGTAACCTCACCATCTTATTCTGGGTTCTTGTAACCACAGCTTTCTTTCCTTTGTTCTCTCAGACAAAGCAGAAGAAGCTGCTTCTGCAGGTACTCTCTGCCTCAGTGTGCTCTTTGCCCCAGCAGTTCTCCCATACCTGTTTAACCATTTCCCTATGCTAAATTCTGTTTAAATGTCTAGGGAGCTCTCTTGCTCTCTCTCGCTTTCTCTCTTTTTCCCTGGATGAATCCTGACAGCGTGAGATACTAAAAATGTATCAATGCTATTATGATACCTGCTTATATGCATGCTCATTTGCTTGGCCATTCTGATTTTTTAACTTTTAGGTAATGTGGATGTAATATCTGTCTGCTTCACTTTATTGGCTTCTGTATTAGTTTATCGGGTCTGTTGTAACAATTTACCATAAACTGGATTACTTAAAACAGCAGGCCAGAAGGCCAAGATCAAGGTGTCGGGACCATGCTCCCTCTGAAGGCCCTCAGGAAGACTCATTGCTTTCCTCATCCTGGCTTTTGGCAGTTGCCAGCATCCTTGGCTTGTACCTGCATCAGTTTCCGTTTCTGCTTTGGTCTTCACGTGGCTTTGTTCTCTGTATCTGTGTCTGCACATGACCCTCTGTGAACATCAGTTTTGGGATTTAAGATTCAACTTAATCTACTATAACCTCATCTTAGCTAATTATATCTACAAAGACCCTATTTCCACACAAGGTCACATCCTGGCCCACATTTAGTTGAGCCTGATGTTTGGAGGGACAATATTTAACCCAACACAGCTACCTAGTGCTTTGGTAAACATGGTTATGGCTAGAGATGTGCAAATATAAAATTTATAGATTGTTCTGCTAATTGTTCTGCTAAATCCCAGGTGGCTTAAGTATCATGGGCTTTGTACTTAGCTCCTGCTTTGATATGTAATGGTACTTGAGACAGGATTGTAAAGGTGGAGCAGAAACATTACAGAAATGTGCTGTTCCCTTCCAGCTTCAGAAGGGAAGTGGCATCAGAACTGGGTTTGGAAATTTAGGGTGAAGCATTCCAGGCTGTGGATATCCTGTGAGCCCTCTGGATCTACCCAGTTCCCCTGTGAATCAGCTCAGTGGATCCTTAGGTCACACAGGATCCTCTTAGGCAGAGAATGCAGTGTGGCACCTAACCACTGGAGTCACGGGTGGTGTGCTTTTTTGTTTTGTTTTGTTTAAATAAAGACCAGGTTTCACCATGTTGGCCAGGCTGGTCTTAAACTCCTGAGCCCAAGTGATTTGCCTGCCTCGGCCTCCCAAAGTGCTGGGATTACAGGCATTAGCCTCTGTGCCTGGCTTCCATGGGTGTTTTTGGGGCTGCACCTTTGAGCGTGTCTTGCATGCCATGAATGTGTCAGCTGTCATCCAGAGCAAGTCAAACTGTTGGGCAGGAAGAATATTCATAAAAATAAGGTAGATCGTGTATTGTATGATGATGCCATCTATATGAAATACCCAGAACAGGCCAGGCGCAGTGGCTCATGCCTATAATGCCAGCACTTTTGGAGGCCTAGGTGGGCAGATCACTTGAGCCCAGGAGTTCGAGACCAGCCTAGGCAATGTGACAAGATTCCCCCATCTCTATTTGAAAAAAAAAAAAAAGAAAGAAAAAGAAATGCCCAGGACAGACAGATCTGTAGAGAGACAGTAGATTAGTGATCGCCATGGGGTAGAAGGAGGGAAGTGGAAATGACTCCTTAATGGTAATGGCCTTTGCTTTTTGGGTGGTGAAAATGTTCTGTAGCTAGATAGTGGTGGTGATTATACAACACTGAACATACTAAGTGTGACTAATGGTAAATTTTATGATAGGAGCTAAGTGGCCTGACGGGACACAATGGCTGAACTTTTGTCCCAGGTGTTTTATCAGCTGAGAACTATTAATAACAGTGTTTTACTCTGTGCCAGGTGCTGAGCTCAGCTCTACCCATGCATTTCCCTCACATCTACCTTTACCAAGGTTGGAGAGGACCAGGAGCTTGTCCAAGGCCTTACAACTAGTAGGAGGCCCTAAACTAACCCAGGATTGGAACCTGGGTTACCTGACTCCAGGGATGACTGGCCTGGTTTGCCCCGGACTGTCCCAGTTTTAGCATTGAAAGTCCCACATCCCAGAAACCCCTCAGTACAGAGCAAACTGGATGATTGGTCACTCTGATTCCTAAGCCCATACCAGGCTCCAGTTTGGGCTTCCCTGACACCCTCCTGATTGAATCACCTACCCGAAACCTGTTGTACCAAGAGCAATCACTTTGGAATCCCTGATTTAATAGCTCGGTATCTCAACCATGTAATATTAATGATAACACCATGCCTTCTGTCTGGATTAATTAACAATAATACGTCTGATTAAACTGGCTGATTTACTACGGCTGGTACAGGGTGGCGTGTGTGATGACGTGTAGATGGTCTCTGACCACGGGGCACAGCTCCTTAGGTAGATCGGGGGATATTCCCAGTGTGCACTTGGTGTTCGTTCTGGCTGGGGTGAGCTGTGTTGCCAGTGCCTTGACAAAAGCAGGATGGATTAGCCACTACCCTGTCGCACACCCTCACGTAAGGGATGTTCCTGGCCTGCGGGGTTTCGCCTAGGCAGAGGGTGAGGCCAGGAAGTCTGGGGAAGTTGCTTGTGTGGCTGGAGTTGTACATTTTACATCTGATCCTCATTCCCAGTTTTCATCTGTCACCCAGCTACACTGGTTTTGCTGTGTCAGAGTATCTCTTAATAGTTCTGACATTCACTGTGTAGGTGCTATTTCTCATGCAAAGAAATCCAGCTCTTGCCAGCAACTCCTTTAGTTACATGTCAAACAGATGCCAGTCTCTCCCTAAGTGCCTGTTTTCCTTCCAAGGGAGTGAATCAAGTGGTCTGGGAACCCAGGGTGTCAGCTTTTCAAGTCTGACAGAGCAGATTCAAATGTTTTGTATAAGGAATGACAGTCCTTCTAATGCCTCGAAGTTGTTTCTTTTTGGTTTTCCAGCTGAGCATCGAGCAGGCCCAGACGGTGGCGGAACAGGTGGAGATGAAGGCGAAGGTTGTGCAGTCGGAGGTCAAAGCCGTGACGGCGAGGCATAAGAAAGCCCTGGAGGAACGCGAGTGTGAGCTGCTGTGGAAGGTAACAGGGAGAGCTCCCCCACCCAGGCTGTGCCCACTCGGCTTCCATGAACCTCAGCAGCACTCTACGGGACTCTTTACAGATCCAGGAGCCAAGCTCTAAGTTTAAAACACTTCGTAATTTTCCAGAAAGCCTGTTAGCAGAAAGATGCAGGGGGTCCCTGGAACATTGTGGGTGCTGTCTGCAGTAAAACAACAAGAAGCCTTTTCAGAAGTACGTGGGTAACCAAGACTGGAAGCGGTCTCCAGTTTTATATTGCATTCACTCAAAAGGAGGCTAAAGAAGGGAGCATAGTCGAAACTGTTGTTAAGAAAGGCAGGCTGGTAGGAAACATCCCTATTTTTGGTGACCTGGCTGGTTGCACTTCCTGACCTCTTGTGGAAAACCAGTTTTCCTCTTCGGAGGGCAGTGAGTGTGTGTCCTTTCTTCCTGTTGGAGCAGGAAAGAGTGCCGAGCACACTAGTGTGCTGTTTAGATAAAAATCAGCTAGAAAGACTACTTGCCCCACCCAAGCCAGCATTCCAACTGTTCCTTTTCTGATTTTATGTCCCCACTCAGAAAGGAGGAGAGTTAGGTCTATGAAAGGGCCAGTACTCCATGCCAATTCTTTAACTATAATTACATTCTCTGAACACACGAAAAAGACTAGAGCTGATTTATAAGGGTATCCTTGTGGAGTGTGCCTGTTTCCATCTCCAAACAATATGATGATGGTGGGGATGGCACCTCAGTTTCTGCAAGTGAACTTTGCTAACTACTGGGCCCTACAATGTTCTGCAAGGTGTCCCTGGATTTTGCATTGCATTTTCCATTTAGTTAACTTCACAACTGGATGGATGCTTTCTGCCTCTTCTGACCTCTTAAGGAATATGGCTCAATTGCTTTCTGACAAGAGACTTTGGAGGTGTTAGTCCAAGATTTTTAATTCAGCATATTTTTTGAGCACCTTTGTGGGCATGACATCATTTTCAGACACTCAGATGTCCCCATGGGTCTGCCAGTGTTATGCCACCCACGAATGTTAATTATAACTGAGGGGCCCATTTCTTGCAACCTGAGAGCTTTGTAGTGAACTCTGCCACAAACTCGCTCTTCTGGATTTCCTGATGAAAAAGGCCTTTGTGTGTGGGGGTTTCTGCCGCTTTCACCTTAGTTACCCTCCCTCCTGTGAGGCTGACCCACTGTCCTCTCTAAAGGCAGTTCTGTTTCAGAAGAAATAGCAAGTTTTTACTCTTGGGAGAAGCCTATTTGAAAGAAGAGTCCATCCCTTCTTCATTGTAGTAAGCAGTTTCTGCTTGCCCAAAAATTCATCCTCAGAGCATTCCAAAATAAGCTTCCTTATTTTGGATACTTTTGCTATAGAACCTTGCTCCAAATCCTGTGGGGTCCCTCTCTCTTTGACTAATTACTGACTTTTTTTTTTTTTTTTTTTTTCTGTTCCTTCCCAGCAAATCCCTCTTACTTTGCCTGTCTCTGTCTGGGCATCTCTTTGTTACAAGTTTTGTTTTCCTGCATCTCTGGTTACTTTAAGATATATAAGTGCAAGGATTAAGATAACCCTGTTGTAAATATCCAGATGCCTCTCTTCATTCTTGGGCCTTATGTATTTCCAGTGGACTTGGCTACCTCATGGGGTTAGCTGCATATATATAGTTCATGGGTAAGAACCAAAGGTGGAGGTTTGGCCTAATGGGCAAATATTCTTTAATCTGTCCCCACGTGGGCCTCTCCATACACATGTATCCTGGTTCACTGAACAGATGAAAAAGCAGGAATGAGTCGAAATCATATAATCACCCCTCCCACCCTAAAGGGAAAGTCAGGTTGAAATCCAGCTCTTTCAACAGTGGACGCTTATTCTGAAATAGCCTTCTATGGCTTTCAGATCTGTAGAACAACTCAAGTCATGGTCCTCTGTGAAAACTGTTTGGATAAGTTCATTCGCTTCACAGGGGGAAATTGCTTAGAATTAGAGAACTTTTAAAGAATAGAGAAACTAATGTTTCATTGGTAAAACAAAATTCCATATTTCTAAATAGCATGGTTTGAGAACCTCAAGCAGGAATTATTTTGGCAGGTTAGAATCCATGTCCATATATATTATAGCATTTTAGATTTAAAGGGCTCTTTTGGAAATAATACAGACATGCCAAAAGCGTGCTATGTTAAAATTTGGGGTACAGGGCTTCTCAGGTTCCCAGTTGGGTTTTTAAAACCATTCTTAAAATACAGAAGTAAAGAGAAACTGGCCCAAGCACAGTGACTCACGCCTGTAATGCCAACACTTTGGGAGGCTGAGGTGGGAAGATTGCTTGAGTCCAGGATTTTGAGGCCACCCGTGGCAACATTAAGACCCCATCTCTACCAAAAAAAAAAAAAAAAAAAAAAAAAAAAAAAAAAAAAAAGGTGCCCTGTGGTGGTGGTCTCCTTTAATACACATTTCCCAAGCTAATCCTTTTGCGGTTTGTTGTTGTTGTTGTTGTTGTTTTGAGACGGAGTTTCGCTCTTATTGCCCAGGCTGGACTGCAGTGGCACGATCTCGGCTCACTGCAACCTCCGTCTCCTGGGTTCAAGCGATTCTCCTGCCTCAGCCTCCCAAGTAGCTGGGATTACAGCCACCTGCCACCACGCTCGGCTAGTTTTGTATTTTTAGTACAGAGAAGGTCTCACTATGTTGGCCAGACTGGTTTTGAACTCCTGACCTCAGGTGGTCCACCCATCTTGGCCTCCCAAAGCATGAGCCACTGTGCTGGGCCCCAAACTAATTCTTTAAGAATATGAATCTGTCATGTCACTCCCCTACTGAAAGCTGTGGTTGTGAAATGCTGAGCCTGTGCCCACAGCAGGACCTTTGCTGTTTCCTTTGCTGAGATAGCTCTCCCTATGGCCTTTTGCCTAGTCTCAACCTGTAGGTCTGAACTTGTGAAAGGCACTGTCCCTCAGTGCTCTTTGTCTGTATCAGGGCCCCTAGACACTGTCTTTCACATCCTTTTTCTACTTTTTAACACCTATCACTATCTGACATGATCCTTATTTCTTCGTTTGCTTTTGAATACTGCTTTTCTAAACTACAACTCTGTGTGAGCAAGGACCATATTTTATATTTTCTGTGGGTTACTGCAGTACCTCCAATGCCTGGCAAAGTGTAGGTGCTCAGTACACTCCTTTGTCAAATGGCTGTTTTTGGTTTTGGTGGTGGGATCTTGCTATTTTTTTAAGGTGGGATCTTGCTGTATTACCCAGGCTGGAGTGCAGTGGTTATTCACAGACACAGTCATGGCACACTACAGACTCAGCCTCCTAGGCTCAAGTGATTCTTCCACCTCAGCTTCCCGAGTAGCTGGGATTACAGGTGCACAGCACTGTGCCCAGCTCTAGATGGCTGTTTTTAACTTTTATTTTTTTTAATTTATAGCTTACAGAAAAGTTGCAGTAATAGTAACTCCATATATTCCTTCTCCAGATTTACTGATTATGTACGTTTTGTCCCAATTATTATTATTATTATTATTATTATTATTATTATTATTATTATTTTGAGACGGAGTCTCGCCCTGTTCCCTAGGTTGGAGTGCAATGGTGTGATCTCTACTCACTGCAACCTCCGCCTCTCGGGTTCAAGCGATTCTCCCCACATCAGCTTCCCAAATAGCTGGGATTACAGGCACCTGTTACCACACTTGGTTAATTTTTGTTATTTTTAGTAGAGACAGGGTTTTGCCATGTTGGCCAGACTGGTCTCAAACTCCTGACCTCAGGTGATCTGCCTGCTTCATCCTCCCAAAGTGCTGGGATTAGAGGCATGAGGCGTGCGTGTATGTGTGTGTGTGTGTATGTATGTATGTATGTATGTGTATATATGTTTGTGATCTGAGAGTGAGTTGGCATATTGGAAACACAATGCCTTTACCCCTAATCACATTACAATTACAGAAATCAGGAAATTTGATTTTGATACAGTACTAGCATCTACTCCTCAGTCCATAATCAAGGTTCAACAATTGTCCCAACAGTGCTTTTCATAGCTAGCCACTCCCTCCAGTCCAGAGTCACTAATTACATATAGTTGTCCTGTTTCTAGTAACTATCCTCTGTAACCCAGAACAGTTCTTCAGGTTTTTTGGTCCATTTTGATTTTGCTGCTTTTGAAGAAAGACAGATGTCTTTTGTAGACCATCCCACAATATGTGTTTGTCTGATGCTTCCTTGTGATTAGTTGTGGCTTATGTGGTATTTTCTGTGCTTGGCTCTAAGCCTCTGTGTCTTTCTCCACTCTTGCTTTTCCCTCCAGGTAGAAAAGATCCGCCAGGTGAAAGCCAAGTCTCTGTACCTGCAGGTGGAGAAGCTGCGGCAAAACCTCAACAAGCTTGAGAGCACCATCAGTGCCGTGCAGCAGGTCCTGGAGGAGGGTAGAGCGCTAGACATCCTACTGGCCCGAGACCGGATGCTGGCCCAGGTGCAGGAGCTGAAGACCGTGCGGAGCCTCCTGCAGCCCCAGGAAGACGACCGAGTCATGTTCACACCCCCCGATCAGGCACTGTACCTTGCCATCAAGTCTTTTGGCTTTGTTAGCAGCGGGGCCTTTGCCCCACTCACCAAGGCCACAGGCGATGGCCTCAAGCGTGCCCTCCAGGGTAAGGTGGCCTCCTTCACAGTCATTGGTTATGACCACGATGGTGAGCCCCGCCTCTCAGGAGGCGACCTGATGTCGGCTGTGGTCCTGGGCCCTGATGGCAACCTGTTTGGTGCAGAGGTGAGTGATCAGCAGAATGGGACATACGTGGTGAGTTACCGACCCCAGCTGGAGGGTGAGCACCTGGTATCTGTGACACTGTGCAACCAGCACATTGAGAACAGCCCTTTCAAGGTGGTGGTCAAGTCAGGCCGCAGCTACGTGGGCATTGGGCTCCCGGGCCTGAGCTTCGGCAGTGAGGGTGACAGCGATGGCAAGCTCTGCCGCCCTTGGGGTGTGAGTGTAGACAAGGAGGGCTACATCATTGTCGCCGACCGCAGCAACAACCGCATCCAGGTGTTCAAGCCCTGCGGCGCCTTCCACCACAAATTCGGCACCCTGGGCTCCCGGCCTGGGCAGTTCGACCGACCAGCCGGCGTGGCCTGTGACGCCTCACGCAGGATCGTGGTGGCTGACAAGGACAATCATCGCATCCAGATCTTCACGTTCGAGGGCCAGTTCCTCCTCAAGTTTGGTGAGAAAGGAACCAAGAATGGGCAGTTCAACTACCCTTGGGATGTGGCGGTGAATTCTGAGGGCAAGATCCTGGTCTCAGACACGAGGAACCACCGGATCCAGCTGTTTGGGCCTGATGGTGTCTTCCTAAACAAGTATGGCTTCGAGGGGGCTCTCTGGAAGCACTTTGACTCCCCACGGGGTGTGGCCTTCAACCATGAGGGCCACTTGGTGGTCACTGACTTCAACAACCACCGGCTCCTGGTTATTCACCCCGACTGCCAGTCGGCACGCTTTCTGGGCTCGGAGGGCACAGGCAATGGGCAGTTCCTGCGCCCACAAGGGGTAGCTGTGGACCAGGAAGGGCGCATCATTGTGGCGGATTCCAGGAACCATCGGGTACAGATGTTTGAATCCAACGGCAGCTTCCTGTGCAAGTTTGGTGCTCAAGGCAGCGGCTTTGGGCAGATGGACCGCCCTTCCGGCATCGCCATCACCCCCGACGGAATGATCGTTGTGGTGGACTTTGGCAACAATCGAATCCTCGTCTTCTAATTGCATTTCCTAGGTTTCTGTGTTTGGGGTGTGTGTGCGTGTCTCTCTCTCTCTCTCTCTCTTTCTCTTTCTCTCTCTTTTTGAATTTCAAAGAAGAAACAGTCTCAGGGAAATTTCTTTTTTCTTTTTTTTTTTTAAAGAGAACAAGAAAAGTACAACATTGCTTAAGTCCTACCTCATCTTTATTTTTTTACAGATGAATGTACTTATCTTTTCTGCAGGGATTGAGCCTGTGAAGTGATAATTTCTATCTACCTCATAAATCTTTACATTTCCTTCTGCAACAGGCCCTCTTCCCCTCCTCAGTGGAGTTTGCATTTCCCTCTTCCCCTGCGTGGGGCATGATATGCACAAGCCTGGCATCTGTATGGCTGGGAGGGCACTGGATGTGTGTGGTGGGGTGTATTCTGTAGATTGAGCCAAGGAAACACAAAAAAAAACTACTAAGTAAAAAAACAAAAAACTATAAAACATGGAAAAAATAGGATTTGAAATGCATAATTATAGAATACCTGTGTTCTTGAGAATACTGTTTATATGGGGTTTAGATTATGTTGTGTTGTTTTGATCTTTTTGGAAAATCTTCTCTTTTTAAATGCTGCAACAGAGAAATTTCCTCTGTTCTCTGTTTATACCTCAGTGTGTTTAACATCCTCTTCTGCATCGTTTCTTGATCTTAGACGTTGTGGCTGTGGCTTGCTAGCCAAGAAAAGCAGACCCTTCATATTTTAGGGTATATAATCTTTGTTTCTTTTAAGGGAGGGTGTGTGCATGTTTGTTTCAAAGCCATCTTGCACCCAAGTAGTAAAGCTGAAAATGACACACTGCCTCCCAAAGAACCTCTCCTTTTCACACTTTGGTTTCTTAAAAAAGTATATAGATGGTAGCTCAGGATTTTTGATTAAACATATTCTCAAAAGTTATGCTTTCTTATTTTGCTGTTAGGTTATAAAGGGTTAAATGGAAGGAAAAAGGAAATTAACCTCGTTCTCAGAGAGAGGGTTTTCAGGCATGGGCTGACGTGGACATGAATGTGGGTGGACATGCGTGTGCTGAGGGAGTCAGGGAGCACATTAAAGAACAAGGCACCCCCAAACTATAGGAACTCCACAGAAAGGGCAGGGTCTGCCCTGACCCGCGAGTGCATGTTGTTCTGTAGTGCTAGGGGTTTCTTTTCCTAAGAAGAGTAGGCAAAGGAAAGAACTTTTATTTTACAAGCACAATTTTTTCCTGCTTTGAAAGTTCAGGGAAATAGAAGGTTTGAAAGTCAAATTAATACCAACAGCCCAGTCCCACACCCTCTGCTTGGGTCACTTTTTATAGGATTGTTTGCACCCAGGCCATGCTTTAGGACCTCATGGTTAACATGAATCCCCCCGCCCCCTCTCCCCCCAAGGCCTTTGACCATAAAGGATCTAGAAACCAAATTGTCCCAACCTGAAATGTAGGATGTAATGTCTTTTCTTAAACCTGTAACTCGGTACCAAAGAATGAAAATTTAAGGCTCCCACTGCAGAACTGTGGGGTAGAATCTGTGTCACTTTACAGGATTGGTTGGTTGTAAGCTGGACTTGGGTACAAAACTTGTGCTTCTGGGCATTGTCTGTCTTTCAAGTGCAAAGCAGATGTAGCTGATACCCTGCTTGTCAGAACCCAGTGGGTTCCTGCAATGCCCCAAATACTGAAATAAGAACCAAATTCTGGAGGAGCCCTCCTCAGGGAAAAGAGGGACTCTCAAACAAACGTCAGTGACTTACAAGGGAGACCTCTTGTTTAAAGACTTATGGATCAACTTCTGTTCCTCTGTTTAAGAGAAATTTCTATTGCAAAATGGGTATCGTTTTAAATGAGCAGAACAGATTAACAAATGGAGCAATTTGTTTCTGTTATCCCAATAGAAAAGGAGATGATGGGGACAGTGTGACAAGTCAATCAAGTTGCTTTTCCCGTACACCTCTTTTGGACGTTTAATTTACTACTACTACAAGCTACTCTGTCTCTTCCCATTGCTTTAATTCTAGGGTTTCTGAGTGACCAAAATGGGAAGGAAAAAAAAAACCTCATCTCACAGAGGAGAACTGCATGCAATAAAAGATTCAAAAGTTGGAAAGTAGCTTCAAACTGCTGCTGGCTCCCAGCTGCTGTTACAGGGTGGGAAGGTGTTAGGAAATGTTGTTTGTTAGAAGCTCCTTTTACTGTAGAATTTAATAGTGAATCCTTCCCCAATGCCTATTCAGTTGCCTTTTGGCCGTTAAGCTCTAAGTTCTTTGGTAAAGAGTTAATATAATTAAACATTTTTACTGTTTTCTATTTTGGAGTAACTTGGTGCTGATCTTCCTTCCCTTTCCCCAGCTGCCCAACAAGCCACCCTTTAAACACCAAAGACAACTGGTTTTAAATGCTTGAAAAAAATTTTATTGAGGAGATGGATCTTGATTAAAATCTTTTCATCATCATTTTCATTCTGCTCTTTTCTTTCTAATTTCCCCAGATGTAGGAAAATTTTGGGACCTGAATGAGAAATGTTCTTGGTGCATAACAGTAACTAGAGCTCCTTATTTGACATTTTACTATGGATGTGATCGAAAAGCCAAGATTTTCGCTCCATGGCTGAAATTATCAGGTCTTAATTTACAGACTTGTAAATTTGCAGGCTTAGAGCAACTAGAACTATCCCCTGAAATAGGTGTGTAGGTCAGAGATACTACCTCTTTGTCCTCAGTGGTGGTATATCTATCTCCTTACCTTTCTGTACCCAAAATGGTGCATGACTGGTATTTGAGAAACATGGTCACATTTGGAAAGCTTTTGTTTTTAAAACATTGGCGGTTTTTCCTGCCCGTGGTTGACTCCTGACCCATAGGGATTGGTGCGAAGCACTTTGGAGAGTGTTTATTGTATGATGTGAAATGTTCTAAATCAAAGAAAGATGATAAAAGCCAACATTTGGCAGTCCCTAGTGTGAAACTGTGAAAAGTACCTGTGTTTAAATGCATAATCTCCTGCCCGGGTAATGCCAGGTAGCCAGGAGTTGGGTCAAAGAAGGGAGTCGTCATCCTGATGGAAAAAATAAGGTCCTGGGTATTATGAGGTAGGAGAATAAAAAGGTTTCTGGGGAGTAAGTATGACAATTACTAGTCCCCATGGAGGTCTGATCTGGTCAGGTGGCAAGGGTTGGGTGGGGTATGATGTAAGCTCAGTTTATGTGTGGAGATGCCCATTGGGTTTGGATATATAGGTTTGAGTATTGAGATGTTTAAAGGACATCTAACCCATAGGTAAAAACTACTTTTGCTTGACACTGACTTAACATTTCAAAAGTGTTATTTTTGGTCCCAAGATCTAATGCTGTCTCAGAACATGTGCCCTGTTGTGGCTGCAAGTGGCACTCAAGTTGACTAGAGCACAGTGACCTGGGTTGTACCCCAAGTGCACTAACTCCTCAATGCCCTTTTAAGTCTAACTTATTTGGGAAACACATAACAAAGGGTACCATAAACCGAATCCAAATTACGTGTTGGGCCAAAAATGTTGCCAGAACTGAGGCACTTTGTGATGGAGTTGCAAGAGATAGCTTGAGATCGGCTCAGTCTGATTTATTCTAGTTAAGCCAAAGCTTAATTATTTGAGGAGGAAAGTCTTTTAGGCTTGAAGCAGCAAAATACTGTTTATATATGTGTTACCTTCCTCGTTGGAAGATTCTACGATTGCTCTGTTCTGGTAGGTGGTGAAAGATATGCCAAAGTTTTAGGCTTGTTTTTCTGATCTTATTTTTTTAATCCAGTGGTGCCAAAAAGTATTTAGGGTATGTTTAAGGTATATTTAAAACATCACTCTGAATGAGTTTCCAACAGTCTGGGGCTGTATAAAAGTCACACTCTTGTACTTGCAGGTGATGGTGTCACAGGGCCAGGGCCTCCAGAGCTCTACGGCTTTCTCTGGTTTTCTATAGGGCCAAGGGCACAGGACGCAGCATTCCAGACCACACTGACTGCTTTTGCTGAGTTTCTACCTCACTTGTGGCAAGTCATCTACCTCATGTTAGCATCTGACAGGTCTCAAAAAGAATAGTATTAATCCAGTGGGCAGTGGGTGGGAGTGGGAAGCTACCTCTAAAAGAAATGTTACCATAAATCTACAACTGATTTCTCCCAGGAGAAATGTTCTACTTACCTTGAAAGAGAAATGTCAGGCAAATGTAGTCATAAATCCAAGTAGTTCTTAGCAATCTGGCTTTTCCCCCTCAAAAAGAATTATGCATACCATTACTGTTGTTCAGTATTATGAAACTACTGGTTAATCTGACCTATTGGAGGACTTAACTACAAATAAAGACCTTTAGGTCTCTTTCTCTTCAAGAGAAAAATATTTTATCTGTATTTCGAATGTCTGCAAATAATACCCTTTAGGAGCAATTCTAAAGGTCTAGATCTTGGAAACATCAAATATTTGAAGGGAATGAGAATCCTCTTGACTTCATGATTGTATTTGTAGCTCTCTGGACCCGGCAGGACGTTCATCACCATGATGTTGCAACAATCACTGTTTTGACTGAGCAGTGACTGTTGAAGTGTGTATTGCTCTTTTGTTTTGTTTTTATTTTTTTCTACCAAAGGTAACATGTTGACGGGTTTTTTTTTTCCTTGTTTATTAAATACTTGATAAAGTTGAGAAGCACATTACCAGGATATACTGTATTGACCCTCCCACCTCTCTTCTGCCCTAATTTTTGGTTGTTTGGAAGAGAGGAGGGTCCTAAGACCACTGTCATTATCATGAGGGGCTTATAAATGTCATGGTGAAGAAATACCTCAATGATGTCTATTTTTAAAACTGATCTTACGGGTTAACAAGCCAGCCTGGTGGGATATTTTCCATCATCATTTAACCAATAATGGTTCTAAAAGTTTTGTGTATCCACATGGTCTTAGACCTCCTTTTAATGATTGTATTAACTTACAAGCTCAGGTAGTATTTTTCTTAAGACTCTATCTCAGAGCACACTGACTGAATGTTGATGTGTGTAGCAAAGTGTTTACTTTCTTTAAATAACCAGCTCTGTAACTCTGTAAGTTCTTTGTGTTTCTAGCAGTCTGTGTAGTTGTCTTTCTTCAGAGGAAGATTTTTCACATTTCTGGGGTTTTCTTGCTTTTAGGGTGGTAAGATTCCTTTCTTTTTTTCCCTTTTCTCCTAAAATCGATGCAGGTAAGGGTGGGTGGGTAAGGGGTGTTGTTTTTTAACTAGCATGTTAGTTATACTTGGGTGGGTGGGAGGGTTGTTAAACTGAATCTTGCTTAATACTGTCCATTAGCTCTCATGCCGGGTCAGCAAAATGCTTTAATTTTTAACTGCAGAACATGTGACTCGGTTGAGTCTTTTTGTCTTTTTTTTTTTTAAATAAACAATTGGGGGAATTAATGTGGGCAAGTTGCCTTATGTTAGAATGACTAAGTTAAACCTCTTAATTTGTATTTGTCCAAGGCAGACATGATATAAGGAATATGCACTACCGTAGTAACTCCCCTGGCCGCAGAAACCACACTGCAAGCCTGTCCGGGGTGGGGTGCTGACTGCCATTTGCCACTTTTAAATGGGCACTGCCGTGGTAATGTGAATCCCATCAATGCAGTAGATGGGTGGGGAAATGAAGATTTCCCCCCAAACCTTTAGGCAAAAGTGAGTTTTTGTTTGGTTGATTTTGGGTTTTTTTCCCCCCTCCTCTTTTGGCTTTCACATTTTAAATCTTAAATGTTACTATTGCAGGCCGCAGGCATGACAGGCAATGAGCAGGTGAAGAACCAATGGAAAAGTGTTCAAAAACTCCTGTGTTAGCTAACAGGCTTCTGAATGTATCACTGTGGTCCACAGAGAAGGCTGGAGGAGGTAGCAAGGAGATGCTGTATCAGCTACTACAGCCTTAAAACAAAGTTGGTGTCTCTTTGGACTTTAAAATTGTTCCTATGCAGCTTATTTTATTTTTGTTTAATCAAATAAACGAGGGTTTTTCCATGGCTACAGTGTGTCTGTGTGATCCTTTAATCCATAGTAAATAAGGGTATGTGCACTGTACTGGATGGAAAGGGAGTCCCTGAGGTAGACAGTCCAGGAGCTGTACTGTGACTGGTGGGCCAGATTGGGCCCATGCGGTGCCTTCAAAAAGAAAAAGGTGATGGGAGCATTTTTAAATAGAGTAAATGTTAAAGAGCCTAAAAGTTATGGATTGTCACGAAATTTCAGACCTGGAAGCCTTGTATGTATCTTCTCCCAAGGAGCTGAGTAGCAGATGTCCCTCTAGAGGCAAATATGTGACTTCCCAGCTGCCACCACCCTGTCCCCCTTTCTCTGGAAGGTCTTGGCCTTATCACCTCTGTCTGAGTAGAGGTACCTGGGAACCATTTGGGGTCTAAACTGTGGCCCCAGGAGATGTGAGCAACTCATCCAACTGGCTTCTCCCTCAGTGGGGGGATACCGTAGATGCTGGGTGGATAAAGACTGTTAATCGTGAGCTTAATGTGTTCAGAACTTTATTTGGGATTTCATTTTTCACTGGACTTCATTTTCCCAACTTTGCTCACCTATTTTCTTTCGAGTCATACAGCCTCAGGCTTGACTTTGGAATGCAGTATCTGACAAACTAGAGAAACCAGCACCCTGGGTTCTACTTTTCCTGATGTTTTTTCCTGTCCTGTGTCCCTTTCCTGCTGTGAGACGTTTACACAGGTTCTAATGGTGTTGGGTCTTCACTACAGTACAGGAAACACCCTCTTAAAGTGCAGACCCTCAGTACCTGACTTGGGAACCTCTGCTCTTTCCTTCACTCCTTCCCATGTTGGTGTTGATACCTTCAGCTTCAAAATTAACACATCCTGATTAGCAGTTTCAAAAAGACCCTGAAGTGTAAATGGACTCTGAATTCTTGTCTCCATTCTTCCTCTTCCCATCTTCCATCTTTTTTGGGAAAGTCCTCTCACTTTCCCTTTTACCCATAGCTGGACACAAGGGAAGGCTTTTTTGTTGAATATAAAAGTTGGGTAGATGCACTTTTTCTTTTAAGAAAGGAAAGGAATCTTTTCTCTTTAATCTGTAAAAAAATACCTAAGAGAAGCTAATACAAGGAGGCAGGACCCATTTCTGAAGGAAGTGCAGGGAAGGGAAGCATACAAAGAACACCTGATCTTCAGTCTCCCTGATTTTCACAGCCTCTTTGACAGGGTGAAATGACCCTTGAAAGGGCTTAGAATGCCTATACCTCTTTGTAGCAGGCCATTAGGCTGCCTTTCTTAAAGGTTAACAGCCAATAATACAGTAGTGAGTATTGGCAAGGATGTGGAGTAATTGGAACCCTCGTATATGGCTGGCGGGATTGTGAAACGGTAAAGACAATTGTTGAACACATCTTGACAGTTCATCATAGCGTTAGACATAGAACCCAGCAATGTCAATCTTAAGCACATATCCAAGAGGATTGATGACATGTCCACACAAAAACTAGTACATGAATGTTCATAGCAACATGATTCATAATAGCCCCAAATGCAGGCAACCCAAATTTCCCTCAACTGAAAACTGGATAAACAGCCATAAAAAGGAATGAGGTACTAATGCATGTTATGACATGGGTGAACCTTGAAGTGTTAAGTGAAAGAAGTCAGGCACGTAACTGCACATACATGAAATGTCCAGAATAGGCAAATAGGTACAAATAGATATGTGGTTGCCAGGGCCTTGGAGGTTGAGAGGAATTGGCAGTTTTCTTTGTGAAACTCCATAGCAGCCATGGATATTGAAAGTGCTCTGGAATTGGATAGTGGTTGTCGTTTCACAACTGGTGAAAATACTGGAGATCACTGAACTTTACATATTAAATGTAAAGTGCATAGATTATGAGAAGGCACAGCAACAAATCAAATTTATATCTGACTGCATTAAAAACTTCCGTTCGGCCGGGTATGGTGGCTCACACCTGTAACGCCAGCACTTTGGGAGGCCAAGGCGGGCAGATCACGAGATCAGGAGTTCAAGACTAGCCTGGCCAACATGGTGAAACCCCGTCTCTACTAAAAATACAAAAATGAGCCAGGCGTGGTGGTGGGCACCTGTAAACCCAGCAACTTGGGAGGCTGAGGCAGGAGAATTGCTTCAACCCAGAGGCAGAGGTTGCAGTGAGCTGGGATCACGCCACTGCACCCCAACCTGGGCAACAGAGCAAGACTCTGTCTCAGGGAAAAACAAAACAAAAAATTTCCGTTCAGTGAAGAGGTTTGATTTTCTTTTCTGACCTCCATACAACTAGCGTGAGCAGCAGTGCAGATGACCTTGAAAAACACGGGTTCCGCATGTGCAAACAAATAGGGATGGAAAACATTTGTGGGATGTGAAACTGACCTATGTGGAGGGCTGAATTTGTATCCACGGGTTCCACAGACCATATGGAATACTTGTGTTCCACAGACGAGTGGCTGCGTGGAGTATGTGCGGGTTCCACGGAGCGGCCGAATGGAGCATGCGCTCCACTGGTAGCTGCGGGCGGTCCTGAAAGCAATCTCCCGTGGTGCCGAGGGATGGCTGTATTTCACTGCATCTAAGTGAACTGTTAGATCTCTCTTCACCTCCCATGACCACAGGCAGTATCCTAGTATTCCTGATGGCAGGAAGTGTCATCAGCCTGGATCTGGGAGAGGCTGACACAAGAGCAGCACGCCAGGCAACCAGGAATGCACATGTGATAAAAATGTATACACTTGTTGTGTGTTTTTTATGTTTTAAAAATTAGTTCAATGAAGTACAGTAGGGAAATTGTCAATAATTTATTGTAAATTTCAAAATAAAAGATTTGTATTGTTCCTAGCACAAAGATAAATATTTGAGGCGATGGATATCCGAAGTACACTGATTTGATAATCACATGTTATACAAGTTTCAAAACTCATATGGACCCCCAAAATATGTCCAACTACTATATATCAATTTTTAACTTACAAAAATTGAAACTTGAAAAACAACAATATTAAAGAAGCGAAAGCATAAGCCTCAGAATGGGAGAATATAAAGGTATAACTAATAAAGGATTGCCATCCAGAATATTTAAAGAACTACAATAAGGAAAACATACCCCAATTAAAAACAACGAGGCAAAGGGTGGGGTTAAGTTATTTACCGAGCTCAACTACCCTAGAACTCAGGGAAATACAGACCAAAGCAACAATAAGATACAATGTTATACTCATCCTTTGGATAGAAATAGGAAAGTCTAATTATAGCAACTGTTGGTGAGAAATGGGAACTGTCCTACACAGCTGGTGGGAGTGAAAAGGAGTACAACCTGTTTGCAGGGGAATTTGTCAATACCTAGTAAAGGTGAAGATGTACACATACACACGGATCCAGTAATTTCACCTCCAAAATATGCTGTGGAGAAATTCTAGCACAAACAACAGCATAAGAAGACTTAAAACAGTCGCTGCCTGGTTGTCTGGAGTACGTAATGCCAAGTATCTTGTCAGTGGGGAGATAGAAGAGTACATTTGATATATTTATTCAGTGCAAGTTAAAGTGAATGGGGACGCTACATGTGTGTAGGTACATCTAAAAATCATTGGGTGAAAGAAGTTCTAGTATGATTTTACAGTATACCTTTTACATAACATTTGAAAAAAAGTACAAAACAAGACTACATATTTGCTATAGATTTGACTTGTTCGACGAGCATTAAGTGGCTAGGTGGATGGCATGTGGTGGGACTTCTTGCTAGAAGAGGAAGCTGTAAAAGTGAGCCCAACCAATTTCTTTATGGTTACTAAAAATGCAGGTTGAGCAAGTAGATTAAGAAAGCCTCAGAACTTTGTTTTCCCTCTTCCTCCCTTTATGACTTGCTCATAAAACATGACAATAGGAGACAAATATGAAAACAATGAGGACAGAAATCTGTGTTTCTAGAAAGAATGGAATGGGTATAAAATGGGTATGAAGCGGTAAGAAATTGCCTTTCCAGGACAGACAAGCAACTGCCCCCACCTCACCCCCACCAACACTTCCTTTTCCTCAAGACATGTTGAATGTTTTGTTTTCTCTACCTTTAACAACCATCTTTGTCCCTAAGTATATAGCAATAGACTTTAAAAATGCATTTCAGGCCGGGAATCTGGCCCGGCGTGGTGGCTCACACCTGTAATCCCAGCACTTTGGGAGACCCAGGTGGGTGGATCACCTGAGGTCAGGAGTTCAAGACCAGCTTGACGAACATGGTGAAACCCTGTCTCTACTAAAAATACAAAAAAATTACCTAGGTGTGGTGGCTGGCACATGCATGTAATCCCAGCTACTCAGGAGGCTGAGGCAGGAGAATTGCTTGAATCTGCAAGGCGGAGGTTGCAGTGAGCCTAGATGGCGCCACTGGACTCCAGCCTGGGTGACAGTGAGACAACGTCTGAAAAAAAAAAAAAAAAAAAAAAAAAAAAAAGACTTTCATGTCTCCCAAGCAACAATCCAAATTTTTAAAATTTAATTAATGAGGACTAGAATAAAACACTGGAAGCATATACTCTGGTGGAATATTCAGACAATTCAACTTTTAGAGACTAGCATTTTTTTGGTCTAGGTATACTTTACACACAATAAATTTCACACATTTTAGAACATGGTTCTGTGAATTTTGACAAAAACACAATCACATAACCAACACAACAAGCACCATCAGGGCAGAAAAGCCAACTTGGCTTCCTAAAGGAGACAGAAACGAATGTCTCGTTAGTTTCATGGTCATTATCCATGAGATTGTAATACATGCTTAACCTGTCAAAATGAGAGGTGACAGCGTGCTGGCAGTCCTCAGAGCCCTCGCTTGCTCTTGGCGCCTCCTCTGCCTGGGTTCCCACTTTGGCGGCACTTGAGGAGCCCTTCGGCCCGCCGCTGCACTGTGGGAGCCCCTTTCTGGGCTGGCCAAGGCCAGAGCCGGCTCCCTCAGCTTGCAAGGAGGTGTGGAGGGAGAGGCGCGAGCAGGAACCAGGGCTGCGAGCAGCGCTTGCGGGCCAGCTGGAGTTCTGGGTGGGCGTGGGCTTGGCGGGCCCCGCACTCGGAGCGGCCCGCCGGCCCTGCCCGCCCCGGGCAGTGAGGGGCTTAGCACCCGGGCCAGCGGCTGCGGAGGGTGTACTGGGTACCCCAGCAGTGCCGGCCCACAGGCGCTGCGCTCAATTTCTCGCCGGGCCTTAGCTGCTTTCTCACGGGGCAGGCCTCGGGACTGCAGCCCGCCATGCCTGAGCCTTCCCCCGCCTCCATGGGTTCCTGTGCAGCCCGAGCTTCCCCGACGAATGCCGCCCCCTGCTCCACGGCGCCCAGTCCCATCGACCGCCCAAGAGCTGAGGAGTGCGAGCGCATGGCGCGGGACTGGCAGGCAGCTCCACCTGCAGGCAGCTCCACCTGCAGCAACCCCCTGCGGGATCCACTGGGTGAAGCCAGCTGGGCTCCTGAGTCTGGTGGGGACGTGGAAAGTCTTTATATCCAGCTCAGGGATTGTAAACACACCAATCAGCACCCTGTGTTTAGCTCAAGGTTTGTGAATGCACCAATCGGCACTCTGTATCTAGCTGCCCTGGTGGGGACGTGGAGAACCTTTATGTCTAGCTCAGGGATTGTAAATACACCAATCAGCACCCTGTGTTTAGCTCAAGGTTTGTGAGTGCACCAATCGACACTCTGTATCTAGCTGCTCTGGTGGGGCCTTGGAGAACATTTATGTCTAGCTCAGGGATTGTAAATACACCAATCAGCACCCTGTGAGTGCACCAATCGACACTCTGTATCTAGCTGCTCTGGTGGGGCCTTGGAGAACCTTTATGTCTAACTCAGGGATTGTAAATACACCAATTGGCACTCTGTATCTAGCTCAAGGTTTGTAAACACACCAATCAGCACCCTGTGTTTAGCTCAAGGTTTGTGAATGCACCAATCGACACTCTGTATCTAGCTGCTCTGGTGGGGCCTTGGAGAACCTGTGTGTGGAAACTCTGTATCTAACTAATCTGATGGGGATGTGGAGAACCTTTGTATCTAGCTCAGGGATTGTAAACGCACCAATCAGTGCCCTGACAAAACAGGCCACTCGGCTCTACCAATCAGCAGGATGTGGGTGGGGCCAGATAAGAGAATAAAAGCAGGCTGCTTGGGTCACCTTCCACAGTGTGGAAGGTTTGTTCTTTTGCTCTTTGCAATAAATATTGCTACTGCTCGCTTTTTGGGTCCACGCTGCTTTTATGAGCTGTAACATTCACTGTGAAGATCTGCAACTTCACTCTTGAGCCCAGCAAGACCACGAGCCCCCCCAGGAGGAATGAACAAGTCCAGACGCGGTACCTCAAGAGCTGTAACGCTCACCGCAAAGGTCTGCAGCTTCACTCCTGAACCAGTGAGACCACAAACCCACCAGAAAGAACAAACTCCAAACACATCTAAATATCAGAAGGGACAGACTCCAGACTCACCATCTTAAGAGCTGTAACACTCACCGCGAGGGTCTGCGGCTTCATTGTTAAAGTCAGTGAGACCAAGAACCCGCCGATTCCGGACACAAGAATGTTATCATTTTTACAAAATGATTGGTCTTTATTGTTAAACTATCATTGTCAATAAAACAAAGTTCCAGATTTAAAAAGACCAAAGAGAGAGAAAAAAGACAAAAAGGACATGGCAACCAGTGCAATACTGTACATAATCTTGCTAAAAGAACCATTTATGGCCAGGCGCGGAGGCTCATGCCTGTAATCCCAGCACTTTGGGAGGCCGAGGCGGGTGGATCACGAGGTCAGGAGATTGAGACCATTCTGATTAACACGGTGAAACCCCGTCTCTACTAAAAATACAAAAAATTAGCCGGGCGTGGTGAGCGCCTGTAGTCCCAGCTGCTTGAGAGGCTGAGGCAGGAGAATGGCGTGAACCCGGCAGCCGAGGCTTGCAGTCAGCTGAGATGGTGCCACTGCACTCCATTGAGCCTGGGCGACAAAGCAAGACTGTGTCTCAAAAAAAAAAAAAAAATTTACAACTGGAAAATGAACAGTAGATTAGATATGTGTTGTGTCAATATTAAATTTCCTAAATTTGATGTATTTAATGGTTATGTAAGATCTTTTTATGAAGATTTAAAAGAGCATGATGAATGCATCCTACTCTCAAGTGATTAAGAAAAAAAGTATATATAGATATACAGGAAGAGAGAAGGAAGGAGAGAGAAAAGAAGACAGTGATGAAGCATATATGGCAAAATGTTAAAAACTGGTAAATCGGGATAAGTGGGATATTGAAATCCTTTATACTATTTCTGCAACTCTTCTATAATTTTTAAATTATTTTAAAATTAACCTTTTTTTTTTTTTTTTCTTGAGACGCAGTCTTGCTCTGTTGCTCAGGCTGGAGTGCAGTGGTGTGATCTCTGCTCACTGCAACCTCCGCCTCCCGGGTTCAAGTGATTCTCCTCCCTCAGCCTCCCAAGTAGCTGGGATTAAAGGTGCCCACCACCATGCCCAGCTAATTTTTGTATATTTAGTAGAGACAAGATCACGATGTTGGCCAGGCTGGTCTCAAAGTCCTGACCTCGTTATCCACTGCCTCGGCCTCCCAAAGTGCTGGGATTACAGGCGTGAGCCACCAGCCCGGCCTAATAAACCTTTTTTAAAAAGAAAATTTAATGCTAACTAGTACTTTTAAAAAAACGTTTTTCTGTTTTTTTGTGTGTGCTTTTTTGTTTGTTTGTTTTTTTGAGATGGAGTTTCACTCTTGTTTTCCAGGCTGGAGTGTAGTAGCGTGATCTTGGCTCACTGCAACCTCTGCCTCCTGGGTTGAAGCCATTCTCCTGCCGCAGCCTCCCGAGTAGCTGGGATTACAAGCGCCCGCCACCACGCCTGGCTAATTTTTCTAATTTCCTTTTTTAGTAGAGACAGGTTTTCACCATGTTGACCAGGCTGGTCTCGAACTGACCTCAGGTGATCCACCTGCCTCAACCTCCCAAAGTGCTGGGATTACAGATGTGAGCCACCACGCCTGGCCCTAACTGGTACTTATATACTCATCAGTGCCAGTTCCTTAGAACACTAACACCATTAATCAGCCTTCTTTGACTTAGATATCTTTGTTGAGTGTATTTTAATATTCTCTATGTTTTTAGAACCCACATAACATTACAATTGTTTTATACAGTCAATATCCATTTAGGTCAACCCACATATTTACCCCATTCTTTTTTCTTCATGCCTTCCTGCAACTTTGAGCTGCCTTTTGGGATCATTTCTTTCTGCCTGAAGAATACTCTTCAGTTATTTTCTTTAGCAAGCTCCATTGATGATGAATCTTCTCATTTTTCCATGTCTGAAAATGCCTGTATTTCACCTTTAATCTTGTAGACATTTTAGCTGGACATATAATTCTAGGTTGAAATTTATTTTCTTTCAGCCTTTTTTAAAATTAAATTTTCGGTTGGGCTTGGTGGCTAATGCCTGTAATCCCAACACTTTAGGAGGCCAAGGCGGGTGGATCACCTGAGGTCAGGAGTTTGAGACCAGCCTGGCCAACATGGCGAAACCCCATCTCTACTAACAATACAAAACTTAGCCGGGTGTAGTGCTGTGCTCCTGTGATCCCAGCTAATCGGGAAGCTGAGATAGGAGAATCGCTTGAACCAGGGAGGCAGAGGTTGCAGTGAGCTGAGATCGCACCAGTGTACTCCAGCCTGTGCAACAGAGTGAGACTCCATCTCAAAAAAAAAAAATTAAATTTTTATTGTGGTAAAATATACATAATAGGCTGGGTGTGGTGGCTCACGCCTGTAATCCCAGCACTTTGGGAGGCTGAGGCAGGCGGATCACCTGAGGTCGGGAGTTGGAGACCAGTCTGACCAATATGGAGAAACCCCATCTCTACTAAAACTACAACATTAGCCAGGCATGGTGGCGCAGGCCTGTAATCCCAGCTACTCATGAGGCTGAGGCAGGAGAATCGCCTGAACCTGGGAGGTGGAGGTTGTGGTGAGCTGAGTTGGTGCCATTGCACTCCAGCCTGGGCAAGAAAAGCGAGATTCCATCTCAAAAAAAATAATTTTATATATATATATATATATATATATATATATATATATATATATATATATATATAATAAACTTACCATTTTAGGCATTTTAACATGTACAATTTAGTGACATTAAGCAGATTTGCAATGTTGTGCAACCATTGCCACAATCTTTCAGCGTTTTGAAAACAGGTTTTCTTCAGGCTCCTGTTGTTTCTGTCGAGAAGTCTGTTGTCAACTTCAGTATGGCCCCTTTGAGCGTAATTTGTCTTTTTGTAATAGGCTCTGTTCCTTTTATGATCTTTTTGTTTTTGTTTTGGAGACAGAGTTTCGCTCTTGTTGCTCAGGCTGGAGTGCAGTGGCGTGATCTTGGCTCACTGCAACCTCCACCTCCCAGGTTCAAGCGATTCTCCTGCCTCAGCCTTCCAAGTAGCTGGGATAACAGGCACCTGCCACCATACCCTGCTAAATTTTTTATATTTTTAGTAAAGATGGGGTTTCACCATGTTGGCCAGCCTGGCGAGGCTGGTCTCGAACTCCTGAACTCAGGTGATCCTCTGGCCTCAGCCTCCCAAAGTGCTGGGATTACAGGCATGAGCCACCACGACGAGCCTTATGATCTTCTTTGGTTTTCAGATGGGCTTACTTGTTGATTTCTTTTTATTTATCCTGCTTTGGATTCTTAGTATTGTTTAATTTGGCTTGACATATTTCATCAGTTTTGGAAAGTTTTGGTCAGTTTCTTTTCAAATGTTTCTTCTATCTTATTTTGTTTTTGTTTTTTGAGATGGAGTCTCACTGTGTCACCCAGGCTGGAGTGCAGTCGCCCGATCTTGGCTCACTGCAACCTCCAACTCCCGGGTTCAAACGATTATCCTGCCTCAGCCTCCCGAGTAGCTGGGATTACAGGTGCCCGCCACCACACCCGGCTAATTTTTGTATTTTTAGTAGAGATGGGGGTTTCACCATGTTGGCCAGGCTGGTCTCGAACTCCTAACCTCAGGTGATCTGCCCACCTCGGCCTTCCAAAGTGCTGGGATTACAGACGTGAGCCACCGCGCCTGGCCTCCTATTTTCACTTCTCATAATCATTTTTGTCTCACTGAATTTTCCATCTTTTCCAAAATTTACTTTTTTTGAGTCAGTCTTGCTCCATCATCCAGCCTGGAATGCAGTGGCATGATCACAGCTCACTCCAGCCTCAACCTTCTGAGCTCAAGCAATACTCTGCCTCAGCCTCCCCAGAATAGCTGGGACTATATGCACATGCCACCATGCCCTACTAATTTTTTAATTTGTTGGTAGAGATGGGGTCTTGCCATATTTTCCAGGCTGGTGTTGAACTCCTGGGCTCAAGGGATTCCTCCCACCTCAGCCTCCCAAAGTGCTGGAATTACAGGCTTGAGCTACCATGCCCAGCCCAAAATGTACTTTTGAATTTTCCACATTTTTTATTTTTCTGAGCTTTATTCTTGGATTTTTTTTTTTCTTCGAGACAAGACCTCACCCTATTGCCCAGGCTGGACTGCAGGGTCACAATCATTGCTCAACCTCCCAGGCTCAAGTGATCCTCCCACCTTTCAGCCTCCCAAGTAGCTGGGACTACAGGTTTGTGCCACCATGCCCAGGTAATTATTGTCTTTTTTTGTGGAGAAGAGGTTTTGCCATGTTGCCCAGGCTGGTCTCAAACTCTTGGCCTCAAGTGATCTACCTGCCTTGGCCTCCCAGAGTGCTGGGATTACAGGTGTGAGCCACCACACCTGGCCACTTCTTGGGTTTTTTTTTTTTTTTTTTTTTTTTTAGATGGAGTCTCGTTCCATTGCCTAGGCTGGAGTGCAGTGGCGCAATCTCTGCTCACTGCAAGCTCCACCTCCCGGGTTCACGCCATTCTCTTGCCTCAACCTCCCGAGTAGCTGGGACTATAGGCGCCTGCCACCATGCCCGGCTAATTTTTTGTATTTTTTAGTAGAAACGGGGTTTCACCGTGTTAGCCAGGATGGTCTTGATCTCCTGACCTTGCAATCTGCCCGCCTCGGCCTCCCAAAGTTCTGGGATTACAGGTGTGAGCCACCACACCCAGCCAATTATTGGATTTTTTAAACCTATGTTCTAGTTCACAAAAATCTCTCTTCATTTGTGTCTAATCTGCTGTTAAACCCATCCCTTTGGTTTTTAATTTTGATTTTTATATTTTTCAGTTATTGAAAGTTTAGTCTACTGAATGTGGCTTTTGTTGCAAAGAAAAGAATAAAAAAATTAAAAATAAATAAAAAAGGAAGTTTAATCTGTTATATCCTCTTACAGGTTCAAGTTCTCTGAAATTCTAAATTGTGTCTCTGATCTCTTTAAATGTATTAGGTGTAGTTATGTAAAAGTGTTTGATAATTTTTGTTTGTTTCTTTGTTTGTTTGTTTGTTTTTGAGACGGAGTCTTGCTGTGTTGCCAAAGCTGGTGCATTCTCGGCTCACTGCACGTCTGCCTCGCGGGTTCAAGCGATTCTTCTGCCTCAGCCTCCAGAGTAGTTGGGACTACAGGCACCATGTAGTGCCACCATGACTGGCTAATTTTTGTATTTTTAGTAGAGACGGGGTTTCACCATGTTGGCCAGGCTGGTCTCGAACTTCTGACCTCGTGATCTGCCCGCCTCAGCCTCCCAAAGTGCTGAGATTACAGGCCTGAGCCATCGTGCCCGGCCCGATAATTGTTGTTGTTATTGTTGGTGATGCTGAAGTGTTCTTTCTTGCCTATTTCTTTGTGTGCATGGTCACTTTTTTTTTTTTTGAGACACAGTTTCACTCTGTCACTCAGGCTGGAGTTCCCCAGAGGCGCAATCTTGGCTCACTGCAACCTCTGCCTACTTGGTTCAAGCCATTCTTGTGCCTCAGCCTCCCAAGTAGCTGGGACTACAGGTGTGCACCACCATGCCCGGTTAATTTTTGTATTTTTAGTAGAGACCAGGTTTCTCCATGTTAGCCAGGCTGGTCTTGAACTTCTGACCTCAAGTAATCCACCCGCCTCGGCCTCCCAAAGTGCTGGGATCACAGGTGTGAGCCACTGCGCCGGCCCTATTTCTTTGTGTGCTTGGTCACTTTGTGTTAGATATTGTATTTCAAAACCTGTTTGGAGGCATTGTTTGAATCATAAAATAGTGTCATCTTTCTCTAGACTAGGCTAGAGAGTCAGAAAGTCTCACCAGACACCTTGGGCACTAACAGTGGGGATCACCAGTTTTTGGGGCTTGAGATGATTTGGAGCTGGCTTCAGATCCGTGAGACCTGGTCTACTTTAATGCTACAGGGCAGCTCTTCAGAGTGCAAACTCAAAGTTAAGGGTGTTTACCAGGCATACCTTCCTCTAGAGGCCCCGGACTCTGACTTTTGTCCTTTTAGCCGTACAGGTAGTCAAAAGAGCAAAAAGCCTCTTGGCTACCTCTTGAATAATTGACAAAGCTCCCAAAGAGCTGAGTTAAACTTCTGGATTCCTGTTTTTTCTAAGTTCTAATAATTCTTCAGTAGTTAGTTAACTCACTGAGGCCTTCAGTGGGATGTTTTCAGTATTTTTTCAGCTTTTTTAGTTGTTCTAAGAAGATTGTCAGTTGTTCCACTAGGGGGAAAAGAAAGGAGAGAAAAAAATTTAAAGTTCATGATAAAGAAACAAAGAGAGGTCTACATGAGCCCCTGGACATCCAGTGCAGGTAGCATGAACTCTGCATGCACCAAGCACCTGCCCTCCATTCCAGGAGCATAGGCTATTGACTGTGGCTAATATGGCCGGGCGTGGTGGCGCATGCCTGTAATCCCAGCTAATTGGGAGGCTGAAGCTTGAACCTGGGAGGTGGAGGTTGCAGTGAGCCAAGATCACGCCATTGCACTCCAGCCTGGGCAACAAGAGCGAAACTCCATCTTAAAAAAAAAAAAGTGTTTAATAAAATTTATTTCTTGAAGCTTATTTTTGTCTGTTCATTGGGATATTGTTTCCCAGAGCTCTTTTCTGGACCACTCTCACTGAGGAGTCTCCTCAGTAGTTCTGCCTTTGATGCTATTGTCCTTTTTCATATAAATCTGTGGGCTTAATTTTCTCATTATTTCATTTGATATGATTTGATTTGATATGATTTGATATCATTTGATATGATTTGACATGATTTCTTAGTGCCCTCTCAATAACAAATGTTTCTTGCATTCAGGGTGAAGGGTGAATATTAGATGGTGTGGGAGGTAAACTGCATTCATAGACATAAGCAAAGCCAGATGGTCCATTTGGAGACTGAACTTGTGGCTGACCTCTAGCAGTTTCACACACAAGCTGGGGCCATGTTCCTACTTGCAAAATGATTTGTGGTGTGTTCGCTCATTCCTTCTAAATCTTCATATTTGTGAAGAGTGGTAAGTTAGTTTGGGCATTATCTAGGACATTCTGATCATTAGATTTTCCAGTAATGGAAGATCGGAAAAAAGTTCACTAGAGTCCATTTTGCTAAGTCTCTTTCTGACAATTTAAAACAAATTACTGTCTTCTCAGTTAACTTACCATTTCCAGTGTTGATCTTTCTTTTTTCTCTCAACAAGACTGTGGTTTTTTGTTGTTGTTGTTAACATTTTTATACCTTAAAAAAGAATGAGACAGGGTCTTGCTATATTGCCCAGGCTGGTCTCAAACTCTTGGCCTCAAGCAATTTTCCTACCTCAGCCTCCCAAAGTGCTGAGATTACAAGTGTGACCCACCACACCCAGCCCTTTTTCTTTTCTTTTCTTTTCTTTTTTTCTTTTTCTTTTTTTTTTTTTTTTTGACACAGGGTCTCACTCGGTTGCCCAGGCTGGAGTGCAGTGGCACAATCATGGCTCACTGCAGCCTCGGCCTCCTGAGCTCAAGCAATCCTCCCGCCTCAGCCTCCCAAGTAGATGGGACTACAGGCATGTGCCATTATGCCCAAATAATTTCTTTTTTTAATTTTTGTATATGTGCTGCCAAGGTGAGCACTCTTTTTTAAGTTTTTCTAGATACAGGGTCTTGCTATGTTGCCCAGGCTGGTCTTGAACTTTGGCCTCAAGTAACCCTCCTGCCTCAGCCTCCCAAAGTGCTGAAATCACAGGCATGAGCCACATTTCCAGCAGTTTTGTTTTTTGAAAGCAGGGTTATGGCTTATATTTATTCTTGATTCTCTATTCTTAGCCTAGTGGCAGAATGAAGGCTGTCCTGGAAGAAGTGAGGAGGTTGGGAAAGGAACTCTTTTGTAGGGAGGAAGAAGACATATGGAGTGGAGTTTGGGCTGGGTTTGGAACCTGATACTTTCTGCAATATTGACAAATGTGAATAAGACCTTTTTAGTCAAAAGTCATACAGACACATGGTTTGGCTGGGTAGTCACATGCTTTTGCCTGTTGAGTTTTGTGACGTGAATGTGTTTTCTGCTGAACCAACCCCTTGAGGCCTGCTAAAACAGGTGACTCAAAAACAACTTTGTTTTCTTGGGTGGAGTAATTTCCTGGTGTTTTTCTCAAAAGTTGTCAACTTTTATTTTAGTGATGGAGGCCAATCTTGACAACTTTTATGGTCAGGCATTCTCAATATGTTTTAAAATGGGTTTCAGGCAAGGTGTGGTGGCTCATGCATGTAATCTCAGCACTTTGGGAGGCTGAGGCGGGAGCATCACTTGAGGCCAGGATTTTGAGACCAGCATGGGTAACATAGCAAGACCCCATCTCTTCAAAAAAATGAAAAAATTAGCTGGGTGTGGTGGAACAAGCCTCTAGTTCTAGCTACTCAGGGGGCTGAGATGGGAAGATTGCCTGTGCCAGGAAGTCCAGGATACAGTGGGCTGTGATAGTGCTACTGTACTCCAGCTGGGTGACAGAGTGAGACCTTGCTTACAAAAAATTTAAAAACAATTTTTTTTTGAGATGGAGTCTTGCTCTGTGCCCAGTCTGGAGTGCAGTGGCGCGATCTTGGCTCACTGCAACCTCTGCCTCCCGGGTTCAAGCAATTCTCCTGTGTCAGCTGCCCGAGTAGCTGGGGCTACAGGCCCATCTACTTTTTGTACTTTTAGTAGAGACGGGTTTCACCATATTGGCCAGGCTGGTCTCAAACTCCTGACCTCTCGGCCTCCCAAAGTGCTGTGATTACAGGCGTGAGCCACCGTGACTGGCCAAAACAATTTTTAAATTAAAAAAAATGAGGCCAGGCACGGTGGCTCATGCCTGTAATCCTAGCACTGTGGGAGGCCGAGGCGGGTGGAACACCTGAGGTCAGGAGTTTGAGACCAGCCTGACCAACATGGAGAAACCCCATCTCTACTAAAAATACAAAATTAGCCAGGCGTGGTGGCAAATGCCTGTAATCCCAGCTACTCGGGAGGCTGAGGCAGGAGAATTGCTTGAACCCAGGAAGTAGAGGTTGCAGTGAGCCGAGATCACGCCACTGCACTCCAGCCTGGGCAACAAGAGCAAAACTCCGTCTCGGAAAAAAAAAAAAAAGAAAAGAAAAAGAAAAAGAAATGGCTTTCATATACAAGATCCAGTTTCTGTTTCTGGTAGTAAGTGCTATTCTTGCTACAGAAGTCTAAAGACAGGCCAGGCGCAGTGGCTCATGCCTGTAATCCCAGCCCTTTGGGAGGCCGAGGCAGGAGTTCAAGACCAGCCTGGCCAACATGACGAAACCCCATCTCTACTAAAAATACAAAAATTAGCTAGGCGTGGTGGCACGTGCCTGTAATCACCGCTACTCAGGAGGCTGAGGCAGGAGAATCGCTTGAACCTGGAAGGCAGAGGTTGCAGTGAGCCTAGATGGCGCCACTGGACTCCAGCCTGGGTGACAGAGTGAGACTCCATCTCAAAAAAAAAAAAAAAAAAAAAGGCTAAAGACAGTATTTTCTTTGGACTGAATTAACTGGCACTAATCTGAAAATTTTAACTTTTTACACTATGTCCTAGCCAGAGGGAGAACCTATTGTACAGGGAGATTTCAACAGCAGCATGGACCACCTTTTGCCAGATGAGGCACTGGTTATCTGTGTGGGGCTGGCACTGGGATGAGTACTTAGTGAGAATGGGGTAGAGTGGGGTGGAGACTGAAACACGGCCTCTAATCTGGACTCAGCAATCTCCTTTTGAGGTTTGGCAACTCGGTTTAGGAATGTGCCCACAACTTTAAGGTTTGTGATGGGAATGAGAAGAGAAGGGGTGAGGGACCCACCCAGAATACAGTGTTCCACGTCCCTCATGCAAAGAAGGGCTGGGCAGGTGCCAGCATGTCAAGGTTCCCAGCCAATTCTGGCAGATTCTCTGAGAGACAAGCTCTGTCGTGATTCCAGCACCACCCATTATTGCTACATCTTCCACACAACATGTCTCCTGAAAACATCTCCCTCCAGGACATTGTTCCAAAAGCAAGGCCAAGACGCAGGCAGAAGTCCACTTCTGAGGAATGAGAACGCATGCTGGAGACAGAGCAATACCCCGGTGTGTGCCTCTTGTGAGTGGGGCAATTTGCCCAGTTGAGAAACAGGCCAATTAACCACCCTTGGTATTTGAAGAGCCACTCCTTACTCATCTGGGTTCTTTTCTGCTTTAAGTATTTTTATTCTTGATCGTGCCAGACAGGCATGTGTGTTTGCACCTAAAAGGTCATTTTTATATTTGTCAGTTCTCCAGGAAACTTCTGCCACTACCAAATTCAACATGCTGTCAAACTGAACCGATCTCCTCTCTTCCTACCACTGGCTTCCCTTTGCCACCTCTTCATTCCTTCCAGGGAGGGCTTCCTCCACTGTTTCACTCTCAGACTAGAGGCTTTGGCAATGCTCCTTTACTTATTCATTAGTTCATTCGATATTCAAATACATATTCAAATACTTATTGAACATTTCTTTTTTTTTTTTTTTTTTGAGACAGAATCTTGCGCTATCACCCCGGCTGGAGTGCGGTGGCACGATCTCAGCTCACTGCAACCTCTGCCTCCTGGGTTCAAGCAATTCTTCTGCTTCAGCCTCCCAAGTAGCTAGAACTACAGGCATGTGCCACCATGCCTGGCTAGCTTTTGTATTTTTAGTAGAGACGGGGTTTCACCGTATTGGCCAGGCTGGTCTCGAACTCCTGACCTCATGATCTGCCTGCCTTGGCCTCCCAAAGTGCTGGGATTACAGGCATGGGTGACCTCGCCCAGAGAACATTTCTTTTTCTTTCTCTTTTTTTTTTTTTTTTGAGACAGAGTTTCACTCTGTTGCCCAGGCTGGAGTACAATGACGGGATCTCGGCTCACCCCAGCCTCCACCTCCCCAGTTCAAGCAATTCTCCTGCCTCAGCCTCCTGAGTAGCTGGGATTATAGGCATGTGCCACCATGCCCAGCTAATTTTGTATTTTTAGTCAAGACGGGTTTTCTCCGTTTTGGTCAGGCTGGTCTCAAACTCCCGACCTCAGGTGATTCGCCCACCTTGGCCTCCCAAAGTGCAGGGATAACAGGCATGAGCCACTGTGCCCGGCCTCTTTCTCATTTTTATTAGCAGTTATCACTAGCTTGAATTATCTTGTTTATTGATTTATCTTTTTTTTTTTTTTTGAGACAGAGTCTCACTCTGCCCAGGCTGGAGTGCAGTGGTACAATCTCTGCTCACTGCAACCTCTGCCTCCCGGGTTCAAGCAATTCTCCTGCCTCAGCCTCCCGAGTAGCTGGGATTACAGACACTTGCTGCCACGCCTGGCTAATTTTTTATTTTTAGTAGAGACAGGGTTTCACCATGTTGGCCAGGCTGGTCTTGAACTCCTGACCTCTAGTGATCCACACACCTCGGCCTCCCTGTAACCTGGGGTTACAGGTGTGAGCCACCTCGCCTGGCTTATCGTTTTTTACCTCTTCCTCATTGAGCTCATTCACTGCTGTATTCACATTGCCTAAAACAGTGTCCAGTATGGAATAAACGCTCGATACATATTTGAAGAATAAATGAACAAATCTATGTAAGATATTTGTAATTTAGTAAGCAATACAAATTTAACGAATTATGCTTTTATTTATTTATTTTATTTTTAAATTTTATGTATTTATTTATTTATTTTTTGAGACAGAGTTTTGCTCTTATTGCCCAGGCTGGAGTTCAATGGCGCCATCTCAGCTCACTGCAACCTCTGCCTCCTGGGGTCAAGAGATTTTCCTGCCTCAGCCTCCTGAGTAGCTGAGATTACAGGCACCCGCCACCATGCCCAGATAATTTTCTTGTATTTTTAGTAGAGACAGAGTTTCACCATGTTGGCCAGGCTGGTCTCGAACTCCTGACCTCGTGATCCACCCCTTTTGGCCTCCCAAAGTGCTGGGATTACAGGCGTGAGCCACCGCGCCCGGCCTTAAAAGTGTTTTTATCAGGAAGTGTTCCCAGAAAAACACTTTAAGGAAGTAGTGACATAAGAAAAGAAGGAGAGGCCAGATGCCGTAACTCACACCTGTAATCCCAGCACGTTGGGAGGCTGAGGCTGGGATAATTTGAACCCAGGAGTTTGATACTAGCTTGGGCAACATAATGAGACCCCATCTCTACAAAAAAAAATTTTTTTTAATTGGCTGGTCATGGTGGCACACCCTTGTAGTCCCAGCGTTCGAGAGGCTGGGTGGGGAGGATCACTTGAGCCCAGGAGGGAGGAGGGAGTCTGCAATGACCTGTGATTGCACCACTGCACTCCAGCCTGGGTGACAGAGCAAGACCCTGTCTCAAAAAAAAAAAAAAAAAAAAAAGAAGAAGAAAAAGTTACTTTCTTTTTTTTTTGAGACATAGTCTTGCTCTGTCGCCCAGGCTGGAGTGCAGTGGCGCAATCTCGGCTCACTGCAAGCTCTGCCTCCCGGGTTCACGCCATTCTCCTGCCTCAGCCTCCCGAGTAGTTGGGACTACAGGTGCCCGCCACCATGCCTGGCTAATTTTTTGCATGAAAAGTTACTTTCATATAAATTTCTCATTACCTTTCAAGATAAATTACCACAGCTAAGCAAAGGCAGAGAAAATCCAGGCCTAAGACTCCAATTCTCCAGACCCAGGGTTGGGGTTGCAAAGGAAAAATGGCTCTGGATTGGGAGAGATTCTGGAAGAAGTGGGATGAGCTCATTACATGGGGGAGGTGTGGGTGAGGAGGAACCCAGTTCATTTGGGACCAGAGTCCTGCAAAGACAAACGGGTTCTAAGAGAAGGGAAGGGGCCCTGGAGCTCATTTTGGTGGTTTTGTTTTATGGGGTTTTGTTTTGTTTATAAGGGGGCTGGGATGAGTGAAACGTTGGAAGACTGGTTCTATTGCAGGTGCAGGAGGCCAAGGTGAGGGATGAACTCACAGCGGCAGTGTCTCGATGAGGGGAATGTGGTGGTGCATGAAAACTCAGAGATGCTAGCAAGTGCGGAGCCCAAAGGGATGTTACAGCTCTTGCTAGGGGAGTCCTGAGGTCTGAGCCCCCAGAAAAGTCGCAGCTCTTCACCCCTGTAGCTTGGCAACTGGAAGCATGTTACAGTTCTCTTTCTCTCATAGTCCAGTGAGCAGGGTGCTACAGCTGTTTCATTTCTGCCACTTGCAGCTTGGTGAGTTCCAGGTTCTTGTCTCTCGACCAAGAGTAATAAAGTGCACAGACACCAGAAAGTAAGACAGAGAAGAATTTTATTGAGTAACAGAAGGAAAACTCTCAACTGCAAGAGGGGACCCTCAAAGCAGGTTGCTGTCTTTGAGGCTGAGTCTGGGGTTTTTATGGGCTTAGAATGGGAAAGTGCATGCTGATTGGTCCATGAGTGGGCTTGGAAAAAGCACCATTTGATTGGTTAAAAGGCATCATCCAGGCCAGGCACAGTGGCTCATGCCTGTAATCCCAGTACTTTGGGAGGCCAAGGCAGGTGGATCACCTGAGGTTGGGAGTTCGAGACCAGCCTGACCAACATGGAGAAACCCCATCTCTACTAAAAATACAAAATTGCCAGGCGTGGTGGCACATGCCTCTAATCCCAGCTACCTGGGAGGCTGAGGCAGGAGAATTGATTGAACCTGGGAGGTGGAGGTTGCAGTGAGCCGAGATCGCACCATTGCACTCTAGCCTGAGCAACAAGAGTGAAACTGTCTCAAAAAAATAAAAAGGAATCGTCCAGGAGGAACCAATCAAGAGAGAGGGTAAGATGAGGATACAAGTTCTCACTCTGGTCATGGACTCTATCTGGAACTGGTACCTTGGTTTCAGGCTTTAAACTGTCTTTGGCTTGAAGGTTGGGTTTCACCAGGGACCCATCTCTGTCTGCCTAAAAATTTATCTGTCTCCTGTTGCTATCATTTTTACCCTAGACCAAAAGCAAGATGGCAGCAACAGATCATCGCACCTCTGCAGTCTGTCTGCTAGTGGCTACAGCCACCTCCTACTTCCACAGATCCCACTCAAGGATTCTCAAAGTTGCAGGAGTAAGATTTCTTTCCAGCTCCCTTCCTGGTCGTGGTTCCTCATGTCAGCTTCTTGAAGTCTGGGGTAACTATTTTCCTGTAGTAAAATTTCCTGTGATAGTCTTTCCTTTATTGCCTCTCTTATGTATAAAATGGCAGTATTAAAATTCCTTATACTGAATGTACTGTCAATTTTCAAAGTTATTTACATGGTAAAATAAAAATATATTCTTTAAATATGCAAATCTGTATTTGTATATTTTGTGCTTCCACTTGTATAATAAGGAAAGGACAGACCCTTGCCTTAAGAAAGGAAGAAGCGGGCAGATGCAGTGGCTCACTCCTGTAATCCCATCAATTTGGGAAGCCAAAGCGGGCAGATCACCTGAGCTGGGAGTTCGAGACCAGGCTGACCAACATGGCGAAACCCCATATCTACTAAAAACACAAATTAGCCAGGCATGGTGGCACATGCCTGTAATCCCAGGTACTGGGGAGCCCAAGGTTGGAGAATCACTTGAAGCCAGGAGGCAGAGGTTGCAGTGAGCCGAGATCCCACCATTGCACTCCAGCCTGGGCAACAAGAGAAAAACTCCGTCTCAAAAAAAAAAAAAAAGAAAGAAAAGAAAAAAAAAAGAAAGGAAGAAGAATCTTAGCCAGGCTGACTGAAAAGTAGAAAGTCAGGGTTGGAGAAAATTGGTTATTCCAGAGACAGGATTTGGAGGTTTGAATGTATGTTGGGTGGTAGCCCTTTGGGGCCAGGGAGGAGGGGCTTGTGCCGAGATCGTGCCCCGAAAAATAATAACTCTTGGGTAATGGAGTATATTGGTATCTAGTAACATGGAAGGGACCACTTTTCTTTGGACTCTAGGCACTGTTTCATGGAGACTCTGCTGCTCACCAACAGTCTTCAATAGTTATTTTAAAATGATGGTACCCAGGGTCAAACTACTGCATTTTCACCAATGGGGCTATAGTCTGGGGAGCAGGACAATATTTGGGAGCTTCATTTCTGGAACAAAGTCACTGAGATTGGCAGCCAGAATTGAGGAATGGTTCAACAAATAGACTCATAAATCAAATAGCTACATATGTTTCTCCTGAATAGGTACAGCAAAGATTAAGAGGCAGGAGTGTTTCCCTAGCCCAGCTCTAATTTCCTAATCTTGGTAATCTTTTTTTTTTTTTTTGAGACAGAGTCTTGCTCTGTCGCCCAGGCTGGAGTGCAGTGTCGTGATCTCGGCTCACTGCAACCTCCGCCTCCCAGGTTCAAGCGATTCTCCTGCCTAAGCCTCCTGAGTAGCTGGGATTACAGGCATGCACCACCATGCCCAGCTAATATTTGTATTTTTAGTAGAGATGGGGTTTCATCATGTTGGTCAGGCTGGTCTCAAACTCCTGACCTTGTGATCCGCCTGCCTCAGCCTTTCAAAGTGCTGGGATTACAGTCATGAGCCACCGCGCCCAGCTGGCAATCTTTATTTGGAGAATTTGAGGAAGAGATCAGTGCTCTTCTTAGTCGTATCAACCATATACCGCTTCCATACTCTTCTTAACAATAGCAAGGGCAGTGGGATGCGGAGCTCTCCTGCTGAAGGGGCTGCTGGGAACAGAAGTAGGTATAGGTCCTGCCAGGAAGCACAGGAAAGATGAGGGTCCAGGTAGTGCTTTCCCTCACTGCAGGCCTGTCCTAGTGCCAGAGGCAACAGTGTGCTTCTGGGGAGAGGCACATTCATATATTCATTTAGCATTAACTGCTTAATTGATTGATAGATTCATTCATATCATTTATTCTTGAACTTACGTCTTTGGGCAGTAAGAACTGTATTCTTGTTAGCATTCTTTCATATTCCCATTTCTTCTACCTTAATGTATCATCAGCAATTATTTGTCATTAGGCATTCAAGTGATGTTGCGTACTCATTCATTCTAATTTTCTGCCTCCATTTACTCAAATTTCATTTACTTATTTATTTCAACTTCAAATTTCCTTTTTTATATTTCATAACTTCACTCAAATGTATTCATTTGTTCATTCAAATTAAATTTAATTATTTTAAATAAATGATTCAAAGGAGAAATACTCAAATCTCTTCATTTTTTCTTTTTTTTTTGCATTGTGATGTGCAAAAGAAAAGAGGCAAGAAAGAAAGGCAGAAAGTGCTTCTATGGTAGATCAGATTGATCTATCTATCACCTATCTATCTACCTATCTTCTATCTATCTATCATCTATCTATCTATCTATCTATATCTATTATCTATCATCTATCTCTCTATCTGCCATCTACTCATTCCTCCGTCCAATCTATCAATTCCCAATTCCATCCACCCAGTTCCCACCTGAGACAAAGTTCCAGAGTTCTGCGTTTTGTTATCCCCATTCTTTGAAGACCAGTTGCCCCAAATCAAAAAGGTTCCTGGAAACTGGGGCTGCTCTCATGTGTTACTCAGTAGCACGTTTCCCTGTTTTGAGTGTCCTAGATTAGATTTAAGTGTCCCTGAGTCAGCAAGTCTTCTGCATGGTCCCGGAGGCAAGAGGACCAAGCATGGGAAGAGGACCAAGAACTGCACCATATTTCTTTCCACCCTCAGACTTGCCCCAGATTTTGGTTCCAGGCTCATCCCAGAAGAGTTTCACTTATATGGGTAAAGTGTATCTGAATTATGCAAGTAGCCCTGGTGTCTCTGGCTAGTGGGAGTCAGAATGTTTGCGGCCAGGACAGTGTCTACTTCTGTAGGCCTAGAGGAAAACAGCTCATTTTTCCCTGAAACAAATTCAGGATCCATGAGATAGGGATCCCAGATGCCTGAAGCCATCCATCTACTAGGGATGAGGTGGTTCAGACCCAAGTAGTCGCAGGGATCCCCCATGGAAAACAGTCAAAGTATACCTGCCATGACAAAGAGTGACCTCTGAATAAAATGCTCCCAGTGACTTCTGATGAGGAACCATTGGATTCTATTTTATTTATTTATTTATTTTTGAGACAGACTCTCGCTCTGTCATCCAGGCTGGAGTGCAGTGGCACAATCTCGGCTCACTGCAACCTCCGCCTACCAGGTTCAAGCAATCCTCCTGCCTCAGCCTCCAGAGTAGCTGGGATTACAGGCGCCCTCCACCACGCCTGGCTAATTTTCGTATTTTTAGTAGAGATGGGGTTTCACTATATTGGTCAGGCTGGCTTTGAACGCCTGACCTCAGGTGATCCACCCACCTTGGCTTCCCAAAGTGCTGGGATTACAGGTGTGAGCCATCGCGCCCGGCCGTGGATTCTACTAATAGGGAGCTCAGACCCACATAAAGCTATGGGTTAAAATTGGGGTCAGGCCTTGTATTTGACCATGTTTTCTTAAATATGACATCAAAAGCTGAGACAACAAAAGATAAATTAGATAATTTGGACTTCCTTAAAGTTTAAAATTTTTGTGCATTAAAGGACACTATTGGCCAGGCACAGTAGTTCAAAGTGTAACCATTTTGGGATTGGGTGGGATGTGGTGGCTCACACCTGTAATCCCAGTACTTTGGGAGGCTGAGGCGGGAGGCTTGCTTGAACTCAGAAGTTTGAGACTAGCCTGGCCAACATGGCAAAACCCTATCTCTACAAAAATATAAAAATTAGCTGGGTGTGGTGATGCATACCTGTACTTGAGCTACTCAGGAGGCTAAGGTGGGAGGATCACCTGAGCCCAAGCGTTCGAGACTACAGTGAGCCAAGATCACACCACTGCACTCCAGCCTGGGTGACAGAGCAGGTCCCTGTCTCAGAAAACAAACAAACAAACAAACACCAGGAAAAGCTCAGTTATCTAGGACTCAACCAGAATCCTTGGCTTCTTTAGTTTCCTTATAAAACAAACAAAAAACCAAAGTGCAAACCCAGCACTTTAGGAGGCTGAGGCAGGAGGATTGCTTGAGGCCAGGAGTTGGAGACCAGCCTGGGCAACATAGTAAGATACCTCTACAAAATATAGACATATATATTAGCTGGGCTCTGACAGACTGCACCTCCATGTGCCACTCAGACATGCCCCCCGCTGCTCCCTCATGAGCAAAGGCTGGAGAAGCCTTCCGGCCACTAACTGCCGGCCGCCGTGTTGTATCCTGGTGGATACAGGATACACGTGGTGGAGGTGGTGGAGGTTGGGGTCCAGACATGTTGGTGTCAGTAGGAGGGCCAGGCCACACGTGTCCCAGATTACTGGGGGGTACATTGAGGGGTGGGCTGTGGGGTGAACAGGATTCATCCCTGAAAATAATCTGCCTCAGGGCACAGAAATCCCCACCTGGCCAGAGACCTGGGCCATTTCCTCCCACCAGTGATTCTCTAACTGTAATATGGGGACAGCCTGGGTAGGATGAGGCTGTCGGGGTTGGGTCTCTCCTGAGGTTGAAGGGATGTGGCCAGAAGGATTAAGATGATTAACCAAGTATCCATCCCATTGCAGTAACTGAATTTGCCCTTCAGTGAACACTTTGGCCTCCTCTTGATCTCACAATGGTATATTTTTCATAATACAAAAATAATGCATATTTCATCCTTCAGACTTTGAAAAAAATACTTGTATGTTAACTTTTATTCCTTGGATGCATAGAAGAAATTAAGTGGTGTCCCCTGTTGTCACCTGATTAGGAGGAATTGTTGGGATTAAGCTCCAAGAAAGAGTGCTGCAGACTGGCTAAGCCGATGTTGGTGTGCTTGGAGGGAAAGGAAGACTGGCCTTTGTGGCAGAAAAAAGCCATCAGGGGCTCAAAAGAAAATAGGGACATGGGGGCCGGGCGCGGTGGCTCACACCTGTAATCCCAGCACTTTGGGAGGCTGAGGCGGGGGGGATCACGAGGTCAGGAGATCGAGACCATCCTGCCTACACAGTGAAACCCTGTCTCTACTAAAAATACAAAAAAAAAAAAAAAAAAAAGCTGGTGTGGCGGCATGTGCCTGTAGTCCCAGCTGCTGGGGAGGCTGAGGCAGGAGAATGGTGTGAACCTGGGAGGCGGAGCTTGCAGTGAGCCGAGATCATGCCACTGCACTCCAGCCTGGGTGACAGAGCGAGACTCCGTCTCAAAAAATAATAAATAAATAAATAAATAAAATAAAATAAAATAAAATAGGGACATGGGAGTTGACCTCACTAAAGGGCTACCTACTAGATGAAATCTTAGGCTCTTTTGCATTACAGTGTTGGGACATAGCACTAACATTCAATGTGAAAAAAGAAGAGTGATGAGATTTGTTATTCTTTCAGCATTACACATAAGTTTTTCTTGTTTCGAGGAATGCTGATGCCAATGATGACTTCAGGTCTAATTTCAATTACCATTAGTATCTCACCCTGGTTGACTACATTGAATTTACTATCCTCAGACAAGTTGCCTAATCTTTCTCCACTCCTTGCCTCTGACCTCACCGTTCCATTTGCCTTGGCATCAGTCCTTACTTGATTCTTTCTTCATCTGGCAAATATGGCTGGCAAACAGCAGCTGTCCTCAGAAGCCTTTCTTCGTTCCAACAAACAGAAATAGGTGTGATTTCTGTTATTTTATAGAATTGTGGTCAAATCTCACTTATTCAATATTACACTTAATTAAAATTATCTCATTTTACTGTAGAATTCTGTTCAACTTTTATTTTACATTTTACACTCTCTTATTATTAAATTCCTCACATCTTTATGTCCTTCCCTGGACTATGAATTGGTGCCCTGAGAATCTAGACACCTTATATTCACCTTAAAATCCCATCATCCAGTAGGGTGTTGGATATGTAGGAGATGTTCAGGAAATCTTGTCAAATAATTGAATGAATTTCATGTAGCCACAGAAAAGTTCTGTTTTGGAAAATAAACTGAAACAATATTTTAGCAGGGCAATTTGACAATATATATTTCAAATTTAAACTGTTCACATCCTTTGACCAAGAGATTTCCTCCTGGGAATTTGAGCTATGAACAATCCTCCTACATGAAAATTCATTCAACCTGGCTGCTTTAGCTTAATGTATATGGTTGTGATCATATAGTAGAGGTTGGCCATGCTTTGTTACATTTGATATTCAACCATTTTCATTTACCACTTCATAGTCTTCATACACATAATTTTTGTGACAATGTAAATGGTTCATATGGTGTCTGTTCCTTGGTTTGCTTAGCTGTTCTCATATTGTGGAATTGCATTTGTTATTCTTTCAGCATTACACTTATATTATCCAGTGATCACCTTTACATATAAAGGTTTTTGTGTTGCTAGGAAGACAAAGCGCATGTTGGATTGCCCAATTATTTCTTGACTCTTTTTTTTTTTTTTTTTGAGACGGAGTCTCACTCTGTTGCCCAGGCTGAAGTGCAATGGCGTGATCTCTGCTCATCACAACCTCCACCTCCCAGGTTCAAGCGATTCTCCTGCCTCGGCCTCCCGAGTAGCTGGAACTACAGGTGCGCACCACTGTGCCTGGCTAATTTTTGTACTTTTAGTAGAGACAGGGTTTCACTATGTTGGCCAGGCTGGTCTCTAACTCCTGACCTTGTGATCTGCCCACCTCAGCCTCCCAAAGTGCTGGGATTACAGGCGTGAGACACCGCACCCAGACTTTTTCCTTCAACTTTTAAGTTCTGGGGTACATGTGCAGGATGTGCAGGTTTGTTACATAGGTAAGGTGTGCCATGGTGGTTTGCTGCACAGATCAACCTATCATCTAAGTATTAAGCCCAGCATCCATTAGCTATTCTTCCTGCTGCTCTCCCTCCCGCTCCCCACCCTGACAGGTCCCAGTGTGTGCTGTTCCCCACAATGTGTCCAGGTGTTCTCATCGTCCAGCTCCCACTTATAATGAGAACATGTGGTGTTTGGTTTTCTGTTCCCATGTTAGTTTGTTGAGGATAATGGCTCCATCCATGTTCCTACGAAGGACATGATCTCGTTCCTTTTTATGGCTGCACATTTCTTGACTCTTGATATATATCATCTTTGTGGTTTTCATTCTCTTTTAAAGTATTTGTGAATATGATGAAGTAAAAAAGTATCTCAGATTTTGTTTCGCATTTTATTGTTTGTTAGAAAGATTGAGCTTTATTTCATTATCATTTATTACTAATTGCATTTCCTACCTGAGGAACTGTATTTTCTTACATACCTTTCACACACATGACGCTAACATTTTTCTTGTTTTGTTTTTTTTTTAAACTGAGTTTTGCTCTTGTTGCCCAGGCTGGAGTGCAATGGGGGCAATCTCAGGTCACTGCAACCTCTGCCTCCCAGATTCAAGCAATTCTCCTGCCCAGCCACTCAAGTAGCTGGGATACAGGTATGTGCCACCATGCCCAGCTAATTTTGTATTTTTAGTAGAGACGGGGTTTCACTATGTTGGTCAGGCTGGTCTCAAACTCCTGACCTCAGGTAATCCACCCATCTTAGCCTCCCAAAGTGCTGTGATTACAGGCATGAACCACCGTGCCCAGGCTCTTATTTCATATAAGCTAATTTGTGCAAGATATTCATTTAGCAAATAATTTTGAGCTCTTCCCAGGTGTGGGACATTGCTTTAGCTGCTAGGGATAGTTAACAAACAAGCAAAAATCTTTGCATTCATAGGATTTAAATCCTAATGTGTGAGACAGATAAGTAAAACAGGATTTCAGTATTTTAGGTAGTGAGAACTACTTTTCAGTTAATAGTTTGATTCTCTGTGATTTTTTTCTTCTATTTAAAAAATCATGTTCTATCTTTTTAGAGTTTTTTCTTAAACTTTAACCTACAAAACTTAAAGTCATAAGACTTTAATGTGGAACCCTTTAGTTCTGATCAGTCTTCTGTTTGTTCTGCATTTTATTATTGAACAATATTTAATTCTACCTCATGTTTATGTACTTTCCAAGTAATACAATATATTCATTTTATTTAGTTTTAATTTAGAAATACTCACATATTTACTAACATTTTGCTTCATTCTTGCATCTCATACCTTCCAGGATCATTTGTGGTATTCATCACTAAGCCTTGATGTTTCATAAATAAAATTCAAAACGCTTTTTTTTAAGTAGAAAAAATGCATTAACTGAGAATCCTTAAGACTATAAAGATGCTGAATTCTAATAGATAAGAATTTTTTCTTTGTTAAGCTCTTCCTCAGTGCACTGATATTTAATAAGGAAAGAGGGGGAAAAAAAGACAGAACAGTAACATTTTAAAAAGATACCTGGCCGGGCGCGGTGTCTCACGCCTGTAATCCCAGCACTTTGGGAGGCTGAGGCAGGCGGATCACCTGAGGTCGGGAGTTCGAGACCAGCCTGACCAACATGGAGAAACCCCGTCTCTACTAAAATACAAAATTAGCCGGGCGTAGTGGCACATGCCTGTAATCCCAGCTACTCAGGAGGCTAAGGCAGGAGAATCACTTGAAACCTGGAGGCGGAGGTTGCGGTGAGCCGAGATGGCGCCATTGCAATCCAGCCTGGGCAACAAGAGTGAAACTCTGTCTCGAAAGAAAAAAAAAAAGATGCCAGATGTGGTGGCTCACGCCTGTAATCCCAGCACTTTGGTAGGCTGAGGTGAGAGGATCACTTGAGCCCAGGAGGTCAAGGCTGTAGTGAGCTGTGATCGCAGCACTGCACTCTAGACTGGGGGACAGTGGGACCCTCAGTAAAGAAAATAAAAAATAAAAAAGATGGGCTTTATTAAGCTCTATACACGATTTTTTGGGTAAATGCTTTAATATTTATTTTTCCTTTTTTTTTTTGAGATGGATTCTTGCTCAGTTGCCCAGGCTGGAGTGCAGTGGTGTGATCTTGGCTCACTGAAACCTCCACCTCCCAGGTTCAAGTGATTCTCATACCTCAGCCTCCTGAGTAGCTGGGATTACAGGCATGTGCCACCACACCCAGGTAATTTTTGTATTTTTAGTAGAGATGGGATTTCACTATGTTGGCCAGGTTGGTCTCGAACCCCTGATCTCAAGTGGTCCACCCATCTTGGACCTCCCAAAGTGCTGGGATTACAGGCATGAGCCACCACACCTGGCCAAATGCTTTAATTTAATAGTAATTCCAGTTGGTAGAACATTTAAATTTTTTCAGCTTAATAAAATGACAGAATTGCTATACCAAGGTTATTGCTGTTCTTAGTAATCTGGATGACAAAATAAGAAGTCATTTTGGGCTAGAGCACTTCTGCATACAGTATGGTCCCTCAGTATCCAGTAGGGGATTAGTTCCAGGACCCCCCCTTGTTACCAAAATTCGAGGAGGCTCAGGTTCCTTACATAAAATGGTTAGTATCTGTATATAACCTATGCACATCCTCCAATATGCATAAGTCATCTCTAGATTACTTATTTTACCTAATACAGTGCAAGTGCTATTTTAATAGTTGTTATACCGAATTGTTTTTATTTGTATTATTTTTATTGTTGTATTGTTATTTATTATTTATTTATTTTTATTTCAATAACTTTTGGGGTACAAATGGTTTTTGGTTTATTTCAATAACTTTTGGGGTACAAATGGTTTTTGGTTTATTTCAATAACTTTTGGGGTACAAATGGTTTTTGGTTACATGGATGAATTCTACAATGGCGAATTCTGAGATTTTAGGGCACCCATCACCCAAACAGTGTACATGATACCTGATATGTAGTATTTTATCCCTCACCCTCCTCCCAACCTCCCCACCCCAAGTCCCCAAACTCCATTATATCACTCTATCTCTTTGCGTCCTCATAGCCTAGCTCTTACTTATAAGCCAGAACATACGGTATTTGGTTTTTCATTCCTGAGTTGCTTCACTTAGAATAACGGCCTCCAGCTCCATCCAAGTTGGCTCACAAGACATTATTTTATTCCGTTTTGTGGCTGAGTAGTATTCCATGGTGTATACATACCACATTTTCTTTATCCCCTCTTTAGTTGATGGGCACTTATGTTGGTTATCTTTGCATTTGCAAATTGTGCCACTATAAATGTGTGTCTGCGTGTGTCTTTCTCATAGAATGACTTTTTTTCCTTTGGGTAGATCCCCAGTACTGGAATTGCTGGATCAAATGGTAGATCCTGCTTTTAGTTTTTTAAAGGAATCTCCATACTATTTTCCTTTGAGGTCGTATTAATTTATATTCTTACTAGCAGTGTAAATGTGTTCCCTCTTCACCACCTCCATGCCAACATCTATTGTTTTTTGACTTTTAATTATGGCCATTCTTGTAGGAGTAAGGTGGTATCTCATTACGGTTTTAATTTGCATTTCCCTAATGATTAGTGATGTTGAGCATTTTTTCATATGTTTGTTGGCTGTATATCTTCTTTTGAGAAATGACTGTTCATGGCCTTTGCCCACTTTTTGATGGGATTATTTGTTTTTTTCCTTGTTGATTTGTTTGAGTTCCTTGTAGATTCTGGATACGAATCCTTTGTCAGATACATAGTTTGCAAATATTTTCTACCACTCTGTGGGTTGTCTGTTTACTCTGTTAATTATTTCTTTTGTTGTGTAGAAGCTCTTTAGTTTAGTTAGGTCCTGATATGGTTTGGCTATGTTCCCACCCAAATCTCATCTTGAATTCCCACATGTTGTAGGAGGGACCCAGTGGGAGATAATTGAATCATGGGGGGCAAGTCTTTCCCATGCTGTTCTCAGGATAGTGAATAAGTCTCATGAGATCTGACTTTTTTTTTTTTTTTTTTTTTTTTTTTAAGACAGAGTCTCACTCTGTTGCCAGGCTGGAGTACAGTGGCACGATCTCAGCTCACTGCAACCTCTGCCTCCTGGTTTCAAGCGATTCTCCTGCCTCAGCCTCCAGAGTAGCTGGAACTTCAGGCGCACACCACCCCCACCAGCTAATTTTTGTATTTTTAGTAGAGATGGGGTTTCACCATGTTGGCCAGTATTGTCTCGATCTCTTGACCTTTGGGAGGCTGTTCGCCTCGGCCTCCCAAAGTGCTGGGACTACAGGTGTGAGCCACTGCATACGGCGAGATCTGATCTCTCTCTTATCCCTGCTACCATCCACATAAGACATGACTTGCTCCTCCTTGCCTTCTGTCATGATTGTGAGGCTTCCCCAGCCATGTGGAACTATAAGTCCAATTAAACCTCTTTCTTTTTTTTTTTCTTTTTAAGATGGAGTCTCACTGTGTCATCCAGGCTGGAGTGCAGTGGCGCAATCTAGGCTCACTGCAAGCTCCGCCTCCTGGGTTCATGCCATTCTCCTGCCTCAGCCTCCCAAGTAGCTGGGACTACAGGCACCAACCAGCATGCCTGGCTGATTTTTTTTTTTTTTTTTTTTTGTATTTTTAGTGGAGACAGGGTTTCACCATGTTAGCCAGGATGGTCTCAATCTCCTGACCTCGTGATCCACCCACCTCGGCCTCCCAAAGTCCTGGGATCACAGGCGTGAGCCACTGCGCCCGGCCACCTCTTTCTTTTGTAAATTGCCCTGTCTCAGGTATGTCTTTATCAGCAGCCTGTACTAATAGACTAATACAGTAAATTGGTACCAGTAGAGTGGGGTGTTGCTGAGTAGATACCCAAAAATGTGGAAATGACTTTGGAACTGGGTAACAGGCAGAGATTGGAACAGTTTGGAGGACTCAGAAGAGAGGAAAATGTAGGAATGTTTGCAACTCCCTAAAGACTTGTTGAATGACTTTGACCAAAATGCTGATAATGATGTGGACAATGAAATCCAGGCTAAGGTGGTCTCAGATGGAGATGAGGAAATTTTGGGAACTGGAGCAAAGGTGACTCTTGTTATGTTTTAGCAAAGAGACTGGCAATATTTTGCCTCTGCCCTAGAGATTTGTGGAACTTTGAACTTGAGAGAGATTATTGAGGGTATCTGGCAGAAGAAATTTCTAAGCAGCAAGGCATACAAGAGGTGACTTGGGTGCTATTAAAGGCATTCAGTTTTATAAGGGAAACAGAGCATAAAAGTTCAGAAAATTTGCAGTCTGACAATCCGATAGAAAAGAAAATCCCATATACTGCGAAGAAACTCAAGGCTGCATAAATTTGCATAAGTAACGAGGAACCAAATGTTAATCCCCAAGACAATGGGGAAAATGTCTCCAGGGCATGTCAGAGGTCTTCATGGCAGTCCCTCCCATCAGAGGCCCAGAGGCCTAGGAGGAAAGGATGGTTTTGTGGGCTGGGCCTAAGGTCCCTGTGCTGTGTGCAGCCTAGGGACTTGGTGCCCTATGTCCCAGCCATTCCAGCTGTGGCTGAAAGGGGCCAATGTGGATCTCAGGCCATGGCTTTAGAGGGTATAAGCCCCACCCTTGGCAACCTCCATGTGGTGTTGAGTGCACAGAAGTCAAGAACTGAGGTTTGGGAACCTCTGCCTAGATTTCAGAAAATGTATGGAAATGCCTGTATGTCCACGCAGAAGTTTGCTGCAGGGGTGGGCCTCTCATGGAGAACCTCTGCTAGGGCAGTGTGGAAGGGAAATGTGGGGTCAGAGTCCCCACACAGAATCCCTACTGGGGTACCACCTAGTGGAGCTGTGAGAAGAGGGCCACCAGTCCCCAGGGTCCTCAAGACCCCAGAATGGTAGATCCACTGACAGCTTGCACCATGCGCCTGGAAAAGCCACAGACACTCAATGCCAACCCAGGAAAGCAGCTGGGAGACAGTCTGTACCCCGCAGAGTCACAGGGGCGGAGCTGCTGAAGACCATGGGAACCCACATCTTGCATCAGCATGACCTGGATGTGAGACGTGGTGACAAGGGAGATCATTTTGGAGATTTAAGATTTGACTGCCCCACTGGATTTTGGACTTGCATGGGACCTGTAGCCCCTTTGTTTTGCCCAACTTCTCCCATTTGGAATGGCTGTATTTACCCAATGTCTGTACCTTGACTGTATCTAGGAAGTAACTAACCTGCTTTTGATTTTACAAGCTCATAGGTGGAAGAGACTTGCCTTGTCTCGGATGAGACTTTGGACTGTGGATTGTTGAGTTAATGCTGAAATGAGTTAAGATTTGGGGGACTATTGGGAAGGCACGATTGGTTTTGAAATGTGAGGAGATGAGATTTGGGAGGGGCCAGGGGCAGGATGATATGGTTTGGCTGTGTCCCCACCCAAATCTCATCTTGAATTCCTGTGGGAGATAATTGAATCATGGTGGCAAGTCTTTCCTGTGCTGTTCTCATGACAGTGAATAAGTGTCATGAGATCTCATGGTTTTAAAAAGAGGAGTTCCCCTGCACAAGCTCTCTCTTTTTGCCTGCTGTCATTCATGTAAGACGTGACTTGCTCCTCCTTGCCTTCAGCCATAATTGTTAGGCTTCCCCAGCCATGTGGAACTGTAAGTCCAATTAAACCTCTTTCTTTTGTAAATTGCTCTATCTTAGGTATGTCTTTATCAGCAGTGTGAAAACGGATTAATATAGGTCCCATTTATTTATTTTTGGTTTTGTCACATTTGCTTTTGGGGTGTTAGTCATGAATTCTTTGCCTAGGCCAATGTCCAGAAAAGTTTTCCAATGTTATATTCCAGAATTTTTATGGTTTCAGGTCTTAGATTTAAGTCTTTATACATCTTGAGTTGATTTTTGTATAGGGCGAGAGATGGAGATCCAGTTTCACTCTTTTTTTTTTTTTTTTTTTGAGATGGAGTCTCACTCTGTTGCCCAGGCTGGAGTGCAGTGGCACGATCTCAGCTCACTGCAACCTCCACCCTCCAAGTTCAAGCGATTTTCCTGCCTCAGCGTCCCAAATAACTGAGATTACAAGCACCTGCCACTGGGCCCAGCTGATTTTTTGTATTTTTTTAGTAGAGCTGGGATTTCACCATCTTGGCCAGGCTGGTCTTGAACTCCTGACCTCACGATCCACCCACCTCAGCCTCCCAAAGTGCTAGGATTACAGGTGTGAGCCACTGCGCCTGGCCTCCAGTTTCAGTCTTTTATATGTGGCTTGTCAGTTTTCCCAGCACCATTATTTATTTATTTATTTATTTATTTATTTATTTATTTATTTTAGAGATGGAGTCTTGCTCTGTCACCCAGGCTAGAGTGCAGTGGCGCGATCTCGGTTCACTGCAACCTCTGCCTCCCGGGTTCAAGCAATTCTCCTGCCTCAGCCTCCCAAGTAGCTGGGATTACAGGTGCCCACCACCATACCTGGCTAAGTTTTGTGTTTTTAGTAGAGATGGGGTTTCACCATGTTGGCTAGGCTGGTCTCAAACTCCTGACCTTGTGATCTGCCCACCTCGGCCTGTAATCAAAGTGCTGGGGTTACAGGCATGACTCACCATGCCTGGCCTTCCAGCACCATTTATTGAATAGGGTATCCTTTCTCCAATTTATGTTTTTGTATGGTTTGTTGAAGATCAATTGGCTGTAAGTATTTGGTTTTATTTCTGGGTTCTCTATTCTGTTCCATTGGTCTAAGTGCCTATTTTTATACTAGTCCCAGTAGTACTGGTACTACAGTACTGTAGTCTACAGTCTTGTAGTATAATTTGAAGTCCAGTAATGTGATGCCTCCACATTTGTTCTTTTTGCTTAGGATTGCTTTGGCTATGCAGGCTCTTCTTTGGTTTCATGCGAACTTTAGGGTTGTTTTTCTAGTTCTGTGAGAAATGATGATGATATTTTGTTAGGAATAGCATAAAATCTGTAGTTTGCTTTGGGTAGTATGGTCATTTTCACAATATTACCTTCCCATCCATGAACATGGCATATGTTTCCATTTTTTTGTGTGTCATCTATGATTTCTTTCAGCATGTTTTGTAGTTTTCCTTGTAGAGATCTTTCACCTCCCTTGATTAAGTACACTCCTAGGGTATTGTTTTTGGGTTTTTTTTTTTTTTTTTTTTCAGTTGTTATAAAAGGGATTGAATTCTTGATTTGATTCTCAGTTTGGTCATCGTTGGCATACAGTAGTGCTACTGATTTGTGTACATTAATTTTGTAAACTGAGACTTTATTGAATTTATTAGATCTAGGAGCCTTTTGCATAAGTCTTTAGGGTTTTCGAGGTATACAGTCCTATCATCATCAAGCAATCCTCCCACCTCAGCCTCCCAAAGCAATCCTCACATTTCGGCCTCCCAAAGTGTTGGGATTACAGGCGTGAGCCACTGCCCCTAGCTTATTTTTAATTTGTAAATTTTTTTCTCAAATATTTTCCATTCTTTCTTGGTTGAATTTGAGGATGCAGAACCTGCAGCTGTGATGTCCTGACTGCGCTGAAATATGATGGTTGTCTCAAGAAAAAGTTATTGGGGCCTGGTGCAGTGGCTCACACCTGTAATCTCACCACTTTGGGAGGACAAAGTGGGAGGATTGCTTGAGGCCAGGAGTTTAAGACCAGCCTGGGCAACTTAGTGAGACCCTATCTCTACCAAAAATAAAAGAAATTAGCTGTGCATGGTGGCATGTGCCTGTAGTCCCAGCTACTTGGGAGTCAAAGGTCGGGGAATTGCTTGAGCCTGGGAGGTCAAGGCTGCAATAAGCCATGAAAGAAAGCACCACTGCACTCCAGCCTGGGTGACAGAGCAAGACTCTGAAAAAAAAAAAGAAAGAAAGAAAAGAAAGGAAGGAAGGAAGAAAGGAAGAAAGGGAGAAAGAAAAAGTTCTTGGATAGGCTGGGCACGGTGGCTCACGTCTGTAATCCCAGCACTTTGGGAGGCCGAGGCAGGCGGATCACGAGGTCAAGAGTTCGAGACCAGCCTGACCAACATAGTGAAACCCTGTCTCTGCTAAAAATACAAAAATTAGCTGGGCGTAGTGGCGCGTGCCTGTAATCCCAGCTACTTGGGAGGCTGGGGCAGGAGAATCGCTTGAACCTGGGAGGTGGAGGTTGGTTGCAGTGAGCCAAGATCGCACCACTGCATTCCAGCCTGGGTGACAGAGCGAGACTCTTGTCTCAAAAAAAAAAAAAGAAAAAAGAAAAGAAAAAGTTCTTGGATAATTTAAGTTGTGAGCTGAAGTAGCATTTATTTTGTGGAATTCTTTTATATAGTTAAAAATATTTTCTGAAATGAAATGTTGTCTGTGAGTTTTAAAGGCAAAATTGTAAATTTATCATGAAATCAATTTTCTAAATACTGGTCAATATAAATTGGAAAATGCTGCTGTACCTGCTGCCATCTGCTGGCAGGTTTCATTTCCCTAAAACAGCAATTTTCAAAGTGTGGTCTATGGATCCTGGGGGGAATGGGGGGAAAGAGGTCCCTGAGATCCCTTCCTGAGTATCCATGATATCAAAACTGTATTCCTAATAATACTATAACTTTATCTTTTTCACTCTGTTGATATTTGCTCTGATGGCGGGCAAAACCACTGAGGATCTTTGGACAAATCAAGGCACAACCACCAAACTGAACTTAAAAATGTACTTTCTTCACTGCTGTGCACTCCCAGAACCAGTTTCACTTAATAATGTCCTTGCAGGGCCAGGTGCGGTGGCTCACACCTATAATACCAGAACTTCGGGAGGCCGAGGCGGGAGAATCACTTGAGACCAGGAGTTCAAGACCATCCTGGTCAACCTAGCAAGACCCCATCTCTATAAAAAATAAATTCAAAAAAAAATTAGCTGGGTGTGGTGGCACGCACCTGTAGTCCTTAGCTATTTGGCAGGTTGAGGCAGGAGGATCTTTTGAGCCCAGGAGTTCAAGGTTACAGTGAGCTATGATTGTGCCACTGCACTTCAGCCTGGGTGACAGAGCAAGACTTTGTCTGTAATAATAATAATGATAATAGGCCGGGAGCGGTGGCTCACGCCTGTAATCCCAGCACTTTGGGAGGCCGAGGCGGGTGGATCACGAGGTCTGAAGATCAAGACCATCCTGGCTAACACGGTGAAACCCCTCTCTACTAAAAAATACAAAGCATTAGACGGGCGTGGTGGCGGGCGCCTGTAGTCCCAGCTACTCGGGAGGCTGAGGCAGGAGAACGGCGTGAACCCAGCAGGCGGAGCTTGCAGTGAGCCAAGATCGCGCCACTGCACTCCAGCGACAGAGCAAGACTCCATCTCAAAAAAATACATATATATAATAATAATGATAATAATCTCTTTGATAAAGTAGGAAAAAGTAATTTTTTTATCTCTACCCTTGAATTCACATGGAACTCCATTTTGCTTGAAAAAATGACAAACCATATATGATTCTTCTTTTTTTTTTTTTTTGATATAGGGTCTGGCTCTGTCACCCAGGCTGGAGTACAGTGGTGGGATCTTGGCTTACTGCAGCCTCTGCCTCCAGGGCTCAAGTGATCCTCCTTCTTCAGCCTCCTGAGTAGCTGGGACTACAGGCATGCACCACGACGCCTGGCTAATTTTTGTATTTTTTGTAGAGATGGAGTTTTCCCATGTTGTCCAGGCTGGCCTTGAACTCCTGGGCTCAAGCAATCCACCTGCCTTGGCCTCTCAAAATGTTGGGATTACAGGCATGAGCCACTGCACCGGGCCCCTTTATGATTCTTTAAACAAGGTGTTTGGTAGATATTTTATTGAAAATAAATAAAATAAGCTTGTGATTTCAAGTGAAACAACTGATAATGTTTGTCGCCACTGGTAAAATTTGAGCTTTCAAGCAAAAATTATACTTTAAGAAAATTTGTATTTGTTATCATGAATATGACCACTTGCCAGGAAGAATTTTCTGATGAGATCAGTGTGACATTACTGAATCCCATACGGTAGGCAGAATAATGGCCCCCAAGGGTGTCCATGTTCTAATCCCCAGAACCAGTGAATGTGTTTCTCTACATTCCAAAGGAACCTGGGTTAGGTGTAATAACAAGGGTCCTTGTAAAAAGAAGGCATGAGTTAAGAGAGGAGAGAAGATGCTACATTGCTGGCTTTAAAGACGGAGGAAGAGGCCATGAACCAAGGAATGTAGGTGGCCACTGGAAGCTGGAAAAGACAAGGAAACAGATTCTTCCCTAGAACCTCTAGAAGGAACCAGCCCTACTAACACCCAGAGAAACTGATTTCTGATTTCTGCCTGCCAGACTGTAAGATGGTAAATTAACGTTCTTTAAGCCACTGAATTTTGTAGTGGTTGTTTGTTACAACAGTAACAAAAAACTCTTACAGTGAGGTTTTGATATTGCATAATGAAATGTGAAAAATTTCACATTTTTCTTAAATCTCACAATTCAACTTGACTGAACCTTAACCAAATTGATCCCACTTCTCAATTATATGCAAGTAGGATCATTTACCAGCACTCAGTAATTAATGACATATCTCTTTTCCTTTTTTTAATAAAACCAGGAGACCCAAAGAAATACATCTTGGAATTTTTAACAATGTGTTCATGTCTCATACAGGAAATGAGCCTGGATCCTAAAACGATGGTAGATGATGGGTTTTATAATTGAGACAAACTGTTGTGCCATGGATATATTTTATTACACGAACTGATTACATCTGCTTGTTGTGTGTTGTAAATATTGTTCACATAAGTGATTTTGGTTCTCAAAGGTATGTGTATACTTAGGCACACACATAGAAACACACTGTGGTTTGATGAGATGTTCCTGTTATCATTTTTGTGATATTTTGTTATATAAAGTTATAAATATTTTCAGAGAAAGAAAAAGTTATTTTGTTTAAGTATCATTAATATTACATGAAAAAAATACGTATTTTTTGAGACGAAGTCTTGCTCTGTTGCCCAGGCTGGGGTGCAATGGCACGATCTCGGCTCAATGCAACCTCTGCCTCCTGGGTTCAAGTGATTCTCCTGCCTTAGCCTCCTGAGTAGCTGGGATTACAGTCATGTGCCACCATGCCCGGCTAATTTTTTTATTTTTAGTGGAGATGAGGTTTTACCATGTTGGCCAGGCTGGTCTCCAACTCCTGACCTCAGGTGATCCACCCACCTTGGCCACCCAAAGTGCTGGGATTACAGGCGTGAGCCACTGCACCTGGCCTTTGAAAATATTTTGAATCAAAATAAATTAAGTTTCAGCCAGGCACATGGCTCATTACTGTAATTCCAGAACTTTGGGAGGCCAAGACAGGAGGATTAGTTGAGCCCAGGAAGTTTGAGTTTGCAATGAGCTGTGATTGCACCACTGTACTCCAGCCTGGGTGACACAGATACTGTCTCTCTAAAAAAGCTTTTTAAAAACTAAATTTCACATTAAGTATCACTTATCTTGGAATGTTCTTTGGAATGTCCAAATGTCCAAATGCAGTGAGAGAACCACAGTGACAATGTTCAGCCATTCATATTTCATTTCCCTCTCCACACTGACATCTGGCACTTAGGAAGGCTTAGTACATCCCAGCCCTTAACCCTGTGGTGCTAATATTTACGCAGGGTCAGTGGCTGAGTGTTGATGTGGGAGTGTCCAGGAAATGACAGGGGCTAAAGGAGGCTGGGGGAGAGGGATGAGGGGAGGAAAAGGATATCTACTCCCAAGGGATGGGAGAGACAGTATTTGACACCCGAGGACTCTGAGGAAGGAGTAATCCTAAGGGGCTGGCCCTGGGTTTCTTCTACTGTTTCTAAACAGGCTCACTTTTCTTTGTTGAAAGCCTGGGTTTTGCAGTTTATGGCCCCACTATTTGGCTCAACATGGTGCTATTATTTTTTTCTTTTTTTTCTTTTTTGAGACAGGGTCTCACTCTGTCACACAGGCTGGAGTGCAGCGGCACGATCTCGGCTCACTGCAACCTCCACCTCCCGAGTCCAAGCGATTCTTATACCTCAGCCTCCCTAGTAGCTAGGACTACAGGCATGCCACCACGCCCGGCTAATTTTTTGTATTTTTAATAGAGATGGAGTTTCACCATGTTGGCCAGGCTGGTCTCATACTCCTGACCTCAAATGATCTGGCCGCCTCGGCCTCCCAAAGTGCTGGGATTACAGGCATGAGCCACCACACCGAGCCAGTGCTATTATTTTCTGACAGTTTTTCCTTCTCTTTTTACGCTAGACCAAAAAAAACATGGCAGCAACAGATCATGGTGCGCCTCCGCAGTCTCTGCCAGTTGCCACAGCCACCTCCTGCCTCCACAGGTCCCACCCAAGGATTCTCAGAGGTGCAGGAATGAGATTTCTTTCCAGCTCCCTTCCTGGTGGTGGCTCCTCATGTCACACAGAAATAGTTACCACCACGCTGTGGGAACTATTTCTCTATAGTAAAATTCCCTGTGATATTTTCTTTTCCCTATTATCCTTTCGTAGACAACATGGCAGTATTAAAATTGTTTATATTCTTCAAATATATGCACCTGTGTTTATATATGTTGTGTTTCCAATCGTGTTTAACAGAGAAGGGATGGATTCTTAGGTCAGGAGGGAGAAAGAATCTCATCCAGGGCTGACTGAAAAGTAGGAGGAAACTGGTTATTCCAGAGACAGGATTTGATAGTTTGTATACAGGTAGGTGGGTAGGTGGTTGTTGGTGCAGAGAATATATCCTAAAGAATTGCATCCTTGGGTGATGAGACATTTTGGTATTAGTGATTATGGAAGAGGCAGCTCTCTTCTGGCCTTTAACATACTCGTTTTTTGTTTTTTGTTTTTTTTTTTTTTGAGACAGAATTTCACTCTTGTTGCCCAGGCTGGAGTGCAACGGTGTGATCTCAGCTCACTGCAACCTCCACCTTCCGAGTTCAAGTGATTCTCCTACCTCAGCCTCAGGAAAGTAGCTGAAATTACAGGCGCCCGCCACCACTCCCAGCTAATTTTTGTATTTTTAGTAAAGACGGGTTCACCATGTTGGCAGGGCTAGTCTCAAACTCCTGATCTCAGGTGATCCACCTGCCCGTCTCCCAAAGTGCTGGGATTACAGGAATGAGCCACCGTGCCTGGCCCGTACTTATTTATTAATATAAACAAATTAATAATCAGACTTATAATTTAGTTATATATTTATGTTAGTTTCCCAAAGGGCTAATTTTACACAATGAGGCTTCAGTCTGGGGAGTAGGACATTATTTGGGGCTTAAAAAAAGAAAAAAAGATGGTCAATCTATCTCTGGAATATTGAAGTTCATTTCTGGATACTTTATTCTGTATCCATGGTTTTATCCCTGCACCAATACCACCAATACCAATCAGGTTGTTAGTTTTTGTTATTGTTTTTGAGTTGTAGAAGTTCTTTATCTATTTTGAATATTAACCTCTTGTTGGATATATGATTTGCAAATATTTTCTCCCATAGCATCCAACCCCTTGAAACTCTGTCTCAAAAAAACAAAACACACACACACACAAACACACACACACACACACAAACGAGTATGTGAAAGCCCAGAAGAGAGCTGCCTCTTACATAGTCACTAATACTGAGAGGTGACAGCGTGCTGGCAGTCCTCAGAGCCCTCGCTTGCTCTCGGCGCCTCCTCTGCCTGGGTTCCCACTTTGGCGGCATTTGAGGAGCCCTTCGGCCCGCCGCTGCACTGTGGGAGCCCCATTCTGGGCTGGCCAAGGCCAGAGCCGGCTCCCTCAGCTTGCAAGGAGGTGTGGAGGGAGAGGCGCGAGCAGGAACCAGGGCTGCGAGCAGCGCTTGCGGGCCAGCTGGAGTTCTGGGTGGGCGTGGGCTTGGCTGACCCCGCACTTGGAGAAGCCCGCCAGCCCTGTCGGCCCCGGGCAGTGAGGGGCTTAGCACCCGGGCCAGCGGCTGCGGAGGGTGTACTGGGTCCCCCAGCAGTGCCAGCCCACAGGCGCTGCGCTCAATTTCTCGCTGGGCCTTAGCTGCCTTCCCACGGGGCAGGCCTCGGGACTGCAGCCCACCATGCCTGAGCCTTCCCCCGCCTCCGTGGGTTCCTGTGCAGCCTGAGCCTCCCCGACGAATGCCGCCCCCTGCTCCAGGGCGCCCAGTCCCATCGACCGCCCAAAGGGTGAGGAGTGCGAGCGCATGGCGCGGGACTGGCAGACAGCTCCACCTGCAGCCCCAGTGCGGGATCCACTGGGTGAAGACAGCTGGGCTCCTGAGTCTGGTAGGGATGTGGAGTCTTTATATCTAGCTCAGGGATTGTAAGCACACCAATCAGCACCCTGTGTTTAGCTCAAGGTTTGTGAATGCACCAATGGACACTCTGTATCTAGCTGCCCTGGTGGGGACGTGGAGAACCTTTATGTCTAGCTCAGGGATTGTAAATACACCAATCAGCACCCTGTGTTTAGCTCAAGGTTTGTGAGTGCACCAATCGACACTCTGTATCTGGCTGCTCTGGTGGGGAGGTGGAGAACCTTTATGTCTAGCTCAGGGATTGTAAATACACCAATCGGCACTGTGTATCCAGCTCAAGGTTTGTAAACACACCAATCAGCACCCTGTGTTTAGCTCAAGGTTTGTGAATGCACCAATCGACACTCTGTATCTAGCTGCTCTGGTGGGGCCTTGGAGAACCTGTGTGTCCAAATTCTGTATCTAACTAATCTGATGGGGACGTGGAGAACGTTTGTATCTAGCTCAGGGATTGTAAACGCACCAATCAGCGCCCTGACAAAACAGGCCACTGGGCTCTACCAATCAGCAGGATGTGGGTGGGGCCAGATAAGAGAATAAAAGCAGGCTGCCGGACCAGCATTGGCAACCCGCTGGGGTCCCTTTCCACAGTGTGGAAGCTTTGTTCTTTTGCTCTTTACAACAAATCCTGCTACTGTTCGCTCTTTGGGTTAACTGCTTTTATGAGCTGTAACACTCACTGTGACAATTTGCAGCTTCACTCCTCAGCCCAGCGAGACCACGAGCCCACTGAGAGGAACGAACAACTCCAGACGCACTGGTTTAAGAGCTGTAACACTTAACGAAGAAAGTCTGCAGCTTCACTCCTGAGCCAGCGAGACCCCGACCACATCTGAGACCCTGAGCACATCTGAACATAAGAAAGGACAAACTCCAGGCGCGCCACCTTAAGAGTTTAACAGTCACCGCGAGGGTCCGAGATTTCATTCTTGAAGTCGGTGAGACCAAGAACCCACTAATTCCAGATACAATACCAAAATGTCTGATCACCCAAGGATGCAATCCTTTAGAATATATTTTCTGTGCCAACAACCACCAATACCAATCAGGTTGTTTTTGTTGTTTTTTTTTTTAAGTTGAAGTTCTTTTGAATATTAACCCCTTGTTTGATATATGTTTGATATATAATTGGCAAATATTTTCTCCCATTCTGTGGGTTGTGTTGTCTTTTCATTTTTTTTTTTTTTTTTTTTTTTTTTTGAGATGGAGTCTTGCTCTGTTGCCTAGGCTGCAGTGCAGTGGTGTGATCTTGGCTCACTGCAAGCTCCGCCTCCCGGATTCACACCATTTTTCTGCCTCAGCCTGCCGCGTAGCTGGGACTACAGGCGCCTGCCACCACGCCTGGCTAATTTTTTGTATCTTTGGTAGAGACCGGGTTTCACTGTGTTAGCCAGGATCGTCTCGATCTCTTGACCTTGTGATCTGACTGCCTTGGCCTCCCAAAGTGCTGGGATTACAGGCATGAGCTACCACGCCTGGCCTTTTTTTTTTTTTTTTTTTTAAAGGCAGTGTCTGTCACCCAGGCTGGAGTGCAGTGGCACAGTCTTAGCTCACTGCAACCTCCACTTCTTCAGTTCAAGTGATCCTCCCACCTCAGCCTCCCAAGTAGCTAGGATTACAGGTGTGCACAACCACACCAGCTCAATTTTTTTTATTTTTAATAGAGACGGGGTTTTACCACGTTGGCCGTGCTGGTCTTGAACTCCTGACCTCAAATGATCTGCCTGCCTCAGCCTCCCAAAGTGCTGGGATTACAGGTGTGAGCCATTGTTCCCCACCTTCACTCTTTTGATGGTGCCCTTTGATGCATAGAAGTTTTAAATTTTGATGTAGTCCAATTAACCTATTTTTACTTTTATTAGCTGTACTTTTGGTACAAGAAATCACTGCCAAATCCATTGTCATGAAGTTTTTCCTCTATATTTCCCTCTAAGAATTTTATAGTTTTAGCTATTACATTTAGGTCTTTGACCCATTTCGAGTTAATTTTTATATATGATGTAAGGTTAAGGTCTAATTTTATTCTTTTGCATGTGAGTGTACAGTTTTCCTAGCATCATTTATTGAAAAGATATGCTTTCTCTATTGAATGGTCTGTCTGGCAACTTTCTCAAAAATAATTTGACCATGTCTCCCAGAGAATGTGCTAAGGGACACCATTATTATACAATGGGTATGTGACAGAGTAAAGGCAATGCAGAAAAAAATTAATTTAACCATACATATGAAGGTTTATTTCTGGGCTCTCTCTTCTATTCCATTGGTCTATGTGTCTGTCTTTGTGCCAGCACCACATTGTTTTGCTTACTGTGGCTTTGTAATAAGTTGTTTTTTTTTTTTTTTTGAGACAGAGTGTTGTTCTGTCTCCCAGGCTGGAGTGCAATGGCACAATCTCGGCTCACTGCAACCTCTGCCTCCCGGGTTCAAGTGATTCTCCCGCCTCAGCCTCCTGAATAGCTGAGATTACAGGCGCCTGCCACCACACCCAGCTAATTTTTGTATTTTTTAGTAGAGACAGGGTTTCGCCATGTTGGCCAGGCTGGTCTCGATCTCCTAACTTCAGGTGATCCACCCACCTTAGCCTCCCAAAGTGCTGGGATTACAGGCGTGAGTCACCATGCCCGGCTGTAGTAAGTTTTGAAACAGGGAAGTGTTTAACTTTGTTCTTTTCCAAAATTGTTTTGGCTATACAGGGTCCCTTGAGATTTCATATGGAATTTTAGGATGGATTTTTGTATTTCTGCAAAAAAAAAAAAAAAAGCCATTGAGATTTTCATAGATATGGCATTTAATCTGTAGATTGCTTTGGATAGTATTGACTTCTTAACAATATTAAGTCTTCTAATACGTGAACACAGGATGTCTTTCCATTTATTTGTCTGGTCTTTAATTTCTTTCAACAAAGTTTTGTAGTTTTCAGTGTATATGTCTTTTACCTCCTTGGTTAAGTTTATTTCTAAGTATTTTATTCTTTTGATGCCATTGTAAATGGAATTTTAAAAAATTCCCTTTTCAGATTGTTCATTGTTAGTGTATAAAATGCAACTGGGAGGCTGAGGCAGGAGAATCACTTTAACTCAGGAGGCGGAGGTTGCGGTGAGCCGAGAGCACGCCATTGCACTCCAGCCTGGGCAACAAGAGCGAAACTCCATTAAAAAAAAAAATTTCCCTTCTTTTAATGAGCTAAGGATTTGCTTCTTTTTCCCCCTCAAAATCATGAATATTTTTATTTATTCATATTTTTAAGACAGCGTCTTGCTGTCACCCACGCTGGAGTGCAGTGACACAAACATGGCTCACTGCAGCCTTGACTTCCCATACTCAAGCGACCCTCCTGCCTCAGCCTACCAACTAGCTGGGACTACAGGTGCGCAACACTACTTCTGGCTAATTTTTGTAATTTTTTTTTTTTTTGAGAGATGGGGTTTCACCATGTTGCCCAGGCTGGTCTTGAACTCCTGGGCTCAAGTGATCTGCCTGCCACAAGTGCTGAGATTACAGGTGTGAGCGACTGTGCCTGGCCGTTGTTTTTTTTTTTTAATTGACAATTATATATATGGTGTACAATATGATGCTTTGAAATATATATACATTGTGGAATGGCTAAAGCAAGCTAATTAACATACACATTACCTCATATATATATATTATATATATATATTCTTTGGTGAGAACACTTAAATGTACTCTCTTAATTTTCAAGTATATAATATATGGTTATTAACTATAATCACCATGTTGTACAATAGATCTCTTGAATTTCTGCCTGCTGGTCTAACTGAAATTTTGTATCTTTTGACCCACATCTATCTAACCCAGCACCCCCAATCCCTGCTATCATTCTACTCTCTGCTTCTGTAAGTTCTTCTTTTTCAGATTTCACATATAAATAAGATCATGTGGGATTTCTGTGCCTGGCTTATTTCACTTAACATAATATGTCCTCCAGGTTCACCTATGTTGTCACAAATGACAGGTTTTGTTTTTCTTATTCAATGCTTTTTCTGAGACATAGGGCTTTTCTCTCTTACTCTGCTAATATGGTGATTTGTATTAATAGATTCACTAATATTAACTTTGCATTTCTGAAATGAAGTTTATCATTATGTATTTTTTCAACTATAGTGAATTTGGTGTGTTAATATTTTGTGTAGGAAATTTGCATTAATATATTCAAGTGAAATTCAGTAATTTTTTCTTTGGTTTTGTTATCAACGTTATATTAACTCTATCAAATGAGTTTATTTTTATTTATTTATTTGGAGGCAGAGTCGCAGAGTCTCGCTCTGTCACCCAGACTGGGGTGCATTAGCATGATCTTGGCTCACTGCAACCTCCGCCTCTTGGGTTCAAGCAATTCTTGTGCCTCAGCCTCTCAATTACCTGGAATTACAGGTGTGTGCCACCACATCCAGGTAATTTTTGTATTTTCAGTAGAGATGGGGTTTTTGCCATGTTGGCCAGGCTGGTCTCAAACTCCTGACCTCAAGTGATCTGCCCGCCTCAGCCTCCCAAAGTGCTGGGATTACAGGCTCAAGCCACCGCGCCCGGCAATCAGAGTTTAGTGTGTTATTTTTTGTATTTCTGGGGGAAAAATATGCATGAGATCAGAATTTTACAGAAATTCCCCCTTATTGCTTTCCTCAGTTTCAGGTAGATGAGGTCAACTATGGTCCAAAAATATTAAATTGAAAATTCCAGGCGGGGTGCATGGCTCACGCCTGTTATCTCAGCACTTTGGGAGGCCAAGGCGGGCGGATCACCTGAGGTCAGGAGTTTGAGACCAGCCTGAGCAACATGGTGAGACCCCGTCTCTACTAAAAAATACAAAAATTAACTGGGCATGGTGGCGGGCGCCTGTAATCCCAGTTACTAAGGAGGCTGAGGCAGGAGAATCCCTTGAACCCGGGAGGCAGAGGTTTCACTGAGCCGAGATCGTGCCATTGCACTCCCGCCTGGGTAACAGAGCAAGACTCTGTCTCAAAAAAAAAGAAAAGAAAAGAAAATTCCAGAAATAAACAATTCTTTAAGTTTTAAGTAGCATGCCATTCTGAGTAGCATGTTGGAATCTTAGTCATCCCACAGGAGATGTGAATCATCCCTTTGTCCGGCATATCCATACTGCATATGTTACCTGCCCATTAATCATGGAGTAGTCATCTGAGTTACCTGATGAAAAAATATAGTACTATACATAGGGTTTGGCACTATCTGTGGTTTCAGGTGCCCACTAGGGGTCTTGGAACGTATCTCCCAAGGATAAGGGAGGATTACTATATGTACCTTGAATGTTTGATGGAATTTGCCTGTAAAATCATCTTCTGTTAGTTTGATTTTGTGCAATGCATTTAAACTACTGATAAGTGGTTTCTTTCCTTTTCTTTTCTTTTCTTTTTTTTTTTTTTCTGACCCAGGGTCTCACTTTGTCACCCAGGATGGAGTGCAGTGGCAAGATCTCCGCTCACTGCAACCTCCGCCTCCCAGGTTCAAGCGATTCTCTTGCCTCAGCCTCTTGAGTAGCTGGGATTACAGGTGCCTGCGACCATGCGCAGCTAAGTTTTGTATTTTTAGTAGAGACGGGGTTTCGCCATGTGGGTCAGGCTTGCTTTGAACTCCTGACCTCAGGTGATCCAGCAGCCTTGGCTTCCCAAAGTGGTGGGATTACAGGCGTGAGCCACCGCGCCCGGCCTAGTTTTTGTTTCTAATCGCTAGTCTGTATTTGCAGTTTTAAGTTTCCTTTTTTCTCTCTTCTGCTTCTTTGCCTATCTTCCTAGAGGTATGCCAATTACATTAGTGTTTCCAAATACTTTAGTGGGCTTATTTTACTTTTGATTTCTGTTCTTATATGTGTCATTTTTTTTTTCATTTTCTTTTCTTTTCTTTTTATTTTTTGAGATGGAGTTTCGCTCTTGTTGCCCAGGCTGGAGTGCAATGGCGTGATCTTGGCTCACCGCAACCTCTGCCTCCTGGCTTAAAGTGATTCTCCTCCCTCAGCCTCCTGAGTGGCTGAGATTACAGGCATGCGCCACCATGCCTGGCTAATTTTGTATTTTTAGTAGAGACGGGGTTTCTCTATGTTGGTCAGGCTGGTCTCAAACTCCCGACCTCAGGTGATCTGCCTGCCTCAGACTCCCAAAGTGCTGGGATTACAGGCGTGAGCCACTGTGCCCGGACTGTTTTCTTTTCTTTTTTTTTCTTTTTTTTTAAGAGATGGAATCTCGCTATGTTACCCCGGAACTCTTGGCCTCAAGCGATCCTCCCATGCCTCAGTCTCCTGAGTAGCTGGAATTACAGTATGAGCCACCACGCCCAGCTGCTCTTACATTTATTGTTTTCTTCCTTACACCTCCTTTGAATTTATTCTGCTCTTCTTTTTCCTACTGCTTCCTTTTCTTTCTTTCTTTTTTTTTTAAACTTATTTATTATTTTTTTCTTTGGAAATTTTCTAGAAAATTACTGATTCTTTTTCTAGTTAAACAAGTCATTAATTTTTAGTCTTTCTTCTCTTAAACATAAACATTTAAACATTCTCTTAATTATAAACATTTAAGGCCAGGCATGGTGGCTCACGCCTGTAATCCCAGCATTTTGGGAGGCCGAGGGGAGTGGATCACTTGAGGTCAGGAGTTTGAGACCAGCCTGACCAACATGTTGAAACCCTGTGTCTACTAAAAATACAAAAATTAGCAGGGCATGGTGTTGCTGGCCTGTAGTCCCAGCTACTCTGGAGGCTGAGACAGGAGAATCACTTGAACCCAGGAGGTGGAGGTTGCAGTGAGCCGAGATGGTGCCACTGCACTCTAGCCTGGGTGACAGAGCAAGACTCCGTCTCAAAGCAAGCAAGCAAACAAACCAAAAAAACCATTTAAAGTCTTAATTTTTCTATGGCCCAATTTAGCTACCCACCACAACATTGATGAGTGATATTTTATTTTTATTCACTTATATGTGTTTTCTGTTTTCCATTGTTGTATCTTCTTTGACATTCAGGTCACATGAAAATGTGTTGTCTAATTTCCAAATGTGTAGGAATTTTTAGTTATCTTTTAAAAAATTAACTAGTAATTTAGTTGTTTGCAGTCTTCTATTTCCTTACCAAAGTTTTGTCTGTTTATTCGGACCTCCTCTGTAATATAGTTGTTGTTGGTTTTTAAATGCTGTCTTGAACCAGTTTTAAGGCGCTGGCTAAAGGCCAGTCAGTTCCCCTTTTTGAACAGCTAAGTTCACACCCCAATCACTTCTCTTATCAGACCCTCATACTCAGGGGCCACTATGCATTAGCCCTAATTGCCCTGAGGCCAGGTACCAGGCACTAGGGACAGCCCCTTTGCTCTGAACACACAAAATTATTCAAAATAGCCAATGGGCAGAAAGCCCTTGAAACCTAAGTAACCTCACATGCTTGCCACACATAAACTGCTAAGTAACCTCACATGCTTGCCATACATTAACTGCCCCTACAGCTCCGGCTCATTGTTACCTTGTCCCTGTTACTCCTGGTGTGGCCCTGCCTGGCAGGCTTCTCATTTTGAGCTGTAAATAACAGGTTTGAAGGCCTAATCACCGTAGCTCTGCAGCTGAGTCCTGTGGTGCTCCTCTTGAAGGCACAATTTCAGATATGCTGGTCCCTGTGGGTTGGTATGGTGCCAGAGCCTGGGCAATGTACCTTGATGACTTTGACCTTGAAATAAGGCTTGATGCACCAGGGGGCGCTGTAGTCTCATGTTCCAGCTTTCCTTCGTGTTGGAAGCATGCGCTGTACTGTGTACCAACATGGTTTGGGGTAGGCTTTGCAGAGTCTTTTGTTGGCCTGCTCCTTTCTGCTTAGGTTTCAGAAACGAAGCCTAATGGAACATGTGTCCATGTAAATGTCAGGAGTGTGAGTGTAGCCCTGACAGTGTTCCTCACTGGCTGGGTTGCCTTGAGCATACCACCTCCCGTCTCTGGGTTCCTACTTCTCCATCTATGAAATGGGCATTAATAAAACAATGATTCTGGCTGGGAGTGGTGACTCATGCCTGTAACCTCAGCACTTTGGGAGGCCGAGGCGGGTGGACATCTGAGGTCAGGAGTTCGAGACCCGCCTGAACAAAATGGTGAAACCCCATCTCTACTAAAAATACAAAAAAATTAGCCAGGTGTGGTGGCAGGCGCCTGTAATCCCAGCTACTTGGGAGGCTGAGGCAGGAGAATCCCTTGAACTGGGGAGGTGGATGTTGCAGTGAGGCAAGGTTGTGCCACTGCACTCCAGGCTGGGCAACAAAAGCGAAACTCCGTCTTGGGGGGAGAAAAAGACTCTTTTTTGGGGGCTGAGGTCCTTTTTTTTGGATGTTTAATTTTGAAACCCTTACTGAAGGGACACCTACTTAGTGTTTCTCCAGGACAGTAATGTTGTTACTTTGCCAACCTGAAGACTGACTGTCCCCAGGGCAGTAACCTCTGCAACTTGGAAACCTGAAACCTGTTTTTTACCTGAACCCTGACTTGGAAATTGAATGTGGCCCAAAAAGTCTAAATCCAAATATTTCCTGGGATCCCAGCAATGGCCAAGGGCATGCTCTGGGCTAGGCTATTTCAAGAGAGGAAGCTATTCCTGTGTATAGTATTTATCCTACTCATTTCTAATCACTGCTGCTGCGTTGTTGAACACCTGTATATACCAGCCACTATGCTAAGTGCTTTACAAATATTAGCTCATTTAGTTCCCTCACAGTCCTCAAGTATTATCATCCCTTTTTACAGATAAGAAAATTTAGGTTTACACAGCTAGTAAGTGGTGATACTGAGATCCAAACTCAGACTCAAAGCAAGTCCTCTCGACCAATGGGGCCACTAGAGCTCACACTCTGCCTCACTCATGGGACCAGGATGCATGTCTCATGGCCAGGTTCACTCAAGGGAGGACTAACTGGCTCTCCAGGGATCATCTATAGACCCATATGGATCAATGCTCATTTATGATGATTTGGACCTCTAGATAGCGTATGTTCTAGAACCTTAACACTGCCCCCACCCAGGGCAGAACCCATGGAGATGTAGGCGTTGTGCTCAGATGAACTTGCCCAGGTCCCTGCCGCGGCACGTGCTTTCCTGCCCTTCACACTTCGCCCCCGGCCAGCTCTCTAACTTGTACCTCAAAGTCTATAATTTAATGGCAGAAACTTCTTCAGGCCCCATGTTTCTGGAAATATGTTCATTTTATAAATTACTCTGTATAATGGGCATAGATTAGCTGGTCAAATACACGTGGGACATTTTCATTGCAAATCCTCCTTCCAGAGGCTCAGGATGATATCAGCATTGGAAGGCCCCCAGGAAGCATTGCAGGATGGAACTGTGTTTAACCTGAACCCAAGCCCAGCATTCCCTAGACCTACCTGACCACACATCCCCATTTCTCTTTTGCAGGCTATCCATGAATCTGGTTCCACAGTTTATACTCTGGGGAACATTGCTCTAGCTCATTGCTCTAGCTCAGGATTTCTCAACCTCAGCACCATTGATCTTCTTGGTCAGACAACTCTTTGCTGTGGTGGGCTGTCCTGTGCATTGTAGGACTTTAGCAGCATTCCTGGACTCTACCCATTAGAAACCAGTAGCAGGCTGGGTGCGGTGGCTCATGCCTATAATCCCAGCACTTTGGGAGGCTGAGGCAGGCAGATCACCTGAGGTCAGGAGTTCAAGACCATCCTGGCCAACATGGTGAAACCCCGTCTCTACTGAAATACAAAAAATTAGCCGGACATGGTGGCGCGTGCCTGTAGTCCCAGCTACTTGGGAGGCTGAGGCAGGGGAGTTGCTTGAACCCGGGAGGCGGAGGTTGCAGTGAGCTGAGATCATGCCACTGCACTCCAGCCTGGTGACAGAGCAAGACTCCTTCTCAAAAAAAAAAAAAAAAAGCCAGTAGTAACTCCCTCCCACCCCAAGCTAAAATGTCTCCAGATATTGCTGTATGCCTCAAGGAGGCAAGGAGCCTGAGTTGAGTGCCTCTACTCTCTACTCTAACTCGTGCATTCTCAGTAGAGGCAATATTGCCCCCAAGATAAAACTTGGCTCTTGGAGGGAGAAAAATTTCATACTCATTTTATGTATAAAGCACAGATATACATACACTGTATAAATAGATATATGGTATGTTTGTAGCATTAAAATTTTATGAGGGAGTGTTAGGAAAAAAAGTCTCAAAAGACTCCTTGGGGCAAGTGATAATGAAAAAAAAGAAGGGGTTCCCTAACACCATTCTAGCTCAGTGTTTTAATTTCTATTTATGCCAATTCCTTAGAAAGAATGATCTTTATGGCTCTTTTAAGCTGAATCAAAGAGCTAAGCAACAGTTGAAACACAGGGAAAGCATCTGGAAGTTGCCAAAAAGCTGAGGCTATGAGAGACTTAGGGCTCATGTCAGCCCCTCGCTTATGACTGCTACCCACATCCAAAGTGAAGATCAAGACCTCAGCCAAGACCACTGCCAATGAAGCTCCGCAATCCCCAAGCAGAAGGCGCTTGGGTGAGGGGTCTTCCTGACTCAAAAGGACTTGAAGCTATGTTGCCAGGCCACTTCACACTGGTTTGAGGCCATGTCAACTATTGAATCAAAGAATGTGGTTGGCTGATGCCTTCCAAGTCACTCACAGACACATACATTTGGACAAATTTTTCTCTTCTCTCTTCTTGAATATCCTTTTTCTTGACTATCTCTGGCCTTCCTTCTCACCCTGGCCTCTCAGATCCCAGTTGTCAGGAGAACATTGCACATCTTGATTGCTGGCCCCTGCATATCCATGATGAGAAACTAGCAAACAGGTTGCTGATCCAAAATGTAGAGATCATTGCTACCGCATATGGCCAGTTAAATGGAATTTTTTTTTTTAAACTAAAAAGCGAAAAAGGAGTGGCTGATTCCTGTAATCCCAGTGCTTTAGGAAGCTGAGGTGGGAGGATTGCTTGAGGCCAGTAGTTCAAGATGAGCCTGGGCAATATAGCAAGACCCCTATCTCCCCAAAAATTAAAATTAGTCAGTCATGGTGGCTTGCACCTCTAGTCTCAGCTACTTGGGAGACTAAGGCAGGAGGATCACTTGAGCCCAGGAGTTCAAGGTTACGGTGAGCTATGATTGCACCACTGAACACCAGTCTGGGTGACAGAGTGAGACCCTGTTTCTTTAAAAAAATCTCTTTTTTAAAAACCAACAAATACATTTTTGTATTTTTAAAAAAACTAAAAATCTTTTTTAAAAAGAAAATGACTTCATTTTTTTTCTTAATCTTTTTTTGGCACATCTTCTTGGCCTTCGGTCTTGGGAAATGACTAAGAATCATTTTCTGCTTCCTACTTCTATCAAAAAACCCCACTTGAACTTAGTACAGTTGGGTGAGGGAGATAACTCGTGCTCACAGGAAGCCACGCACCCTTGAAAGGCACCGGGTCCTTCTTAGCATCGTGCTTCCTGAGCAAGCCTGGCATTGCCTCACAGACCTTCCTCAGAGCCGCTTTCAGAAAAGCAAGGTAAGCAGGGACGGGGACATTCCCAGGGTCTTGGGTCGCACACTGCTTTCTGGACCTGGCTGAGATGCTCAGGCCCCTCACGAGTCTAGGGCTTACACTTGGCACCTACCTTGCAGCCCACACACCTTCTACCTGTCCCCACACCCTCTGAGCCCTCATCTGATGGGCACTAATTTATGCAGGACTCTCTTCCTGCACACATCTGGCCTGAGTCCACATGCCCCAAATAAATAGATCATTTTCATAAAAAATATACACTTGTCTGCTTCTTGCTTCTAGCAAGACTCCCAGGCAAGAAATACCACACACGCAAGGCCTACAGAATAATTCCAGACACTTACCAGCTGTGTCTCCTGGCTTTTTGTTCTCCTGATAATTTCCTAACTCCTCAGCCTTGTTTATGCCTTTCATTTTCACTGGTAAAATGGTGGAGAAAGACTAGAATTGTTAGTCATTCAACAAACTTTTTTGGAGACTCTGTGATGTAACAGGTGTTCAGTATCTATTTGCATGAGTAAACCAAAATCTTTTTTCTTTCTTTTTTTCTTTTTCTTTTCTTTCCTTTTTATTTTTTATTTTTTTTGAGACAGGATTTCACTCTGCTGCCCAGGTTGAAGTGCAATGGTGCCATCATAGCTCACTGCGCCTTGAACTCCTGGGCTCAAGGGATCCTCCTGCCTCAGCCTCCTGAGTAGCTGGTACTATCAGCACGTACCACCACACCCAGCTAACTTTTAAAACAATTTTTTGTAGAGACAGGGTCTCCTTATGTTGCTCACGCTGGCATGGAGCTCCTTGGCTCAAGTGATCCTCCCTCCTCGGCCTCCCGACGTGCTGGGATTATAGGCGTGGGCCACTGCACACCTGGCTTCAAAAGCCCTTTCTTGAGAAACACAGTTTGGGCATTGGGTGTGTGGTGGTGGGGGTGTGGGGAGAGATCGAATGTGAATTTACTGACGAATGTGAAAAGGATTTTAACAAGGAATGTGAGGGTCCCACAAAAGCCTCAAGAAGGAAGCAAGGGAGTGGCCTTGAGTCGGAAAGCCCTTCAGCCCTGAATTGCTCTGATACACATGTCAGCATGTGATTAATTTTAAGAAGATTTCAACCTCTTTATCTGCCAATTTAGATAGGAAGTGAAGGTGGTTGGGGAGGTAGAGGTTTTATTTCTGGCTGTGATGTGTGTTTTCTAGATCCATCAGGTGAATTCCCACTCTAATAGGATTCTGTGCGTAGAATTGATTTTTACGTGCAGTTTGATGATGATCATGATCATATAAAATACACCCAATTGAGAATTGTTCAACTGATTTTGTCATCCCTGAAAGTGATTTCAGTAACCCCAGACTATGAAATATCTTTTTGAAACACATCCTCAAAGAACACCTGCTTGAAAGGGGGTTTTACGATCCTCACTTACAAATGAGAGAACTGAAGCTCCTGGCAGAGAGGTAAGAAAATTAGTGAGTGCCCAAGCTGGAATCTGAAACAAATCTTTCTGCCTCCAAAGCCCAAAATTATTTCGTCTGGCTGCAGGGCCCTGTGAGTAATCGAGCCCTTCATCTTGGGAAAGGCATATACAGACCTGGAGCAAAACAGTACGCAGCCATGCTCTGCATTTAGCAATACTTTGGTTTATTTTTGTTCTCACAGAAATCTCCTTTGCTCTTCCCCTCATTAGCTGCTTCTGGTTGGGCCCAGACCTGCCTTGAGGAGCCTGTAGAGTTAAAAAATGAACCCCACGGATATAGCAGACACCACCCTCGATGAAAGCATATACAGCAATTACTATCTGTATGAAAGTATCCCCAAGCCTTGCACCAAAGAAGGCATCAAGGCATTTGGGGAGCTCTTCCTGCCCCCACTGTATTCCTTGGTTTTTGTATTTGGTCTGCTTGGAAATTCTGTGGTGGTTCTGGTCCTGTTCAAATACAAGCGGCTCAGGTCCATGACTGATGTGTACCTGCTCAACCTTGCCATCTCGGATCTGCTCTTCGTGTTTTCCCTCCCTTTTTGGGGCTACTATGCAGCAGACCAGTGGGTTTTTGGGCTAGGTCTGTGCAAGATGATTTCCTGGATGTACTTGGTGGGCTTTTACAGTGGCATATTCTTTGTCATGCTCATGAGCATTGATAGATACCTGGCAATTGTGCACGCGGTGTTTTCCTTGAGGGCAAGGACCTTGACTTATGGGGTCATCACCAGTTTGGCTACATGGTCAGTGGCTGTGTTCGCCTCCCTTCCTGGCTTTCTGTTCAGCACTTGTTATACTGAGCGCAACCATACCTACTGCAAAACCAAGTACTCTCTCAACTCCACGACGTGGAAGGTTCTCAGCTCCCTGGAAATCAACATTCTCGGATTGGTGATCCCCTTAGGGATCATGCTGTTTTGCTACTCCATGATCATCAGGACCTTGCAGCATTGTAAAAATGAGAAGAAGAACAAGGCGGTGAAGATGATCTTTGCCGTGGTGGTCCTCTTCCTTGGGTTCTGGACACCTTACAACATAGTGCTCTTCCTAGAGACCCTGGTGGAGCTAGAAGTCCTTCAGGACTGCACCTTTGAAAGATACTTGGACTATGCCATCCAGGCCACAGAAACTCTGGCTTTTGTTCACTGCTGCCTTAATCCCATCATCTACTTTTTTCTGGGGGAGAAATTTCGCAAGTACATCCTACAGCTCTTCAAAACCTGCAGGGGCCTTTTTGTGCTCTGCCAATACTGTGGGCTCCTCCAAATTTACTCTGCTGACACCCCCAGCTCATCTTACACGCAGTCCACCATGGATCATGATCTCCATGATGCTCTGTAGAAAAATGAAATGGTGAAATGCAGAGTCAATGAACTTTCCACATTCAGAGCTTACTTAAAATTGTATTTTAGTAAGAGATTCCTGAGCCAGTGTCAGGAGGAAGGCTTACACCCACAGTGGAAAGACAGCTTCTCATCCTGCAGGCAGCTTTTTCTCTCCCACTAGACAAGTCCAGCCTGGCAAGGGTTCACCTGGGCTGAGGCATCCTTCCTCACACCAGGCTTGCCTGCAGGCATGAGTCAGTCTGATGAGAACTCTGAGCAGTGCTTGAATGAAGTTGTAGGTAATATTGCAAGGCAAAGACTATTCCCTTCTAACCTGAACTGATGGGTTTCTCCAGAGGGAATTGCAGAGTACTGGCTGATGGAGTAAATCGCTACCTTTTGCTGTGGCAAATGGGCCCTCTAATTAATTTCTTGCTTTTGCGGAACAATATAGATAACTGTTTTTCTAATAACATATCTCAGGCAAAGTATATTCCATTGAGCCAGATGTATGAAGAAACAATTAGCGAAGTGATGAAACCAGATCTCAATTATTTATTGTAAAGGATTATCTGTTAATTGAAACCAAACTTTTTATACTGATATAAGGGTAAGGATATGAAGACATTAGCCAAGGTCTGCTTTCCAAACGTGAACTACAAGGCATTCAAAATCCAAACATATTTATGAAAATTCAAACACAGTTTCTCACTTGTTTGTGGACATGTTTTGTTCTAATTTTAACAGAGGAATATTAAAAAATTTTAAATAGGCTGGGCACGGTGGCCTGTAATCCCAGCACTGTGGGAGGCCAAGGTGGGCGGATCACCTGAGGTCAGGAGTTCGAGACCAGCCTGGCCAACATGGAGAAACCCTGTCTCTACTAAAAAATACAAAATTAGCCAGGTGTGGTGGCGCATGCCTGTAATCCCAGCTACTCAGGAGGCTGAGGCTGGAGAATAACTTGAATCCGGGAGGTGGAGGTTGCGGTGAGCCGAGATCGCGCCATTGTACTCCAACCTGGGCAAAAAGAGCGAAACTCTGTCTCAAAAAAAAAAAAAAAAAATTAAATAATACATAGGCCAAGAATACATTTATTTGAGGTCATTTACTTGTTTTTTTTTTTTTTTTTTTTTTTGAGATGGAATCTTGCTCTGTCACCCAGTCTGGAGTGCAGTGGCGCGATCTCGGCTCACTGCAAGCTCTGCCTCACGGGTTCGCACCATTCTCCTGCCTCAGCCTCCCAAGTAGGTGGGACTACAGGCACCTGCCCCCATGCCTGGCTAATTTTTTGTATTTTCAGTAGAGATGGGGTTTCACCATGTTAGCAAGGATGGTTTTAATCTCCTGACCTCGTGATCCACCCGCCTCGGCCTCCCAAAGTGCTGGGATTACAGGTGTGAGCCATCACGCCCGGCCACTTGTTTATTTTTTATTTTATTTTATTTTATTTTTGAGATGGAGTCTCACTCTGTCACCCAAGCTGGAGTGCAGTGGCACTCGGTTCACTGCAAAGTCTGCCTCCCAGGTTCAAGCGATTCTCCTGCCTCAGCTTCTCAAGCAGCTGGGATTAGAGGTGTGCACCACTACGCCAGGCTAATTTTTGTATTTTTAGTAGAGATGGGGTTTCACCATATTGGCCAGGCTAGTCTTGAACTCCTGACCTCAGGTGATCTGCCTGCTTCAGCCTCCCAAAGTGCTGGGATTACAGGCGTGAGCCACCTCGCCCAGCCAAGGTCTTTTACTTGTTTATAAACAGTCTCTTCATAATTAAAATTAAGGATTAATAAAGTATGACAATACCTCCTTAATCATTTTGAAGTGCCTGCTATCAATTGAAATAAAAACAATCAACTAAAAGTTATTGTTGACACTGTATAAATATGGTTGTTAAAAAATTATGAAATTGTGAAAAGTGTCATCCTCTCTTAAAATATTGGCCCTAGTTTTTTGTTTTTGTTTTTGTTTTTGAGACAGAGTTTTGCTCTTGTCGCCCAGGCTGGAGTGCAATGGCACGATCTTGGCTCACTGCAACTCCGCCTCCTGGGTTCAAGTGATTCTCCTGCTTCAGCCTCCCAAGTAGCTGGGATTACAGGCGCCTGCCACCACGCCCAGCTAATTTTTTGTATTTTTAGTAGAGACAGAGTTTCACCATGTTGGCTAGGCTGATCTTGAACTCCTGACCTCAGGTGATCCACCCACCTCGGCCTCCCAAAGTGCTGGGATTACAGGCGTGAGCCACTGGGCCCAGCCACTGGCCTTAGTTTTTAACTTTTGGGTGACTAAAAAGTTTGGTCAGTCATTTCTTACAAGTCATTTAAATCATTTAATTAATCCTTTCATACTATTAAGATAAATTGCTATCTCTGTCCTTACAGCCTTAATTAAGCAAAGACTCCAGCAAAATCTGGGAGACTTCCAATTCCTCCCAAAACAAAAACTTATCTTGCAAGCTGTCAACTGAGTTAACCAGTTACAAATGCTTCTGTTATGTTTATACATTCTTGCATGCTCTACATTTATAAAGAATACATTTGCAGAAAATTCATTTTCAGTAAAGTGGTTTTAAAGAGGGAAAGTTGATGCTGTCTTTATAGAAAATAAAATAAAATAAAATAAACTTGTGTATAGCCCCAGGGAGCGTTTTTTCCTGATCTTGTTTGTGTTAGATCTCCTGACCAGTGGATGAGAATCAGAGCTGCTGCTGTGCCATTGCTTCACCACATGCTGTACATGTGAACTCGCCCAAGGGGAGGAATCAAAGCGTTCACTGTTGCCATCTCCACTTCGGGTTGTGTGTTGCTGTCTTGCCATAGGGGACTTGGAGACGAGAGCGAATAAGTTACGGGGTGGGCGTGGTGGCTCATGCCTGCAATCCCAGCACTTTGGGAGGCCAAGGTGGGCCGGTCACTTGAGGTCAGGAGTTCGAGACCTGCCTGGCCAACATAGTGAAACCCCATCTGTACTAAAAGTACGAAAATTAGCCAGTGTGCCTGCAATCCCAGATACTTTGGAGGCCGAGGCATGACAATCGCTTTAACCTGGGAGGCGGAGGTTGCAGTGAGCTGAGATCATGCCACTGCACTTCAGCCTGGGTGCGGAGTGAGTGAGACTCTGTCTCAAAAAAAAAAAAAAAAAAAAGAAAGAAAAAAAAAAGAAGTTAGGGATGGGCCAATTCCTAGGCAGTCTTTGCTTAGACAACTTCTGTGAGGTGGGCTATGATCTGCCAAATCCTAGCTCTGCATTCCTTTGTTAGTTTGAGCATGCTACTTTTCTCTCTTAGCCTCAGTTTTCTCTTCTGTAAAACATGCTTCAGAGGGATTGAAAAAAAAAAAAAGATGATGAATACAAAGCACCTATGTTCCTGGGTCATAGATAAAGGAAAGTTTTGGATATGCCCAATCAGCGGCTGCCTCTCTTTTCCTGGTAGAGCTGTTTATTTTATTCATTTAATCATAGTGAGATAGAAACTTTAGGGCACCAAAAGACAATGGCTGGTCAAAGGGGCTTTACTGCCCCTTCATTTCCATCACAGGCTGTACCAAGCAATGGTGAGGTGCAATCCAAGTTACTTCCATATCTCTGCCTCAGGATGGGTCTTTCATTTCCTCAAAGTCAGTCAGAGCTCCCCTTATTCCAAAGTTGGAGAGAATATTCCCTCAGGACAGGAATGTAGAACCTCTGGTGACATCCAAACAAAACCCTCTTAGAATACCCAAAAGAAAGTTTCTTCCCATTAAGCAAAAGAACCATAGAAAGAAAGCCAGCATGATTTCTACTTTTTTAAATATTTATTTATTTATTTATTTATTTATTTATTTATTTATTGAGATGGAGTCTTGCTCTGTCGCCCTGGCTGGAGTGCCATGGTGTGATCTCGGCTCACTGCAACCTCCGCCTTTAAGGTTCAAGCGATTTTCCTGCCTCAGCCTCCCGAGTAGCTGGGATTACAGGCATGCACCACCACACCTGGCTAATTTTTGTATTTTTAGTAGAGACAGGCTTTCACCATGTTGGCCAGGCTGGTCTCGAACTCCTGACTTCAGGTGATCCGCCTGCCTCGGCCTCCCAAAGTACTGGGATTATAGGTGTGAGCCACTGCACCCAACAAGCCAGCATGATTTCTAAACAAAGATTGGTTTAACTGTAAATTTTCAGACATTAGACTCATGTCTTTCTTGTTGCAACATACCTAGCCTAGGTGTAATTTGCTCAGGAACAATAGAAGTGGGTTTGCTTTTGGGGTGATGTAAATGTTTTGGAACGAGTTGGAAGGGTGGGTTGCACAATATTGTGAATATACTAAATGCTATTTAATTGTACATTTTAAAATGGTTCATTTTATATTATGTGAATTTTACCTCAACAACAATAACGAGTAATAGGAACTAGTCCAGGCAATATCTGTCCCACAGTAGTTTCTCAAATTCTATTGAATAAGTAAATTAATTTCATCTGCTTCTCATGAGAAGGAATAATACAGGGTGAAGCCAAAGGGTCTTTAGACCTTTAGGGAGATTATTTGCAAGGAACTCTCCTAACAATTTGGAACGATTTCTATTGAAATAGTTGCCTATTTTGTGCCAAGCAGAATGCTAGTTTATGGAAATAATAAAGAGTTAAAGAAGTAAGTTCTGCCACTCATGGAATTCACAATCTGATAAAGGAAACACAAACGCAGGATTAACTAGACTGCAAGCAAGACAAGTATGATAATAGAGCCACAAGAAAGATTCTTTGGGACTCCAGAGGAAGGAGAAATTGATTAAATTTTAAATTCTCATAATATGATTAGCTTTTGAAGTAGACCTTGTAGGAGAGGCATGATTTTGATGAAGGGAAGGGAGAAAGGACTCCCCAGCCTGATGAAATAGCATCTGAAAAGGCACAGTGGTGTTAAGAGAGCACTGTGTGGTCAGGGGGTAGTAGTAGGGTTTTCTTGTAGTTAAAGTGCATGGGAGTGGGGCAGTGGAGCAAAGTAGGGAAAGGTGAGACCAAAGAAAAGTACAGACCTAAGAGGCAGCAGCCTTGAGTTATGGACTGAGTCAGCTGCCATCCTGCTCTGGGCTTGAGACTGTCAGGGGGTTAAGGGGCGCTGTCCACACACCCACCAGTTCAGGACTGAAGCACTCACTCTACTAGTCGTCAGGAATGTTGGCCCTGATAGCTCTCAGCTGGTCTCCCTTCAGGAATCGTCCTCCCTGGGGGCAGCTCATATTCAGTGACTGGATAATGAGGAGATACAAGCACTTGCCCCTTGCCTAGATTTGGGATAACTCTGAAGGGCCATTGCTACTCCAGAGCTCCCATAAGATTAGTGGAGGCCTCTGTTGCAACTGTGTTGCAGTTCAACTTTTCCCACTGTCCAATCTGCGTTCTTTCTTTCTTTTTTTTGAGATAGAGTTTTGCTCTTGTTGCCCAGGCTGGAGTGCAGTGGTGTGATCTTGGCTCACTGCAACCTCTGCCTCCTGGGTTCAAGCGATTCTCCTGTATCAGCCTCCTGAGTAGCTGGGATTACAGGTGCCCGCCACTAAGCCTGGCTAATTTTTTGGATTTTTTAGTAGAGATGGGGTTTCACCATGTTGGCCAGGCTGGTCTCAAACTTCTGACCTCAGGTGGTCTGCCCACCTTGGCCTCCCAAAGTGCTGGGATTACAGGCGTGAGCCACCACACCCGGCCCCAGTCTGCTTTGTTTATGCCCTTACAGGTGTGGTTTCCAAGAGGACTCCCTACTAAATCTCCTGCATGCTAATCTCAGAGCCTCAGAGCAAGCTTCCAGAATCCCAATCTAAAACAAGGACTTTCTGATCAAACTGGGGACAAGAGAACACCTAACGTAAATGGAAACTGACCTAGGAGCGGGAAAATGAGGAGACATAATCTTTGCATCAGGGATGTGCTTCATTAATTGCCTTCCAACCATCAACCTCACTTAACAGTTGGCTCCTCTATTTTCCTTTAGTCAGTCTCACTTTGGCCCCATAATTTGCGTGTCTCAAGCCCTGAGGCATCTTTCCCTATACACCTTATTCCTGTTATCGTTACAGCCCATCTCTACCCTTGGTCATGCCACAACCACCTGTCATTCTATATCCTGTACCCTACATCCAGTCAGAGATTGTCCACTCCATCTCCAGCCTTTCTTGACTCAAATGAACCAGACATAAACTCCACCCACTTTTTGTGGTCATAATACTTTACCGCTTGAAAGCTTACAATAGCTCCAAATTCCCCTTTCATAAAATCAGAAATCCAAGTGCTTTTATATATTGACACTCATTTTACCCTCTTCTTAAAGTAGATAAGGTTGATTTTATTACTCCAAGAAATTGAGGTTCAGGAGAAACAATATTTTAATCATGAATTAGACTCACTCCACCAAAAATACCCACCACCTAACTGCCTAGTAAAATTGCTAGCACAAAACTCAATTATTTTTTACTGAATGAGTGGATTTCCTTATCTCTTAATCAAGTACTCTACACTGGCAATTCAAGTTTCTATTTAACTACACAAAGTTCACTAGTCCTGTCTCCAAAATCCCCGTTGTGTTTCTAATAAGACTTTATGTGACCAAGTTCAAAGATTGACTGAATTGTTCCAGAAATACTGGTGGGCTTTAGGTCAAAAATTACTTTATTAAGACTTTTCATATTGAACATAACTGCCAAAGTCTGCATTTTCACCTTTTCTGAGAAATTGTGAAACAGCAGCAAGAAGAATGAATTTTAAAACCCCCAAACTCCATTTGCACCAGACTTAGAGACAGAGATCCTTTTCAGACTCCAAAATACCTGGATGGTCTGCCCAAAGCAGCTGAGATCAGGTGAAACCTGTGTGGGAAAGGGTGAAGTGCAGGGTGGTAAGAGATGGAGCAGGGACAGACGTCAGCAACACGCCAAAGGCATTTCCTGAGCAGAGGGTGCACAGTGAGGTGCAGGAAGAGAGGTGATCAACACTTGGGTCAGAAGTTCTCCTGGCCCCAGTTTGGTTCTGAGAAGCAGAGGAGGCAGGTTTGCCAAATTTCAAATTTGCAGGAGGCAGACAGTCAGTCTCTGTGGCAGCAGAAAAGAAGAGAGCCATCGGGTTGTGAAGACAGCTAGCCTGGAAAACTGCTGCCATCGCCTTCGTCCTAGGCAGAAACACAAACATAAGCACATTAAACAATGCAAAGACAAATACTGAGAAAAATGACACCATTGACTGTAATCTGGAGAGGAATACTAGAGAAATATAGGAAAATACAGAAAAGATTTCATTATCATGATAAAATATGTCTATCTCAGCTGAAAAGGCATCATGGGCCACTCCAGAGGCATTCCAGCTAGCTAAAAATAGGAAGGAACGCCTGTGATCACCACTTCTATATAACATTGCCCTGGAGGTACCAGCTCCACAAGATAAGGGGAATAAAGTAGAGGTATAGAAATTGGCAGTGGCTCATGCCTGTAATCCCGGTACTTTGGGAGGCCAAGGCAGGCGGATCACTGGAGGTCAGGGGTTTGAGACCAGCCTGGCCAACATGGCGAAACCCCGTCTACTAAAAATACAAAAATTAGCTGGGCATGGTGGTGCGTGCTGGTAGTCCCAGCTACTTAGGAGGCCAAGGTAGGAGAATCGATTAAACCCAGGAGGCGGAGGTTGCAATGAGCTGAGGTCACGTCATTGCACTTCAGCCTGGGCGACAGAGTGAGACTACATATTAAAAAAAAAAGAGAGTCTGAGAAGCTGTCACAGCCAAGGGGAGCCTAAGGAGACAACTACATGTCATTAGTTCTGGATCAGAAAAAGGACATTAGCTAAACATTAAGGAAACATGTCCAAAAAGAATGGACGTTAGTTAATAATAATGTATCAGTATTGGTTCAGTAAGTATAGCAAATGTAGCTTTCTAATGTATGGTGTTAATAACAGGGGAAATGTGATGTGCAGTAAATGGGAACTTTCTGTGCCATCTTCACCAGTTTTTTGGAAATCTAAAACTGTTCTAAAATACAAGTTTATTTAAAAAATTGGAAAGGGGAAGGGAAAATATTTCTAGTTCCAATAATACTGTTGAATAATTGGAACACCCAAGAGAATTACCTGAAAAACTATTATTAACAATAAGATAATTATGCAAGTTAATAAGGGAAGATGTTAATACATCAAACTCAATTACATTTATATTTACAAATAACAATCAGGAGATGTGGGATAACAGACCCACATTATGAAAGAGAATAGAAATAAATAATAATTAAAATATATATTATCTATACATAGTATGAAATAGATAGAAAATATATGGGAACAACTTAGTCTAAAACACTATTCCAGCACTAGGCCAGAAAAGGCCTTATACAAGCAAGCTCAATGGCATAAAAAACACCAGTTCTTTTCAGTTAAATTATTAAATACAATGTTATTCTTCAAGACATATTAATAGCCTTTTATAAATTACATACACCGATTTAAAAGCTTACATAAGAATGAACAACAACAAAAAATAGCCAGGACCACTCTGAAAAAGAAGAGCAATGAGGATACGCATATTATAAATTAATATGTATGTTAAATTAATTAGCTAATTAAAATATACAGCAATGTTGCAGAAAGTCAAGTGAAACAGAATGGGAAATCTAGTTTAGTATGAGATCAAAATACAAGTGAGAATTTAGTGCATATTAAAGATGGCAACTTAAATCAAAGGAGGAATACAATAAACTATTTATTCAGAAGTGGGCCAAATGTATTGGCATCTGGAAAAAAAATTAAGCTTGATTCATATGTCACACTACACATAGTTAAATTCCAAACAGAAAAAAAATATTTAAATGTAAAAATTGGAAAAATAGAAGTTCTAAAAGGAAACATGGGACAATTTCTTCACAATTTGTGCAGCAGGCAAAGCCTTTCTAAAAATAACTCAAAATTCAGAAGCCATGAAGGAAAAGATTAATAAATTCAACTATGTGAATTAAAAATATGCATGACAAAAACATCCCCAAAGAAAAAGTCAAAAGACAAATGATAAACAGGGTCATCTGGTTGCAGTTAAATGCAATTGAACTTTTTTCAAATTACCAAGTGGCACATGGATGTTTGTTACATTATTCTTGGTACTTTTCTATATGGTTGAAATGCTTAATAATAAGTAAATTAACATATACTATGAAATATGGTGCCATTAAAAAGAATAACTTTCAGCTATATACCTATACCATTCACAAATGTCCATAATATCTTAAGTGCATTTTGAAAACCTGTAAGTATAAACCCCAAACTGTTAGCCATTTTATAGAGGAAAAAATTATGCTTTGTATGTTCTAGGCTTCTTTATTTCTTTAAGCAAACATGCATTACTTTCATAATCTGCCAAAGCAATAGCAATATTTCCATTTTAGGAAAAAAAGGAGAACTTTATGATGATGGAGAACTGACTAAAATAAACCACACAGAGATACTCTAGAACATAGGGCTCCCAGGTGACTTGAGCATGCGGATGTCATCCTGATGTAACACCTGCCCACAGAGATGTGCAGTGCTTTGAAGAAGATGCTGACGTCAGTCCTGAGGATGAATAACTGAGTTTATGGTATGAGATAGGTACAAGATAGCATGCTGGAGCCTGCAGAATGTTTGAATTCTTTTGATCATGCTTGATATAAACAGACTATCATTGGAGGCGAGCAGGCAGGAAAAAGATCTGCACCAAGACTAGACTGTACAACCACCTCTCCATGGTTACCTTGGTTAGGGAGCTTCCTCCTAATTGTTTTGATGTCACAAGAAAAATGTCACACACAAATAAAGTGAACGATGGTTCACATGGAGCATTGTGTGGTCTAGTTGGGCTCCTCTTCATGGAATGACCAGGGAAGAATTTGAGGGAGTTCGTGCAGTGGACAAAGGGTAAATATATGAGGGAATGGATTTGAGTTGTAAATACAAGAGTTATTTCTAATCTGAGTCCTTAAGAACTTCTTGAGGGTTACAGATCTGTTCATTCTATTACTAGAAAGACTTCCAATTAAGGTGCAGTAAAAAGTTCACAGTTTGGGGATCTTCCTGTTTTCCAAAACTAATTGAAATGTGATAGGCAATATATAACAACAGAAGTCTGATTGATGTCTAGGTACAAATGCCACTTTGAAAAACTGTTAGACAACTCTGTGTAAAGTTGAACATGTACCTATTTTATGATCCAATAATTCTACACCTAGGTATTGATCCAAGAGAAATGAAAACTTTGGTCCATAAAACGACTTGTTCAAGAATGTTGGTAACATCACAGTTGATATGATTTGGCTGTGTCCCCACCCAAATCTCATCTTGAACTGTAGCTCCCACAATCCCCACGTGTCATGGGAGGGACCCAGTGGGAGGTACTTTGAATCATGAGGTTAGGTTTTTCCCATGCTGTTCTTGTGATAGTGAATAAGTCTCATGAGATCTGATGGTTTTATAAAGGGCAGTTCCCCGCACACACTCTCTTGCCTGCTGTCATGTAAGATGTGCCTTTGCTCCTTTTTCACCTTCCACCATGATTGTGAGGCCTCCCTAGCCATGTGGAACTGAGTCTGTGAAACCTCTTTCCTTTATAAATTACCCAGTCTCAGGTATATCCTTATTAGCAGCATGAGAACAGACTAATACAGTAAATTGGTACCAGGTAGTGGAGCACTGCTGTAAAGATACCTGAAAATGTGGAAGCGACTTTGGAACTGGGTAACAGGCAGAGGTTGGAACAGTTTGGAGGGCTCAGAAGAAGACAGGAAGATGTGGGAAAGTTTGGAACTTCCTGGAGACTTGTTGAATGGCTTAGATCAAAATGCTGATAGTGATATGGACAATAAAGCCCAGATTGAGGTGGTCTCAGATGGAAATAAGGAAGTTCTTGGGGACTGGAGCAAAGGTGACTCTTGTTATACTTTAGCAAAGAGACTGGTGGCATTTTGCTCCTGGCCTAGAGATCTATGGAACATTGAACTTGAGAGAGATAATTTAGGGTATCTGGTGGAAGAAATTTCCGAGCAGCAAAGTGTTCAAGAGGAAGCAGAGAATAAAAATTTGGAAAATTTGCCGACTGATGATTTAATAGAAAAGAAAAAAAAAACATTTTCTGGGAAGAACTCCAAGCCTGCTGCAGAAATTTGCTAAGTAACAAGAAGCTGAATATTCTTCACTAAGATAATGTGGAAAATGTCTTCAGGGGATATCAGAGACCTTTGTGTCAGCCCCTGCCATTACAGGCCTGGAGGCCTAGGAGGGAAAAATGGTTTCCTGGGCCAGGTCCAGGGCCCCCCTGCAGTGTACAGCTTAAGGACTTGGTGCCCTGTGTCCCAGCCACTCCAGCCATGGCTAAAAGGGGCCAAGGTATAGCTGGGGCTGTGGCTTCAGAGAGTGCAAGCCCCAATCCTTGGCAGGTTCCATGTTGTGTTGAGACTGCAGGTGCACAGAAGTCAAGAATTGAGGTTTGGGAACCTCTGCCTAGATTTCAGAAGATGTATGGAAACGCTGGGATGTCCAGGCAGAAGTTTGCTGCAGTGGTGAGGCCCTCATGGAGAATCTCTGTAGTGCAGAAGGGAAGGTGGGGTTGGAGCCCCTACACAAAGTCTCCACTGCTGTATTGCCTAGTGGAGCTGTGAGAAGAGGGCCACTGTCCTCCAGACCCTAGAATGGTAGATCCACCAACAGCTTGCACTGTGTACCTGAAAAAACTGCAGACAGTGTCAGCCCGTTAAACCAGCTGGGAGCGGGCTATACCCTGCAAAGCCACAGGGGCGGAGCTTCCCAAGGCTGTAGGAGCCCATCTCTTGCATCACCATGACCTGGATGTGAGACATGGAGTTAAAGGAGATCATTTTGGAACTTTAAGGTTTACTGACTGCCCTATTGGGTTTTGGACTTGCATGGAGCCTGTAGCCCCTTTGTTTTGGCCGATTTCTCCCATTTGGAGCAGCTGTATTTACCCAATGCCTGTAACCCCATTGTATCTAGGAAGTAACTAACTTGCTTCTGATTTTACAGGCCCATAGGTAAGAAGGGAGTTGCCTTGTTTCAGATGAGACTTTGGACTTGGACTTTTGCATTAATGATGGAATGAGTTAAGACTTTAGGGGACTGTTGAAAAGGCATGATTGGCTTTGAAATGGAAGGACATGAGATTTGGGAGGGGCTGGGGCAGAATGATATGGTTTGGCTGTGTCCCCACCCAAATCTCATCTTGAATTGTAGCTCCCATAATCCCCATGTGTCTTGGGAGGGACCCGGTGGGAGGTAATTTAATCATGGCAGTGGGTTTTCCCATGTTGTTCTCATGATAGTGAATAAGTCTCGCAAGATCTGATGGTTTTATAAAGGACAGTTCCCCTGCATACGCTGTCTTGCCTGCTGCCATGTAAGACGTGCCTTTGCTCCTCCTTGCCTCCTGCCATGATTGTGAGGCCTCCCCAGCCATGTGGAACTGTGAGTCCATTAGATTTCTTTCCTTTATAAATTACCCGGTCTCTGGTATGTCCTTATTAGCAGCATGAGAATGAACTAATACAATACTTAATGGTGCAAGATGGACTGCTTTCTCCCCAGGATCAGGAACAAGACTAGGATGTCTGCTCTTCCATTTGTATTCATATTGTATTGGAAGTTCTCATCAGGACAAAAATCAGCAAGAAAAAGAAATAAAAGGGATAGAGATTGAAAAGGAAGAAGCAAAATTATCTTTTTGTAGATGATGTGATCTTATATGCAGAAAATTCTAAGAAATCCACTATAAAACTATTAGAGCTAATAAGTGAGTTCAGCAGGTTGCAGGATACCAGATCAACATACAAAAAACAATTGCTTCTACTTTGGGAGGCCAAGACAGGAAGATCACCTGAGGTCAGGAGTTAGAGACCAGCCTGGCCAACATGGTGAAACCTCGTCTCTACTAAAAATACAAAAATTAGTCAGGCATGGTGGTGTGTGCCTATAATCCCAGCTACTAGGGAGGCTGAGGCAGGAGAGTTGCTTGAACCTGGGAGGTGGAGGTTCAAGATGGTATGTGAATTATATATCTCCCTCTACCCACAAAATGCTTAAAAGGTAACTTAACCCTTTGATGGGGCTCAGTCCTTTGGATGTTAATCTGACTGGGCTGGTGCACCTAAATAATTAATAAATATCCTCCTGAACCCCATCGGTCTCTCTGATTCCTTAAAATCCTGCTACATTTCTGGGAGCTCGCCCATGAATGGAGACAACAGATTTACTGTCTCCTTTGTCTGCGGGACTAGAGCCTCAGGGCCAGGGGAGACCTGGCATCCAAGGTGCACCACGGGGGAGTTTCACCTGGATGGAAACCAGCTCTCCCTGCATCCCAGCACCCTGCCTGGTAGCGGAACGGAACTGGGGGTGGGGCTGCAGGACAATACCAGCTCTTCAGGAACCACGGTAAGGAGCAAGGGCCCAAGGCAGGGAAGCCTGTCCCATAAGGACAAAGGGGAGCTTGATCACCTCCCGGGGAATGACCACTAATCCAACTCAGAGAGGCTGAGGGCGGCAGGAGTGGCTTTTCAATTTGGATGAACTTCGTGTCCCCACTAACAAAGTGAAAGTGGCTACCAAGATGTACATTAACCGAGATCAGGAGGCAAAGAAGGAGGCTGATTGGAAGCATAAGAAAGGTTAATTTACTAGCAGCAGCCCTTACGGGAAGAGAAGCTGGCTTTGCAAGGAGGCATGGACATGGGCGTGAATGCAGTCTTGGAAAAGGCTGGTCTGGACAGGAGTTTAAAAACCAGCCAAGGCCAGAGACAGATTAATGTGCATGGTGCAAAAGGAAAGGACATTGGAAGGATAAATGTCAAAAGAATAAGGAGAATGGTCAAGGCCATGGTATGAAAAAAAACACTGGTCAAGGGCTACTGCACCCAGGAGAAACCCAAGACCCCCTGCACCTGCTGTGGAAGGCAGGGTATAAAGTGTCAAGAAAAAAAAAGCTCAAATCTGCTCTAAAAGTGTCCAGCATTTAAGCTTTTATATAAGCCAAGAGAAAAGATGGCTTAGTAGTGAACAAAAGCAGGCTGTTTGTGCACTTCCTACTCCAACCACCTGGTGTCAAATAAGAGAGTTCCTAAGGGCAGCAAGGTTCTGCTGCATTTAGATCCCAAATTTCTTGCTCATGGCTAAGCCATTACATGAAGTCACAAAGAAGAGGAAAGAAGGAGCCCCTCCTCTAGGAGGCCAACCAGGAGAAGGCTTTTAAAGAAATCAAAGAAGCCTTGACTCAGGCCCCAGCTTTAGGACCGCCAGATCTAACTAACTAAGCTTTTCTTCTTGTATGTCCACAAATGAAAGGGAGGCCATAGAGGTTCTAACTCAAGCCATAAAGTCATGGCATCGCCCAGTGACATACTTATCCAGGCAATTAGATTCTATGGCACTTGGATGGCCTCCTTGTTTTAAAGCACTAGCTGCCACTGCCCTACTGGCATGGGCAGCTAATACACTGACTTTAAAAACTGTGAATACCCTAAACCTTAGCTCCTCATCAAGTCAGTCCCAGGAGGCCCCCTTCATTGCTGTGTGGATGTGGTAGATAGAGTGTTCTCAAGCCGGAGAGATTTGACACATCGGCCCCTTGGAGACCCGGACATTGAATATTTTACTGATGGAAGCAGTTTCATACTAAAGGGAGTCCGTCGTGCTGGGTATGCAGTGGTGACTTTGGACTCAGTAGCAGAGGTGCAGTCTTTGCCTACAGAAACTTCTGCTTAGAAAGCAGAGCTAATAGCTCTGACAAGAGCTCTCTGGCTAGCAAAAGGCCAAAAGACAAATATTTACACAGATTCCAAATATGCTTCTGCCACTTTGCATGTTCATGAGGCTATTTATAAAGAAAAAAAGACTTTTAACCGCTGGAAGTAAAGAAATAAAGTAACAAGGAAGAAATTCTACAGCTCTTAAATGCTGTATGGGCCCCAAAAGAGGTGGCAGTGATGCACTGCAAGGGGCACCAAAAAGCAAGAACACTAAAGGCTAAAGAAAATAGAAAGGCAGACAAAGAGGCAAAGCAGGCTGCAATGACAACTCCACCTTCTAAAGAAGAAGCCTTAGCTATGCTTCTCCTCCTGGAGATTCCCCTCCCGGAGATCCCAAGCTACACTCCAAATGAAAAGGCTTGGTTTTCCCAGGAAAATAAGAACTACATTGAAGGAGGATGGTAAAAATTCTCCAGTGGGAGGCTAGCCATACCTGAAATGGTGGCCCCCAGATCTGTAAAAGAGTTCCACCAAGGAACTCACATGGAAAAAACAGCACTAAAGACATCATTAAGGCATCATTTCCATGTGCCATGACTCACTGCTATTACTCGAGCCGTTTGTAAACAAACAGTGTTTAACTTGCACTCAGAACAATCCACCACAAGGGCCTACTTGGCCCCCGGGAGTTCAGGAAACAGGAGCCATGCCCTGTGAAAAACTGCTTATGGACTTCACCGAATTGCCCTGAGAGGGAGGCTATCAGTACATGTTGGTGTTCATTTGCACCTTTTCAGGATAGGTCATGGCCTTCCCCACCTGGACAGAGAAGGCACTAGAGGTGACCAAGGTGTTAAGAGACATTATTCCCAGATTTGGACTGCCTCTAACTCTAAGATCAGACAATGAACCAACATTTGTGGCTGAAATAGTTCAGGACTTAACTTGACTATTAAAAATAAAGTGGAAATTACAGACAGCCTACAGGCTGCAGAGCTCAGGTAAAGTGGAGTGCATGAACCGAACACTCAAACGGCTGCTGAAGAAATTTTGTCAAGAAACTCACGGTGGAATCAAGGTCTTGCCCATGGTCCTCCTCCGAGTCAGGTGCACCCCCACCTAACAAACTGGGTATTTGCCCTATGAGATTTTGTTCAGCCGGCCACCCCCCATTATAAGTCAGATTAAAGGTAATCTCTGTAAACTAGAAAAACTAACTTTAAAAAGGCAAATGCAGGCTTTAAGCATGGCCATGCAAAAGATGCATGGCTAGGTATGGAAAAGAATGCCTATAAGTCTAACAGACTTGTATACTCTTTCAAACCTAGGGACTTTGTTTAGGTTGAAAAATGGAATTCAACCACTCTAGGACCCATATAGGATAGGCCCCATATTGTTATCATGTCTACTCTCACTGCTGTTAAAGTTGCAGGTGTCACACGTTGGATTCACCATAGCCGGCTGAAACCAGTGGCAGCAGTGACTCCCGATGACAACCAGTGGATTAGCCAGCAAGACCCAAATCGCCCCACCCGAATAATCCTACGGCGAAACCTAACCACCGGTAAGAAGGACAACTGCCCTGCTCTGACCACACTGGAAGCTAAGCTCTTACCCTAAGCTCTTACCCTATGAATTCTGGTTTGAGGTTCATATTAAATCGGAGAGAGAAAAAGAAAGAGAGCTTATAGCTCAAACCAAATAATCCCCTCCCTCCTATAAAGGGCCTATTTCCTTGTACTTTGATGCCTGCCATGCCATGTATGTTCATAACCATAAAAAACCAGAAGCAATCTGCAATGGTTTGACACAAGAGAGGCTTAGCAGCAACAGTCCTAAACATCTGTACGGAGAACCACAAATCGGATGCCCGGACTGTAACATTCAGTGGTCTACGCTAACACAGCTCCAACATTTATATTCAGGAAGGACTGCTCTACTAAGTAGTATGTCAACCAAACCAGATTGTAAGACAAGGACATGCAATCCTTTAGATATTACTATCTTAAAGCCAGAGCTACCTTTTTGGTCTATAGGACAGACAGCACTATTATGAGTTGATAGACAAGGAGCAGGCCTTGGAGTTCCACTACTAATTGTCAAAAAGACTAGAAGGACTCAAATGCATCCAACCCTGCAATTCCGGGTCCATAAGTCATTCTATGAGCATTTTAATCAGCCAGTGCCCGAGCTTCCTCCATCAACCAAAAACTTATTTGCTCAGCTAGCTGAAAACATAGCTGGCAGCTTAGGAATTTCCTCATGCTATGTACGTGGAGGAACTAATATGGGGAACCAGTGGCTGTGGGAGGCAAAGGAATTAATGCCACAAGATAACTTCACTTCGCCTAACCTTGCCGGTAAACCAAAAGCCTCAGCCAGCGTTTGGTTGTTAAAAGCCTCCATAATTGGAAAGTACTATATCGCCTGATGGGGAAAGGCTTTCACAGAGGCAGTAGGAGAAACAACCTGCCTAGGGCAACAGTATTATGATGAGACTAAAAACAAAACTCTATGGAGAAACGCCCAGAACGACTCCTACTTACCAGATCCAAACCCTTTCTCTTGATTCTCTACTCTAAGCCACTCTTGGCATCAGCTAGAGGCTCCAACTGCTTGGAAGGAACCCTCTGGCCTATATTGGATCTGTGGAACACGGGCATATCGGCAACTGCTGGCTAAATGGACAGGAGCATGTGTGTTAAAAACAATCGAGCCATCCTTCTTTCTAATTCCTCGAAGGCAAGAGGAACTCTTAAGATATCCAGTTTATGATAAAAATAAAACTAGAAGAAGCATAATCACAAAAATAGACACAAATATCAAAAAGAATATGGACATAGGAAACTGGAAAAATAATGAATGGCCTCCTGAAAGAATCATTAAATACTATGGGCCAGCTACCTGGTTGCAAGACAGGTCATGGGGGTACCGTACCCCCATCTATATGCTCAACCACATCATAAGGTTGCAGGCAGTCCTTGAAATCATAACCAATGAAACATCAAAGGCACTAGATTTATTGGCAATCCAAGCAACACAAATGAGGAATGTTATATATCAAAATAGGCTGGCTTTAGATTACCTCTTAGCCTCGGAAGGAGGAGTATGTGGAAAATTTAATTTAACCAACTGTTGCCTAGAAATCGATGATAATGGCCGAGCTGTCATGGAAATCACAGCTAGAATGTTCAAGTTAGCCCATGTTCCAGTTCAGACTTGGTCCAGGTGGTCCCCAGACTCCTTGTATGAAGGATGGTTCTCAGCCTTTGGAGGATTCAAAACCCTCATTAGTGGGTTCTTGCTTATTCTTGTCATCTCCTTCATCCTCCCTTGCCTTTTACCCCTGTTTATTAGTAGTATTCAGTCAACTATGGAGGCAATAGTAGCCTGACACACTACCGTGCAGTTGATGACATTAACCAGACATCAGCCACTGCTGTTTAGAAGAAGCAGCTCAGCTCCAAGAGGAGGTGGCAAATAATGGTGCTTTCTATTAACACCTCTGTTATAAAAAGCACCAAAGAGGGGAACAGAACAGGAATTAAGAGAAATTAAAGAATGTGTAAGCAGAAACTCAGTTGTATGTAAGAAAACCCAATTCCCCCTAAGAAAGAGAAAGAGCTGGAGTCCTTAAAACCCGCCTGTTTTTCTGTGGCTAGTAAGCCTTATCTCTCCTCCCTTACCAGGCATTGTGAAGACCCTGTTTCCCTGGCTGTGCAGCTGCAAGGTCACTAGACAGATAAACTCAAGTCACAAAACATGTTTTTCCTTGAAAAGTAAGAAATGATGTAATGCATGTCTCAATTGAATAACTGTCTTTGTTTCTTACTTCTGTAGTATGCTTCCCCCTGCACAGATCTCCCCTCACCCACGAAATGCTTAAAAGGTAACTTAACTCTTTGTTCGGGGCTTAGTCCTTTGGATGTTAATCCAACTGGGCTGGTGCACATAAATAATTAAGAAATATCCTCTTGAACCCCATCAGTCTCTCTGATTCCTTAAAATCCCACTATAATAGAGTGCAAGGGAACACTCTGGATGATGGAAATTCTCTATCTTATTGGATGTGGGTGACCTGTGTGTGTGTGTATATATATATTTGGTTAGTGCAAACATAATTGCATTTTTTTTTTGAGAAGGAGTCTCACTTTGTTGCCCAGGCTGGTGTGCAGTGGTGCAATCTTGGCTCACTGCAACCTCCACCTCCTGGGTTCAAGCAATTCTCATGCCTCAGCCTCCCCAGTAGCTAGGATTACAGGTGCATGCTTGCATGCTACCACATCCAGCTAATTTTTGTATTTTTTAGTAGAGACGGGGTTTTGCCACATTCGAGACCAGGCTGGTCTTGAACTCCTGACCTCAAGTGATCTGCCCGCCTTGGCCTCCCAAAGTGCTGGGATTACAGGCATGAGCCACCACGCCTGGCCTAATTGCGGTTTTGGCCATTACTTTCAATGGCCAAAACCACAATTATGTTTGCACCAACCTAATATAAATTTATCAAAACTCATTGTACTATACACTTAAAAGTCTACATGTTTTATGGTATGTAAATTGTACATCAATGAAAAATAAATACTATTTCAAACAAACAAACAAATAGGATTAAGCATCTTTGAGGACAAGAATTAGGGAATAGAAGCAAAGTGTTGAGCAAAGCTGAGATTGTAAGTCCTCTGGGTTTTGGCACTTGAAGCAAGCAGCAGCTGCCAGGAGCTCAGATCCTGTAGGGTAACTCTGCTCCATCTAATATGGGGAGGGGGGCTGCAGTCAGAGGCTAGGGCAAGGCAGAGCTACTCCTCATCTGCAAAGAGACAAACTGCTGGTTGGCAGCTGTAGGCCTTGTTAGGCTGGAGGATAAACACAAACTCATGACTAAGATTTGAAGCAACCCCTAAGCTCCCTGCTCAACAACTAGAACTGTGGTATGCGCAAACCATTACAGGATGTGAGATTCAAACCACTAACAGAAGACCTGATTTTGGATTGCAACTCTAGGCTGCTAACTGGAAGGAGTCTTAGACTGGGTTCCTGAGAAGCAGAACCTGAGGCAGGGATTCTAGTGCCAGTGATTTATTGGAGATGCTTCCTGGAGAGGGGGAGGGAGGGAAAGAAATAGGACCAGGAAGGGGAAGAAGCTAAATAAGAATGTGCTCTGTATTAGGGTTCTCCAGAGAATCAGAACTAATAGGATATATACCCATATCCACATCTATATCTATATCATTAATCTATCTGTATCTATATCCATATCTATAGCTGTGTCTCTATTATCTATCTATATCCATAAATTTATAAATATCATAAAAAATTTGCTTACATGATTATGGAATCTGAAATGTCCCAAGGTCTGCAGTTGCCAAGCTGGAGATCCAGGAGAGCTGAGGATGTGGTTCCAGCCTCAGTCCAAAGGCCTAAGGACCAGTAGAGCCTATGGTGTAAGTCCAAAACCTGGCCATCTTGAGACCCTAAAAGAGTTGATGTTTCCATTAAGAGTCTGAAGGCAGGAAAAGACTGATGTCCCAGCTCAAGTCAGTCAGGAAGGAGGAGTCCCCTCTTACTTACGAAAGGGTCTATTCAGACTCTCAATTAATTGGATGAGACCCACCCACATTAGGGTGGGTGATCTGCTTCACTCAATTTACCAATTCAAATGTTAGTGCCATCCAGATACACACACACAGATACACCCAGAATGCTGTATGACCAAATGTCTGCGCACCCTGTAACCTAGTCAAGTTGGCACATAAAATTAACCATCACGAGTTCCCTGCTGGAGTCTAGCCCTAGCTTGATCTCATGGAGGTTTTGGAGCATGAATTATGTGACAGAATGAATCCCACTTTGAGGCAAAGGGTGTCAACTCTTTATTTTTATTTTTGAGACGGGGTCTCACTCTGTCACTCAGGCTGGAGTGCAGTGGCATGATCATGGCTTACTGCAGCCTCAACCTCCCAAGCTCAAGTGATCCTCCCACCTCAGCCTCCTGAGTAGCTGAGACTACAGGCATACACTACCATGCCCATATAATTTTTAAATTTTAATTTGCAGAGATGGGGTCTCACTATGTTGCCCAGGCTGGTTTCAAAGTCCTGGGCTCAAATGATCCTCCCACCTTGACCTCCCAAAGTGCTGGGATTACAGGGGCATGAGGTACTGCCCCTGGCTGGGTCTGGCCTTTTTTATCCATATGTCAATGAGGCATCTTCCCATTAAACAAATAGTTCTCTGGGGAAAGGGAGCAATCAACCCTCACAGCAGTTAGGGGAGTTGTGCACAAGCAGATATAGGTTTTTTTGGTAGGACATCAACAATACCCAGTACAGGGGCAACTTCAAAATTTCTATACAAAGATGGATTAGTAGAAAAGGAGAGAAAGAGGGAAATAGAGAGAGACTGCGAGAGAAAGAGCAACAAATATTTACAAACAAATAGAAAATCTCTCATTTAAAATGAGTGTGCACACCACAGTTCCATAGCCCAAGGAAGAAATATAGTTCTAAAACAGTGAACAAGATCAACAATCCAAACAGCAGCTCACCTGAGATGAAATCACTGTAATAGGATAGTGTGGAAAGTACTTTTAAATAAATATGCTGATCTATCTGGAGGAGAATAAAGTAACACCCACTAAGAAAGAACAAAAGACTGTAAAACATTTGCTGACACCAGGGAGGTGGCTCCTGCCCAATAGTGTTAGGAGAGAGAAACATGGGTGTCAACAGTAAACTTCCTTCTAGAACTGAACTTCATTTTTATTTTCAGACCTCATTTCCCCCAGAAGGCAGGGGCTTAATCTCAGTCAATTCAGCATTTCACCCATCTCCCCTTTCCTCAGTAATATCTGGTGTTGCAATTTTGCGAGTGTGACTCTGGTCTTTGTGATTTGCTGATGTCAGCTCCTCCCTGTAACTGCATCCTGTCTGGGCCTCAACCATCCAACCATGAAGTCACCTGCTAAGCTGATCCATTCCCACATACTGGGCCATGTCTCACTCAGATCCCTTGGCACTCCTTTTCGGACATGGGAAATGCTCCATTTTCTCTTGCTCTTCTCTGTAGCCTCAGAAGACTTACTGGAGCTATCGAGGGCCTTTTCTGCTTCCTGCTGCTCAAGCTGGTGTGGGAAACCATCCTACTCTTTCCCCTCCATGGCTGGTTCATGAGAACTCTTGCAGGCTGCCTTGGTCCACATGCAGACACAACCCACACTGTGTTGCGTCTGCCCTTGCACTGTGATGGGGAACTCAGGGATCTTGCTTCCTCCCCAAGCTTGACATTGGAAACGTGGCCCCGAAGCCTTATTTTCTCACATCCCAAAACCTGGGTGGGGATTTTATTGTGCTTCCTTATCCCAAGGGCTTGGCCATGGGAGGCAGCAGTGCCGGGACTCTTCTCCGGGAAGCTCCCAACTCTTCTGCTTCCTTTCTGACTCCTCTCTCCCTCCCCCTTAGCCCGTGGAAGCTTCATGCTTCTTAGGGCCCCTTCCTCAGAAGCTGGATGTGGAGAAGAAAGGCAAGGATGTGTCATTTCAGGAATATAGATGGGACAGGTTTAATTTTAAAATTATTAGAAATTCAGAGGTGGGGGTGGACAAAGAAGAGAAGAGTGAAGACAAAAGGATGATCAAGAAAATGGATGGTGGTAGAATATCTTTTACACACTGGGATATTTAATAGTCAATATATTGAGCTTGTGCTGTGACACTGTAGACCGCACCTCCTCCTCCATCTCTTTAATGCTTCTGTAAAGTTTTTACACATTAAAGAGGCCTGATGTGGATAAGTTTTTTGTGAAATTCAAGGGACTCTGTTTCACATTTGAGTCAAGATACTGCTAAAGAATGTGTAGGATGGTGAGATCGTTCATGAACTGAATGGATTCAGTGGAGGCAGAGGCAGAATGTCTAGACTGAGGAAACCATGAGAAAGTGAGCCTTCCAGGTGTTCACAGAAATTGTGGAAGGTTTTAAAGACAAACCTCATCTAGATTTTTTTTTTTTTTTTGAGACAGAGTCTTGCTCTGTGGCCCAGGCTGGAGTGCAGTGGCGCAATCTCGGCTCACTGCAATCTCCACTTCCAGGTTCAAGCGATTCTCTTACCTCAGCCTCCCTAGTAGCTGGGATTACAGGCGCCCACCACCACACCTGGCTAATTTTTGTATTTTTAGTAGAGATGAGGTTTCTCACCATGTCGGCCAGGCTGGTCTCAAACTCCTGACCTCAAGTGATCCACCTGCCTCGGCCTCCCAAAGTGCTGGGATTACAGGCGTGAGCCACTGTGCCTGGCCAAATCTTATCTAGATTTTTAAAGCGAAGGGGCACCTCAGCTGACATCTGTGTTAGACATGCTGAAAGGAAACATGTAGACTCCCTCTCAGTCTGTGAATGGAGTCATGGAAGCCTTGACTGAGGACCTACTATGGGCTAGATGTGCTGTCCTTGGTACCATGAATATGAGAATTAAAATCCTATGCCACTTGTCATGAAGGCTCCCTCAGTCAGTGGTAAACAAAGAACTATAATATTGTAAGCTAAGCGCCATAGAGAGGGATATCATCCGAGAAGATTGACAGCCTCTGCACTGACACCGTTCAGGGGAAACTAGCTCTTGGGAGGCATGGGAGAGTTTACTATCTGTTCTATTCATGTCCTCTTCTGCCCCGAAAGCCCACAGAATTTTTTGCCAACATGGTCCTAATCCTTACGTCTGAATTTCTGACACAGTTCCATGGATATTTACACGCCCTTAACCTAATTAAAGCAGGGGCATTTCTCTTCTCTTTTGGTTATTGTTATTATCGCTAACCATTGTTTAGTGATCACGGGACTATACACCGCAGAAGGTACGTGATGGCCACGTTATGATACTGTGGTTAAGCTGATGGGAGAGTAGAGGTAAAGTATGAAGAACAGGTGTCACCAAAACAGGAAAATGCCCATTATCTCAAAAACGTTTGGGTGAGAGAACTGTCTTAACGTCCACAGTTGGGGTGAAAAACAACAGGCTCCTTTTGGAGGGGGGCATTTGCCATAAACAAACTGATTGTGAGATTCTTAGCACATTCGGCATGAAGATAAAAGAGTTAGGAGACATTTTCTTTAAGTGAGAGTTGCGAAGAACAATCCATCCTCACCCTTTCCCACAGAAACAGCATCAAAATTAAAAAACAAAAAAAAAAACAAATTTCCTGTTTCAATTGTTGAAGAGGGAGAGAAGCTCTTACATCGTGGACTCCTGTAGCAGAGGGATTCATGGGACTCTGATACAATAGGAGTTTTGTAACAGACGGCAAAAAGTCCAAGCCTGCTTTCTTCCCTTTTCTGCAATGGATGAACAAACCCAAGGCAGAATAATCTTTGCAACAACTCGGCAGAGAGAGGCAGCAGTGCCTGATGGAGGCCTTGCTTGGCCAACGGAAGTAACATTACATGTGATAGATCTGAGATGGTGGTGAGAGGGAAGGGAAAGGAGAAGAGGGAAGAAAGAAGTAGAAGAGAAAAGGCTAGCCTTGAACCCTGGTTTTCTTTTTTTTCTTTCTTTCTTTCTTTTTTTTTTTTTTTGAGACAGAGTCTCTCTGTCACCCAGGCTGGAGTGCAGCGACATGATCTTGGCTCACTGCAACCCCCACGTCTCGGTTCAGGTGATTCTCCTGCCTCAGCTTCCTGAGTAGCTGGGATTACAGGGGCCCACCACCACACCCGGCTAATTTTTTTTTTTTTTTTGTATTTTTAGTAGAGACAATATTTCTTTCTTTCTTTCTTTTTTTTTTTTCTGAGATGGAGTTTCGCTCTTGAAGCCCAGGCTGGAGGGCAATGGCGCAATCTCAATTCACCGCAACCACCGCCTCCTGGGTTCAAGCGATTCACCTGCCTCAGCCTCCCGAGTAGCTGGGATTACAGGCATGTGCCACCATGCCCGGCTAATTTTGTATTTTTAGTAGAGATGGGGTTTCTCCACGTTGGTCAGCCTAGTCTCGAACTCCCAACCTCAGGTGATCCACCTGCTCCGGTCTCCCAAAGTGCTGGGATTACAGTCACATTCATTGTTTCAGAGGGTGGATACAGACTTTCCTAATAAAGAAAGATTTCTTTAGCTCTTAGGCTAAAACACTTACAGAGGTGAGGAAACACTTTTCATCCCTGAGTTTATCAACTTATTAGTACTTGAAAATAAAAAACTGTTGACTTTGTTGATGTTCTCTATTGAATACGTATTTTTCTATTTCATTAATTTCTGCTTTTACATGTATTACATGTATTTCTTTCTTCCACATTAAAAAAAATTCTTTTGGTGTTTTTTCTTTTTTTTTCATAAGAAAGGGTAGAATTTTATTGTCAAAAAGGCACACTTGGCCGGGAGTGGCAGCTTACACCTGTAATCCCAGCACTTTGGGAGGCCAAGATGGGAGGATTTCTTGCGAATAAGACTTTGAGACCAGCCTGAGCAACATAGTGAGACCCTGTCTCTACAAAAAATAAAAAATTAGCTGGGCATGGTGGCATGTGCCTGTTGTCCCTGCTACTTAGGAGGCTGAAGTGGGAGGATGGCTGGAGCCCAGGGGGTCAAGGCTGCAGTGAGTTGTGATGGTGCCACTGCACTCCAGCCTGGGTGACAGAGTGAGACCCTGTCTCAAAAAAAAAAAAAAAAAAAAAAAAAAAGAAAAGGAAGCTTTTAAGAGATTAAATTTTTTCTCTGAAAAAAATTAATTAAAAATTTTAATTGACACATAATAATTGTACATATTTATGGGTACAATGTGATGTTTCAATATATGCATACTTTGTGTAATGATCAAATCAGTATAATTAGCATATCCATCACCTCAACATTTATCTTTTTTTAGTGAAAACTCAAAATCCTTTCTTCTAGCTTTTTTGAAATATTCAATACATTATTGTTAACTATAGTCAACCTACTGTGCAATAAGGACATTAGCACTATTCCTCCTAAATAATTTTAACTTCGAAACCGTTAATTAGCTCTTTCCATTCCCTCCTTACTTAAATTTTTTTTAAAATACAAGATCTTGCTATGTTGTTCAGGCTTGCCTGGAATTCCTGGCCTCAAGTAATCCTTGCATCTTGGCTTCCTGAGTAGCTGGAATTACAGGCATGAGCCACCACACTGGGCCCTCCTTACTTCTTGAAGATGTTTTGCTCATTAAATTTCAGACTTTCGTCTTTAATAAACACATTTAAGGCTATAACTTTCCCTCTAAATATAGTGTTAGCTGTATCTCATGAGTTTTGATATGTAATGCTTTCTATATTCCTCAGCTCAAACTATATCCTAAAATCCTTAATTTAAAACCATCAGCTTTGGGAGGCCAAGGTGGGTGGATCACAAGGTTAGGAGTTTGAGACCAGCCTGGCCAGCATGGTGAACCCCTGTCTCTACTAAAAATACAAAAATTAGCCAGGCATGGTGGCGTGTGCCTGTAATCCCAGCTACTTGGGAGGCCAAGGTAGGAGAATTGCTTGAACCCAGGAGGTGGAGGTTGCAGTGAGCCAAGATCATGCCACTGCACTCCAGACTGGGCCACAGAGTGAGACTCCCTCTCAAAAACAAACAAACAAAAAAACCATCAGGGCTAGGCGCAGTGGCTCACGCCCCTAATCCCAGCACTTTGGGAGGCTGAGGCAAGTAGATCACTTGAGGTCAGAAGTTCGAGACCAGCCTGGGCAACATGGTGAAATCCCATCTCTACTAAAAATACAAAAATTAGCTGGGCATGCTGGTACACACCTGTAATCCTAGCTACCTGGGAGGCTGAGGAAGGAGAATTACATGAACCCAGGAGGCAGAGGTTGCAGTAAGCTGAGATCGTGCAACTGCACTCCAGCCTGGGCAACAAAGCGAGACTCCGTCTCAAAAAAAAAAAAAAAAAAAAAAAAAAAAATCTGGGCCCAGCGTGGTGGCTCACTACTGTAATCCAACACTTTGGGAGGCAGAGATGGGCGGATCATGAGGTCAGGAGTCTGACACCAGCCTAGCCAACACAGTGAAACCCCATCTCTACTAAAAATACAAAAATTAGCTGAGTGTGGTGGCATACACCTGTAGTCCCAGCTACTCGGGAGGCTGAGGCCGAATCACTTGAACCCGGGAGGTGGAGGTTGCAGTGAGCCGAGACCGCACCATTGCACTCCAGCCTGGGTGACAGAGTGAGACTCCATCTCAAAAAAAAAAAAAAAAAGAAAAAGAAAAAGAAAAAGAAAAAAAGCAAAGGTCTTCTGTATCTCTTTTTACGTTGGATATTTTGCCCGATACTGACCGGGCACGGTGGCTCACATCTGTAACCCCAGCACTTTGGGAGGCCGATATGGGTAGATCACTTGAGACCAGGAATTCAAGACCAGCCTGGCCAACATGAGGAAACCTCGTTTCAACTAAAAATACAAAAATTAGCCAGGCGTCATGGCGCATGTGTGTAATCTCAGCTACTCGGGAAGCTGAGGCAGAGAATCTCTTGAACCTGGGAAGTGGAGGTTGCAGTGAGCTGAGATTGCACCACTGCACTCCAGCCTGGGAGACAGAGCGAGACTCCATCTCAAAAAAAAAAAAGAAAAGATATTTTGCCTGATACTAACAAAGTTACGTCAGTTTGTTTTTTGGTTTGTATTTGCATGGTATACTTGTTTCCATCTTTTTACTTTCAACCTCTTGGTATTCATATGTTTTCAACTTGATTTCTAGTAGACAATACATAGTTTATTAAGGACATAGTCTGACAATCTTGGTCTTTTAACTGTTGCATATACCCTATTTTGTATTAATGTGGCTTCTGATAGTCCTGTATACATCTTGTTTCAGCCGGGTGCGGTGGCTTACGCCTGTAATCTCAGCACTTTGGGAGGCTGAGGTGGGTGGATCAACTGAGGTTGGGAGTTTGAGACCAGCTTGACCAACATGGAGAAACCCCGTCTCTACTAAACATACAAAATTAGCCAGGCATGGTGGCGCATGCCTGTAATCACAGCTCCTTGGGAGGCTGAGGCAGGAGAATCTCTTGAACCCGGGAGGTGGAGGTTGTGGTGAGCCGAGATGGGACCATTGCACTCCAGCCTGGGCAACAAGAGCGAAACTCCGTCTCCAAAAAAAAAAAAAAAAAAACTTATTTCATAGATTATATTTATACTACCTGTTGCAGGTTTCTTTTTCTCTCATTCCTTGCCTTTTTGGGGGAGTATATTTAATTTTCAAAGTTTAAAATTAACCAACTACCTTTGCCCTTATTACAGACATTACCAAAACAAAAACAAAAACAAAACAAAAACAAACAACAACAAAAAAAACCACAAAGACAAACAACTAAAGTAGAAATTTTAACTCTATTTCTATTGTTCCTGTCTTATAGTTCTTGTTTTTACAAGTTGTAATTTATGCAATTACAATGTTATATTGTAATTAAATCTTATGAGGTCCAATAACCATTTTTACTGCATGTCATGAATTTAATATTTGTTTACATTTATACACAGGTTTACCACTCTATTTGCTTTTCAATCTTTTTTATATCCTAGAACTTTCTAGAATCATCTTCTTTCTGACTGAGGTACATACTTTAGTGTACCCTTCAGTGAGAGTCTCTGTTTATGTTTATCATAAAATGTCTTTATTTTGCCAACATTCTTGAGGGAGAATTTTCACTGGATATGGAATTCTAGGTCAGCATTTGTTTCCTTTCAGTATATTGAATATATCATTGTATTATCTTTGGTCTTCTGCTTTTACTCTTGAGAAATCCTCTTTGAGTCTACTGCCACTCCCTTGAAGTGGCAGTAGACTATCCTCTGGCTGCTTTTAAGATGCTTCTATTTGTTGCTGGTGTTCTTCAATTTTACTTTGACATGTCTAGGTGTGAACTTCAGTTTAAATATTTGGTATTTGTTGGGCTTCTTGAATCTATGGACTGGTGTCTTAAACACTGATTCTAGAAAATCCTCATCCATTATTTCTTCAAATACTACCTCTACTTCATCTTATCTTCTCCTTCTGGAATTCAGATTAAGCACATGTTTAATCATTTCACTTTATCCTCTGGGTCTCTAAACCTTTCTTTCATGTTTTCCTTTTTGTTTGTTTTCTATGCTACATTCTATATCATTTCTTCTGATCTACATTCCACTTACTGATTGTCTCTTCTACTGTGTCTAACCAATTCCCAAACCCATATGTTGTGTTTTAAAATTTGGTTATTTTATTTTGCAGTTTCAAAAGTGCTATTTTGTTCTTTTGCAAATCTATGATGCTTCCTTGTAGTTTTCTCTTCCTGTAGATATTTTCAAGGTTGTTTTATTTAAGTATTGTAGGAATGTTTATTTTAAAATATGTCTCATAATTTCAATATCTGAGGCCTATGTGGATTTGTCTCTATGGTCTTATGTTGCTTTGTTGCATTGTGCCTTTGATTATATTTGGCTGGGGCTACCCTTTGACCTTGAAAATAATAATAATAATAATTCTTATTGTTTTTGAGATAGGGTCTCACTCTGTTGCCCAGGCTGGAATGCAGTGGTGCAATCATGGCTCACTACAGCCTTGACCCCCTGAGTTCAAGTAATCCTCCCACCTCAGCCCCCTGAGTAGCTGGGACTACAGATGCACCACTACCAAGCACAGCTAATTTTTAAATTTTTTTTTTTGTAGAGACAGGGTCTCCCTGTGTTGCCCAGGCTGGTCTTGAACTCCATGGCTGAAGTAATCCTCCCACCTCAGCCTCCCAAAGTGCTGGGATTACAGGCCTGAGCTGCCACTCCTAGCCTGACGTTGAATATTATTTGAGAGGATTTCCCAAGTTTAGGATAAATATACCCTTATTCCAAGATAATTTTGAGTTTGCTTCTGTCAGATATGTAGCTGCAATATTAGTTCTGTATAATGCTCTAATTAATCACCTTAAGTTTATTGGACTAATCTTGTGACACAAATTTAGAACATAAATCCACACTAGGGCTAGCCTCTGCTTACAACCTATCAGGGATGGGTTGTTAGTTATTCCTGCCTTGCTCAGCATCAAGGTACTTGTCCCTACACCCCCCTGAGAATTCAGAGGGGTTCCTCTGAGGGGAATTCAAGGGCGTTGCTCAGGGGGGAATTCAAGGGGTTTGCTTTCCATCTGTTATACTCCTACCCTGACAAGTGCATCCCCCAGCTAGAGCCACTCAGCTTAATGTGGGTCAGTTTCCTATTAGACTTCTCAACTTTGGTAAACCCTTCCAAACAGAGTTTTTAGTTTCATACTTATTTTGCTTTGGATAATAAAATGCAAAAGTGGCTGGTTGTGGTGGGTCATGCCTATAATACCAGCACGTTGTGGGGCTGAGGCAGGAGGATCACCTGAGCCCAGAAATTTGAGACCAGCCTGGGCAACATAGTGAGACCAAGTTTCCATTAAAAATTTAAAAAATTAGCTTGGTGTTACCAGGCACGGTGGCTCACGCCTGTAATCCCAGCACTTTGGGAGGCTGAGGCAGGTGGATCATGAGGTCAGGAGTTTGAGACCATCCTGGCTAACACAGTGAAATCCTGGCTAACACAGTGAAACCCCGTCTCTACTAAAAATACAAAATTTAGCTGGGTGTGGTGGCACGTGCCTGTAGTCCCAGCTTCTCAGGAGGCTGAGGCAGGAGAATCACTTTAACCTGGGAGGCGGAGGTTGTGGTGAGCTGAGATCGCGCCACTGCACTCCAGCCTAGGTGACAGAGCGAGACTCTGTCTCAAAAAAAAAAAAAATTAGCCTGGTGTAGTGGCCTGCATCTGTGGTCCCAGCTATTTGGGAGGCTGAGGCAGGAGAACTGCTTGAGCCCAGGAGGTTGAGGCTGCAGTGAGCTGTGTTCATGCCACTGCACTCCAGCCTGGGTGACGGAGTGAAACTCTGTCTCAAAAAAAAAAAAAAAAAAAAAGCAGAAGTGTCTCTGAATGATTTATTTATCTCTTTCTTACTATTCCATCAGCTTTTTAATGCTGTACGATGGAGGATTTGTCAGTTTTTTTGTGTTTGTATAAATTTTCTTCATATATTTTATTTTATGCATCTGCATGTTTAGAATTGTTGTAACTTTATATTTTTATTATTATTATTTTTTGAGATGGAGTCTCGCTCTGTCGCCCAGGCTGGAGTGTAGTGGTGCAATCTCAACTCATTGCAACCTCTGCCTCCCGGGTTCAAGCGATTCTCCTGCCTTAGCCTCCCAAGTAGCTGGGATTACAGGTGCCTGTCACCACTCCCAGCTAATTTTTTGGACTTTTAGTAGAGACAGGGTGTCACCATGTGGGTCAGGCTGGTCTCGAACTCCAGACCTCAAGTGATCTGCCCGCTTTGGCCTCCCAAAGGGCTAGGATTACAGGTGTTAGCTACTATGCCCGGCCTATGTTTTTAATTTTATGATGTACCTTTATATATATTTTATTTTATGCATATGTGTGTTTAGTATTGATGCGTCTTCTTGATAAATTGGAATTCTATCACTTTTGTGATAACTCTGTCTATATATATTTTTTGAGATGGAGTCTCACTCTGTTACGCAGATTTCAGTGCAGTGGCATGATTTCAGCTCACTGCAACCTCCACCTCCCGGCTTCAAGCGATTGTCATACCTCAGCCTCCCAAGTAGCTGGGCTGGGACTACAGGCATGCAACACCATGTCTGGCTAATTTTTATATTTTTTATTAGAGACAGGGTTTCCCCATGTTGGCCAGGCTGGTCTTGAACTCCTGACCTCAGGTGATCCAGCTGCATTTTCCTCCCAAAGTGCTGGGATTACAGGTGTGAGCCACCGCACCTGGACAACTCTCTATTTTTAATGATGCTTTAAAAATTAAAATGTGTTTGTTTTTCTGTTATCACTTGCAAGTGGAGCTTTAAGTTAGTGTGTGATTTTCCATGTTCCCTTTTGCCTGCTTTGGCAATTATGGAAGCAGCGCCTCAGGCGGTAGCTGCTCTGTCGGCTGCTCCTGCTCATCGTTCAGGTCTCAGTTTGGAGACCTGTAGCAGATGCTGCTGATGCCCATCCAAATTTCCTTTATGGATTGGGTCCCAGAATGAAAACACTGGGCAATAGAGACCCCAAAATTGATTGGCAAAGGACATGTAGTAAGGATAAGAAATAAATCTTTTTGTTGTAAGCTACTAAGGTTTGGGTGTTGCTTGTTATGTAACATAACTTAGCTTATATTGACTAACACAGAAATATTGGGCAAATACTTCAAAAATATTTTCCTTCTTACACAATCATACAAGACCCTTCACATTGAGCTCCCTGATATTATTGCAGCCCCATGTGTTCTCAACACTGCCCATCCCCGTCACCTATGTCGCCGTGAATGGTCTTTCTCTCTCTTAGTTCTGGCCATCTACATAGACTGTTTCTCTTTTTTTTTTTTTTGAGATGGAGTCTCGCTCTGTCTCCCAGGCTGGAGTACAGTGGCATGATCTCGGCTCACTGCAACCTCTGCCTCCCGGGTTCACGTGACACTCCTGCCTCAGCCTCCCAAGTAGCTGGGATTACAGGTGTGTGCCACCACACCCAGCTAATTTTCGTGTTTTTAGTAGAGACAGGGTTTCACCATGTTGGTCAGGCTGGTCATGAATTCCTGACCTCAGATGATCCACTCGCCTTCGCCTCCCAAACTGCTGGGATTACAGCCATGAGCCACTGCTGCAATAGACTATTTCTTTAACCTGGAATACTCTTCCCCTACTGTTCACCTGACCAACTATTGCTCATCACTCAAGTCTCAGTTTAGAGACCGACAGCAGATGCTGATGATGCCCACCCAACTTTCCTTTATGGACTGGTGTACCCAGTCCCCAGCTACCATGAGCGTTGGCTGCTAACAGCTCACAGATGCCCTCTTCTCTTTTTTTATGGCCAATTCCCTACTACCTCCCCACAGTACAACTAGTCCTCCCCTCCCACCAGTGGCAGCCTGCGGCCAATGGCTGGCTGACACGGATGGAAGGTTAAAAGACTGGCCCTCTTGACTCAAGGTGCATCCAATTTTGTGGTGAAATTAATGTGTGTGAGTTTCTCTGGAACTAGCAGCCTGATCTGACCTAGGCTAGATACATGAGGGAGCCAAGCCAACATCAGTGGAGCCTGTTCCAGACCAGAAGAACCATATAGCAGAATCATGAACTAAACAGTTGGTTTAAGCTGAAAGTAGTCTCCTTGCTTACCTTTACTCTCTTGCCCTGCACCCTTCCCTCACTTCCTTTCTCCTTAGAGCATCCCCTCTGTAAACCACGTGCACACAAAGCCCTGTCTTTGGCTCTGCAGTAAGACAGAATGCCTGGCTGCCCAGGCCTGGATTGTGAACCCCTCTTCTGCTGCTCTGCCACTCTGTACTGTCTCTCACTATGGTGCCCATGAGACTGCATTGAACTGTCTATTTACTTATCTCTTCTACTAACTAAACCTTTTGAAGGCATAGGTCATGTTTTTATTATTATTGCTATTGATAGTATCTCAATACTCTTTTAAAAAGAGACTGAGAGATGGGGTGATAAAGTGGTTATCATTTTATTCTCAATGCCCAGCATGTATTAGGTACACCTTAATAGTTGAATGAATGAATGAGTGAAAGTTGTCCTGGATTTAACAAAGAGATGCAGGCTACAAGCATTTTTGCAGAGAATATTGGAGCTTAATAACATTTCCATAAAGAATGGATCTTAGAGGCTGGGTACGGTGGCTCATGCCTGTAATCCCAGGATTTTGGGAGGCTGAGGCAGGTGAATCATTTGAGGTCAGGAGTTTGAGACCACCTGACTAACATGGTGAAACCCCATCTGTACTAAAAAATACAACACAATTAGCTGGGTGTGGTGGTGCATGCCTGTGTCCCAGCTACTTGAGAGGCTAAGGCAGGAGAATTGCTTGAACCCAGGAGGCAGAGGTTGCAGTGAGCCAAGATTACGTCATTGCACTACAGCCTGGGTGACAGAGCAAGACTCCATCTCAAAAAAAAAAAAAAAAAAAAAAGGATCTTAGAGACTTTTAAGGTGCAAAGACCAAGGACTTAAGTGATAGGCTCACTGAAATGAAGAAGGGGAAATTTCAGTGTATAAAAAACATGGGAGCAGAAAATGGCAAAATTGGTCACTAAGAGAAAGAGGAAGAGTTGGGACCAACGTGTTGTTGAAGTGTCCTGCTCAGTGAGGAGGGACTGAAAGTTCAGTTCACACCTGCTGTATGGTATTCACATTCTACATATGTTACTATTCAGATAACATGGGCACTGACGTTTTATATCAGAGTGAAGAGTTGGTTGCTTTCAAAAGCATTGCTCTATCTGAATTCTTGAGATGGGTGGCTCCTTCCTAGCTATTAAGAGGCAAAATTCTGGTGCCCAGAGTGGAAAGAAAACCAGACAGTTAATCTCAGTCTTTTTACTCTGTCCTCCACTTCTGTTTCCTGAACAATCAGAATTCCATCTTTTACCAGGTTGGCTTTTGTAGAGTTTGCAGTGAACTGAGATGAATCTGCAGTGACTTCAGGACAGGATCTGGAATATGTATTTCAACAATATCTTCCTGTTATCAGCCTATCAGGCAATCACAGAAGCTTTTAATAGAAAGCTAGATAAAACTAGTCCTCCACCTAACAACTGTTTTTTCCTGTTTTTTTTTTCTACAAGCTCTTTTTTTCTTGTAGATATTTAGTACTGCAAAAATCCCATCTAGTGGAAGCCCTTGGCATGGTAAGGTTTGGTTCCAGGTAATCACAATTTTAGGGTACAAAACCATGAAAGACTTATCAAGATCACTGGGGTGGGGGTGGGGTGCTGGCAGCAGCACAGTGACCTCTGGTCCACTACAAATAAACTCTTCAGAGAGTTTCTTGAGTATTTTACCATATTTGTCCTTTGGACTTTGCAAATGGCTTCTTGATATCTGCCGATCATGGCAGACAGTGGACAGATGAACCCAGTTGCCCACCAGGGAAGTTGTGATGTTCTTAGCATCAGAAGGCCTCAGGTTGATGTCAGTCTGTGGTGCTTCTCTGCCCTCTCTCATGTCTCCTCAGCCCGTTTCACCTCAAGGAAGAGCTCCCCTCCAGAGAAAAACCGAGAGTCATCATTTGCCTGCTCAACTATGAATAAAGTTCCACGTACCTTCTCTCTGCTCACTTCTTTCAGAGGCACTTCCGGCTCACGAAACTCTTCAGCTAAGTTCCTGGGGAATTTGCTGAGTGTCAAAACATGAATTAAACCAGAAGAGATATGATAGTGGGTTTTGTCTGAGAGGGATGCCCAGCCTTGTGAATAAGTCATCTTCCAGTGTGGAGGATTGCTTGCTCCCTGACCTGTATCCACTGGGGACCCACATATACCGGGCATTCTGCTCACCAGAGACACACACAAGACTCATGGGTCAATCACCAAAACCTGGGGCCACAGCTCAGACCTGATCTGTCATGTCAGACAAGGCTGAAATATTGTTCTTCTGTGTTGTGAGTTTTCTCAAATACAATACAAAACTTTCTCCTTGCAGCTCAATCAAGGCAATCTGCATAGTAAGAAGAGTGTGGGATTTGGAGGCAAGAGACTTGGGTGTGAGTTTCAGGCCCCTGATTTTGTGTAAATCACAATTCTTCCTACCTCTTGATTTTCCTAAACTGTAAACTGAGCTGCATGCCACCCGCCCTATTTCTTCAAAAGGTTCTTATAAAGACTGAATGAAATACTGTATGCAAAAATAACACATTAAAACCACTTTATGAATGTTATTATTCTTATTAAGCACCATCAAAGTTGAAGACATGAACCTAGAAACTTCAGAGGACAAAAGATATGTGAAAATAACCAATTTTTCAGGATACTACCATCTGGTTGGAGATAGCTCTGATCCCTGCATCTCTCCTGCCTCATCTCTGTTCATTCCAACCCCAGTCAGATTGAGGTACATGCCACCAATTTCTGGAATTCTCCATTGTCTCTCCAGACCCTGGATCTCTGCAGATGCTGCCTCCCTCTGAGAAGCACTTTCTGCTCTACTCATGCCTATCTTTTCTCCTTCTTCTCTTATTCTTCACCTGGCTCAACTCCAGGAAGCCTGCCCTGACCAGTCTCTGCTCCACATCAAGTCTAAGACTGGATTCAGCATGCTCACAGCACTCTGATCTCATCGCTGTCATTGTCTACCCCTCACAAGCTACATGGTTCATTAATAGATCTGTGCGCTCCCTGAGGGGCAAGAAATGTGTCCTACACAGTGGCATGGGGTTTAGAGTAAGTATTGAATGAATGTCTATTGGGTAAATGAAAAAAACAAAACAAAACAAACCCACCTACTAAAATAGTTAAATGCTGAGGGGCTTATCCATCACACTAGAAGGGATACACCCTGAAACCTTGGGGACTCCTCACTGGGCACTTCTTGGGACACTTCCTGATTTCAAAGTCCCCAGAAAAGAGGTCAGGTGGTCCACGACAGCCAAAGCACTCTGGTAAAAAGATCCTATTGCAGTCGGGCGCGGTGGCTCACGCCTGTAATCCCAGCACTTTGGAAGGCCGAGGCGGGCAGATCACGAGGTCAGGAGATCGAGACCATCCTGGCTAACACGGTGAAACCCCGTCTCTACTAAAAAATACAAAAAATTAGCTGGGCGTGGTGGCGGGTGCCTGTAGTCCCAGCTACTCGGGAGGCTGAGGCAGGAGAATGGCGTGAACCCGGGAGGTGGAGCTTGCAGTGAGCAGAGATCACGCCACTGCACTCCAGCCTGGGCGACAGAGTGAGACTCTGTCTAAAAATAATAATAATAATAATAATCGTATTGCTTAGTAAAAATTAAAGAAAGTTGAAGTAAATTGGACAGACTGCACCTCTTGATCAGAAATCGTATCAAAAGATTTCACCCAAAGAAACAGAAACCACATTGAGCTTTGTGTGCAGTGCCCATCATCTCATACCTCCATAAACTCTGACTGGTGGGGGGTTCACACAGTGGATTTCCTGCCTGTGTCCAGTTAATTCCCCTCAGTTAATATCTGGTGAGACCACCGGGGCCTGGCAATTTGCAAAAAGAGACAAAGGGATCCAATTCACTAAACACAGGCTAAATGAACCACTTAGCCAATGGCCTCCTGCTCCTTACCAGTGGGGCCTTGGACCTCAATTCATGCTTGCTGGGCTTTCAGACCTTTAGTGAAATGGATGGAAATACACAAATTGGAGTGTGCTACAACATAGCACTGGGTGCACATGTGATGATTTCTTAAAAATGGCCACACATTCTTTGTCATTTCTCCCATCCAAGGATGGGGATCTGTGTTTCCTCCCCTTGAATCTGGGTTATGACTACTTTGACCAGTAGAGTACAGTGGACTGATGCTATGTGACTTCTGCATCTAGGCCTTAAATGGCCATGCAGCTTCCACCTGCTTCTGTTGCAATGTTCACTCTCTGGAAGCTCCCTTCTGGAACATGCCATCAGAACCCAGCTACTGTGTTATAAGAAGCCTGAGTCACATGGAAAGACCACTTGTAGATGCTCTGTTGACTGTCCTAAGTGGCCTTAAACTTCAAGTCATCCTGGCCCAAATAGCAGGCAAGTGAGTGAAGGAATTGCCAGATGGTTCTGGTACCCAGCAGAAGCCCCAACGTCACAGAACAAAGACAAGCCATCCTTGCTGGGCTGTCCAAATTCCTGATCCATAGAATCGTGTGCATAACAAAATAGTTGCTTCATGCCACTTAAGCAGACTTACTGGTTTATTATGCAGCAACAGACAACAGCACACATTGCAACCCATGATGATGAGAAATGCCCCGTGGGCAAGGAATTCAATATGTTGGCACTGGAAAGTTGCTTACGTTTTGAGAACAAGCCAACAGAATCTTCAAGGAATCAGAGCACTGAAGAAGTCCACACTAGGGCCTTTAAGTCCAAACCCTGGATGTCGAGTCTTTTCCGTAGGCTCACGCTGCCCTCCAGCAGTCTCTGGTTAATGCTGGAGAGGCTTGGTGAATGATGCCCCTTCACCTTTCTACAGGACCTCTTCCTCCCCTTTGGGTCTGGTCTGTGTCATGTTTTATACTAGACTGTCTCCTTCACCTTTGTGTCCTCAGCCAAGCACAGTGGCTGGTCAGGAGGAGAACCAAGTTGTTGAACTGAACACAAAGGGATGCAGGGAAAGGATGGAGCATCCTAGGTGTCATTTCTTCCCTCTTGTCCCCCAGGTTTCCAGATGATCAGTTACCTGCTTCTGTGGTGGAATATGATAGGAAAGACTCAAACTAGCATTTAGTAAGCAGCTACTACATGGCAAATGCTATACAAGGTACTTTTATGATGACCTCATTTAATTTTAAAACCCCACAAGGTGGCCACCACATTTAGGAGAATAAGAAATTTAGACTTACACGATTCCCTTGCCCGAGACCATGCTGATGGAAAGTGATGGAGCAGGAACGTGACCCTGGGTTTCTGTCCTCAAAGCCTGTCCTGTTGTATCTTAGGAGACAGTGCTGCTGGTTTGGGAGTTTGGAGGAATGAAGCTGGTGGGAGGCCTGCTCACACGTGGGAAAGCCCCTTGTGGTGCAAACAGAGCAACTGTCTGGTGAGGAATCAGTTCAGAATCTTCACCGGGCATTCACAGACAACCAGAAAGCTGCTGGGCATCCACTTCTAACAAAGGTCAGGGCCAGTGGGCTGAAGGGCAAGGGACATCTGGGGAAGTATTGCTCAGTCAGACCAAGAGCAGGGGCTAGGCCAAAACCCAGAAACCACCTGGCCCCACTGTCTGGACATCGGGGCGATTTTCCTTGCAGCCCATGTGCTGATGGTCCACACCAGCTGTGTGTGCTACCACAGACCAGTCAGGATCCCTCAGACTGACTAAAAAGGTGATTTCAGAAAATGACTTCTTTTTCATAAAGGAGAGAAATAAAGACCACATGAGATCATTTCCTATTTGTGTCATTTGACAGAAGACATATTTCTTGTTGGGGAAACAATGAAAAAAAACCCCACCTCGGATTAGCATTAAACAATTTCATTCTGAATAAACTGGATTTGCTGAGAAACAAAGATAAACAGACTGACAATGACAGATAAAGAAAGTAGGTAGTGTAAGGTGGAGAAGGGAAGAGAGAGGACAGGAGGGATGATAAATCTGCAAATTCTAAGTGTGATTCTTTCTTTTTTGAGACAGGGTCTGGCCCTGCCACCCAGGCTAGAGTGCAGTGGTGTGATCTCAGCTCACTGCAACCTCTGCCTCCCAGGCTCAAGTGATCCTCCTACCTCAGCCTCTTGAGTAGCTAGGACTACAGGCATGCACCACCACATCCAGCTAATTTTTTTTTTTTTTTTTTTTTTTTTTTTTGAGACGGTGTCTCACTCTTGTCACCCGGGCTGGAGTACAGTGGCGCAATCTCGGCTCACTGCAGCCTCCGCCTCCCGCTTTCAGGCAATTCCCCTGCCTCAGCCTCCTGAGTAGCTGGGATTACAGGTGCCTGCCACCATGCCCGGCTAATTTTTGTATTTTTTAGTAGAGATGGGGTTTCACCATGTTGGCCAGGCTGGTCTCGAACTCCTGACCTCAGGTGATCCACCTGCCTCAGCCCAAAGTGCTTGGATTGCAGGTGTGAGTCACCGCACCTGGCCTAATTTTTGTATTTTTAGTAGAGATGAGGTCTTGCCATATTGCCCAGCCTAGTCTCGAATTCCTGGGCTCAAGCCATCCACCCACCTCGGCCTCCCAAAGTGCTGGGATTACAGGTCTAAGGGTAATTCTGCCTCCTCTTCATTATTCACTATCTTCAAAAAAGATATTCTGAAATTGTTTAACAGTTCCTTAAACAGTTCAATATAAATTACTATATGACTAAACAATCCCTCTCATGGGTATCTATCCAAGAGAAATGAAAACGGATGACTACACAAATAACTGTATATGGATGTTCATATCAGCATTCTTCATAATAGTCAAAACTGGAAACCATTCAAGTACCCATCAGCTGGCAAATGGATAAACAAAATGTGGTACATCCATACAATGGAATGCGACTCAGCAACACACAGGAACACATTCCTGAACATGCTACAACATGGAACAAACCTCACGGTATGCTGAGAGAGATCAGACACAAATGACTACATTGTGAGGCCGGGCACGGTGGCTGAAAGATAAATTTAATATAAAAGGTTTAGATAGTAGGTAATAAAAGTACTCCCCTTATTATTTTCCAAAGGTAGCATCCATAGAGAGAGTTGCATTTTCAATCAATTCGTGGACAGATCTGAAATAAGGTTATTGAGAGAAATCAAGAATGACTGAAGGCACATCTTATTTTAGGAAGAACATTGTAGCAGGCAAAATGTGTGCCCATGAGAGGCAGTGTAGAGTTGGATGGGTTGAGGGGAGTCCAGAGTCCAGGTGGCACTATCTATGTATTAAGATTCTGTTTTCTGGCCAGGCGCAGTGGCTCATGCCTGTAATCCCGGCGATTTGGGAGGCCCAGGTGGGTGGATAACCTGAGGTCAGGAGTTTGAGACCAGCCTGACCAACACGGCAAAACCCCGTCTCTGCTAAAAATACAAAAATTAGCTGGGCATGGTGATGCACGCCTGTAATCCCAGCTACTCTGGAGGCTGAGGCAGGAGAATCGCTTGAACCCAGGAGGCAAAGTTTGCAGTGAGCCAAGATCATGCCACTGCACTCCAGCCTGGGTGACAGAGCAAGACTCTGTTTCAAAAAAAAAAAAAAAAAAAAAAGATTCTGTTTTCCAAAAACTTCCTGGGTAAGGGGTGGCAGAGTGCTGTAGGTGGGAAAACCCATCCAAATTCCCTCACATTGATAAGACAAAACACTCTGGCTTTGGAGGGAGGTAGGCCAGGTTTGAAATCAACTCTGCCTCTTGCCAAAGTTTTAAATATTTTCAATTGTAAAATGGACTTATTGCTATTTGACCTTACAGTGTAGTTCTGAAGACTGAATGAGTGAAATATAAGGCAAGTGTACACGCTGATGAGGCAACCACACTCCACTGCTCGTGCCTTCTGGAGATTCTCTGCTTGTCTCTAGGGCAGGGGAACTGCAATTCACCAATGTACATATGCTTTAAAAGGAGTCATTTCACATTTCTTTCCAAAGCTTATCACTGTTTGGCCATGGTTCTTGAGTATCATTTTATGTTTTTGGTAACTGTGCAGTGGAGGAGTAATGAAATGAGGGTATGAGTCCATGTAGCACCTCCTTCGCCCTGTGATCTGCCCAAACATCAAATGGTGCAGAACATCTAGAAAAAGGTACTATGGAAAAACGTCCTTAACTAAGTTCCAGTGTTTGTTTCGGCTCATCTATGCCACTTGCAGCTGGCTCAACCTGTGTTTAAAGACTCACTGTTCAATCTCAGATATTTATTAGTTGTGCCTATGACAGAGGGAAAAATATACCACCAAGAAAACATTACAGATTGACATAAAAAAACTTTCCTTTCTCCCTCCTTAAAAACAAAACAAAACTACAGGGCCGGGTGCAGTGGTTCATAACTGTAATCCCAGAACTTTGGGAGGTCAAGGTAGGAAGATCACTTGAAGCCAGGAATTCAAGGCTGCAATGAGCTACAATCATGCCATTGCACTTCAGCCTGGGCAACAGAGCAAGACCCAGCCTCAAAAAAAAAAAAAAAAAAAATTACATATTCCCAGTATATAATTAAAAATACAGATAAGAAAAAGCAAGCAATCTCTCAAATACTTAGCATCCAGATATAAGTATATGAACATTTTTAAGTTATTCCTAACCTTTCTTGTGCAACACAAGCATGTATTAATATTTATGTATGCAATGTGTACCCGGACACTAGAGCCAGACTACCTGGGCTCAAACCCTGTCTCGCCACATACATCTGTGAGATCTGGTAAACCGGCAGGATGACAGTATATTCCTCAGTGTTCTTGTGAGGGGCAAGTGAGTTAAACATAAACTCAGAACTGTGCATGGTGTAGAACAAGTCCTCAACAAATGAGAGCTACTGCTCCATGTCAGGACAGGAATATCAGAAACACCACATCCTTTCCTATCTGTGCACATACACAGCACACACACACGTGCATGCCTGACTACTGACATGTGTATAGGCCTGTACTGTGTGAATATGTGAAGTTCTTATGTTGAAACACACAAAACGGGATCCAATTTAAGGTAATCTGTTTTTTCATGTATCAAAAAATTTGCATATAAGTATAGATCTCTCACCATTTTAGTGGCTAAAATACTATGCTTCTATATAGATATACCATACTATGTACACTGTGCAACTGTTAATCATTTAGATTGTTTGCATAATTGTTTTGAGCTGTATTTATAGGTTATCTAGTCCAAAAGCAAGTCAAATAACGATCAGAAAAGCAGCAGTCCACAGATCAAACCAAGACTATTTTCCATCCTTTTGAACTTCAAGTTAGTGAAGTGGTTTATTCAGCCCACTCAAGTCTAGTTATGATTTAAGTCAGACCATATAATTCAATACCTGCACATTAAAAACAGTGACATCATCATTTGAGTACAAATTTTATTTAACAAAAAGGTAACATGATTCTTCCAAAATAAAAATCACTACCACCTTTAAAGCTTCCATTCCAGCCCTGCAGATATGTATGCACGTTACTGTGCTGTCAGCCCCTCACACATTCCAGGTGGTCCCTGAAGGTGGGGCTTTGGCACTGCAGGGATGCAGGGAAACCTCAGGTGAAAATGCACATCCTAAATTCCTTTTCCATTTCCACATTCCAATCAGTGAAATGTGGCATGACAGGGAGGATCTGTGAGGTATGTTCAGGGTAGAATCCCTCAAAGACACAGGCTTTCATCATCATACATGGTCCAGCCATGAATCTTTGTTTTTTTGCGGGGGTGGGGGCATGAGTCTTTTTTCAACAGGTTTGGAGGGATGATCGTAGGTCACAGATGAGCCAATAACTGGCCTGTCCACGAACGTCACAGCACATAGTTCTGGATCATCACTGCTGCAGGGTGCCCACTCCAGTTCCAGCACGGTGATGGTGTTTGGGGCCGAGGTCATCAGGATGTGCTGGGGCACAAACAAGGTCAACTGAGGGCCCCGGGCTGGCCAATAGCGGCCAAGGTTAAAGCCATTAATCCAGACCTGGCCCTGGAGAGAGAGAGACAGAGAACCATCAACCCCAGATGCACCGAAAGCCCTGAGGAAGGTGGGGGCCCTGATGTAGGGCAGGCCAGCAGCAATGGAGGAAAGAAATGCCCCCAGAAAGGCGAGGCTGACAGCCAGGCCCATGCCAGCCTTGGTTTTAGCTTCTTGCTGGGATAACTGGCCAAGGTGGGAAGAAGGTGGATGCCCCCATCCACCTTCTTTGGGGCAACAAAAACTTGCCCCAAAGACCCACTCCTGCTTCAGGAAAATACAGGTTTGGTCCCTCTGACGGGCTTCAGTGGCCACAGATGTTGGTACCAGAGAACAGTGTGGAAATTTCTGAATTTCATCCTGGTTCCCAGGTGCTGCCTGTACCCACAGACCAGCCTCTCCCTGACTTTTCTGTACACAGAAGACAACTGCTGAACTGCTTCCTTAAATAGATCTTTTCCTTCTTTGTTCTCCTTTCCCAGAGGCAGGTCTTGACCTCACTATCTGCTGTACACCTGGTGAACACAGGGAACAGAGGACTCCAGGGCCTGCATCCTGAGGTCAGACAGGTACCAGGAGTGGTCCCCAAAACAACCCCTCAAGAGGGATAGGGGGGTTTGGGGTGAGGGAGAGGAAGAGGCTTATCCAGTTGGGTGTCTATATTACTGCTATGTTCTAAGGACTCTTACAGGCACCCTCAGAGTTAGGGTGTGGACTCCATGTTTGGTTCAGGAGCAGAGGTGATGCTATAGGTTGCATAAACAATTTCTGTGAGTAGGGGAAGCTGCTTCCCATAACAAAACTGAAAGTGGAGGATAAACTCCTAAAAAACAGGGACCATGTTTAGGTCTGTCTACACAGCCTCTCTGTATGTGCTAAAATTTGCTCAAAGGGGCTGAGTGCAGTGGCTCATGCCTGTAATCCCAGAACTTTGGGAGGCCAAGGCAGGCAGATCACCTGAGGTCAGGAGTTCGAGACCAGCCTGGCCAACATGGTGAAACCCCGTCTCTACTAAAAATACAAAAATTAGCCAGGTGTGGTGGCACATGCCTGTAATCCCAGTTACTCAGGAGGCTGAGGCAAGAGAATCACTTGAACCCAGGGAGGCAGAGGTTGCAGTGAGCTGAGATTGCGCCACTGCACTCTAGCCTTGCGCAGTGACAGAGCAAGACTCCGTCTCAAAAAAAAAAAAAAAAGATTTGCTCAAAGCTCAAAGGCTAGGATCAACAGCTGGCTGAATAGATGGACCATTCTATTACAAAGAAAGAAAGTGAAGATGGGGAGATCACATACACGCAAAAGAAAGAGAAAATCTGGGAGAAGAAAGGAAAACATAAAGGGAGAAGGAAGAGGAAAGAGGAATGGAAGAAGGGAGGGAGGCAGGAAAGAAACTGTGACCTACAATGGCCCAGATATCCTAGGAGACAGCCTGGAGGAGGCCCAGCCATGGCTGACACCTGCTGAGCCCTAATCCTCATCACGTTCTGCAACACAACTCTGCTGCTCACCCCAGGGCTCCTCAGTCTTCTTACGTTTGGGTATTTTTCAGCCTCCAAGTGTCCCCTTTACTTTAGATCCTTCTGAATTTCCTACCTGAGTTCGTATCTGTGTCCTGCCACTTACTAGCTGTCTGACCTTGGGCAGGTCTCAACTCAATTTTTCATACCAGTCATTGGGGACAATGATGATGAAGGAACAGTGTGTGGCCTGTAAGCGGTAGCACTCCTTACATGATTAAAGTGAAAAGATGTTGGTGTTCCAATGCCTACAAAAGAAGGGGGTCCGTGATTAAAAACCACCTGTCTGTTGGATTAAGTCATTTAGAAAGAGGACGACAGTTTCACAGTTCTCAGAACTATTTCACTCTTGTTTTTACCCTGGGATATGTTATCTCATTCCATCCTAAAAGGTATATACAATGACAGCTTTAGCAGGTTTTTATCAGCTTAAAATCTGCCGGTGCCTTGTTTTTGCAGTATTAGAGAACAGTAGCACTTTACTTTTGCGGTCAAGGGGGAAGACAGAGAAGTGGGAGGGCATTACGAGCAGCAGCCAAGGAATGGCACGCACCACACAGGCTTCATGCTATGGTCAGGACACAGGCCAAGCCAACTCTTGACCAAATCGCAGGTGAACAAAGTGGAGGTTTGGTCCTTTCTCAAACCTCAAGTTCCATTTCATAAGCATCCAAGAGATGGGCCCTCACATGCCGGGTGGACTGTGCACCTGGTAGGTAAGCTGGGAATTGTTTTCCCTGGATCCCCTTCCCTGGATGGTTCTGGGTTAGCGTTGGTCAGAAGAGGCCCTTGCTTGAGATTGGGAGGGTGGAGAGAAGCAGCAGCCATTGCTCTGGGGAGGTTATCGTGCAGTGGTGCAATCCTGGCTCGCTGCAGCCTCCGCCTCCACCTCCCAAGTTCAAGAGCTTCTTGTTCCTCCGCCTTCTGAGTAGCTGGGAATACAGGCGTGCACCACCATGCCCAGCTCATTTTTGTATTTTTGGTAGAGATGGGGTTTTGCCATGTTGCCCAGGCTGGTCTCCAACTCCTGGCCTCAAGAGATCCGCCCACCTCGGCCTCCCAAAGTGTTGGGATTACAGGCGTGAGCCACCATGCCTGGCCTTTTTCTTTTTCTTTTTTCCTTTTTGAGGCAAGATCTCACTCCAGACACCCAGGCTAGAATGCAGTGGCACCATCACGACTCACTGTAGTGTCAACCTCCCACCTTAGCCTCCCACATAGCTGGGACTACGGGCATGCCCCACCATGCCTGGCTAATTTTTGTACTTTTTTAGAGATGAGGTTTCGCCATGTTGCCCAGGCTGGTCTCAAACTCCTGGTCTCAAGTGATCCTCCCCCATCAGCCTCCCAAAAAGTGCTGGGATTACAGGCATGAGCCACCTCGCCTGGCCATGCACATGTTTCTTACAGGAGGGGAATGCTAGGAATGGAATTGCTGGGTCATGGGATATGCATGTGTCCAACTTTAGTGATACTATAAAGAGTAGCTATTTTTTAAAAAAGTGTGAAGGAGGAATTGAATTTTCACATTTAATTAATTTAAACTTAACCATATGTGGTTAAAAATGAACGTTCTTGTAAAGAATATTATACAAGGCCAGGTGTGGTGGCTCATGCCTGCAATCCCAGTACTTTGGGAAGCCAAGGCGGGCAAATCACTTGGGGTCAGGAGTTCGAGACCAGCCTGGTCAATATGGTGAAACCCTGTCTCTACTAAAAATACAAAAATTAGCCAGGCATGGTGGTGGGTGCCTGTAATCCCAGCTACTCAGGAGGCTGAGGCAGGGGAATCGCTTGAACCTGGAAGGTGGAGGTTGCAGTGAGCTGAGATTGCACCACTGCACTCCAGCCTGGGTGATAGAGCAAGACTCAGTTAAAAAAAACAACAACAAAACAAACAGAAAAAACCCAACAATATTATACAAGAAGCTACTGCACTGGACTACAGAGCTAAGGTATGGTGAGATCCTAGTGACTTCATTATTAGACCATCAGTCTTCCATTTCTCTCTATCCTCACAGCCTGACTTCCAGAGCAAGTCATAAATCAATGTTGTCTTAGACTGCTGCAGCCTCCTCACAGTCTCTTGACTTTATTAACTCTAGAATCTAGGCTCTGCATAGCTGCCAAAGTGAAAATAGGATTCTTTTCACACATTCCTGTTTCAAACCTCCTTCCTGTGGTCCACAGCCCATACCTTCCTCCTTTCCTCCTTGTGTCTGCCGCACTCCCCCTTGCTCACTCCACTCTCCACTACTTCTTGTTCTTTCCTTCTCTTTCTTCTCCTTCTTGTTCTTCCTTTCTCTCTTCTCTTCTCCTCTCCTCTTCTCCTTCTCCTTCTTCTCTTCTCCTCCTTCCTGTCTTCTCTCTTCTCTCTCTCTCTCTCACTCTTACATCTTGCTACATTGCCAAGGTTGGACTCCAGTTGCTATTCACAGGCACAATACAGCCTCAAACTCCTGCCCTCAAGCGATCCTCCTGCCTCAGCTTCCCGAGAAGCTGGATCTTCAGATGTGCATCACCACACACAGCTCCCCAATTACTTTCAGTTAGTTTTGCTTGGGCATCAGCTCGTCCCCATGTGCAAACACTACTCACCTCAGCCTGAAGCCTTCTCATCACTCAGGCAGGGCCACGACCCTCCTCCTTAATGCTGGGCTTTCCATTCCAAGTCACTCACTATCCTTTCATTTTTTCTTTTTCTTCTAGTTATTATCATGATTTGAAATTCATATCTTTTGTTTGATGACTAGTTTATGAGCTATTTCCAGCTATAACACAGGCTCTAGGAAGGGAAAGTCTTTGTCCATTTTGTTTGAGGCGAGATTCTCCGCACGCAGGAGAGTGATATTCAATATACACTTAGTAGCACTCATGGCTGCTGCTACTTGTTGATAATTCTGCCAAGAAAAGATTCGTTGAAGAGGTGACATGAAGCCCTTCTGAAAGAATTCTTCACGTTCCTCTGCTCCCAGTTTAAGAGTTTTAAAGAATATTGTTCACTAAAAGAAAAACATTTGCCTTCCCTCCTTGATTAGAACCAATGAAAAACACTTTAATATAATTTACCTTTAAAAATTCTATTTAAAAAATATATACATTGATTTTTATTTCTCTTAAAAAGTTATGCTTTTGCAATTATTTTTGGTGGGGAGGTATGCACGTGTTGCTGAATATGATCTAAAAGTAGATACACTCTTAATGAAGTCAGCCCCATGGGGACCAAGCAGTGGTTTCTGGGGCTTCCTAAGGCAGTCTCAGTTAAAATAGTTCCATGACAAAGTGACTTTCTCTGACCACGGCTTGACCCTGGCAGACTCTCCACCCTTTGCTGTAATCACTAAGGCAATAATAATAGTTTCATAAATGTGAGGTTCCTGGAAATGCCTGACCTACTTTTTTGTTGATCAGACAGATACATGTGTTTGTCTGTCTGTTTTAAACTATCTGGATAAATGGAATTTAAAACAAAAGTCTCCCTCCCTCCCTCCCTCCCTCCCTTCCTTCCTTCCTTCCATCCTTCCTTCCTTCCTTATGAGGCAGGGTCTCACGCTGTCATTCAGACTAGACTGCAGCTGCACTATCATAGTCCATTGCAGCCTCGAATTCTTGGGCTTAAGCGATCCTCCTGTGTCAGCCTCTTGAGGAGCTGGGACTATAGGTGTGAAACTATCGGGGGGAGGTATGCACGTGTTGTTGTTAGCCATCATGGCCAGCTAACTTAAAAACTATTTTTAAAAATAGACATAGAATCTCACTATGTTGCCTAGGCTTGTCTCAAACTCCTGGCCTCAAGTGATCCTCCTGCTTTCACCTCCCAAAATGTTGGGATTACAGGTGTGAGCCTCTGTGCCTGGTCTCACTACTGTTTTAAGTTGTAGTTTAAAATTTTCCAAAATTTTTTGGGAGCTCCTTTAAAAGCAACAATAAGCTCAGGGTGAATGCTGCCTTTGTCACACTCTGAAAGAAAACATTTAGACACTTGCAGGACTTAAAATGGGAAAGACAAAGGTCCAGTTCCCAAGGTTAAAGGCTCTCACACACCGAACTCATGAATCACTGTGATGCTTACCTGGGAGAAAGAGAAGAAAAAGAGGAGAATTGAAAAGAAAAAAAGGTAAAAGCCTCTTACAAGGCTTGCTTAGAAATAAGAGGTTAAATAGATCTCAATGAAATACACAGAAGATTAATTCTCCCCTTCCTTCAGAACCCCAAAAGGCTCTGCAGCTGACGCAAATCACACTTTTTTGCTTCCTCCTCAGTCTTAAAGTAATAAAATTAAATAACTTTATGGTTTCTCTATATTTTGGGACAGGTCCAAATAGAACTGAAGCCATCAAATGCATAAAATAACAGCATAAAAGATAAATCACTTCTCATCAAATCCCAAATAAAAATTCTTTTTCCTTCTCAACTTCCAACAGTTCCACCATAGCTAGACCTTTTTAATACAATAGCTTACCTAACAACAGTCGTCAAACCACCTCACGTATCTGGAACCAAGCTAGGAACTGATAAGCAAAAACTACTGCCTCATGTCATATTTGTTATAAAGTTCACAACCTAAAAATTGAAGAAGACCTTCTTTCACTTCTAGCCTATTTACCCATTTACAAAAGTTCTAACAAGTTTTGTTGCTAAATTAACATAATATTTGTTGAGAGTAGTCTGATGGTCTAGTTTCAAAGTTCACGGGACTTGTGCAACTGGAAACAGTGAATTAGACGGAAATAGTAGGTCTTGTAGGAGGTAAGCATAACTGCAAATTAGACAAAAAAGAAGTTTAACAAGCACATCAAATTTAGGATGAAAGTAGGGTCCAATAGTGTTAAGACCTGTGGGATATTGAACAGATGGCCCCAATTATTAGTGGGTCCCTCTATCAAGAAGTAGAATCTGTCTGGGCATGGTGGCTCACTCCTGTAATCCCAGCACTTTGGGAGGCCAAGGTGGGTGGATCACCTGAGGTCAGGAGTTCCAGACCAGCCTGGCCTACATGGTGAAACCCCATCTCTACTAAAAATACAAAAATCAGCCAGGTATGGTGGTGTGCACCTGTAATCCCAGCTACTCAGGAGGCTGAGGCAGGAGAATCGCTTGAACCTGGGAGGCGGAGGTTGCAATGAGCTGAGATCGTGTCGCTGCACTCCAGCTTGGGCAACAGAGTGAGACTCCATTTCAAAAAAAAAAAGGGGTAGAACATGTTTCTCCATTCCTTGGATCTGGCTGGTCTAGTGACATATTTTGGCCAAACAACGTGGAAGAAGTGACATGTGAATCCTGACTTTGGCCTTAAGGAGCCTTGCGCATTTGCATTCTTTCTTTGAACCCTGCTCAGTCGTGTGAACCCTGCTAGTCATGTGAACAAGCCTAGGCTAGCTTGCTGGATGATGAAAGAGAGATGGTCTCATCTTCTCTGTTGCCTCAGCTGACAGATGGCTAACACCCAGGTGGTCATGCCCAGCTGAGACCAGCAAAACCACTACTTGGTCTGCCAATACTCAAAATCGTGAACTAAATAAACTGTTGTCGTTTTAATCCACTAAGTTTTGGGTGGCTCGTTATGCAGCAGAAGCTAACTGATACACATCTCCATGGTCAGAAGGTGCCTAAGCATGCTACTTTTCAGGAAAGTGAGTGACGTTTAAAAACTCAATTTAAAAATAGTAGAGCCATCCACTACTTAGTCAGTCCCACTTTCACTGATCAATCACCAAATCCCACTGGGGCTTCCTCAGCCATGTCTGTGCCTTTCTCAGGATTGCTGAGAACAGCTGGGTGAGAAGACACCTGTGAGCACTCAGTACTGTAGCCAGCACATGGTAAGCTCTCAGATGTGGCTGGTACTATTACTATTTCCTGAAGCTGGACCGCCCTCCCTCCCTACTGCCACACTCAAGTCCAGCTCTGTTCCTTCTCTCTGGACCACTTCTCCAGCAGAAGAGTAGCTTTCAGGGGTAACAGGGAGAGAGTTCTGTTTTATACCTATCAGGCTGGAGGTGCCTATGAGACCCCCAAAGGTGGGCTCCAGAGCCTTGTAAGAGCTGAGCTGGAAAAGGAAATGTAAGCATGTCCAGCACATCTGTGAGGACAATCCCCAAAAGTGTAAGAAGAGAGCCCAGGACCAAGTCCTGAGGACTGCAACATAGAAGCTGACAGAGAAGCCTGAGAAGGAGCAAAGAGAGGGAAGAAAACCAGGAGAAGTTTGGGCACGCAAGTCAGGAGAAGCAATCCCCCCACCTCTCACCAAGTAGCTGGGACTGCAGGTGCCATCATGCCCTTGTAACTATCCTATGGTTATCTAGGGGCTCCATCCTAAGTCGCCTCATTAGCACAAACCCAGGTGGGATTGAAAGAGGCTAGTTATGAATAACAAAAGACACTCCTACCACTCAGAAAATTCCAAGGGTTTTAGGGCCCTGGAACCAGGGACAAAGACCAAATATATTTCTTACTATACTATTCCCTTGAAAAATATCAATCCCTCTGCACAAAATATCCTTCCCACTAGGAAGACCAGACCTTTCCCAGCAATCTTAAGCACTTATAATTTCTTCCTCTCCAAGGCCCAACTGCATGGTTTACATATCTCTTACAGACTCTTATAATCCTCTTGGGCTCTTTCTATACCTCTGTCTCTCCAAATGGATTGAGACCAAGTGACTAACACTGATAAGGTTTTAAAAGTTTTACATACTCTTTTCTGGCATAATCATGTCTCAGTGCAGCCTTGATTTGCTGGGCTCAAGCAATCCTCCCATCTCCCACCAAGTAGCTGGGACTACAGGTGCATGCCACCAAGCCCAGCTAATTCAAAAATTTTTTTTGTAGAGATGAGGTCTTATTAAGTTGCCTAGGCTGGTCTCAAACCCCTGAGCTCAAGTGATCCTACCACCTCGGTCTCCCAAAGGGCTAGGATTACAGGTGTGAGCCATCGCGTCGGCCAGGAAATTTCAAAAGCAAGATGCAACAAACAGTTAAAAGAAGGAATTTCTTTCAACCGTTTATCATACATTGTTTTATTTCATAGTTATTTTACATCTTGAAGGTGGGACAATTTATCTTTAAAATACAGAATTACTTTTCATCAGTATTCTATTTTGATTCTTGACTCTTCAAAGCATAATTTTGGTTAAGGAAAAATGGACACTATCCCACTCACACCATGCTCTGTCATGCACCTAAACCTACCACAAAATGTTGAAGGCTGCATAGGATATTGACAGGAGACTTATCCACACCCAGCTGAAAGAGAGATAAATAGCACAAGCACTGCTGCAGTGGCAGAACATGACATTTCAGGTTTGGCATATAGCAGGGGTCCCCAAACCCCAGGCCACAGACTGGTCTGCGGCCTGTTAGGAACCGGGCCGCACAGTGAGAGGTGAGCGAGCATTACTGCCTGAGCGCCACCTCCTGTCAGATCGGCAGCAGCATCAGATTCTCATAGGAGCAGGAACCCTATTGTGAACTGCGCACGCGAGGGATATAGGCTGTGCACTCCTTATGAGAATCTAACTAATGCCTGATGATTTGAGGTGGAACAGTTTCATCCCAAAACCATTTCCACCCCCCCACCCCTGACCACACAGTCCATGGAAACAGTGTCTTCCACGAAACTAGTCCCTGATACCAACAAGGTTGGGGACCACTGGCATACAGGACATATTGTGGAAAGCACTGGAGAAGAACGCTTCCTATCTAATGGACTTTCCAGTCAGATAAGAACTCAGTGAGGTCAAAGCATTGCCCTGTGTCTGCTGGACAGAGCAGAACATGCCTGACCCCTTTCTACTGAAGTCCCAGTTGATATTCATTCACATCTGGCATTAACCAGAAAGCCACATCCGACTCAAGTAAAGCCAGTGTAAACAAAAGTGATTTTTTAATCTTATGAATCGCCCTTATCAGTGACTTTGCTCTCTAAATCAAGGTAGTTTCTTTACAGTAAAATGAATAGGAAGAGCATAGAGTCCTGTGCCAGGGCCTTTGACAAGGGCCTCTCCTGATGAAGGATGTGGGGGTTAGTGCACAGCCTTAGAAACAGCTGGGGCTTCAGGGATCATTTTGTCCAACCCCACACCGCAACTGCCAGCTCCCTGCATTCAAACCATGTGCTAACGTGCTCATTCTTTCAAATGTCAGAGCTTAGCACTCAGTGTGGGAGTGGGATCTGCCTGTTCTGAGGTGGCTGATCATTTAGAAGCCCCAGAGCTGGCCTGGGACTGTCCCCAGCAGCAGGGACCACTGTGCACCAGAAAACAGAAACCACATTGGTTCTGTGTTAGGTAGGATGTGTGTGTACCCTTGGACCTTCACACGCATTCAGTCCAAAGTCCACAAACTTCTTGGATGGGCCTTGTGTGTGGCACTTTATTGACATAGAATTCATATACCATACAATTCAGCAGTCTTTAGTATACTACAGAGCTGCACAACCATTACCAAAGTCAATTATAGAACATTTCGTCACTCCGTTAAGAAGCCCTGTACCCTTTAACATTCTCTTCCCATCCAACCAACACTCTCTTTTCCCTGCTCTAGGCAATCACAGATCTTCCTGTCTATATGAATTTGCCTGTTCCGGACATTTCATGTAAATGGAATCATGCAACATACAGTCCTTTGTGACTGGCGTCTTTCATTAGCCTAATGTTTTCAAAATTCTTCCATGTTGTAACATGTATCAATACTTCATTTCTTTTTATTGCTGAATCATATTCCATTGTATGGATGTACTACATTTCGTTTATTCATTCCTCAGCTGATGGACATTTGGGCTGTTTCCACCTTTTGGCAATTATGGATAACGGTGCAATGAACAGTTGTGTACAAGTGTTTGAGTGGACATATGGATTAGATGGGCTTTTGGGGGTCTGAACCCTTTGACACATTCACAAATACTGTGTGGAGATGTACTTTCAAGCCTGGAGATGCAGAGCATTCATCAGACTGACCAAATAAGTAAAGAGCCCCAGCCTAGATAATGAGTATGAGTTCCTCACCGGTTCTCAATGCTGCCTGCTTTTTCACATGGGCCTTCAAGACACGGCTGGGGCTCAGGTAGATGTGCCACTGAGCACTTCTGTACCTCGTACAAGTTACTTAGCTATCTAAGCCTCCAGCTACTCATCTGCAAACTGGAGATAATGATCCATCTACCACAGGTGCCTCTTTTGATGGCTACGGAGATAGTGTCTATAAAGCGTTGAGCAGAACGCCTGGGTCAGTAACTCTTGCGTGTGACACCTTTAAGACTTGGCCAAGATGAACCTCCCTCTGACCTCCAACACATCCCACACTTTTCCATTGGTCTCTACTGCATTAGGAGGGGAGAAAAAGAGGGATCGAGGGAACAAGAACTTGCTAGCTAAAGGGGGAAGATCCAGGGAGGGCTTTCTTTGTGTTTAGGTCCTAGAGCTCCTAGTTACCACTTTTTGGCTGAAAAATGGGACTCGGCAGAAAGATGGAGAGGCTGACAAAATGCAGGTAGAGGAAATATGAGAACAGGATCTTGCCCTGAAGGAAGAAGGTGGGGAGGAGATTCAGAATTCAGACTTCCTCCTAGATACCACTGGGCAGGAAATGAGGTTGGAGGCAGAGAGATAAGTCTGACAGGAAGCTGAGGGAACAAAGGAGTTACACCTGATAGCAGTCAAGGAGGATGAGGTCTTCAGTGGAGAGGGTGGAGAGTCAGGTGGCTTAAGGAGGGTGCTGAAGGTTGAAAAGGCCAGTGGGGGAAAGGAGCAGAGAGAGACCAAGGACTGCTGGGCAAATCTGAGGGCTTCTGGAGGCTGGCAACAATGAGGGGATGGTAGCCACGATGAATGCGCTGAGAAGTCCCTTAGCTGTGCTCAGTGACTGGTGAACCAGCAGAGACACCAGTAGTGGATCCATTCTACATGGAGGAGGAATGAAGGAGGCAGAGTAGAAGGCCAAAGGGGCAAGGGGGCAGGTGGACTGATGACTCTTAAAAAAAGATCGTGGTGGCCGGGCGCAGTGGTTCACGCCTGTAATCCCAGCACTCTGGGAGGCCGAGGCAGGCAGATCACCTGACGTCGGGAGTTTGAGACTGGCCTGACCAACATGGAGAAACCCCGTCTCTACTAAAAATACAAAATTAGCCAGGCGTGGTGGTGCATGCCTGTAATCCCAGCTACATGGGAGGCTGAGGCAGGAGAATCGCTTGAACCTGGGAGGCGGAGGTTGCAGTGAGCCAAGATTGTGCCACTGTACTCCAGCCTGGGCAACAAGAATGAAACTCCATCTTAAAAAATAAATAAATAAATAAATAAATAAATAAATAAAAAAGATTGTGGTAAGGCCTAGGCTTGGTAGAGGAAGAACTGCAGCCTTAATGGTGGAATGTTTCAGGTCATTAATAAGATTTAAGGCCGGGTGCAGTGGTTCATGCCTGTAATCCCAGCACTTCGGGAGGCCAAGGCAGGTGGACCACGAGGTCAGGAGTTCAAGACCAGCCTGGCCAACACGGTGAAACCCCATCTCTACTAAAAACACAAAAATCAGCCAAGTGTGGTGGGGGGTGCCTGTAATCCCAGCTACTCGAGAGGCTGAGACAGGAGGATCACTTGAACCCAGGAGGCGGAGGTTGCAGTGAGCCGAGATTGTGCCATTGCACTCCAGCCTGGGTGACAAGAGCAAGACTGTCTCAAAAAAATAAAAAAAAAGATTTAAGAGCAAGGTTGGTAGGCATGAGAGTTTGGTGCATAGAAACATGCAGCCAGAGAGAGGATATTAAAGCCTAAAATTCCAAAGGTATGTTCAGCAAGATATATGCCTGTGCTGGGCCATAAAACAAGTCTAAATACATTTAAGAAGACTGTGCAGCCATCATTCAAGTTAGTTTCAGAGCATATCCATCAGCTCCAATAGAAACCCCATGCCCACTTAACAGTCACGCTCCATTCCCACCCTCAGCCCTAGGCAACCAGTAAGCTACTATCTCTATGGATTTGCCTTTTCTGAACATTTCATATAAATGGAGTCATACAATACATAGCCTTTTAGTTTTGGCTTCTTTTACTTAGCATAATATTTTTCCAATTCATCTGGATTGTGGCATGTTATCAGTACTCCATTCCTTTTTATTGAGGAATCGTATGGATATACATGCTTTCTCCACTTGTCAGGTGATAGACATCTGAATTAATTCCAACTTACAGTTATTATAATACTGCTATAAACACTTGCATGTAAGTTTTTATGTGAACATGTTTTCCTTTCTCTTGTGTATATACCTAGGAGCGGAATTGCTGGGTTCTATGGTAATCTATGTTTAGCCCTTGAAGAAATTGCCAAACTATGCTCCCAAATGTACCTTCTTATCTTTCTACCAGCAATGTGGGAAGATTCCCTTTCCCCCATGTCCTTTCCAACATTGCCTATTGTCCTTCTTACTATTTAGCCATCTTGGTGAGTGTGAAGTAGTATTTCATTTTGGTTTTGACTTGCATTTCCCAAATGATTAATAATGTTGAACATTAATCAGCCACTAATTTTAGTTTATAATAGACATTTTACCAAAGAAGGTATACAAATGCAAATGTACTTAGCCATCTTATGCCTTCTTTGGTAAAATGTCTATTCAAGTTCTTTGCTCCTTTTGTGACTGGGCTGTTTGTCTATTATTGAATTGTAAGAATTCTTTACATATTCTAGATATAAGTCCTTTGTTAGATATATGATTTGAAAATTATTTTTCTCCCAGTTTGTGGCTTGGATTCTCATTTTCCTAATAATGCTTTTTGAAGAACAAATATTTTTAATTCTGATAAAGTCCAATTTATCAATTTTTGTTCTTTAAGGATAATGCCTTAGGTGTCAAATCTAAGAAGTCTTTGCCTAACCCAAGATCATGGAGATTTCTCTCCCTAGAGAGAAATTTTAGAAGTTTTATAGAGGAATTAAGTTACAAATTAATAATTACAAGATATTTTTACAAACCCAAAATATGTGGAAATTAAACAGCATACTTTTTTTGTTTGTTTGTTTTTGTTTTGTTTTTGAGACACAGTCTTGCTTTGTCACCCAGGCTGGAGTGCAGTGGCATGCTCTTGGCTCACTGCAGCCTCTGCCTTCCAGGTTCGAGAGATTCTCCCACCTCAGTCTCCCAAGTAGCTGAGATTACAGTTACTCACCACCACGCCTGGCTAATTTTTGTATTTTTAGTAGAAATGGGGTTCTGCCATGTTGCCCAGGCTGGTCTTGAACTCCTGGCCTCAGGTGATCCACCCGTCTCGGCCTCCCAAAGTGCTGGGATTTACAGGCATGAGCCACCACACCCAGTAAAACATACTTTTTAATAATCTATGGTTCAAAGAAGAAATCATATGGGAAAGTAGAAAATATTTCTAACAGGATGGCTGTGGTGGCTCACACTTGTAATCCTAGCACTTTTCGAGGCCAAGTTCACATAAAAACTTACATGCAAGTGTTTACAGCAGTATTATAATAACTATAATAACTATAAGTTGGAATGAATTCAGATGTCTATCCTAGCACTTTTCGAGACTTCATTTGAGGTCAGGAGTCCGAGATCAGCCTGGCCAACATGATGAAACCCCGTCTCCAATAAAAATAAAAAAAAAACAAAAAATAAAAAATAAAATAAAAATAATAAAAAAAATTAGCCAGGAGTGGTGGTGTGTGCCTGTAGTCCCCGCTACTCTGGAGGCTGAGGCAGGAGAATTGCTTGAGCCCGGGAGGCAGAGGTTGCAGTGAGCAGAGATCACACCACTGTACTCCAGCCTAGGTGACAGAGTCCATCTCAAAAAAAAAAAAAAAAAAGAAAATATTTCAAACAGAATAATGAAAATACATTTCAATAAATTTTAAACAAGCAACACATAAATAAATAAAAGGGCATTTTATTAAACACACACCATGTACATCTTTTGCCTTCTCCTCCTCCAGCTATTAACATAATTTTCTCCTCTTCTTCAGAATTAAATTTCTCAAAAAGAACGTTTATATTCAAGTATTCCTGTTCGTATTCCTTACCCTGGTCTTCTCTATAGAATGCAATCTGGCTGGGAGATGCTTCACTCCACTGGAACAAGGCTTACTGATTCCCAAGGGCCTCCTTGCTTCTAAAACCACCGAAGTGCTTCTGTCTTTATCTTATTTGTCCTCTTGGCAGCATAAATGCTGGTTTTCTTCCTACTTGTTTGGTCTCTCCTCTTCAGTCTTCATCATGTTTTTGTCCCTCAAACATCAGCCTTACGTCCTCTTTTCTTCCCTCTGCATCCTCTCTCCTTGAGAGACCTCATCCAGCCCATGTTTTCAACAATCATCTATACAACAATGATCTTCTACATACATTCCTGGCCCAGATCCCTGCCCTGAATTCCCAGCCTATAGATCCAACAACCCTCCTCCAATACTGTCTTTCCCAGCCATTCTCCAAGGCCTCTGCTATGGTCTGAATGTTTGTGTCCACCCAAAACTCATCTGTTAAAATTCTAGCCCCCATGTGATGGGTTAGGAGGTGGGGCCCCCTCTGGGAGGTGATTAGGTCATGAAGGTGGAGCCCTCATGAATGAAATTAGTGTCCTCATAAAAGAGACCCAAGAGAGCTCCTTTGCCCCTTCAGCCATGTAAGGACATAGAGGGTGCTGTCTATGATGAAGTAGACTCTCACCAGACAGCAAATCTACTGGTGCCCTGATATTGAAGACTTCCTAGCCTCCAGAACTGTGAGAAATAAATGCCTGTTGTTTATAAGCCACCCAGCTTATGGTATTTTGTTATAGCAGCCCAAATAGACTAAGGCAGCTTTTCAAACACAATTGGTCTAAATTCAAACTCATGACCCCCCTTTCTAAGCCTAAGTCCCCTTCTGAAGCTGCTTCTTTCAGCAAATGGTACCATTCTGCCCAGCTGCAAGCTTGAGACCTGAGTCATCCGAGACATATCCCTCTCCCCAAACCCTCCTGTCCAATCCATTGTCACAATTTATTGATCCAACTTTGAACATCTCTCAAATAGTTGATGTCATCTCCATCTTAGATACCACCATCCCAGTTTCTCAATGAGACTATGGTCCAGCCTCCTAGATGGTTTCCTCGAATCCATAAGTGTCCTTACCCAAACCATTCTGCACAATGGGGTCAGAGGAGCTTGTCAGATCACAGTCTTATCATGTCACTCTCCTGCTTCAATGGCTCTCAACACAAAGACAAAACTTTAACGTGGCCTATAAGGCCCGTCCCAATCTAGTCTCTACCTACTTTCCACACTTGACATTTTCCCCTCCAACCCCATGGCCTTTGCACAAGCTGTTACCTCTCCCAGGAACATGCTTTCTTCCCTTCTTGCCATGCTAATTCTTACTCATCCTTCATATCTCTGACAAGCATCACTATCTTAGGGAAGGCTTCCCTGACCTCCCTGACAAGGCAAAATGCACCAATTATTATCAACCCCATAGCCCTTCTTAGCATCCATCACAGCTATGGTTTTACTTTTTAATATGAGTCTGCCTCCCTCACTAGACTGAAAGTTCCATGAGGGAAAGGACCATGTTTGGTTTTATTCATGATTGTATCCTTAGTGCCTGGCACACACCTTGGGCACATAGTGGCCACAGAATGAGAAGTGTGTTGAATGAGTGATGGTAAGGTGATCTAGGATGAAAACAGGACATGAGGGAGAGGAGAAGGCGGTGAAGGAAGATATGCCAATGTCTTCAAACGACAAGGCGGAGTGACTGGGAAGTGAAAATGGATGAGGAAGAGTGGAGAAGCAGACAGCTTATGATAGAAGCCCCAGGGGTGTGGGGCTGGATGCAGGTGGGGATATTCTGGGAGCACTGGGCTTGGCATAAATGAAAACCAGACAGACTCTCCCAGAGGGATCCACCTCTTTGTCTTGACTGGATTGTCCTCAAGATAAAGAGAAAGCACCCCTATAATCAGCATCAAAAGGGGTCATGATTCTTCTTGGAGGAGGCAGGATGGTGTCATTCACTACAGGAAGCCAATGACAAGGGGGCAGATGGCAGCACCTCCGAGCTGGCCACTGAATCCCTGAAGATCTGCCACAATCCGCCTCCTGAAGAATGTCCGAAACGCCACACTCAAAACCATCACACGATATCTCACTAACAGCTCTTTGTGATTCTTTCTCAGACACTAACAACCAAAAGTTTAGGCCTGAATTCAAACCCTTCCCATGAAGACACGTACCTTGGTCCATCCAGGAAACTGGATAAAGGTGTCCTGGGGCAAGTCTGGGATCCCACTGGGAATGGAGAAGTTCCCCATATAAAAGGCCGGGAGCGTGTAGTTGGATGAGTTGTGGGCCCAGGCTTCATCATGGTGGCCACTGTCACGGTGTCCCCAGCCCCCCAGGTGGCTGCACACTGCATCCTCAGTGTCCAGTGGAAAGATCGTCCAGTCCGTGAGGATATTGGAACTGAGAGTCAGGTTAGAAACCAAACCCTGCAAAGCAGAAACAGAGCACAGTGAGCTGGGGAGGGAAGGAAAAAGGCTTCACATGTCTCTGCATTCCAGGGAAATGGGAAAAGCAAACCGGGATACAAAACACCAACAGGAAATGAACCTCGAAATATGTGTACATCGAAGTAACACAGATCTAACTGGAGGTTGAATTACAAATCCTTGGGAAGAGATATATTCCCCAAACTATAGCTTTCTCCTTTGCAGGTCATGATGTCTCTATAAAAGGCCCAGAGTTTCTGCTTCTACAGAAAGGGCATTGAGTTGCTAGAGTGATTGATCCCAAATTCCCAAATTTTCAGAGTTTGGCTGAGAGCCACTGCTAGAATAGAGAAAGATGGGCACCAAGAAAGATGGGCCAGGCGCAGTGGCTCATGCCTGTAATCCCAGCACTTTGAGAGGCCAAGGCAGACAGATCACTTGAGGTTAGGAGTTCAAGACCAACCTGGCCAACATGATGAAACCCCATCTTTACTAAAAATACAAAAGTTAGCTGGGTGTGGTGGCAGGTGCCTGTAATCCCAGATACTCAGGAGGCTGAGGCATGAGAATCGCTTGAACCTGACAGGTGGAGGTTGCAGTGAGCTGAGATCGCGCCACTGTACTCCAGCCTGGGTGTCAGAGCGACACTCCATCTCAAAACAAAAAGGGATCCAGTCTCTACAAAACATACAGAAATTGGCCTAGTGTGGGGGCATGCACGTATAGTCCCAACTACTTGGGAGGCTGAGAAGGGAGGATTGCTTGAGCCCAGGAGACAGAGGTTGCAGTAAGCCGAGATTGTGCCACTGCGCTCCAGGCTGGGTGACAGCAAGATCCTGTCTCAAGATGGAATCTGGGGACAGAAGGAATGAGTGAGTGTGGGATACAAAGGAATAGTCATCCCACTGCGGATGGAGCAGGTACGACGGATGCAGCCAGGAGCAAATATTGGCCTTGAGCACCTCAGCCATCATCACAGGGAGGACCACACCCGAGTCACTCACCTGTTATGAGGGCCAAGTGAGATAACATACATGAGAATACTGTGATACCTTAAGAGGATAGGAAGGTAATGATGACGATGGCAAACCTCAGACCTGAATTCAGAAGCTGCTCTATTTGTTCCACACAGGCCAGGGCTGGGCTGTCAAGGCTCAGCTAACTTCCCCTTCCCTGGCTTGTATGTAGGGAACTTCCCCATTCCCAGTGGAATCCCAGATACCAAGTCTCGATTGCCCATTTAATAATTTGATAAATATTAACCAGGTGGCTGTATGTCAGGCTCTTTGACAGGTACTGGAGACCCAGAGACTACACAACAGAGTCGAGTCACTCCCATGGGTCAATGTGGCCTGTGAGAGCCAGGCAGGAGGCCATGAAGTCCACCCTGAGCACAAGAACTATGAGAGAGACATTTATACTGGAGGCAAAGGTGGCCTGCACACAGCTATTCCCTAAGTTCCCTAAGATGTAATTGCCTGATCTCAAGAGGGTCAGGAAATAGCCCCAGACACCTGTCCTGCCCTAGCCTGGGTGGTGCCATTGTTCCCTTGATAAGGCATTCTCTCCTCTCGCGGAGGTTGAGCTCCCTGAGAGAAGCCTGTCTCTTGACACCTTTGCATTCCCCAAAGCACCTGGTGGGGCATCTCGCGGAGTGGGAGCTTAACAAATGCTTGCTGAATAATGCTCTAAAAATATGTGTTAGAAAAACTTATTTGGGCTACACATCTGGACACAGGAGTAATCAACAGAGGTGAGAGCCAGTGCCCCAAGGGAAGAGGCTTCCTACAAGTGAAGAGTTTGCCACAGGCTAACCATCCAAACCCATAAAACAGGGCAGAACAGAGGCTCAGCTGGCTTTACTGGCAAAGGAGTGCCTTCAGTGAGCTTGGTGGTCTTTTAAAGCAGAGGAAAAGCATGGTGGAGGGGCTTCCTCCTTCTGTTTCTTTCTATAGGATGACCAAACTCAAACACAGGGGAAAGGTTCTGTTTGCAAAGCTCAACTTTCTCATCACCTACAGAGGAAAACAGCTCTTCAAAATAGCTCAACTACTTCTTTTTTTTGAGACAAGGTCTCACTTTGTCACCCAGACTAGAGTGCAGTGGCATGATCATAGGTCATTTTAATCTCCAACTTCTGGACTCAAGCAATTCTCCTGCCTCAGCCTCCTGAGTAGCTGAGACCACAGGTGCATGTCACCACACCTGGCTAAGTTTTTAATTCTTTGTAGAGGTCTCACTATTTTACCCAGGCTGGTCTTGAACTCCTGGCCTCAAGTGATCCTCCTGCCTTGGCTTCCCAAAGTGCTGAGATTACAGGTGTGAGCCACTGTACTGGGCTTCAACTTCTAAGTTGTCACCCCTTAAACCTTAGTCTTGACAGTGTGGTTTGTCCTACCTTAAAATCGTTGATATATGCACCATAGTTCACACGTCCCATGTTCTCTACCAGAAGGTCCAGAGTGGCTCCAGCTTTCCCTGTTATGTTCAGAGTGATCACATTGTTTCGCTCAAGGACTCCCTGGGGGATCTGTGGGGTTCAAGACCAAATGACAATTGAATTGAGGGTAAGAAGGTCAGCAAGGAGAGGCAGCATGCTCAGTTAATTTAGCACTCATTTTCTTGCCTTGAAGTGTCACCAGACTTGGAAAGAAATGCTTTGATAGCATCTTAGCCCAAGTTACCGGCCAGGTCGGAAAGATCCCCCAATCACTGCTTCCTAAACAGGAAAACTGCCAGACACAGCTCAGAGCATGGAACGGTCTAAGCTGGTTTCCTTTGCCCTGGAATGTTTTACTGCCAACTACTTTTAGTGGAAAATTCCAGGGGAGGATTCTTACTAGAGTAGCTGCTTCGTGTTCTGACAGCACAAAAGTCACTCACAAAAAATTGCTTCTGAACAACATGGAGAGATAAGACAAAATCAGACAAAAGAGATAAAATCAGAGAAGTTAGGTGGAGTATTCTCACCTCAAAATACTTGACATGATGCATTAACCACGAAAATCATACAACAGAATGAGGAAAAACAACAGGTATTTTATCAACAACATATTCCTAACTTTTTAAAAGGTTAGACTTTAAAAATTGACCTTACAATGATCATAATTCACTAAGACAACACCCAAGTTAGAAGCGAAGAAACAGTCACCATCAATAGAGCAGAATGTCTTAGTAATCTGCTCCCACTGAAATGAAAGCTGTTGATTACAAGAGAATGGGAAATATTTTAAAATCTTCTGAACAAATTTTCTTGGTGAAGAAAATCTTTTCCTGTGTTCCTTCCTGTGACCATTTCGGTGAGAGGACTGGAAGTCCTGAAATGCATCTGCTTTTGTTATGAAACACGGTTCTTTGTGCATTTCAGTAATAGTTGTCACGAGCAGTCCTTCAGAATATAATTTCTCATGTAGGATAAAGGCACGAAGTTCAACAAACTTTGTACAGTGGCAGGTACAAAATTGAATTGGAAATGGACCCCACCCTTAAGGAGCAAAGAAAGCACAGGCAACATCAGTCACAGAAGGGCGGCCTTGGCTGGGGAGACCCCGAAGGCTTCTGAGAGGGTGGCGCATCAAGCACAGCCCTCTGGGTTAAGATGGTGGGTAGGGTGGATTTCAGCAAATGGCACATGCATGAGGCCTCACAGCAAGCAAGAGGCACAGCTAAGGGTCACCAAGAAGAGGGGTGGAGCCCACCGTGGTGGGTCATGCCTGTAATCCCAGCAATTTGGGAGCCTGAGGCAGGAGGATCACTTGAGCTCCGGAGTTCAAGACCAGCCTGGGCAACATAGTGGGACCCTGTCTCTACAAAAAAAATCAAAACATTAGCCAGGCATGGTGGTGCACCCCTGTAGTCTCAGCTACTTGGGAGGCCGAGGTAGCAGGATCACTTGAGCCTGGGAGGTTGAGGCTGCAGTGAGCTGTGATTGCACCACTGCACTCCAGGCTGGGCAACAGAGCAAAACCCTGTCTCAAAAAAAAAAAAAAAAAAAAAAAAAAAAAAAAAAAAAAAGATGATGGGTAGAGCCTGAGGCTGAAAAGGTGAGCAAAGACCCCAAATGCTGTGTTAACAAGTGCAGGCTGCTCATCCCCACCCTCACTGGGACAAAACGCACAGTTCAGAGACGATTCTTACCCCATCCACAGCAACATATGCTCGATCGTGGACTCCATTGAGGGGTGAAGAGAGAGGTGCTGGGTTGCTGCAATCTTGAGGAAGTGTTGTCCGGTACAGCACAAACCCATAATGCTGGTTAGAAAAGGATTTAAGAAAAATACATCACTATTGCCATTCATTTAGAGAACTTGGTTACCCTAGACATGTATGAAAGCGATGTTTCTCAAACCATAAGGAATGAAAATCTTCCTCCACCTCCCGAAAAAATTAAATTTGAAAAAGGAAACTGGTTTAATTTTTAGGTCATCGAATATCTATCATAATAGTAAACTGCAAGGAACCATGAACAGTGTCTTATCAAGCATCCCTTTCCCATAAGAGGAACCTGGACCCTGAATGGGTTAAGTTACTTGCCCAGGGTCATACAGGGGATTATATCATACATAGCAAAAGTTATGGATGTTAGCTCCAAAAACAAAACTAAGTAAAACCAACAAAAAAACAAGGCAAACAAACAGCAAAGCCAAGAGATGAAGTTCTGCTCAGCAAAACTGTCTCCAAGTTCATGGGCTAAATCTGCTTTAACATACAAAACAAAAGGCAATGAGCTGGGTGCAGTGGCATGCACCTGTAGTCTCAGTTACTTGGGGAGGATCTCTTGAGCCCAGGAGTTTGAGGCTAGTCCGGGCAACATAGCAAGACCTCATCTCTAATAATAATAATAATAACAACAAAGTCCATCAGAACTGTTTTAAGTGGAGGAACGGGGGAAAGAAACAGTTAAGAGACTAGATTGTAACCAACCACTAAGTCAGAAAATATTTTTAGATGCTGACATCCCTGGTCCAAAAGGAAAGCCTCAAACAATCAGCCTCAGCAGTAACGGAATTATTCACAGATTATAGTTATTGACATAATAATCCACAGAATTATAGTTATTGACTTTGCTTATTTACTTCCTGCTGTGGACATTATTAGCAGGGCTGAGCTGGGACATAAATCCAGTTATGGAACAGAATGCAAATAGAGATCCAGCATGGAACAGAGAAAAGTTTCCCTACTTCTAGGGCCCAGAAAGAAAGAAAGTAAACTTCAGGCAAGTGGAAAGGTGACTGGGAGGAGCTGAGGAGAGCACTAATCCACCTTCCTGTGTTGCAGGAATGAGCTGAGCACAAGAAATGCTACTAAGACCACACAAACCTTCTAGCGCAAGAACACCTCCCGCCCAGGCTCCACATCTCCATCTCCTTCTGGTTCATTTATTTACTTATTTTGAAAACTAGCTAAAGTGGTAAGTTTCCTCAAGGGCTGAGGAAAGCTTTGTCAAGGGCTTCCAGAAGGAGGGGTAGAAGCTGTGATGCTCCCCAGGCAGGTGTGGCTGAGGCTCAGGGGATCCCTGCAGAGACAGTAGGCTGAGCCCCACTCCCTGAAGTCTGTGCCCTTTGGGGTTTTTTGCTGGAAATAGATATTCTGTGGACTTGCCCCAGATCTGAAAGAGCCAGGGCCCAGGAAGCCCCACCCAATCTGAGAGCACTACCTTGGCCAAAGATCAGAAAGCAGAAGGGGTCTGAGAAAGAACAATGGCTGCACGTGTTCATATAGTAACCTGGAACTCCCTCCCCAGGCTACACGTGCTCTGGGATCATTGTCTGAAGTGCTCAACAGCTCTGCTAAGTGCAGGTAAGTTCCATTTATAGATGTGGGTGCTAGGACTGCAGAGTACCCTATACAACGTTCATGAAACAGTGAATGTGTGTGTGGTGGGGGGACTTAATTATTCATTTTATTGCAAAATAGAATTGTTGGAATAAAATCACAGGTGTAAAAACAGGAACTGACAGCAAACTTCACTAAACTAAGATTAGATATGCTGTTATTATTTTGCCTTACTGTTCAGACTCCTTCCAGAAGGTGGTTGCCACAGAAAATCAGAAAGGAGGACGTGGATAACCTTCCATTTCAAAACATGGGGCTGAGATCCTAAGTGATGAAGCTTAACATTGCAGTTAAGGGACAAGCTGGTCTCACGGGCATCCTGCTATCATTCCCTGAGAAGGACATATCACCTTTGTTGTGTTCATGTCCAAAATGTCTTACTGAATCTAATTAGTGAGGCAAAGTCTACAAACACCCCGACCTTTTCAAAAATGTCCATGTCATGAGAGAGAGACTTAGGAACAGTTTCAGACGGAAGAAGACTAAGGAGAATATAATTAATGTGTGATTATGGATTGGAAACTGGATTGAGAAAAGATTAAGCTGTAAAGGACGTTATTGCAATGACCAGGGACACTTGACTATAGAATTTATATTAGATAATAGGATTGCATCAATATTAAATTTCTCATGTGTGATCATTGTATTGTGGTTCTGCAGGATAATGTTCTTTTTCTTAAAAGATGTATGCTGTGGAGTGACATGGTGCTGATAACTCAAATGGTTAGAAAAAGAAAAGCAGTTGACTACATACACAGAGAGAAAAAGGCAATTAAAGCACTGTTAACAATTGGTGAATCTAGGTAAAAAGCATATGGGTGTTTATTGTACTATTCTTGCAACTTTTTTTGGATTTAAAATTTTCCAAAACAAAATGCTGGGAAAAACTTTAAAAAAATAAAGATGAGGCAGTGTCTGGAGATCAAACACATACACATATACAAACACTGAAAAAAAAAAAAAAAAAGATGTGCTCTGTTCTCTTCAAAAGCAGGAAAAAGAATCTCAAAGAACCTAGTCTACCAAAAAACACAGTCCTTATGCCATTGAACTAAGAACAAATAATTAAACTGTCTGTTTTGAGTATTAAAACAGTGATCTTCCACTGATGCCTAGTAATAAAGATTAATTAGATTGGTCAGTGAACTCAATTTATAACTTGTACAGAATTATGTTGAAGCAGGTTGGGCTACCTCCTGTATGAGTGAGAAGAAGTGGGGCAAAAAATATAGGCATGATCAGCCCACCACGCAGCACTTCAAGCTAAAGAGAGCCTGGAAATTCATGGTTCATTTACCTGGGATCTGATGCATTTGCTTACCATTTTGGCCCCTGAATTCAGAATGGGCACTGCAAGGCAGTGCAGAAAGCACACTTTTGCAAGTAGAAAAAAGGCGAGGCATTACCTTTGAAGGCCTACCTGTTTCACCTGGATAAATGTCAAGGGATAAAGGCTTTTGATGGGCCCAGAGGGACACAGAATGTCCAGAGCTGCTCCCACTGTCTTTAACTGAAAAGAAACAAAAGCAGCATTCACACACTGCACCCCTCACTGGTCATCAGGTTACAGAGTCATTCCCTAATTATCAAAGACATCAGTGGGTTTGACCAAACCCCTAAATAAACCTAAATCATTCAAATTCCACTCAGTATTGCTTCCCAGTCTCCTTCAGTCCTCTCCATCTACTCCCTAACTCCTGATGAAAACTATGAATGATAGTAGTCTTAAAAAGGTTTCAAACATACCTATTCGGAAGTCCAACCTGCTCAGAGACCTATAAAAGATTCTTAAAATGAATGAAAACGAAGGCTCAGATGCTGCCTCCTTATAAACCCTCTCTGAACACCCCCGAGTAAAACAACTAAGAAGTAAAAGTAGTAACCAGAGGCCAGTTACATTCAACTAAGATTAGACATGCTATTATTATATCACCTTAATATTTAATACTTCCTAGTTACTTCACCCTCCTCTGAACTTGTGTGTGGCATATCTTCCATGCCTGTATCACTTTTCAGTTGCTCATCTTTGTCTTCCTCACCAGACTGTCAGCTCCTTAAGGATAAGATATGTTCCATTCTCAGCCCCAATGCCCAGAACATAGTAAATGCCTGGTAAGTATTTATTATATTCAATACAAAGGATTGTGTATTCTTGCAACCCAGGATACTTATTCTGATGCAATAACAACAATAATAATAACAGCTACCAGTCATTGCCTGTCTACACACTCCAGATGAGATACAGCGTTTTACATGCACTAGCTCATTGAATACTCACAGCTACCCTGTGAGGCAGGTACTACTGTCCCTGTGTTGTGGAGACTCACAGAAGTCCACTTGAGTAATGACAGAGCCAGGATTTGTAGTTAGATTTGGCTCCAAACCCCAGGATTTTCCATGACTATAATACTGGTTAGGATTTTTTTTTTTTTTTTTTTGAGAGAGTCTCACTCTGTCACCCAGGCTGGTAGGCTGGAGTGCAGTGGCGTAATCTTGGCTCACTGTAACCTCCTCCTCCCAGGTTCAAGTGATTCTCCTGCCTCAACCTCCTGAGCAGGCATGTGTCACCATGCCTGGCTAATTTTTGTATTTTTAGTAGAGACGGGGTTTCACCATGTTGGCCAGGCTGGTCTTGAACTCCTGACCTCAGGTGATCCTCCCGCCTCGGCCTCCCAAAGTACTGGGATTACAGGCGTGAGCCACCATGCCCAGCCCAGTTAGGAATTTCATAAACACTTCCCATGGTTACCTTGCTGATGTGCAGCATCAAGGAAAAAAATCTCATTTACAATTTCATCAAGCCAGCTACTCATATGGGTGTTTTCCCACCTGAACACTAAGAAATTCAACTCACGGTAAAAACTTATTTTCTATATAACTGTGTTCTACATAAACTTAATTCAGTTATATGCTGATTTGCTATCTTCAACTGTATATATTTATTTAAAAATAAAAAGTCATTTCTGCTCACACAATTTTCCTTCACGGTAAACAGAATGTGCTTTTGGTAATAAGCTAGCTTGGTTTTAGCAATGTTGTTGTTTTGAACATTTGGAGCTATTTTCTGTTGCATAAAAATAGATTTGTCATGGCTCTGAAACAAACAAACCAAAGTTTTCCTTAAGTAGCTGTAGCAATGAACAAGTAGAAGGTGCTCCCTTTACAAGAGTGACTGAAGTCTGATTAATCTAAAGAAAGATCCTTATCAGACAGAAAGACCACATTCTTTGTAGAATGTAGCACAGGTATCTGACACTAGGTGGAAAATGTTATAAGAACTCAACCAACCAACCATGTCAAAGGGCTTCTTGGATGGAAAAATTACATAATCATGTTTGGCATTTTGCTTGAAGATAAAAACTTACGATACTATTTTAGGATATCGAGATTCTTAAGAAATAGGTAACGGTTCTTTTTTTTTTTTCTTGTGAGTTAATACATGTAGGAGTTAGGGATTATAAAAGGGGAAAACCTGAAGACACAGATGGTCAAAACAAATTGACTTTGGCTATGTCACTCCTCTGACTATTAAGTAAAACCTCTCTTCTTTTTCGCTTTTCCTAGAATACATTGCCCTTAACTCCTATTTATGATTGATTTCTAGCTTTTCCCCCAGTGTCCCCATTTAACGTATAAACCACAGACCATAAAAATTAGGACATGACTTTGAGATGGAGGTAAGTATATAATTTAGGGCAGAGGTCTATCAAAATGCCTGTGATTTTGGGGAACTCCTAAAAAAGGTAAATACGACAAAGAGCCTTGGCAGCCATAACAATGAGGTGGCATGTTATTTCCACAAAGGCACTTGACACTGTTTAAACCACTGATAAAGGAACCAAGATGACCCAAATGATCCAAGAATGCCTACTACTCCCACCCATGTCTCATCTGCTCATCCTGTCAACAGGCATGAGTATCTTCTCACCTCTCTCTCCCCATTTTCCCAGAAACATCATTTACCCCATTAGGCTTGCAGAAAACAAATTCGCAGAAAAATAACGAACCAATTCCTCCAGCACAGCACTTTCACTCACTGCTACTAAATTCCACTTTCTCACTCCCATCTCTCACTTTCAAAGTTTCTGTTATTTTTTTTTCTTACCTTTTCCAAAGTGACCTTTCCATATGCAAACTTTGGTGTAGATGGAGGGATAGGACCTTCTGGTACTTTTTCAAACTATAAACCAGAGTAGAAAAAGAGAGAAAAGAAAAAAAGTTGGTAAACCTTCAGAAACATATTCATAAAATTTATTATTTGAAAGCAAGGTCAAAGACTCAACAGTGCCACTGCTTTTTTGGAAAATCAAAGGAACTAGAGACTTCTTCCAAAGCAGGATCTGGTAAATTTTTTACCTCTAAGTGTATGTCTGTGTTTTAAGCTTCAGGAATATCCAAATAATTATAAACCGAAAGACCTCAAAACAAAAGAGCAAAAACAAGTAGAGAGAATGAGGGTAAACAGCAGAAGGCTAGGGGAGTGGGAGGAAAAAAGGAAACAGGTACGTGACAGACTCTGAAGGGAGACAGCCTATCATAGGAAAAATATTAATCTTATTGCTAAAGTTCTGTATCAATGTTAAATTTACTGTGGTTACAAGAGAGAATACTTCTCCATATTGTTATGAAACATATAACGAAGTATTTAAAGGTAAAGGCCGTGATGTATGCAATCCTCCAATGATTTAGAAAACACACACACAGACAGAGAGAGAGAAGAAACAAGTCTATGCACGAGTGATGAAGCATGTAGAGTAAAATGTTGACACAGATAAGTCCGGGTGGAGAATATACAAATCCTCTTTTTTTTTTTTTTTGAGACGAAGTCTCGGTCTTGTTGCCCAGGCTGGAGTGCAATGGCACGATCTCAGCTCACCGCAACCTCTGCCTCCCGGGTTCAAGTGATTCTCCTGCTTCAGCCTCCCGAGTAGCTGGGACTACAAGCATGCACCACCACACCTGGCTAATTTTGTATTTTTAGTAGAGATGGGGTTTCTCCATGTTGGTCAGGCTGGTCTCGAACTCCTGATCTCAGGTGATCCGCCCGCCTCAGCCTCCCAAAGTGCTCGGATTACAGGCGTGAGCCAGCGCGCCTGGCCACAAATCCTCTTTTTTTAAACTACTTTTATTCTTGTAACTTTTTTGAAAGTCTGAAACTATTTTTCAAAATAAATCCTTATTAAATGTTAAATATTATATCTGGACATATACACATGCACACACATATATGTGCATGTATGTATACAATTATGGAGTAAGAAGATCTGGGAGAAAGTCCCACGTCTTAGAAATGTCTGTAGCCATCCGGCTTTTCAAGTAGAGTGTACTGTGAGTTCTCAAGATCCTTCTATTTCTTTCTTTCCTTCTTTTTTTTTTGGTTTCCCTTTCTAAAAGTCACAATGCTGGCAGCATCGCCTCTTTGTAGCCCGGAGCAGCTGCTGCCATCACGCTGGCTGTGGCGGAAGGAGGTCGTGGGCCGTGGCGGTGGGAGCAGCTGCTGCCATCACGCTGGCTGTGGCGGAAGGAGGTCGTGGGCCGTGGCGGTGGGAGCAGCTGCTGCCATCACGCTGGCTGTGGCGGAAGGAGGTCGTGGGCCGTGGCGGTGGGAGCAGCTGCAGGGCCAGTAGTGGCGGCGGAGAGGACCCCTGTGCCCCATGTCCCCGAGGCAGCTGACTGTGCCGTCCCCAGCCTCACGGGGCCAGGCAGGACCCACTCCCAGGCCCGGAGCCTCTGCCGCTGTTGACCCTGGCCCCGCGTCACTGCTCTTGCCTTGCTGCTGCTGTGGAAAGGGTGCAGCAGGAAGGAGGTGGTCAGTCCCTGAAGCCCGCCACGATGGGACTGGGCCGAGTCACCCGCTGGTGGGGGAGCAGCGTGGTTGGGCACGGAGGGGCGGACAGAGAAGGGCCCCGAGGTAGAGCTGTGCCCGGGGCAGTGCCACGATCCATGGAGCCAAGCAGGAGCTGGGCGTGGCTGCAGCTACCAAGCTGCAGCTGCAGACGGAAACATCTCTGCACTCTTGGGGATCCAGGAAGGTCCCCCTCCCCCAAAAGGCTAAGAGGTGTCTGCTCCCGCTGCCTAGCCTCTCTCTTCTCCCAGCGCCACTCCGACCTCGGAGCAAGGATGGGGCTGAGCCCACGTGCTGTCGCACGCTGGCTGGGTGTGCAAACGTTCAGGGTAGCACTGACATGCCAGCCCCCTGCCACCTCAGCCCCCTCTGGACTTTGGGCACCGATGAGCACAGGAGGGAGGCCGAGGGGGTGCTGAGGGCAGCTCAGCACTGGCCTGTAGGCGTCCCTTGGCACAAACAGCCCGGGCGCCATGAATGGTGGCAGAAGGTAGACAGGCTCCTGGGTGGAAGGGGGCGAGTCCCTGGTGAAGCCCCACCTTCAAGCTGGGGAGGGCCCGAAGCCTGGGGTTCGGGCCACTAGTCTCATGGACCAGAGGGGTAACTTGTGGTGCTTTTCCCTGGGCCTGCCAATGGCCGCCATGGTCCAAGCAGCACCTCCTCCCCACTGAAGCCCATAACAACTGCTGGCTCAGCAAGACCAGAAGATGGAGAGACAAGGGGAGACAATCAGCTGCAGAGAGAAACTATCCTCTCTGCTGAGAGGATGGAGGGAGGATGGGACAATCTACCCACAGAGAGGCACTACCCTCTCTGCTGAGAGCTGAACACTCGCTGGGACACCCTGGCTATGGAGACAAGCTATCCACTGTGGGCCTCCTCTGAGCTGTTCTATCGCTCAATAAAGCTACTCTTCATCTTGCTCACCCTCCACTTGTCTGTATACCTCATTCTTCCTGGATGTAGGACAAGAACTCAAGATCCGCTGAATGGTGAGGCTAAAAGAGCTGTAACACAAATAGGGCTGAAACATGCCCCTTGCTCACCACGTTGTGGGGGAAAAGGAGAGAAGAGCTATGGTCCTTTGGGGAGCCCAGACCTGGGAGCTACCCGAGCTGGGGCTGTGACTCTCTCTTTGGGGCCCTGTGGTTCCTGGCATCTCCAAGCTTCTGGGCACTATTGCATACCCTGATGCCAGCCAGAGAAGCTGTCTGCAGTGCACCTGGTCCAGCTGCAGCCTTGCAGAGGGCTGGCGCCTGTGCGGGCAACCTGGAGCTGCTCACCCTGCAGCAGCAGCAGCCAGCGTGTCTGACCGTGCACAGTGGCTCAACCCCACGCTTGCTCACACACCCCTTGCCGCTTTATGCCTGACTTGCCCTTGGCAGGTATGGGATCCAGGCAGGAAGCATGAACCGAGTGCAGCCTGCCAGGCCGAGTGGGCAGAACGAACCCAGTGGGCCCGAGCAAAACTCGGGCAAAGGCGCCACAGGCCACAGAGGTTTCCAGCCAGAAAAGTGACACCCGGCTCACGCCTATATTCCCAGCACTTTGGGAGGCCGAGGCAGGCAGATCACTTGAGGTCAGGAGTTCAAGACCAGCCTGGCCAACGTGGTGAAACCCCATCTCTACTAAAAATACAAAATTAGCCAGGCATGGTGGCACATGCCTGTAGTCTCAGCTACTTGGGAGGCTGAGACATGAAAATCGCTTGAACCTGAGAGGCGGAGGTTGCAGTGAGCTGAGATTGCACCACTGCACTCCAGCCTGGGTGACAGAGTGAGATTCTATCTCAAAAAATAAAATATAAAATAAAATAAATAAAAAGAGGAGGACAAAAGACTGTTATAGTGAAAAGCAACAGTCCCCTGCCTCACTTTTCTCTTAGTTCTTTCAGAGGAAGCCATTTAAAAATTATCATTTTTTATTATTTTGTTTTGAGATAGGCTGTTGCCCAGGCTGAAGTACAGTGGCACAATCACGGCTCACTGCAGCCTCAACCTCCTGAGTTCCAGTGATCCTCCTGTCTCAGCCTCCTGAGTAGCTGGGACTATAGGCATGCACCACCATGACCTGCTAATTTTTATTTTTATTTTTGTAGAAATGGGGTCTCACTATGTTGCCTAGCCTGGTCTCGAACTCCTGAACTCAAGCGATCCTCCCACCTTGGCCTACCAAAGTGCTGGAATTACAGGTGTGAGCTACCACGCCCAGCACATTTTAAGATTATTTAATTGTTCCTATTTTTGCTTCTTCTGGTCTCTAAGTAATATATGTGTACTGCTTTTTCTTATCATTGATTTCTTTAACACATGAGAGTACAGCCCAGAAGATAAAGAAAGTTTATCTTCCTTTCTTGCTATTATGGTTATATCACCATTTTCAGCTTCTCTCCTAGTTATCTTTGTACCTTTAAAATAATATCCTTATATCTTTATTTATTAGTTCCATCAATTAGCATATTACCCTATGTCGCCTCTTTTTTCTCGTTTTGTTTTTTTGAGATGGAGTCTCAAACTTCATGTCTATAGCATTATCCTTTTAAATTTTTATTTTTTAAAAGTAACACTCTGAGTGTGGGGTGACTAGGTCAAAGGATATGAGTATAAGACTCTTAAAATAGTGTATACTCACATTTTCATCAAGTATCCATACTTGCTTATGTCATTTACCCAAAAATTTTTTTTTTTTTTTTGATACGGAGTTTCGCTCTTGTTGCCCAGGCTGGAGTGCAATGGCACAATCTCGGCTCACTGCAACCTCCACCTCCCAGGTTCCAGCGATTCTCCTGCCTCAGCCTCCCGAGTAGCTGGGATTACAGGCATGCACCACCACGCCTGGCTAATTTTTTGTATTTTTAGTAGAAACGGGTTTTCTCCATGTTGGTCAGGCTGGTCTCAAACTCCTGACCTCAGGTGATCCGCCCGCCTCGGCCTAAGTGCTGGGATTACAGGCGTGAGCCACTGCGCCTGGTCATCATTTACCCAATTTTCTATGTAGATCTTGATATTCTGATCAGTGATATTAGCTCATTATAATACAGATATTAAGCTTTCATCTGTCTATCCCATTTACTACAATTTTCTAACTTTTCATTTTAATATTGATGATTTTCATTGATACTAGTTTGATTATCATATAGCAAAATCCTCATCTTTACCTTAGCTAATTAATGTTTCAGAAAAGAAATGAACAAATATACCAAAATGCTATACTTCTAAACCATTATTTTTCCATAATAATTTGTGCTTTAATCATACTTTTCAGAGCAATCAGAAATGTTGCTTCTCATACTTAACCGGACACATTCAACACGGGAAGCTGCTCTTTTCCCTGTGGAATCCACTAGATTCAATGGTGACCAGCTTTTCCTTCACCAAGACCTCTAATGTTTTCATACATTCATCCAACAAACTCTTATTAAGAAAGTACTCTGTGTCAGGTCCTATGCTTGGTACTAGACTTATAAACCTATTCCAGAGAGTGAGAAATGTGTATAAATCAGTTATATTAATACACCACAAAAAGTAGTATTTTCACTAGTAAAGACACGGAATCAACCTAAATGACAATCAATGGTAGACTGGATAAAGAAAATGTGGCATATATACACCATGGAATACTATGCAGCCATAAAAAAGAAACAAGATCATGTCCTTTGCAGCAACATGGATGGAGCTGGAGGCCATTATCCTAAGCAAACTAATGCAGGAACAGAAAACCAAATACTGCACATTCTCACTTATAAGTGGGAGCTAAATGATGAGAACACATGGACACAAAGAGGGGAACAGACATCAGGGCCTACTTGAGGGTGGTAGGTAGGAGGAGGCAGAGGATCAAAGAATGACCTATCAGGTACTATGCTTATTACCTGGGTGACAAAATAATCTGTATACCAAACCCCTGTGACACACAGTTAACCTACACAACAATCTTGCACATGTACCCATGAACCTAAAAGTTAAGAAAAAAAAAAAAAAAGAAAAGTAATGTTTAAAAGATTTCTACAACATAAGTGATAGAAAACAAAATGTGACTAACTTGGCTGACAAGTGGGTCAAAGAAGACTCTGCAGATAAGGTAACTGAGGTGTGTCTTCATTTCCAGGTGAATAAAGGCAGAGGGTGCAGAGACCAGGAGGTATAAACAGTGCTGTTTCATTCATGGAATTGTATATAGCTCCAACTTAAGGCCAGGAAGTCACATCTAAGAAGGGAGAATTGAAAGATGAGGCTGGAAAAATATAGGGGCCAAGTCATGGAAGGTATCCTGACCACATCAGTGTTTTAGATACTACACTTGATCTTAGCCAAAAGACTGAGAAGCGATCACATCAGTGTTTTAGAGAAATCACTCTGGGAGAGGGACTAGAAAAGCCAACTCTACAGGAAACGAAGAGACCAGTACTACAAGAGAGCAGGTGACACTTTAAAAGACTATTTAACAGTTGCTAAGTAATATTGCCTTTCTCATCTGTAACCATCAGACATAAAACACTGGTTTTCACCAGCACTATACATCAGCAAGAGACAGCTGTGTCTGCGTATCAAGCCAATGTCATTCCAGTCATAAACAGTGCAGGATGATCAATCAGCCAGTGTAGACAAATCCTGGATCAAATTTCAAACTTCATTAAGCTTTTGAAGTACAGAAAAAATCACTGTGGCTGTTCTCCCATCCCCTCTTCACCACTCAGCCCAGTTACTACCTTTGGGAATCCCAGAATCCACTCCAATTATCAAGGTCCTCACTACCACTTGATTAATTTCTACAGTGACCCATTTCCAAAACATCAGCGGAACTCTTACGTTGATGGAATCCCTATAAAGAACAGAAACAAAACTCTTAAAATGGGTCTTAAGTTGATTTGACAGCATACAAAAATAAACTCACCACTGCCCCTCTCAGGAATCAGTAGGGAAGAGGAGGTCGCTGCCCTATATTTTTATGGTTCATCCTCGAGGTCAAAGTGTTAACCATGTTTGGTTGAGTTTTACCCACACCAAAGCAAATACCTTTTAAAATGCAAATGTCATGAGCTTTGCCATGCCTTGAAGATTCATATGAAGACAACCGCCTGGGGGCCTTCACCACTGAGCACAGGCTTATGCAGCCTGCTGGGAGATTATCCCCAGGAGTCCATGTCAGTGAAATATATTGCCCATCACCACCTAATGTGTTCTTGAAATGGATTACAGAGGAGACATATTCCGCTTTTTGAGTCTTTGATGAAGGAAGGAGGCAGGTAGAGCTATATACAGGGGATATCTACCATCCAATTTCCTTTACTTGATGCAAGCAAATATTTTGAAGATCATTTAACAAATCAGCTAATGGAATGTCTACAAAGTCTCATAAGAAAGAGCCCACTGGCTGGGTGCGGTGGCTTACACCTGTAATCCCAGCACTTTGGGAGGCCAAGGCGGGTGGATCACTTGAGGTCAGGAGTTTGAGACCAGCCTGGCCAACATGGCGAAACTCCGTCTCTACTAAAAATACAAAAATTAGCCACGTGCATTGGTGTGCGCTTGTAATCCCAGCTACTCGGGAGGCTGAGGCAAGAGAATCACTTGAACCAGGGAGGTGGAAGTTGCCTGGGTGACAGAGCAAGGCTCTGTCTCAAAAAAAAAAAAAAAAAAAAAAAAAAAAAATATATATATATATATATATATATATATATATATAATCTCCACTAAATCTTGTAGTTAATTTCTCTTTCAAACCAGAAATATCAAAAAAAGAGGGAAAATATGACATGTTAAGCTGCAATCTATCATAAGCTATTGAATTACATTCATTTCTTTTTTTGTTTTGTTTTGTTTTTGAGACAGAGTTTTGCTCTTGTTACCCAGGCTGGAGTGCAATGGCATGATCTCGGCTCACTGCAACCTCTGCCTCCTGGGTTCAAGCGATTCTCCTGCCTCAGCCACCAGAGTAGCTGGGACTACAGGCATACGCCATCATGCCCACCTAATTTTTTAATTTTTAGTAGAGATGGAGTATCACCATGTTGGCCAGGCTGGTCTCGAACTCCTGACCTCAGGTGATCCACCCACCTCGGCCTCCCAAAGTGCTGGGATTACACACGTGAGCCACTGAGCCTGGCAATTTCTAAAGACTCTGTCTCCTTTGTGGGTTCTCTTACTCTGCCCAGTTGTTAAAGCTTGGGATCCCCTGGGTTTGTCTTTTGCTTGGCCCATTGCCCTCCTCAGTCAGCTCCCCATGTGCAGTCTCAACCTCTCCCTGGACTTCGGCTTCCATTTGCACTGATCGCCCCAGAATCTGCGCCAACCTTTCCGACTTCTCCCTGGAGTGTCTTACTATTAAGTGTTGGTGCTTATGGAGAAATCTGTCTACCTGGATGTTCCTGGAAATATTGAGCTGAATAAGCCCAGAATTGAACTTGCTTCCCCTGTCCCTGCCAGGGCCTCCTCTGCAATCCTCTATCTCAGGTGCCGATCCCAGTACCCACCTAGTTATCTAACTAAGGTTTTAACCTGGAAAAATCAACAACTCCTCATTCTTTCTCACATCTGTGTTCAGTCAATCACCAAATCCTATCAATTTTACCTCCTGAACACTTTTCTTTCCTAATTTAAATTTTTAAATTTTCTTGTGGAGACAGTCTCACTATGTTGCCCAAGCTGGCCTTGATTTCCTGGCCTCAAGTGAACCTCCCACCTTGGCCTCCCAAAGTGCTGGGGTTACAGGCAAGAGCCACTGTGCCCAGCCCTAAATGTTTTTCAAATTGATTTCTTCCTCTCCACTCCCTGATGCCCCTGCCGTCATCTCATTCCTAGGCTACCATGGCAGCTGCATCCAGAAGTGCCCCAAGGGAGGAATCCCACCAGCATGTTCATAGTGTCATATGTTTTTGTAAAACTTGCAAAAGTAATATAATTTGACCATAACAAGCTAAGATCCTTGTCTCTTTCTGTTCCAGCTTCCCTGTGTCAAATGTCCTCTTCCTTTGGGAGGTTTTACAGGTTGCTATAGGCATTTTGGGGACCCAAGTAAAAATCAGTTAAAGTAGGGATTTACTTTACATGGGTACAGTAGGATATACTGATATGATTCCTGGTTACTTCCGTGAGTAGGTAAGTTATGAATAATGGATCATCCCTTCACCCAATGTGCTGACTCACTTAGCATCATAGTGCAATACAATTATGCCTAAAGGCACCCAGCCCCGGAAGTACATGGGTTGTGGAGAAGCAAGGTTTGAAATGTATGGGGCCAGAACCTGTCTGTGAAAATTTCTTCCAAAAATTATAGCTCATATATGAACAAACTGGAGAGATAGTTCCCCAATTTTGATTACAATCTTAAACATTTATATAATATTATCAGTAATAAAATGTGAAGCTTTTGTTTTTCTAAACTATCAATACTAAACAAATTTCAATCAGCCAGGCTAAAAAGAAAGATTTCTATTCTCTCTAGAGGAAAAGATTACAAACATTGTGGCCATCTGAAGAGGCAAACATTGTTGCTAAAAAAGGTGATAAGAGGCTAGGCGGGGTGGCTCACGCCTGTAATCCCAACACTTTGGGAGGCCCAGGCAGGTGGATCACTTGAGGTCAAGAGTTCGAGACCAGCCTGGTCAACATGGTGAAACCCCGTCTCTACTAAAATACAAAATTAGCTAGGTGTGGTGGCGTGCACCTGTAATCCCAGTCACTCAGGAGGCTGAGGCAGGAGAATCGCTTGAACCTGGGAGGCAGAGGTTGCAGTGAGCCAATATCGTGCCACTGCACTCCAGCCTGGGTGACAGAGCGAGACTGTCTCAAAAAAAAAAAAAAAAAAAGGTGGTAAGGAATGGGGAGGCACCACCAGGAGCTGCCACGTCCCTAGAGCAGTCACGCTGGTATCATGGTGTCAGTAATTAACACTGTGGATACCTCCCATAAGGATATGATTTATGATGCCCAGATGGACTACTATGGCACCCGCCTGGCAACCTGCTCATCAGAAAAATCCGTCAAAATCTTCAAAGTGCACAACAGAGGGCAGATCCTCATTGCCAACCTCAGAAGTCATGAGAGTCCTATGTGGCAAGTGGCCTGGGCTCACCCCACATATGGCAATATCCTGGCATTGTGCTCCTATGATTGGAAAGTCATTATCTGGAAAGAGGAAAACGGCACCTGGGAGAAGACCCACGACCCCTCAGGATATGACTCCTCCGTGAACTCTGTATGCTAGGTCCCCCATGACTACGGCCTGATCCTGGCCTGTAGGAGCTCAGATGGGGCCATCTTCCTGCTGACTTATACAGGGGAAGGCCAATGGGAAGTGAAAAAGATCAACAACGCTTACACCATTGGCTGCAATGCCATCAGCTAGGCCCCTGCTGTTGTACCTGGAAGCCTCATAGACCAGCTGTTCAGGCAGAAACCCAATTACATCAAGAAGTTTCCATCAGGTGGCTGTGACAACCTCTTCAAGGATGGCCAGTGGAAGGAGAGCAGAAGCTGGAAGCACAGTGACTGGGTTTGAGATGTGGCCTGGGCCCCCTCCATCAGCCTGCCCACCAGCACCATTGCCAGCTGCTCCTGGGATGGTCGTGTGTTCATCTGGACCTGTGATGATGCCTTGGGAAATATATGGTCTCCCAAATTGCTGCACAAGTTCAATGATGTCATGTAGCATGCGGGCAGGTCCATCACAGCCAACATATTGGCCATCTCTGGTGGAGACAATAAGGTGACCCTGAGGAAGCAGTTGGTTGATGGGCAGTGGGTGTGTATCAGTGATGTCAACAAGGGCCAGGGCTCTGTGTCAGCTTCAGTCATAGAGGGCCAGCATAACAAGCAGTGACAAGACAGGCAGAGCCTCCCACCTGCCAGCTCCAGGACTGACTGATCATCTAATCTGCCTTAACATGATCAGAGATGGTTTGTAATCTACTGTCCAGCTGAAAGCATTCATGTTATGAGGCAGAAACTACAAATGATGTTCAAATCTATTATTTTAAAATATTTTTAGCCATTTTTAGGTAACTTTGGGTTCAGGCATTATTTGGGAGGTTTTGTTTCCAAAGTCACTAAATAAAGTCATATTGCTTATTAAAAAAATAAACAAAAGGTAAGGAATGAAGAATGGTAGAAGTTTCAAGCAGTTAATAAAACCAAATGATGTTTTTAAAAAAATGTTGTAGGCTGGGCGCAGTTGCCCATGCCTGTAATGCCAGCACTCTGGGAGGCCAAGGTGGGAGGATTGCTTGAGGTCAGGAGTTCGAGAGCAGCCCGGGCAACATAGGGAGACTCCATCGCTACAAAAAAATTAAAAATTAGACAGGTGTGGTGGCGCACACCTGTAGTTCTAACTGCTCAGGAGGCTGAGGCAGGAGGACCGCTTGAGTCCAGGGGTTTGAAGCTGCAGTGAGCTATGATTGCACCACTGCACTCCACCCTGGGCAACAGAACAAGACACTGTCTCAAAAAAAAAAGGTGATATTTGTGATTAATCATTTAATCTTTTTGTTATGGACTGAACATTTGTGTCCTCCCAAAACTCATATGTTGAAATTCTAATTCTTAAGGTGATGGTATTATGTGGTAAGGACTTTGAGATGGGGTTAGTGCCTTAAATGAGATCCCAGAGAGCTCTTTAGCCCCCTTTTTGTAATTAAGGATACAATTAGAAGTCAGTGCTCTGCAATGTGGAAGAGGACCCTCGCCAGAACCTAACCATGCCGGCATTTTCACCCTCAGAACCATAAGTACCACCCAGTCTATGGTACTTTGTTATTGTAGCTCAAACTGACTAAGACACTTGGAATTTGTAATGATTTCTTGATTCATTCTAACTACACATTCCTTTTTGTTGCCTCATCCAATAGCCATTTTGAAATGCATAGCCGATTATATCATTTTCTTCTTTAAACTACTTCAAAGGCACCATTACCTATAATTCAAGCTCCTTAACTTGGTGTATTCAATAGCATTTATTTTCTTGGTGAAGTAGGAGACAGTGTCACCTGTACATTAGGATAAAGTGTAAGGGTGATGGTTTATACCATACAGTGAGAAGAAGGAATGACAAAGGGCAAAAAGAGAACTAGAGATCATGAAAGATCCAAATCAGATTGGAAGTAAGATCCCTTCCTGGCCAGTCAATACTGAAGTTTAAAATTCTTCTGCCTGGCTCTGGTTCCAGAGTGTGACAGTCAGAATGGTCCCAGCAGTGGTTCATAGAGCAGGGCCTCTTAAACAGCTGCATACAGAAGGATTGAGGGTGATGGTGTAAGATTATCCCAGCCATCGATCAGAAGAGCAAGGGAAGGTCAAGAAAAGTGTGTGGAGTTTCAGGGATAGGGGATGGCAGGAAGAAGTAGCTAGAAGTATGAGAGAATAAAAATGTGCTGTTATAATGAGGCCAAAAGTAAAGTGATATTTTATGCAATAAAGCTTATGTAAATATGTGTTTTAAAACTTGATTTGATTTTTTCCACATTAGGAAAGTTCACTATTTCAGAAAGAAAATAATTCTAAAAATAAGCCTACCAGCAACTCCACTTCTAGGTATGTCCCTAGAGGAATGACAAGCAGAGACTTATCCATATTGATATTTGTACTCTGATGTTCAATGCAGCATTATTCAAATAGCCAAAAGATGGAAACAACTGAAATGGTCATCACCAGATGAACAAAATGAATAGGTAATTAAAATATCATATACGCATACAATGGAATATTAAGCCATAAAAAGAAATGAAATTCTGACACGTTACAACGTTGAAAACATTGTGCTAAGTGAAATAAGCCAGATACAAAAGGACCAATATTTTATGATGCCACTTATATGAAATATCTAGAATAGGCAAATTCACAGAGACAGAAAGTAGACTAGGAGCTACTAGAAGCTGAGGAGAGGGTGACTGGGGAGCTATTGCTTCATGGTTACAGAGTTTCTGTCTGGAAGGAAGAAAAAGTTTTGAAAATAGATAATGGTGATGGCTGTATAACATTGTGAATATAACTAATGGCACTGAATTTACATTTAAATATGGTTAAAATGGCAAATTTTGTTTTATATATATTTTACCACAATTAATTTTTTTTTTTTTTTGAGACAGAGTCTTGCTCTGTCACCCATGCTGGAGTGCAGTGGTGTGATCTCAGGTCACTGCAACCTCTGACTCCCATATTCAAGCGATTCTCCTGCCCCAGTCTCCCGAGTAGCTGGAATTACAGGTGTGCGCCACCATGCCAGCCTAATTTTTGTATTTTTAGTGGAGATGGGATTTCACCATTTTGGCCAGGCTGGTCTCGAACTCCTGACCTTAGGTGATCTGCCTGCCTCGGCCTCCCAAAGTGCTGGGATTACAGGTATGAGCCACCACACCTGGCCTAAAAAATTAATAATATAACAAAAAACATTGAATGGTGTACTTTGAATGGGAGAAATGTATGTGAATTATACCTCAACAAATCTGTTTAGAAAATAAATAAACCTGAAGTGGATTGTGAAATGAAGCAATAGTCTATAAAAGAAACAAGTCCACAGGCATTATAATCAAATCAAGTAAATCAGTAGTCCTGGCTGATAGAAGACACCCAAACTAAACATGGAACAGTAACTCTTACCTAGAAAAAACTACAGTGCTCATGTCACACTCTCTGTAACAGGATACCCTTTGGGTCTGGACACCACATAAAAACTAATAGAATGGCAGAATAATACTTCCTCCTTGATTTTCTTGGGAGCAATTGAGCAATGGTGATTACTGCAGCTACTAAAGGGCACTGTCAACAGAGGCTTTGAGCATAAGTGGGCACAAGTTTCCAGGGGAATATTTAACTCTAGTTTGAAATTTTACAATGACATAAGTGAAGAAAAACAGTAATAAAAATAACTGCTATGTATTATTCTCTGAGAAGACATGCTAACCGTATTGCACAGATGTGGAAGGAGGGTACCTTGCCCACTGAGTACTGGAGTCAACACTCAAGTTTTGTTCTGTCTCTCTCCAAAGCTTCTCCAATCTGTGACTCTACCTCTCACACAATACTGGGCGACTCTTCAAAAAAAAAAAAAAAAAAAAAAAAAAAGGCTCAGATTGGTGAGAGAGGTAACAAATTGCATATCTGCCATATCTTTAAAACTTGCTTAAAGATGATTTCATTCTATTTGGAGAAACTCTGGAGTAAGAGGGATGCTTAAAGAGAAAAATTCAAATTTATCTCTTCTGTGAGCCCCTCCAACACAGGACCATGGTAGACTTATCACTCACCTCTAGCATTTAACACGGAAATTGTAAGACTGGTGTTGAATGTTTGTATAATGATTAAGTGGATGATCGACAGATCTCAGAAAAATAATTTGTGAAAGGTTTGCCCTGTGCTCTGAAGGTTAACACCTTTGTGTATAGCAAATTCTGGAGAATCTCTTAGGGAGTAAGTAAATCTCTGAAACTAGGTTTTTGTTGACAAATCTTGCTGTGGAAAACATCTAGAACAATTGTACAAGATGTTTTAAAATATCTTTTTGAAAGCATCAGAAAGCTACCAAAGCAGAAAGGAATTAAGTGGTTACAATTCCAAAAAAATGGAAAATGTCATGATGCAAGTCTGATATTTGTTACTAGTTTTCCCATCAAGGTATTTGTCAATTCACAAGGGCCAACTGAGAGGCTAGAAGCCGAACACAACTTCTGGGAGTCTTCTAGGGCTGAGAAGATAAAAATTGGACTTCAGAGATCAGAACGGAGAAAGAACCCTGGTAAATACTTCAAGCTCTCAGTTGAGACCCCTAAGAAAGTGAACCAGAAGCGGACCAACCCTCAAGAAGACAGAAGCCCACTTTCAAATTAGCTTAATCCCTGATTGCATGAAGATGATCTCTGTCTACTCTAACTGCCTGGTAGAAGTAAAAGTAAATCTCTTTTGGAAGAAAAAACATATATAACCCAAATTATCTCTTTCTTTTTTGTTTTATTGACCTCTAGATGAGAAAAAACCCAACATATAGGAGACAACACTATCTGATCAAAAACGAATAGAAAAAAAAGCCAGGGCCGGGCGTAGTGGCTCATACCTCTAAGCCCAGCACTTTGGGAGGCCGAAGTGGGCAGATCATGAGGTCAGGAGTTCAAGACCAGCCTGACCAACATGGTGAATCCCCATCTCTACTAAAACTATGAAAATCAGCCAGGTGTGGTGGTGCACAGCTGTAATCCCAGCTACTCAGGAGGCTGAGGCAGGAGAATCACTTAAACCCAGGAGGTGGAGGTTGCGGTGAGCTGAGATCACACCACTGCACTCCAGCCTGGGCAACAGAGCAAGACTCTGTCTCAAAAAAAAAAAAAAAAAAAGGAAAAAAAAGCCATTGAAACAGACCCATAAGACATCATGGTATTGGAATAATCTGAAGAAAGCTTAAAATTATGCCAATAGACATACAACAAAAGAAGATGAGGAATTTCAGCAGAGAACTGGAAACAATTTTTAAAATCTAATGGAAGCTCTAGAACTGACAAATGCAATCATTGAAATTGAGTCTATAATATGGGTTTCACTCAGACAGTTGAAAAGAGGATTAATAAACTAGAAGATAGGTCAGAATAAAATCTAAACTAAAATATGTTCGGGGGAAAGGATAGAAACAATGGAAGCGCTTAGGAGATACACAGAACACAGGAAAAAACGTCTAACACACATATCACTGGTGTTCTGAAAGGCAAGGTGGGAGAACGAAGTAAACATAACATTGGATGAGATAACAGCCAAGAATGTTCTAAAATCCACAAAAGAAATAATGCCATAGATTTAGGAAGTTCAAACACCCTCAAACAAGATGTATATAAAGAAAACTATGCATAGGCATACCATAGGAAAATTCCTAAAAATCAAAGATGAAAAGGAAATCTTAAAAGCACTAGAGAAAAAAAGACCTATACCATCAAAGGAAAACCAGTGACAGGTGATTTTTCAAAAGAAATGATGGAGGTCATACATACAAATATGGAATGGTATTTTGAAAATGCTGATTTTTAAGACTGCATAAACTGATAGAAATAAAAAAATAGCCCTAGGAGTAGCTTAGACATAACATCTATCTAAGCTGTTCCTAGATCCTTTACCCTCAGAAACTGTGATATAATAAATATTTGTTATGTTGAGCTACTAGGTTTAGGGGTACTTTGTTACATGGCAATAGGTAGGGAGAAAATAAATCTCCTTTGAAAATTCATATGCACAGTCAGCCCTCTGATATATTTTGTAGCTAAAATTCACACTGCTTCTGTAGTACAAAAAAAATCCCTCAATTTAAGATTTTAATTTAAGGCGTAATGTTCCCTGGTACCTGCCAGAAGCAAATGCTAATTCTCTCTGGAAGAACCCACATTCACCCCAAATCTCAAATAATTCCTAAAGATAAAAGTTCCATGAGTGAGCCCAGGAGTTCAATACCAGCCTAGGCAACATAGTGAGACCCTGGCTCTACAAAAAAAAAATAAAAAATAAATTAGCTAGGCATGGTGGCACATGCCTGTAGTCCCAGCTCCTCAGGAGGCTGTGGCAGGAGAATCACTTGAGCCCGGGAGGTTGAGGCTGCAGTGAGCCAGGACTGCACCACTGCACTCAGCCTGGGCGAGAGTGAAACCCTGTCTCTAAGAACAATGACAACAACAACAACAACAAAAAGTTCCAAGAAATTCAGCTCAGTCAAAATCACAACACACACGCAGAAACAAGACACCATGAACAAGAGGTCACAGAAACAACAAAAGGCAGAATGAGACAAAGAAAGACTCTGCATACTGAAATGATCAAATAGAGATATATAACAGAAGTATCTCTAGTATGTTTAAAGAAATAAAAGAAGAACATGTATACATAAGGAAAAAGCAAGAGAATTTAAAAATGGCTGAGTAAAATTCGAACTGCTAATGTGAACTTATAGAATGAAAAATATAATTTAATAATTCAATGGAAAGGTTTTAATCTTAGAATTTATAGCTACTAAAGAGAAAGCAACAATTGAAGAACATATTTCAAGACAATCAGAATGCTGCACAGAGAAAAAGAGATTACGAGCTGTGAAGGCTAGAATCAGAAGGTCTAACAAATTATCTAATAGAAATAAATATTTGAAGACATAATGGCATAAACTTTTTAGGACTAGTGAAAAAAGATACCAAGCCACAAGTTCCAAAACTACCAAGCAGGATAAACGAAAAGAAAGTCACACTTAGATTCATCACAGAGAAACTATACAGCGTCAAATATAAAGAGAAAATCTCAGAAGCTGTCCAAGAGGAAAGATAGATTATCTTCAAGAGAGTGACAGAGTACAGTAAACTGACTTCTCAGCAGCAACAATAAAAGCCCAAAGTCAGTATGCTGAGAGAAAACTATCAGTTTAGAAAAACTACAATTTGAGGCCGGGCATGGTGGCTCACACCTGTAATCCCAGCACTTCGGGAGGCTGAGGCAGATGGATCATCTGAGGTCAGAAGTTCAAGACCAGCCTGGTCAACATGGTGAAACCCCATCTCTACTAAAAATACAAAAATTAGCCAGGTGTGGTGATGCACGCCTGTAATCCCAGCTGCTTGGGAGGCTGAGGCAGGAGAATCGCTTGAAGCTGGGAGGCAGAGGTTGCAGTGAGCCAAGATCTCACCACTGCACTCATTCTGGACAACAGAGTGAGACCCTGTCTTCAAAAAAAAAAAAAAAGAAAGAAAGAAAAGAAAAACTGCATTTTGAAAATGAGGGTGAAAAAAAAATTTTCAGACAAAGAAGAATTAATATAACTTGCTTACTAAATGAAATTCTAAAGAATATACTTCAGGCAGAAGAAGCAATAGAAGATAAAGAAAAGTGTGGTCCTGGGACAAAGGTACCAGACCTTTGTCTCAAGCTGTGCATTCATATATCCACTGCCTACTCTACATCTCCACTAGTACATATACTAGACAAGTCTAACTTTGCACAGCCAAAACTGAACTCCTGATCTTCCCCCCACATAAATGGTAACTCTGTCCTTCAAGTTGCCATTTAAAACACTTTAGAGTCACCCGACTCTCCTCTCTTTCATACTCCCCATCTGAAAATTATATTAGCACTAGTTTCATAATATATTCTGAAACTGCCTAGTTCCTACTACCTTCATAAGCCACAATCACCTCTCACTGAGATGGCTGCAAAAACTTTCTAACTGGTCTTCCTACTCTACCCTTGCCGCACCTCCCAGGGTCTAATCTCAACACAGCAGCTGGAATCTGCTTTAATAGAATGCTTTAACAACGGCTCTGCTCAACTCCTCAATGGATTCCCATTACATTCAGAGTAAAAGCCAAAGTCTTATAATGGCCTGTAATGCTCCATGTGATCTGTTCCCCATCTATATCCCTGACCCCTCATCTCCTCCTTTTTTTTTTTTTTTTTTTCCAAGTCTCGCTCTGTCGCCCAGGCTGGAGTGCAGTGGCGTGATCTCGGCTCACTGCAAGCTCCACCTCCCGGGTTCACGCCATTCTTCTGCCTCAGCCTCCGGAGTAGCTGGGACTACAGGCGCCCGCCACTATGCCCGGCTAATTTTTTGTCTTTTTAGTAGAGACGGGGTTTCACTGTGTTAGCCAGGATGGTCTCGATCTCCTGACCTCGTGATCCGCCCGCCTCGGCCTCCCAAAGCGCTTGGATTACAGGCGTGAGCCACCGCGCACAGCCTCTCCTACTTCTTACCCCTTCATTTACTGGGCTCCAGCCACACTGGCCTCCTTGCTAGTCTTTAAAAATGCCATATACCTTCCCAAGTTCTCACTGGCTGCATTCTGCCTGGAATGCTCTTGTCCAGGCGGAGATATGCCACATGGCTCTCTCACCACCTTAAAATTTTTGTTTGAGCTCCACCTTTTCAGGAAAGCCTACAGCCACCAAGCACCTAAAACTGCAACCTGGCGCATGCAGAGTACTTGATGAATGTTTGTTAAATCATTTGCCAATAAATGAACTATGTGGGTCAAGTGAAATACTATCTGAAGCCATTGTAGTAATGCCCCATGGGTTTTATTTTTTAAGGAGAGAACTAAAATACATGAAAACTAAACCCAGAGAATTAAAATACATGACAATAATAACATACAAATCAAGAGGGCTGTAATTGGAGTTACAGTAAGTTAAAGAGGGATGCAATATGGAGAAAGTAAAGATATTGATTAATTTTAAACTATTACAAGACAGCCAGACACAGGAGTGTATATTGTAGGAACTTGCTGCCTAAAAACGAGCAAAATGAATCTCTGGTGATAGAGGTGAGGACAGCTGTGAGCTCAGGAATGGGTATGTGTGTCAATGACTAGAGAGGGACATTAGAGGGGCTTCCGGGGAGCTATGTGTTTGTCACAGGGCTGCGCTCCCGTTGCCTAAATTCACTGAGCTGTGTACTACGAGTTGTTCTTTTCTGGGGGTATAGATGTCACACTTAAATGGTAACCACTAAAAAAATTAGAATGCAGTGAATAACTTCCAAAGTAGAAGAGGGGGGAAAGAAATAAGAGGAAAAAACAAAACAAAACAAAAAACCTCAATCTAAAAGAAAGCAATAAAGGGAAAGAAAGAGCCAAAAAGGTAAACGAATAGAAATTATAAAATAAGATAATTGAAATTCATCTATGTATATCAAGAAGTACAATGAATGAGAATGTATAAATATATCAGTTAAAAGACAAGAAATTTCAAACTAGATATTTTAAAAATTCGATTATATCCTGTTTATAAGGGACACATGTAAACAGAACAAAGGATATAAAAAGGATGAAATTACAGCATTGGGAAAGATACCTCAGAAAAATACCAAGCAAAAGTATGCAGGTAAATGGTGTTAATGAATAACAGACCAAAAAAAGAAAAAAAAAAAAAAAAAAGGCTTCCAGGCAAAAAGCCTTATTAGAAATAGAGGGTTATATAATCCCTTTACTATTAAGTACTGAAGGATGTAATTCTCAATTTGCCCACCTAATAACATAACCTCAGAACTGGCAGAGCTACAAAGGGAAATACATGAGGACAACTCTCACTAAATAGTAGACTGAACTGACAAAAAATTAGGAAGCAGATCAAAGATATCAATGGCACCATTAATAAACTTAATCTGATGAACATGTATGTAGAATATAGTCAACAACTGTAAAATATACTTTCTTTTTATGCGCACATTGACCATTAATATTGGTGTATGTCAGGCTCTAAGACTAGGCTCAGCAGCTTTCAAGGGATTGGTATCACAGACTATATTCTCTAACCAGAATGCAAAAAGACTAGAAATCAAAAAAACAGGAAAGTACTTATTTCCAGTAATTTAAAAAACACATATCAATGGTGAAGAGAAATCAAAATAGATATGTTTAGAAGCAAACAGTAAGAAATAGATTGCACATCAAAACTTACGAGATAAAGCCACAGCAGTACTTGAAGGAAATTTATAACCTTAAATATTTATATTAGAAAAGAAGAAAGGCTGCATTAAAAAGCTAAGCTTCAAATAAAGGAAGGAAATAATAAAGATAGGAACAGAAAGCTTCAAAACAGAACAAACATACAAGGGAGAGCTTGGGAGACATTACTATAAATTCTGTGGAGATTAAACCCATAATAAAGGAATAACATAAGCAACATTTTAACAATACATTTGAAAATTTAGATGAAATGGACAAATTATAAGTGTGGTAAGTCTAGATTGTATTTTTTATATTTAAAAAATTTGTAATATTCATTTTAACACATGCTTAAAATTAAAACGACATCATACTTAAAACAAAAAAAACCATACCATTTATAGGCAGAAAACCTTTGTTTTTTTAACTTCAAAACTCAGGTGACTGAGCATAAAAACTGTGGGTTTTTTCTTTTAACCCACAGCAGAGACAGGAAACCCCACCTAGGTGCATTAGGTGCCTCAAAAGGGTACAACGCTAGCAGGACTAAGCAGTTCAGATGCAGTCCAGAAACAGCAATCACTTGCTCCAAATAGAAAAATGAAGCTTCACTGACAGCTGACATCTGCACCATGCTTCACAGTATCTGAAGATTTTTTTTCCTATGTACATCAGCTATTTAAGTAGACACACATTTTCTTACATTTAAGATAAATAATAGTTAACGGCTACCACTTATTAGACATATATGTGTCAGGAACTGTCCTGGATGGCTTACATACGTTCTTTTCAAGCTTTACAGCACAACCAGATGCTGTAATCCCAGTTTTACAAATTAACAATCAGTAGACTGATTTGCTCATAGACTCACTCTTTTTTTTTTTTAGGTAAATAAATAATTATTGTTCATTTATTTGACTATGAAAGAAGAAAACAAACATTTATTGAGTGCCATTTATTTTTAAACTGTACAAGTCTGTGAGGTAAGTACGGCTACCTCTACTTTTATATAAAGGGAATTTACACAATTGGCTTAAGGTTGAAGAAATAGTGTCCAGGTTCAAAATCTGGTGTTCCTCATTCTGAAATCACATAGTCTGTATATTGGGCCACACATAAAAAGGAAAATAGTTTATCTTCTTCTCTCTTGCAAATAAGGACGGAGTTATTTTCTAGTGAGAAATAATTCTTATACACTTTGGTTACTGGAAACTTACTTTTTTCAGATGATGCATTAAATAAAGAAACCAGAGCTTAGCTTTACCTCTTTTGATATTGAAGTACATTAGCTGTGTCTCAAGGATAGGGGCTCCCATATATCCATGCTGCCTTAATAGGGGCTATAGTCTCAAGAGGATCTGTGCATTCTCTCCCATCACCCTACCTCTCACCTGAACTTTTGGAAAGATAATCTGGCCTGGAAGGAGAAGAAAATGGAGACAGAAATTTCCCCGGGTGAATTCTCACCATATAAGAAGTGAATCTGTAAGTAGCATTTAACACTGTATTATATATTGCAGTTTTTAAATACATGTCTTATATCTCCTACTCTCCTATAAGCATCTGCTCATAGACTCACTCTTAACCACGTGGGTACAAGATGCAAACCCAAGTCTAGCTGATGCCTCCCTTCATCCATCCTTTTAAACAGGAGGGCTCCAGGCAGGAAGTTGTCCACAGAGCCACAGTGAGTTCAAAAGAGGCTCTGTCCAAGATCAGCCCACCACAGCTCATACAAAGCACCCACCTTCTGGATGATGTTTCGCAGAGCAAAATACTTCTCAGTGAGGTCCCCAGCCTCACTCAGTGGGGCATCATAGTCGTAGCTGGTGGGCTGTGCTGCATAGGGTGAGTTGGCCCCTAGAAGACAAAAATGTGCCACTAGTTATTACTGATGGTGCAGCTCTGGGACAAGTTCTTTGGGATCCATGAGCTCAGCACTGTAGAGAGAGAAAACTAGAAGACACATTAAAACCACTTGTTGGGAGACACAGACGTGACCCTCAGGATGCAACGTTTAGAGGAAGGAATTTCTTTCTACAGGTAGCAGTTACCAGGCACCTTAGAGTTTACCAAGGACTCTTTCCATCCACTCTCTACAGAAGCTCACAGCTGTGATTCTAGCAGGTATCACCCCCACTGGACAAGCAGGGAATCTGAAGCTCCCCACAAAAATCTGCTAACACCTCACAAGCAGTAATGGCAGGGCTTATGATATGACCCCCATCTCTGACTGTTAATCCTGTCAACTCTGAACTTTTTCACGTCCTCAAGCTGTGGCTGAGAAAAGCTCAGTGGTGAAGACACAGATGACTAGGCCATGGATCAGCAGAAAACCCAGGGCTTATTAAACCAAACACAGCGGGAGATGACAGCAGACCCACATCAGCCACAGAGGTTCAAACATAATCCGAGGGCCTTTGTTGCATCTACAAAGACTGTCGATGGGGCTGTGGTGCACCTCTTGGATCCCCCTTTAGAACCAGGGCACTCACTCATTCTCCCAGCAGCTAGGGCTGTTGTCTGCTGACATTTCTCAGATGTGTCCGTCTCTGGGTGCTGGCCTGTGCTGAGCTGCCTCACCCAAGGTTACAACCCTCAGGGATAGCCCACATCCAACAACTGACCAATGTGCCTCGAACAGCCAACCCAGCTGCAGAGCTCCCTCTAAGATTGGATGAGGCCACTTGTGAAGCTGCATCATAGCCCCACTTCTCCCTCTCTATCCTACAGGCATTGCTCCAGAGAGCACAATCAATAAGCTTTCTACCAGGTAATCTCAGAGTCTGTTTCCCTGGGAACTTGACCTACAACAAAGACCAATGGATAATGCCAACACTGAGTATACAAAAGGACTAGAAAAACAAATGCCCCTGCAGTCACTGTGCAAGGGGCGGGGTCTAGACCAGAGGATCCCGACCTTGTCAGGGATGATGTTCACAGGTATGAGGTTGTCTGCAACATTGGGTGGTACTTCAAAAACTTACCCATGCTTAAGTGTCACATGGAGAGCTTGTTAAAACAGATTCCTAAGCCCCATCCCAGAGATTCTAATTCAGCAGGTCTGGAGTGGGGCCTGAAACTGCATTTCTAACAGGTGTCCAGGTGACGCTGATGCTGCCATCCATAGACCAGCAAGGCTTTGTGCCTTCCTCCTCTACTTCAGAGAGCATATTGCAATGCAAGTGTGTGAGAATGAAGTTATTTTAGGAATAGTCTTTTGTCCAACCTAATTTGTACATCAATGAGGCACAAAACATGATAGTTTACCTAGGATTAGTAATAAATTCCTTGGATGCAGCTCACCAATGATGGAGCCACCTTGGGTGACCTACTGGTTGTGGAGGTGACAGATGAGCAAGGCTGAGGATCAGATCAAGCAGGTCAGCTCCAAAGACTTTTTCATTAGTTCTCTGCACAGAATCTAAACTTTGAAAGATCTGGACCACTCAACCAACTGAACTGATCTAGTCATACCATTTCCCCCATTTCTTATTAATCAGAGACAACTCACAGCCAACAGGTCTGCCTGCCTTAAGGGATTCATAGGTTAAAACACATCCCTTCCTGTGAGACACAAAGAAAAAAAAAAACCCACATCCGTTGCTGCAAGGAACTCACCTTCTTTGTGGCCCTCGTCTGCTTCTAATGTGGTAGTCACCCATGCTGTGCTGTGTTTCTTATTTGTTATGTCTCTCTCCATGCTACACTGCTTGCACCTCAGGGGCAGAGACTGTGCCTCACTTGCCCTTGAGTCCTTAGCCAGAGCCCAGCATGGAGGGGGTTGCCAGGTTGAGTTGGGAAAGTGTGACCTCTAGAAGCACACTTTACAGGCCGAGGGAGCCCAGGCTGGGAAGCTGTCCAGTGGGTTTAAGGATGGATTGGAAGACTAAGTATTTGTTCTAGTTCTACTGGCAGAATCTTACTTTGGGTGTTTTTAGACCACCAAAGGGCAGCATCGCAGAGAAATGGTGCAGATTCAAGCCTCCTCTGGCCACTTAAGAGGGTGTGAGGTGGGAAGGTGAAAGAAATGGTGAGACTTTGCATTCATCAACATTCCACATTGTGTGAGAAGTACAGGAGCGCCTGGACCCTGTAGGCAGCCATCACACAGCTGTGGACACACACAGGTGTGGAGGAAGGAGACACACACCTGCACAGGCAGGTGCATGTTCCTGTGGGTGGGATGGGCAGTGAACTCCCCACTCCTGATGCCTTTCTCTCCCTGCTCTCCTCTAGGAAGCTGGCCTGAAGAACAGCTGCTAAGTACAGACTGGCCTTCTCTCACTTCCTCAAAGAGACAGGGCAAAAAGCAGCTTCAGGGAGGCTTGGCAGAACACAGTGGGGTGGGTGTGGGGGCTGGCTCAGGGGCTCCAGGGTGCAAAGGGTGATCCAAAGCGCAGTGACTCTGGCTCACCACCACCTGAGTTCCAGTCCAAGCTTCACCCCTTGCCAGCTGAACAGAAAACGTGTGGACTTTTTTTTGTATTCAGCTATTCTTATCTGAAAAGTGGTGCTGATAATCTCTAATTAAGATGAGGCTAATATGCAGGCTAAATAAGGCAACAGAGGAAGAAAGGGGAATTCTATGGATTATGGCAGAGGGAGGGGCAGGAGAGAGGATTAAGGACAACATTTATGTTCTGACAGTTTCTATAATGTCCAATTTTTTTTTAAGATGAATGTGTTATTTTAAGTATAACAGTAAGATTTTTAAAAAATTGTGTCATGAACCATAAAGTTCCAAAAACGATGCCTTTTTTCCTGGATCGGATGATTGGTCCCGATCCCATCAATGGCAGCTAGGGGGAATCCCCATCTACTAAGTGAAAAAGGCACCCACCAGGTCTCAACTGTTTCTCATAAGATGAACACAGAGGGATTATCTAAAATATCAGTGACCAACCTTGGCACACTATTATCTTTTCCTTTTTTTTAATTTAATTTAAGTTCCGGGATATATGTGCAGGACGTGTAGGTTTGTTACATAGGTAAACGTGTGCCATGGTGGTTTGCCACACCTATCAACTGGTCACTTAGGTATTTATTTTATTTTATTTTTGAGACAAAGTCTCACCCTGTCACCCAGGCTGGAGTGCAATGGCACGATCTCAGCTCACTGCAACCTCCACCACCTGGGTTCAAGTGATTCTCCTGCCTCAGTCTCCCGAGTAGCTGGGATTACAGGTGAGCGCCACCACAACCAGCTAATTTTTTGTATCTTTAGTAGAGACAAGGTTTCACCATGTTGGCCAGGCTGGTCTCAAACTCCTGACCTCGTGATCCACGCACCTCAGCCTCCCAAAGTGCCGGGATTACAGGCGTGAGCCACCGCACCCAGCCTGGTCACCTAGGTATTAAGCCCTGCATGCATTAGCTATTCATCCTGATGCTCTCCCTCCCCTCACCCACCCAGACACGCCCCAGGCACACTATTATCTTATATGCAGTGACATTTGAGTTTTGCAATATCTTCATTTCTTGGCTCTACTAATAGTATTAAAATTGATAATGCTTGTAAGCGATGTCTTCTCCTAGCCCATCTCAGCCTGCAAAAAAGATAGCAGTTCAAAGGAGAAACTTCATTAAGAGCTGATAGTATCCAATTTCAGATCCTGAGAGATTTAGGCCCAAACTAAGCCTTCAAAACTCAACAGCTGGGCATCCTCCATGATTCAGAGAGAAAAATGCAAATAAAGAGACAGGTGGGAAATGAAGCTTAGCGAAAAGCCAGTACAGCATCATCTGTCTTTGCAAAAAAACAACAAAAATCAAAGACGTTACAGAAAAATTTTGTCATAATTTTTCCTACACAAAAAAATACAGAAATGTAAAGTGGTGTGGCCTTTTTGGGAAACACTATGGCAGTTCCTGAAACTCTAAACATAGAGTTACCATATGACACAGCCGTTCCACTTCTTGGTATACACCCAAAGGAACTGAAACAGGAATTCAAACAAATCCTTGTACATCAATGTTCAAAGCAACACTATAACCAAAATGTGCAAATAACCCAAATGTCCATCAACCAATGAATGGATAAATAAAATACTGTACATCCACACAAGGGAATACTATTCAGCAATAAAAAGGAATGAAGCACTAGTACGTGCAACAACGTGGATGAGCGTTGAACACATTGGGCTAAATGAAAGAAGTCATACAGGTGTATATATGTGGTTCACTTATACGAAATGTTCAGAATTGGCAAACCCACAGGGACAGAAAGTATATTATTTCCAGGGGCTGAGAGGAGGGAGAGTGTGGAATGAATGCTAATGGGTATGGAGTTTCTTTTTGGGGTGATAAAATGTTTCTGAATTAGATAATGGTAATGGTTACACAACTTTGTGAATACAGTAAATACCACTGCATCATATACTTAAAAATTGTCAATTTTATGGTTTGTGAATTATACCTCAACAAAACAAAACGTTAAAAGAAAGAGACCACAGTAGAATATTTGAACAAATAAGCTACAGTTATAGACTGTGACTGAAGCCTGCCCAACTACCCTGGTTTAAAACAGTAAGGCTTCTAAATGCTCACATTTATTTCCCTTAAAAATTATTTTGTCCAGGCGCAGTGGCTCACGCCTGTAATCCCAGAACTTTGGGAGGCCAAGGCAGGTGGATCACGAGGTCAGGAGATCGAGACCACCCTGGCTAACACGGTGAAACCCCGTCTCTACTAAAAATACAAAAACAAAAATTAGCTGGGTGTGGTGGCGGGTGCCTGTAGTCCCAGCTACTCTGGAGGCTGCGGTGGGAGAATGATGTGAACCCGGGAGGCAGAGCTTGCAGTGAGCCAAGATTTGCACCTCTGCACTCCAGCCTGGGCGACAGAGCGAGACTGCGTCTCAAAAAAAAAAAAAAAAAAAAAAAGTAAGAAATATTATTTTTTAAAATTACATAGGTAATCCTTATATGTTAGAAAATTTAGGGCCAGGCATGGTGGCTCACGCCTGTAATCCTAGCATTTTGGGAGGCCAAAGTGGGAGGATCACTTGAGGTCAAGAGTTCAAGACCAGCCTGGCCAACATGGTGAAACCCCGTCTCTACTAAAAATGCAAAAACTTAGCCAGGCATGGTGGTGCATGCCTGTAATCCCATAATCCCAGCTACTTGGAGGCTGAGGCAGGAGGATCCCTTGAACCTGGGAGGTGGAGGCTGCAGTGAGTTGAGATTGTACCACTGCACTCCAGCCTGGGTGACAGAGTGAGACTGTCTACAAAAAAAAAAAAAAAAGAAAAAGAAAAAAAAAGAAAATTTAGGAGAGGATAAACAAAAAAAGGAAAATAAAATTGTCTGTGGGCACACCCCTCCTCAAATTAATCAACAGAAACATTCTAGCATAAGTTTCTACAGATATTAAAGTGCTCTTACCATTCCAATAGGCAAAATTGGTCCCACCTATAAACATGTACCTACAAGGAAACAAAAGAACACGGTACTTCACTGTGAGCCCATGGCTACTGAGGGCACCCTCCCCTCAGGCAATGAACACTCACAAGTTCACACTCGCCCCACGGGCAAGTATATCATAGAGGGAGGAAGCCACTGCTTCGGTCTTGATTGTGGAGTGAGGTTGGCCCCAGTGATCTAGCCAGCCAGTATAGAATTCAGAATTGATCTAAAACAAAAAAAGAACGTAGCCCTTAGGATAGACTTATGACCTTCCAATGCCAGGGCTTCCCTGCAATGCCCCATCTATGACAGGTGTAAAGGGGGTTGACATGCTGACATGCACTGCTTAACCCAGAGACGCCCCCCAGTGAGCACTTCCAATACCAGCAATGCCTATGTTCAGTCCTCAGGTTCTAACCTAAAGTAGATCTCATCTTATACAATGCAAGTATTCCTGAAAAGTGGTGCCTATATTAAAATTTAGATAGCTGATCCCCTGTTTAAACACAGTAGGAAAGTCTTGTTGGGCAAAGAAACTGGGTAGCAAAATATTTTTATAGAATAACAGCTCCAGGCCGGGCGCAGTGGCTCATGCCTGTAATCTCAGTACTTTGGGAGGCCGAGGTGGGCGGATCACAAGGTCTAGAGATTGAGACCCTCCTGGCCAACATGGTGAAACCCCATCTCAACTAAAAATACAAACATTAGCTGGGCATCGTGGTGCGCCCCTGTAGTCCCAGCTATCAGGAGCCTGAGGCAGGAGAATCGCTTGAACCCGGGAGGTGGAGAATGCAGTGAGCTGAGATCGCGCCACTGTACTACAGTCTGGCAACATAGTGAGACTCCATTTAAAAATAAATAAATAAATAACAGCTCCAAATTCAACCTTTGTATGAATCCAGATTTTCAGATCTCAGGTTGATTTATAACGAGGAAGGCTTGTCCCAGTATTCTGCAAAGCAGGCCTCAAACACTTCATGTTTTTCTTGGGCATTGCCCTGCCAAGCCTTGGTCTAGAGAACAAAAAAGAAGTCTGGACCTTCTTGTGGGGACTTCTTGTTTTAGGTTCCAGGAAATAGCTCCACCCAAAGTCTATGAATGCAGGGTCTGCACTGCTCACTAAGCAGAGACTAGACTCAGAAAAGGCTGTTTTATAAATCAGGCTTGTACACAGGTGGGGCAGTCTGACCTAGTGCAGAGAAGGCGCAGGATATTAACCCCTTAAACTGGGCTGAGTGACAACAAGAATAGCAACTTCAGCCAAAGACGGGAAGAACGGAGAGAGAAGGATTGATAGATTGTTGACACCCACCTGCAGCTTGCCAACCATCCCGGCTTAGCCACACACTGGCTATATGACCCTGGCAAGTGACATAGGTTCCCTGAGCCTCAATAAAAATGGAGACAATAAGACCACTTATGAGAGTTGCCCTGAGGACCAGATGAGACCAGGATGCAGGAGCACAGAACCTGATGTGTAACAGGCCATTCATGTTGGTCCCCAGTCTGTTCCACCCCAGTGCAGGAGCTCAATTTCAAATAGAAACATTGTTTCTGCTGTCATTCACATGTCCAGAATGGCTATGACTCCACAATCCCATTAGCTGCTGACTCCAGAGCCAAAAACATCAAGGGCCTACTGCCCAGTTTCAGCAGCATGTAACTTTTCTCTCTTAACAGCTGCAAACACACACCTCACCCTCGATTCTTACCAAGGGTCCTTTGGGCTCACACTTCCTCTGGCTTAGGAAAGCATCTGTGATGTTGCTGCCTGAAAATTGTAAGAGGGAGAAGGTAGGTCAGTCGTGGAAATGACAAGAAGTTAAATAACAAGAGCCCTTCATGGGACTCGGGCCTGAAGCCCTGCTACGGTCAGAATGTTAGTATCCCCCCAAAATTCTCATGTTGGAACTTAACACCCAAGATGATAGTATTAACAGGTGAGGCCACTGGAAGTGATTAAGTCATAAGGGCTCCACCTTCATGAATGGGATTAGTGCCCCTATAAAAACAGACTCCAGCCTGGCATGGTGGAGACCACCTGGCCAACATGGTGAAACCCCATCTCTACTAAAAATACAAAAATTAGCCAGGCATGGTGGCACACACTTGTAATCCCAGCTACTCAGGAGGCTGAGGCAGGAGAATTGCTTGAACCCGGGAGGTGGAGGTTGCAGTGAGCCGAGATCGTGCCACTGCACTCCAGCCTGGGCAACAGAGTGACACTCCATCTCAAAAATATTTTTTTTATTAAAAAAAATAATAATAATAAATAAATAAAAAGAGGCTCAACGGAGCTTCCTGACCATGTGAGGGCACAGCAAGAAGGCACGGCACCATTTTTGAAGCAGAGAGCAAGCCCTTGCCAGACACTGAATCTGCTGGCATCTTAATTTTGGACTTCACCACCTCTAGAACTGTGAGCAATAAATTTCTTTTGTTTATAAATTACCCAGTCTAAGATATTTTGTTATAGCAGCCCACACTGACTAAGACAGGCCCCTTTCCCTTCCCACACCCCATGGGCCTGGAATACTTCCAAGCTAGCTTCTGATTGGACCCATTTGAAGATGTGTGTGGACCAGAGAACATTGCTTCCTCTCTGAGGAGGTCCCCGTGGCCTTTCCTGTCTGCACAAGAGTTCCCTTCACAGGCCTGTCTTCTTTATCTGTGTTTCCCCAGGGCCTGGACACATATCTTGTGGGCTTATCTCTTCACAAGAACATCTGGTTGACCTGGATGCACCCCACAGGATGAGCCTGGTTTGAAGATACTTACAGCCTCAATAACACCATACACATGATACTACCACAAATATTTGCCAGTTAATTAAGAAATCAAAGGGATGTGGGGGCTCTAATTGTGTTTACCCCTGAATAATGGAATATACTCTGGATTCTAATTTGTACATCAGCCATTCCAAACCACTTGCTCTCAAGTTTTCCTCATGAAATGTCCCATTAGGGGTGTCTTGTCTTGCCTCTCGTGTCTTCTATTTTCCCTTCCTCCTCTAAAACAAAAAAGAATTTCTCCACAGAGAAGGAATGGGCTGCCAAACACTGGGGAAAGAGGAAGCATGAGCAGTGTCCACACCAACCCGAGCAGAGAATGCCCTGGCCCCACACTTCACAACCCAGTTCCCACAGCAGGTATCCCAGGGTGGACGTGGCCCCAGCCAAGACCCTCTGATAACCACTTGCTCTGAGATGGGCCTTTGGCTTCTCTGTAAGGCCAGCTTTCAGGACAGAATATGCTGATTGAGAAAGAGCAGAATCTCATTGGCTGTCTTTCTCACTATTAAGCATTAGGTGGCATTCAGCTCTTTAAACACTGTTCTCATGAGACCCATCGGGCAATGCCCCTCTCCCACACAAAGCAATGAAGCTGGCAAAAGCCTCAGACTGGAGGGCCCATCTGCCCCAGGCACCCTGGCCTTGTGGTTGTCTATTCTCCAACCCCTAGCAGTGACAGTCACGCTGTCACCTCACATACAAATTATGCTTAAAACACAATCATAATCACCTTCAATTTGTTCCTCCCAACAGAAAAATGCCGTGCTTTTTCATCGCTGTGATGAGAAGCCTGGCCAAAGCAGGAGGAAACCGGCATGTCACTTCCTCTGCAGCGCTTTGTATTAGGTTGGTGCAAAAGTAATTGTGGTTTTTGTCATGGTTTTCTTTTCTTTTTTTTTTTTTTTTTTGAGATGGAGTTTCGCTCTGTTGCCCAGGCTGGAGTGTAGTGGCGCAATCTCAGCTCACTGCAACCTCTGGCTCCCGGGTTCAAGCAATTCTCCTGCCTCAGCCTCCTAAGTAGCTGGGATTACAAAAGTGCGCCACCACGATTTTTGTACCAGCTAATTTTTGTATCTTTAGTGGAGATGGGGTTTCACCATGTTGGCCAGGCTGGTCTCAAACTCCTGAACTCATGATCCGCCTGCCTTGGCCTCCCAAACTGCTGGGATTACAGGTAGGAGGCACTGCGCTGGGCCCGTTTTTTTTTTTTAAAAGGCAAAAACTGCAATCACTTTTGCACCAACCTAACCAACCTAACGGATGAGTCCTTTTATCACCAAATGCTCTCGAAACACTCCATTCACTTAAGGTCAGTTCTTTTCTGTTCTTCTCTTTTTTGATAAGGTAGAAGAACCTCTTAAAAAATGTGACTACAGACCGGGCGCGGTGGCTCACGCCTGTAATCCCAACACTTTGGGAGGCCGAGGCAGGCAGATCATGTGAGGTTAGGAGTTTGAAACCAGCCGGGCCAACATGGTGAAACCCTGTCTCTACTAAAAATACAAAAATTAGCCAGGCGTGGTGGCAGGTGCCTGTAATCCCAGCTACTTGGGAGGCTGAGGTAGGAGAATGCTTGAACCCAGGAGGCAGAGGTTGCAGTAAGCCAGGATCGGGTCGTTGCACTCCAGCCTGGGCAACAAGAGCGAAACTCCACCTCAAAAAAAAAAAAAAAAAAAAAAAAAAAAAGCAACACCAGGCTAATTTCCTCATTTCAGTCTTCTGTACATCCCTCTTAAGAGAGGCAAACATTGGCTGTGCAATGCACATGAAGTGCCTTTTACCTCAGAGGGGAGAACATCAGGGTCTTTATGCTACTCAAGGAACTGGTCTTTTTTGTGTGTGTGTATCTTTTTTTTTTTTTGAGACAGGGTCTTGCTCTGTTGCCCAGCTTGGGGTGCAGTGGCACAATCACAGCTCACCGCAGCCTTGAACTCGTGGGCTCAAGTGATCTTCCCACCTCATCCTCCCTAGTAGCTAGGACTACAGGCACTTGCCACCATGCCTAGCCTGTAACTTTTTATTCTGCAGTGATTTCAAACTTACAGAATGTTGTAAGAATAGTACAAAAAAACTCTCCTATTCCCTTCACCTAGATTTCCCAATTGTTAGCATTTTACTAGATATACACTATCAGTTTCTCTATAAAAATATACATTTTTCTGAGCCACCTGAGAATAAATTGCAGATGTGATGGCCCTTTATCCCTAAATACATCAGTGTTCATTCTCTCAGAACAAAGGCATTCTTTAAATAAACACAATATACTTCTAAAAATCAGGAAATTATACTGATACAGTACTCTTATCTAATCTACAGACTTTATTCAAAGATTGCAATTTCTCAATAATGTCTTTCATAGCCACACACACAAAAAAAGTCCAGTCAGACATTTAGCTGTTGATATGGTTTGGATCTGTGTTAGATCTGTGTCCCCACCAAATCTCATGTCGAACTATAATCCCCAGTGTTGGAGGTAGGGCCTGGTGGCAGGCGACTGGATCGTGGGGGCAAAGTGCTTGTGAATGGGTTAGCACCATCCCCTCAGTGCTATTCTCCTGATAGTGAGTGAATGAGTTATGAGATCTGGTTGTTTAAAAGTATGTAGCACTTCCCTTCCTATCTCTTCCTCCCGCTCTGTCCATGTAAGACGTGCCTGCTTTCCCTTTGCCTTCTGCCATGATTTTAAGTTTCCTAAGGCCTCCCCAGAAGCTGTTGCCACCAGGCTTCCTATACAGCCTGTGAGTCCATTAAACCTCTTTTCTTTGTAAATTACCCAGTCTCTGGTATTTATTTAGGGCAGTGCAAGAATGGACGAATACAGCTGTCATATCCTTTATGAAAGCCACTCTCCTAAATGAAGTCTCTCTTAATATTACTTATGGCCAGAAGCATCCTAACCACATTGCCCACCCATCTGTAACCTTCACTTGCAGCATCTCCACAGTTTACACAGCACTGTGTAAGGAATCTGGCATAGCCTTTGTAGCATCTGCCAAACCACCTCCAGCCCTGACAGTTCAGTGTTCTAAGTTATGCAGAAAGACAACAAAGCATAAGGTAAGTTCCCAGCCAGTGGCTGACCTCAAGGTTGGCTACAGCCAAGGCATAACCCCGAGTGTCCTGCCAAGGTGGGAGGACAGGGAGGGCAGAAAGAGCAGAGAAGCGCGCCCCAGACACAGCCTAAAAGGTGACTGCCTCAAGGTAGAGCTTCTCACAGCTGGAGATGCCTACCTGCTTCTTCATCTTGGGTGGGCCAGCCTAGCCCCTGAGATAGCAGTACTCCATTTTCCAGGCTAGCTCCACCAGTGCTGAAAATGCAGCTACCCTGGAAGCTCTTGGCCTACAGATAACCCTCTGTTACTGAGGGGTGCAAGTATTCTATTCTACCTGTTCCTTGAAAAATGAAAACATGAAAAATCTCAATCTGCCCATGACACTTATAACAACAGCTGCCCAGAGCAACTGACTGAGTAAAAAGCTGATTTTAAGCTGCAATTTCTGTTACTACAAACACCAACCTGTTCCAAAGTCCACCGTGGTGTAGAGGCCCTGCAGGGCCCCACATTTCAGGAATGTTTTATGTGCTCCATCAGTGGTAAACAGAACCACATCATCCCCCAGATGGTGGCGAAAGCGCTTCTGCAGGAAGCGCAGGTAGTCAAAATCACAGGCAAAGTAGCTGCCATATTCATTTTCAACCTGTGAGTGAAAAAAGAGCAGGGAAAAATGAGGAGATCCTAATGTAGCCACCCTAATGCAAGCTTTTGTGTGGGAAAATATCTGAGCATCTGCTAAGATGACAAGGCTTAATGACTGCTGGAAAAATTTCCTTCACTCAGACCTCAAAACTGACTAAAAGAAAAAACACCAACAATTCACCATAAAAGTTTACCTCCTATTAACCCTCTCCCACCACTGAGAAATAAGAAAAACAAAAAACACCAAACTGGTGTTCAGATTGTAGTGGTATTCTTCCCTAGAATAGAAAGTAGATACTTTAAACATCACATAAATAATACCTTCCCATGGTAGAAATGCTAGAAAAATGAAAAGAAAACAGGAAAAGTATCCATTAATTCCATTGCCCAGAGATAATCACTGCAAGCATTTTAGTATACAGCCGTCTAGATTTACACAGACCCACACACTCCCCAAATATACGCAAATAATATACAGCAGTGTTTTCTTCCCTCAAAACTGGCATATTATATGCACCAATTGTAATTGTGTTTTCCCTTAATATACTATGCAAAATCTCCATGGCAATAAGAAGAAGGGTGAATGCCAGGGACAGACACAGCATGTTTATTTGACCTGCTGTCACACACACACCGGTGTTCAGTTTGTGCTCAATAACATCGGTGGTTCTCAACCAGGAGCTCTTTAGCCCCACAGGGGACATGTGGCTATGTCTGGAAATGTTTGAGGTTGTCATACCTCGGCAGACATGCTCATGGCATCCAGTGGGTAGAGGCCCAGGGATGCTGCCAGACATCCCACAGTGCACAGGGAAGCCCCACAATGAAGAATTATCAGGTGCAACATGGCAATAGTGCTGAGGGTGGGGTCCCTGCTCTGAAGCATGCATTCCCAGTGAGGTGGGTAGCATCCCCAAGGGGGTAAAAATTGATGCTTTGGGGATAAAAAAAATTATTCCTTATTTATATAAAACATACACACACACACACACACACACACACACACACACACACACACACACAGAGCAAATAAACCAATATACAATATCTCAGGTAATAAAATTTCATGGTGGAGAGGAGAAGGCAATTAGAAAAAAAGTTTAAAAGGGATCCTTGGGGGCAATGATGAAAAAATCAGGTTAAGAAACATTGCTCTGAAGCAATAAAACAAATGAACTTCAGCTCTACCCAATACACCAAAGAATCAGGAATATAATGTGAAGTGAAAGAAGCATGACACTGAAAAATACATACAGTACAATCCCCTTTAGAGAAAATTCAAAACAATCAAAACCAAACTATAAAGTCTGAGTACACACATAGGTGGTAAAAGTATAAAGAAAAGCAGAAAACTGATGGTCATAAGCGTCAGGACAGTGGGACGAAATGGTGTATGATCAACAAGGACACCTGGGAAGCTTCTAGGGCACTGGCCACGTGCTGTCTCCTGACCTTGGTTGGTGTTTATGTGGGTGTTCACACCATAGTGATTCATCATACTGCGCATTTACGTATGTATGCTATATTTCATTTATAAAAAATTAAAAAATACCCAACCATAACATTTTAACATGCACATAATACAAAAATATTTGTGATCCTGGGAATACATGATCTTTAAACGTAAGCACAAGAAACTGTGAGTCCCAGAAAAGAGGTGCTTAGCCTGAGTGCCTGGGAGAGATTGTTAGGGAAGGTTCCTTGGAGGGACAGCCCGAGGTAGCTCTAGAAGAAAAGGCTCTGAACTTGGGAAGGGAATGGGTAGAGGATATTCCTACATATTTGACATCACCAACAGCTCAATTTCATCCACGTGCAGAGTTGGAGAGTGGGAGAAGAATGGTGAGTGACAAAAATGAATTAAATGCTGCCGTCGTTATCTGCACAGTCCTGCCTCCCACAAGGTTTCATGAATGATCCTTCTCTCAGAGAGGATCCCTCTGGCAATACTTTCAGATTTGGGGTTCAAGAAGTAAAACAGACTGTAGCACGCATGCCCAGGACAGAGACTTCACTGGTCATGAAACCATCCTGGAAGAGGAAGTATTTGCTGCTTACAAGAGTAGAAAACTCCCATTGATGAGTTCCATGAAAGTTCCTTTTGCAATAATTTAGATAAATGCTAAGAAAAGCTTTGTAAATACTGGCAAAGTTCTTTTCTCCTCCTTTATAAGTGCTACTTACATGACTGTGTCTCCTTTTTATCATCTGGCTGTCAAGAAATTCAGAGCTAAAGATCTTAAAAGTTAGCTCCAGCAACTAAATGGTCTCACAGCCTCTGTACCTCATGTTCTCTTGAGCTCACCCCCATGCCCAAACCCAACCTTGGTTTTCTTATCATCTTGCTTTTCCAGGTCTTATTTATCCATTATCATCATTGTATCATATACTCTAAAATAAACAGGCTTGTAAAAAATGCGTACACATAATTTGGTTAGGTTTTGAGAGAGCGAGAAAAGCACAATTGCGAGGCAGCTTAGAGTTCTAGTCACAGGCACGGCTGGCAGGGGCCCAACTGTCTACATGTAAATCTGAGCTCTGCCACTTCCTACCCATGGGACTCCACCTGTAAAGTGTACCTAACTCGATGGGTTATCATGAGGATTAACTGAGTCAATACATGACTAGAACCTTGCACAGATCTGGCATCTAGTAAGTGCTCAAAATGTTAGCAGCTAAGACTCTACTCAAGTTCTATGTTACTACCAATTAGGAAAAAAAAAGGTGGGTGAAGGCTGGGGGTAGGTGAGACACACAAATGAAAAGGCTTGAAAAACCCATAGAAAAAGTCATGGCTAGGTTCAGAGGAACACCGATGTTTCTAGAGCAGGAGTCAACAAACTTTTTGAATAAAACACCAGGCTGGGCGTGGTGGCTCACGCCTGTAATCCTAGTACTTTGGGAGGCTGAGGCGGGTGGATCACTTGAGGTCAGGAGTTTGAAACCAGCCTGGCCAACATGGTGAAACCCCATCTCTACTAAAAATACAAAAAAAATTAGCCAGGCATGATGGCAGGTGCCTGTAATCCCAGCTATTTGAGAGGCTCAGGTGCGAGAATTGCTTGAACCCGGGAGGCAGAGGTTGCCATGAGCAGAGATTGCGCCACTGGATTCCAGCCTGGGTGACAGAGAAAACAAACAAACAAACAAACAAACAAAAAACCACCAGAGAGTAAATATTTTAGGTGTTGCAGCCATAGAGGTCTCCATCTCAACTACTCAACTCTGCCACTATAGTACAAAAGCGGCCACAGATGATATATAAACGGTGTGGCGATTCCAATATACTTTTACTTACAAAAAAATGTAGGTGGCAGCCATAATTTGCAGGTCTTTGTTTTAGAGTAACTGTCTCCATTCTGTAAGCTCCTTAAGCACCAGAGACTTTTAAAGATGTTGATCTTCCAAACAGTCATAAATAGGCTTATTACCTCATGATGAATGCCCTGTTAATTGGATGAAGTTAAGTTGTGGGTGGAAGGTCGTCCACTCCTAATTATTTTCACCTTGGATATTATCAATGGCTTTAGCTTTTTCAGGTAGAAACTGAGATAAACATCCACATATGCAAACCATCATAGGTGGCACTGGCTCAGCTAATCCCCCCAAAAGAGAAACATCTGCATATCTGACTGAATCATGACGATGAATAAAAGCACAGACCTGGTTTCCTGTATCTGTAACACAACAGTGTTGAGGGCCCTAAATGTTCTCAGACAGGGATTTAAGCCTTCTGGTCTGACTCATTTTTACCCTGGCTGCAAACACGTAGCTCCTCCCTGGCCATCTCAAACTCTGAGCACTGAGAGAGAAAACCAGCATCAAGAATTGAGGAAAGCCACCATTTTCTACCCTTCAACATGAATTAAGACAGAGACAGAAATCAGCTTTTACAGAAATCTTTATTTTTTTTGAGACAGAGTCTCACTTTTTTGCCCAGGCTGGAGTGCAGTGAGTGGTGTGATCACGGCTCACCACAGCCCCAACCTCCCAGGCTCAAGTGATCCTCCTGCCTCTGCCCCCTGAATGGCTGGGAACACGGGTGCATGGCAGCATACTCAGCTAATTTTTAAATTTTTTGTAGAGATGGAGTTTCACTATGTTGCCCAGGCTGGTCTTGAACTCCTGGGCTCAAGAGATCCTCCTGCCTCGGCCTCCCAAAGTGCTGGGATTACGGGCATTGAGCCATCAGCCTTGGCCCTTTTACAGAAATCTTCACACACAGAAATACTGTTTACAGGCCTGGCACAGTGGCTCATGGCTTTCATCCCAGCACTTTGGGAAGCTGAGGTGGGCGGATCATGAGGTCAAGAGATTGAGACCATCCTGACCAACATGGTGAAACCTCATCTCCACTAAAAATACACAAAATTAGCTGGCGTGGTTGCCCGCACCTGTAGTCCCAGCTATTCAGGAGGCTGAGGCAGGAGGATCACTTGAACCCAGGAGGTGGAGGTTGCAGTGAGCCGAGATCTCATCACTGCACTCAGCCTGGTGACAGAGAGAGACTCTGTCTCAAAAAACAAAAACAATAACAACAACGAAAAGAATTACTGTCTACAAATCCCCCGGTTCCTTCTTATCAAAGCAATCAGCTTCTATTCCATTCCAGAGCCGTTCGGTGGGTATGTGATGTGCACAAATGCATGATGTGCCCTCATGGCTACCAGGCAGAGGCGTGGAAGGCCAGGAGACTAGAGACACAGTGTGTCAGGGATGAAACTGCTCCCACATGTGCTTCACAAAAGGAGGCGACAGTGACGGTTCTGAAAGTCCTACGGAAGCCAATATGTCAACTGGGATGGCTTCCAGACAGAAGGAACACGTATAGGAACTGTGCGTCAGAAGGTAAGTAGGACAACCATGAAAGATGATGAAAGAATTTTGAACGATATGAAAAAGTGCTCATGACAAAGAATGAAGCAAAAAAAGCCACACAGAAAATAGGTCACACAGAATGAACTTACTCTGTAAGAAAGCAGAAAAAAAAGGCATAAAAAATATTCAAGGAAACTCCCAAAATGTGAAGAGCTTTGCTATGGCTCCTGAGGTTTGAGTAACAATTATGTTTTTTCTGCTTTCTTATGTCTATACTTGTTTATTTTGTAAACAAGGGGCAAAAATGATTAGTGGGATTCAAGCATGTGGAGATGGGAAGGGGAGAGGAGGAGGAGGAGGGGGACAGAGTCACCTGGCAGGACCCAGGGTCAAGTTAAAGTCATCTGAGGTTGCTAGGGATGGACACAAGAAGAAATATCTCCACACAGTCAACTTCATTCTCCTTTGCAGAATTAATACTTGATTATACTTTTTGTGGCATTTCCAAAACCAAAAGGGGCAGAAAAGTTGTGAGCAGAAATTGAAAGTGATTCAAGGAGAGGCAGAGACTGAAAAAAAGAGGGCATCAAAAGAGGGTTTGCACCTGAGGCCAGAAGAAAGGAAGAAGACACAGCCATGCAGAGCAAAGACGCACCCAAGTTTCAGACTTGATATCTTCATGTAGGAAAATGTGGTTCCTATTAGCTTAACCAGTACAGACACAAGATGGTAAAAACTAGGGGCACGTGGGGTGACTCACACATCCCTCTGTGAGCAGCAACCTGGCCTCTCTCAAGAAGACATCTCCTCCCACCACAAAGCCTCAGAACGGACACCCTGGCCAGTGCAGCCCTCTCAGCACCTCTGTCCACCGACACCTGAAAGGCAAAGCAGTGCCCATGCTCCCACCCTACTATGATCCATCCCCACAAGCTGCCCATAGTACTGTTCATAAGAAGGAAGCCTGGCCCACACTCCCCTAGGGAGTGCCACTTTGCATCCCTGGGATGTCCAGGATGCAGCCACTTTTACATAACTTTACTCTTTTCCATAAAAGCATCCCTGGTCATAGCTGGGCACGGTGGCTCACGCCTGTAATCCCAGCACTTTGGGAGGCTGAGGTGGGTGAATCACCTGAGGTCAGGAGTTTGAGACCAGCCTGGTCAACATGGTGAAACCCTGTCTCTACTAAAAATACAAAAACATAGCCAGGCATCGTGGTGCACGCCTGTAATGCCAGCTACTTGGGAGGCTGACACAGGAGGGTCGCCTGAACCTGGGAGGCAGAGGTTGCAGTGAGCCGAGATTGTGCCACTGCATTCCAGCCTGGGCGACAGAGCGAGACTCTGTCTCCTAAAAAAAAAAACAAAAAACCTTTACTCTTTTCCATAAGAGCATCCTTGGTCATAGCCGGGCACGGTGGCTCACGCCTGTAATCCCAGCACTTTGGAAGGCCAAGGCGGGCAGATCACCTGAGGTCAGGAGTTTGAGACCAGCCTGGCCAACATGGCGAAACCCCGTCTCTACTAAAAATACAAAAATTAGCCAGGCATGGTGGCATGCGCCTGTAATCCCAGCTACATGGGAGGCTGAGGTGGGAGAATTGCCTGAACTCAGAAGGCAGAGGTTGCAGTAAGCCGAGATTGCCCCACTGCACTCCAGCCTGGGCAACGGAATGAGACTCTCTCTCAAAAAAAAAAAAAAAAAAAAAAGAGCATCCATGGCATCCTTGGTCAATGTCCAATGAACATGGTTTTATGTTTCACCTAAGTAATTTTACCAACACCAAAAACTGTTAAAGTTCAATGTACCCCACAGTATATTAGTCCTTGCAGAGCCAAGAACACATAGAAGAAGGAGAATGGGGCAGGAAGTAAGAGAGGAAACATAACAGCCAGCCCCAATTGACCATATCCTTTTCCATTCCAGGGTTATCTGACTGTCAAGGCAGTGCCGATACCAAAGTGTTTCAGTCCACGCTGCATGCCTGCTGCCAGAAAACAATATTGCAGGAGAAACAGAGAGACAAACTCTGGGATCCACAGAATTAGGGTGCTATCCTAATTCTGCCACCTGCTGGCTGGGTGACCTTAGCCAAGTCACTTAACCTTTTCAAACTTCCTCACTGAAAAAAGAAGGTGGTTGGAAGAATTGAATAGCATTTACAAGGCACCCAGCACAAAGCCTGCCACATAGCAGGCATTCAAAAATGGCAATGCCTTCCCAAATGCAATTGAACTAAAAGCACTATCTGTGGCATTACCTCTTAAAGAAACAGACCTATGAGGCTCATGTCTGCATCACTTCTATCATTTATGTAATGTAGATGGATGGGAACCCCTCCCCCAATCCATCCATGCTCAACTCCAGGGTTACCTGCACTGTTATAACTGGCCCTCCATTCTGATAGAGGAGAGGCTTCATCTTGGGCAGAAGGACTCCCAACCACTTGTCCACAGCTGCCAGGTAATCTGGAAAACAAGAAAAGTTTAACACAAGCTTGTCCAACCCCAGCCTGTAAGCCACATGCAGCCCAGGATGGCTTTGAATGTGGCCCAACACAAATTCGTAAACTTTTTAAAAACATTCTGAGTTTTCTGGCTGGGTGCGGTGGCTCACGCCTGTAATCCCAGCACTTTGGGAGGCTGAGGCAGGCAGATCACCAGATGTCGGGAGTTCGAGACCAGCCTGACCAACATGGAGAAACCCCATCTCTACTAAAAATGCAAAATTAGCCAGGCTTGGTGGCGCATGCCTGTAATCCCAGCTACTTGGGAGGCTGAGGCAGGAGAATTGCTTGAACCCGGGGGGGCGGAGGTTGCGGTGAGCCAAGATCGCACCATTGCACTCCAGCCTGGGCAACAAGAGTGAAACTCTGTCTCAAAAAAAAAAAAAAAAAAAATTATGATTTAGTACAAAGAGACACCAGTGCAGCCTTATTACACCAGGGCTGGCAGCAGAGATCAGGATATACAGGACTCGACAAGTACCTTCTGAAGTAAAAGTCTCATAAAAGTTGTCCTGCATGTAGTTGTCTCCTCAGCTGAGCTCCTCAGGGGACGAGGACCAGTGTGCCTGTATCCATCTGCTATGGTTGGAATGTTTGTCCCTCTGAAACTCATGTTGAAATCGAATCCCCAATGTGGTAGTATTGAGAGGTGGGGCCTTTAAGAGGTGTTGAGTCATGAGGGCTCAGCCCTCATAAGTAGATCAATCCACTCATGGATTAATAGATTAATAGGTTAATGGATTCATGGGTCATCATGGGAATGGGACTGGTGGCTTTATAAGAAGAGGGAGAGAGATCTGAGCTAGGACACTCAGCCCCCTCACCATGTGATGCCCTGTGCCCCCTCAGGACTCTGCAGAGTCCCCACCAGCAAGAAGGCCCTCACCAGATATAGCCCCTCCACCTTGAACTTCTTGGCCTCCATAACTGTAGGAAATAAATGCTTTTCTTTATAAATTACTCAGTTTCAGGTATTCTGTTACAAGCAACAGAAAACAGACTAAGACCATCCTTGCCACAGGACACAAAGCCTGGAGCATAGAACATATCCAAGCAATGTTTGCTGAATGAAGAAAAGAGTGACTGAACAGTGTATCCTCTTCTCAGTCACAGGAAGGCTTTTTTTCCGTATAAAATGAAGTTCTAATAAATTCTATATTTATATTGTCAAATAGGAATAATAAATGTACATGCCACATAAAGTTGGCATAAAGATTAAATGAGTTACCACAGTGAAAACACCAATAATATGCTAAGCGTGCAAAACATGAAGGTACTGGAGTAAGACAAAGAAAAAAACTATCATTTACACATTGCTCTATAAAAGTGGCCAGAATATAGAAGGCATTGCAGCTACCAAGCAATCCAATGACACCATCCCAGAAACTGTCATTTTGTTTTTATTTCTTTTTTTTTTTTTTTTTGAGACAGAGTTTCGCTCTTGTTGCCCAGGCAGGAATGCAATGGCGCAATCTGGGCTCACTGCAACCTCTGCCTCCCAGCTTCAAGCAATTCTCCTGCCTCAGCCTCCCGAGTAGCTGGGATTACAGGCATGCACCACCACACCCAGCTAATTTTGTATTTTTTAGTAGAGACAGGGTTTCCTCATGTTGGTCAGGCTGGTCTCGAACTCCTGACCTCAGGTGATCCACCCACCTCGGCCTCCCAAAGTGCTGGGATTACAGGCATGAGCCACTACGCCCGACCTTATTTCTTTTTTTGAGACAAAGTCCCTCTCTGTTGCCCAGGATGGAGTGCAGTGGTACAATCATGGCTCACTGCAGTCTCAACCTCCCAGGCTCAAGCAATCCTCCCACCTCAGCCTCCCGGACTACAGGCATGTGCCAGCACACCTGGCTAATTTTTATAGAGATAGGGTCTCGCTATGTTACCTAGGCTGGTATCAAACTCCTGGGCTCAAGCAATCCCTCCACTTTGGCCTCCCAAAGTGCTGAGATTACAAGTGTGAGTCACCATGCCTGACTTGTCATTTTGATTAGCGAGGTGCTATCATTGGCTGTGGAATATGCTAAGTAAATAGGAAGAGAAAGCACTGAAGTCAGTTGGTCAACCGCAAACAGGGTTCAATACCAATTCAAAGAATTACCAGTTTATCAGTAAGATCTGGTTACGTAGTTCAAAGCCTAATTTCCTAGAGGTTTAGTTTGTTGCTATGCACTGGTCAGTGATAAACACTCAGACTTTCACTAAACTTTCAAAAGTATTTGTGCAGAGGTACCCCAGCCTTCAAAATACCTCCCCCTTTTGATATAAATTGTTGAAGCTTTTTTGTTTGTTTGTTTGTTTTGAGACAGAGTCACGCTTTGTCACCCAGGCTATAGTGCATTGATACGATCTCGGTTCACTGCAACTTCCGCCTCCAGGGTTCAAGCAATCCTTCTGCCTCAGCCTCCTGAGTAGCTGGGATTACAGGCGCCCACCACCATGCCCAGCTAATTTTTTGTATTTTTAGTAGGGGCGAGGTTTTGCCATTTTGGCCAGCCTGGTCTCGAACTCCCAACCTCAGGTAATCCACCCGCCTCAGCCTCCCAAAGTGTCAGGATTACAGGCGTGAGCCACCGCACCTAGGCTGAAGCTTTTATAAATCTTCTCAAGACATCTGTAACAACCTACCTGGGTCGGAGGAGCGGAGAAGAATAGACTCTTTCTCTAGCAGCCAAGCAGGTAATCCTCCCTAGTTCAGGGAAAACAAGCCATTATAATGTCTGTTCCGTGAAGGGTGCTCAGAGGAGATAGAAATTACTATTAGTAGTTATGGAAAAGAATAAAAGCTTCAAGGGACAAGGGGTATTTGAGCTGGGCTTTTTGGTTTATAACTTGCAGAGAAATTAGAAATTGGAATGTAGGACAATTAAGATCACTCTGCATGAATGCAATGTTTTAAGGACCAAAGCCCTTTTCATAAAGATTTTTCAATTTAATTTCACAAATACCCTGTGACGTAGATAGAGAAGACACCATTAACTGCTTCTTACAGATGAGCAAGCTGAGGTATGTGAGTGACCACCAAGAGGAGAGCCCATGCCCTGACCCTGGCCTGTTTCTCTGCCTGGGCACCTTGTCAAGGTAAAAGACACCTGTGCTGGGTACAGTCCCAGGCCCCATGCTCTCTGGAATGCAGGTCTGCTTTAATTCCCTTTGCCCCAGAGCTGCTGCCTGCCAGCTCACACACACCAGGTAGAGCCCAGTCTAGCCACACTCACCATTTCCCACTCTGCACAGATGTAGGGCCCGGGCCTCAGGATAACCAGCAGTCCCAGCTCATGAGCCAGCCGAAGAAAATATTCCACATCATGGTCCTCAGAAAACTGGTACTGTCCTGGCCAGGGCTCATGAAAGTTCCAGGGCACATACCTGCCAAGACACACACAGCCCCTTCCTGGATACTTGGCAGAGTCAAGAAGAAAGAAGCGTGGGGAAAGGGCCTCATTAGGACTATTGCTAACACATGGATAAGAGGGAGAAGGCGCTTTGAAAGAAAAATTATCCAAGGCTGGGCACAGTGGCTCAGGCCTCTAATCCCAGCACTCTGGGAAGTCACGGTGGGTGGATGGCTTGAGCCCAGGAGTTTGACACCAGCCTGGAAAACATGGTGAAACCCCGTCTCTACAAAAAACACAAAAAAATTAGCCAGGGTGTATGCCTGTGGTCCCAGTTACCCTGGAGGCTTGAGGTGGAGGTTTGCTTAAGCTAGGGAGGTTGAAGCTGCAGTGAGCTGTGATTGTGCCACTGCACTCCAAACTGGATGACAGAGTGAGACCCTGTGTCAAAATAAAGAAAGAAAAGAAAAGAAAAATTATCCAGAATTTGGATATAAGGCAAAAGGGTGACTGCATTTCCTTTCCATGTTATAATGGAGGACTGTCCAATGGGCCCACTGAGGCTTCCTTCATTCTCCAGGGGAGATATTTTGTTTGACTTACTATTTACTATTGATTAAGGGAAGAACTTTGAAGTTACAGATTAATTTGTAGATTATTGCCTGAGAGAGAAACAAATGATTGTCATACAGAGAAGACAACTCTAAAGGTTGCTTTTTCATTCATTGCCCTTTATGATACTAACCAGTTTTATCTCTAAAGATAACTTTATTTGAACATGACTTTCTTGACTGACCGTAAACCTCCCTTCCTCAAATTCTCCTTTGAATTAGCTTTACCATCTAGCTAGTTTCCTCAGTAATAAGTTAAATAAATTTTTAAAAACTTTTATTTTAGGTTCAGGGGTACATGTGCAGGTTTGTTATACAGGTAAATTGCGTGTCATGGGGGTTTGGTGTACAGATTATTTAGTCACCCAGATAATCTGCCTAGTACACGATAGGGGAACTCACCCTCCTCCCACCCTCCACCCTCAAGTAGGCCCCATTGTCTGTTGTTCCCTTCTTTGTGTCCATATGTACTCGATGTTTAGCTACCACTTATAAGTGAGAACATGTGGTATTTGGTTTTCTGTCCCTGTGTTTGCTCAGGATAATAGCCTCCAGCTGCATCCAGTTTGCTGTAAAGGACATGATCTCATTCTTTTTTGTGATTTTTGTAGTATTCCATGGTGTATATGTACCACATTTTCTTTATCCAGTTAAATAAATTTCTGACATATGTCCATTATATACTTGTTTGTAAGTCAGGTTTTTAGCTTTTTGTAATTATATTTTGCATAAATAATTGAATTGAGGTGCTCTGTGGAAGGGGAAAGAGCTCAAAAATCCAGTATCCTACATAAATTTCTAAACTGTCTATAGAGAAAGATATGGTGTAGAACCATAAACCACAGGACACATAGACCTTCCCGCTTGGCAGCCTCTTGGGAGGGGCCTTGTTATGAATTTTTACAGCAGCTCCCCAAGCTAGTCAGACTTCATGGGGACACTTCTTAAAATCAACAACAACAACAGAAAACTCCAGAGTTATATCAGCACTAATTCCTATTACATAAAAATTATAGCTGGGCACAGTAGCTCTCTTCTGTAATCCCTGCACTCTGGGAGGCCAAAGCAGTAGGATCGCTTGAGTCCAGGAGTTGAAGACCACCATGGGAAACATAGTGAGACCTCATCTCTAAAAACAAAGCAAAACAAAAAAATTAGCTGGTGTGGTAGCAGTGCCTGTAATCCCAACTACTCAGGAGGCTGAGGTGGGAGGATCACCTGAGCCCACTTTAAGGTTTCAGTGAACTATGATTGAGCCACTACATTCCAGCCAGGTGACAGAGCAAGACCCCAGCTCTAAAAAATTGTTTTAATAAATAAAAATAAAAATTATATATGTCCATGTGAGGCTTAGGAAAAATAAGAATATTTTGCTGAAAAGTAGTAAGAGACATATTTATTTTTTGAAGAAATAATTTTTAGTACGTGTAGGAAAAACTCCAAGCCCTAGATCCTCTGACAAAAGATTTTGTCAGGAATCATGTGGCAGGAGGTAAAATGACAAAACCTTCTACCAGCTCCTCTGTCTACCTACAGACAGCATGGGATACAAAGTTAAATATGGAGCCATCCATTACCATCACAAAGCTCTCTTTGAAGACCCTGGGTTGTGTCATTTTGCGTGTGTGTGATCCCATGATTTCAGGGTTCCCTGGAACAGTCTTGGTCTTCCAGAACTCACTGTCGGAATTATAAACAGGTGAACTTGGGTTCACTCTGCCAGTGGCCTTAGAACCAGAATAATGAGCGCATTCTCCCTAAGTATCTATCTTCGGAATCTGCCTCTGGGTTTTCTCACTCTTCATCTTTGAGAAGTTATCAGCAATCCACATCAGCACTGCAAGAGCCAGAGCAGCCAGCCACACCAACTTTCTTGCCTGTTAGTTAGTTACTTTGCAATAGCAAAAGAGATGCAGAGAGATAGCTATTGGGATAATTCTACACCCTGAAGTTATACAATTACCGCAGCAGAACCACAAAGCCAAACTGGGTTTCAGAAATCTACCTAAGCACAAGGCTTATTCTGTTATTGGGGCTCAGAAAACAATACCCCAAAGTATGGCACCTTGGCATGCTAAGTACTTTGAACTAAAGGAGATCGGAAGGCCTTAGAAGCAAATCTTCTTTCTCTGGCCTTCTCCTGCTCTTCTGTTGCCCACCCCTCCTTCTCCCCTGAAGCAAGTCAAACCAGAATTCATCTTCCCCCAGTGTGGGTCATAGAAATTAGAACCCCTCTCTCCCAAAGCAAGCCAGAAAACCTAGAAAGGTCACCTCTCCCTTCTCCCTTCTAGACCCTCATTGCAGAGGGGTCCTGCTCCATACCCAGAAGGAAGGAATGCCACCCAGAAAGGCCAAGAAGAATCTGTTGAGGCAGGCCTTGAGGGTTTCCCACTTCAGTCCACCACCATTAGGTCAGAACCTTTCATGGAATCTAAGTGTAAAAAGTTTTCCTTGGGTCTTCTTTTCTGAAGACTCTCATGTCAGATAAAACTTACATATCTGTTATGCTTTTCTCCTGTTAACCTAGCTTTTTGTATGACTACAGCCATACCTGTGCTACAGCTGCCTGCATGCCTTCCCTTCCCTTCAAATACTAGCTGAACCTCTGACCAAAGATATGGCCTTGGGCAAATTTCAGTTTCACCAGCTATAAACAGGAACAATAATACCTATCTCGAGGAAATGGAATCATTAGTATAAAGTGCCCTGTATCTGGTAAGTGCTCAATCATTGTTACTTCTGTTTGCTTCCCCCATCCTTTTCCTTTTTAAGCTATTTATTTAATGATTTCTGATGATTAAAATTGAAGATTGGAAGAAGTAGTTAATTATTTGAAAAAGGGCCAGTCCGGCTCATGACAAGCCCCTCCCAGAACATCACACTGGACCATTTCCCATTTCTGAGCAATAAAATAGCCACCCTGAGAAATACAGTTGTATCTTCTCTCCAGAGTGGGTGTTCAGGCCTAGGTGAGAGCCACATGCCCTCCTACTTACGTCTGGATGGCGTTCAGCCCAGCCATCTTCATCTTCAGCAGCCGGTCCTTCCAGTAGAAGCGGGGCACACGGGAGTAGTGAATGCTTCCTGAGATGTAGCGAAATGGCTGGCCATCCTTGAGGAAGGAGTCCCGGCTATAGTCAATTTCAAACATCCTCTGGGTGGCATTCTACAGAGCAAGGATGGGGTCACATGAGAACTTCCACCTTCTGCATTTCAGAAGCCGATCCTTTGAGAGTAGCAAGTGACTCTCTGCCTATTGAATTTGTATAATGTGCTGATGGACTTAATGCTTGTTTTCTGAGCTATCATACAAACCATTGCTAAGCCAGGTCCACCAGGGGTACTCAGGTAAGAGAAATCATCTAAGAGGATCCACATGCAGGATTCCATAAGGCTTAGCTTCTAGAGGCCAGCACTGAGCTGACAATCAGTGGCTGAGATGATATTCCACTGTGCTGTTCATGGGGCTGGGGAACATCACACACACACACGCATGCACGCACACACGCCATTGTTGCTGTGACCTGCCTGAGCACTGGATGCACCTCAACAACAATGTCACTGGGATAACCAAGACCCATTAACAAAATTCTAAGTGTAAAATACAGGGCAAAAAGCAATGGATTAAAACTCCAGAGCCTGACGCCCCATCCTAGATATTGCTCTGAATCCCATAGTGACCTGGATAAGTCCCATCTCTAACCCTACCTCTCTTCATCCATAACTATCCAGGGTATTAGACTAAAAGAACTTTAAGGCATTTAAGGCAATATTTGTAAAATTGTGGGCCATGACCTGATTTGTGAATAATAAACTCATTTTTGGTGGCAATAAGCATCTTTTAAAAATGAAAGAATTGTCCAGGCATGATGGCTCACACCTGTAATCCCAGAACTTTGGGAGGCCAAGGCAGGTGGATCACCTGAGGTCAGGAGTTCAAGACCAGCCTGGCCAACATGGTGAAACCCCATCTCTACCAAAAATACAAAAATTAGCCGGGCATGGTGGTGCACGTCTATAATCCCAGCTACTTGGGAGGCTGAGACACGAGAATCGCTTGAACCCGGGAAGCGGAGGTTGCAGTGAGCTGAGATCACACCACTGCACTCCAGCCTGGGCGACAGAGCGAGACTCTGTCTCAAAAAAATAATAAAATAAATAAAAATAAAAATCAAAGAATAGCAGGCACCGTTGCTTATGCCTATAATGCTAGCACTTTGAGAGGCCAAGGTTGGAGGATCACTTGAGCTAAGGAGTTCAAGACCAGCCTAGGCAATTCAGCGAGGCCTCGTCTCTACAAAAAAACAAACAAACAAACAAACAAAAATTAAGCAGGCTTGGTGGCACACGCCTATGCTCCCAGCTACTTGGGAGGCTGAGGTGGGAGGACTGCTTGAGCCCAGAAGGTTGAGAGTGCAGTGAACCGTGTTCATGCCACTGCACTGCAGCCTGGGTGACAGAGCAAGACATTGTCTCAAAAAAAAAAAAAAAAGGCAAGAAAGAAAATAGAGGCTGGGTGCGGTGGCTCACGCCTGTAATCCCTGCACTTTGGGAGGCTGAGGCAGGTGGATCACGAGGTCAGGAGATCGAAAGCATCCTGGCCAACATGGTGAAACCCCGTCTCTACCAAAAATTAAAAAAAAAAATAGCTACTCGGGAGATTGGGGCAGGAGCATCCCTGGAACCGGAGAGGTGGAGGTTGCGGTGAGCCGAGATCATGCCACTGTACTCCAGCCAGGTGACAGAGCGAGACTCCGTCAAAAGAAAGAACGAGAAAGAAGGAAGGAAGGAAGGAAGGAAGGAAGGAAGGAAGGAAGGAAGGAAGGAAGGAAGGAAGGAAGGAAGAAAGAAAGAAAGAAAGAATATTACACATAGTAAAGTATTACTTTATAAAACTTTTGTTATATATACATATGTGGAGTTGTATATGTACGCATGTATATTTGGTTGCAATGTAAGATTTATTTCTACCAAGCACGATTTTAAGAAACACTGTTTTGGGGTCACTTCAGGAGCTAAAATGTTAGGATTTTGAAAGGCAAGACCTCAACGGGTGGTGGGGGTGGGGGTTCGACTGTTAAGCCGAGTGGAACACTGCCCTCTGGTGGATAAGGCAGCAACAGGCCACAGGAGCCAAGAGAACCAGGGTTTTAAGAAGCCAACTAACTAGTGCTTTCCATTATGGGTCAGATTCCTTGTGCATCTTTAGGCTTTCAAAGGTCACAATACTAGCTCTAGTCACAGTAGCATCATAGTCCATGGTGGCTTTGGGGGTTGCCCTTGAAGCTGTATTTGGAAGCAACTGTGGCAGCATGAGTCCTAGATCACACATGCCTGAAATCCAACTGGCGAGCGGAAGTTAAACAACTCAGAGAAGAATTCATAGGGGCAAATGGAGAGCTTCACTGTAAGTGAATTACATCTCAATAAAGCTAAATAAACACAAACAACTAAGAATCATTTTTAAAAGGGCAAGTGTCAATTTAACATCACTTTATTCTTCTAGTAAATAAGGTTTTAATTTCTGTTCAAAGGAAAAGTCCCCTAAACTCACAAAAATAGAAAAATTATTTCTTACACCAGGTGTCTCAATGGATGCTCTTGAAAACATTCTCATAGTATATACATGGCTAAGTGTCAAATAAGTGTTCCTCACAAGTTTCCTAAGTTCAAAGGTGGCCCATGAGGTGGGAACATTCATTAGACAGGTAGAAAGGAGGCCAAGCAACTACTGGCAGAATTCGGAAAAGGGTAGAGCTGTTTGAAATCCACCTGTCTAAGTGAAAAAGTTCAGAGGAGCAGGAGATAAGGCTGGGAAAAAATGATGGTGGGAGACAATGGAATCTGGCCTTTGTCCCATACATGGTGGGACACTGTCTCTACCCTCCAATGACCTCAGTCTAGTCTAAATATCTCCCTACCATCCATTTACAAATATAGTATTACCAAGCACCTCTTACGTGCTGAGTAATCACAGACAAGAACCACACAGATGTGGCCACAACCCATATGGAGCTTCCATCTAGCCTAGAAGAAACCCAAGGGTTAACACAGTGAGGTCGAGGCGGTAAAGTAAGGGTTAGAGCAGAATGCTGCAGCAGAAATAAATGGCAGGGAACCCAGGCATGGCAGGGTTGAGGGGAGGGGCAAGGGCAAGTTTCTCAAAGGAAGAAACACCCCAAACTGTGTTTCTCAATCTTGGCTGCACAGCAAAATCATCTACGCAAGCTTTTAAAAATAGCAAAGTTCTTTGGGAGGCCAAGGCAGGTGGATCACGAGGTCGGGAGATCGAGACCATCCTAGCTAACACAGTGAAATCCCATCTCTACTAAAAATACAAAAAAAAAATTAGCCGGGCGTGGTGGTAGGTGCCTGTAGTCCCAGCTACACAGGAGGCTGAGGCAGGAGAATGGCGTGAACCTGGGAGGCGGAGCTTGCAGTGAGCCGAGATTGTGCCACTGCACTCCAGCCTGGGCGACAGTGCGAGACTCTGTCTCAAAAAAAAAAAAAAAAAGCAAAGTTGACCTCACCCCCAGACATTCATGTTTTAATTGGTCTTGGGAGGAACCCAGACATTGGAATTTCTTAAAGCTGCCTAGATGATGTAATGTGCAGCCAAGGTTGAGAACCACTGGCCTGAGCCAAGGCCTAGGATAAAGCGAAGTTAGCCATGGGGGAAGGTGACACAGATGGAGAAAACTGCGTGTGAGGCCTGGGGGAGGGAGGGCAGGACTACAGGCCAGGAGCCACAGAGCCTCAATATAGTTGAAACATGGCAGCTGCTGAGGCAGAGGAGGAGGCCAGGGCCAGATCGAATGAGCCCTGAAGTCCAGATTCAAGGGCCCGGATTTTATGCTGAGAGCCATGGAGAGCAACTGAAATGAAAGAATGATAGGACCAGATATGTGTTTTCAAATGTTTGGCTTTTTCCTGAATGGGCAAAAAAGGCAGAAGAGATGTGGCTATGGCCCACGGTGGTGACAATGAGGTGGGCAGGAGGCAGAAGGAGGACATTCCAGGATGGTGGCCAGTTAGATGTGAGGCACAGGCGCGAACCTGAAGAGGCTCCCACTGTTCTTGGGGAGAAATCTGAGTGTCAAAATGAGAGACAGAGAGAGCGAGCATGTGAGAGACTTAAGAGATATATCAATTTAAAAAATATGACTACGTGTATATTAACACCTATCAGTTCATCGTAATTTACAGGGAGAAAAAATTCATTGGTCACTTTTGGAGACTGCTAGAGTACCAACTCATTACTATGAAAAGTGATAAATACAGAGAAAGAGTCAAGCAGTTTACTTCCCCTTCACATAAAAACTGTATTTCAGGGTTATCAAAACATTGACAATGGAAAATTCTCCACTGGATCCCAGTTAATTAAATACAGAAGGGCCCGGACACAATGGCTCATGCCTGTAATCCCAGCAATTTGGGAGGCCAAGGCAGGAGAATTGCTAGAGCCCAGGAGTTCAAGACCAGTCTGGGGAACATGGCGAGACCCTGTCTCTATAAAAAAAAAAATTAAAATTAGTGTCTCCCTCACCCACTGCTGCCGCCTCCTTCTTCTCCCACTCCTGTTGCTGCTTGCGTGCTCATTCGGTGCAGTCTTGGTACCTCTTTTGTGAAGCGGCAGCTGAGACTTAGGCGCTTGCCGTGGCAGATGAAAAGCCCAAGGAAGGAATCGAGACTGAGAACAAAGATCATATTAATTTGAAGGTGGCAGGGCAGGAGGGTTCTGTGGTGCAGTTTAGGATTAAGAGGCATACACCACTTAGTAAACTAATGAAAGCCTGTTGTGAACGATAGGGATGGTCAATGAGACAGATCAGATTCCAATTTGACAGGCAACCAATCAATGAAAGAGACACACCTGCTCAGTTGGAAATGGAGGATGAAGATACAACCGATATGTTCCAACAGCAGTCAGGGGGTGTCTACTAAAAAGGGAACCTCCCACTTCACTCCAGAACTCTGTTCTTTACAGACCAAGATCACATTCTCAAATAGAAAACTGCAATTTGGTTCCACCACATCCTGACTACTACAGTATAGTTTTCTCTATTCTTTCATTTCCCCCTTCCCCATTCCTTTATTGTACATAAAGTAACTGGTAAATGTGCACAAGTATATTACTTTTTTTTTTTTAACTAAACAGCCAATGGTACGTTTTGATTGATATCAAGTGGAGATGAGATGGGGAAAAATACCGATTCTGTAAAAATACTCCCTTTTCTTCATTAGTGGCATGCTCATTCAGCTCTTATCTTTATATTTCAGTAAGTTATTTTGCTGTTTTAACAAAAAAAAAACATAAAAATCCTTGCATACTTTATTCAATTGTAGAATGTTAATGTTTTTCATTTATCATTGTAAAACCAAGGACAATTTTATAACTTTGTTGTACATAGTTGTTAAATGTAGGGCAATTTGTCTTTAAGTAGGGATAAATTAGTCTAAAAAAAAAAAGGAATCCTAGATAGTTTTTCCTTCAAGTCAAGAAGCTTGTTGTTTAAACTTCTTGTTTAAAATAAATAAACAAACAAAATTAGCTGGTGTGGTGGCAGGCACTGGTAGTCTTAGCTACTCAGGAGGCTGAGGCAGGAAGATTGCTCGAGCCCAGGAGGTCAAGGCGATGGTGAGATGTGATAGGGCCACTGCAGTCCAGCCTGGGTGACAGAGAGGGACCCTGTCTCAAAATAACAATAAATGCAGAAGGAATAAAAGCATCTGAAAACACCTTTTCCCCAACACTTAGTGAAATGGATTTAAGCTATAATCATCAATAGATGCTAAAACCATTAGAAACACTGATGGAAATTGTGTGAAGGATTGGGCATATTTTTTGTGCTCCATCTGCTCAATTTCAGCCTCAAAAAAAGTCGAATAGCCAGACATTATGTCTCTCATGTTATGATTTAACACGAAGTACAGTCTCATCTAGAAAGTAGTCCTCATTATTGAATCAAAATCACAATTGAACCCGAATCTAATAATACCATAAGGAAGCAATAAGCCAAATCCAAAATGTGGGACATTTTAAAAGTCCAATGATTCAGTTGTTCCAACAAATCAATGGTATTAAAAGAAAGAAAGGGAGTATTATTTGGAAATGAAAGAACTTCAGAGGAATAATGGCCTAATGATTGCATTAGATCATTATATGTGATATGATATGTGTAATAAGGTATGGTACAATATTCGTAATATGAAATGATACGATATTCATTAGGTCAGTGTGAACCTGGTTTGGATCCTAATTCTTTTATTTTTATTACTTTTTATTTACTATTATAATTTTTTAAGATTTTTTGGATACAGGGTCTTGCTCCGTCACCCAGGCTGGAGTGCAATGGCTCAATCATATCTCATGGCAGTCTTGAACTCCTGGGTTCAAGCGATTCTCCTGCTTCAGCAAACTATGGCATATGTATATGATAGACTACTACTCAGCAATAAAAAAGAACAAACTACTGGTATTTGTAATAATGTAAATAAATCTCAAAAATGTTGAGAGAAAGAAGCCTTACACAATTGGGTTCATACTGCATGAACCTATTTATATGAAGTCCTGGGAAAGGCAAATCTAATCTATGGTGGAAGAAAAAATCAGAATAGTTAACTCTGGGAGAGTAGAGGTAGGTATTGCCTGGGAAGGGACGTGAGGGAACTTTCTGGGGTAATGGTAATTAATATTCCATAGCTAGATAAGGGTTTTGGATTATGCAGGTGTAGGCATTTGTTAAAACTCATCAAATGGTACGTTTAAGATATGTGCATTTCATTGTATGTAAATTTTACCTTGGAAGAAAAAGGGGCTACTAACAAACACTGACTGCTAGTTAATGATATGCCTACTGAAGTATTTATTTTAGCAAGAGGAGGGCATTGATATCTGCAACTTATTTTGAAATACATTCAAAAAATAAGATGAATTGATAGATGGAGGAATGGACTGATAGTAATATGTTAATGGTATAATCTTTCAACCCTCTCTGAAAAATTTTCCTAGCAAAATGTTGACACAAATAAAAATGCAGACTGATAAAATGAATTATGGTTTATATTGTATGTGTATTGTACATGCATGTTTGTATATATACAAATACACATACATGATCAAATGTTACGCAGCTCTGGAGAGTATGTAGCCCTTGCCATTGTGAAATGATCTCCGATGGATATCCCAGCACTTTGGGAGGGATATAGGGTGAAAAGAGAAGGCAGAGGAGAGAGTTTTTTGTTTTTGAGTCAGGGTCTTTCTTGCTCAGTTGCTCTGGCTGGAGTGCAGCAGCATGATCATGGCTCACTGCAGCCTTGACCTCCTGGGCTCAAGCGATCCTCCCACCTCTGTTCCCAAGTAGATGGGACCACAGGGGTGCGCCACCATGCTCAGTTAATAATTTTCAAATTTTCTGTAGAGATAGGATCTCACTATGTTGCCCAGGCTGGTCTCCAACTGCTGGCCTCAAGCAATCCTCCCACCTCACGATCGCAAAGTTCTGGGATTACTGGCGTGAGCCACTGTGCCCAGCCTGAAAACTGTTTTTTTTTGTTTGTTTGTTTGTTTTTTGAGATGGAGTTTCACTCTTGTGGCCCAGGCTGGAGTGCAATGGCACAGTCTCAGCTCACTGCAACCTCCGCCTCCCCAGTTCAAGCAATTCTCCTGCCTCAGCCTCCTGCCCCCACACCCGGCTAATTTTTGTATTTTTAGTAGAGACGGGGTTTCACCACGTTGGCCAGGCTGGTTTGGAGCTCCTGACCTCAGGTAATCCGCCGCCTCGGCTTCCCAAAGTGCTGGGATTACAGACGTGAGCCACCGCGCCTGGTCTTTAAAAGTTTTTAAAAACATGCCTACATCAGCTGTAGCTCTGTGAATGGTCTTGTGCAAGCTCAGTATGCTTTGTGCTGATTGTCTCAACTCACACTCAGATCTCATGTCTTTTTGCCTTTCTGCCCCAACACTGGGGGAATGGGTTCAGCCCAGAAGTCCAGGAGCACCAGGCAGTCCATGCCCCTGAGGGCAACCTTCAGCCAATGAGGGACAAAGAGGGTGGAGAACTGCATTCTCTTGTTTTTTAGGCAAATAATTCTGGAGACACTTTGTGCACTTTTCAGGAGGTCTCAGAAGAATCATGTCCCGGTTCCCAGAGTGATAACTACAATATGCATTCTGACCCAGGCTGTCCCTTCTTTCCACCTGTCCCTTGCTCCTATGCTCTTGGATCACTTCTCAAACCACTTGCACCCAATGTTCTGCTTCTAGAGGGACCCAAAGTACGACCTTGATACCAGGAGTGGCCTCAACAGCAGATCATCAGGATGTGAGTCTGCACCTTGTTGTCTCATGAATGTCAAATAGCAAGAACCTTATAGCTGGTGCTAAGTGGGGTGGTAACGCCTCAAAGACAAATACCAAGGCCCTCAACTCTGTGGGACCGGGAGGAGGCATGGAGAGAGGGGGAGCAGTCGGTATCTGCACTGGCTCCACCCCTGGAGCGGGGCAGAGGTGGGGGTCACTGGTCATTGAAAGGAGTGTGAGGTTAGCTGGCTTTTATTAACAGATTTGGAAGCTTTGAAGACAGTGACGGTTTGATGGGCTCAGGTGAGCCATCCACTCAGGGCATCCTATGAATATCAGAGGCTTCTGTGGCAATGTTTAAAGAGACTCACATCTCAGGCCAGAAAAGTAAGACCTAACTATGGGGGTCACTGGGAATGGATCTTGAGGGGGAAAATCCCAGGCCGGATATGGGGAAGTTACTGGTAGGGTGTATTCTCCCATGACCTATATTCTATTGGTAAGAGCCCAGTCCCTATGCTGTTGGGAGGATCCTTGGAACCTAGACATGACGCTGGTCTACAGGAAATGAGGTGAGGATGCCAGGACTGCCTTGGCATCCTGAGAAAGGTATGGAATGGCTCAAGAGGTGGGAATGTAAAAAGGGTGACCAGAGACCCCACTACCTGGCTCTATTCCCCAGGAGAGCCCAGAGAACTCTCCCTTCAGGAAGGAAGGCACTGGTGAGGAGGGCCCTGGCATACTTGGGAAGCCCCCCCAGTGGGGCCATCCTCTGCAGGCAAGGGGCGCCCTAGTGTCGCTGGGGATGATGAGGTTCTGGCATAACCAGCATGGGACCGCTTAACCATCAGAAGCAGGAAGGCACAATTACCACAACAACCAGCAAGGTCACAGTGGCAACCAGGGTGTGCTGACCTGTGGACCAGGAGTGACCTTATGCAGTGGCTCATAAGCCACACGTTTCTGTGGGGTGAGTTGGCCAGGCAATCAGCAAGAGTACTGCTTGACATGTTTAAAAACTTGTGAGCAAAAGGCTGATGTCAACAACTGCATGGAAAATTGAGATTCCTTCATCCAATTCCCAGCTTTGAGCCAGTTCTCTAACATACAGTCAACAAAATTTGATGGAAGGTTGGATGGATCCCCTTGAGGAAGGATCCTGCATTACCACCCCAAGTCCACACAGTAAATATTCCTCCAATCCTTCCCAACAAGACTCAGGGTAACTGTGTCCTAAGAAAAGGGGCACCCCAAGGCCACCACCTTCTGAGGACTACTGGATACAGTCTGAACTGACATGGTAGCACCAGGGAACCTGAAATGCCATCACTCTCCCTTATCACTCTTAGGGAGGCCAGGGATAATGGGAGCCTTGGCCCCAGTCCTTTTCACAGAGAGTCCAACAAATCAGAGGATCCATCACACGGTTATTTCCCTGGCTATGAGTTCAAAGTGGGATGGTTTTACATAATGGCCTGCAGAACCCTCATAATGAGTAGGAGCCATCATGGATCAAGTGGAAGCTCTGGAACTGCCCACTCCCCACTCCCACTCAAGATAAATCTGAAGCAAGACCACAATCCTCTGGGAATTGTAGCTATTAGTGCCCCCTCCACAAAGACTTAAAGATCATTTCCATCATGTTCATTCAAATTGCCCGTGAGCCTCTGCCAGAAAAAACAGATCACAGTACATGATGGTGGCCACTTAATTAACCGAGTAGTAGCTCCAAAAGCAGCTACCATGTAGGTATGGGATTACCACTGGGACAGAACAACACAGCCTCTGATATTTGGTTTGCGATTAATGTTCTAATCTTTTCAAATCCTACTGATAAAAAGGATTGAAAACAGTTCGTGAGTGGGCAGGACAGCAGTATATTCTCCCTCTTGCCCGGGGCTGTGTCCACTGCCCTGCTGTATCACACGAGACCTGGACTGTCTGTGCATTCATGGACTGTCATGGTCTGAGAGATGAACATCACCATGTTATTTGAACCAGGAGAGCAGGGGACATGTCTCTGAAACAAAAACCTAGAAAAGCCACAGAGAGGGGATCAAGATGGACAGCTGCAGAAGCAGTATCACTTAAAAGACAGTTCATCATTGTTGACTGTCACAGCCAAAGTAAACAGGGACAGTCCACTTCATGGACCCAAGATGACCCCTCTCAAAAGTTACGGACCTAAAAAAAAGACCCAGCTTCCTTTGAGCTTCCTCTGAGCTGTGGAACTACTGACAGAAGGCGATCAAAAAAAGTGGGAATAGGCCAGGTACAGTGGCTCACGCCTGTAATCCCAGCACTTTGGGAGGCCGAGGCAGGTGGATCACCTGAGGTCAGGAGTTCGAGACCAGCCTGACCAACATGGCAAAACCTCATCTATACTAAAAATACAAAAATTAGCTGGGTGTGGTGGCACATGCCTGTAATCCCAGCTACTTGGAGGCTGAGGCAGAAGAATCCCTTGAACCTGGGAGGCAGAGGTTGCAGTGAGCCAAGATCGCGCCACTGCACTCCAGCCTGGGCAACAAGACTGAAACTCTGTCTCAAAAAAAAAAAAAAAAAAAAGTGGGAATAGGAGGAAGAAAGGAGGAAAAAGGAGACAGAGAGAGAGAAAACTGCCTTCAGAGTGTATTCCCCCCAAATGCAAATAATGCAAGATTTGACCTGTGTGCAAATTCTACCCTTCTAAATGAATTGGCGCAGGAATGCAATACTGAAGAGACATACTTTTATTTCATACTTGCAGGAGTGTGGTAGCATCAGTATTTAGTGCATGAGGTCACAGAAAACTTATAAAAAGCAATTCCGAACAAACCAAAATTCATAACTTCTCAAGGCTCCCCGTTAACGCATCCAATACTGGAGAGAAAAAACCCAGCAGTACAAACAAAACACCAAATACGTATCAGGAACCTAATACTGGCCAATGTAATTTTTTAAAAAGTTATTTATTCAGTTTAGATTATTTCAGTAATAAATAAGCATCTTTTTTAAAAAAAATTAAACATAACACAATATTGACATCATCAGGTAATGTGAACATCCCCCAAGTTCCCTAATCCTCAGGACTAAAAGTAATTATATTTGCATTACTTGTGCACATTCCTTGACTACAGAAATAAAAGAAGCTCAGTGACATCACAGATTATGGGTCATGCTGATTATGTGAAGATGATCTGTCTTCAGGTCCTTCAGTATAACTCTGGTAAGCACCTACTCAGCAGATCTTAATCCCCAGCACCCTACACACCCCTACAACTCACCCCAGAGACTCAAGGGCCTGGGGAATTCCTGACACGAGCTGTTCAGCTCCAGGATGCCAGAGACCCAATCCTCTTAGCCTGCAAGCACCCTGAGGCTGAGGGAACATGGATAGAGGCAAGGGGAGAGGGAAGGGGATGGAAGGGTATTTGCATAACACGGGCTTCTGAGACCCTTCAGTTCATAGAACAAAGAGAAACAGAAGAACTATTTCAGGTGACTATGGGTCAAACCCTGATTACATCAGAGCTAAGAGCCTTCCAAATACCACATGTCATGGAAGCACCATTCCATCAGATAGGCTGGAGAAGGAAAACAGGTGCAGGCAATGGTGATAATCTATATGGAGATGGAAGAATCTGTGGATAATCTGCTCTAGCTTATGCATTCGATTTTTATTAACTTTATGTTTTCACGCCTGCCTTGTGCCAAAAACATTTTTGTTCAGCATTCCAAAAGACTGGATAAAGAAGGCAAATCGCAATGGAAGAGGAGAAGCGAGCACAGCTTTAGACTGATTCCCAATCCTCACGGACTCTGGACATACACAGATTTAAATGTGCCCCCTCATCTCAGAGAAAAGGTAAATGTGCAGTTTAAAAAAATAAAAATTAAATTAAAAAATATGTAATTTCTTTAAAATTAAAAACATACAGATCTAACTTTCCACACTACATTGACCATATTTGGCCTAAGGATAAAAATACAGCTTAAACTGCATTCAGGGAAAAAAACAAAAGCAAACTGCATTCAGTAGACTTCATCTTAATAACCACATTGACGTTACTATTTTGGTTCTATTATATATGTAGTAGGATAAAAGAAGTAAGTAACTACATTAGGTTACTAAGAACCAAATTTTTCAGTGTAAAAGAGAAACAGGCTGGGTGCAGTGGCTCATGCCTGTAATCCCAGCACTTTGGGAGGCTGAGGCGGGTGGATGGCTTGACCCCAGAAGTTCCAGCCTGGACAACAAAATGAGATCCCATCCCTATAAAAAATAAACAAAAGTTAGCTGGGTATGGTGGCACATGCCTGTGGTCCCAACTACTTGGGAGGCTGAGGTGGGAGGATTGCTTGAGCCCAGAATGGTTCAGGCTGCAGTGAGTAGTGATGGTGCCACTGCAGTCCAATCAGAGTGACAGAGCAAGAGTCTGTTTCAAAAAAAAAAAAAAAAAAAGCGAGAGAGAGAGAAACAAACATAAAATCAAACAAAATTAAGAACCCCATAATCAGGAGATACAGGAAAATCTCTGTACTTTCCACTCAATTTTGCTATAAGGCTACAACTATTCTAAAAAATATAGTCCATTAAAAAACAATAAAATCCATAATCTCTTATTTGAATTGTAAATACTAGTATACACTTATGATTTTTTTTCTCTCTAAAAAAGTATTGCATTTCCTAGCAATACCCAAAGACACAGTTTGGAAATGATATCAGCGGGTAGCAATCTAACCCATATAGCGCCTAAATTGTGATCTGCAAACATTTCCCACTAAAAGTAACCAAAGCTGCTTCTTCAAGAAATTAGTTAATCCAAGTCTGTGGCATAAGATGTACAAAACAGGGCTAGATTAAAAAAAAAAACAAAACTATTAGGGTCTCATCAAAATGACAAGATGACAGGGCTCCAACCAGCTCAAGTGCAGTGGTTCACACCTGTAATGCCAGCATTTTGGGAGGCTGATTACAGGTTCACACCTGTAATCCCAGCATTTTGGGAGGCTGAGGACTGCTTGAGGCCAGGAGTTTGAGACCAGCCTGGGCAACAAAGAGAGACTCTGTCTCTACCAAAAAAAAAAAAAAAGAGCCAGGAGTGGTGGTGGTGGTGCATGCCTGTAGTCCTAGCTATCTGGAGGCCAAAGTGAGTGTATCGCTTAAGCCCAGGAAATTGAGAGTGCAGTGAGTTACAGTCACACCACTGCACTCCAGCCTGAACAACAGAGCAAGACTAAGACTCTAAAAAGTAAAAAATGAAAAATGAAAAGGTCCCAACTGGCCAAAGATGGGCTATTTTGAGTATTAAAAGATGTAACACTTTGATGAACTAAAAAACATCAGATATATAAAATATCTAAATATCTAAATTCCTAACAATATTTCACCCACCCAGAAGAAAAGCTTATTGGTCATTCTTGGAGGTTGCTGTGGTATCAGATCATTATGCTATAAACTAAGGAATCAAGTGAAAGAATCTGGTATCTGTCTTGCCTTTGTTATAGGCTTTTTCAGAGTAACCACATAATTAATGAGGAGAGTTCTTTGTAAAGGATCCATAGCCAGTAAATGCAGGAAAAAAAGGGTAGAATTTTACAAATCACTATTCTGCAATCTTTAGTGAAATAATGACATTAGGCAACAATCACCAATGACTGCTGAAACATTAAATGGAAAGATAATGCGGAATTTTCTAGTGGAGGGATCAAGCTGACAACACCTGGACCAACAGGTCAATCTTAATATCAGTGAAGCAATGAATTCTTCCTACCCAAAAAGCGAAAAAGTTGAACCTGAATCCAACCAGCCTCTAGCTCTAACCTTTAGAGAGCTTTAGCTCTATGAGCTCACAGAAAATATGAACATGTTAAATGACACCAAAATCTAAAATGTATAAAATTTTAAGACATATGACCCAGATAACTTGAACAAATAAATGATAAAAAATAAGGAAAAGGGGATGTTATAGACTTAAGGAGACTGAAGAAATACACCACAGGCAAAATATAGACCTATTTTTAGATCCTGTTTCAAACAAAATAACTATAAAAAGACAATTCCATAAGAAGAAAAAAATAAACCCAAAGCTAGCAAAAGGAAATAAAATATTAGAGTAGAAATAAACAAAAGAGAATAGAAAGATAGTAGGAAAAAAAAACAGTTGGTTTTTGAAAAAAAAATCAACAAAATTGAGAAACTTAACTAGATTTAAAAAAAAGAAGATATAAATAAATCAGAAATGAAGAGGGGACATTATAACTGATGACACAGAAATAAAGAATTGTAAGAGAATAGCATGAACAACTGTATGCCAACAAATTGGATAACCTAGAAGATATGGATAAATTTCTAGACACACCCAGCCCACCAAGACCGAATCATGAAGAAACAGAAAATCTATACAGACCAATAGCTATTAAAAAGATTGAATCAGTCATCAAAAACCTCAAAGAGGCCGGGTACGGTGGCTCCCGCCTGTAATCCCAGCACTTTGGGAGGGGGAAGCGGCCAGATCACTTGAGGTCAAGAGTTTGAGACCAGCCTGGCCAACATGGTGAAACCCCGTCTCTACTAAAAATACAAAAATTAGCCGGGTGTGGTGGCGCGTGCCTGTGGTCCTGGCTACTTGGGAGGCTGAGGAAGGAGAATCGCTTGAACCTGGGAGGTGGAGGTTGCAGTGACCCAAGATCATGCCTCTGCACTCCAGCCCCGGCGACAGAGCAAGACCATGTCTCAGCATGCGCGCACACACACACACACACACACACACACACACACACACACACACACACACACTCAAAGAAAAACCTAGAACCAGATGGCTTCACTGGAGAATTCTACCAAACATTTAAAGAAGAATTAATACCAATCCTCCTGAAACTATTACAAAAGTTGAAGAGGAGGAACATTTCTAAATTTATTCTATGAGACCAATATTATCCTAATACCAAAGCCAGACAAATACACTACAAGAAAACTACAGAACAATAATATTCCTGGTGAATATTGATGCAAAAATCCTCAACAAAATACTAGCAAACTGAATTCAACAGTACATTAAAAGGGTTATATACTATGATCAAGTGGGATTTATTCCTAAAATGCAAGAATGGTTTAACATATAAAAATCAATCAATATAATACACCAAATTAACAGATTGAAGGGCAAAAACCACATGATAATCTAAATTGAGGCAGAGAAAGCATGACAAGATTCAACACCCTTTCATGATTAAAAAAACCAACAACTCAACAAATGCAAAATAGAAGAAAACTACCTCCACATCATAAAGCCCACATGTGAAGAGCCCATAGCTAACATCATATTCAATAGTGAAAGACTGCAAGCTTTTCCTCTAAGATCAGGAAAAAGGCAAGATGTCTGTTTTTGCCACTTCTACTCAACATAGTTTTGGAAGTCCTAGTCAGAGCAACTAGGCAAGAAAGAAATAAAAGGCATTCAAATTAGAAAGGAGAAGTAAAATGATCGATTCACAGATGATATAATCTTAGATGTAGGAAACCCTAAAGACTACACACACACACACACACACACACACACACACACACACACACAAACTGTTAGAACTAATAAATGAATTCAGCAAAGTTGCAGGATACAAAAAGCAACATACCAAAATCAGTTGCTTCTCTATACACTAAAAATGAACAATCCTAAATGGAATTTCAAAAAATTCCATATATAAAAGCATCAAAAAGAATAAAATACTTAGAAATAGGCCTAACTAAGGTGAAAGACTACACTGAAAACTACAAAACACTGTTAAAAAGAAATTAAAGAAGACACAAACAAATGGAAAAAACATCCTATGTTCATGGAGTGGAAGGTTCATATTGTTAAGATGTTCATACTACCCAAAGTGATTCACAGATTCAACACAATCCCTATAAAAATCCCAATAGCATTTCTTGCAGAAATAGAAAAATTTATCCTAAAATTCATATGGAATCTCAACAGACACCAAATAGACTAAAGTCTTGAAAAAGAAGAGCAAAGTTGAAAGACTCATACCTCCTGATTTCAAAACATATTGCAAAGCTGTGGTAATCAGAATAGCATGGTAATGACATAAAGACAGACATAGAGCAATGAGAGGATAGAACACCAAGAAACAAACTCTTGTGTATATGGTCAAATGATTTTCAACAAAGATGCCAAGATCTCTTGATGTTAGAAAAGGACAATTTCTTCAGAAAACAGTGCTGGGAAAACTGGATATTCACAGGCAAGAGAATGAAGTTGGACCCTTATCTTATACCATACACAAAAATTAATTCAATATGGGTTAAAGACCTAAACGTAAGACCCAAAACTATAACACTCCTAGAAGAAAACATGGGGAAAAAAGCTACGTGATATTGAACTTGGCAATGATTTCTTGGATATGATGCCAAAATAAAAGCAAAAATAGAGAAATGGGCCTGCATTAAACTTTAAAACTCTGTGCATCAAAGGTCACAATCAGTGAAAAGGCAATGTACAGAACTGAAGAAAATATCTGCAAATTACGTATCTGATAAGGGGTTAATGTCCAGAATATATAAAGAACTCCTACATCTCCACAACAATAAATTAAATAACCTGATTTAAAGATAGGCAAAGGACTTGAATAGACATTTCTCCAAAGAAGGTATACAGGTGGCCAACAAGCCCATGAAAACATGCTCAACATGGATAAACAAAATGTGGCATGAAAATACAAGAGTATTACTGTAGTCCAGCCTTAAAAAGGACAGAAATCCAGTCACGTGCCACAACCTTAAGGTCATTATACTAACTGAAATAAGCCCGCCACAAAAAGACAAAAACTGCATGATTTCACTTATACGAGGTATCTAAAGCAGTCAAATTCATAGAAACAGAAAGTAGAATTGTGGTCACCAGGGGCTGGAGGAAGGGGGAAATGGAGCCTTGTTGCTCAATGGGTATATAGATTTGCAAGATGAAAAAGTTCTACAGATCAATTAGATCAATTTCACAACAATGTGAATATACCTAACACTGTTGAACTATTCACTTAAAAATGGTTAAGATCAACAACAACAAAAAGAACAAAAAAAATGGTTAAGATAGTAATTTTTTTGCCACAATAAAAAATATAGTTGAGATAATCAGGAAAAACTAAACACTAACTCTTCACACAGTTAACTGCATTTGAATTCTGTACTCATTTGTGACAGATACAGCTACTTAATACTCAGAGAGTGGAAAGAACACTTCTTTAAAGAGGTCAAAAATCTGGCTACTAGCCCCAAATCTCCTAACTAGCTATTAGATGATATTCAAGAATCACTGTTAATTTCATTGGATATGATAATGACACTATAGCTATGCTTTTTGAAAAAGGATTCATACTGAAGTAATTTTGGGGTAACATTATGTTTTCTATGATTTACCTTAATATACTCCAGCCAAAAAATAAAGAGTACAGGTGGGGCAGGGGTAGCTGAGAAAGGATGGCAGAGTGGTCTCGTCATGCTTGTTAAAGCTGGGAGAGAGGTACATGTACGAAAAGTTTAAAACAAACCAAACAAAACACGAGGGGAAGAAAAGCATGGATGGGTATTTGGAAGGAATGGCAGCAGGATCAATTTATTGAGATTTTGTGACAGCATCATATACTACAGACACTATTGCTGATTTTCAAAAAGCATTGCATTTCAATTTGCATCTAACAGATTAAAAATAAAGAAACAAATGAAATTGAAAGAATGATCAAGCTTCAAGTAACGTTTCTCACCACCTCCCCCGGCCACAAACAAACAAAAAGGTCCATGGTTTAAGAATGTTGAACAAAGGGACTAAAGGTGTCATGGAGACCTGCCCACCAGGGCCAGAATCTGGACAGTGATGGAGAAATTTCTGCTGCAAAAATGTCCGCCGCGTCAGGGAATACAAACCACATACGAGAGGGTGTTGATGTTGTTTCTCAGATACATAGGATGGACCTGTTTTCTTTCTGCTAATAGAAAGCAATCAGTCAAGCAAGGACTTCAGAGTGGATGAAGGGTACATAAGACCACACAATGATGGCATTCAAGAGAAAGAAAAGAGGTAAGGATGCAAAATTAAAAAAAAAATAGGACTTAATGAAAGCTAATTTCATCAAGCCCAGGTCACTGATGAGAAAGATGTAAAATCAAGAAACCAGTGAAATAACACGTAACAGGTGAGTCAAACATTACCAGCCGCATCAAACAGTGGAAGTGAAATGGCACCATCTAGCCCACCTGGTGAAATCCAAAGCGAGAACTTAAAGGGAGTAAGGATGATTCACAAAATGCGGTCGGGACACAAGAAAAGTGAGTTTGGAAGGACAGTGAAGAGAGAAAAAAGAATAAGGAAACCACCAAAATTTCAACTCAAAGATACATTTTAAACTGCATGGTATGGCCCACTGTCAATACCGTGGCTGCCTGGGAACAAAAAGGGTGGTCTCCAGATCCCCCAGAACCCCACTATACACCAGGAGGACAAGGAGGAAAGGAAGAAACCCCCTTTGCCTGCCAGAATGCACATGAGGGAAGGAAGGCAAACCCCTAGCAGTTGCTGCTTTGACACATCACCTGCCCCAGCAGCAGGCAGCTCGCTACCCACTCACATTCCCCAGGACTGGCTGCTCCATGAATCCTCTGGGCACCTGTGCCCAACAGAGTTCCTTAGCAAGCTCCACTGGAACGTTGAAAAATTAACATTGAGTGTTTACTGTGCACGCTGTGCCATGTGGAACTCATGCACAAGGCTTGATGGATCCCTCCTGACAAAACAATCTTGAGGTAGATACGATAATTATCCCCATTTTAGGGTTGATGGAAACCAAGGCTGAGTGAGGGAAAGTCACCCACCCAACGCTGCCCTATGAGTGAGCAGCAGGGTTAGCCTCTCCAGTCAGAGCGAGTGTCTTCACTCCCCATTGGAGGAAGACTTTCCATCACAAGCCTAAATCACCCAGCAGGAAACCAGCCCAGCCCTGTCTTCTCAGTGAGGCCTTTTCTAACACGGGTGCTTATCTCCATCTCAGGATCAAAGGATCTATTGCTTCTGGCAAAAGGGCAAAAGCACCGCTTTTACTGGGAGGTACAAGACCTGGTTTCTAGCCCCAAATCTCCTACATATCTTGTCATACTGCCTGTGCCCTATCTCTCTTTGCCTTGGTTTCCTTATCTCCAAATAGGGAAAAGCAGCCTGTCCCCAGTGAGCTCCCCGAAGGGTTGTATAAAATGAGACAAGGGAGGCAAAGCCCTCTGAATTCCTAAGCAGCCATGTTCTCACCATCACCGACCATGGCGCCCACCGTTCTTCTCCCCTGACCTTGCCCCCAAAGGCCCAGGAGCACAGACAGTTAAATAGCATCCCTCAAGGCCTGGAACAGGAGGAGCTTTGCATTCCAGTAGATTTTGCTGATGCCCTCAATAGAGGTGATCCTGATAGAATCAGAGGAAAAGAAAATATTCTTCTCTAGCAGCCAGAGGGCCCTTCCATCTTGCCTGTTCTCCCAAATTACCTGGCAACACTACCCCTTCCCCAGAAAGGCTCTGGATCAATGATTCTGGAAACCACTTAAGTCCTAAAGACAATTTTAAAACACCAGGAGAAAAATGCTCCTGCTCCTCCCCGCCCCACCTTCTAGAGGTATGCCTTTCTAGCAACCCCGAGGGGAGGTTCATCCCTGGGAGCTCTGCAGGAGAAGGTCCCCATTCCACATCATCTGGAAAATAGAGGGGAGTGCTAATATATGTGACCTTAGTGATCTCACAAGTGCATCAAAAAAAGCAACTGGCCAAGGAAATAGTTAAACCAGCCTGAACATGCCAGGCAGGCCCACCATAAGTCACTGTTTGAGTCAGGCTTGTGACCAAGGGTGTGTAGGCAAGGATGAGTGGGCAAGGCTGGAGGGGAAAAGCAGGCAAACCACTCTGAAGCAGGATGGAGGGTCGAGGACAAGGGCAGGGCAGAGGTGCACAGGGCAGGGCCAGTTCAGGGAGACCGCTGCAGGATGAGCTCTGTGATCTCGGCCCTGCTACCCAGCCTCATGGGTATCCCGTAGTAGGCTGTGCCTGGGCTGACATACACGAATGTAGCCTGGGCCACCTGGTAGAGACCAGCAAAGAAGGGATTCAGGAGATAGGCTGCTACGTTCAAGGGGAAGATCTGCCCAGCATGTGTGTGCCCAGAAAGGATCAGGTTAATATCTGGCCGAGCCTGGAGAGCTCTCTTGGCAGCCAGGGGCTGGTGAGCTAGCAAGATGATTGTGTGGTCTGGGCTGCAGCCCTCCAGGGCCTTGTCAAGATCCATGCCATGGCCAGAGTAGTGCAGGATGTCTGCTTCAATATCGTCCACCCCAGCCAAGCAGATCCAGTCCTCATCCTCACTCCCACTGCCACTGCCACCACCACCACGTTGGGCCCGTGTGGCGGAAATCTTCACGTTCTCATTATGAAGAGGCTGGACATGCAGGGATTCCAGAAGTGCAAACCAGTTGCTGACATCTGACGTGTAGTACTCATGATTGCCTGTGACGAAGTAGGCACCGAGATGTGAATGAAGCTGGCCCAGAGGAGCGACAGCCGTCCGCAGGACCGAGGCTTCTGAGTCGGAGAGGTCACCCACAATCACCGTGATGTCTGGTTCCAGCACATTCACCATCCTCACAAACATTTCCATCTTGGTCCTGCCCACTGTGGGGCCCAAGTGAATGTCTGAGAGGAGCACGATCTTGAGGTTGTTCATTGAGGCAGGCAGCTGATGGATGGGCACCTCCACAGTTTTCACAGCCGGGGGCTGCGCGGCATTCAGAATCCCGGCCACGCTGAGCACAGCAGTCACTCCCACTGCCAGGGCAGGCCTGAGCACGAGCTTCCTTGTCTTCTCAAGGCTGCCCACGACCCTACCACTGCGCCAGGCCAAGAGCTGGTAGGCCTGCTCCATGCCGCTGAGGATGAAGAGGAAGAAGAGCATGATGATGTAAGCACCCAGGCAGGAGTAGGCCGCCAAGGAAAAGAGATAGGGCTCTTCGGCCACTAAAAAGAACATGGTAAAGAAACTGGAATGGGCCAGGGCCAGAAATGCCAGAACCACCACCTTCCAAAGCTGAAAACAGGTTGACTCTGCAGCTGGGGAGTGGCAGAGGTTGCTCACTGTGCTGCGCCAAATGTAGAGGGAGCCAATGAGCAAGAGCGAGTTGACAAACAGGGCAAGCTGCAAGCGAAGCAGCCAACGCCAGGCCCTGAGCTCAAGGCTCTCTGCCAGATACGAGCGGGAGGCGATCATGGACACGAAGACAGTGACAGCAGCCAGGGTGGCCTTCGCGCCTAGGGACAGCTGCCTGAAGATGGCCATTTTCTCTGCTCCTAGTAGGCTCCCCCACCAGTTCTGTGCTGGTGGACTCTGGAAATGAGTTCCTTAGAAAGGACAGTGGCCAAGGAGAGGTTTCCAGGTCAACTCCGCCTGCAACCAGGAACCAGCATCAGCTTTGTGGGATATTAGAGTGTCCTTGTACCCATTCAAAACTCAAAGGCCACTTACATCTGCCCAACCCACCTTGAATCCAAGCTACTCAAATACCAGTCAGTTGCTAGCTATACTTTATTATTCAAAAAGAAACTCACAGCATTGTGACATGATGGGCAGTTTTCATTTTCTTACCACATGTTCTATACGTTTAAAGTTTCTCTACAGTAAGCATGTACTTGTTTTATAAAAACATTCCAAATCAGCGGTATTCAAAGTGTGGTCTGGAGAGAGCCCTTCAGGGGTCCAATTAGTCAAAACTATTTTTATTATAATTCCAAGCCATTACTGCCTTTTCCATTCTCACTCTGTCCTGAGGGGGTGGAGTCTTCCAGAGGCTATGTGACATGTGATATGGCAACAGATTTAATGCAGAAATAAACATGAAAATTTGACTGTCTTCTATTAAGAGACATTGAAAGAGATTTGCAGAAATGTAAAACAGTGCAACTCTTCACCCTAAAATTTGGGGAGAAATACTATTGTTTTTCAAATATATATATTGTTTATTAACGTGTAATGATGTAGTATTTCTTAACAAATAGTTTAAAATATTCTCTAGGGCTGGGCACAGTGGCTGACGCCTATAATTCCAGCACTTTGGGAGGCCGAGGCAGGCAGATTACCTGAGGTCAGGAGTTCAAGACCAGCCTGGCCAACATGGTAAAACCCTGTCTCTACTAAAAATTCAAAAATTAGCCAGGCATGGTGGTGGATGCATGTAATCCCAGCTACTCGGGAGGCTGAGGCAGGAGAATCACTTGAACCTGGGAGGTGGAAGTTGTAGTGAGCCAAGATCGTGCCACTGCACTCCAGCCTGGGCAAAAGAGCGAGACTCTGTCTCAAAAAAAAAAAAAAAAAAAAAAAAAGGAATATTCTCTTAATTTCTAGGACAGCTAAAATTTAGTTAAAATTTGAGAACCGCTGGGTCACGAGGTCAGGAGATCGAGACCATCCTGGCTAACATGGTGAAACCCCGTCTCTACTAAAAATACAAAAAAAGAAAAAAATTAGTCGGGTGTGATGGCGGGCGCCTGTAGTCCCAGCTACTCGGGAGGCTGAGGCAGGAGAATGGCGTGAACCCTAAAGAAATGTAAACAAGGAGATAATGGAAAGCTAGACTGCTGGTATCTTTCTTTAGCTGTGGGCACAGAAGCCCAAGAGGGACACCTAGGCACCTGAAATGAGAATTCCTGGGGTGATGCCAGCCTCCCTGTGTGGGCCTCAGGTATGGCAGCCACAGGGCATCCACCCTGACCCAATGACGCTGCACAAGACTGATGAGCTCACATCAGACAGATTGACCCTGTCCACCTGTTCCTGGTTCATAAATCCTTCTCTCTCTCCCTACCCCCACTCCCAGATACTGGTTAAGATCTGCCTTTCCCCTAGCCCCTTACCCTGCCACTGTTCTCCTGAACTGTGCCCCAGTTCCACCTTCCCCAGTGGTTCTCACAGCTGGCTAGCTCTGACTCCTAAGGTCCTACGGGCCTTCTGGACAAGAAAACTCTGTCTACATACTGGGGTAGGGGAACCACAGACGGGGTGAAGAGGGAGCAGCAAATAATCTGTGCTGACTTTTTCCCAAAATGAAAACATTTTCAGCAGCTGTTTTCCAAATACTTAAGATGTTCAATCTTGGTTGTAGATAAATGTACCACTTTTCTCTGCCCTAGGCACGTTATTGAAAGCGTTATTAAAGGGTGTAACTTACAAGTCAACGGTGTCAAATGCTACCAGCTCTTACTTAAAGCATACTGCAGGCTCAGCCCACCTACACCCTGGAGGAACCAAAGTTGGTCCGCGGAACGTGCAGAGGAGCAGCTTGCAACTACCCACTCTCCTTTCCGCAGGTGTGATGCAAACCTCCCCAGGCAGCGCTTTGGAGCCCCTCAGCCAGTCGCCTCAGCTCGGACGCAGCGAGTGAAGCTGTCCTTCCTCTCCCACCAACTGTGCACGCCCCGCACCTCACCTATTCGCCTCGCCAGCCCTGCCCCGATCAACGATGGCATCCCCCGGCAGCCTGCCTATTCCCCCCCTCAACCTGGACCCCCAAACGCCGAAGGAAAACGGTCCCACAAATACAAAGAAAAACCCAAGCCAAAGGGCAGGCGACGGGGAGTGGTGAGAAAGGAACAAGATGCACGAAGAGGGAGAGCACCCAGAGGGGAAATAACCCAATGTTCCCACTGCAAGGGCCTCTCCTGACCCCATTTTTCTCCTTCCGGAGCGCTCCGCAGAGCACCAACTGGGAAAGCGAGGGCGCCCCAAACCAGAGCCGGAGGCACCCTCTAACCCGCGCAACTTGGAATCCCCTCCCGGAAAGCCAACTTAGGAAATGTTTACACGCACCTCGTCTCAACACCTCGTTACAGATGGGGAAGTGGATCCAAGCGCAAAGGGCGGCCGGAGCGGAACGCACAAGCGACCGAGCTGCCTGGAAGGACGCGCGCCCCGCCCGGCCCGCCCCCGACGGGAAGGCCGGTCCACTGCCTGCGTTCCGCCGGCCGCGAGCCTGCTGGGGGGCACTTCGGGGCTCAGGCTCCCCGCCCTGCGGGACCGCGGGTGGCTGCGACCCCAGCCCGGTTCCCCGCCAGCCTGTCCCCTAGCAATGCCTCCCCGTACCCGGGTCCCGCAGACTTACGCGCAAGCCGCGCGTAGGGCCCAGAAGCAGCAGAACCAGCAACAGAGGGAGGATGCGAACCAGGAACCCCGGCATGACCACCAGCCTCCCGGCTCTGCAGTCGGCGCCCAGGCCGGCCGCTTCGCGTCACTTGACTAAGGACCCACGGCCTGGCACCGCCCCTCGTCGGCCCAGCAGCCAGCCCTCGCGCCTGCTCAGCCCCGCGCCCCGCCCCGCTGTGGCCGAGCCGGGCGGGTGGGGGCGGCTAGGAGGCTGCGCGCCGCCGCGTGACTCCAGGATAGTACTATCTGGGTTTTGCAGGCGTCTTCCCTGGGAAGGGACCCTTTGGAACTGCAGTCCGGAGGGCCTGCTTTCAGCAGCTTGATAACGCGCCTCGGGGATTGGACATGAATCATGGTCTCCCTGTTCCCTGGCTGCCTTGAGAGAGCAGAAGAGGGAAATTGTTAATCATTAAACCTAAACGCCCTAGATGGAATCCGCGTCTCATATACGGGCTCTTTGAATAACTCTAAGCCGGGGGTTAGCAAAATGTGGTCGGTCCCTGGAGCCACTGTATCAACTCACCTGGAACTTGTTAGAATGAAAATCCTGCTCACGCCTGTAATCCCAGCACTTTGGGAGGCCGAGGCGGGCGGATCGCCTGAGGTCAGGAGTTCCAGACCAGCCTGACCAGTATGATGAAACCCCGTCTCTACTAAAAATACAAAAATTAGCCGGGCGTGGTGGCAGGCGCCTGTAATCCCAGCTACTGAGGAGGCTGAGACAGGAGAATCGCTTGAACCCGGGAGGTGGAGGTTGCAGTAAACCGAGATCGAGCCATTGCGCTCCAGCCTGGGCAATAAGAGCGAAATTCCGTATCAAAAAAAAATTTTCTTTTTTAAAATAACCTTAGTTTATGCCTTGGTGTTCCAAAAAGCCTTTTTACATTGTATAACAAAGTAGCCAAAATTCTATTTGTTCACTCCTTTCTCCTTTCCTACCGGACATGTCCTTGAGAGATTGAGAAAGTATCAGAAAGGACATTTCATTGAGAGATTGAGAAAGTATCAGTTACTGGCTTTTCTTAGGTTTTTGTTTTTTGGTTTGGGGGGTTGTTTTTTTGTTTTGTTTTTGTGTTTTTTGAGACAGGGTCTCACTCTGTCACCCAGGCTGGAGTGGGGCGCAATCACGGCTTACTGCAGCTTTGGCCTCCTGGGCTCAAGCAATTCTCCCGTCTCAGCCTACCAAGTGGCTGGGACTACAGGCGTGCGCCACCACACCCGGCTAATTTTTGTATTTTTTGTAGAGACAGGGTCTCACCACGTTTCCCAGGCAGGTCTTGAAGTTCTGGGATCAAGCAATCTACCTGCCTGGAACTCCCAAAATGCTGGAATTACAGACATGAGCCACCGTGCCTGGCTTCTTTTCATGCCTGTAGTACCAATTCCGTGTCCTTGCACTGTGAAGTCCTTTCCAAGCTCTGCAATTCTAGTTCAGTATTAAAGAACAAGGGCTCTGGAGGAAGTACACTTGAGTTGGAATTCCAGCTCTGCCACTTACTGTCTGTGTAACTGTGGGCAAATTACTTAACCTCTCTGAGCTTAGTTTCTTTGTTGGTAAAGCAGGGCTAATAATATCAAATTCACTGGATAATTGGGGAAATTACCAGAGATGATGACGATAAGAAGCTTGGTATATACAGGATGTTAGTGGGACAGTTGATGAAATCAGAATTAGACTTGTAGGTTAGATTAGTACCATGCATCAATGTTAATTTCCTTTTTGGGGGGGTGGGGGGACAGAGTCTCACTCTGTCACCCAGGCTGGAGTGCAGTGGCACAATCTCGGCTCACTGCAACCTCCGCCTCCCAGGTTCAAGTGATTCTCCCACCTCAGCCTCCAAAGTAGCTGGGATTACAGGCACCCACCACTAGGCTTGGCTAATTTTTGTATTTTTAGTAGAGATGGGGTATCACCATGTTAGCCAGGCTGGTCTGGAGCTCTTGACCTCAAGTGATTTGCCCACCTCGGCCTCCCAAAGTGCTGGGATTACAGGCATGAGCCACTGTGCCCGGCCGCATCAATGTTAACTTTCTGATTTTGATAATGGTACACGGTCTAAATATTAAATAATAGTTTTGTATTAGTGTATTGATTTGGGTAACGGTAATGGTAATTTTGGTAATGGTTATATAAAAGAACATCCTTGTTTTTTAGGAAACAAAAGGGCATCATCTTTGCAACTGATTCTCAAACAGTTCACAAAAAAAAATGGAGAGAGAGAGAAAGAGAGAGAGAGAGAGGGAGAGAAATGGTATTCCAGGCATGAAAAGAACGTGAGAAAGAAAAGCAAATGTGGTAAAATGTTAACATTTGGAAAATCAATGAAGGAATTATTTTTACTCTTTTTTTCAACTTTTTGTTTCTAAGCCTGAAATTATTGCAGAACGAAGTTTAAAAACAAAACAAAACAAAAATCCTTAACACATGGCAGATTCAACTTCTTCTACCTTCTTTCCTACTCTGTACACTCAGGGTTATCATATGCAATAGGTATTTTTAACTGAACTGAGGTAGAAAGGGTTTAGAGCAGGAGTTGGCAAACTAAGGGCAGAGGATCAAATCTGGCCTGCTGCCTGTTTTTCTTTTTCTTTTTAAAATTCTTTTTACTAAGAATCGGCACAATTTGCTGCCAGTTTTTCTATGGCCTGCCACCTAAAAATGGTTTTTACATTTTTAAATGAATGAAAAAAAATCAAAAGAATAATATTTTATGACATTTGAAAATGTTGTAAGTTTCCTGTGTCAGTGTCCATAAATAAAGTTTTGTGGGGTTGGTTTTTGTTTTTTTTGTTTTGTTTTGTTTTTTTAGACACAGTCTTGCTCTGTCACCCAGGCTGGAGTGCAGTGGTGCAATCATAGCTCACAGCAGCCTTGAACTCCTGAGCTGAAGCAGTCGTCCCATGTCGGCCTCCTGAGTAGCTAAGTAGCTGGGACTACAGGCGAGTGCCACCATGCCTGAATAATTTTTTTTTTTCTAAAGACAAGATCTTGCCTTGTTGCCAGGGTTGGTCTTGAACTCCTGGCCTCAAGTAATCTGCCCACTTTGGCTGCCAAAGTGCCAAGATTACACATAAATAGTTTTCTTAGAACACAGCCACCTATAATCCTCTGCATATTGCATATGGTTGCTTTCACGCTACAACGGTAGAATGGAGTAGTTGCAACACAGATCTTAGGACCTACAAAACTGAATATATTTATGTTCTAGCCCTTTACAGTATAAGCTTGCCAAAGGAATATAGATTGTAGATTGTTTCTGAGATTTTTAGTATTTGACTATGTTTGTAGTTGAAATGGCAATAGTAGTAATAGCCATTGTTGTGCTGAATGCTTTACCAGTATGTGTCACTATTCCTCCCAATCCGAGCTGCATGCTCTTATCCACATTTCACAGATGAGAAAGCTGAGACCCAGAGGAGTTAAATGACTTGCCAGTAGCCACAGAGCTGGGGAGCAGTAGAGTCTCTAAAGTTACATTGCCTGACGTTAGGGCCTGAGTTATTTTCACAAGGCTATGCTTCTGCTCATAGTGTACTGTTTGGTTCCCATTTAAATGCACAGACAGAGTGTGCTGGATGCAAAGCCCCCTGCATACTGGAGAATATGAAGGGACCATGAGAAGGCTGTCACCCTGCAGGCACTCATCTCTAAACATGGTACATGCTCTAATATAGACTAATACTTCTCAGAGTCTGATCCTTAGACCAGTGCTGTGCAATAAGTACAGAAATTCAGCCTAGGCACTTAGAAACTTGCAGCAATTTGAGAAAGTAAGTCTATCTGTTGAATCTAATAATGAACAAAATCATTACGCATCTATTTTTATTTCATTGTTCTAGTAATGTTTTATTTTTATTTTTTTAGACAGAGTTTCGCTTTTATTGCCCAGGCTGGAGTGCAATGGCACGATCTTGGCTCACTGCAACCTCTGCCTCCTGGATTCAAGCGATTCTCCTGCCTCAGCCTCCTGAGTAGCTGGGATTACAGGCATGTGCCACCATGCCCCGCTACTTTTATATTTTCAGTAGAGATGGGGTTTCTCCATGTTGGTCAGGCTGGTCTCAAACTCCTGACCTCAGGTGATCCACCTGCCTCGGCCTCCCAAAGTGCTGGGATTACAGGCGTGAGCCACCACGCCTGGCCTCTAGTAGTTTTTGTTTGTTTGTTTTTGAGACAGAGTTTCACTTTGTCGCCCAGACTGGAGCGCAGTGGCATGATCTTGGCTCACTGCAACCTCCACCTCCTGGGTTCTCGCAATTAAACCTCGGCCTCCTGAGTAGCTGGGACTACAGGCTCACACCACCATGCCAGGCTGATTTTTTCGTATTTTAGTAGAGATGGGGTTTCACCATGTTGCCCAGGCTGGTCTTGAGCTCCTGAGCTCAGGCAATCCACCCCCCTCAGCCTCCCAAAGTGCTAGGATAACAGGTGTGAGCCACCACACCCGGCCTATTTTTCTAATAATTTATTTTTATTGAATTTTTATGAAAGGATCAATCCTTGATAGGCAGGAAAGAGCACTAATAATTAAAAAAAAAAAAAAAAAGTCCGGCCGCGGTGGCTCACACTTGTAATCCCAGCACTTTGGGAGACTGAGGCGGGGGGATCATGAGGTCAGGAGATGGAGACCATCCTGGCTAACATGGTGAAACCCCGTCTCTACTAAAAATACAAAAAATTAGCCGGGCGTGGTGGCGGGCGCCTGTAGTCCCAACTACTCGGGAGGCTGAGGCAGGAGAATGGCGTGGAACCCGGGAGGCGGAGCTTGCAGTGAGGTGAGATTGCGCCACTGCACTCCAGCCTGGGCGACAGAGCGAGAATCTGTCTCAAAAACAAAACAAAACAAAACAAACAAACAAAAAAACACAACTCATCCTTTACCAAAAATAGTTTGAGAAGCACAGAGGCCTCATCAGTAGCATAAGAACAATGAGAGGGAGAAAAACGTGTGGCCCCAAAACATAGGAAAGCTTTGTTTTTCTGTTCTAACAGGGCTCTACACACAAGTTAATCATCAAACTCAGTTTCTTTGATCTGTTTTCCCTTATGGAGTTTTCCTACTCAGCAAATTTTCATTCCCAGTGTCAGTTCTGACCTGCATTTCAATAAAAAATTTTATGTAACCTACCTTCCTTCCTTTCTTCCCTCCTTCCTTCCTTCCCTCCTTCTTTTCTTTTTCTTTCTTTCCTTCTTTCTTTTCTTTTTCTTTCTTTCTTTCCTTCTTTCTTTTCTTTTTCTTTCTCTCTCTCTCTCTTCTCTCTCCCTTTCTTTCTTCTTTCTTTCTCTCTCTTTCTTTCTCTTTTCTCTCTCTCTCTCTTTTCTTTCTTGTCTCACTTTGTTGCCCAGGCTGGAGTGCAGTGGCGTGATCATGGCTCACTGCAGCCTTGAACTCCAGGTCTCAGGTGATCCTCCCACCTCAGCCTCCTGAGTAGTTGAGACTACAGGCACAGGCCACCATGTCTGGCAAATTTTTCTTTTTTCTTTTTGTAGAGATGGGGTTGCCCCATATTGTCCAGGCTAGTCTTGAACTCCTGGGCTTAAGCAATCCGCCCACTTCAGCCTCTCAAAGTGTTGAGATTACAGGTGAGAGCCACGGCACCCGGCCTAATTTTATATTTCTAATATTTTTTAAATGCCATTAAAGTGATTATAATTTGGAATAGGTTTTAAAAGAGTATTAAATTACACACATTAAAGGCAAGAAAAATAAACATGTACTCCATTAGAAAGACAAGGCAAATAAATGTGATACATTGTCCTAGACTGGATCTTAGACCAGGGGAAAAAAAATCGGTAAGAGCATTATTGGGAAAATTAACAAAAGTTGAATATAGGCTATGGATGAGAAAATAATATTGTTTCAATATTAAATTTTCTATTTTCGATAAGTGATATTGTGGCCATGTTCTTTGGAAATACACCCAGAATTACACAGGAGTAAAGGAGCATTATGTTGCCAGGTGTGGTGTTGCACGCCTGTACTCCCAGCTACTCGGGAGGCTGAGGCAGGAGGATTGCTTGAGTCCAGGAGTTCTGGGCTGTAGTGCGCTATGCCGATTGGGTGTCCACACTAAGTTTGGCATAAATATGGTGACCTCCTGGGAACAGGGGACCACCAGGTTGCCTAAGGAGGGGTGAATTGGCCAAGGTTGGAAACCAAGAAGGTCAAAACTCCCATGCTGATCAGTAGTGGGACTGAGCCTGTGAATAGCTGCTGCACTTTAGCCTGGGCAACATAGCAAGACCCCATCTCAAAAAAAAAGGAGCATAATGTCTACACCTTATTCTCATATGATAACTATAATAATATGTTTATACTTCCATACATATAATTATATATTACACATAATACACATGTACCTTACATGAAAATGGTGGGAGACCAAGTGATAGAGCAAATAAAGCAAAATGTTAACAATTGATGAAGTAGGTAAACAGCATACAATAATTCTTAAGTCAAAATTAGAAGTTATTTAAAAAACTGAAAATAACGAGGTCTCTGGCCTACAAATGTGGGCAATTCTGCTGTGCAGCAATTCCTTAGCCTCCTCACACGTCTTTGAGCTTTCTGATGCAAAAAGTCCTGAAACCTAACTTGTCCTGGGGTTAAGTCGTGCAACCAATTTGATGGGTATGGTTATGAAACAACAACAAAAAAATTGTGAAATCATCAGCCAACAGTTTCTCTACAGTTCCTAATAAAAATTGATAGCTGTGATGAGGTACAGGACTATGCCTTATGGTAGTCACAGGTTTTGAGATGACTTTTTCCCCATGCTTACCCTCTGGGAGTCTGAGATATCTGAAAACATAAAATGCCTCAAGTGAGGCCTGCCTTAAGAAAAAAAAAGATGTTGCTTCAAACATTCTTCTCTCCTGTCTTCTGTCTGTCACCTTCCTGTCATGGGCATCTGCTCCCCAGAGTCTCTCAGATGCATCTTTGCAGGTTTGTTTTTTCTTTTTCTTTTTCTTTTTCGAGATGGAGTCTCACTCTGTTGCCCAGGCTGGGGTACAGTGGTGCGATCTCAGCTCACTGCAACCTCTACCTCCCAGGTTCAAGCGATTCCCGTGCCTCAGCCTCCTGAGTAGCTGGGATTACAGGTGCACACCACCATGCCTGGCTAATTTTTGTATTTTCAGTAGAGACGGGGTTTTACCATGTTGGCCAGGCTGGTCTCAAACTCCTGACCTCAGGTGATCCACCCACCTCAGCCTCCTAAAGTGTTGGGATTACAGGCATGAGCCACCGCACCCAGCCTATTTCTTTATTCTGTTTCTTTTTTCCCCCTCATGTCTAATCTACCACCAAAGCCTGTCATTTCTTCTTCACCTGGACCCCTGGAGCTAGCCCACCCTCTTTGTTTTTGTAGCCATGCCTGCAGTTGTGGTTCCCTCCTTCTGTGAATGATCATAGTAGTTTTCTAGCTAGATTGAAGGTTAAAACTAGATGTGGCCAGAAAAGCTATTTGATTTGACACTGTCCGTGTTGACCCACCAGTGTGTTTGATTTTATTTAATTACAGTAGTTGTCAACATTTAATCAGGGGAATTTACATAATATGGATTTCCAGTTTCTCTTCAAAGATCAGAAGGTCTGGCCACGCCAGGCCCAAGATCCCATGAGGTAACAGTACTCCAGAGATACGAGTTGGGACATTCCTTAGGCAGAATATGTCTCTCCAGTTGGCAGCCCTCTCCATCTGATTCACTTCTTTCTTTTTTTTTTTTTTTTTTTTTTGGGTAGTGACAGGGTCTCACTCTGTTGCCCAGGCTGTAGTGCAATCATAGCTCACTGCAGCCTTGAACTCCTGGGCACAAGAGATACTCCTGAGTAGCTAGGACTACAGATATGCGCTTTTTAAATTTTTTTTAATTTTTGTTTTATTTGTAGAGATAGGGTCTTGCTATGTTGCCCAGGCTGGTCTTGAGCTCCTGGCCTCAAGCAATCCTCTCACCTTAGCCTCCCAAAACACTGACATTACAGGTGTGAGCCATCACACCTAGCTTTGGTTTGCCTTTTGTTTGACATGAACTGCAGTGGGCCCCAAGGTAGAATAAACTGACATTTGCAACTTCTGGGTCAGAGTCTCAGTGGTAATTTGGTCGAACCTCCATGATTACTGTATACGACATACTCTATGATGCCTAGATTCTCTAGTCACCTTTCTCCTGAACTCTCAGCTGCCTCTCTACCATAGCTACTGCTGCAGCACATATGCCACCCAAAGCCAACCATCTGGAGTCTCTGGCTCCTCCAGACTCTTCTGGACTCACTGGAATGAGGCACCATGCTTCCCAAGTGGCTGCCAAAGACGCTAGCTAGGTGGTGGTACCCACAAGGGCAGGTAAGTTAACTCCCACATGGAGAAGCCCAGTGCAGTGGAAGACCAGAGATGAGCCAATAAATAAATTTCCTCTGCCTTCCCCCCTCTGCTGAACTATTTCAAGATGTGGTTTCTCTGACCAGAGACATTCCACATGGTATAGTGGGTGCACCTGCCAACAAACTGTCTCCGTGTCTTTAAGGCTGGCATGAAGCACTAGCCTGCACAGTAACTCACTACCTGGCACCACTTCTCCTCCTTTCCTGCCTCATTTCCCTTTCTTCTCATTGTCACTGTCGTGCACTGTACCTCCCAAATACAGGATTAGTATTTAGTTCTTGCCACAGGCTCTGTTTTCTAGAGAGTTCAAGATGAGATAATCAGTTGCTCAACATGATGAACTATTTGAGCTTTCTCCAACCTATGCACTTCCTGAGCTTTCTCCAACCTAGGGTTTTGGGGAAGTCTGTTAGATTTTGTTTTAAGGATTATGGGTTTATAGCTCATCCCCAATTCAAATCCCAGACCTAATGCCTTTTTTAAAATGAAGTAATCACTGATTGAACTAGCTAAAGGAGTTCTTTCCTTCCAGAAATTCTCGTAGCGTTCTACATACATCTAACTTTTGACATTTATTTATTTAATTAATTAATTTATTTATTTTTTTGAGATAGAGTCTTACTCTGTCACCCTGGCTGGAGTGCAATGGAGTGATCTCAGCTCACTGCAACCTCGGCCTCCTGGGTTCAAGCAATTCTCCTGCCTCAGCCTTTCATATAGCTGGGATTACAGGCGCCCACCACCACACCCGGCTAATTTTTGTATTTTTAGTAGAGACAGGGTTTCACCATGTTGGCCAGGCTGGTCTTGAACTCCTGACCTCAGGTGATCCACCTGCCTCGGCCTCCCAAAGTGCTGGGATTACAGGTGTGAGCCACCGTGCTTGGCCTAACTTTTGACATTTATCTTTTTTCTTTATCTGTGTTATGGGTCTTTATATTCTGTGCTTCAATTCGGGCCCTCCCATTTCTTGTGGGAATCACTTCAGGAGTCTCCCATACTGCTTTATGGCTCCCAGGCCCAACACTCTCTTCCCCATAAGCCTTTGCATATGTTGTGCCCTCTGCCAACAGACTTCTTCCTTTTCCATTTTTGTCTCCAGTCAACTTCTATTCTATCTTTTCATATTCTTTAAAGGAATTCAAGCATGGCCGCTTGGAAAAGCCATTCCAGACTCACCTTCAGACTAGGTTACCCAGCCCTCTTTGGGGTCCCCACAAGTACTCTGTCCACATCTCTATTCCAGCTCCATCAGTAGGGTGATTAAAGGTTTACTTATCTGTCATTTCCTAATTTTGAGTTCTCTGAGGCAAAAGTTGATATCATTTCTTTAATATAGCATCTGGAATACAATTCGCTATAGGTTTATGTAACAAATGAAACAATAAATAAATATTGCATTTCCTCTACTACACAGTCAAGGAAGTATGTCTGTTTCATCTTTGCATTTCAGCACCAAGTGCAGGACCTGGTAAAAGGTAGATGCTGAACAGTGTACTGAAAGAATGAATAAATTCACGATATAAAAGAGAATTTGTCACTTAAGTCACCTGGGGGAACATTGCCTTCTTTGGTGAGGAGACACCCTTAGACAAAGCTCTAATGAGGCTAACCAGCCACTCAAGCAGAAGGCAGCCACACTAGACATCTGGTTTCATTTCCTTTTACAAATTCTGTTGAATTGGCTAGGCATGGTGGCTCACACCTGTAATCCCAACACTTTGGGAGGCTGAGGTGGGTGGATCACCTGAAGTCAGGAGTTCAAGACCAGCCTGGCCAATATGGTGAAACCCCGTTTTTACTAAAAATACAAAAATTAGCCAGGCGTGGTGGTGTGCACCTGTAATCCCAGCTACTCAGGAGGCTGAGGCATGGGAATTGCTTGAACATGGGAGGTGGAGGGTGCAGTGAGCTGAGATCGCATCACTGCACCCCAGCCTGGGCAACAGAGTGAGACTCCATTAAAAAAAATTCTATTGAATTATAATGGAAAGCAACTGTTCCCTCCACCTCCACCTGTCCACAGACAGCCTTGCTCCTCAAAGGCAATTCCACCTGACTTCTGCCGGCCCACACTCCCTTTCTTTATGCTTTATGCTCTCTCCACAGTGGCCCTCTCTCAGTCTCTTGTAATCTTTATGTCTCCTTCCACCCATCTTCTCTGGGAGCAATGCATTGGCTTGTGATATTTGGAGGTAGCCTGGGATCCAACCAGCTCCCTGAGATTCCCCAAACTCCATTGTCAAAGTTGAGTGGTCTGGATGTAGCACAGAGCTGATGGACCTGAGGGGCCTTGGCTAAAGGAGATGGGGAATGACTTATCAATGGTGACCAACCAGGACCCAATGATGTTTCAGCAGAGGCCAGAGTGCACATACAACAGTCTCTCCCCATCAATCTCACCAGGTTGACTCAAACTGACTTCAAAGACAAGAGAAGGAGCAATATAAGAAGAAAGAACAGTTATCCTTCTTGAACTTTTCGTCAATGCATCTATTAGCTAGTGCTATGTAACAAACTACCCCCCCAAACTTAGAGGCCAATAGCAATCTTTTTTTTATTCTGAGACATGAGTTTTACTCTTGTTGCCCAGGCTGGAGTGCAATGGCGCAATCTTGGCTCACCACAACCTCCGCCTCCTGGGTTCAAGCGATTCTCCTGCCTCAGCCTCCCGAGTAGCTGGGATTACAGGCATGTGCCACCATGCCCAGCTAATTTTGTATTTTTAGTAGAGACGGGGTTTCTCCATGTTGGTCAGGCTGGTCTCGAACTCCCAACCTCAGGTGATCTGCCCACCTCGGCCTCCCAAAGTGCTGGGATTACAGGCGGGAGACACTGCGCCCAGCCAGCAATCGTTTATTTAGTTCATGATTCCGCAGGTCAGCTGAGCGATTCTTCTGGTTTTGGCTCTACTGGACTTCCCATGCCTCTGCAGACAGCTGGTGAAACTCCTGGTGTGGAATGATCCAGGATGGCCTGACGCATACAATTGAGAAGTGGCAGAAACAATGGAAAGACAATTGGGTCACATGTCTCTCAACCTTCAGCAGGCTAGCCTAGGTATAAGCACATGAAGGAAGGGTTCCAAGTACCATGAAAGAGGTGAGTCCCAGTGCATATTTGGGACCTTTTCTGCTGTCTCACTGACAAAAGTAAATCACACATCCAAACCCCATCCAAAGGGTGGAGAAACTGACTCTGCTTCTTGGTGGAGAACCTCCTCTTGGTGGAGATTGCCAAGGGGCATGGATGTGGAGAAGGCAGGAATTAAAAAAAAAATTTTTTTTGAGTCCGCATCTTACTCTGTCACCTAGGCTGGAGTGCAGTGGCGTGGGCTCAGCTCACTGCAACCTCTACCTCCCAGGTTCAAGCGATTCTCTTGCCTCAGCCTCCCAAGTAGCTGGGACTACAGGCACATGGCACCATGCCCGGCTAACTTTTTGTATTTTTAATAGAGATGGGGTTTCACTGTGTTAGCCAGGATGGTCTCCATCTCCTGACCTTGTGATCTGCCTGCCTTGGCCTCCCAAAGTGATGGGATTACAGGTGTGAACCACCTTGCCCGGCCTCTTTTTTTTTTTTTTTTTTTTTTTTGAGACAGAGTCTCACTCTGTCGCCCAGGCTGGAGTGCAGTGGCACAATCTCCGCTCACTGCAACCTCTGCCTCCTGGGTTCAAGCAATTCTCCTGCCTCAGCCTCCTAAGTAGCTGGGATTATAGGTGCTTGCCCTGCTAATTTTTTGTAGAGATGGGGTTTCACAATGTTGGCCAGGCTGATCTCAAACTCCTGACCTCAGGTGATCCACCCACCTTGGCCTCCCAAATCTGAAATAACAGCCCTGGGCAAAGGCTCTTTGGCAGGAGTTGGTAAGGCAAGGGCAAGACAGAGGAAGAAGCTGTGGCCAGAGCTTAGTATCTTGTTCAATTGAGTGATTGTGTGAGATGATTCCAAATTGTATCTCTTTGCTACTGGGAATGATAGTTACTGGCGATTTCCAGGGTAAGATGTTCTAGGATCAGGTACACATTGCGCACCATCTCCCAGCACAGCTCTCTCCACAGGCACCCTCCTCTTTCAGGTCTCTGTCCAAATGCCACCTCCTTAACCAATCTTCCCCCACCTCATCTCATTCAGCTTTTTAATTTTCTTCATATCACTACTGCAATCTTTTCTTTTTCCAAAAATTGTTTTTAAAAAAATAAAACCACGAAATATATATAAAATAATATTTACAAAATATATGTATGGCATGAAAAGTAACGACGCAATAAACATTCTCACATTTACTCCCCAATCCCTCCCCTGCGTCTGACCCTCTGCCATTCCATGTTCTTCCTCCTACCTCACTGGAAACCACTATCCTAAGTTTCTGTTTATCATTTCCCTCCCCTGCCCTCCCCTCCCCTTCCCTCTTTCTCTCTTTCTTTCCTTCCTTCTTTCTTTTTTCTTTTTTTTGAGAGAGTCTTGCTGTGTCGCCCAGGCTGGAGTGCAGTGGCACAATCTCGCCCCACTGCAACCTCTGTCTTCTGGGTTCAAGCTGTTCTCCCACCTCAGCCTTCCCAGTAGCTGGGATTACAGGCATGTGCCACCACACCCAGCTAATTTTTTGTATTTTTAGTAGAGACAGGGTTTCACCATGTTGGCTAGGCTGGTCTCCAACTCCTGACCTCAAGTGATCCACCCATCTTGGCCTCCCAAAGTGCTGGGATTACAGGTGTGAGCCACCGCGCCCAGCCTATCATTCTCTTTTCAATATAGTTTTACCCTGTATAAGGTAGGACTATATTATTTTTACTCCTAAATAATACATTGTGTGTTTTTCCATATTTTAAAACTTTAGGGTCGGGCGTGGTGGCTCACACCTGTAATCCCAGCACTTTGGGAGGCCGAGGTGGATGGATCACAAGGTCAGGAGTTCAAGACCAGCCTAGCCAAGATGGTGAAACCCTGTCTATACTAAAAACTACAAAAATTAGCCAGGTGCAGGCCGGGTGCAGTGGCTCACGCATGTAATCCCAGCACTTTGGGAGGCCGAGATGGGTGGATCACTTGAGGTCAGGAGTTTGAGACCAGCCTGACCAACATGGTAAAACCCCATCTCTACTAAAAATACAAAATATTAGCCAGCTGTGGTGGCGGGCGCCCGTAATCCCAGCTACTCAGGAGGCTGAGGCAGGAGAATTGCTTGAAACTGGGAGGCAGAGGTTGCAGTGAGCCGAGATCGCACCACTGTACTCCAGCCTGGGCGACAGAGTGAGACTCAGTCTTAAAAAAAAAAAAAAAAAAATTAGCTGGGTGTGGTGGCAGGTGCCTGTAATCCCAGCTACTCGGGAAGCTGAGGCAGGAGAATCGCTTGAACCCGGGCGGTAGAGGTTGCAGTGAGCCAAGATGGCGCCACTGCACTCCAGCCTGGGCGACAGAGCGAGACTCTGTCTCAAAAAAAAAAAAACAAAAAACAAAAAACAAACAAACAAAAAAACTTTAGGCAAATGGAATCATTCTCAATGGTTCCCCCCCGCCCCCAGATTGAACTGTTATTTGTAGCTCTAATTCTTTCATTTTCCCTGCTATAATATATTCTTCTATATGCATTTACTCTCATTTTTTTTTAAATCTACTCTTCTGTTTATGGACAGGTTATTCCTGCTTTCTGCCATTAAGAACAATGTTGCGTTACCTTACTGTAGACACTTGTTAATTACAAAAGAAAACAAATGAAGTAGGGAAAACAGACATCACCTTAATAAAGTGATCAAAATTAACACAGACAAGGGGTGGGCATTGTGTTATTTAGATTTTACACCTGAGACGGATGGCACATTGCTTCTGTGGCATTCTAGCCAAAGAGCTTAATCTGAATTTAGTCATGAGCTTAATCTGAATTTAGTCATGAGCTTAATCTGAATTTAGTCATGAGGAAACATCAGGAAAACCTCAAATGAGGAACTTTTTATAAAGTTAACTGGCCTGTGTTCTTTAAAAAAAAAAAAAAAAAAAGGCCAGGCGCGGTGGCTCATGCCTGTAATCCCAGCACTTTAGGAGGCCGAGGCAGGTGGATCATGAGGTCAGGAGTTTGAGACCAGACTGACCAATACGGTGAAACCAGTCTCTACTAAAAATACAAACATTAGCCTGGCATGGTGGCACGGGCCTGTAATCTTAGCTACTCAGGAGGCTGAGGCAGGAGAATCGCTTGAACCCTGGAGGTGGAGATTGCAGTGAGCTGAGATCATGCCATTGCACTCCAGCCTCTGCAGCAGAGCGAGACTCCATCTCAAAACAAAACAAAAAACAAAAAAAAGACTTTATTTTTTAGAGTGGTTTTAGATTCATAGCGAAACTGAGCGGAAACTACAGAGTTCAAATATACTCCATGACCCTACAACATGCGCAAGCTCCCCCACTGTCAATGTCTTGCACTAGAATGGTACATTTGTTACAATCAATGAACCTACATCAACACATCGTTATCACCCAAAGTCCGGTTTACATTAGGGCTCACTCTTAGTGTTGTACATATTATGGATTTTAACAAATGTATAGCATATATCCACCATTATACTATCATATAGAATAGTTTCACTGCTCCAATAATCCTGTCCTCTACCCATTCATTCCTCCCTTTCCATAATTCTCAGCAACCACTGATCCTTTTACTGTCTCCATAGTTTTGCCTTTTCCAGAATGTCATTTGGCTGGAATCACACAGTATGTAGCCTTTTCAGTTTGGCTTCTTTCAACCAGTAATATGCATTTAAGACTTCTCCATGTCTTTTCATGGCTTGATAGCTCATTTCTTTTTGGCTTGGAATAAAATTCCATTGTGTGTATATACCACAGTTTATGTATCCACTTACCCACTGAAGGACATCTTGGTTGATTCCAAGTTATGGTAATTGTGAATAAAGTTGCTACAAACATCCATTCGCAGGTGTGTGCATAAGTTTTAACCCATTTGGGTAAATACCAAGAAGTGCAATTTCTGGATTGTATGAGTAGAGTATGCCTAGTTTTGTAAGAAACGGCCCAACTGTCTTCTAAACTGTATGTACCATTTTGCATTGCCACTATCAATGAATGAGAGTTCCTGTTGCTCCACATCCTTGTCAGCATGTGACGTTGTCAGTGTTTTGGATTTTGTAGTGGTATCTCATTGCTGTTTTGGCCTATATTTTTCAAAAATGACAACGGCATGACAAGAAAAGCCGAGGAACCAGTTTAAAGGATATGAAATAGACTAGATGTAACAGTGATCACGGATGGACTGCATCCTAAGAGAAAAAAGTGCCATGAAAGACATAATTGGAACAGCTGACATAACCGGAAATGGAACATGATTAAAGTCTTCTATCAGTATTAAATTTCCTAAATTTGATTGTCTGGTAGTTTCATTCTTAGGACATACATACTGAAAGACTAAGGGGTTGGGCACGGTGGCTCACGCCTGTAATCCCAGCACTTTGGGAGGCAGAGGCAGGTAGATCACCTAAGGTCAGGAGTTCAAGAACAGCCTGGCCAACATGGCAAAACCTCATCTCTAGTAAAAAATAGAAAAATTAGCCAGGTATGGTGGTGTGTGCCTATGATCCCAGCTACTCGGGAGGCTAAGGCAGGGAGAATTGCTTGAACCCGGGAGGCGGAGGTTGCAGTGAGCCGAGATCGCGCCACTGCACTCCAGCCTGGGTGACAGGGCGAGACTCCGTCTCAAAAAAAAAAAAAGGAAAAAAAAAAAGAAAAAAAAAAGACTAACGGACAGTGGGCCTGATACATGCAACCTATCTCAAATGAGTCAGAAAAAAATGTAAAGATAGAAATGTGGTATAACGTTAGCAACTTGTGAATCTTGATGAAGGGTATATAGGAACTTTTTGTACTGTTTTTGCAGCTTTCTTGTAAATTATTTCAAGATTTAAAAGTTTAAAGATTTTTTAAAAGTGCTGCCATTAACATTCCATCCATATTTTTTGATGCACACGCGCAAGCTTCTCCAGCATATTCCACCGAATGGTGTTGCAGATTCATAAGGTGTGCACATCTTCAACCTGACTAGCTATACAGTTTACAAAGTGCTGACATCCTTATTAATTTTATTTTTGCACTGTCTTTTTCTCTCACTAAAATTTAAGGTTGGGCAGTGCTATTAAAAGTGCGGCCCTTGGGCCCGCAGCATTAGCCTCATCAGGGTGCTGGTTAAACACACAAATCGTCAGACCTCCACCCCAGACTTTCTGAATCAGAAACTCTGGGGGCACAGCCCAGGAATCTTCGTTTTCACAAACCTCCAAACGAATATAAAGATCGTAGATTATATAGACCGTAGGGCCGATGTATATAATCTATTAGGGCCGCGTCGGCCTTGCAGGCGGGTCTCCAAGTGAATGAGCGGCAGAGTCCCATCATGCGCATCAGCCTGCGTGAACCAGTGCGCAGCGCGCCTTTCCCGGGCACCCTCTAGGTGCTGGCAGCTGGCGCCCAGATCCCCCGGCTGGGTGGGGAGGGGCGGCCGGACGGGGCGGGCCGGAGGCTGGCGTCCCCGCCCCGAAAGCACTGGGCCCGCCGCGTCGCACCGTCCTCTTTCCTTTCCTTCTCCCTCCCCTTTTCCCTTCCTTCGTCCCTTCCTTCCTTCCTTTCGCCGGGCGCGATGGAGCCGGGGCGCCGGGGGGCCGCGGCGCTGCTAGCGCTGCTGTGCGTGGCCTGCGCGCTGCGCGCCGGGCGCGCCCAATACGAACGCTACAGCTTCCGCAGCTTCCCACGGGACGAGCTGATGCCGCTCGAGTCGGCCTACCGGCACGCGCTGGACAAGTACAGCGGCGAGCACTGGGCCGAGAGCGTGGGCTACCTGGAGATCAGCCTGCGGCTGCACCGCTTGCTGCGCGACAGCGAGGCCTTCTGCCACCGCAACTGCAGCGCCGCGCCGCAGCCCGAGCCCGCCGCCGGCCTCGCCAGCTATCCCGAGCTGCGCCTCTTCGGGGGCCTGCTGCGCCGCGCGCACTGCCTCAAGCGCTGCAAGCAGGGCCTGCCAGCCTTCCGCCAGTCCCAGCCCAGCCGCGAGGTGCTGGCGGACTTCCAGCGCCGCGAGCCCTACAAGTTCCTGCAGTTCGCTTACTTCAAGGCAAGTCCGCCTCGCCCCGTCCCAGGCCCCGGCCCCGCCCCTGACCCAGCCTCCAGGCCCTAGCCCCGCCCCTGCGCCCGGGGCCGCGTTGCCCCTCCAGTTCTAGACCTGGCTCCCTCCCATCCAGCCCTGCCAAAGGTCTCCTCCAAGTCCTGTCTCCTTCTTCATCTCAACTAGAGATGAAAATGCCTTTCTTGAAGGGTAACTCTAAGGTAGAGAATACGTACACAGAACGCAGTACAGCGCCAGGCACCCAACAAAGTGCCTGATAAATGTTCTCTGTTATTTGAGGGCAGACGCCTCTTTTCTGTATATACCATTAAAGTCGCCTTTTTTCTCAAGTGAGCGGTGACTTGCGATAATAAAGCAGAAGACCTGAGGAGCCGACAAGTACCTTTTATTTTTATTTTTTGTTGAGACAGGGTCTCACAGTCGCCCAGGCTGGAGTGCAGAGGCGCTATCATGGCTCACTGCAGCCTTGACCTCCTCAGGCTCAGGTGATCCTCCACCTCAGCCTCCTGAGTAGCTGGGATTATAGGCGCGCGCCACCACACCTAGCTAATTTTTTGGTATTTTCTGTAGAGACAGAGTTTCGCCACGTTGCCCAGGCTGATCTCGAACTCCCGGACTCAAGTGATCCTCCCACCTCGCCTCCCAGAGTTCTGGGATTACAGTCGTGAGCCATTGCACCCAGCTGACTAGTTCCTTTTAAAGAGGATGAAATTGAGGCCAGGGAAGGGCAGGGACTCCTTGCAAGGACACATCCCTGCTTAAAGGGGAACTCGTGCACCGTGAGTCATCAGGATTGGCCCTCTCCGCTGTTTCTCTCTTTCATCTAGAATTTAACACAGTTCACTGCCTCCTTTTAATGGCTGCTTAAGTTCTCTCTGTGATTGCTGGCTAAAAATAGCCACAAATTGCAGTTCTCTATCCTATGGGTTCTCACTCCGAGGACCCACAAGTTTTAAGAATGGTTAGATTCCCTGTCACTAGATAAAGAGGCTCTAGCTTGGTGGGTCCTCACAGGGTTTGGCTAAAAGAGCCCTCTCAAAGCCCAGTTTCTACTTTCTCTGAGAAAGATTTTAAAAGGAATATATTGTGTTTTTTAAAATTACTACAAAAATAGATTCATGGCATATCCTAGACTCTTGAGGTAGAAGGTTTTTGTTTTTAAACTTTGTTTTCAGTTTCTGGACTGCAAGATCTGTTTTTTCAGATTTCCACCGAGACAGAGCCACGTGTATATTGTATTTATATGAGCAATAAAATAACACAAAACCCCAAAGAGGGGAAAAGCTGGGTTACTTCTATACTTCTATGCTTAGTTACAGTTTTATTTAAAGTATCAGTTTTGTGAATGTTTGTTCTGGCAATTAAAAAAAAACAGTTTTAAAACAGAAGCAGGGAATGAGATTAATAAAATTCCAGAATGTTGAAAATGAGGGCTGGTTCATACAAAGCATCATTTTTTAAGCTAAAAATGACTTATCTAATTCTTTTTTTGTATAGCTTTTGGCAAATATGTTCTGAACCAAATTTAGGTCACATAATCAAGAGGAAATCATTTTATTTTTAAACCTAGAGAATACTAGAACCTCTGATTTCTTTAATATACAGATGAATTTGAACAAGTGTTACAGGGAAGAGGGGAAGAACATTTTACTCAATGTGACCAAAAGGCATGGGTTTTCTCTTTCATCATGGTGGCCCCAAAAGGTTAGGATGGTCATAGCTTCTCTTCAAAACCCTTTACAGGTCTTGTAACAATCACTTAGTTGAAAGTCAGTAAAATACTATCTATCTATCTGTCTATCTATCTGTTTTTTTTGAGACACAGTTTCACTTTGTCACCCAGACTGGAATGCAGTGGCACGATCTCAGCTCGCTGCAACCTCTGCCTCCAGGGTGCAAGCAATTCTTGTATCTCAGCCTCCTGAGTAGCTGGGATTACGGGCATGTGCCACCACACCCAGCTAATTTTTGTATTTTTAGTAGAGATGGGGTTTCACCATGTTGGCCAGGCTGGTCTCGAACTTCTAACCTCAAGTGATCCACCTACCTTGGCCTCCCAAAATGCTGAGATTACAGTCTGGGATTTGAACCACCATGCCCGGCCACCATCTTAACATTTTGAGATCTCATATAGGGCAGGAAAAAGCTAAGAATTTTATTAATAAACGTGAATGTTACTTAATTGTTTCAATGGAAGATATAACTGAAAAAGTAATTTTTGGTGGAGATATTGTATGGTGTATTTTTTCTCAATGATGTTTATGGCTTGGCATGATGGCTCATGCCTATAATCCCAGCACTTTGGGATGCCAAGGTGGGAGGATCTCTTGAGTCCAAGAGTTCAAGACCAGCCTGGGCAATATAATGAGATCTCATCTGTACAAAAACATTAAAAAATTAGCCGGGTGTGGTGGCGTGCCTTTCTAGTTTCAGCTACTCAGGAGGCTGAGGCTGGAGGATCACTTGAGCCCAGAAAGTCAAGGCTGCAGTGAGCTGTGATCTTACCACTGCACTCCAGCCTGGGTGACAGAACAAGACTCTTGTGTCAAAAAAAAGTGATGTTTACGTGTTTAAACTCTGTTTATGGATAGAGAGGAAAAGATGGGTGGCAGGCACATACATTCTACCTGGCACCTGAAGGCTGGAGGTCGATATGAAGGTAGATAGTGCGCTGTGGCAGGACATGGATAAATGTTACTCTGCTGTTCTGAGTTGCAGTTCTCTGTTTCAGTGATTAAGGAGAAATGCCTCAATTGATCACTGGAATAGCAATGGTGGGTTCCGACTGCCAGAGGGAGGCGAGGAGGTTTGGATGTGTGCTCTTGTAGAAAAGGGCTGTGCTACTGGTGTGCAGCCTCAGGTGCATCATAGGTTTCTCGTCACCAGCCTACTCTAGGTCCATGTCATTAGCTTTCTTTGGGTTCTCTCCACAATTACCATCTTCCACGAAAAACTCATTTTTCTCATAGGCCAAGCAAAAAGTAGGCCGGAGCACTTCATCAAATCCTTAATGACTGTTGAGCTCTAACCTGGACAGAGAACACTGACTCACAGGCACTGTTAACCCCAGGCCTTGCCTGGCTGTGGCCTCTAACTCCCCGGAACCACAGGGCCTGCCTCTGTGTCATGGCTGATTTAGGGTGGCTCATGCTGGTGGCTGTATCTCAGGAACCCAAGGCAAGGTGGTTCCCTCCATCCCTACCACCTTCTCCAAAATCTGCCTGGGGTCTGTCAGAGGTTTGGTAGCCAAGATGTGTCTCCATGTTCCAGCTGCAGAGCCTGAGTTGAAGTAAATAAAATCACTCTTTTCTCTTCAGGAAGAGATTCCGTTTTGTAAAACATCCTAAGTTAGAAGCCTTAAAAATCCTACTCTGTGCCCCTCTTTCTATTCCTTTCTTTCTTTCTTTCTTTCTTTTTTGAGACGGAATCTCACTGTGTCACCCAGACTGGAGTGCAGTGGTGCGATCCTGGCTCACTGCAACCTCCGCCCCCCGGGTTCAAGTGATTCTCCTGCCTCAGCCTCCCGAGTAGCTGGGATTACAAGCACCTGCCACTGTGCCTGGCTAATTTTTGTCTTTTTAGTAGAGATGGGGTTTCATCATCTTGGCCAGGCTGATCTTGGACTCCTGACCTCGTGATCCACCCACCTCGACCTCCTAAAGTGCTGGGATTACAGGCATGAGCCACTGCTCCCGGCCTCTGTGCCCCTCTTTCTAAGTGCTGTTCTGAGAATTAGTGACTCTAATTTCACTGGCAAATGCTTTAAAAGGCAGCATTCATACCCTCTCCCTTCCTTCCAGCTGAAGACTAGCCTTTTTCTGGCCAGGAGTGTGAAGCTTTCTGTAGGGCTGTTTTAAAGGCAGCCCTGCCACAAGCCACTAATTGGCATTCCCAAAACATCAGCATTGACATCTGGGAGTCTGCCCTCATCACCACCCACCACTTCTCTGATGTGGCCACTGCCATTGTCTCAAAATGACTTGGTTCCAATTCTGGGGCAATTCGGTACCGATATATGCCATCCTATGACTCTTAGAAGTCTAGGGTATACCAAATATTCCTTTATTTTCTCTGTCTAAACCGAATTCCCTAATTCCCGCCTTGGAGCGTCCCTCTGGATTGGCTGAGTCTCTGTGCACATGCACAGGTGCCTGCCCTTCTCCCTACTAGGTTGTGCCAAGAGTCCATCAGCATGGGGGCCCTCTGGTTGGTGGTCATGAGTCCTCACAGGGAGGCCTCTGCATCCTTATTTGCCTGCCCTCCTGAGGTCCTGCCATAACATACCTGTTCTTCCTGAGGACTTCTGCCGTCTTGAACACTGCCGATAAGTGCCAGCCCTGAAGCTCCGGGGCCCGCAGCCCTGCTGCTCTCACAGATCCCAAGGGAAACTTTTTTCCTAGCCTGGGAGATTCCCTTTCTCCCTCTTCTTCTCCCAGGCCAGTCAGCTTCTTCCTGCAGCTCCTCTCCAATTTCTTTCTCCCCTCAAACCTGTCAGGCTCTTTTGTGAGTGCAGGCTTTTTTCAAGTGAATAATTTGCTGGTTCTGACCAGATATCTACCTCCCCTGAGACAGTGAAACTCAGAATCATTGGCCCCTTCAATGGAGAGAAGACAGAGGGGAAAAGAGAGGAAAATGTGAATTAATTTTATTATATTTTATGGTCATAATGTCATTATGTTCAAATCACAGATACTTATTGTGTCCTGCCTTGTCCTGAGGACTGTGTGAGGCACCAGGAATCCAGATAATGAATGACACACAGCTGGGTCCCCCGAGGATCATAGTCTGATGGGGGAGATAGACGTACCACTGAGATTGTAGGGTGGCGTAAAATGCGGGAAGACAGAACCCAGAACTAGCCCAACAGAGAGGCTCTTAATTGAGGCCACTAGGAGACAGGGAGAACTTAACAGAATATATGGTCCATGCAGGTGGGGATTTTTTTTTCCTGTTTTGCTTATTGTTATAGACCCACAACCTAGAAATGGTGCTCTTGTAATATGACGTTTATTGCTGCATGAATGGATGAATAAGTGAGGAGGTGGTGGAGTCATTGAGAATGTTAGCAGAAGGTCTGTGGGGGATTTGGGAAAACAATATATTTGTCAAGGTGCCAGTGGAAAAGATATGGTGCAGTCATATTGGGTAATTGGAGGAAAGTTTAAGAAGGTGGTTATTTACAAAGGTGTGTGCAGTGCATGGGGAATCCACAAGAGATAGTGTTCTGCCACAGGGGTGATAGCAGTGGGATATGACCAACCCTAGGCCAAAAGGGGCAGGGGAGAGAGCAGTGATTGAAACCGGGAAGGAGGGAGACTCTATGGAGAGGGTCACCTTGAGAAGAACTGTGATCTTCAATTAAGGGACATAGCAGCCCAAGAGGACTGTGCAGGGAGGGAACCAGGAAATGAAATAACATGACCTTACTCTCTTCCCTTCCTCAGTCATCTACTGGGGCTCCTCATGGGTGAACCTCTTTGGAAGCCAGAGAGCGAGGGAGTCTGTTGTTATAGTCCACACAGGCCAGCCTCCTGGGGCATGTAGCCAGTGCAGAGTAGATTGGGAAAGGCAGACCGAGGCCATCCAGACAGTCGCTTTCAGGAAATCAGCACTTGTCTCACAGTGCCTGGACTTGGTCTTGAGGGGCCCTGGAAGTCATGGAACCTTTAGCTGGAAAAGTTATAGCAACACAAAGTTTCTGAAGGACTAAGCAGATATTCTTGTTTTACAAAAATTACCACTTAGCATCCATGGAGTAGCTTTTATGTTCTTTGTCCTTTTAGGCAAATAATCTCCCCAAAGCCATCGCCGCTGCTCACACCTTTCTACTGAAGCATCCTGATGACGAAATGATGAAGAGGAACATGGCATATTATAAGAGCCTGCCTGGTGCCGAGGACTACATTAAAGACCTGGAAACCAAGTCATATGAAGTATGTTTGGATTTTTATGTGGCAGTTAGTGGCAACCTGGACTGTTAAAGAAATGTCTCTCCATAAGCAGCTGCTGATAGCTAAGGACCTCTAGTGATTTTTGGTGACATTTGCTGAATATTATGACAATAGAAATGATTGACTTTTAGCACAAAGTGATCCATTTAATAATGATATTTTGTATGCCGTGATGATTTTAAAAGCCATGTTCCCTTTAAATGCTACATTTTAGAAATATGGTCATTTAATTATTTAGTTTTAAGAGGGTAGATTAAAGACATATCTTGGAAATCATCTAAAATGACCAGGAACACAAGAAATAGAAACATAAATCTCCAGTTTTGATGAAATGAGAAGGCATATATTTTTATACACACTTGCACACAAACGCACCCTAAATATATTAAGGTAGAAAATGAAGACGAGTTAGGAAGGCTGATGTGACAGAGTAGAGGACACTTAAATCTGCGCATCTACGAAGAAGAGTTTTGATGAGAATTAGTCGTAAGAACAACAATAAGAAAGAACGATCTCGCCCTTTTGAGCACTCACTATTGTCAAGGTCTTCTGGAACTCAGGCACTGGGGGCCTGGGTTTCAAGCAAGGGCAGGGCATTGTTGAAAATGGGAATTTGGCTGGGCACAGTGGCTCATGCCTGTAATCCCAGCACTTTGGGAGGCCGAGGCGGATGGATCACCTGAGGTCAGGAGTTTGAGACCAGCCTGGCCAATATGGTGAAACCCCGTCTCTACTAAAAATACAAAAATTAGCTGGGCGTGGTGACTCAGCATGTCTGTAAACCCAGCTACTCGAGAGGCTGAGGCAGGAGAATCACTTCATCCCGGGAGACAGAGGTTGCAATGAGCTGAGATTGCGCCACTGCACTCCAGCCTGGGCGACAGAGCGAGACTCTGTCTCAAAAAAAATGAAAGAAAATGGGGATATGTGGAAAATATCCACTAGAAGTTATAGTTCCCAAGGCCTGACCACAGGGTTTTCTGTAGAGTGATCAGATCTCAGGCTCACTTTTTGACTGCTAGGGAAAATGTATGTGTGGAAGTCTCTTTTTGGGGGTATCTGTCAGTTTTCCAGGGAAGACTTCACCAGCCTTCTGCAGGGCTGGTGGGGTGCGCATACTCCTCTGCTGGTGTCTGAGAACCAGTGTGGGGAGAGGGACAGGGTCACCCAGGTGAGTAGGAATACTTCACCTGCTTCCTGATTTTAGCCTCATGCCTCCACTTGGCCTCTGCTACGTCTGGTCCCTGACTCCTCAGCCTTTATGGGTAAAGTCTCTAGAATAAACTGCCACTCTCTGGTGAAGAGTGGCTTTGGGAGATATGATCTCTTGGGTGGGTGGGTAGGTGCTGGGAGCGGACCCAGGACCCCAACAGCCTGTTCAAACTTGCAGCCCTGCTTCTAGCTCCATGCCTTACCCCAGCCTCCCGTGGTCCCTCATGCCTGCGCATGCCAATGGGACATATAGCTTGCTTCCCCTCTGGCCCCTCCTTTGTGACTATTTCACTTCCTGCCTTTCCAAAAGTTGTTGAAATCTCATCTGCTGCTTGCTCCCTTCCCATTCTCCCATAAAAGCAATTTATGCCTTTCATAGTCTTCACTGTTGTTTTCATAGGGTTTGGGGAACGAAGCCGAGTGCGTGTGGTCAGTGCCCTGGGCTTATCTGGAATTCAGCTAGTCCTGTTGGCCCTCACTGGAGCCCTTTTGGGGTGGCTGTGCTGCCCTCCTGTGTGATCAGGGGCCTCCTCTTTCTGCTTGGTCCTTCTTGCTGCTGCTGCTGCCCCGCTGCTTCTGCAGAACCAGCTGTCTGGAGTTGGCTACTTATTGACCCATTCTTCAGGAAAGGCTCCTTCAGTTCTCAGCCTGTCTTATTTCCAGGGCATGTGGCCTGCCCAGGAGGTTTAAGAAAATCCACCCTCGGCCAGGCGCGGTCCTCATGCCTGTAATCCCAGCACTTTGGGAGGCCAAGGTGGGTGGATCACGAGGTCAGGAGTTCAAGACCAGCTGGGGCAAGATGGTGAAACCCTGTCTCTACTAAAAATACAAAAAAATTAGCCAGGCGTGGTGGCAGGCACCTGTAATCCTAGCTACTCGGGAGACTGAGGCAGAGAGAATTGCCTGAACCCAGGAGTTGGAGGTTGCAGTGAGCTGAGATTGCACCACTGCATTCGAGCCTGGGCAACAGAGCAAGACTCTGTCTCAAAAAAAAAAAAAAAAAAAAAAAGAAGAAGAAAATCCACTGTCTTTACCTGAGGCCTTAAGCTTGGTGAAAATTCTAGGTCTAAGGGGTGCCCTCAGATACCACCATTCCAGAGCAGCTGAGAACTCCAAATGGAGGGTCCCATGCTTATTCAGGGCCTGTCCTGGCCTCTGCAAGTTAGCAGGTTTTGTGTGTATCCAGGATCTCTACTTATTTCTTGGAGACCAAGCTACTTCCTTGGTCCTAGTTTATTTCTCTCTCTCTTTTTTTTTTGAGATGAAGTCTCGCCCTGTTGCCCAGGCTGCAGTGCAACGGCACGATCTTGGCTTACTGCAACCTCCACCTCCTGGGTTCAAATGATTCTCCTGCCTCAGCCTCCTGTTATTTCTCTTCTAATCGAGTCTAATCAACAATTAGCAGAAAGTCCTTGAAGTTTCCACTATCTGGCATGTGGTTGCCCTTCCTAGTAACTAGTGCTGATGCATGGTGGCACTTCTGTTTAACTGCATTGTCGGAGGAAGTGGGGTGACAGACACCTGCTGATATGGTTTGGATCTGTGTCTCCACCTAAATCTCATGTCCAGTTGTAATCCCCAGGGTTGGAGGTGGGGCCTGGTGGGAGGTGATTGGATCATGGGAGTGGATCCTTTATTAATGGTTTAGCACCATCCTCTCTGTGCCATTCTCATGATAGTGAGTGAGTTATCATGAGACCTAGTTGTTTAAAAGTGTGTAACACCTCCCCGCTCTCTTCCTTCTTCTCTGGCCATGTGAAGTGCCGGCTCCCTGTTTGCCTTCTGCCGTGATTGTAAGTTTCCTGAGGCCTCCCCAGAAGCAGAAGCTGCTATGCTTCCTGTATAGCCTGCAGAACCATGAACCAATTAAACCTCTTTTATTTATAAATTACCCAGTCTCGGTTTTTTTTTTTTTTTTTTTTTTTTGACAGAGTCTCGCTCTGTCACCCAGGCTGGAGTACAGTGGCACAATCTCAGCTTACTGCCACCTCCGCCTCCTAGGTTCAAGTGATTCTTGTGCCTCAGCCTCGTGAGTAGCTGGGACTACAAGCATGTGACTACACCTGGTAATTTCTATATTTTTAGTACAGATGGGGTTTCCCTATATTGGCCATGCTAGAGGTATTTCTTTATAGCAATGTGAGAACAGACTAATATACCTGCTCTCAAACTTACATTTTTCTTTTCGTTCCATTTTAAAAACCAGTTTTATTGAGGTACTATTTATATACAATATATTTATCAATTTTAAGTGTATAATGCAGTAAGTTTTGACAAATACATCCAGTCCTGTAACTGCCATCATAGTTACGACATAGAATATTTTCATCACCCCTGAACAATTTCCTCTTGTCCTTTTGTAGTCAAGTTTTTGCTGTAACCCCTGACTTCTGGCAGCCACTGATCTGATCTCTGTCATAGTTTTCCCATTTTCCTTAATTCAGATTATTATCAAGGGCCTGCTACTTTTTGAATTGAACTAAATAAGAAATGTACCCATCATAAGCAAAGTAGAAAAATCTAGATATAAAGTAACTCACTGATTGACTTCTTCAAGGGCCAGTGTGGCTTCTTCAGAGCTAATGAGAGCTAGCTTGGTGGTGGTCTTGGTTCCCTTTGAGATTTCATGACTGTCTCCCTTCACGCCCAAGAGCGAGCTTCACTGGCTTCTCCATGCCTTTCAGAGCCTGTTCATCCGAGCAGTGCGGGCATACAACGGTGAGAACTGGAGAACATCCATCACAGACATGGAGCTGGCCCTTCCCGACTTCTTCAAAGCCTTTTACGAGTGTCTCGCAGCCTGCGAGGGTTCCAGGGAGATCAAGGACTTCAAGGATTTCTACCTTTCCATAGCAGGTTGGTGGTAGGTCAATAGGCTCACTACTCCCATGGAATAGTCTTCCTTAGATGTCTGGTTTCTGCCTGCATGCCTGCTAGATGCCTGGAGCAGCCTCTGAGGAATTTTTGAGCATACTTATTAACGGGTAACTGAGGGTAGTCACCACCTGCATAGATAAACCTTTGACTTGGCAGGGGCTTCTAGTGAAATCACTGAGAGAAGGTTCAAGCACAGGCCTGCCAAGGTAGAATTCTGTGTCTGCCCTACTTGCTTACAGATTTCCTACAGTCATTTTGAAAAATAAAAATGGGCCCAGGAGCACCTCAGTGACTCACATTACTGAGATAACTTTGATGATGGCAATTTTCCAACACATATAAAGGTAGAATGAACCTTTAAGTGGCCATCACTAAGGTAGCTTTTTGAAATTTTCTTTTCTGATTATAAAACAATGTGTGCTCATTATAGGAAGTTTGGAAAACACAGAAAGGAAAAATGAAGAAAGGAAGAAAATGTAAAACTCTACACATAGGTAGCCCAGATTTCTCTATAGTGCCTAGACATTTCCCAAGTGCTTTACTGGGCAGCATCACTCCAGAAACTGGGAAATGGCTAAGGGAAGCTCTTTCCCAAAGTGGTTTGAGAACACTGATCCTAGAACTGTGCCTTCCTGAAAGCACTAGATAAGTAAAATCTGGACTGTACCTTGGATAAAGGTATCATGTCTATGTACTTGTAAATAAGTCTGGGAATGGGCTGAGCACTGACTGCATCTCCCACTTGAAGAATCATTGTGCACTTTAATGGTTAAAGGCCCTTAGAAATCCTGCAGTAGAGAAGCTCTTTTAAAGTTATTGAATCCAGCGTTTTCGGTTTTGTTTTTTTTTTTCAGTCACTTTTTATTCATTAATCTCTTTCTACAAAGTAGGTTTTTTTTTTTTTTTTTTTTTTTTGCCTTAAGAAAACTTCTTGTTATGGAAAATTTCAAACATACACAAAAAACAGAGAGAAGAGTAGATAAACCACCATGTACCCATGACCCAACTTCACAATTGTCAACTCATGGCTACTTGAGCTTCCTCTAATTCCCACCTACTTTTCCTCTCATGTTATTTTGAAGCGGATTCCAAATGCCATATTATTTCATTTGTAATATTTCAGTATATACCTTTAGAAGGTAAGGACTCTTTGTTTTTTAAACATAACACCAAACTATTACCCCTGTAAGAATTTTAACAATCATTCTTTGATCTCATCATTAAATACCTAAACAGTGTCCCAATCATTTCAGAAATGTCATAAATACATGTGTGTGCCTTTAATTTACCATTTGTTTGAATCAGGATCCAAATAAGGTCCATCCATTGCAATGGGTTATCTCTTGAAAATTTTTATTGTGGTAAAATATACGTTAATATGAACTTTATTATTTTAGCCATTGTTCAATGTACACTCCAGTGGCATTGACTACATTCACATGATTGTGCAACCATCAGCACCATCCATCTCTAGAACTTTTTATGTTTCCCCAAATTGAAACTCTGTATGCGATAACTCCCCATATCCCCTTCCCCCCAGCCACTGGCAACAACCTTTCTACTTTCTGTCTTTGTGAATTTGACTACTCTAGATACATCACGTAAGTGGAGTCATACAGTATTTGCCTTTTTGTGACTGACTCATTTCACTTGGCATAATGTCCTCGTTTCATCCATATTGTGGCAAGTTGGTTATCTTTTATGGCTCGTTTAATCCATAGGTTCTTCCGCCATATCTTTTCCCCTTTGCTATTGAAGAATCTGCATTTTTTGTCCCGTAGAGATTCCCATGGTCTGGGTTTTGCTGACTGTATCCCCATGTTCCTCTGTCTTCTGTATTTCTTGTAAATCGGTAATTGGATGTAGAGGCTTGAACAGGCTCGGTTTGATTTTGTTTTAGGGTTTTAAATTTTGGTGGGAGTCAACTGCTTCATAGTTGATGCTGAGTTCTTTCATCAGGAGGCACATAATGTCTGTGGTTTCTCTCCATCTATCTTTGATACAGCTAAGATATATATGTATTGTAAATCAAAGAGTATCTGAGACAAGTCTCAATCAATTTAGACAGTTTATTTTGCCAAGTTAAGGATGTACTTGTGACACAGACTCAGGAGGTCCTAACAACATATGCCCAAGGTACTCAGGGCACAGTTTGGTTTTATACATTTTAGGGAGACATGAGACATCAATCAATATATGTAAGATGTACATTGCTTCAGTCCAGAAAGGCAGGACAACCCAAAGTGGGAGGGGGTTTCCAGGTCATAGGTAGGTGAGAGACAAATGGTTGCATTCTTTTGAGTTTCTGATTAGCCTTTCACTGAATATGCAATTTGCAGGAATAGTCACTTATGCTTTAGTCTGGCTTAGTGAAACAACAGAGCAAAGGAAACAACCATATATACATTTGTTCCATGTGAGCAGAGGGATGACTGAGTTCTGCCTGTCCTTTGTCCACAAAAACTTCCTTGTGGGCAAATTATGAGAGAGATTTGTGGCTTTTTTTTTTTTTTTTTAAATTTTTGTAGCTATCTTATTTAGGAATAGGATGGGAAACACATTTGTCCTACATGGTTCCCAGCTTGACTTTTCCCTTTGGCTTAGTGATTTTGAGGTCCTGAGATTTATTTTCCTCTCACAGTATAGATATATAGATATTTAGAGTTTCTTTAGTTTTTATTTTTAAATAATTTCAAACTTGTAGAGAAGTCGGAAGAATCATACAAAGAACTCTCATGTACACCTTACCTAGATTCACCAATTTGTAACATTGATTGTGCCACATTTACTTTATTGCTCTCTCCATATGTGCTGTGGGTATAATTATTATTGTTATTATTTTATTTATTTATTTATTTATTTTTGACATGGAGTTTCCCTCTTGTTGCCCAGGCTGGAGTGCAACGGCGCGATCTCGGCTCACTGCAACCTCTGCCCCTTAGGTTCAGGCAATCCTCCTGCCTCAGCCTCCCGAGTAGCTGGGATTACAGGCATGCACCAACACGTCTGGCTAATTTTTATATTTTTAGTAGAGACGGGGTTTCACCACGTTGGCCAGGCTGGTCTCGAACTCCTGACCTCAGGTGATCCACCCACCTCGGCCTCCCAAAGTGCTAGGAGTACAGGCGTGAGCCACCGCACCCGGCCTATTATATTTTATTTTTGAGACTGAGTCTCACTCTGTCGCCCAGGCTGGAGTGCAGTGGTGCGATCTTGGCTCACTGCAACCTCTGTCTGCCGGGTTGAAGCAATTCTCCTGCCTCAGCCTCCTGAGTAGCTGGGACTACTGGCAGGCGCCACCACACCTGGCTAATGTTTTGTATTTTTAGTAGAGACAGCGTTTTGCTGTGTTGGCCAGGCTGGTTTCAAACTCCTGACCCCAAGTGATCCGCCCGCCTTGCCCTCCCAAAGTGCTGGGATTATAGGCTTGAGCCACCGCACCCAGCTCTGTATAATTATTTTTATTTCAGAACTATTTGGAAGTATGTTGCACATGCATTATTACTCTTTACCCCATTATACTTCAGTTTATTTCCTAAGAACAATAATATTATCTAAATATCCATAGTAATTAAATTCAGGAAACTTAATATACTAGATACAATGCTTGTATTCAATCTGTAGTTCATATTCTCTTTTTGTTAATTGTCACAATAATGTTCTTTCTAGCACCTTTTTTTTTCCTGGTACAGGTTCCAGTTCAGAATCATGCTTCCTATTTATTTGTCATCTTCCTTTAGAATTCTTTAATCTGGAACAATCCTTTGGCCTTCTTTGTCTTTTTATGCCAATGATATTTTTTAAGAATATAGGCTAATTACTTTGTCAACATTCCTCAATTTGGGTTTCTATTATGTGTCTTCACAGTTACATTCAGGTTGTGTATTTTTGGCTGGACCGCTATATAAATGTCCTCCTCAGGATATCACGTCAAGATATGTATGATGTTTGTTTGCACCCTTATTGTTGATGTTAATTTTTTGTTGTTGGTGGTAGTAAGTATGTAAGGCTTTTTTGTTGGTGATGGTAGTAAGTATGGAGGCGTGTTTTCAGAGTCAACCAAAGTGGAAATAATAGTTCAAAGAGTAAATGTTTCTGTAAATTAATTTTAGTGTTTTAAGGTATCATTTTGTACTTCCTACCAGCAATGTTTGAAAGTGCCTGTTCCTCCACAGTCTTATGAAATGTGTGCAACCCTTCTGGAGTCTTTTGCTTCTAGCTGCATAAAGGGAGAAAAGGGAGGGAGCCAAGGATCATGTGGGAGATTTTAGGGATTAGGCCTGGAAGTAGCATTCCTTAATTGTTACTCTCAACATGTCATTGGCCACGACTAGTCATATGGCCCCAACCTAGCTGCATGGGAATTGTAGTCTTTGACTATATTTAGGTTCACCTTACTCTCTTTCAAAGGCTGTGTAGATTCTGTTATTTTTATATACTGTAATTTATTAATCCTCATCCTATTGATTGGCATTTAGGTACTTACAAGTTTGTTTGTTTGTTGTTATAAACAGTGTTTATGTATGCCTGTGTCTAAAGAAAATTTCCTAGAAGTAGACAGCTGGGTTGGAAAATATGTGTATTTTAACCTTTGATAAATTTTGCCAAATTGTTCTCCAAAAAGTTTGTTCCTGTTTTGCTTCCATCAACAGAATATGAGAGTGTAAGTTTCACTGTTCTCTTCTTAATACTACAGTATGAATTTGTAAAACTTTTGCAATTTGGTAGTTTAAATTATTTTGGGGGTAATTGTATTTCCTAATTACAAAAGAGGTGTAGTGTCTCTCAATGTTTTTTAGACATTTTAATAATTTCTATTAATATCATTTGGCCATTTATATAGTGGATGTTCATCTTTTTCATATTGATTTGAAACAACTTTGTATATTAAAGATTTTCAGCTCCTTGTAGGTGTTGAAAATATTTTTCTTTTTCTTTTTTTTTTTTTTTTTTTGGAGACGGAGTCTTGCTCTGTTGCCCAGGCTGGAGTGCAGTGGCGCGATCTCGGCTCACTGCAAGCTCCACCTTCCGGGTTCACGCCATTCTTCTGCCTCAGCCTCCTGAGTAGCTGGGACCACAGGCGCCCACCACGACGCCCAGCTAATTTTTTGTATTTTTAGTGAGACAGGGTTTCACTGTGTTAACCAGGATGGTCTCGATCCTCCTGACCTTGTGATTCGCCCGCCTCAGCCTCCCGAAGTGCTGGGATTACAGGCGTGAGCCACCGCGCCCGGCCTGTAAATATTTTTCTTTTAACTTTTTCATTTGGGCAGGAGGCAGTAGCATATTAAGAAAGTAATGGATCCACTGCTCTGAAAATTTATATGTTTTGTTTCAGATCATTATGTAGAAGTTCTGGAATGCAAAATACAGTGTGAAGAGAACCTCACCCCAGTTATAGGAGGCTATCCGGTTGAGAAATTTGTGGCTACCATGTATCATTACTTGCAGTTTGCCTATTATAAGTGTAAGTAATCTTCTGTGACATCTTGGGTGAGGCACTTAGTCCTTCTAAGACTGTAAAATAGAGGTAATAACTCTTAGCTACGGTTGTTGAGAGTTCATCAAGGTCCACTGACAACCCTGGTGCTATGCTTTGCACAAAAAGGCAGCATGGCTTAGTGATTCAGGGCAGAGCCTGTAACCACAGTGCCTGGGTTCGATTTCAGCCTTATCACTTACTAGCTTCTCTGTGCTTTAGTTTCCTCATTGTGAATAGAGATTGTAGTACTAACCTCATAGGATTGTCCTGAGGAGTAAATGAGTTAATAGATGTGAAATGTCTGGGGTATTCCCACACTGGCACATAGCAAACTGTGTGTTTGTTTTTGTTATCATTATTTCCCTTCCTCCTTATCACTAGCTTTACTTTTCAGACTGTTAGAGTTTATTTTCTTTTCTTTTTTCTTTCTTTCTTTTCTTTTCTTTTTTTTTTTTTTTTTTTTTTTTTGAGACAGAGTCTTGCTCTGTTGCCCAGGCTGGAGTGCAGTGGTGTGATCTTGACTTACTGCAACCTCCGCCTCCCAGGTTCAAGTGATTCCCCTTCCTCAGCCTCCTGAGTAGCTGGGATTACAGGTGTGTGCCACCACGCCTAGCTAATTTTTTGTAATTTTAGTAGATATGTGGTTTCACTATCTTGGCCAGGCTAGTCTTGAACTCCTGACCTCAAGTGATCCACCCACTTCAGCCTCCCAAAGTGCTGGGATTACAGGTGTGAGCCACTGCGCCCGTCCTGTTAGTTTCATTCTAGTTGGTCCTCCCTTGATCTGAAATGGGAGTTTCTCAATCAGAACGTTCTAGTGGACAATGGGAAGCAAACGTGGGAGAGAAGGAAGTTCAGGGTTAGACTTCAGAGCCTGCGTGTTTCGGCTTTTCCTCCTCTCCCTGTACCTGACTTTGCCAAGTGCCACTTGTTCAAGCAGTGTGTCCCTTGGCAGTTCAGTTCCAAGCACAGAAGAATTATTAGGGAAAGTGGCAGTAGGACTTCCTCTGCCCTAATGAAATGCCAGGGTCTAGCGGTGGCAGGTTTCTGGCTAGAATAGATCCCCTGGGTCGCCCCTTCACACTCAGGAGTGGCTGGTCTCAGGGTGCCTTGGGAAGAGTGAGAGAGGTGATCTTGGCTTTAGCCCTCCTTTCCCACTGTGGTAATTGTGTTTTTTTTTTGCGGGGGGGGGTTCCTCTTTATCTCACCTCCCATCCTCTTCAGAACACGTAAGCCTTGCACCCTGAAGGTCAGAAAAAGAAAAAGAATATGTATTATATAAATATAAAAAGCCATAAGGTCTTCTAGCTCACTGAGCATGGCTTGGTTCTAAATGTATAAAGCTAGAACACTAGGAATTTAGAAGTGTTCTGGATGCATGCGGGCTCTGGCAGCTCCCTGGGCCTCTGAAATCCTCACGTGCCCTGAAAATCGCCCTGCATATCAGAAACTGGCAAAGACTTATCAACACTGGTGGACTGAGGCCTCTAGCTATGCTTGCTGCTTCCCAGGAAATCTGCTTTCGGGGATCAACAGTATGAATGAAGTGTACTTCCTGAAATGAGCTTCCTGAAAATCTGCCCCGTTTTGAATTTTTTCTAGACCACCTACCATGCTACATTGCTTGAGGGCAGGTGGTATTATTTATATTTGAAGAGTAAATGTCCCTAAGAGCTGGCTTTAAAGTAGTCATTACAGGAAACAGCCACTGGGTGGCACAATTTATTCATACCCAAGCTTTGGCTTCTCCGGCCAACCACAGCTTTAGCAAAGGTACTGTTGTGTAAATTAGAGTGGAATGTGCCAGAATACATACCAGGGGCTTGTGTCTCATCACCTCTTCCTCATCCTGCACTCCCAAGACAAATCCCAAGCCCTGCAAAATCCCTATGCTGAAGGTACTGTCACAGGTGGGCAACACCAAGCAGAGAGGCTGGAGGTGGGAGTTCCAACCTCAGGAGGTGGCAAAACTAGGCGACTTTCCAAATCCCCTCCAACCCAGAGGCTCCACCATCCTTTGGGTTTTCCAGGTCTGGTTTAGCTGTAGGGGAGCTAACCTAGATCTGGAGACTGTGGTCCCATCCAGATGGGATCCAGACACTCTAGGACCCAGATGAGACACCTGTTTGCTGAGCACATCCTCCCTATCTCCCTCAGCCCCAGGACAATCCAGCTTTTTCCAGCTGCTTCCAGGGACCTGAGACCAGCTCAGGTCACCAGAGCTGGAAGTGGAACATAGGCATTTCTCCATAGGCATGTGCCTAACTAGAACTAAGTTTCAAGCCTGGCCTCCAGGCTGCCGTGGAGACCCCATCTGTGGCCTGCCCACCCAGGGCTGCCAGTCGGCCCCAGGCTCTCTGAAGAAGGACTGTGGAGAAGGGGCTTGTTCATATGGCCTTTTTGTTTAGAAGCAGAGAAATTATAGGGTGTGGTTTGCTGATTTCTTCATTTGTCTTTTCTTCCCAACCCTAGTGAACGACCTGAAGAATGCAGCCCCCTGTGCAGTCAGCTATCTGCTCTTTGATCAGAATGACAAGGTCATGCAGCAGAACCTGGTGTATTACCAGTACCACAGGGACACTTGGGGCCTCTCGGATGAGCACTTCCAGCCCAGACCTGTAAGTCTGGTGCACCACACCTTCCCTTTTCTCTTCATTCTTGCCTTCTGGAGACTACCTCGTGCCTTAAGAGAAAGGGTTATTTTGGAAATAAAGGGGCTGGGCGCGGTGACTCATGCCTGTAATCCCAGCACTTTGGGAGGCCGAGGCGGGCGGATCATGATGTCAGGAGTTCGAGACCAGCCTGGCCAACACGGTGAAACCCCATCTCTACTAAACATACAAAAATTAGCCAGGCGTGGTGGCACGTGGCTGTAGTCCCAGCTACTTGGGAGGCTGAGGCAGAAGAATCGCTTGAACCCAGGGGCAGAGGTTGCTGTGAGCCGAGATTGCGCCAAAAAAAAGGAAATCAAGGAAAAGTCATTTTTTTCTGTAGTTTTGTGCATGTGTGTGTTTTAACATTTTACTGCTTCATTCTGATTTCTGAATCTGTAAAAACTCTACAAATTTCAAACATTACAGAAATATTTTACTTTGAAAACAAAATTCTCTCATAATCCTACACCTTCTTTCTCTCTCGGAAAACAAAATTCTCTCGTAATCCTACACCTTCTCTCTCTCTTTTTTTTTTTTTTTGAGACAGAGTCTTGCTCTGTCACCCAGGCTAGAGTGCAGTGGCGTGATCTTGGCTCACTGCATCCTCTGCCTCCTGGGTTCAAGCGATTCTCTTGCCTTAGCCTCCCGAGTAGCTGGGATTACAGGCGTGCACCAACATATCACACTAATTTTTGTAGTTTTAGTAGAGATGGGGTTTCGCTGGGCTAGTCTCGAACTCCTGGCTTCAGGTGATCTGCCCACCTCAGCCTTTCAAAGTGCTGGGATTTACAGGCATGAGCCACTGCGCCCAGCCTGTGCCATCTCTTTATCTCCTGCTTTAAAGGTATATATTTACTCATATATATAGTAAATATTTGTGTATTTTTATAAAAACAAGGTCATATTTACATAGTTTTACAACTTTTTGCAACTTTGTCTTTCTGACAATTTGTCGTGAATATTTCTCCATGTCACATCCATGTATCATCTTAATTATTATCCTTTAACAGCTCCCTGGTAGTCTCTTTTGCGGATGGACCATCATTTAATTCCCTTGATAGGCAAACTCACCACTTAGCATGTGTTGTCAGTGAACCCCATTCATTATATATTACTTTCAAAAGATTTTTTCTAATTGATCTTTGCTCTTGTATTTTCATTGGGATTTCTATATGCCATCTTGATTTTCATAAGTTTGTCTTCCACTGAGGGCTGGCCACTCTTTTTTAAAAATTGAGATATAATTTATATAGGATAGAATTCACCTTTTTAAAGTGTACAATTCAGTGGTTGTTAGTATATTCAGAGTTGTACAGCCATTACCACTATCTAATTTTAAACATTTTCATCACCTTAGAAAAAACCCCATATCCTGTTCCTCCCTCCTCCCAGTTCTAAGATGAAAAGGTTGGTCCTATAAACTGTTCTCTGTTGTGTCTGAACAGGAAGCAGTTCAGTTCTTTAATGTGACCACACTCCAGAAGGAGCTGTATGACTTTGCTAAGGAAAATATAATGGATGATGATGAGGTAAGTTTTCATGCTTAGCACATGTCTGGTGGCTACGAGAAAATATTACTCACATCTTTGCTAGAATCACTGGAAGGCTGAGTCCTCCCTGAAGTAAGAAACAGAGGGGACCTTGAGAAAGACAGTTCCTGTGGGTGTTTCAGTGACAGTCAGAATGCTGGCATGGGAAAGAGCGGCTTTCTAGGAAACCTAGGCAGGAGTGCCACATTTCCTGATAGCGAAACGGGTGTGGGGCCACACTCCAGGAATTCACAGTGGTCATTCTTCATCTTTTCACTTTATATAAAAACAGTGAATTTTTAATTGCTCAGCACTCTGAAGAGACATGGATACTCACACCCCAATTTTTCTGCTAGACTATTGCTATTATTATTTTTTCTAAATTGCATCTTTACTGTAAGCATTTTGTCATTCTCTAGAATTGCTTGAAATTCCTGATTCCACCTTACTCAGCTGACCCCTTTTCTGACCCTGACTCAACTGGTTATGGAGTGGTCATTTTGTGATGAGTCTGGTCACAGAAAAGCCATCATTAGCGGTAGTATTTAGAGTATTTGTTTGGAACAAACTGGAAAATGCTTACTGAGAAAGCTGGGGACTTGTCAGCTATTGGAGCTCGAAGAGAGCTGTGAGCTTGCTCTGGTCTGATCCTTCGCTTTATAGATGAGGAGCATGGGGCCAGCAAGTTTCCTGAGCCTCCAGGTCTGCTCTTCCTATACCCGTTTTAGGTGAAGTACCTCTGAATAAGACATCTTCGTGGAATTTGTTTTCTGTCTATAAATATGTATGGGATGAACTCATCACTGGCATTAAACAACTGAGTCTCAGTTCTTTATCTATAAAATGGGAATAATAATACTGCCCTCCCAGGGTTGTGAGAATAAAATACTGTGTTGCATGTGGAAATGCTTTCTAAACTGGAAAGTGATGCAATGCCTATGTCTTGGTTTGGGTATCCTTGAAGCAGAGCCTGAGACAGGATCCCAAGATGCCACAGGGGCCATTCCCCCATTCCCTAAAGGAAGGAACACCAGCCAGATACCAACAAGATTGGCCACTGTGGTTTACAAAGTATAGCAGAGGCTGGGTGTAGTGGCTCACACCTGTGATCTCAGCATTTGGGAGGCCAAAGCAGGTGATTGCTTGAGACCAGGAGTTCAAGACCAGCCTGGGCAACATGGTAAAACCTCGTCTCTACAAAAAATACAAAAAAATTAGCTGGGTATGGTGGAGTGCACCCGTAGTCCTAGCTACTTGGAAGGCTGAAGGAGTCTGGGGAGTTTGAGGCTGATATTGCGCCATTGCACTCCAGACTCGGCAATTGGAGTAAGACCCTGCCTCAAAAAAAAAAAAAAGGAAAGTATAGAAAAATATATTTAGAAAAGGTAAGAGAAGTTGAGTTCCCAGTTATCTAGAGGCAAGCTAATATGGATATTTTGGTATATATCTTTCCATTTTTTTATTATTAAAGAAAAAATTTTATAGTTTTAAATTTGTTTTTCTACATATTTATTATAAACTCAGCTATAATTATGTCTCATGACTTTTTCACTTTATATTATTATGTGAGCAGTTTCTCTTGTTATATTTTTCTAAAACAGCTTTATTTAGATATTATTCACAAAAAATGAAATTCTCCTTTTTAAAGTATACAATTCAGTTGTACTTGTTATATCCACAAAATTTTGCATCCATCACTGTTATTTAACTTTAGAACATTTTTATTGCCCCCAAAAGAAACTCCATAGCTAAGTCACTTCCCATTTCTCCTCTGGGCCAACATTCCCACTCCTGCCTCCACCTCCAGCCCCTGGAAGACTCTAATCTACTTTCTGTTTCTGTGGATTTGCCTGTTGTGGACATTTCATATAAATGGAAATATAGGGTATGTGGTCTTTTGTGACTGGCTTCTTTCACTGAGCATATGTTTTCAAAGTTCAGCCATGTTGAACATGTTGCCTGTAAAATTTCCTCTGTACTACCAAGTAATATTCTTCTTTTGGATGTACCGCATTCTGTTTATCCATTCTTCAGTTGATGGATGTTTGGGTTGGTTCCACTTTTTGGCTATTTTGAATAATGATGCTATGACCATTTGTGTACAAATTTTTGTTTGAACATAAGCTTTCCAGTTTTTTATACCTAGGAGTATATACATAGGTATTATGTTAGGCCATTTTTGCATCACTGTAAAGAAATACCTGGCTGGGTGCAGTGGTTCATGCCTGTAATCCCAGCACTTTGGGAGGCCAAGGCAGGAGGATTGCTTGAGCCCAAGACTAGCCTGAGTAACATAGTGAGACTCTGTCTCTACAGAAAATTTAAAAGTTAGCTGGGCATGGTGGCACAGGAAGTGTGGCAATGGCATCTGCTTGGCTTCTGGTGAGGTCTCAGGAAGCTTATGGTCATGGCAAAGGGGGAGCTGGCGTATGTCACATGGCAAGAGCATGCCACACTCTTTTAAACAACTAGATCTTGTGTGAACTCAGAGTGAGAACTCACTTATTATCATGAGGACAGCACCAAGACATTTTTGAGGCATCCGCCCACCTGACCCAAATACCTTCCACCAGGCCCCACTTCCAACACCGGAGATTACATTTCAACATGAGATTTGGAGGGGACATATATCCAAACCATATCAGGTACATACCTAGGAATGGATTGCTGGGCCATATGGTAATGGTTTAACCTGTTGAGAAACTGCCAGACTGTTTTTCAAAGTGGCTGCACCATTTACATTCCCATCAGCAGTGTATGAGAGTTCCAACTTTGCAATATCTTCAACAAAACTTAATATTGTCTTTTTTTTTTAATAGCCATGCTAGTGGATGCAAGTAGTATTTCATTGTGGTTCTGACTTCCACTTTCTGTTGTTTTTCTTTTCTTTTTGAGACAGAGTTTTGCTCTTGTTGCCCAGGCTGGAGTGCAATGGTGCGATCTCGGCTCACTGCAACCTCCGCCTCCCAGGTTCAAGTGATTCCCTGCCTCAGCCATCCTAGTAGCTGGGATTACAGGCGCGCACCACCACACCCAGCTAATTTTTTGTATTGTTAGTTGAGATGGAGTTTCACTATGTTGGCCAGGCTGGTCTCAAACTCCTGACCTCAGGCGATCCACCCGCCTCAGCCTCCCAAAATGCTGGGATTACAGGCGTGAGCTACTGCACCCAGCTTGACTTGCACCTTCTTAGTGACTATGTTGAGCATCCCTTCATGATTGGCCATTTGTATATCTTTGAAGAAATGTCTATTCAAATCTTTTGTCCACTTTAAAATTGTTACTTATCTTTTTATTATTGTGTTGTAGAAGTTCTTTAGATATTCTAGTTATAAGTTCCTTATCAGATATATGAATTGTAGATATTTTCTCACAATTTGTGGGTTGTCTTTTCAGTTGCTAAATGGTGTCTTGAAGCACAAGTTTTCAAATTTGATGAAATTCAATTTATCTGTTCTTTCTTTTGTTGCTTTTGTGTTGTGTGTCATATCTAAGAAACCATTGCCTAATCCAAGGTCACAAAGATTTACTCCTGATTTTTACTCCTACGATTTTTGTAATTTTAACTCCTGCATTTAAATTTACAACCCATTTGAGTTAATTTTATGTGTGATATTAGGAAGAGGTCTAGTTTCATTCTCTTGCATGTGAATAGCCAGTTGTTACAGCACTATTTGTTGAAAAGACTTTTTCACCATTGAATTGTCTTGGTACCCTTTGAAAGAAATCAGTTGACCATAAATGTGAGAGTTAATTTTCCAGACTCTCAGTCTATACCACTCATCTTGATTTCTATCCTTAAAGTTAGTACTACACTGTCTTCATTAATATAGCTTTTTTTTTTTAAATTACGTGGACTTTCAACCAAGATTAGATTACTGTAGCTTTATACTATATTTTGAAATTTGAATTGTGAGTCCTCCAACGTTGTTCTTCTTTTCCAAGATGATTTTGGCTATTTTGGGTCCTGTACATTTCCATATGAATTATAGGTTTAGCTTTTCAGTTTTTGCAAAAGGCAGCTGGGATTTTTTTATAGGAATTCCACTGAACACATAAATCTCTTTGGGGAGTATTGGCTTCTTAATATTGTCTTCTAATCCATGAACATGAGAAGTCTTTCCACTTATTTGGATTTTTTAAAAATTTATTTCACAGTGTTTTCTTATTTTATTATTCCTAAACATTCTATTCTTTTTTAAAAAATTAAAATAAATTCTTTCCAACCCCTAGTATTCAAGCATTTTATTCTTTTTGATGCTATTATAAATGAAATTGTTTTCTTATTTTCACTTTTGGGCATATTCTAAAAGAATAGAAATACAATAGATTTTGTGTATTGATTCTGCAAACTTGCTGAACTTATTTATTAGTTTGTATGTGTATGTGTATTATTTTTCTTGCGTAATTGTTCTAGTTAAAACTTCTAGTACTATGTTGAATAGAAGCAGAGAGAGTGGGCCTGGCACAGGGGCTCATTCCTCTAATCCCAGCACTTTGGGAGGCTGAGGCAGGAGGATCACTTGAACCCAGGAGTTTGAGACCAGCCTGGGCAACATAGCAAGACCCCATCTCTACAAAAAATAAAAAAATTAGGCTGGGTGTGGTGGCTCACACCTGTAATCCCAGCACTTTGGGAGGCTGAGGTGGGCAGATCACCTGAGGTCGGGAGTTTGAGACCAGCCTGGCCAATCGGTCGAAATCTTGCTTTACTAAAAATACAAAAAAATTAGCTGGGCGTGGTGGCACATGCCTGTAATCCCAGCTACTCAGGAGGCTGAGGCAAGAGAATCGCTTGTACCCAGGAGGTGGAGGTTGCAGTGAGCCGAGATCACACCACTGTACTGTAGCCTGGGTGGCACAGTGAGACACTGTCTAAAAAAAAAAATTAGCTAAGTATGATGGTGCACATCTGTAATCCTAGCTACTCAGGAGGCTAAAGTGGGAGGATTGCTGGAGCTCAGGAGTGGGAGGGTACAGTGAACCATAAGCATGCCACTGCACACTAGGCTAGGTGACAGAGCAAGACCCTGTCTCTCTGGAAAAAAAAAGAAGTGGAGAGAGTGAACATCCTTGTCTTGTTCCCAGTCTTAAAAGGAAAAAGCATACAGTCGTCTTTCAGCATTAAATGTGAAAGTACGTTATTAGCTGGGGGTTTTTTGTAGGTGCCCTTTATTAGGTTGAGGAAGTTCTATTTTTAATTCGTTGAATTTTTTTTTTTTTTTTTTGAGACGGAGTTTCACTCTTGTTGCCTAGGCTGGAGTGCAGTGGTGTGATCTCTGCTCACTGCAACCTCCGCCTCCCAGGTTCAAGTGATTCTCCTGCCTCGCCCTCCCAAGTAGCTGGAATTACAGGCATGTGCCACCACACCCGGGTAATTTTTCTGTATTTAGTAGAGACGGGGGTTTCACCATGTTGGCCAGTCTGGTCTCGAACTCCTGACCTCAGGTGATCAACTTGCCTTGGCCTCCCAAAGTGCTGGGATTACAGGCGTGAGCCACCGCACCCGGCCTGAATGTTTTTATCATGAATTTGTGTTGAATTTTGTCAAATGCTTTTTCTGCATCTATTGAGATGGTCACATGATTTTTGTTTCCCTTGTTAATATTCATTATAAAAATGACTTTTTTGTGACTAATATTACATGATATAGATAATTTTAAGAAATATAGCCTTTTTGTAGGCATTTAGTTTGCTTCCAACTTTTTGCTTTTACAAATAGCATAGCAGGGACTAAATTGTTTACTTCTTCTCTAATCATTTCCTTAGAAAAAATTCCCAGTGGTGAAATTCCTGGCCTAAGGCTGTGAACATTTTCAAGACTTCTGATGTACAAGAACAACATATATAGAAAGCAAATCATAGATACTAGAACACGAAGAGATTTTTCACATGATTCAGTAAAGCTCTCTCATGTCACAGATAAGGAAACAAACTCAGAAAGGCAGAGTGGCTTGCTCATAGTCACACAGAGGGTTAGTAATCATCTAATGAACACGCCAAGCTTATTGCAGGCTTTAAAATTCCTAGGATTCTTGGATTTGGCACTTTCAAGATAAAAGGACTTTGTTGAAGGTTCTGGAGTAGTTTGCTTATTAATTGAGGCTTTAGAATTGTGGAAGAACTAATCCATCTCTAAAGAATGAACCATTTTCTTACTATATACCAAATTATGGCAAGTAATACTTTGAAATGAAAATATAACCAAAATCATCAAATTCTTAGTTAGTCCTTCCATTTTCCAAAGGACATAATACTCCTTTGAAACAAAGCATCAGTACACTTTAGCTGCTGATATGTGTGGCATTCTTCCTTATTATCTTTCTGGTGTTGAAATGTGTATAAGCACTCCTGAAAGTTTACGCACTGGTTCAGAATTTTGCAGAGGTTTATTACAGTTTCAGAAACTTTTTAAAACAGGCTGAAACAGATGCTTCAGGTTTCAAGTTCTGATGGTTGTTTGCTTCAGGGAAGTCCAAAAGAAATAGAATATAATTTGTTGGAAGGATGTATTGAGGGAGTGCTCTCAGGTAGGAACGGAATGAGGGTCAGGGGAAGGAGCTCAACAAATACGTGGTCTCAGCTGGAGTCAAGCTTCGCCTGCTCCCATGGGGGACTCTGGAGCATGAATTGCACCACAGAGTTGTTCTTGCCTTTTGTAGTCCCCCTTATCAGTCTGTCATTCGTTCTTCGTTGCCAGGAAGGGCTGGTGTGTAACCTCCCTGTCAAGACTGCTGTTTTTTTTTGTTTTTGTTTTTGTTTTTGGCCAAAGGCAATTGCCCAGAGAAGGGGCAGCTGCTAGCCATTAGCAAGCAGCCCTCACAGGAGTTGGGGATGAGTGCACTGGGAAGGAGATCTGAGTGAGGCCCCAACAGTATTCACTACAACAGCCATGCAGGGGATGCATTTCTTTCGTCTGTGCTGCCTCGGGCACTTATTACTAGTGAGCTAAAAGCAAACAATACCATCATCCCGCAAGTCACAACAGACACACAGCAGGATATAGTAACTCCCTAAGCAGAAGTCATAGCTATACACATAATCCCTCTACTATGCTGTGTTTTCCTTTTGGGGTCTAGAAAGCAACTGAAAAACAATTTTTCCAAGCTGTAGTGTCTACAGTTTGAGTTTCTAATCTCAGGCATGACATAGTAGAAGTATTTGATGATAATACTAAGACCCCCCATTTGTGTCTCATGTACTTGATAGGTTTTCCAGTTATTCCCAAATGCTGCAAGATTTTTATAAATTTCTCTGTGTTAAAACATCAAAAGGAGCCAACAGGCTCTTGGCCTGGGATGGTGAGCTCAGTGAAGGAGGTCGAGTTTTAGCAGGGTTGGTGGGGCCAGTCTGTGTTGACTCTTATGGAAGGGGCCTCAGCCTTGGTCATTCACTCATTCTCTGCAGAAAAGAGAATGGGTGTCATCAGCTGGTGGTCCAGGAGGGTTATAGAAGAGAAGTCAATGTGGAGAAAGAAATTGGGAAGGGTGCTGGGCTGCTTCAAGTTGAAGTATAAGGCTGATTGCAGAAGGAGGGAGCAGGTGAGCTCCTGGTACCGACACTGGGCAAGTGGATCCCACTATCCCTGTGTGTCTCTCCTGTAAGAGGAGTGATTGCTTCAGTCACACCAGCAGTATGTATGCAAGCACTCAATCATTCATCCTTCAACACATGTATTGAGCACCTTCTGTGTGCTGGACTCTGGGGAAGAAAAATCAACCCAGTCCCCTGGTCCTTGAGAAGTTTGGGTTCTGGTGGTCAAGGCAGAAAGGGAACAGATAGAAAATGTTCCTGTGGGAGACCTGCACACATGAGAGGGGAGGAAGGGGAGTAGGCAGAGATGCACACAGGAGGGCCACTTAGTAGAGCTGTTCACAGGCTGGGCTGTCCGCCTCACACAGCATGTTGGCGGATCTCGCAGAGCACTTGATACCAAGTTCAAATGGAGTGGAAGCCGAGGTCCCCTCCACAGGGAGAAATCAGGTCCTCTGGGCCCCAGACCAGCAGAAAAAACCTGTTTCAGCCAAAGCAGACAGTGGTGATGGCCTCTCGGGATACTGTTTCTGCTCATCAGTACTTTTAAAAGTCCAATAGCCCATTTAATAAAGTTGTCCTGTTGTCTCTTACAGGGAGAAGTTGTGGAATATGTGGATGACCTCTTGGAACTGGAGGAGACCAGCTAGCCCACAGCAACCAAAGAGACTTCCTCTTGGCGTTCAGGAAACACAGATTCTTTGTCCTTTTCCCAACAGCCCAGGCTGTTGATACCTCAGAGCCTTCTCTTTACTCTCCAAAGTGAAAGGGAAGCCCCCGTCTCTCTAACTGCATGTCATCAGGGGTGAGCCTGCCTTTCCTATCTTCACACCTGCCACCTCATGTTCACACCTATCTTTCTCACCTTTTTTTTGAGATGGAGTCTCGCTCTCTTGCCCAGGCTGGAGTGCAATGGCACGTTCTCAGCTCACTGCAACCTCCGCCTCTTGGGTTCAAGCAATTCTGCTGCATCAGCCTCCCGAGTACCTGGGATTACAGGCATGTGCCACCACGCCCGGCTAATTTTGTATTTTTAGTAGAGACGGGGTTTTGCCATGTTGGCCAGGCTGGTCTCGAACTCTTGACTTCAGATGATCCATCTGCCTTGGCCTCCCACAGTGCTGGGATTACAGGCGTGAGCCACCATGCCCGGCCTCTTTCTCACCTTTACACCTGTCTTCTTATCCTCACATCTGTTTTCACACCTTCATCCCTGTCTTCCTCATGTTCACACTTGTCTTCCCCATGTTCATAGCTGCCTTTCTTACCATTTTGGTTTGAAGGGCAGTCTTCTCTGGCTTGTTTTTTTGTTTTTCCCAGAAAATCAGTATTATTTTTTAAATAAGAAAAACATTCCTAGAAGATGATAATTGTGAAAACCTCCTTTGGCTTATTTGCTTTTCCAGATTTTAGTCTCCTTTCTCCCCATCCGGGAAAGATGGTGGAAGACATAGGCTAAATTTCTCCAGCCTCACAATGGTCTTCACTTGGTCTGACTTGTACCAATTCTAGCACCCACTGAAAAACAAGTTGAGTAGAGAGTGTAGAGTGCAGAAATGTGGCTTTTGCCCCACTTTGCATCTCCAAAATTACAACGGTTGGCCGATCCCATTTGAGGACAATGCTTAGTTATAAGTCTCCGAGTTGGAAAAGGAAGAAAGCCAGAGCTGTCTAGTTTCATTCATTCTTTCAGTAAATATTTATTGAGTACCTACTGTGTGCTAGGCATTGACCTGGGAACTAGAGATACTTCACAGAATAACAGGGAAAGTTCCCTGTGCTCATGGAGCTTACATTCTACAGGGAGAAAGAGATAGCCAATACATAGGAATAAATATATACAAGGTATCATGTAGTGATAATTGCTGTGGAGAAAAATAAAGCAGGGGAGGGAGTAAGAAATCCTGGAGATGAGGCTGCAGTTTTAAATGGGGCCTCACTGGGAATGTGACGTTGAGCAGAGACGTTAGGGAAGTGGATCCTGGACAAGGCATTCCAGGCAGAGGAACAGGATGTGCACTGCCCCAAAGTGAGAACTTGCTCTACGTGGTCAGGAAAGAGCAGGGAGACCAAGCAGAGTCGTGGGCAGGGGTAGAATGGAAGGAGAGGCGGCTGGGGAGGACAGGTGGTGGAGGGCCTTGGCTTCTGCTAAGTGAGATGGGAACCACTGGAGGGTTTGAACAGAGGAGTGCCTTGATTGATTTATATTTTGCAAGGGTCATTCTAGCTGCCATATTGTGAAAAACTTTAGTGGACAAGGGCAGAAGGAAGAGGGAAGACCTGTTAGGAAGCTACTGCAAGGTTCCAGGCTTGGGCCTGGGCCACAGCAACAGCAGTGGTCAAATATCTAGATTTATTTTGAAAAGAGCCAATAGGATTTGCTGAGAGTTTGAATGTGGAGTGTAAGAGAAGGAAGAGTTAATGATGACATTAAGGTTTTTGGCCTGAATAGCAGGAAAGATGGAGTTACCAGTTACTGAAATAGGGAAGGATGGGCTGGGTAAGTATGGAATTTGGTGCAAAGCAGGCTGTCTGTGGTTGGAATGGGAGGTTCTGGCTGCAAATCAAAGTGGAGAGTTCTCTCAGGTCAGGTCTGCAGCAGAGCTCGAGACAGGGATCTGAATGCACTTGGTTTATTGTTGGGGGTGCTCTCAGAAGGAACCTGTGAAAGCCTTTATCAGTCATTTATTGGCTGTGAGAAGTTCTCTGGGAGTGTGGGTACATTTGAAGGCAAGTGACTTCAGTTGAGGGCAAGTCTCTGGAAAAGAGGCTGTAGGCATCTGGCAGCTACCATGCATGGTAGTGTGTTGGGGGTGGGGGTCCTGGGCACTGGCTGTGTGAAGGGATCTGGCAGGGCACCACAGCGCCCCCTACTGAACCATCAGCATGTCAGTGGCATTTAAAGCCATGCAGCTGGAGGGGCCACTGAGATTGTCTCTGAGTATTACTGAGAAGCAACAGAAAAGAGCCATGGATGGAGCCCTTGGGCTCTCTGGGAAATGGGAAATCAGCCAAAGGACTGAGAAGGAGTTACCTTAAGGTCAGAGAAAACCAAGAGAGTGTGGTGTTCTGGAAGCTGAGCTTTCTTTATTCAACCTCATTCCCTTCTCCAAATAAGCCACTTGTGTAGTTGGGCCCCTCCAGGGTTGAAGGCAAGAGGAGAAAGGCACAGCGTTTGGGAAACAAGACTTTTCCTGCAATAGCCTGGGAAGGAATAAAAGGATAGAGTGTTTGGGTTTTTGTGTAATGGTGGTTAATTGGGGTGGAACACTCACACGTTGTGCTTTTTCTGGGCTTCCCTTATCCCCCAGAACACTCTACCAACCTCGGGGAACTCGGGCACATCCTTCTGTTTCTCCTTCAGCTCTATCCTGCTTTCCTCATCCCTTCTGACACCACGTCCTCACTCACCTGCACAAGAATCCCTGCATCAGGTTCTCCTTTGAGGGTACCCACCCAGGACAGTCCCCTACCACTTCTGTCTTGGGCTGAAGTTGCCCACGTCCACAAAATCTGTACTCCCAGCGGGGGTGTTTGGCCCGAGGAGTCAGTGTTATTACTGGTGGATGCACCGTGTCCACAGCAGCCCCCAATCCCAGCGATGCGTCAGATCTTACGTGGCTTCCTGCTGGGGGAGATGGCCTTCACCCACGGGATGCCGGGTTCTCCTTTCTTTCCTCACCCCAACCTTTACTCCACCAGAGAAACTTCCTTTTGAACTCAGTGGGGAAGAGGGTGATGAGACAGGACTAGAAAGTAGTGGGGGACCCAGCGAGTGGACGCCCTGCTCCGGGATTCCTGAGTCTGTAAATAGTGTGCCCAGCAGCTGTGAACTCCCCTTATAGCCTCAGGCTGCAGTGTCCTTCCCAGCTGTGTGAGAAAATGAAAGCCGACGTCCACAGGGACCCAGGCAGGGTTGGGTGTTGTGACTCACTCCACCTCTGTGCCCTGCAGAGGTACTGTTGGGTCCTTGTCTTGTGAGCCTGGGGTGAGCTCTCTGTACATGTTGTTGTTCCACGTATGGGTTGACTTGGCATGCTGGGGGGTCCTCGTTCACTCTCTGAAGTTGGCCTCCTTTCACTGGGGATTGAAAAGCACCTCCACCCCTACCCTAGTGATGTCCCCTGAGGACCCGGGTGATAGTACAGTCAATATTGTCAGTACTTTGCTTTGATTGAAGGCTGTAGAGCTGAGTTACCAAAATTTCTATTTCAAAGGAAACCAAACCTTAAAAAAAAAAAACAAAAACTGGGCTGGGTCTTCCAAACCTACCATGAAACCCTGGTGTGCAGGCTGCACTCAATGACCTCAACCCAACACCTCCCTGAGTGTGCTTCTTGGAAGAGCCTAGAAGATTCCTGGATGGAGACCCCATTGGTTCAGCCTCAAGTCTGGCCCGTCTTCGAAAAAACAAACACATTTGTAAGCTTTGTGGGAGCTTCCAGGCCTGCTCTAAGATGCCTTGCTTGTCCTTTGACCCATCAGCATGGAGCTCAGTGGTTGCTGTTTGGTTCTGCAGGCTGGTGGGGAGGCCGCCCATCGTGGTGGGGCATCTGTCCAGCCCCATTGCCACTCAGGGCATCCAAACAGGAGGCACCCGCTGGGAAGGGTCTAAAGATACTCCTTGTGGCCACTGCTACTGTTCACACTTGACTTGTGGAGAAGCGAAGGGCTGAGGGGAGGTTTGTGTACACCCATGTATTTAAAAGTGACTGACTGACTGAAATGAGCACATACCGACATATGCAACATACTAATACCTTCCTGATTTTCGAGACTTTCTAATTACTACAACTAACCTGTTGTGCTCACCTCTGGAATTCAGAAAGAGAGCCACTGCGAGCACTGACCACAAGGGCTGCCTTAGGAAGGAAATGTGTGCTTTCAGGAGTTCTTATTAGGGGAATTTTAAGAGCACAAAAATTTTATTGAACCCACCTTAGTGACAAACAGAAAATGATTTGTTAGATTGTCAGTTGGAAGGGGTTTATTATGACTGCTGGTGAAATAAACAGTGACCAGTTTCTGCCAACATTTATGGAAATAACGTTTCTAGGTTTTAAATGTGAGCCGTAAACTGAAGCTACTTCAGTTAAAAAAAAAAAAATCAATACTTAAACTGTAGGGAAAAGGTGGATTGGTGCCAGAGAAAACATTATTTAATAGTGTCAGAACATGGAACTGCAACACAGTTTGTAGCAAGGCACTGAGAAAAACCCACAACTAATCCTTCATCGCAGCTGTCTGAACTCTTGATCATCTGCCATCCCCCAAACAGTGACTTCTTTTTTTCTGGTGACTCCAGGCCTGAATGACCTAGTGTGGAGAGTTTAAACTATGTACAAGGGAGGAAAGAAAAAAAGGAAAGGAACCTTAAGTAAGCCTCAGCCAAAGGTTTTATGCATTGGACTTCCTGTGCCTGCCCCCAGGGGCAAGACTGATCCCCATGCCTGTGCCCATGACATCTCCCTGAAAGAGGACACCATGACAGCCCGGCTTTGCCTTGACTGACCCACTGCTACCCCAGAAATAAGAATCAAGAGCAGCTATTGTTATCCTTAGAGTGTTTTCCGTCTAGGGCCGGCTCGTGAACAGCCACATATCCTTGCACCTGACACTGTCCCCACACAAATAGCTGGCTTTCGTTGCTTGTTGAATGAATGAGTGAGTTGGCTCTATATCCCCTTGGAGCTGGCCGGTAAGATATTAGTGCCTCATTTTACAAGAAGAGAATAGGAAGGAATTAAGCAATTTGGCCAACAGATACAAGATAGATTCCAGAGTTTTATCTCCCACTTTAGGGTGGCAGCCAGTAGGCCAAACTCCAAAGACCGTTGCTGATGTCTTTTTCTGCCTCCCCTCTTTGGGTTAGTGTGGTATGTACAAGCTCACTCTTGTTGAAAATTAGAAAATAGTTGAAAACAAAAGGTTTTTGTTTTTCTTTTTAAATCACATTAAATGTTTTACATTGCTTATTCTCTATTTTCTATTCTATCCACTGGACAGGGATGTCTTCACCACATTCTAGAAGCTATGTTGTAATGAGCTCTGTTTTCTCAGGTCTGTGAAATTTCTGACATTCATCTAACAAAGTAGAAACTTCAAGCCAGGGACTCCTGGATCTCATGCAAGAGGAGTGGTCCTTGCTCTCCATGAGCCAAGAGCTGGCTGAGGTCCTGTCAGGCAGTAGAGGCTCATGCCTCTCCCCCGGAAGATTGTCTTTCAGAGGAGATCTGGAATCCCACTAGGAAAAACATTTGGAATCTGTTTCAAACAGGGACACAAAGCATCTTCAGGCATGACTGTCAACAGCAACTATGCTCCATGCATGCCACTAAAGGGCAGGCAGGAGAAAGAAGAGTAGAAGGAAGCAGGTGGAAAGAGTGAGGAACCAGCCAGCACAAAAAGAAGTCCACGTTATGGAGAGTTGAAACAGCTGTCTGAAGAAGAGGTGGAGGACATGGAGGTCAGCCCAAGAATTCCAGAGGTTATGGTGAAAAAATCTGGACTGAGGAGAGGAGGTGTAGGGAGTAAGAGTTGAGTGTTGATGGATGTCTTAGGTCAGGATCCTTTGAAGCAAGGGAAGTGATGGGGTGCTCTCAAGAGAAGGGGTGTGAGAGAAGCAGGAAGGAGCCAGTAAGGATGTGTCTTCAGTTGGAGACTGACTTCAGCTTGATCTCATGGGAGCTCTGGAGCATGAATCATATCGGAGTTGGTCCCACCTTGAGGAAAGGAGGCCAGCCTTTTGCATTCCCATGACAGCTGGTCATTGGTTATAGGCTGCCCTAGCAGAGTATACCGTGGTCTAACTTCCTGGGTGAGGGAACTCTCAATAGGCCAAGGGCAATTCTCTGCGTTGGAAGGGTACACTTACGTGCTTATGAGCATTTTAACAGCCAACACTCAGGGCAGCTGGAAGACAGGTTCACCTACCTAGCAAAGGGGACCTGGGAGGGGCATCAACAATGTCCACAACATTGGAAGGCTTGGGAGGCATGGATCTGTGGTGGTCATGGATGTAAAAATGGACATAAGGCAGATGGGATTGGTGCTGATGGCGTCTGAGCTGGATTTGCTAGCTGCCCTTCCGTATCTCTTCCAACATGCCCCTCCAACATGCCCGGTGTCCCAGAAGCCTGACCTCTATGGTTCCATTGCCTGGGCTTCTTCACCCTCTGATTTCCAGTTGCCACTGGGACATGCCAACAAGAGATGGCAGGGTGAGACAAGGTCTGGTTCCTTAAAATCTTTGCTTCCTCCAGGCCACAGTTGGACACTGGCTGCATTCTCTTTGAGGCCAGAGCCCTTGTCCTGCAGGGCCTTTCCTATTACTGAGCTCTTGTTGGGTTCCATAACAGGTCCCCACCATCCCCTGATGGTTCCCCTAACTTTCCCCACACCTTTGTGAACAGTCCCTTCAGCTAACCCTCTAATTACTCCTTTGAGTGTCCTGTGAGTTAGGAGAAAGGGGATAATCAGTTCTCTCTTAGGCCAGTGCTTCTCAAGCTTTACCATTCATGCCCACCACCTGGGCATCCTGTTAGATGCAGATCCTGATTCAGCAGTCCTGGGGCAGGGCCTGAGATTCTGTACTTCTAACAAGCTCGCAGTGCCTGTGCTGCTGGGGCAGGAGCCACACTTTGAATAGCGAGGTCCCGGGTGTTTCGTTGCAGTGAAGTAAGTGGTCTCTGGTTGGGGCAAGGAAGAGGGAAGTAGGGGGGGGCGGGGCAAGGAAGAGGGAAGTAGGGAGGGAGGGGGGGGCAAGAGTGCCACCAACTTCCCTAAAATCCTGCTGCAGGAGGTAACATAACTGAGAGTTAGGTTTAGAAAGGGCAGTCTTAGATCTTAGATATAGCAAGTATTAAGACATTATTTTCAAGATTACTAGAGATTTTTTTTTTGAATGGAGCCTTGCTCTGTCCCCCACGCTGGAGTGCAGTGGCATGATCTCAGCTCACTGCAACCTCTGCCTCCCGGGTTCAAGCAATTCTCCTGCCTGATCCTCCTGGGTAGCTGGTACCACAAGCATGCTATCACGCCCGGCTAATTTTTGTATTTTTAGTACAGAAAAGATTTCACCATGTTGGCCAGGCTGGTCTCGAACTCATGACCTCAAGTGATCTGCCTACCTCAGCCTCCCAAAGTGCTGGGATTACCAGTGTGAGCCACTGTGCCCAGCGAGAATTTTTTTCTTTTTTTAAACCTTGGTGCAGTAGCCTAGAAATAAAATACATTCAGCAACTGTTGGGGCAATAATTATTTATTTTAAATATCTCAGAAGCTTTGTGTTAATAGAACCCCCTCCCCCAATTTTCATGAGCATTAAACATTCACCATTCTCAAAACATGCATGACATACAATTTAGATTTACATTGTTTTAATCATTCCCTTTCAACATGAATTTTTAGATTCTATAACATTAATTTAGAGGATACCACACCAATAAGAACTTAAAAACTGATGTGTTGGGTTTATTTCACAGTCCATGTCTACAAATAAAACATTTACCTGTATTAATAATTTGTAATAAATTTATTAATACACTGTATTAATAATTTGTAATAAATTTATTAATACACTGTATTAATATTGCCTATTTGTTGGTATAAATCCAATGTTCTGGGTTATTCCACAATAATAGTTGCTAACACAGTCCCAATGCTGAGACAGAGGTTATTTTATATAGTTAAAAATAGAAAAGTTATCTTGCAGTAGATTAGGATCTAATTTATAAATATATACAGTCTCTGGCTTTTATTCTATTATGTTTTGCTTTGGCTACATGCAGAAAGCATTTTATTCCTATTGTTCTTGACTTCGTCTGATGCACAGGTATTCTAGTTGGTACCTTCAGGCTTTATTTTACCCAACTATGGGGAATAAGATCTTTGATTATGCTGCCTCTCTTTACAGCTACTTCGCCTATTACTTTTCCAAAGCTTGCTGAAAAGAGGTGGCAGGGTAGAAAACATGTTGCGAATGTTTTTTTTCCTTAGGTAAAACACCACCAACAATTTTTCAATCATAAAAAAGATCAGGATTTCCCTCTACCACACAAAAACACTTAGACTGCTATGGTGTCTCAAAATAAATGTGTTGCATTCATCACTTTTTACCACTGATAACTATTTCTAAGAAGGTGATTCATATTAGAAAAATATAACATGTTTCATTTCTGTGCCAACATACAGGAGACTATTGCAGGTGGCATTTAGGCAGCTTCAAATGCCACCTCAGCTGCACACAGCCATGCCTGACTTCCACACAACACACACCACATACTCATCTGTGCCTTTAGGGCTTCAGCTGGCCTCGAAGTTCACATTTGAGATTATTATAAACCAACAGGCTCTCAAACTTGAGTGCATATCAAAATCACCTGGAGGGCTTGTTAAAAACAGAACTGGGCCCTACTCCCAGGGTTCCTGTTTCCTGAGTCCAGGGTGGGACTAGAGAATTTGCATCTCCAACAAATTCCCAGGTGACGCTGATGCTACTGGTCTGAGGACCACACTTTGAGAACCACTGCCATAAACCATCCTCGCTGAGCCACCCTAAGATGATTTAGATGCTACGAAATGGGTTACCCAACAGACAGGATGGATTCTGTTTCCACAGAGCTCCCAGTTTCCACACTAGAGAACAGATCAGCACAGATCATTTCATATTCTTTCACAGATTCTTCTGCTTCTCCATCAAGTATGTGCCCATACTTGATAACCTGGTGTTCGGCCCTCTGAAAACATTTCTTTTTTTTTTCTCCCGTGTCATTCTCTCTTACTGGAGTTCAGAGAAATGGTTAATCCTGAGAGAGGAAACCAAGGACTGAGTTTTGTTAGTCCTGGCAAAAATTCCAAGACATTCCTAGGCACAGACTGGTCAAGGACAACTAGGCCACTGCTTCTGAGAGGAAATGGTACTTACTGGTACAAAGCTAACTTTGTTTTTAAAAAATAATGGCAAATCCTTAACCATGAAATATTGAAAATAAAATAAAATAAATGACAGACTGTCCCACAGAATGGAGGGAACAGAGGGGGATGTGTGTTTCTTCACTCCTCAACTCCCCCAACAAAATGTCAGTCTTAAATTCTAATTTCAAGAAACAATGAAAAAAGAAACCTCAAAGCTTCTAGACTGTGTCCTGGCTCTTGGTTCATCTGCCCTCAGCAACATCACAACATTAAAAGGAAACAACCCATTATTCTTCCATATTCCTCTCCCAATAATTCAATATCCATGTCCTAGATAATACTGCTCTCATACACTTGGTTTATCATGACTATTTATAAAATTTCAGGGCATGAAGCTGGTGATTTTCTTTCTTCAAAAAGGTAATACTGTGATGTGGCTCACACCTGGAATCCTAGCACTTTGGGAGGCTAAGGAGGGCAGATCACTTGAGGTCAGGAGTTCTTGACCAGCCTGGCCAACATGGTGAAACTCCATCTCTACTAAAAATATAAAAAAATTAGCTGGGCATGGTGGTGCATGCCTGTAATCCCACCTACTTGGGAGGCTGAGGCAGGAGAATTGCTTGAACTTGGGAGGCAGAGGTTGCAGTGAGCTCAGATCGGGACACTGCACTCCAGCCTGGGCAACAGCATGAGACTCTGTCTCAAAAAAAAAAAGATAATACTGTGATGAAGGAAGAGGCGATTTTTGACCTCACACTGGAAACAGGGCCCAAGCACAGGTCTGGGATTAGTGTAGTCAATTCCAGGGCAGATGGTGGAGGAGACATTGACATGAGTGATGATGTCACCAAAGCCTCCCTGCCCTCCCAGGTGCTCCAGAGACACTTCTCAGCCTATAAAACAAAGGGCTGAGGAAAAAATGATGAGCCTCAGTCCACCTGCGTCATGCTCTAGTGAATTATCGTGTGATGTGTCACAGTTATTTTCCTCCCAAGTGGCTTTGGGAGAACCCACTCCAAAGGTGCCTAGACCTTCTCCATCTCGATCTGCTGGTGGTAGTGCCGAGCCTGCCGCTGGCCAACATTCAGCTTGTACACAGAGCTCTTGTGCTGGCACTTGCGGTAGCCCCACACCATCCCCACACCTGCCAGGAGCAGCAGTAGGCACAGGACGGTGACAATGGTGGCGATCACAGGGCCTCTGCTGAGGCCAGGACATCCGTCCCCCACACACGACTCCAAGGTGGGATGAAGCTCCTCACTTGCACCTGGCCCGGGGCCTTCCTGTCCAAAGAAGTCTTCAGACAGCAGGTATGGGAAGCTATCCTGGATCTCAGGAACAGTGGTTTCTACTGGAGGCTGGGTGGTTGCCATGATCGTTGAGGGGATGTGGTTAGGTGTCTGCTTGACAGTGTTCACTGTTAATATCTCCAGGGTGGAGCTGGTGAGCTCATAGGACAGGGTGGCCATGGGAGATTCCTCTGTGATGAATCTCCAGGGTAGAGTTGACTGGTACTTCGTCAAGTCACCATCCCCAATGCCCTCAGTCTCGGAAGCATTCACGGGTCTGAGCGCCAAAGCTTCCACATCTAGCATTTGAGATGGAAGAACTGAACTATGGGTCATGCCCTCGCTTGGTGTGAGGGTGCTACTCTTGGGCTTCTTAACTTCCACAAGAATGGGCTGATCAGGAGTAACTAGGACGTTTTCATCCAGCCCTACTGACCCATCCCCTCTGTCCCCATCTTCTTCCTCTTCTGCCTCTGTCTTCCTCCAAGCCCCCTCTGTCACAGGGTAGCCATCTAACCAGGACTCATCACTGCTGCTCACCACTGGATCTCCTGCCTTGCTGTCATTCTTGCCCACAAATGGCCCCGAGGGACCATCAGTGTTGCCGTAGATCACCTTGGTTTCAGGTTCACCTGGGACCAATTTTACACCACTGTGGTTGTCTCCAGCAGAAAACTGCTTTTTGGTGTCATCATCCACCTCCTTTTCCAACCCAGGCTTGTGGAAAGCCTCAGCAGGAAACCAGAACAAGTGCTTCTGGAGCAGCCGTGATCCTGGTGAATCTGCGGGGACACTGCTCCCAGCACCAGGCAAGCCTGTGGTTGGCACAAAGACTTTATCCCGGGCTATGTTTTCTCTCCCCACAGAAATGGAGACCAGACGGTCCTGTTTTGGAGCCTCCTCAGAGGAGTCTCCCTGACCCCTGTCCTCATCTGCCTCTGTCCGGGAATCCTCCATGAGCTCTCTGAATGACACAGATCTGTCATCAGGGAAGTTATCTTCATAGTCAATGTGTGCCTCAGCCTCATCTGGAAGAAAAGAGGGAAAAAACCTCATTAGCTCCAAAGGCACAGAGCCAGTATAGAACATAAGAAAAGGAAATTAAAAGCATAAAGGCTGGGACAGAATAAATAATACTGTTATTATTCACAGATGATATGACTGTGTATCATAGATAAACCCAAATAATCTACATATGAATATTACAAGTAACTAAAATTTAACATCTGAGCTTAGGCCGGGCATGGTGGCTCACACTTGTAATCCCAGCACTTTGGGAGGCCTAGGCAGGTGGATCACTTGAAGCCAGGAGTTCGAGACCAGCCTGGCCAACATGGCGAATGCCCATCTCTAATAAAATACAAAAAAATAGCCAGGCATGGTGGCATATGCCTGTAATCCCAGCTACTCAGGAGGATGAGACATGAGAATCGCTTGAACCCGGAAGGCGGACGTTGCAGTGAGCCAACATCGTACCACTGCACTCCAGCCTGGGTGACAGAGTGAGACTCAAAAACAACAACAACAAAAACAACAACTCAAAAACAACAACAACAAAAAACATGTGAGTTTATTAGGGATACTAGGTCTACAGTAAATATAAACATCAATTGTATTTCTAAATATTGTCAATAAACAGAAAATTAAAATTTAAAAGGATGCTATTTACAATAACATTAAAAAAACCAAACACATAGGAATAAATCTAACAAAAGATGTTCAAGACTTCTACATGGAATGATATAAGACATTGCTAAGCAAAATTAAAGAAGACTTAAATGAATGGAGGAATAGACCATGATCATGTAGTAGAAGGCTCAAGATCATTAAGTTGGCAATTCTGTCCAAATCGATCTATACAGATCTAATACAATTCCAATAAAAATCTCAGACATTAACTGAATGTTAAAGTTTATGGAAATGCAATGGATGGAAGTTTATGGAAATGCAATGTAAGAATAGACAAGGCGATATTGAAAAAGAAAAAGCCGGAAGACATATGCAAAACATTTCAAGATTTACTATAAAACTGCATTACCTTTTAAGGCTGTGGTATTGGCACAAGGACAGATAACTGGATTACATTAAAATGAAGATCCTCTGTTCATTAAAAGCTACCACAAAGAGAGTTAAAATGCAAGGCAGAGTTAGAGAAGCTATCTGCAACACATATGACCTCCAAAGGGCTTGTATCCAGAATTTAAAAAGGACTCCCACAAATCTATACTAAGTAGACAGACAAACCATAGAAAAATTGGCAAGATAGTTGACTTGGGACATCACCAGAAAGATATCAGATTAGTCATTAAACATGTGGAAAGATGCTCAACCTCACTAGTAAGAGAGAAATGTTAATTATAGTCATAATGAGATACCACTGCATAGCACCAGAATGGCTAAAATTAAACAGACCGACAATATCAAATGTTAACTAGGATATACAGCACTGTTAGTGGGAGTGTGAACTGGAACAACCACGATGGAAAACTGGGCATCTCTACTAAAATTGAACATATGGATGCTCCATGACACAGCAATTCCACTCCTAAATATATACACTTAACAGTAATGTGTGCATATGGGTACCAAAAGACACGCCTAAGAATGTTCATAATAGTAAAAAACTGGAAGCAATTCAAATGTCCATTAACTGGTACATCAGTTATGGTATACTCAATGCAAATCTGTACATCAATAAACATGAACCAACCACTGCTTCCCACAACAAAATAGATGAATTGCATGGCCATAATGTTGAGCCAGGCACAAAAGTGCACACTCTGTGTTGATTCTATTTATATAAAGTTTAAAAACAGGCAGAATTAATCTATGGATGTCGGAACTCAGGATGGTAGTTACACTTGGGTAGGAGAGAAGGGGTGATGACTGGGTATGGTACAAACAGGACTTTTAGGGTGCTGGCAATATTCGATTTCTTCACCTGTGTCAAGGCCTAAATATCAGTGTTTATTCTTGATAATTCATTGGTTTGTTGCCTTATGATTCGTATGTATTTTATAATTAAGTTCAAAAATGCATCTTTTTTTTTTTTTGAGAGAGAGTCTCGCTCTGTCTCCTAGGCTAGAGTGCAATGGTGCAATCTAGGCTCACTGCAACCTCCGCCTCCCGGGTTCAAGCGATTCTCCTGCCTCGGCCTCCTGAGTAGCTAGGATTACAGGTGCACACCACCACACCCAGCTAATTTTGGTATTTTCAGTAGAGACAGGGTTTCACCATGTTGGCCAGGCTGGTGTCAAATTCCTGACCTTGTGATCCGCCCATCTCGGCCTCCCAAAGTGCTGGGATTACAGGCATGAGTCACCGCGCCCGGCCCCCAAATGCATCTTTTAAAACACTGATTTGCTCTCTGTAAAACTTCCAAGTCATGAGATGATGCTGTAAAGTATTCTGAATTCAACTGAATAAGAAGCAATAGAGCCCCACAACTAGGAGACCAGAATGTAAGGACAGCCCGATGAGAGGGGAATCAACTGGTCAGGAAAGCTCAAGAAGCTGGTGTCCTCAGAAGACAGCAGCAGCCCTTTGACCTTCCCCTCTCTCAATGGTCTTTGAAAGCCAAGTCCTACTGGAAGATACACTTAAATTATTAAAACAGACTGCTTCTCCCACTTAACTTTCAACTTCGGAAGAACAAAATGCACAGAGCTCCAGAGCCAAGGTCTAGATGGAATGCTGAGGTGTCATGTGGTGCATTCCTGGGCTCTGAAACTAGATTAGTGGGTATCTGGCTTATTTCTAAAGGCTGTTAGAGAATAAGACTCTGTATCTTGCTTATTTAATGACTGACAGAGTTATAAATAAAAGTTAACAATCTTTTCTGATCTGCTCCTGACATGTAAGCCCATTCACTTTACATGTGTCCTCAGTCAGAAAAGGGAAACAGTGGATGAAGAGCAAACATCACTGACAAATATCAAATGCATGCGTGTTTTATGCTTAGAAAAGGACAGCCCAATCACACCCCATTGTGTCCTGTTCATAAAACCTCACACAAAAAACATATCAGATGGCTGGACCATTCTAATGAGCCTTGTAGAATTCACATACAGGCTCCCAGGGCTCAGTCAGGCCCTTCACATTCCCTGTTATATCCTCATTTCAAAACCTGCACTGACCCACTCCTTCATTCAACAGACCTCACTGAGTGCTGACTATGTGCTAGAGTTTGGGATCACTGGTGAACAGGATAAATACTCCCTCCCCCGTTGGAGCATATGGGACAGAATCTCATGGTCTTGCATCCTATAGGGTTGAACTTCAAAGATTTTGTGTGCATAAATTTTCACCCAACATTCTGAATGGGCGTTAGGTTTTGCATTGAAGTACTGTCCTTCCTTCAAAAAACAACAAAATGAAATGAATGCCACTATGACAGAACTTTTCACTACAATTTACCCAAAACATACAGACAAGTCACACTGAGATTTAAGAAAGTCATGACGTATATCTTTGACCTCAGGATAAGGTGGTTAGATTGCTTGTGCACATGTGTGTACTTACTGGCTGTGGAAGACAGACTGCAATAATGGCCACAAATCTCCACTTTTCCCTGCATCAAGTCCTTTTGCAATGTGACTTTGCACCTCTCTTCCTATGAAAAGATGGGGCCCATTTTTTCATCTCTAGAATCTGGGCTGACCTTGTCCCTTGTTTTGACCTACTGAACGCAATGAAAGTGTTGCATACCTTTGCTCTCTGCCTCGGAGCCCTGCCAGCTGCCATGTGAACAAACCTGGATGCTGAAGGATAAAAGACCCCATGAAGGAGAGGTAAACGTCCCAACTGAGGCCACCGTAGATTAGCCAGCTGTGGCTGACCACATTCACCTGAGTGAGCCCAGCCCAAACTGCTGACTCAAAGAACTGGAGCAGAATAAATTGTTGTTTCATGCCACTAAGTTTTTGGGGATGGTCTATTATGCAGAAAAAGCTAACTAACACACTAGCAATGAGCTGCTTGGGGAGCAGGCCCCAAGGCATTGTGTCCCTAAAGTAGAACAGTGCTTATCTACTATAGGTATTCTTATAGGTATTCTTGAGTGAGTGAAAGAATAAATGGTTCTGGAAGGAAAACAAGGAAAAGTCTGCAACAGCTCAGATCCCAAGCTTCTCTTCATTGCTACCTTAAAACTGTTCAGCACTGGGATCAGTTTCCAGGAGCACAGTCTCCCAAAACACAAGAGGACTATAGGCCCACTTCTAAATTACACGGAATAAATCACTTGTACCCATAGTCTCTCATAACACCCCGAAGACCCTCTGAAAAGACGCCATTGTTGAAGGACCAATTGAATACAAACACACACAGGTGTGCACCACATACGTGCACACAACACACACCCTCACACACTGGTGAGCAAATCGCTGCCACAGCCTGGCTGGTGAGAGCATCTCTTCTCATCCCAGCCTCTCCTTGGTGCCCACATCCCTATCAATTTCAAAGGGTAGCCTAGTAGAACTCCCTCCCCACTGCTAGTCGATTTCAAGCAGAATGGTGACCCCGCTCCATCAAAGCTTGCTCCTAATGCAAAGAAGCTTGGCATTCCACATGTCTGACCAGTCATTTTTGCCCCAAATCTGCCCCAACCAATTTGTTCTTAATTAAAGAAAAGAACATATTCTGCGGTACTGCAGAAGAAATTATCTTTGTGAAACAATACACCTTTGCCAGTTGTCTCCTAGAGGTTCTGCTGTTGAGGATGAATATCCCTGTTCTCAGCCAGAACCCGGCCCCCTTTCATGAGGGGTAAGGTAGGAAGCAGTAACTCTCCAAGATCATTTTTCCTCAAGAAGCTTCCACCCACTCGAAAGCATAGGCCATCACTTCATGCACCAGCTATACCTTAAGGCCTCTTTCCACACGTCATTTTACTAGGGAATATTTTTTGTTGCCTCATTGCAGCCCCAAGACATCGAACCGTGAAGAACCCCAGATTCTATTTTATTCCATGGTATTTTTGTCATTTCCCATTCTTGCTTGCACGAATCCGGAGAGTGCATTCATTTTCTTTCAGGTCATCAACTATAGCTCACTGACTGTTGGGAGTAAACAAGCTGTTTGTGCTGAACTCAGTCAGCATGATGAAAGGGAACAACATTTGCACAGAGCTTTGCCAAAGGCAGTCCTAGGTGATGGGAAAGCTGGCAGGCTGTCGGTGTCAAGGTGGGTGGTGAGTCGAAGTGCTTCCTCACTGTCCTCATGGACCACCATCTTGTCACCTCTGCAGATACCAAGACTGATACTGTCCACGGGAAAGCAGAATTCTACCCAAATAACCAACAGCTAAAAAGAAGTGTGACTGTAGGGATACTCAAAATCTTCCAGCACCTCAGAGTATCTGTGGCCCTGACAAGTCTCGCTGTAACCTCTGCTCCGGCTTCTTCCCTGTCTCTTATGCCCACACCCCATATTTCACTTCCATCTGCCCCAGTGCTCCCTGCCTTTTTGTTCTTGCTTCTGGCTGCCCGTCCCTCTGCTCTTCTTCCTCCTTCTTCTACCTCATCACTTATGTTCCAGACCACTAGAATATGTACTGGGGATACAGGCCAAAATTGCCTTATGAGCAGGGTGCATTACAGGCTACACTTGAAAATATCTAAGTGTTCCAGTTGAAACTGTATCGTATATTTTTCCCTCCCCCATACCTACCAAAATGGGGAAACACCACCAAACACACCCATACACACACACACACACACAAACACAAACATAAAACTGGGCTTACTGAATGTGAATTTCTAAAAATGAGGAAACTATACTAAACATCAGCAAAAACATTTTACCAACAGCAACCTCACGAAAAGGGAATAATATATTGCAATGAATTTCAGAAACTAGTTACCAAGAGGAGAAACAGAGGGTTCTAAAGAAGACTGGACAAGCGTGACCTGGCTTAGCTCCTAACCCACCCTCACCCTTCAGAAATGGTCCTGGGAGTCAGCAAATCCTAGAGAGACGCAAAGTGGATGGAGAGAACCAGACCAGTAACCAGGAGGGCTGCTTCTTCCTGACAGAATCTGAAATGGCAAGACTTCACATTGTGCAAGGGAAGGAAACTTTGATATAGAACATTTAAAACATTTCTGAGGAAAAAGCAGAACCCAGACTTAAAAAAATTGTTTTATGTTTTGCAGAGACAGCGTCTCACTATGTTGCCCAGGCTTGTCTTGAACTTCTGGTCTCAAGCAATCCTCCCACCTCAGTCTCCCACAGTGCTGAGATTACAGGCATGAGTCACCATGCCCAGTCACGCCCAGATATATTAAAAACAAACAAATAAACAAACAAGTAAAATATCTGAGGCAGGGGGATCATTTGAGGCCAGGAGTGAGACCAGCCTCAGCAACAAAGTGAGACTTCATCTCTTAAAAAAAAAAAAAAAAATTGGGTGTGGTGGCACACACCTGTAGTCCTAGCTACTCGGCAGGCTGAGGCAGGAGGATCACTTGAGCCCAGGAGATTGAGGCTGCAGTGGGCCATGACGTGCCACTGCACTCCAGCCTGGGCAACATACTACTTCAGCTGACTTGTCCCCTTACGGCCACCATTCCCTCTTCTGGATTAAAGGACTGTTTCACAACACAAAACTTAATAAGAAAGTGAGTGCAATAAAACAAAGCTCAAAGGTAATGTGTAAAATAACAGAATGTTATGAAAAGGGTGGTTATGAACTTCAGGCATCAAATTCAGGACCAATGTAGCATCATGACAGAACTAAAAAATCAGTTAGAAACTTCAAAGAACAGAGCAGACTGAGAATTTTATAAAACCAGAAAAAAAAGACAGAAGAGACATATTCAAGAATCACTACAAACCTCAAGCAGAATAAATTCACATAAATTGCCTACAGCCATACCAAATTAAAACTGCTAAAAACCAAAGACAGAAGAACGTAAAAGCAACCTGTGAAAGCAAATATATAATGTTTGATAAAGCAACAATAAGATTGAGAGGTGACTTTTCAAAAGAAACAATAAAAGCCGGAAGACAATGTGATAAAATATTCAAAATGTTAGAAGAAAAGAACTGCCAATATGGAATTTCTTACTCTATGAAAATGTCATAGATGGAAGCTCAGAGATGCAGGAAGGAAAGAACAATGAAATAGTAAATATGGAGGCAGAGCTAAGTGAATGTTGACTGCATAAAACAACAACATATACACACACACACAATATTCATTCAGAACATTTGACAATAGCATAGAAGCTGGGAGGAGGTAAATGGAGTCAAAGTGTTTGATGGCTTTAAATTAGCCAGGAAATGGTGTAACTATTAATTAATATTAAACTTCTATATGTCAAGGGTGCCTGTTATAATTTCTAGAGTAACCACTGAAAGGAGAGTAAAAGACTATTAGAAGGTAATAGAAGGGGTAAACATAATAAGTAAAAAATGCTTAATTGCTTCGAAAGAAGGCAGGAAAGCAGAGAAAAAGGAACAAAGGACAAATAGGAAAGAGAGAAAACAAAAACGACAGTAATTTTAAAACCAAATCTACCGATGGTTAAATGTAAAATGGATTAATGCTACTATTGAAAGACAAAAGGTGTCAGCTTGTATAAAGAAACAGAACCCATGTACCTGGTATTTATAAGAGACACACTTTAAATATAAGTACACAGATGAGTTGAAAGTAAAAGAATTAAAAAAAGTCACGAAGAGGCTAACCAGCAAAAAAGACTTTAAGGCAAAAAATACTTAGTAGAGATAAAGAAGGCTCTTTCATAAAGATAAATGTTTCAATTCACCTGGAAGATATCAAATTTTAAAATTGTATGTACTTAATAATATAGCCTCAAAATATAGGAATCTAACAGACATGAACTAAAAGAAGACACTGATAAATCCATGATCATAGTGAGATATTTTAAACATCTCTATCATTAATAATTATAACAAATAGAAAAAAGGTAAGAATATAGATTTGAACAACACATTTAATAAATATGACTTCTTTGAAATGTGTAGATGACATCCAACAACTATAGAATAAATGTTCTTTTCAAGTGCACATAGAATAATTTTTACAAAATAGACCATAAAAGAAGTATCAACAAACTTTAAAGGACTGAATCATACATACATTTTCTGGTCATAGTGAGATTAACTTAGACAAAAAATTACTTAAAAATTCCCCTATGTATAGAAATTAAACAAAACATGTCTAAATAACTCATGGCTCAAGGGAGAAATTACTGTGGAAATCAGAAAACATTCTAACTGAATGATAATGGAAATATGACATATCAAAACTTGTGGGAAACAGCAAAAGCTGAGCTCGGGGGAAGTTATACCTTTAAATATCTATGTGAGAAAAGAAGAAAGGCTGAAAAATCACATTGATTTCCCGAAGCTGGGTAAAGAAAATTAAGTTAAAAACAAAGAAATAGAAGAAGGAGATTTTTAAAAGAGGAGAAATAAATAAAAAACAAACACACAATACAGAAAATCGACATAGTCAAAAGTAAATTCTTTGAACTGACGAGTAAGGTTGATAAACTCCTAGCAAGACTAATTAAGAAGAATTTAGAGAAGATGCAAATGAAAAACATTAGGAATAAAAAAGGCATCATCACAGATGTTTCAGGTATTAGAAAATACAATAGCAGGACTTCATGATAAAAATTTATATCCAGGAAGCTGGCTGGGCATGGTGGCTTGCGCCTGTAATCCCAGAACTTTGGGAGGCTGGGGTGGGTGGATCACCTGAGGTCAGGAGTTTGAGATCAGCCTGGCCAACACGGTGAAACCCTATCTCTACTAAAAATACAAAATTAGCAGGGCGTGGTGGCACATGCCTGTAATCTGAACCTGGGAGGCAGAGGCTGCGGTGACCTGAGATGGTGCCATTGCACTCCAGCCTGGGCAACGAGAGCAAAACTCCATCTCAAAAAAAAAAAAAAAATTATGTCCAGGAAACTAAAAATTCTGATGAAATAGAAAAATTTCTAGAGAAATACAACTTACCAAAAGTGACACAAGAGGAAATAGAAAAATTTTATATACCATTAACAAAACTGAATCTCTCCACACACACAAAACTCTAGGCACAGGTGGATTTACCAATGAATTCCATCAAATGTTTAAGAGGATAATTCCAATCTTATACAAACTCTTCCAGACAAAAGAGAAAGAGGAAATACTTCCCAATTTATTTTATATATACAGTGTAACCTTGGTACCAAAACCTGGCAAGGACATAATAAAAAGGAAATACTGCAGACCAATCTCACTGAACATAGATGCAAAAGTCCCATATAAAATGTTGGCAAACTGAATCCAGCAATAAGTTAATGTCGGTAAGCTGGGTTAAGCTTTAATATATTAAGTATATATTAAAAGTTAATATATTAAAAGAATAATACATTATACCTAGTTAGATTTATCCCAGGAATTTATCATTGGTTTAATATTTGAAAAAAAGGAGTTTTAGAAAAGCATCTGACAAAGTCAACAAGATAAAAACCCTTAGAAATTAGGAATATGAGGAAACTTCCTTAACCTGATTTTTAAAATACACCTTTTTGTTTCTTTTAAAAATATATAGGCTGGGCCAGGCGTGGTGGCTCATGCTTATAATCCCAGCACTTTGGGAGGCCAAGGTGAGTGGATCACCTGAGGTCAGGAGTTCTAGAGCAGCCTGCCAACATGGTGAAACCGTGTCTCTACTAAAAAAATATAAAAAATGGCCGGGTGCGGTGGCTCACGCCTGTAATCCCAGCACTTTGGGAGGCTGAGGCGGGCGGATCACGAGGTCAGGAGATCGAGACCATCCTGGCTAACACAGTGAAGCCCCATCTGTACTAAACAAAATACAAAAAATTAGCCGGGCATGGTGGCAGGCACCTGTAGTCCCAGCTACTTGGGAGGCTGAGGCAGGAGAATGGTGTGAACCCGGGAGGCGGAGCTTGCAGTGAGCCGAGATCGCACCACTGCACTCCAGCATGGGTGACAGAGCAAGACTCCGTCTCAAAAAACAAAAACAAAAACAAAAAATTACCCGGGTGTGGTTGCAACTGCCTGTAATCCCAGCTGCTCAGGAGGCTGAGACAGGAGAATCACTTGAACCCAGGAGGTGGAGGTTGCAGTGAGCCAAGATCTTGCCACGGCACTCCAGCCTGGGCGACAGAGCAAGACTCTGTCTCAAAGAAAAAAAAAGATATATAGATATAGATATATAGTTTCCTTTATATAAAGCCAGTCACAAAAATAAACCTAATACAGTGTGATTCCACTTACATGAGGCTTTGATAGTAGTCACATTTATAGAAACAGAAAGTAGAATGGTGGTTACCAAGGGCTGAGGGAAAGGAGAAAAAGAAGAAGTTTTATTTAATGAGTATAAAGTTTCAGATTTACATGATGAAAAAGTTAGGGAGATCTGTTTCGTAACAATGTGAATATGCTTAACACTACTTATCTGCACACTTGAAGATGGTTAAGATGGTAAATTTTATGTTATGTGGTTTTTATCACAATTTTTTTAAAAAGGGAAGGATTAATAAGTTATACTACATTAAAATTCTATTTATGAAGGATACTATGAAGAACATGAAAAGGCAACTTACCTAACAGAAGACATTTGCAACATAAATAACCTTGAAAGTTCTGGTATCCAGAATAATATAAAGGACTCCTACAAATAAATATAAAATAGCCCAGTAGAAAAATGGGCAGGAGAACTGAATAGGCACTTCACAAATGAGGTATTCTAATAGCCAGAAAACATATGAAAAGGTGCTTAACATCATTAATCAGGGAAACTCAAATTAAGTGACATCACAACATACCCATCAATATGGCTAAAAATTTCCAAGACTGACAATACCAATTGTTGATGGGGAGGTAAGGCTCCCAGAACTCTTATACATTGCTCTTCAGAGCATAAATTGTTACAACCATTTGGGCATTATCTTGTTGGGTATTATCTACTAAAGTTGAACACACACACACACACACACACACACACACACACACACGTATGATCCAGCAATTCAACTCTAAATTATATAGACAAAATTCTAGAAAATGCAAAACTCTAGAGGAATACATGTAACATGGTCACCAAAAGACCTGTGCAAGAATGTCCTTATAATAGCCCCAAACATGAAACAATGAAAAATAATCCTAACAGTAGAATGGAATACTCCAAAGCAAAGAAAAAGAGTGAACAGCTCACAGAGCAACATGTATGTGTCTCACAGACATAATGTTGGGCAAAGGAAGCCATACACAAGAGTACATAATGTATGCTTCCACTTAAATAAAATTCAAGTGAGGTGGGCGAATGTAATTTATTAAGTAGTGTGGATAGTGGTTACTCTAAGGGAGGCTGGGACTGAAAGGGAGCACCAGGAGTGTTTCTGGATGGCTGGTGGTGGTCTGCTTCTTGACCTGGGTGCCGATTACATGGGTGAGTTTATGGTATGATAATTCACTGAACTCTATAATATTTGATTTTTGAAATGTTCTGTATTTATCTTACTCTTAAGTAAAAATATAAATAGACAATCAGAAGTGGACACCATGTACCAGGAAAAACTGGCACAGTATTTGGCTGCTGAATGCCAAGGATGAAGAAATAATTCAACTGATATTCAGGAAGAAAAGGCAAATCCCATGCAAGAACAAAATTAAATCAGGCTTGCCTAAAATTTCACCTCATCATGTTCAGTGGTAGAAGAAAAAAGAACAATGGCTATAATCTTTGAGGGACAGAAAATGTAATTCAACAATATTGTACTTTGTTAAGATGTCATTCAATTTTATATCAACAGTAGGCATTCATTCATCTTAAGATGTCTGTGCTATCTCAAGAACAATATACTGTGTGCCCAGGTGCAGTGGCTCATGCCTACAATCCTGGCACTTCGGGAGCCCGAGATAGGAGGATCACTTGAACCCAGGAGTTCAAGACTAGCCTGGACAACATAGTGAGACCCACTGCACCGCAGCCTGGGTGACAGAGTGAGACCCCCCTCTCCAAAAAAAAAAAAAAAGGAAAGAAAAGGAAAACACACTGTGTAATATTGTGCATGTGTTACTTATGTTAAGCTGTAACCCAGCTGCTGCTGGTATTCCAATTAAGAATTCACTCTGGGACGGACAGTTAGCATTCCCACTAGAAAAAATCCTCCTCCAGATGTGGCTAATACAAGTACTTCTTTATTTGTATCTTGACCAAAAACATTGCTTTGCTAATTAATACCCTGAATATCTGAAACAGCTTTCTATTGGTAAAATTAGTGACCTATTAACTACCAATGACAAATATTAGAAATGGGCTTTCACTGGTAAAATGAAAGGTATATATGATATAGGGATTGGGTAAAGATACCTTAGAAACACTTCATGCTCTTATACGGATAGGGTAAAACCAATTTAGATCTTGATGGTGCTTGACACTTGAACCCTAAAAGGTCTCAGTTTGGGACTAATGTGTTACTCACCAGAATGCTGGGAACAGCATCCATCCAGAACAGAGTTCACCGCTGTCACCATGCACTGACCACACCACCCTGCTCTCGCCACACAGCCTGCCCAACTCCCCACTAGCCCAGGAACTTCCTGAGAACAAGGGCATGTCCCCCCTGCCTTTGTATTCCCCCTGCCCACAGCATGGTGTATGGCATATAGTAGGCACTCCATAAATGTTTGCTGAATAAATAAATAAATAAATTAGTGAAGAGATGAATTAGTGGGTGTGAATTACAGTTTTTACAAAGCTTGATGCAGTCTGGAAGTCCATCAGCCAGGGCATCATTTGATTCATGAGAGAGGCAAAGAATGATAAATGACTTTTGAGTTCCAGTATTGGGGATAATCAATGTCTGCTAACTTCAACCTCCTGTGTTACCCATCCCATGAGCTTAAATATTGGTGGCACATGCCTGTAATCCCAGCACTTTGGGAGGCCGAGGCAAGTGGATCACCTGAGGTCAGGAGTTCGAGACCAGCCTGGCCAACATGGCGAAACCCTGTCTCTACTAAAAGTACAAAAATTAGCTGAGCGTGGTGGTGCGTGCCTGTAATCCCAGGTACTCAGGACGCTGAGGCAGAAGAACAGCTTGAACCCGGGAGGCGGAGGGTGCAGTGAGCCGAGATCACACCACTGCACTCCAGCCTGGGCAACAAGAGCGAGACTCCATCTCAAAAAAATATATATATATATAAATATATATATAAAACATAAAGTCAAAAGGCACCTGGAACACAGGCAGAAGATGAGTATGTTCTCCTCTCTCACTTTTTTGTGTGTGCAGGCAACACTGGCTTAGCATTTAATATTAGAGCAAGGATCTGGGAAAGGTCAGCTCACCCTGGCTGTGGCCTTGACCTGGACACTTACAGTCTGAACTATGTGTGTTTGTTTGTGTGCATGCATGCGTGTGTGTGTGTCTGTGTATGCATGGATGTGCATGTGATTGTGTGTGTATGTGTGTGTGTGTCTCTGTATGGGTGTCTAAGGTTCTGCCTCCAGAGCTCCCTGAGGCTACAGCAACCCTGGGCAGAAGCCCAGGGCCCCGAACTAAGCTCTTCCTGTCTCCCCAGGTTCGCAGGTCAAGGTCCTGACTTAAAAACAGGTTGTCAGTATATCACAGTTTCCCCAAAACCTCAAATGAAGACAAGAATGAGTGTTTACAATTAGCCTACTTATGAAGAAGTATCCAAAGCTTATTTTTCTCCCCATGGGGAACAGTAACATTTGTTATTCACCAGATTTCAACCAACAAGCACATTCTGCCCACAAGATGGAGAAGCCCAGCTCTCTGCCTGTGGAGGTACTGTATCTCTCACCTCCCCTCTGCTTTCCTGAGTCTGCACTCTGACTCAGATCATTCAGCCATCCTTCTAGCTCTGCCCTCACCCGACCCTCTCTGTGAAAACCTGTGCTAACACAACATGGGGCCTTCTGATTTAGACAAACAAGTCTAGGAAATGTAAGCTTTGTGGCTTCTCCTGGCAAAATGCAGGTCATTCACTGTGCATTTATATTTAACTGCTACTTTTGGAAAACAGAAGAGCACAGAAAGTCATACGTCAGGACTGAAAAGTGCAGGCTGGCTTGTGCACTGCTTGTGTATTTTATCAGAGTGGGATGTGGCTGGGGGCTGCAGGAGACAGGCCAGAGCCCAGTATCTGGGGTTCTCCCAGGGCTGCTACTTTCCATCTTTTTTTACTTTGCTGCCTTTCTGGAAGCCCCACACGTACCCTCTTTTTTTTTCCCTCTGTTCTTGGCTACACAGCCTTTAAAAATAGTAATTTTAAAAAAGACAACCAGACAAGCCAGAAATAACTACTGGTTCAATAAACCTCTGAACAAATATGGCAATTTTTGTTCCTGACAAGGAAATTCTAAATTCAGTTTCAGTCTCATGCCTTCTTCTATGAAGGAAATTAAGTCTAAAAGATGGAGAAAAACAGAAATAGAAGTTAATTTAAGAAAACAAAATAATACCTGTAGAAATGAGAAAAGAGCAAAGGAACTTACTGAGGGGACAGCTAGTTTGCAAGTGAGGAGGTGTGCTGCCCCGAGGCCTCGTTCTCCTCCCCATCTCAGGGCCCTGGAGGCAGCACATAGCATGATGCAGATATCAGGACAGGATATGCCTGGTTTTATTTTTTATTTTTATTTTTTTGAGACAGAATCTCACTCCGTTGCCCAGGCTGGAGTGCAGTGGGGTGATCTTGGCTCACTGTATCCTCCGCCTCCTGGGTTCAAGTGATTTCTGTGCCTTAGCCTCCCAAGAAGCTGGGACTACAGGCATGTGCCACCACACCTGGCTAATTTTCGTATTTTTAGTACAGACAGGGTTTGGCCATGTTGGCCAGGCTGGTCTCAAACTCCTGGCCTCAAGTAATTGGCTCGCTTTGGCCTCCCAAAGTGCTGGGATTACAGGCATGAGCCACTGCACCTGGCCAGACATGCCTGGTTTTAAACCCCGGCTCTGCTTCTTTCTGGTGTCTGACACAGGCAAGTCACTGAACCTTCCTGTACCTCAGTGTTCCCATCTATAAATTGGTACTCGACATTTCTACGGAATTCCAGACTTGTGAAAGATTAAATGAGATGAAGTGTGTAAAACTATGGTAGAAAGGGGCACAAGGAAACTTGGGAATGATGGAAGTGTTCTATATTTTAGTTATAATGGTGGTTTCATGAGTGTATACACCTGTGACAGTTCAGATAAATTTATACTTTTTTTTTTGGAACGAAGTTTCGCTCTTGCTGCCCAGGCTGGAGCACAATGGCACAATCTCAGCTCACTGCAACCTCTGCCTCCTGGGTTCAAGTGATTCTTCTGCCTCAGCCTCCTGAGTAGCTGGGATTACAGGCGCCCGCCACCACGCCCGGCTAAGTTTTGTATATTTAGTAGCGACGGGGTTTCACCATGTTGACCAGGCTGGTCTTGAACTTCTGACCTCAGGTGATCCACCCGCCTCGGCCTCCCAAAGTGCTGGGATTACAGGCATGAGCCACCACGCCTGGCCGAATTTATACTTTAAATGAGTACAGTTTATGGTATGCAAATTAAACCCAATAGAGTTGTTGAAAAAGCAGGCCCAAAAAACAACTCCCAGAAGACAGACAGCATGGAGTGAGTGTTTGGTTTATAACAGCTTTGTTCTCAATGCCTAACTGGGCAATGTGTCTTGTTTCCATGGCTGTGTCAGATCAGGGAAGGGAAAAACAAAAGCTGTACATTTGCTGTTGGACTCAGAGGCGGCGAGGCTGGTGGAGGGAGGTCCAGCTTGGGGTCAAGCACTTTCCTGATACTGCAGCCCAGAAAGCAACAAACAGAACCGATGGAACTGAGGGTAGGGGTGGGCCTTTCTGAGCCTGTCTTCACACTTGGCGGCAGATAGCCCTGTGGCATCTTTTCTTTTCTTTCTTTCTTTTTTTTTTGAGACAGAGTCTCGCTCTATCACCCAGGCTGCAGTGCAGTGGCACGATCTCAGCTCACTGCAACCTCCGCCTCCCGGGTTCAAGCAATTCTCCTGCCTCAGCCTCCCGAGTAGCTGGGACTACAGGCGCAATGCCACCACGCCCAGCTAATTTTTGTATTTTTAGTAGAGATGGGGTTTTTCCATGTTGGCCAGGGTGGTCTTGAACTCCTGACCTCAAGTAATCCTCCCGCCTTGGCCTCCCAAAGTGCTGGGATTACAGGCATGAGCCACCGCGCCCGGCCGCATCAGGACTTTTCTGTAATTAGGGCAACAACCAATTTTAGTTAGATTCTGAGTACATTAGAGAGGGCATGACAGACATTTCCTGCTACCAAACTGGGAATGGAAACCAAGAACATGTGTGGATTTTGACAGGATTATGGAAGACTAAATGGCCAGAACCAGACCTGAACTCTAGGGACCAGAGCTAGAGAAGTACCAATACACAGAGGGGAGAAAATGGCAGTTAAATAAGTCCTCGCCCATTTCAGTGAACGGTCAAGACAGAAGTCCCCGTGCTTAAGTGAGAGACTGCATCCCCACCACTTAAGCCTGGAATGTTGCTTGTGAACACACAGCCTGGTCGGCGTGTGGCTGAGGGACCCTCCTACACCATCCACTCCCTCACCTTTTGCTACCCACCAGGTATGCGTGCCACACACTAGGAAGCTACCAGCTGCGTGGGTCTCTATCAAGTCTGAAAGCCACACTGGCCATGCCCTTCTGGAAAGGCCAGCTGCCGGTCTCCAGAATCTGGGAAGCCTGCTGGCAGAGATTAACTTCTCACCCAAGTAACAGACAGTTGAAGTCACAGGCTGTCGTTAGTTATTCATGGTAACAGGGGCTAGAGTTAATAACACACAAGGAAGTGAGCAGCCAGTGTCATGCACAAATCCCTTTAGATACCTTAGGTGAAAGGGCCTGAAAGGTCTCATTGATCAGCACATAGGTGAAAGAGAATGAACATTTACTGACCCCCATACTATATTATAGGTCCTATTCTAAATGATATATTCGCAGGAACCTCATCTCTAAGGTATCTCTGTGATAACTAGTACCTATTTTTAAAATATGGGTACTATGGGCCGGGTGCAGTGGCTCACACCTGCAATCCCAGCACTTTGGGAGGCCGAGGTGGGTGGACTGCCTGGAGTCCTGCTCAGGAGTTCAAGACCAGCCTAGCCAACATGGCGAAACCCCATCTCTACTAAAAATACAAAATTAGCCAGGCGTGGTGGCGCATGCCTGTAATCCCAGCTATTCGGGAGGCTGAGGCAGGAGAACTGCTTGAACCCGGGAGGCAGAGGTTGCGGTGAGCCGAGATCATGCCACTGCACTCCAGCCTGGCGACAGAGCGAGACTCCTTCTTAAAAAAAAAAAGGGTATTATGGGCAAATTAAGGCTCAGAAAAGTCAAGAAAACGGTTTTCTCTTCTTCTCATCCTTTCTGTCATTGTTTAAATAAGCTGAAATCTCTTGTTGTAGGAAATTTTTTTAAAAAGCATCTTTAAAAGAAATCACCTTAAAAATAACAACAGCAAGCAAGCAAACAAAACAAACCCCTACAACCTCTTTGGACCTCTGATCTTCTTCCAGCTCTATCGTTTGTGTCTTCCCTATTCCGCTTCATGCAGCAGCAGAAATTTGAACCTGAGTTGTCAGTCCTTGGCCTTCTTCCTCCCTGCATCTTATTCCTGTATGCACTGCAGCGTGGCTATGGTACATCCCCCACCCTCCACATACACACTGAAAACACAAGGCTGTCAGAACCTCCTTCACACAGTGAAGCCAACGCATACATGTTAGCTTTCATTTACTTGTTTTCTATAGCCTCTGGGTTTACTGAGCACTTCCTCCACATCTGGAAACACACTTCCTGTAAAACGTCACCTTCTGTGACACCTCAATTTCCAGTCTCTATCTCATCATCTACTGCTTTTCTGTGTCTTTGAGGAACCCAGTTTACTAGAGTTTCCTTTAGGGTTGAGACAGTGTTTACTCAACTTGTATACACAGCACCTAGGATCCTGCCAAATGATGGGATGTGGAATGAATGAATGGATCAATGTCCAATCAGCCAGTACAACGAAGAGTGATTATCCAAACCCAGATGGATCCAATTCCAAAATCCTTGTTTGACCCACTCCCCCAAGTTGACTTTTCTCCAATTTGAAGCAATTCATCTGGTGAAGATACTCTTGTAAAACACACACACACACACACACACACACACACACACACACACACTCTTCTTACAAGGACACAGATAGCTTAAATGTTAAACTCTCAGACACTGTTAACAATCTGTATATCCAGCCCAAGCATATAAACCAGAATTCCTGCCCAGCAGCTTAAAGCTTTAACAACTGCATTGCAGTGGGAACATAAAGATCATTTTGGACCCGCAAAACCTGCATTTAGTGCTCATTCAACTAGGGCTAGCAAACAACCCATTTGGCTGTGGGTGTGGCTCATGAGATGGTGCAACTTCAGCACCTCACTGGAACATTAACAACTCAGGGTGGGTATGGGCCTGCTTCAAGGCGACATATTGGACCAACAGGAAGCTTGGTGCTTATGCTTGATTTTCTTGGGCAGGTGAATGATCAGAATTGGCAAGTAGCTCCCGCCTGGCACAAAGCAACAGGAACAGAAGAAAGATGAGGAAAGTTCTAGAACATTGCTCAAACTGTGCTTTCAGCACTTGTCCCAGTCTGTAACTTGTTATTAGGTATGCAACAAGGCAAGTAGAAACACCCAGAAAGTTTTTAGAAACTTTTGCAACAATTTGACAGGGGAATTTTATGTCTACTTAATTTAACACAGATTGTGCTTATATTTAGAATCTATTTTATTTTATATTAATTCATTTTTATTGCATTTTACGAAGTATTAATCAGCTAATGACTACAAAAAATGTGTAAGAGTTCACAAAGAATTTGAAAAGTAGTGAAATAGAAAACTACAAAACCAACTCATTAAAAGACACTGTGAGTTTGAAAAGATAAGCCACAGAATGAGAGAAAATACTTGCAACACATTAATTATGAATATTTCATGTAAAAATTCTATAATATGTAAATGATCAAATTCAAATCAATTAGAAAAATGGGAAAAGTACCTGGACATTTTACACAAAGAAATTCTAATGCCCTATTAACATGTGATAAGTGCTTGACCTCACTATTATCAGAGAAATGAATATTACGACTACAAATCACCACAGAGCTGTCACCAGACTGGCAGTCCTAAAGCTGATGAGGTGCTGAACGACAAGGACTCTCAGACACAGCTGATGGGAGAGCAGACTGGGCAAATACTTTAGAGAACACTTTGGCAGCATCAGCTGCAGCTGAACACACACATACTCCATGGGCAGCAATTCTACTGCTAGGAACCAACTGAAATGTGTTCACATGGGAACCAAAGGAGGCTAAGGACAATTATAGCAGCATAGTTTGTGACAGCCACAAAATGAAAATAAGCAAAATGTCCACCAACAGCTGATTGGATAAATAAATAGTGGTGTATTCACACTGTGGATAGTAAATAGCAGTGAAGACTATAGTAGCAGTGAAACCACAGCTTCAGGCAACAACGTGAATGAATCTCACAGGTGTGACAGCACCCTAGGTCTCATCTGAGTTCTCTCATGGGATCTGCAGGACATTCCAGGGACAAACTGTCCTATAAGTTCAGTAACATCATGGTGCTGGAGTTATTTCCCTCTATAGAACCAAACTCTGCTTGGTACCTAGATGTCATGGGAGGTCAGGGAGGGGGTTCTTGAAAAAGTCTTGGAGTGAGAGGAGCACTGTGAGATAAGGGAACAATTCAGGGTCTAGCATGAGGTCCGAGGTATAGGAGTCACAAGCCAGGTCAGCCATGGGGCTGCCCCAATCGCCTGCTGGCTGCTGCGTCCCTGTTGGGGTGGGGAGGCCAGGCCTGGCTGTGGCTGGACACAGCGATTTCTGCTGCTGGAGAAATTCCCAAGGGGCTGGGCAGCAGGGGTTAAGGAGGCTGCAGTAACCTGGGACTCCTAGAAATGTGATGTTGATGGAATGGGGACATCTGGGGAAATCAGATCAGGTTTGGGGAACTCAGTGTCCACTAGGACTCTTTTTAGTTTCAACTAACTATTCAGACTCCACAGGTCACTCCTGGCATTCAGAAGGCTCCAGGCCAGGGAGCAGAGCAAGGCCACTGGGAAGCAGCAAGCAAGTCTCATCCGTGGGAATAGCCCTTGCAGCAGTTCCATACAGCCGTCCTGGAGTTCGTCTCCTCGCTCCACCCCTCACCACCCCTGCTTTCCTCCCAAGATTGCTCAGGTGGATCAGAACTCATATGTGTGGTGTGGATCAATAGTGCTTGGAAGCCCCATGCCCCATAAGAGTCTGAATGTCTTGCAACAACCCACAGAATAGTTCTCAGGGTCCTCACAAAGGTCATGCTCAGATACAAGAATCACCACCCTCAGGGCAGCCCAGAGCTGGGCTTCCTAACACATATTCATTATAGTCTTCCCAGCCCAGTTTACCAATTGGGGGTCATTTTCACCAGAAGCAATGCTGCTTTGTACCACAGCTGATGTTCCGACTTGACCAGGTTTCCAGGGAAATAAACTAGAAAGTTAACTCAAGGTCAACTGTGTACTTAGAGAAGTGGGGATTTTAACTTGTTAACCCTTTACTCCCAGCATGGAAGATGAAGAGCTCAGTTGTGCATTTGAAATGCTACAGGAATCCCCAAGTGGAGATGTTGCTAGGTCCAGAGCTCAGGATAAAGGTCTGAAAGCCTCTTTTCAAAGGCACCTTGGTGGAGAAGAGCCCACCGCATGCAGCCAGCAGCAGTGGAGCCCTCAGCCAGCACTGCGTGGGCACGCGAAGGTGGCCCATCCCTGGGCTGCTTACCTTTCCCACAGGCCTGCACCAGGCCGTACCACTCCCCACAGCTGTTACATAGCAAGGTGAAGGCGGTCTCCCGGTGGCCCATGATGTGGCCTGGGGCACACACGTACAGCAGTTCATCCCCCATTTCCAAGCCGGTGCGGCCCTGCAGGATGGTGTGTGGGAACGAAGGCGGGTCTCCACACGGCTTCTCTGAGGAGAAGGAATCACAGTTAGCTTTTCCAAACTGTGCGGAACTTTTTCAGCCTATGAGAAAACAGACTTAAAACACAACTCTCCCCTGCCGCCCACCGTACCCTCAACTGTGATCACAGGGGCTGTTTCTTGGTCACCCTGGCAACTCCAAGGCCTGGCAGAATACCTGGAATAGAAGAGGCACTCAAAAATACTTGTTGCGTGAATAAACGCCACATAAAGTGCTGCAACTTTGCATTTTAAAGTTGCCAAACAATGTTACCTTCTAATGTTTCCTTGAAAGGAGGGTCTGGAGATACATACCTAGCAGCAAGCTCCTTTTTGCCGTATTTTATAAGTGAATAGGAACTCTGACAAAGGCTAAATGTTACAGACTACAGAGTACAGCAGAGGGTATCTTTCCCCCCTTCCCCGCCCACAACCTCAACACCAACAGCAACACCGTTATCAGTTTGGTATACACAAAAATTACACACACACACACACTATATATATATATACACACACACACATATATATACACACATATATACAAATACATACATATTTCTTTTTTTTACATAAATGGGATTTATATCGTATGTATTATTGAGTACCCTGCTTTTAAAAAATTGATTATTTTTTAGGTTCACATCAAAGTTGAGCAGAAAGTACAGAGAGTTCCCCTATACCCCCGACCCTTCCACGCACACAGCTTCTCCCACTATTAGCATTCTGCACCAGAGTGGTCCATTTGTGAAAACTGATGAAACTCCACTGATACCTCATTATCACCCAAAGTCCATAACTTACCTCAAGGTTACCATAATTTACTCAGTGTTGCACATTCTATGGGCTTTGACAAATGCACAGTGACACATATCTACCATTATTGTATCATACAGAATAGTTTCACTGCCCCAAAGTCCTCTGTGCTCTGCTTATTTATACCTTCCTTCTCCCTAAAGATTGCAACAGCTGATCCTTTTACTGTCTCCATAGTTTGCCTTTTCCAGAATTCACATAGTTGGAATCATAATACGTAGCCTTTTCAGATTGGCTTCTTTCACTTAGTAACATGCAATTAAAGCTCCTCCATGTCTTCTTATGGCTTGAGAGCTCATTTCTTTTTAGCACTGAATATTATTCCATTGTCTGGATGTATCACAGTTTATTTATCTATTCACCTACTGAAGTACATCTTGGTTGCTTCCGAGTTTTGGCAACAATGAATAAAGCTGCTATACACATCCATTTACAGGTTTTTGTGTGAACATTAGTTTCTGGTTCACTTGGGTAAATACCAAAGAGCGTGACTGCTGGATTGTATGGGAAGAGTATGTTTAGTTTTGTAAGAACTGCCAAACTGTCTTCCAAAATGGCTGTACCATTTTGCATTCCCACCAGCAATGAATGAGTGTTCCTGTTGCTCCACATCCTTGCTAGCATTTGTTGGTTTGTGTTCTGGATTGCAAATATTTTCCCAAGTCTGTGACCCATCTTATTCTCTAGACATTGTCTTTTGCAGAACAGAAGTTTTAAATTTTAATGAATCCCAGCTTATCAATTATTTCTTTCATGCATCATGCCTTTAGTCTAAGAAGTCATTGCCATACCCAAGGTCATTTAGGTTTTCTCCTATGATAACTTCTAGCAGTCTTACAGTTTTGGGTTTTACATTTAGGTCTATGGTCCATCTCGAGTTAATTTTTGTGAAGGGTGTAAGGTCTGCGTCTAGGTAATCGTTTTTGCATGTGGATGTCCAATTGTTCCAGCAGTTATGTAAAAGAGACTATCTTTGCTTCATTGTATTGCCTTTTCTCCTTAGTCAAAGATGAATCAACTATATTTATGTGGGTCTATTTCTGGGCTCTCTACTCTGATCCATTGATATTTGTCAGCTCTTTCACCAATATCACACTATCTTGATTGCTGTAGCTTTATAGATGTCTTCAGGTCCAACAGGTTCAGCCCTTTGACTTTGTTTTTCTCCTTCAATATTTAGTTGGTTACTCTGGGTCTATTACCTCTCCATATAAACTACAGACTTTGTTTGTTAACCCATTTATGCCAGAGGTTGCAAATTTTTTTGTGTCAAAAATCAGACCTTGGTGATGACCTTGAGAAGTAGGATATAAATAACTCCCACAAGCTTAGCATTCCAACAATGGAACACGAGGCATAAATGGGTTAATATCCGTAAAAGTAACTTGCTGAATTTTTTATTGGGATGTGTTCAATCTATAGATCAAGTTGGGAAAAACTGACATCTTCACAATCCATGAACATAGACTATTTCTCCATTTATTTAGTTCTTCTTTGATATATTTCATCAGAGTTTTACAGTATTCTTCATCTAGATCTACAGATCTTGTACGTAATTTGTTAGATTTATACCTAAGAATTTCATTTTTCCTTGGGGTGCTAATATAAATGGTAACATGGTGTTTTTTGGCTTTTTTGTTTTTTTGAGATAGGGTCTCACTCTGTCGCCCAGGCTGGAGTGCAGTGGTGGGATCATGGCTCTCTGCAGCCTTGACCTCTTGGGTTTAAGTGATCCTCCCACCTCGGCCTTCCAAAGTCTTGGGATTATAGGCATGAGCCACTGCACACAACTGGTAATGTGTTTTTAATTTAAAATTTCACTATTTAATTGCTGGTCCACAGGAAAGTGATTAACTTTTGTACGTTAACCTTGTATCCTGCAATCCTGCTATAATTGCTTTTTTTAAAAAAATTATACTTTAAGTTCTGGGATACATGTGCAGAACGTGCGGGTTTGTTACTATAACTGCTTATTAGTTCCAGCTTTTTGTTGTTGTTGATTCTTTCAGATTTTGTACATAGACAATCATGTTATCTGCAGACAAAGACAGTTTCAGTTGTTCCTTCGCAATCTATATTTTCTTTTCTTATTTTATTGTATTAGCTAGGATTTCCAGTACAATGCTGAAAAGCAGTGGTGAAAAGAGACATCTTGCCTTGTTTCTGATCTTAGTAAGAAAGCTTCAAATTTCTACCCTTAATCATGATGTTAGCTGTAGGTTTTTTTGTTTTGTTTTTGTTTTTGTTTTTAGATGTTTTCTATTGAGTTGAAGAAGTTCCCCTCTATTCCTGGTTTGTTAGGAGTTTTTATCATGAATGGGTGTTGGATTTTGTCAAATGCCTTTTCTGCATCTATCAATATAATTATGTGATTTTTCTTCCATAACCTCTTGATGTGATGGACCATATTAATTTTGAAGACTAGCCTTGCACACCTGGGATAAATCCCACTTGGTTTTGGTGTACAAATCTTTGTATACATTGTTGAATTTTGTTTGCTAATATTTTGTTGAAGATAATTGCATCTATGTTCATGAGATACATTGGTCTGTAGTTTTTTTTTTGTTGTTGTTTTGTTTTTTTTTGAGACGGAGTCTTGCTGTCGCCCAGGTTGGAGTGCAGTGGCGTGATTTTGGCTCACTGCAGGCTCCGCCTCCCGGGATCATGCCATTTTCCTGCCTCAGCCTCCCGAGTAGCTGGGACTACAGGTGCCCACCACCACGCCCGGCTAATTTTTTGTATTTTTAGTAGAGACAGGGTTTCACCGTGTTAGCCAGGATGGTCTCAATCTCGTGACCTGCCAGCCTCGGCCTCCCAAAGTGCTGGGATTACAGGCGTGAGCCACCGCGCCTGGCCCGGTCTGTAGTCTTTTTTGTAATGTCTTTGTTTGGTTTTGGTGTTAGGGTAATACTAGCCTCATAGAATGGCTTAGAAAGTATTCCTTCTGCTAACTTCTGGAAAAGATTGTAGAAAATTGGCATAATTTCTGCCACTAGTGAACCCTCTGGGCTTGATGCTTTCTTTGGAAGGTTGTAGAGGATTGGCATAATTTCTGCCTTAAATGTTTGGCAGAATCCACTAGTGAACCCTCTGGGCTTGGTGCTTTCTTTGGAAGGTTGTAGAGAATTGGCATAATGTCTGCCTTAAATGTTTGGCAGAATCCACTAGTGAACGCTCTGGGCTTGTGCTTTCTTTGGAAGGTAATTAGTTATTGATTCAATTTATTTATTTATTTAATAGCTATAGGCCTGTTCAGATTGCCCATTTCTTCTCTACAATGGGACAATTTAATGTAGGTTATCAAATTTGTAGGCATAGAGTTGTTCATAATATTCCTTTATTATCCTTTTAATGTCCATAGGATCTGTAGTGATGTCCCCTCTTTTTTTTAAAAGCATAACCAATTGTTTAATCAGTTTTATGTGACCTATGAGCCTTCAGAAATCAATACCCGAAGAACCAGGGAAAACTGTTGATTTTTATGTTTAGATTCAAAGAAGAATGGACAGCTGTGTAGAAATGTGATTGGACAAAAGGGGTATGATCTAATGGTAATATACTAAAGGGGGAAACCCAGCAAGGTTTGTTTGTTGAGCTTCTTGTTGGCCTCTCTGTGTAGCATTATTTTCTCCTAGATATAGGCAGAACCTCTCTGGAATATAGGTCTTATGACCTATTACCAAACAAGGTAGGTCAAGTTATTTCTTTCAGGCTGGGTGCTACACAGAAAGGTGGGAGAAGGCTATAATAGTATTTCCAAGTTTTACGGCTTGCTTTGGGGTTTCATTTTCAATATTAGTAATTTGCATCTTCTCTCATAGTCTGGCTAGAGGCTTATCCATTTTATTGCTCTTTTCAAAAAACCAACATTTTTTTCCATTGATTTTATGTTTGTAATTTTACTGATTTCTACTCTAATTTTTATTACAGTCATGTGCCACATAACAACATTTTGGTCAAGGAGGAACTGAATATATGATGGTAGTCTCGTAAGATTATAATGGAGCTGAAAAATTTTTATCACCTAGTGATGTAGCCATTGTAAAATCATAGAGCAATGTATTATTTATGTGTTTGTGGTGATGCTGGTGTAAACAAACCTGTTGCACTGCCAACTGTATAAAAGTATAGCACATACAATTATGTACAGTACAAAATACTCAATAATGATACTAAATGACTATGTTACTGGTTTATATATTTACCATACTATACTTTAATCATTATTTTAGAGTGTACTACTACTTATTTTTAAAAAGTTAACTAAAGCAGCCTCAGGCAGGTCCTTCAAGAGATATTCCAGAGAAGGCATTGTTATAATAGGAGATGACAGCTCCATGTGTCTTACTGCCCCTGAAGACTTTCTACTGGGACAAGACGTGAAGGTGTCAAACAGTGATATTGGTGATCCTAACCCTGTGTAAGCCTAGGCTAATGTGCATGTTTGTGTCTTAGTTTTTAACAATAAAGTTTAAAAAGTTAAAAAAAAATTTTTTTGAGACATGGTCTTGCTCTGTCACTCACGTTGGAGTGCAGTGGCATGATCATGGCTCACTGTAATCTTGAACTCCTGGGCTCAAGTGATCCTCTTGCCCCAGTTTCCTGAATAGCTGGGACTATAGGCACATGCATCTGTGCCCAGCTAATTAAAAAAATTTTTTTTGGCCAGGTGCAGTGGCTCATGCCTGTAATCCCAACACTTTGGAAGGCTGAAGCAGATGGATCACTTAAGGTGAGGAGTCAAAGACCAGCCTGGCCAACATGGTGAAACCCTAAAATTACTTTTTATACTAAAAATACAAAAAAAAATTATCCAGGCGTGGTGGTGCATGCCTGTAATCTCAGTTACTCGGGAGGCTGAGGCAGGAGAATAGCTTGAACCCAGGAGGCAGAGGTTGCAATGAGTCGAGGTTGTGCCACTGCTCTCCAGCCTCACTGACGGAGCAAGACTTTGCCTCAAAAAAAAAATTTTTTTTTTTTTTTGTAGACATAGGGTCTTACTATGTTGCCCAGGTTGTTCTTTAACTCCTGGCCTCAAGAGATCCTCCTGCCTCAGGCCTTCCAAAGTGCTGGGGTTGCAGGCATGAGCCAGCACACCCAGCAAATAATAATAATAATAATAAATTTAAAAAATAAAAAAAGTATAGAATAAGGATATAAAGAAAGAAAATGTTTGTACAGTTGTACAATGTGTTTTTAAGCTCTGTTATTATGAAAAAGTCAACAAGTTTTAAAAAATTAAAAATTTATAAAGTTACAATAAACTAAAGCTAATTTATTACTGATGAAAAAATATTTTCATAAATTTAGTGTAGTCTAAGTGTACAGTGTTTATAAAGTCTGCAGTAGTATACAGTAACGTCCTAGGCCTTCACATTCACTGAACATTCATTCACTGACTCAACCATGGCAACGTCCAGTGCTGCAAGCGCCATGCATGGTAAATGCCCTATACAGATGTATCATTTTCATCTTTTTTTTTTTTTTTTTGCATTTGTTTGGTTTTTGTTTTGGGGGTGGGGAGATTTGAGATAAAATCTCACTCTGTTGCCCAGGCTGGAATGCTGTGACATGATCGTGGCTCACTGACCTCTTGGACTCTCAAGCAATCCTCCTGTGTAGCTGAGACCAAGAGCACGTGCCACCCTGCCTAGATATTTTTTTCCCCCTTTGGAGAGACAGGGTTTCCATATGTTGCCCAGGCTGGTCTCAAACTCTTGGGCTCAAATGATCCTCCCTTCTCAGCTTCCCAAAGTGCTGGGATCACAGGCATGAGTTACTGTGCCTGGTCCATTTTTTGTTTGTTTTACCTTTTATACTGTATTTTTACTGTACCTTTTCTATGTTTAGATACACAAATACCTACCATTGTGTTACAGTTGCCTACAGTATTCAGTACAGTAACACACTGTACAGGTTTGTAGCCAAGGAACAACAGGCTGTACCATTAGTGTAGGTGCCAGTAGGCTATACCATCTAGGTTTGTGTAAGTACACTCTACGATGTTCACACAATGACAAAATCATCTACAATGCATATCTCAAAATGTATCCCTGCTGTTAGTCAATGAATACTGTATTTCTTTTCTTCTGTTTAATTTATATTTAACTTGCTCTTCTTTTTTGAGTTTTCTAAAGTGGAGGCTAAGATTATTGATTTTAGATCTTTCTTTTTTTCTAATATATGTATTCACTGCTATAAGTTTGCCTCTAAGCACTGCTTCTCACAACTTTTGAAAAGTATTTTCATTCTCATGTGGTTAAAAATATTTTAAAATTCTCTTGAGATATCTTCTTTGACCCATGCATTATTTAAAAGTATGTTGTTTAATCTCCAAGGACTTTGGGATTTTCCAGCTATCATTCTGTTATTGTTTTCTACCTTAATTCCACTGTGGTCTGAGAGCAGACATCATATTCCTATTCTTTAAAATTTGTTAATTTGTGTTTTACGGCCCAGGATGTGGTTGATCCTAGCAAATGTTCCATGTGAGCCTGAGAAGAATGTGTAATCAGCTGTTGTTGGATAAAGTAGTCTAAATATGTCAATTATATCTAGTTAACTAAATTGGCTGTCAAGTTCAACTATGTGCTTGCTGATCTGCCTGCCAGATCTGTCCATTTCTGACAGAGGGGTGTTTAAATCTCCAACTACAACAGTGGATTCATCTATTTATCCTTGCAGTTCTATCAGTTTTTCCTCATGTATTTTGGCATCCTGTTGTTAGGCACATATACATTAAAGATGGTTATGTCTTCTTAGAATATTGACCTCTTTACCATTATGTAATTCTTCTCTTTATCCCTGATAACTTTTCTTGATCTGAAGTCTGCTCTATCTAAAATGAGTATAGCTACTCCCACTTTATTTTGATTAGTGTTAGCATGGTATATCTTTCTCCATCCCTTTCCTTTTTGTTTTTTGAGACGGAGTCTTGCTCTGTCACCCAAGCTGGAGTGCAGTGGTGTGATCTCGGCTCACTGCAAGCTCTGCCTCCCAGGTTCATGCCATTCTCCTGCCTCAGCCTCCTGAGTAGCTGGGACTACAGGTGCCTGCCACTACACTAGGCTAATTTTTTGTATTTTTTTTTTTTTTAGTAGAGACAGGGTTTCACCGTGTTAGCCAGGATGGTCTCGATCTCCTGACCTCGTGATCCACCCGCCTTGGCCTCCCAAAGTGCTGGGATTACAGGCGTGAGCCACCACACCCAGCTCCCTTTACTTTTTATCTATATGTGTCTTTATACTTACAGTGGGTTTCTTATAGACAACATATAGTTAGGTCTTGTTTTTTAACACACTCTGATAATACCTGCCTTTTAATTAGTGTATCTAGACCATTGATGTCTAAAGTGATCATTGATATAATTGGATAACCACTATAATTGTTATTGTTTTCTATTTGTTACCGTATTTTCTGTTTCTATTTTTGTCTTCTATGTTTTTTAAGTCTTTTATGGTTTTAATTGAGCATTTTATATAATTCCATTTTCTTTCCTTTCTTAACGTATCAATTATACTTGTTTTTTTATTTTTATTCTTTATCTTTTTTAGTTGTTGCCCTGGTGGTTGCAATACACATTTACAAGTCCAACTCCACTTTCAAATAACACTATACTATACTTCACAGGTAGTGCAAGTACCTTATAATAACAAAATATGCCTAATTCCTCCTGCCCCCTGTATCATTGGTGTCATTCAGTTCACTATTGAATTGCTGCTATTATTTTGTACAAACTATTATCTCTCTGATCACTAAGAATACAAAAAAGTAAGTTTTTACTTCACCTTCACTTATTTATTCTCTGATGTTCTTCCTTTATTTACATAGGTCTGAGTTTCTGACCTATATCATTTCCCTGCTCCCTAAAGAACTTCTTTTAACACTTCTTGCAAGACAGGTCTACTGGCCACAAATTCTCTCATTTTTTGTTTGTTTGAGAAAGCCTTTATTTCTCTTTCACTTTTGAAGGACAATTTCTTAGGGCATACAATTTTAGGTTAATGGGGTTTTTTTTCCTCTTAACACTTTAAATATTTTATTACCCTCTTTTTTTTTTTTTTTTTTTTTTTTTGAGATGGAGTCTCGCTCTATCTCCTTGGCTGGAGTGCAGTGGCGTGATCTCAGTTCACTGCAACCTCCACCTCCTGGGTTTAAGCGATTCTCCTGCCTCAGCCTACTGAGTAGCTGGGACTACAGGCACACACCACCACACCTGGCTACTTTTTTTGTATTTTTAGTAGAGATGGGGTTTCACCATGTTGGCCAGGCAGGTCTCGAACTCCTGACCTTAGGTGATCTGCCTGCCTCAGCCTCCCAAAGTGCTGGGATTTAAGGCATAAGCCACCACACCCGGCCTTACACTGTCTTCTTTCTTGCATGGTTTCAGAGGAGGAATTGCATATAATTCTTACTTTTGCTCGTCCATAGATAAGGTAGGGTTTTTTCCTCTAGATTCTTCCAAGATTTTAAATTTATCTTTAAATTTTTTTGTAGTTTGTTAATGATATGCCAGGGTGTAGTTTTTTGGGTATTTATCCTACTTGGTGTACTCTGAGCTCCCCAGATCTGTGGTTGGTTGTCCGACATTAATTTGATGAAATTCTTGGTCATTACGATTTCAAATATTGCTTCTGTTCCTTTCTTCCTTCTCCTTCTGATACTTCCATTATGTGTGTGTTATAATTTTTGTGGTACCCCATAGTTCTTGGATATTCTGTTCTCTTTTTTTGTCTTTTATTTCTCTTTGTTTTTCAGTTTTGGAAGTTTCTATTGCCATATCTTCAACCGCAGATATTTTCTCCTCAGCTGTGTCCAGTCTACTGATGAGCCTATTTCTGTTACAGTGCTCTTGATCTCTCACATTTCTTTTTGATTCCTTAGAATTGCCACCTCTCTGTTGCTATTACCCATCTGTTCTTGTATGTCATCTAATTCTCCCATTAATGCCCTGAGCATAGTTATCATAGCATTTTAAAATTCCTGGTCTAATAAATTCAATGTTCCCGCCCTATCTGAGTCTAGCTCTGATGCTTGTTTTCAGTCTTTTCAAACTGTATCTTTTGTCTTTTAGAATGCCTCGTAATTTTTGTTGAAAAGTGGACATGATGTTCTGAGCAAAAGCCACTGTGGTAAACAGGCCTTTGGGAATGTGGTGGGAAGCTGTGGAGGGGAGAGGAAGTGTTCTAGAGTCCCATGACTAGGTCTCAGTCTTTTGTCAGCATGTGCCCCTGGACTGTGAACTTCATCAGTGCTTCTCATTTTTCCCCTCCCATCTAGGTGAGAGAGGATGGCTACAGGGAGCTGGAGTTGGGAATTTCCCTCCCTCCAGCAGGTCAGGCTCTGAAAAAATATTTTGTTCCTGATCACAGGCCTTGTTAAGAAGAACAGAATATTCTGGGGTATTTCAAAATGGTTCTTTTTCCTCTCTGTTTGCTGGAAGCAAAAGATTTTTCTCTGATATTTTCTGTAAGGACCTGATAGAGCTCCTGGAGGTAAAACTTCCAAAAGCATGGGGGCCCCTTGATGACTGGGTCCCCCTGGAGTTTTTAACTCACAAACTTGTCCACCCTGAGCTTCCAGCAATTCATCAATTACAGCTACGTTTTCCTACCCTGGCACTGGTTTCTTCCAATTGTTCTGCTTAGGTAACTTGTGATTATCTGTTTTTACCTGTTTCTCCAATTCTAGGGACAGCAGTTTGCCCTGTGACCTCACTTTGCTGATGGATCTAAGAAGAGCTGTGGATGTGTCAGTTTGTTCAGCTTTTTACTTGTTATGATGGAGCAGTAACTTCTAAACTCCTGACATGCTGGGCCAGAAACCAGAAGTCTTTTTCTTTTTTTCTTTAAATATTACAGCTCTTTCCACATTAATACTATAATCTACTTCAATCTTTGGTAGCAGACATTATTTAATCATTAGACAGATATTTATGTTGGTTCCAACTTTTCATGATTATAAATAATGCTTCAATGAACAGTCTCAAATGCACATTTTTGTACCTATCTTATTTCTTTAGGATAGACCTCTAGAAGTGGAACTGCTGCATCAAAGTAATGTTACAATTAAAAAAAATTCAAATTCAAATTTCCTCTTCTAATTTTACAGGTTGTTTTCCTTTAGTCTTTAGGCAGTCAAGTTACCTAAGAAGCATATTGCTTAAAAGAAGATAGACTTTGGGAGGCCAAGGCGGGCGGATCATGAGGTCAGGAGATTGAGACCATCCTGGCTAACACGGTGAAACCCTGTCTCTACTAAAATACAAAAAATTAGCTGGGCGTGGTGGCAGGCGCCTGTAGTCCCAGCTACTCGGGAGGCTGAGGCAGGAGAATGGCGTGAACCCGGGAGGTGGAGCTTGCAGTGAGCCGAGATTGCGCCACTGCACTCCAGCCTGGGTGACAGAGCAAGACTGTGTCTCAAAAGAAAAAAAAAAGAAGATAGACTGAGAAATGATGAAAATAGAAAATAATAAAAAATACGACTTGTGCTTTAAGCCACCCTGACTGGCCTCGCAGCTTGTAGTTTGGTAGCACTTTCCTTTCTTTCTTTTTTTTTTTTGAGACAGAGTCTCATTCTGTCACCAGGCTGGATGGAGTGCAGTGGTGTGATCTTGGCTCACTGCAACCTCCGCCTCCCCGGTTCAAGCGATTCTCCTGCCTCAGCCTCCTGAGCAGCTGGGACTACAGGCGCGTGCCACCATGCCCAGCTAATTTTTGTATTTTTAGTACAGACAGGGTTTCACCATGTTGGCCAGGATGGTCTTGATCTCTTGACCTCGTGACCTGCCCGCCTCGGCCTCCCAAAGTCCTGGGATTACAGGTGTGAGCCACCACGCCCGGTCAGCACTTTCTTAAAGACGCTCATTGCTATGCATATCCTTTTATATGAGAGAGATTTTGAATGAAGAAGTGTGTGGCTGTACTTCAGGAAGACAGCACAGAGTGACACATTTTGACCAAAACTACCTTGACTCTCTGAGTCAAGGAGCCTAGGAGATCAAGTGCTTATTTCACCTATATGGCAATTCGGGACAAGCAGTTATCTGAAACCCTTGCCACAAATTCAGATGCATCCTCCGCAGGGTGAGTAGGGGAGAATCATGTAGGTGAAGAATGAACCAAAGTCATCCACCTCAGTTATGTCAGGCTGGACCAAATTCCAGCTGGTATCTCAAAGGCAAAAGGCCTGGACTTTCCACCTTTCTCAGCTGCCCATGACTCATGCTGGATGCCCCACTGTTTTCTTCCACCAGGATCTACTGGAAGGCTGTTCAGCAAACACTATGAAAGGACTGATTAATACTTTCAGTCTCACATAAATCTATCTAAGGAACACAGGGAAACTGTTTTGGAAGTAGAGAAGGAGGAACTTCAGGCTAAACTCAGATCCCACCAGACTCATAAGATCTTCTTCAGAATTAATTTTCAAAACGATATGGGCTAGAATCTGGCTCAGGAAAACCGCAATAATGCTGCTGAGAGTCTAGGTACATACACCATATGTTTCTGGATTTCCCGCAAACATTCAAGACAGGAAACACACTTCTGAGCTGGTGTGATTCAGAAGCTCCAGTACAACAGTGCTATGCGTTAACACAACCAAGTGCGTGCCAAAAACACCACTCATATCCAGGTGCAACTTGAATTAGTTCCTTTCACCAATCTTCTCATCTTGAACCTCACAAGGGAGCTATGGAAAACAGCTGGCTATATACCTGGACCTTCTTCTCCTCTCTAGGGAAACTTAACATTTGGTAAGTGTACTAACAGTCTTTTTTTTTTTTTTATACTTTAAGTTTTAGGGTACATGTGCACAACATGCAGGTTTGTTACATATGTATACATGTGCCATGTTGGTGTGCTGCACCCATTAACTCGTCATTTAACGTTAGGTATATCTCCTAATGCTATCCTTCCCCCCTCCCCCCACCCCACAACAGGCCCCGGTGTGTGATGTTCCCCTTCCTGTGTCCATGTGTTCTCATTGTTCAATTCCCACCTATGAGTGAGAACATGCAGTGTTTGGTTTTTTGTCCTTGATACTGCTTCTCGATTATTCTGTAGATAGAAATTGTGGTTTGTGAACACAGATTTAGGACCTGGGTTTCAACCATTTCAACATCAAGAGATATATCTATTATTTTTCCTTCCAAGAAAAGAAGATTTTATAAAAGATTCTGTCTATCAACCAAATGTTTATTCATAAGCACATTTATTTCACTCATTTTTCAATTTAAAAGGGCACATTTGCCTGCCAATCAAAGCTTCTGATAACCAGTGTTTCCACAAAGAATTTAGAACTCATATGAAAGTTGATGCTTTTATTCTGATAAATTGTTGACTTTCATCTTGACCTTTGAAATTTTAAAGAAGAGCCTGCAAAACTCAATTATTACTTTGCAAGACAAAAATGTAAAATTCTGAAACAAATGCCTGATCTTTCCTCCTTCCTTTTGGTGTTACCCAAGCTATGTGTCTTTAGGGCCCCCTGCTAGCTCCCTCCCACTCACTCCACAACACACAACCAGCATTGTCCTCCCCAAGAACAGTTAGTTCTTACACTCCTCTACATCAGTGGTTCTCAAAGATGAACATGCATCAGAATCACCTGGAAGGTTTGTAAAAATACATCTGGCCCTCCTTTTGAGTTTCTGACTCTGTAGCTGAGGCCCCAAAATTTGTATTTCTTGAAAGTTCCTAGGTAATGTTGAGACTGCTGGTACAAGGACCACCCTTGGAGAACTGCTGCTGTGGATCAAAAACCTATCCTCAAAAACAGGCAAAACCTATATGTGGTGATAAGAATTGGAATAGAGATGGGCCTCTGGCTCTGCTGGAGTAGGGAGGGGCAGAAGATTATTGGAAAAGGACTCCAGGGAACTTTCTGGGGTGAAGAAAATGTTCTATATCATGACTGGGTGTTGATTACACAGGTGTATACATTTGTCAAAACTTGTCAACTTTAGATCTGTGCATTTTGCTGATGTAAATTATACCTTAATGAACTAAGTTAATTTAAAAAATACCTCCCCTTAGAAAAATCTGTAATTTATTCAGCATGAGGTATAAGTGGTTGAAAATTATTCACAACCTCTCCCAATGGATACTTCATGCCTTAAGATAGTGATTTCCAACTTGTAGGGATTCTACCAGGGAAGCAATATAGTATTTGCAAGATGTAGGCAAGTTCATATGCAAATAAACCCTGCGTCAATCAACCAATAACTCTAAATCAATTACTAATACATGGAAATCTACATGATAGTACTCCTTGAGTTTCTCCTCCTAAAAACTTATTTAAAAAATATTCTAGCCGGCTGGGCGTGGTGGCTCACACCTGTAATCCCAGCACTTTGGGAGGCTGAGGTGGGTGGATCACGAGGTCAACAGTTCAAGACCAGCCTGACCAATATGGTGAAACCCCGTCTGTACTAAAAATACAAAAATTACCTGGATGTGGCGGCGCACGCCTGTAGTCCCAGCTACTCGGGGACTGAGGCAGGAGAATCGCTTGAACCCGGGAGGCGGAGGTTGCAGTGAGCTGAGATCACGCTACTGCACTCCAGCCCGGTGGGTGGAGCGAGACTCTCCTTCTCAAAAAAAAAAAAAAAAAAAAAAAAATTCTAGAATGAAATGATATAATGTCCTGGATTTGCTTTAAAATATCTCAATTATATAAGAAAGCTTTAGGAAAAAAATCAAATTTTTCCTTTACCCTCACCAATGACAACCATTGTTTTTGTTTTGAGAAGTGTTAAATGTTCTGTATTTGATATTACACATAAATCACACTAAAATGCCTTTCAGTAAGTAAAAAGAACCATTTTAGATACAGGGAATTCTAATTAGATTGGCATAGTTAAGACCAAAAATATAAAGTACACATTGCTAGCTTATCTTCAGCCTTTGCCTTTAAGATGCAGATGAATACAAAACACAAGTGAGTCTTGCTTGGTTCTGAGACAATGAAGGAATTTCCCCAGTATTTAAATATATTCCCATAACCAGTTATATAAATCTATATATAAAACCAATCTCCAATAGATTTTAAGATGACATTCACCATCTTTGCGAAAAGTTGACCCTACTAGTGAAGTCCAGTCATATCTTTAAAAGGGGAATAGTGACAGCATTTACTGGATTGGAATTACTATTCAAATTCAAAAAACTGAACGTACTCATTTAACCACAAGCCAGTCAGTCTTAGTTAAATCAGGACTGCCCAACAAAAATATTCATCAGTCACTCATGATCTAAATTCTGGTATATGAGATTCATTAAATTATGGTACACATAAAAAAGTCATAAGACATTTCTGTTTTGTAATAAATAAGCAATGGCCAATTAGTACTCGTTAGCAGCTTTTTTGAGATAAGCTATCAAGTCTGCCCTTTCTGCCTTCTTCTTAATGCTGGCGAAGATCATTTTTGTTCCAGGGATATATTTTTAACGTGGTTTTTACTCCTTCAGTTTTTCACACATACACACAAATACATATGCACAGCACTATGCTATAATACGATATAACCATTTTAGTTTGTAGCTTGTTAATTTAACATTATATTGTGAAATTTTCTCCTTATCAACAAATATTTGTATTTTAAAAATTTATTGTAAATGACTATATATTATTCCATTTGTATGGATTTACCATAATGGGCCCCCTAGGGTGGGACATTAACTTTGTTTCTATTTCTTCCTTACTAAATAATGAACATTGTAACATACCTTTATACTGAGGGAGTTCAGGAAATGCCACCCAAAAATATACAACTCTGTTTGGCATGCTGATTACTTCAAACTGAGGGCACTTGGGGGACAGAAGATGCAGGCAGAGGCTTTCTCTGGGCTTCCCTTGTCTGCCTGATGACAGATCCTCCAAAAGGAACTCAGTTGTCATGAATCCCCTCCCCAGGAATTTCATTAAGCAGAGAAGATTTACTCCTATCACAGCAGAGGACCTAGACAGACTTTGTTACACCCACTTTTCTGAGGGCTCATTCATCTCTCTCCAAAATCATTTAATCTCCCCTAAATTGTCTACATTCCCCCACCCCAGCCCATCAAATTCCACTGTGAATATCCAAAGTCCAGTAAGATTTAGGAGCTTATATACCTTCTTCATAGAGCATATTATGTACCCTCTTCACCCTCTTCATAGAGTATATATAAGCTCCTAAATCTTACTGGGTTTTGGGTATTTACTTTTCTTTCCTGTGATGCCCTGTGCATATAATAAATTAGTATACTTTGTTTTTTTTTTTTGAGATGGAGTCTTGCTCTGTCACCCAGGCTGGAGTGCAGTGGCATGATCTCGGCTCACTACAAGCTCCACCTCCTGGGTTTAAGCCATTCTCCAGCCTCAGCCTCCCAAGTAGCTGGGACTACAGGTGCCTGCCACCACGCCTGGCTAATTTTTTGTATTTTTTAGTAGAGACAAGGTTTCACCGTGTTAGCCAGGATGGTCTTGATCTCCTGACCTCATGATCCACCCGCCTCGGCCTCCCAAAGTGCTGGGATTACAGGCGTGAGCCACTGCACCCGGCCTAGTATACCTTTTTTTCCCTGTTGATCTGTCTGTTGTCAATGTTCATAGACTCAGTTACTGAGCCCTCAGAGCATAGGAAAGTCTTCCTTCCCCTACACTACTAGCCATGCTAATATCCTTAGAATAAAATACTCAAAGTGGAACCGATGGATGAAAGGGAATATGTAGTTTTTAAGCTTCTGATAAGTTCTGCCAAGTTGAATATGAGTGTTTAAGAATTTACACTCAGGCTGGCTGGGTGCAGTGGCTCACTCCTGTAATCCCAGCACTTTGGGAGGCTGAGGCAGCAGGATTGCTTCAGGCCAGGAGTTTTGAGAGCAGCTTGGGCAATATAGCGAGATCCCATCTCAATTAAAAAATAAGAAATAGCCAGGCATGGTGGTGTGCGCCTGTAGTACTAGCTACTCAGGCAGCTGAGGTGGGAGGATCTGTTGAGCCCAGGAGCTGTAGTGAGCTATGATCAAGCCACTGTATTCTAGCCTGGGTGACAGAGTTAAGATCCTGTCTCTAAAAACCCAAAAGAATTTATATACCTACAAGTGGCATATAAATTTGCTTGTTTCCCTTCAGAACACTGAGTGCTATCATTGTTTGTAAACTTTGACAATTTTACAGGCTGAAAAAGTGATTTCTTATATTAATGCGCATATTTTTTTTTTTTGAGACAGAGCCTTGCTCTGTCGCCTGGACTAGAGTACAGTGGCATGATCTCAGCTTACTGCAACCTCCACATCCCAGGTTCAAGCGATTCTCCTGCCTCAGCCTTCCAAGTAGCTGGGACTACAGGCATGCGCCACCACATCCAGCTAATTTTTTTTCTTTTTTTTTTTTTTGTATTTTTAGTAGAGATGGGGGTTTCACCAAGTTGGTCAGGCTGGTTTCGAACTCCTGACCTCAAATGATCAGCCCACCTTGGCCTCCCAAAGTGCTGGGATTACAGGCATGAGCCACCCCGCCCGGCCTAATGCACATATCTTTAATTGGCAAGAGAGTTGAATATTTATTGACCAATTGTATTGCTTCAAAATACTTCTCTATTGTGGTCTTTATCTTTTCCTTTCAATCTATAAGATATCTACATATATCAATACAATAATCCAGGCTAGGTGGTTTATGCCTGTAATCCCAGCACTTTAGGAGGCCAAGGCAGGTGGATCACCTGAGGTCAGGAGTTCAAGACCAGCCTGACCAACATGGCGAAATCCCATCTCTACTAAAAATATAAAAAATTAGTCAGATGTGGTGGTGCGTGCCTGTAGTCCCAGCTACTTGGGAGGCTGAGCCACGAGAATCTCTTGAACCCAGAAGGTTAGAAGGTGGAGGTTGTGGTGGGCCAAAATTGCACCAATGCACTCCAGCCTGGGTGACAGAGTGAGACTCTGTCAAAAAATATATATATATAATCTAATAATTCATTGCCTTATTTTCCCATATTCATAACCAATTAGCCTAGTACTATCAAATAATCCATCCATCCTTTTCCCACTAATTTGAAGTTTCACCATTCTTACTATACACTTATGTATGTTGGGTCTATTTTGATGTTTCCAGTCTTTTGCACTGAAGTACTTGTCTGGGTCTCAGTGCCAAACAACGGTTTTTTGCATATGAGCCTCCTACATTATTGAAATAATAGCAATAAGTTGATAAGACTGAAGCAAGCAATGGGGGAGTTGCAAGCGATGAAGCTATAGGGAGGCAGGCATGAGTTCATGAAGGGCCTCATAAGCCAGGTAAAAAGTCTAGAATTCGTCCAGAGGAAAACAAGGAACCACTAAGGAGTTTAACACAGAAAATAACATGATCCCCTTGGCGGTATAGAAACAACACTATTTGCATTGTAGACGATGCATTGAGGAAGCATGCCTGGAGACTGGAGGACCAGTGAGGAGGCCATTTGAGCTGTCCAGGATAGCAGCACAGGAGCCAAATGAGGTGCAGAGGGCAGGAACTAGGTGGATCTGGCAGATACTGAAAAGGGAAGTTTTTACAGAACATTTAACTACAAGGTGTTAGGGGTGAGATGAGGATCAGGGCATAGGAGGCTGAGGGATATGAGTATAAGTTTGGGACTTGTGGATTTTGATGGGCCACAAGCAATGCCCATAGGTAGCTGCATATATGGAATTCAGGGCTTTAGGGGTCTGGAGAGATTAGGCTTGAGAAATGATTTGAGATTACCAGGCATTTAGATGAAAACTGAAGCCTTTGAAGTGTTGAGTGAGTGAGGGGAGATGAGGGTGAAACCACCTTTGCAAAAAGTATGACAATGAGAAATATCTACCATAGGAAAATTATGACAGTGAAAGAAATCTGATCTAACCGACTCCATCTTGCTTCTAACCTACAAACTGCCCTCGTTCATTCCTGGGTATGGGCCAAACTAACTTTGTGAAGAATTTATAGTGTAACATTGAAACAAAAACGATAATAGCCCCTCCCTGAAACAAACCCCCCCACCACTTGCCTGGGGACCAGACTGCCTTTGCAAAACTAACAAAGTGGCCACAAGATTAGAAATTATGGCCCAGAAGACATGCGGCCAGAGGCCTCAAGGTTCCTATCCTCCCCAGTCGCTCCTATGAATAATATCAGTATTGTAAAACCTAAGATTGGTGTTTGAGATATTTCTCAGACTCTGTATTCTGATGGACCAGCTGGTGCCATCCGGACCACTAAACTGGCTCATCTGGTCTTGTGGCACCAACCCAGGAACTGACAGAGCAAGAGGACAGCTTCAACTCCCTAGGATTCCATCCCTGACCCAATCAACTCGCACTTCTCATTCTCTTGCCCCCTACCCATCAAATTATCTTTTAAAAACCCTAGCCTCTGAATTTTCAGAGGCTGATTTGAGTAATAATAAAACTCTGGCCTCCCATTTAGCTGGCTCTACGGGTATTAAACTCTTTCTCTATTGCAATTCCTCTGTCTTAATAAATGGGCTCTATCTGAGCAGCAGGCAAGAGGAACCCACTGGCTGGTTGGTTACAAGGGGAGATGAGGGCAGAGGTCAGAGCCCAGAGGAAGTGAGCAGAGAAACAAGAGTTCACAAAGGACATCACTGTAGCCAGACATATACAAAGAAAACCTGGAGCAAGACAAGGCAGAACATGTTTCAAGGAAGTGTGTGGTCAAGTACTTAAAGCTTCAGAAACAACAAGCAAAGGGCAGGCTGAGAAATGGCCATGATATTTAGCCACAGAGAAACTACCAGTAGCCTTGGTGACAGTAGTTCCACTTAACTGATAAGGCAGAAACCAGAAGGCAGTAGATGGAAGAATGAATGATGGAAGGTAAGATAATGGAGGCCATGAGTGCAGATGATTTTGAGGGCTATGAAAGGAAGGAGAGAGATGGAATAGTAGCTAAAAGGATACAGAGTAACAGCTTGATGAAAATATGAATTATTAGTAAATAATCACTTTCCTTTTTTCTTTTTTCTTTGTTTAGCTCAGAGGCAAGAATAAATAATCACTTTCAGCTGGGCACGGTGGCTCACACCTGTAATCCCAGCACTTTGGGAGGCCGAGGTGGGTGGATCACCTGAGGTCACGAGTTCAAGACCAGCCTGGCCAACATGGCAAAACCCCGTCTCTACTAAAAATACAAAAATTAGCTGGGCCTGGTGGTGCACACCTGTAGTCCCAGCTACTCGGGAGGCTGAGGCAGGAGAATCGCTTGAACCCAGGAGGCAGAGGTTGCAGTGACCCGAGACTGTGCCACTGCACTCCAGCCTGGGGGACAGAGTGAGACTCTGTCTCAAAACAAACAAACGAAACAATAAATAATCACTTTCTAAACAGTTGCAAGTGGTTTTATTTGTTCTGAGTCCTTAAAATAATTCCCTCGTTTTTGAAATGCGAACTCTTTTCGCTTGTCCTATAATTCTTCTCTGCTTACTTAGTCCCCAATTAATCAGTGATGTGCTGATAAATATTAAATTAACAACCAGCTCTCTTGGGAAGGGGAGAAACTGCTGGGGGATGGAGGTGGGAATGGCTGTTGTGCAGGTAATTGACAAGGTCTGAGGCAGTGCACAATAGACAAGGTCTTAATGCAATTTCTGGCTCACAGTTCTAGATAAATTGAAACTACAAAAAGAGCCTGAAGTAGTTGAAGATAAGTAAAGAGATATATGCATGAAGATGTTCAATCATGGTATTTATTATAGTGAAATCCATGGAATTACCAAAACGTCTAATAACAGGAGAATGTTTAATTTATAGTACATTCATATAATGGATTATTATAGCCATTCTTTGAAGCATATTCAATGTCATGGGGAGATATAGATCTATAGCCATATAAATGAAAAAAAAAAAAACAGAATGCAATCTTATATGTTGTTCATATAATCCCAATTTAGTAAACTAAATAAAACATGTAGAGAACACAAAAGACTCATGCTAAAATACTTGTATTAGGGAAGACTGATTATGAGAGACCTTAATTTTCTTTATACTTTCCACTAAAATGACCACATATTCATATTTATAATAGAAAATCTATTCTAATTGTAAAAATGGAGCTAATGACATTTATCTCTTAGGATTGTTACTAGAATTAAACGAACATATGCCTTTCCCAGTGCCTACCACATTCCTGAAACTTAACAAGGTCCTGAATAAAAACCAGCTCCATTTCCCATATAAATGGTTGGAGACTGATGGTCTTTTGAATGGCCCTGAATGGATCTTCAAGTCATGATGGTAACTGAATACCCATTGTCCTTAAACCAAATAAAGCCAACCACACCATGGCTAAATTGGAATTGAATGCCACCTTGGGCCATGAAAAGGGGAAAAACAAAATGCTCATAAAAAGATAAAACCAGATATGAGCCTGTATTTGCCCACTACTGACATAGCAATAATGGTCAGTGATGGAGGCTTGGTTCAAGGTGAGAAGAAGCTAGCAGAGCTGGGAACACAGAGGATTACTGATGGATTCTTGGGGTTGGGCTATGGTCCATGAATGCAGCAAATAATCAGTTTAATTTGCAGTGGTGATTTGCTGGAAGGTTCCCCTTTCCCTGACACACACAAAGGTTCCCCTTGCCCTAACACAGACAACAGCTGCGTCTCTGGATCTGTCAGGATATCTTTGTTTTAACAAAAAAGAACTTCTGTAGAGAGCAGGGGAAAGCACAGATCCACATGTAACTACTCTACCATTCTCACACTCTCTACTTTTGGTAAGCAGGGCTCCCTGGGAAAGTTTTCTTCTAAGTCAATAGGGTAGGCTGACCGTATAGTTTATCATCCATATAAGGACACTTTTGAAAATGATTGGGATCCTGGTTAATAATTACCAGCACAAGAAAGAACTATCCTGAGCAAACTGGAAGGCAGGGCACCCTAACATGAGTATCGTACATTCCAACCCAAACGGCAGTGCCTGTGAAGGTAAGATATTCAAGAGTAAGAAGAAAGGAGCATCTCAGAAAACAAAAAGCCTGTAGAGTCTGGGTTTGAGTCCTTGCTCCCCTACTTACTTTGGACAAATTACTTAACTTTGTTGTGCCTAGTTACTCATCTGTAAAATTTGGATAATAGTAAATTCCTGCAGTGCTGTTGTGAGGATTAAATGAGTGAACACAGGGTACTACAGCAGGTGTTAGCTATTACTATTTTCCTTCTGAGGTTGAGAATCTGAAGCAAAGCCCACAGTTAGAGCTGCAGCCTCAGGGTCAAAAAAAGTGGTGGAGATGTTTGCACCAGGTTTAACTGGATCTTGGGGCTTGCTGCATAGGACTGGGAGGGGTGGGGACAGGAAAAGGAAGGTGCATGGGTGAGAGGTCTCATCTGCACCTCCCAGGAGCTGTGTCACTTGAGACAAAGCACCAAATCTCTCTGTTCTTCAGTTTCCTCATCTGAATAGAGAGAATGATAACACCCTGCCTACAGTATTGCCTTGCTGATTAAATGAGATAACGTTTGTGGGAACACTCGGGAAAAACACAATTTTGGAGTTATAGAATATAACTGTAAAGCTGCTCGATAATTTTTTTCTTGTTCTTTTTTGTGTTTTAAAGTATTATTTATATAAATAAAATTCATCAATTTTAAGTGTACAGCTTAGTCAATTTTGCTAAATGTATCCAATTGTATAACCACCACCACCACCACAACAATCAAGGTATAGAACAATTCTTAAAAGCCATATTCTACTTGCCTTTGGCCCTAGACACCCTCCCCTACTCCATACTACCCCAAGCAACTATTAAGCTACTTTCGCTCACTGGTAGTTTTACCTTTTCTAGAATTTCATTCAAATGGAGTAATACAGTATGTATATTTTGTGTTTGACTTTTTTTCATTTAGCTTAATATATAGAGATTCATCCATGCTTTTGCATGTATTAATATTTCATTCATTTTATTGCCAAATACTAATCCATGGTATGGATATACCACATATTTTGATCCATTCATCAGTTGATGAACATCTGTGTCGCTTCCAGTTTTGGGCTTTTATGATAAAATTGCTATGAATATTTGTGTACCCATTTTTGTGTGGTCATACACTTCTCTTGGATCAATACCCAGGCATGGAATTACTTGGTTGTACGCATATTAGCTGTATATATAATACATGTATATATATGCATATTAAACTTTGCAGAATTATTTTGAAAGAAATTATGCGTTGATTTATTGAAAACAGTGTAACATCAAGGTGAAGAAACCATACTATTATTATCACTTTATGTTGTTAGAGTTATGTGGTGCTAGATACTAATCATAGTCATAGCTCATACTTATTGAGGTGTTACTCTGTGCTATGCACTAGGCTAAGTGGTTCACTTGTATTACCCTACTCAGTCCTCTTGACAAATCTATGTCATGGGTTCTAATATTATTCCCAAGGCAAGTTAGGTGGTAGAACCAAGATTCAAACCCAGGGATTCTGGGTACAGAGCCCATGGTTCTAATCATTGTGCATTATTATTGTGTTCCAGGTGTTGTTTCCTTTGAGAACACCATGGTTTAGCTCTGATTCACTTTCTTGTCATAAACATGGGGCCTGGTGGACTTTGCAAAAAGGACAAGTTTGGGGCTTCCTGATCTACTGGACTGCACCACTAGCAGCCAGAACAATTTTCAGAAAATGTTCAAAAAGTGCATCCTAGCTGAGAACCCTACAATGGTTTCCTGTTTCACCTAAAAATTCAATCCAATATTCTCACCCCTGTATATCCAGCTCTTATCCCAATCTGTTCAGCCCTATCTTGGATCACTCCCTCTCACCTGAAACCATCTAGGCTCACTGTTTTCTCAAACACACCAAGCTCTTTCCTGCCCGCAGTCTGACATGGCTATGCAGTCTGGTCTCATCTCCCAGACCCATAACACCAGGGCCAGAGGACTGGAAAATCCACAAGAGATGTGGTACACTGCAGAGGAAAGCTTTTACTTGGGGGAAAGAGAGTTAGGAAGAATCACCCATATTTCACCCACCCCGGGACACTGAAGTCAGCAGACATGGGCTACAGGAATGTGAACATGGTGCACCCAAAATATTGAAGAAGGCCCAGTTCTAAGCACAGACCCTGGCCTCAAGAATACCCACGTAAAAGATAAAAGATAGGCTGAGAAAAGACATATAGAAGGGAGATATTTTAAAGCTACATAAGAAATGCAATAATGCATGCGCACTACTAAAAAAATCAAAATATACAAAATACAGAGCATGAACTATAAATATCTCCCTTCAGTCTCACTGCTACTCCCTTTCTAGGGTGTTTCTCCTTCAGATGTCTTTTTTTCTAGGGGAGAATTTCACACACACACACACACACACACACACACACACGTTTACACATATACACAAAAATAAGTTGTTTTTTCTTTTTTTTTGAGACGGAGTCTCGCTCTGTTGCCCAGGCTGGAGTGCAGTGGCACAATCTCGGCTCACTGCAGGCTCCGCCTCCCGGGTTCACACCATTCTCCTGCCTCAGCCTCCTGAGTAGCTGGGACTACAGGCACCCGCCACCACGCCCGGCTAACTTTTTGTATTTTTAACAGAGACAGGGTTTCACCGTGTTAGCCAGGACGGTCTCGATCTCCTGACCTCGTGATCCGCCCGCCTCGGCCTCCCAAAGTGCTGGGATTACAGGCGTGAGCCACCACGCCCAACCAAAAAAAGTTTTTTAAAGAATAAATTGGATTATACTATACATATTCTGAGACCTGCATAATATGTCTTAGAAGATTTTTCATGTCATAGCTGTCACTCTGCTATAGACTGAATGTCTGTGTCCTCCCAAAATTCATACGTTGAAACCTAATCCCCAGTGTGATGCTATTTGGAAGTGGGACTTTTGGGAGGCGATTAGGCCATGCTATGGTTCAAATGTTTGACTCCTCCAAACTTCATGTTGAAATTTCATTGCCATTGTAACAGTATTAAGAGGTGGACCTTTAATAGGTGATTAGGCCAGGAGGGCTCCACTTTCATAGGTGGAACTGGTACCATTATAAAAGGGTGAGTTCGGTTCCTCTCACTTTCTGCCATGTAAAGAAGGCTCTTGCTAGATGCTGGCACCTTGATATTGGACTCATCAACCTCCAGAACTTTGAGCCAATAAGTTTCTGTTTATTATAAATCACCTAGTCTCAGGCATTCTGTTATAGCCATACAAGACAGAGCAAGACAGATCATGAGGGTAGAAACTTCATTGAATGGGACTAGTGCCCTTATGAAAGAGACCTCACAGAACTGCCTCACCCCGTCTACCATGTGAAGACTCCACAAGAAGACAGTTATCTGTGAATTGGGAACTGGGTCCTCACAGACACCGAACCTGCCAGTGCCTTATCTTGGACTTCCCAGCCTCCAGAACTGTGAGACATACATTTCTGTCATTTGTAGCTACCCCATTTATGTTATTTTTAAATAGCAGCCTAAGCAGAAATTGGTAACAAGAAGTGGGGGGTTTGCTGTAACAAATACCTAAAAATATGGATTCAGCTTTGGAATTAACAGGTAGAAGCTAGAAAAGTTTTGAGGTGCTAGAATGTTTTAGGTGCTTCCTCTGCAGTGCACCACATCTCTTGTGGATTTTCCAGTCCTCCAGCCTTAGTGTTTTGGGTCTAGGAGATGAGACCAGGCTGGGTAGCCATGTCAAGCATGCTAGAAAAAGACTACCTTGCCACGAATGGACCATCGAGGGCAATTCTGGTGAGGGCCCAGAAGGAAACGAGAGCTGTAGAGAAAGTCTTCATCTTCTCATACAATACCTAAACAACTCTGGACAGAATGTTGGTAGGAACATGGACAATAAAGGCCATTTTGATGAGGTCTCAGATGGAAATGAAGAACATGTTGGTGAACATCAGCAGAAAAGCAATGCTTGTTATAAAATGGCAAAGAACTTGGCTGAATTGTGTTTGTGTCCTAGGGTCTTATGGAAGGCAGAACTTGCAAGCCATGAAATTTAATATTTGGTTGAGGAAATCTCTAACCAAAGTTTGAAGGACTGGCCTGGCTCCTTTATTGTTGCTTACAGTAAAATTTGAGAAGAAATAAATGATTTAAAGATGGAATTGTTAAGCAAAAAGGAACCAGAACTAAAAAATTTGGAAAATTCTCAGCTTATCATTATTGAAAACAATGAGAAACCCTGTTTTGGAAAGAACAGCATAAAGGCCCTTTCTAAAAAGGCAAATAACAGACTGCTACTAAGTGACTCTTGCAGGTCCAGAGGCTGCTGTGGAATAGCATGTAGGCAGATATCTCCAAGTCCATGCTCAGAGGTCATGTGGACCCTCACTGGATCAGCAGAGGCTTAAGAATAAAGTTGTCCCTGAGTGCACCCAGCCCTAGGCACACATGTATATGTCTGCAAGGCAGGGCTTTGAACTCCTCCTCACATTTACCACATGCCAGAAAACCAAACCACAAGTCCCTGACCACACGGACAGGTCCAGAGTGCAGCCGCAGCTCTTCTGAGTAGCACAGAAGTGGAGAAGTCTGTCTGGGTTGTTGGTGCTCATGGCCCCAGGCCACAAAGACATCCCAGAGATATCTGCCTCTGGGGCCAAAAGACCCATTGGCAACATTTCTCTGGCTGCCCAGACACTTGGCATTCGTGGAAGCTGGCTGCTGGTGTATCAGGACTGGTCTAGCCCACATTTTTGGAGCAGAAGACCTCAGGTCTGAGAAAACAAGACCTGATGCCCACCTAGGCCTGGGTGTGTGGGTGGCAGGTGAGGGGGCATCACTGCTTACTGTGATGGGGATTATTTGGGCTACCCTCTGCAGCCATCTCAGGCCTACCCAACAGCTACTCAAGCCCCCAAGCATGTGCTGACCCAGCCCACTCTCCCAGAGCTCTAGTACAACGGCACAACCACAGCTATTCTCCCAAAGCCATTGGTATCTTTAGATTCCTAGCCCTTGCTACCCCTGTTCTTCCTGTCCGCCATGTCCTATCCTCTCTTCCCCACCTATTATCCCCTCAACTTATCCATCTCAAATGCCACTGCTTAGGAAGTCTCTCTAATAACCTTTCTCCTTTGTGTCATGGAAAAATATTCATCTCTTACCTATCGTGATACACCGTTAACTCCTTGAGAGAGGGGAGAAGTTATCTATCTATCTATCTATCTATCTATCTATCTATCTGTCTATCTATCTATCTATCATCTATCTATCATCTATCTGAAGCACCCACAAGTCTGAGCATTGGACTTTGCCTGACCCTGGACAAATAAATGAACACATAAATGACTGACAGCAGGTCCATGGTAATGAGCTCAGAGGCTTTCACACTTCCCTGGGAGACCCTGAACTAAGTGTTCTCCATCAGCTGTACCAACCAATGCAATTAATTGGTTCCAATCTGGTATCACAGCTGGAAAATTTCCCCAAAGTTATTCCTGAGACACCAGGCCTTCTCCAGGCAGCCCTGGAAATTAGCTACTCTCAAAAATTCCTGATCACTCACCAAGACAGGGGAGCATCCAGCTCTCTTTTTGATGACATGAAGGAAGGGAATAATTTCACTCCTGTTTTTAAGGGCAATAGAGGCAATCATAAAGTATGCAAGGGAGGAGGAATGCAGTACTAAGAAGGTGAAGTGGGCTGGGGAGAGGGAAGCAAGGCCAGACCTGTCTTAGATGGGGAGAAACAGAAGCACACACTGAGTGAAGCCTTTCAGGGCAACAGAGGGTCAGAGGAAAATCAAAGCCTCCAGACCCCAAGCTGCAGACCCCACAGACAAGCTGCCAAGAGAAGCAAAGCCAGAAGACCCAAGTGGAGGCAGCTTATTTCATCAGAATCCAGTTGGTTAAAAATAACTTCACTTATTAGTTTAAGTGAGATCACCACAGGGCTGGAAATTCACTGTCAGTGAAACAAAAATACTGAAAGGAAAATGAGAAAAGTCTACATTCACGATGAACTTTATAAAGAAACACAGGAGGAAGCTGCCTGAACATTCCACAGGCTATGTTTTCCTTCTGGGCTCTTTATGAGGCACAGGTCTGCCATTTTTGGAATTAGCACTCTTCATTCTTCCAGTCTTGCCAAAGAGAAGCAGCTTAGCACCATGCAGCATCACTGGGAAAAAGGCAAGCTTTGGAGGAATACTGCACGGAAGCATCTGTTGAGCTGGACCTCACCTACACTCACGCGGGAACCTCACAGCACAGCCTGTTCTCCTCTGCTTCTGCCAAGGCGCTGCACCTTCCTTAAGCAAACAGATTTCCCTTGTTGACTGTGCTGTCAACAAAGACTCTACTGAGGAAAAGCAGCAACTCTGCTGAGAAGGGCGGAGGGCCTTGCAGGAGCCATTTACATGCTCTTTCTAAAGGAGAAAAGGCAGAGGGACAGGGATAGAACTCTCTCTGAGTAACTGTGGGAATCCATCCTGCTTTTCTGTTAAGCCCCAGGAGAACAGTCCTGGAGCCCTCATGCCATCTCTGCATGCATTCCTGCATCCTCTTCATGGCTCACCTGAAGCTTCCTCACCAATTAGGCCCTGCAGGGCCAAGGCTCCTGTCTTCCCTGTAGCCTTTGCCCTGTGCAGCTCTTGCCCAGGCTAGGCTGGGGTGAGCTGCTCTGGGACGCAGGGCCCTCGAGCACTGTAACAGTGATGAACCACATATAATGCCTGCTCTTTTCAAATGGCATCCAGTCTTCACACACATGCCAACAGGTGTCACGGGAGCCTTGGCATATGCCTCATCTAAAGCATGCAGTTCTACTCAGCTCACGCATGGGCATGAGCTCAGGGAGCCCAAAAGCTGAGACGACCTAGATACTCTGCCTCTGGAACACATCCGGACAGTTTGCTGCTGAGCTTTCTGGAGGCATGCCCTCGTTGTGCCCGGGTCTCCACACCCTCCAATTCCAATTGGCTCCCTCCAACAGGCGCTCCCATGATTCAGTGTTATTTTGTTTCTTAGGTTTATTTCTGTCTGCTGCTGTTGTTGTTTTTGCTGTTTTTGGAGAAGTATGTAGACCATTTGTTGTTGCTGTTGTTGTTTGAGAGAGACATAGGGACCCACTCTGTTGCTCAGGCTGGAGTGCAGTGGCATGATCATAGCTCACTGCAGCCTCAAACTCCTGAATTCTAGAGATTCTCTCACCTCAGCCTCCAGAGTAGCTGGGAATACAGGGTGCGCCACCATGCCTGGCTAATTTTTTTTATTTTTTGAAGAGATGGTTTTTAGGGACAAAGGGGCATCATATCTACAAGTTACTCTCCAATGGTTCAAAAAAGAATTATAGATACACATATATACATATTTACATATGTATATATATGTATCTTGCTATGTTGCCCAGGCTGGTCTCAAACTTCTGGGCTCAAGTTATCCTCCAAAGTGTTGGGACTACAGGCATAAGCCACCATGCCCAGCCTGAGCTTTTTTGTTTGTTTGTTTGTTTGTTTGTTTTTTGAGACAGTCTTGTTCTGTCACCCAGGGTGGAGTGCAGTGGTGCGATCTCGGCTCACTGCAAGCTCCGCCTCCCAAGTTAACACCATTCTCCTGCCTCAGCCTCCCGAGCAGCTGGGACGACAGGTGCCCACTACCACACCCGGCTAATTTTTTTGTATTTTTAGTAGAGACAGGGTTTCACCATGTTAGCCAGGATGGTCTCGATCTCCTGACCTCGTGATACACCCACCTCGGCCTCCCAAAGTGCTGGGATTACAGGCTTGAGCCACCACACCCGGCCTGTTTTATTTTGTTTTGTTTTGTTTTGTTTTGTTTTGTTTTGTTTTTGAGACAGTCTTGCTCTGTCGCCCAGGATGGAGTGCAGTGATGTGATCTTGGCTCACTGCAACCTCTACCTCCCAGGTTAAAGCGATTCTCATGCCTCAGCCTCCTGAGTGGCTAGGATTACAGGCATGCACCACTACATCTGGCTACAGCCTGAGCTTTTTGAGATTTTAAAATTTTATATAATTTCAAAGTTACATAAACATTATAAAAGCAAGGAACCCACCTTTTATGCAGGTTCACCAATGTGTTTTCATTTTCCCCTTTTTGCTTTATCATTCTCTTCTCTCTCTTCCTCTCTCCACACCTCTTCCTCTCTCCACACCACACACACACACGTGTGTGTGTATACATATATATATGAATATGTATATATGTGTATCTATAATTCTTTTTTGAACCATTGGAGAGTAAGTTGTACATATGACGTCCCTTTGTCCCTAAAAACCTTGGTGTGCATTTCTAAAAACAAGGATATTCTCTTACATAACTGCAGTAGTTATCCAAATCAGAAAATTTAAACGTTGATACAATACTATTATTTAATTCATAATCTGTATTCAAATTTCATCAATTATAGCTATTTTTTCCTAGTTCAGGATACAATCCAGGATCACGAATTGTATTTCATTGACAAGTCTTTTTGGTCTTTCTTAATCTAGAACAGTTGCTTAGCCTTTTTTATTCTTGACATTTTTTTAAAAAGAGTAGGATGTTCTTCAATTTGAGTTTGGTTAATTTTTCCTTGTGATTAGATTCAGTTACACATTTTTGGAAGGAATATGCATAAAAATGAATCACTGAATCAATGTGTTCCTCTGAGTGCAATGTATCATACATATTGAGTTGCCCATGACTCAAATCTGGAGTCACTATCATGACATTGACTTTGGTGTCCTATAGGACATTAATGGATGTTCTCAACCTTTGGCTCCATGCATTACAGTTGTGGGCAAAAGAGGCACACACTTGCATACACATAACTTGCTCGATGGTCTGTGAGGTGGAAAGCCCAGGCTGGCCTGTTGGATGAGGAGAAACACATGGCTCAGTTGCCCTTGTCACCCAAGCCAACGGCCAGCCAACTCCTAGAAGCAAGGGTACCTAGCTAACAGCAGCTGACCACAGACTTATGAATAAGTCCCACCAAGTCTGGCAGAAAAGCAACCAAATTGGTGGTTTGCAAAATTGTAAGCTAAATAAACAGTTGCTGTTTTAAGCCACTACATTTTGGGGTGATATGTTAGCTAGCAAAAGCTAACTGATATATCTTGTTTATTGGAGAAAGAAGTAAGACTCAGAAGCCCTACATTATTTCTTTGATACTACTGACGAAAAAAGGTTGTCCTGTTTTTCTTCTGGCTCTGTCCTGTCTCCCTCAGGGATATGACCCTCTGTTTATGTTTAGAATTTAAAAGATTATTTAAATTTACTAATATGGGCCAGGTGCAGTAATCCCAGCATGTTGGGAAGCCGAGGCAGGTGGATCACCTGAGGTTAGGAGTTCAAGACCAGCCTGGCCAATATGGTGAAACCACGTCTCTATTAAAAATACAAAAATTAGCCGGGCATGGTGGCGGGCGCCTGTAATCCTAGCTACTCAGGAGGCTGAGGCAGGAGAATCGCATGAACCCAGAAGGTGGAGGCTGCAGTGAGCCGAGATCACACCACTGCACTCCAGCCTGGGCGACAAGAGTAAGACTCCATCTCAAAATAAATAAATAAATAAAAATAAAAAATTTACTTGAGTGTGTGTGTGTGTGTGTGTGTGTGTGTGTGTGTGTGTGTATGTGTTTTAAGAAAAAAAATAAACCACAGATACTGCTCTCCCTGGATTTTTTGAAAACCAAGTCACATCTCTCAGTTGCTTGACTGGATCAATGATGGCAGGAGACTCTCCCAACATCCTTCCATAGAAAGCAGCAGATGCAGAGCCCTTCCTAGAGAGGGACCCCAGAGCAGAAGGCTCTTAGGGTTCACCATGACTCTTACTTTTACCAACTCCTCTGATCCCTTTCCTGGAGATAAGGATTTGGTGCCTCTGGGATGCAGCCAGACGGTTTGTACTTTCAACAAGTTCTTCTGGTATTTCACATCATCAGGGGAGTTTGGGAAACACTGCATTACAGAAAGGGTTCTCAACCTGGGCTGTACATTAAAATCACAAGGGAGTTTTAAAAAACCCAGAACATTTAAATCAGAATCTTTAGCGCTGGCACTGAGGCATCAGTATTTTTTAATTACTCCCCCCACCCCTCCCCAATGAGTCCAGTGTGCAGCCAAGAAGAACCTGTGCTCGTTTCTATGACTGATTAGTAAGAAGCTTGCTTCTCCCTCCCCATTCACATGAATATTCCTTTTACAACCGTATGTGTTTCTGATAACAGAGGTGTACTTATTTGGTGCATACAAAATGCTGCCCTTGAGGCTTCTTTATGATTTTCTCCTCACCACTCAGCTGATTTCCCAATAGGAATTTGGATTTTCCTTACTGTGAGCAGTTCCCTAAATCTTATAAATTTCCTTTTTGGGAAAAATATTATTTTCTTTTTAGTGTACTGTCCAATATGAAGAGAGACTGGAGGGCAAGCTTTGAACATCAGCAGCTGTATCAGATGCTGCCAGGGCTCTGCCCACATTCTCTAGACACCTTTACCATTCCCATGCACACGGACTCCTGGTAGGCACCTTTGCCTCTTTGTTGGAAGGTGGACTCAGGCTACTGGAACCTTTTGCCTGTGCACACACGAAAAAACAGAAGAACCTGGGAATTTATATCTCCTGAAGCAACCCTTCACACATGACTGACAGGTGTGGTATAACTACTCCAGCTCCCTCACCCCAATCAGAAAAACTGTGGTTACATACATACACTATCTCCAGGGGTTTCCTGAGTGATTGAGCCAAAGTTACTCGGCACCTCACCACCACTGTGAATTTCACTTAATATTGCACCGATGCTTGACCCCCTTCCTCATCTTGTCCACTTCCCCACCGCACTATTGGCTTTTCTTTGGAAGACTTCCTGATAAACCATGTCTAGTAAATCCTCACTTCAAGGTTTTCTTCTAGAGAAACCAACCTCATATAGCAATCCCCAAGAGCACACCCTCCAGCACCTTTAAGAAGACTCTGGCACTGACCTTCATCCTTAATACAAAGGGCACTGTATGTGCCACCAGGAACTGGGTTGCTCTCAATTCTCACATCGACAGCTCTCATGATTTGCTGTTCTCCACTTCCTTTGCTACACACAGTTGTTCTGAAATAGACAAAAAAGGCACTGAATGAGGAAAACTCTGGGTTGAAAATAATAAGGAATAATTCTCTTCTGCTGTCAGCTCCGAATCAGCAGAGATTTTTCTGATTCATGAGCTCTGTCTGAAAGCATAAATCTGGACACATTCTCTGCAAAAAAAAGGTCTAAATTCAGAAATACAGGTGATGCTTCAGTTGATGTTATAGGTATCAATTCGAGTTTCAAAGGCAATATATTGTTGATCTCTTCTAGATTATGTTGGTTTTTATTTCATAAAATTCTGCTATTTTCTTTTTCTCTTATTTTGCTGTTCTTCAAATTTCTTTAGCTCTTTAGTTCATGAAACTTCAACTTTTTTCCTTTTCTAACAAACATTTAATGTTTTAGATTTCCTTCTAGGTATAGCTTTGGCAGCACCCCATGAGTTTGGGTATGTACATTTTTAATTAGTTCTAAATATATGATAATTTCCATTATAATTTTTTTCCCATAATTTATTTAAGGATATCTTTTCTAAACAGCAAATACTTGAATTTTTAAAAGTTCATCTCACAATCTCTGTTTTCTAATTGGAGCCTCCTGTCTACTAATACTTAATTTAATCATCAATCTAATTTAAATCTGCTTTTTATTAGTTCTGCCCATTCTCTCTTCCTTTCCTCTTCTTTCTTTTTTCCCACTTTGGGTTATCTGAATTATTCTTCTTCTTTTTTGGGGCAGTATTCTCTTTTTTCTCTGTATTGATTTGGAAGTTAAATATCCTTTCTCTATTTTCTTCAGTGGTACCCAGAAGTTACAACTTCTTTGACTTATTGAAATGTATTATTACTTTTATCATCTTCCCTAATAATACAACTTGAAATACTTAAAACACTACATATGAATACACTTAAAATACTTCCCACTTATATAAATCATTTTTTAGTATCCAGTGTTACTGTTACTGCTTCAATTACATAATTTCAATTGGTCCACATATTTACTCCTTCCATTTATTCTTTTTTGCCTCTCCAGTCTTCTTCATGCAATATTTTCCTCCTGCCTGAAGAGCACTTGTTAGTGTTTAAGTGCAGACTGGATGTAATGAATTCTCTCACCTTTTGTCTGTCTGAAAACGTCTTTATTTCACCTTTATTATTGGGAGATATTTTTCACTGAGGATAAAATTCTAGGTTAGCAGTAATTTTCTTTCAGTACCTTCAAAATATCAAAAGTCTTTGGGCTTTCATTGTCAGTTTATTGTTGCTCCTTTAAAGACAATCTCAGCATTTTTAATTTATAAAAATATTCTTTTCTTCATATATGATTCTTACCAGTCTTACCATGATGTGCCTAGCTGTGAATTTCTTTGTATTTGTCTTACTTGAGCTTTGCAGGGATTCTTGAATCTGTGTCTGGATGTTTTTCTTCAATTGTGGATCATTTTCATATTACTTTTATTCTATTTTCTTTTATCTTTCTCTTCTCCTTTTAGAATTCAAATCATATTACATCTTCTTTGTCTTTTACCCTTTGTTGTATAATTTTTCATCCTTTTTCCCTCTGTTATTTATTCTGGATATCTTCCTCTGAAATATTTTCCAGTTCACTAATCCTCTCTTTGGCTCTTTTTTTTAAAAGTCTTTCTCTCCTTTCCTTTCCTTTTCTTTCTTTCTTTCCTTCATTCCTTCCTTCCTTCCTCTTTCTCTCTTCCTTCCTTCCTTTTCTTTTCTTTCTCTCTCTTCTTTCTTTCTTTTCTTTTTTTTTCTTTTCTTTTCTTTCTTTTTGCAACAAGGTCTCACTATGATGTCTAGACTGTATTTAAACTTTGAACTCCTTGGCTCAAGTGATCCTCCTGCCTCAGCCTCCCAAGTAGCTGGGACTATAGGCATGCACCACCATGCCCAGCCCTCTTTGGCTCTTTTTAATCAGCTATTAGGTCTATCCATTAAGTTCTTAATTTTAGTTACTGAATTTTTCATGTCTAGAGTTTCCATTTGGTTATTTTTACAGTTTCCACACTCTGCCAAAATTCTCCTTCTCATCTTTTATATCTTTGAACATGTCAAGGATAGTTATTTTAAAGTCTGCATCTACCAATCCTAATGTCTGGAGTTTCTATTACCTATTGTTTCTTCTGAATTTTATTCTACTTGCCTTGTCTCCTCATGCAACTAGTTATTTTATATTGTGTGACAAATCCTACATTGGCTAAATTGTTTGTTGAAATTAATTGAGGTCTAGGATACTATCTTCCTCAAAACATAATTTTTATTTGATTCTCCTAGACATCTGGAGCACTGGAAATTCAGGGTCATCTCAATCCGAATTCATGGCTATAGAGTATTTGAAGATGTGCTGCTTCTCCTAGGAGGGCCTGCGAACAGTTCACTGTACAGTGTACTGTGTCCAGCTTACCCTTAGGGCATAGCCCTGCAAGGTCCCAACCCAAAGCAAAACGGCTCACTGGGTCCCCTCCTACACAGAAGGTGAATTCAAATCTCCAACCTCCTAGTCCCATGTGGCTATTAAAACTGCTATTCAGCTTTTTAGCCACACTTTATGGAATCTGCAAAGGTTTCCAGGAGACAAGTGGCCCAAAAGTCTGAATTCATCATTCTAGGCCTTTATCATTCTCTGGATTTATGTGTACACTCAACATAAATTCATAGAGATATAGGGCAGATGTGCTAGATGTCTACTATGCCATCAATTACAAGATGCACCACACATTTAATCATTGCTTTTCAGTGTGTGGTGAGGGAGTGGAGACCTGGGCAGGAAAGGCCCACAGTGAAATGTACATACTAATGGTCAGATGCTTGTTTCTAGAAAAATAAAATGAAAGGACATTGAATAGGAATGGTGAAAAGAGAATAATATGTTTTAAAAAATAAATTAAAAAGGGATAGAAAAACTATTTTAATACATTGTATAGTAAATATAACAAGTATATTTTCTTTATTTTCTTTCTTTCATTATTTATTTTGAGACAGAGTCTAGCTCTGTTGCTCATGCTGGAGTGCAATGGTGCCATCTTGGCTCACTGCAACCTCTGTCTCCCTGGTTCAAGCGATTCTCCTGCCTCAGCCTCCTGAGTAGCTGGGACTACAGGCACACACCACCATGCCCAGCTAAGTTTTGTATTTTTTTATTTATTTTTATTTTTTTAGTAGAGACTGGGTTTCGCCATATTGGCCAGGCTGGTCTTGAACTCCCGACCACAACTAATCTGCCCGCCGTGGCCTCCCAAAATGCTAGGATTACAGGCATGAGCCACTGCACCCAGCTGTATGTTTTCTTTGTAAGGTAATATCATTTCAGCCTGCAGAGATCCACTAATATGTCTTAATACCTTATAGTAAACCTACAGAAGATGGACCTTTCTAATCATCCAGTCCTGGCATACAATGCTTGAGAGACCTAAGCCTAGTTGCAAGCGGTCTCTTCAGAATCTGTGAATACTCTGGTTATCTGATGAAATTTTATAGTAACAGGATTATGAAAAAATATTCCTACTTGACTACATTATGGAAATGCATGCACAGGGCATATTTTGTCTATTCAAGAGCATAGATATAAAATGTAAGGCAGAGAGGACCACAGTTCCAGATTCACCAAAAGGCTTTGGATGTAGCCTCAGTTGTCCCTTTATTCAGTTGCTGCTTCATACTTGGCACATTTGGAGACATGAGTCAGCATGGCTATGTTTTCTATGGCCACTCGCCAGCCAGACATCTTAGGATCATCATCTACCAAAGTAGTTCTTGGTGCCTTGTTTGCTTTCACATTTCCTGTGGCATGAAGGAAAAAGTGAAGTGGCTCCTGCCTTCTCTGAGCATGACTAAAGAAGTGTTTATTTCTGCTTTTGTTGCCTGTGTTTTTGAGATCTTATTAAAATATTTTCCCAGACCAATATCCTGAAGCATTCTTCCTATGTTTTCTTCTAGTAGTTTTATAGTTTTGGGTCTTACATTTAGTTCTATAATCTACTTTGAGTTGATTTTTATATGAGGTGAGAGGTGGGGGTCTAGTTTTATTCTTCTGCATACAGATATCCAGTTTTCCCAGCACCATTTATTGAAGATACTGTCCTTTCCCCAGTGAGTGTTCTAAGTTCTAGTGTTCTATACCACTGTAGGATGGCCATAGTTAACAATAACATATCATTTCAAATAGCTAGGAGGATATTGAATGTTCCCAGCAAAAAATAAATGATAAATATTTGAGATGACAGATATGCCAATTACCCTGATCTGATCACTCTCAATTATGTGTGTCAAAACATCACTACGCACCCCATGAATATGTACAATTATTATTTGTCAATTTAAAAAATAAAATTAGGCCAGGCATGGTGGCTCACACCTGTAAACCCAGCACTTTGGGAGGTGGAAGCCAGAGGACTGCCTGAGTCCAGGAGTTTGAGACCAGCCTGAGCAATAAGGCAAGACTTTGTTTCTACAAAAAAAACTAATAAATTAATAAAAATTTAAAACAAAGCAGGTTTCAGCACTATTAGAAAGATTTCTCCTAGCTGGCCATAACAATTACTTCTCTAAAGGATTCCACGGGTCAGGCACTCAAATAGCCACAGCAGGAATGGCTAGTCTTGCGTATAATGTCTAGGGGCTGAGCTGGCAAGACTCATAGGCTGGCAATAACTCAATGGCTGGGGGCTAGAATCACCTAGAGGCATCTTCATTCACATTTTTGGCAGTTAATGCTAGCCACTGGCTAGGACATTGGTTAGGGCTGTTGGCAAGAGCCCCTAAAGGAGATACCTCCATGTGGTCTGGCATTCCTCACAGCACACCCATCTCAGCACAGTCAGACTCCTCATGGCATCTCAAGGCTACAAAAGTGAGTGTCCCCAGAAATCTAGACAGATGCGGCATGGATTTTTCCAACCTAACTTCAGAAGTCACGTAATCTCACTTTTGCTGTATTCTATCAGTAGAGGCAAACACACCTATTGATGGCAGTGGTGTGAAAAAATTTGTGGCCATATTTTAAAACCTCCATACCACGTTCCTATACATATACATGCAGATGAGTATCCACAGAAAAAAGGGATAAAGAATGTATACCAAACAATTAATAGTCATTATCTCTGAGGTGGAGAAGAAGAGAGAAACTTAACTTTGTACTTTATATATATATGCATTATTTGAAATTTTTACAATAAGCATGTATTCTTTTTATTACTTAAAAAAAATTCAAGGCTAGGCAGGGTGGCTCACGCTTGTAATCCCAGCACTCTGGGAAGCCAAAGCAGGAGGATTGCTTGAGGTCAGAGTTCGAGACCAGCCTGGGCAACATAGCAAGCATTTTTTACCTCTATAAAAAAAAAATTAGCCAGGTGTTGTGGCACATGCCTATAGTCTTAGCTATAGGAGGCTGAGGCAGGAGAAACATTAGAGCCCAGGATGTTGAGGCTGCAGTGAGCTATAATTGTGCCACAGCACTCCAGCCTGGTGGACAGAGTGAGACCCTATGTCTAAAACAAAAAAAGAAAATTCAACATAACAAAGTAAGGGGATAAAAGAACTATGACAGAACTCCAGAAAAATGCTTTTGTAAGTAAACTCAAACATGAACACACACCAGGCGTGGTGGCTTACACTCTGGGAGGCCGAGGCAGGTAGATCACCTGAGGTAAGGAGTTCGAGATCAGCCTGGCCAATATGGTGAAACCCCATCTCTACTAAAAATACAAAAATTAGCTGGGCATGGTGGCACATGCCTGTAATCCCAGCTACTCGGGAGGCTGAGGCAGGAGAATTGCTTGAACCTGGGAGGTGGAGGTTGCAGTGAGCCTAGATTGCACCACTGCACTCCAACCTGGGCAACAGAGCTAGACTCCATCTCAAACAAAACAAAACAAAACAAAACAAAACATGAACACGCTACTGCCCACTGTACTCTGCCTGTATGGTACCTCAACAGAACAATTACTGAGTCCTATATAAGCCTTGGTGGTGCAACTGGGGTGAGTTGGAAAAGGAGTGCTCGCCTAACTTACCCAAGAGTACCATCTGCTAGCCAGCCAGTGGTGCACACCGCAAAGGAGCAATCCTGTACCACTCTCCGCAGCTCGTCTGCAGATGCCAGGTGAGCGCCCCTGCTCTTGCAGGAAAGCCGAGCAGCCTCCAGTTGTAGGCCCTGAGAGCCATTCTGAGACTCCAGCACAAAGAACTTTCCTGTGTGGGAACAAGAACAAACACATGTGGATTTCAGGATCCATGGGAAGTTAGTCTCAGCAAACATCCTCTGGCAGACGCCAGTTAGAACTGTAGTCCTTGCCTGAAGGCCCAAGTGCAGCAACTACCACATCCACATCCCTGGGACCAGGTGATGATAATTACACTAGCATTTTCGTCTTTTTTTTTTCTCTTATCTTCTTCTTCTTCCCCACCCCACCCGCCCAAAATTAACCATCTGCTCTGGCATGTCGATCTGGAAAAGCCCTTCAAATCTTTCTTTTAAAACGGTGTTTTACAAATATCATGTGTCAAGGCTCAGTGTCCTAGGCTTCCCTGAGTTAGGTCACTTGATGACTAAGGCACTGATTTAGGCCTCAGCTCTGCTTTCTTCTGCCTCCCTCAGCCCTAGGATGACCCCCTATACAACAGGTTGCTTCCCTTCTCTCTGTCCCTTGCCTTAAGATATTACCAGGCCCCTTTCACAATAAATTCATTTGTGTCTGCTGTACTTCTGTCCTACTGCACAAGAAAACAGGGATGATGTCTGGTACACCTTGGCTTCCTATAGCACATTAATATATGGACATGTAGTGGGCCTCAAAGAATGTGTGATTAATGGGGGGATGGGAACCTGAATTCAAGCAGAGGTGAAAGCCCAGGCTGAAGGCAAATGAGAATTTTAAGCAAGGAAACCACGGTACCGGAGGGAGCACTGAGGTCCCCAGGAGCCTCCTGGAGGAATGAAGCAATGCCTTGGGTGGCCCTATCAAGTTAAGCTAAAGGCAGGGGAGAAAACACCTACTTAGAATGAGACACTTTACTTCCATCTGTCACCAACTTTTTCATAATATATCAGTGATTGGACTAAGACACAACTAAGACACAAGTCATCTGCTTGCAAAAGACTAAGACACAAGTCATCTACTTGCAAAATTATTATAATAAATATAATAATTCCACAGCTTTGGAACCAAAAGTTATAATAAAAATACAAAAAAAAATTTTAAATAAACACTTCCATAGGTGACTGGCACTCCTACATTTAACTACAAAAAGGTAGTATTAACAAAACTACAAGGAAAAACAAAAAAATCCACAATCCTTGAGGAAATTTTAAACTACTATCCCTCTCAGTAATTGTTAAAACAGAAAACAAAATTAGCACTCTTGATGTAAGAACCTATGTGCACTACTGCATACCAAACTACAGAATACACATTCATTTTAGGCACACACAGAACATTTGTAAAACTGATCAAATACTGAGCTATAAAGCAAATCTAAAAAAACCTCAAAAGACAAAAATCATACAAAGCATGCCTTTTAGACTACAACAAAGCTAAAATCACTTATTTTATATATGAAACACTTATATAGTGTTTACTATGGACTAGATGTTGTTCAAATTGCTTTACAAATACTCATTAAATTAATTCTTATGACAACTCTATGATATAGGTGGTATTATCATCCTCATTTTATAGTTAAGGTTTAGTATTAATGCTTGTCCGAGATCACACAGCAGAGATACAGAACCAGGCAGTATGGCTCCGTTAGTGATTTTAATCACTTGGTTATACTGCCTCTCAATAACAAAGCAATAACTAGGAAAATCCCCTTGTGCATGGAAATTACAAAATATACTTCTAAATAAACTGTGTTCAAAGAAGAAATCCCAACTGAAATAAAACATGTCAACTCAAGGGCCAAAAACTTATGGAGAAACTAAAGTAGTTTAAGAGAAATTTATAGCCTCAGATCTCACATTATTAATACCAAAAAAGTATGGTTGAGAATCAATGATCTAAGTTTCTAGCTCAAAAAACAAACACAAAAGTCCCACAAAATCAAATCTTCTAACGTAGAAGGAGGAAATAATACAGATAGAGCAGAAATCAGTAAAACGGAAAGCAGACACACAATCAAGAAAATAAAGCCAAAAGTTGCTTTTTTCAAATGAATAATAAAACGGATAAACCCCTACTAAGACTGATCAAGACAAAAAAAGAGAAAACACAAAGTACCAATATCAAGAATGAAAGGGAACATCACTACAGATCCCGTGGACCCTGAAATGATAATTAGAGATTATTACATTGTATATGCCACATTAGACAATCTAAATGAAGTGGGGGAAAAACTTTAAAAAATAAAACTTAGCAACATTGACACAAAATTAATTTTAAAATCTGAATACTTCTTTATCTACCAAACAAATTAAATTCATTATTTAAAATCTTCCTACAAGAAAACCTTCAGACACAGATGATCTCACACCAAAACAAACAAACAAAAGCCCTCACCCGCAGAAACCCTTTCAGAGTTAAAGAAGGAGCAACTTTACAATTTGGTTTAGGAACCATCATACGTTTGATATCAACACTTGGCAAAGATATTATAAAAAATGAAAATTACAGGCTAATATGTTTCATAAACATAGATTCAATAATCCCAAACCAGCTTCCCTCACTCCAGGCTCAGTTCTAGGTCTTCTTGCTGTAAAATTTTTCCTTAGGATTCTGCCCACGCACATGATTTCAAAGACCATCCTTATACAGATGACACGTTTTTAGAAATAGTTTCTCTCCAAATCTATCTCTTCAAACATCTGTAATTCATCATACTTAAGCTGAGCATTTCTTCTTCTTCCTCCCGTCACCATAGCACACAAATAACTAAATGTAGGAACTGGTGGCAGCTAAGAATTTAGTACCAAAAAGAATCCTTTGATAATATAGCTTATAACTCTTCCTGGTTCTAGTATAAAAGTTGGAGCTCATAAAATTGAGTTTACTATAAGGAAGTATACCTATAATTGTCCACTGAGGAAGTGGGGAAAGAAAAGGAAGGAGAATGAAGAAAAGGAATCATTTCTGGCAAGCAGTAACAAAGAATCATGTGCTCTGGTGTTGTCCTTACTTTCTCTTTGACCAGTGACATTTCTGCCTTTAATTTTCTATGACCCGTATCAAGCTAGACAGGCACAAAATATTGATCCTTATCCACATGGCATTCCACTTAAACAGTTATAATGGGATGAAACTCTAAAACCTTATGGATTGCAAAAATATTTATTTAAAAGGAATTAAAGTTGGCACAATATATCTTGTTCAAAGATTAATATTAGCTCCAATTTATTCTACTTGCATTCTTTAAAATCAGCTTAATTTTCATGGCTCAATGTCAGTCAAAAAACACTACAGTGAAGAATTATCAGTAAACTGCTAATAGGTATGGGATTCTTTTGAGGAGTGATGGAAATGTTCTGGAATTAGATGCATGCAAACCATGGTTTTCACAACCTAATGAATATACTAAAACCCACTTAACTGTATATTTTAAAATGACAAATTTTATGTGAAATACATGTCAATTAAAAAAATTAGCAGTGGTTACTAACAGCCTTCAAAGTTAAAAATGTTTTGTCTCTAACACTCTCTCTGAGGATATGGAGAAATACGACATTCATCCTTAATTAGGAACGGAGAGCTTTTCAAGCCTGCACTTAAAACAGAGAGCACTAAAAACTCTACGACCTAGACGGTTTTTTCCTTGGCTTTCCCCTTTTCCTGACAACCATGCTTTTTTTTTTTTTCCCCATGTCTTCTAGTTTCACTCAATATCGTTGGCTAAACAAGAATCACATTTTAAAATATACAACGCATCCTAAATTGACGGAGGGCTTTTCTCTTTTATCAGTCTAATTCGTCCTAAGCTAGAACTACCTCATGGGTGTGAGAACTGCTGGCTTTAAGCTTGCTTCCTTCAGATGCTCCTGTACCAAGTCAGCGGGATTTTGTTCTAATATGAAAACACAGCTGAATTAGCTTTTCAAAAGGGAATGGATACAGAGCTCCAATCCTGCTCATTTTAGGGCAAGTATTACAAGCTAAATTCAGGCTGAAAAACCAAGCAAACGAACAAGAAGTGGATCAATTCTCAGAGAACCTGCCATAATCTGGCCCTTGCCCACTTCTCTACCTCATGTCTCAAGACGTCCCCTCGCCTCCAGGTACTTTGCTTTATCATTTGTCCCGTTTTTCCTGTCACTCAGAGACAGCCTTTGCACGTGCTTTTCCCTCTGGCCAGGCCATTCTCTCTCTCTTAGCCTCGCTGATTCCCACTCATCTTTCACGTCTTCCCGGACCAAGCCAAAATATCCGAGGGAGTTTTCTAACCATCGGCGGTGTCCTCAGGGGCACATTAATAGACGTTGAGAAACTGAGGGACGGCGGAAAATCACCCCTTAGCAGAGGAGGTTCTAGGGCACCTTAGAGGTGATTTCATTCGAGCTTTCTTGGAGACCTTAGGAAAGCCAGCGGCGGGACTGCGGGACCTACGCGCTCGGCGCTAAGGGAGGGTCCAGGCACCAGGCGGGCGTTTGGGCGCACGGGCACGCGGAGACTTGGTGGGCCAGGAGAGGGATGCTGGGTCGCAGGACCGCGGCTCGTTCGTTCCTCTCAGGCTTGCGCTTGCCGCTTGCCGGGCCGGTCAGAGGGAGCAGCCCCGGCGAGCTACGCCCTCCCTGCCCGGACCCCACGCTCCACCCCCCGCCCCGCCGCCTCCCGCACACTCACCATCCGCCCGCACCGAAAGGCGCGGCAGACCGAGCAGGAGCAGCGCCGCCGCCCAGAGCCCGGGGAGGCGTCTGTGCCAACGGGCAGGCGGGCTGGGTCCCTCGGCAGTCATGGTCCGGGAGTGCGCGGGCCAGCGGACTCGGGTGAGGGCTCTGGCTGCGTTTGGGGTTGCCCAGGCCACTGCCCAGCGTGCGCCACTCGGCTCTGCGCTCTGCGCTCGGCTCACGAATCGCAGGCTTCGCGCCGGGCGCGCCGAGAGGGAGGAGCGCGGAGAGCCGGGGGAGGCTCGGGACGCAGAGCCGGAGCGCCTGGGCCGCCGAACTCCCGGGGGTCTTCTCTGTGGCGCCGAGGAGGCGGCTGTAACCCGGCTCCGCCTTCGCGCTGGGCACCTGGAAACCTCGGTGCCAAAAGGGGCTGCGCTGGGCCGCGCGCTCTGCGGGTACAGCGGGGCGGAGGGCGAGGGCGCAGGGAGGCGGGGAGAGTAGCTAGCCGGCCGCAAGGAGCCCCCGCCCGTCTGGGGGACCCTTGGCGAGAGGGTGACGCAGTCTGACAGGCGGAGCCCCTCCGGCAGGGCCGTTAGACAACGAGTGTCTAACTCTGTCCTCGGCCTCTACTTTTCAACTGGCCTCCTCCCCCTCCCCACCAACACTCTTTTTTTTTTTTTTTTTTAATGAAGAGAGGAAAATCTAAGTTACCTACCACCCTCACTCTAAGGTGTGAAACGCATGGAATAGCGAAATTCCTCTTTCCTAAAAGCGAAGTTTGAGAGTCACTGAGGAAAGGATATCTTCAGGAACGCTTCCTTCACCACTTTTCCTGGTACGCTAGTATTTCTCAAGGAGCAGTAAGAGGGCTAGTGAGATTGTCACCATTATCACCCACCTCCCAAATCAGGGCTTTTTGACCTCGAAAGGGTCTGAGATTCGGACTCTGTCGGTCTGGTCTGGGAATCTACACTCTAAGTTAAAGTGTCCCAATGGATTCTGCTGCAGGGGTCCCTGTTTGACTTGATTCCTTCTTCCTGCTCGCCCCTAGCCTGTCTCCCTACCACCAGCCCTGTTCAGTGAAAGAAGAACTTGCTTTCTTCATAGGTAGAGTAATAAAGATCAGTATTGTTATAACTGAGGCATGCGCGGTGCTCTACAATTTGCAAATCCCTTTTATATTGATGTATGGGTCAACAAACATCTATTGAGTGCCCATACATGCCTGTCCCTGTGCTAGACCCTGAATGTGGCTGCAATCGGTCCTAAAAATGTTCACACTTAAATAAAATATACTTACAATTGAAAAAGTGATTGGTGCTAAAGGGGCAGATGATTATCCTCATTTAATGAACCAGGACACAGACATTGAAATAATTTACTTTCTTTTCACAGTAAGAACTTGGATTTGAATCCACATCTGATTTACTACAGGTGTCATTTTTCAGCTTGCATTAATTGTTGAAATGTACTGAAAAGATTTCTTCTCTCCTTATTACTTCCCATCAACTACAAGGGCTACTATTAATGAGTAATTATTTTGGATAATTAAACTTTGCTTTCAAAATACAAATACTGGCCGGACACGGTTGCCCAGGCCTGTAATCCAAGCACTTTGGGAGGCGGAGGCCGACCAATCACCTGAGATCAGGAGTTGGAGACCAGCCTGGCCAACATGGTGAAATTTCCATCTTTACAAAAATACAAAAATTAGCCGGGCGTGGTAGCTGTTAATGCAGTGAGGTGTTAAATGCAGTGAGGCCTGACAAGTATAAATGAATTTACTTAGCTCCTTCCCTTTTTTTTTTTTTTTTTTTTTTTTTTGAGATAGAGTCTCGCTCTGTTGCCAGGCTGGAGTACCGTGGAGCGATCTTGACTCACTGTAACCTCAGCCTCCCAGGTTCAAGCGATTCTCCTGCCTCAGCCTCCCGAGTAGTTGGGACTACAGGCGTGCACCACCACGCCCAGCTAATTTTTGTATTTTTAGTAGAGACGGGGTTTCACCATGTTGGCCAGATGGTCTCGATCTCTTAACCTCGTGATCCGCCGGCCTCGGCCTCCCAAAGTGCTGGGATTACAGGCATGAGCCACCACACCCGGCCAGCTCCTTCCCTTTTAACAGTTAGCTGGTAACCTAAGGAGTGAGACTTCACATGTCTGGACTGGAGGGGTCATTTTAAAGCCTGGTTAGTGCTGAGAACGGAGGGGAGGGATCAGAAGGTACCTGCCAAGAGCTACCAACTCACTCACTCAGGAGCTTTGCCTAGGAACATTTTAAAAACAGTCAATTGAATATTACTACTTAATTCTCCTAACATTTTCAAGATTATGCTTATTCACAATTGTCTTGGCCTGTCCTGATGTGAGGAGATGGCATGCTGTAAGGGTAATTGGTATGGTTGCTTTAGAAAACCGGCTGTTCCATCTAAACATATACCTGCCTTAGGACCCAGAAATTCCTCTCCTAGGATTATATCCAAAAGAATGAGAACCTATATTCACAAAAATATTTGTGCACAACTGTTCATAGCAGCTTTATTTGCAATGATCAAAAACTAGAAGGAATTCGGATATCATCAACAGATGAATAGAAAAACAAACTGTCATATTCACACAATAGAATACTATTCGACAACAGGAATGAACTACTGAATGAACTACTCAACACGTGAAAGAATCTCAAGGATAGCATACAGAGTGAAAGAAGTCTTACACAAAACAATTCATACTGTGTAATTCCATTTATATGAAGTTCAAGACAGGACAAAACTAATCTGTGGTGAAAACAGTCAACACAGTGGTTGCCTTTGATAGAACGGGAACACAAGGGAACATCTGAAGTGATGAAAATGTTCTATTCCTGATGGGGATGGTGGTCACATGAGTGTATATGTTTGTCAAACATCCCTAAACTGTACACTTGAAATCTTTGTATTTAATTGAATACTTATACTTCAGTAACAAATACTTTAAAAATCAGAATTTCAGTCCTTGCACTAAAAAATAAAGAAGGTTTAATAGAAGGCCAAGTGCGGTGGCTCACGCCTCTAATCCCAGCACTTTGGGAAGTGGGTGGATCACGAGGTCAGGAGATTGAGACCATCTTGGCTAACACAGTGAAACCCCATCTCTACTAAAAATACAAAAAATTAGCCAGGCGTGGTGGCACGTGCCTGTAGTCGCAGTTACTTGGGAGGCTGAGGCAGGAGAATTGCTTGACCTTCGGAGGCGGACATTGCAGTGAGCCAAGATTGTGCCACTGCACTCCAACCTGGGCGACAGAGCAAGACTCTGTCTTTAAAAAAAAAAAAAAAAAGTTTAATAGAAGAGAGTTTGATGAAAGGACCACATGCAGTGATGTGGACAGGACCGAGAGAACCAATAAGGGGTGGTGAAACTCCTGGGTCTAGCAACAGCTGGAAGCTGTAGCCATGGTGAGGCCTGAAGGTGTGAGGGAAGGTTGAGGTGTTACCAAACCAGCAACAGCTGTGGCCATGAAAGAGGCCGCCTGAAAAAAAGGATACCCATAGGTAGAAAAATCAAGATGCTGCCACTGGTCTGGTAGGGAGGGAGTGAGGAAGAAAGACCCTGACCTCTCTCTCCTTCTATCCTTGATATTCCTCTTGATACCTTCTATTGGCTGAACCATTTAAAAGCTAAAGGGTAAAGAAGCACAGGTGCAGTGGTCCTTAGAAGTCACCTTGTTAGGGTGCAGGGTTGGACAAAGAAGGTTAAAGAGTGGATCTGGAATGGCAAATGGGAAACAACCAGCACAGCTCATCTACTTTTTTCTTTCATTTGATTAAGAATAACTAGAAATAAAACAGGAGAAACACAAAATCCTGTCAGTCCTCTCTTGTATGACCTGGGAATAATGTCAACTCAGTCAAATTTCCACTTGGAGCTAAACTGTGATATTAACCATCAGTGGTTACATTCACATAAATACAGTTTCACATAAACAGAAAAGGGGAGAAGTAAACAGTTGTCACAAAATATAGATTCTACTGTCCCCACTTCTGTAACTGGTCATGAGGCCTTATTTGACAATCATTCCAATGTTTCCCTCTACTCTCTGAGCATTTTGGCCTGCATGAATTTTTTTTTAACTGATGACAGGGGCCTAAAATTTCATTCCCGCCAAAGACTTATCTTTATTAGTTTGCCAGTGACCATAATTATTGGATATGGGAGTCCTCTGAGGTCTAGACATAGTCATCCCATTATGAAGCAGGAATCCAATTTCCCCTTGGTAATCAGGTAATCAGGATCCATCACCCAGTCAGTAAACTAACCTTCTTTTCTGCCTCTTGGTTCTTCAACATGAGGACTACAAAATTACAAGAGAAAAGTCTCAGCTTCCAATTGACAAGGAAGCATTTCTGTCGTGGGCACCCAAACCTCCCAACTCACCAATCTTTTTTTTTCTTTCTTTTTTCATCCACTACTAAGAGTTGTATCCCAACTCACCAATCTAAAGGATGTGGGGATATTATGCAAAACTTTGCTAGATGGGTTACTATATGTAATAGAGAGGTCCCACTTTGACCTTGGTCCTTAAACCAGTCTCTTATGTCTATGAGAGAAATTACACCACATATTGGCTACTGGTTTAAGGCATATATTGTAACCGGAGTGAATGTCCCAAATTCCCGGGGTGCTGTCTTCTAGCTAGTACCTTAACTGTGACTTATCTTTCTGTCAAGCCACATGCTTCTAGGTAAATATCATGAAATGAGTCTATTGCCCCACCGATTTCTACAAAATCAGTTTCTTGATTAGAGATGATGTAATGTGTGCTGCTATGGCCATGGGTGAGAAGACATTCTATATACATCTACATATAGTGGTGCTAGTAGAAGAAAGCCAGACAAAGAAGGCAAAGTCAGATTTAGGATAAGAATTTATTTCAACAAATACAGCAAGAAAATAAAAGAATTTATTCCAATAAGGACAAATAACTGCAGTCTCTATGAAAAAAAAATCCAATTTAAATAACCTTTCTCTACGTAGTCAACAGGAGAGGCTGGCTAGGGAATAATGCCATATGAAGACTCACGGTGCACTCTCTCTCTCTCTCCCTCTTTCTCTCTCTCTCTCTACACACACACACACACACACACACACACACACACACACACACACGCTGTGCCCATCCCAGGAGAACCACACTGACATCCTTGCTATCAGTCTCCTAGTTCTGAACTTTTCAAGTCATTAACTGATGATTAGGCATTGTCCATAAATCAGTGAAGATCCATAAATGAAGCCATCTCTCCTTTCATGTAAACCAAAGCTCCACCCATTGGGAGGATTCTCTTTTGCTAGTTTTTACTTTTCAATAGAAAAATGTTACTCTAATAAAATATACATAGCATTTATTATTGTGACCATTTTAAGTATACAAATCAGTGGCCTTAAGAACATTTACATTGTTGTGAAACCGTCACCACCGGCCACCTCCAAGTTTTTCATCATCTCAAACGGAAACTCTGTACCCGTTAAACAATAACTCCCTATTCCCTCCTCCCTCTAGCAGCCAGTAACCACTGTTCCACTTTCTGTCTCTATGAATTTGACTATTCTACGTACCTTATATATGTGGAATCACATAATATTTGTCTTTTCATGCCACTGTTGTTTTTAGTGCTATACCAGTGTGAGGCTAACTAGTCCTACCCCATAGACATCCAAGCATAAAGCAGGTTCAAGTTTTTTCTCTTCCATTAAGTAAAACTCCCCATGAGGCCATAGGTGTGGGTTGAGGGAAAGGCAGTAAAGCAGTGGAAGCAAGTGCCATAGGAGTCTAAGCCTCTTGCTCATGTGATTTACATGTTCATTCCGAGCCTACTCTTGTATGTACCATTTTCATTTGATAGTAGAATTCTGCTTTGTGATTCAAAATACCTCATTCACGAGACCAACTAAGGCGTCACACTCATGCGGTGTCTTGTGGTCAAGCAGTCAATCTCTACCAGGGCCAGTAGCAAGGTTGGAAGTGCTTATCGTATGGTGAATAATTGACTGTACACGAAAACTGTAGGAGTCTTCACTGCAATTTTTTTGGTTTGCACAAGTGCTTCATAAGGCATTTTTATCTGCCACAGTCACTTAAAGTATTGTACCTCTTGTAACATAAGGCCAAAGCAGCAAGGCAGCTTGTACTGCAACGTAGATAGTGCAGAGCTCCCTCTTGCTTTCAAAACTGTAAACCTTATGGGTTACCACATAGTAAATGGCTTCAGAAATATTGTATCTTTTTATGTGTGATAGTAGTACCTGGGTATCAATTTGTTTCTAGATACAACCCTGAGATAAGATAGTAAAAGCAGGCTGCTACCCTTGGTAGGAGAAAGCCAACCGTTTCTGTTTGCTGATTGAATTAAAAATAAAGCATTTAGACCAGGCACGGTGGCTCATGCCTGTAATCCCAACACTTTGGGAGGCCATGACAGGCAGATCACTTGAGGTCAGGAGTTTGAGACCAGCCTGGCCAACATGGTGAAACCCCTTCTCTACTAGAAATACAAAAAATTAGCTGGGTGTGGTGGCAGGCACCTGTAATCGCAGCTACTCGGAAGGCTGAGATGGAAGAATCTCTTGAACCTGGGAGGTGGAGGTTGCAGTGAGCCGAGATCGCTCCATGGCACTTCAGCCTGGGCGACAGAGTGAGACTCTGTCTCAAATATAAATAAATAAATAAATAAATAAATAAATAAATAAAATGAAGCATTTTTGGAGTCAATAGCTACATAACAAGTACCAGAGACAGTGTTGGTTTTTTCCAGTCATGATAATATATCTGGAAGAACAGTCACAATTGGAATCAATGATTGATTAAGTTGAAGATAAGCAAAGAATCTTTTCCAAACTCTTCTGGCTTTTGCTTTTGCAAACCCGAAACAAAACAATGAACAGCCAAATATCCTGGTTTATAGATCATGTTTACAGCTGTTGTCCCAGAATTCCATCCAATTTCATATTTGACCCAGATTTTTCATTGTTTTAAAAATATATTAACAGTAGAATTAGCTTAAACCAGAATGGTAGTCCTCAATTTTGCACTTCTAGCTTCTGCATGTTCTCATCTAGTAGTGCATGAGATACATGTGCAGTTGTACCTTGAAAACATGATTAAACATGAGCAGTAATCAGAGACACATCTCATTTTCCCTGATCTGTTCCTGGTGTAATGTATCTAATTTCTCTCTTTCAAGGACAGTATGCAGAATGATTAACTACATAAATCAAGTGCACTCAGACACAAGTATCTAGGAACAGCTCGCTCTTTATGGTCTCCGGACATGGTGGAAGAATATTCAAAGTCTCTGCCAGCCACTCAGTTCATTAGGCAGTTTTCATTAGCCTCTAGAAATGCTGTAGGCCAGTAGGAAATGTGAGACATTCTAGGTTAGGTTTCTGTAAAATATGTGCAGAAAATAGAGACTAATGAATCCTGCCCTGGAGCCATTAGTGTGTAGTTTGAATGCTCTTGCTACCTAGAATGATCATTTACCTTATGGTGTAAACCTACAACTATTTATTTACTTTATTGTTTGGTAACCTATTTATTTTGAAGTACGTCCTTATGATACTAAGTTTAAGAATGGAAGTACATATTTAATGTAAAAGTATTCTATTTCCATTTTTAAGATAATTAATAATGAACATACACATTTCCCAAAATATTTGTCAACATTTACCATCCATCATGGGACTGAGGGACAACATGAACATCAGAATACATGAATCTACTGAAGGAGCTTCAGCAATCATTTCAAAAGTTGGCTATTTTTCTTTTAGAGATAGGGTGTCACTCTGTTGCCCAGGCTGGGGTGCAGAGGCACAATTATGGCTCACTGCAGCCTCAAACTCCTGGGCTCAAGTGATCCTCCCACCTCAGCCTCCCGAGTAGCTGGAACTACAGACATGTAGCATAGCTTTTTTTTTTTTTTTTTTGTAGTAAGGGTCTTACTGTTTTGTCCAGGCTGGTCTTGAACTTCTGGGCTCAAGTGATCCTCCCACCTCAGCCTCCCAAAATGCTGGGATTATGGGCGTGAGCCACTGTGCCTGGCCAACAGTTATATTAAGAGCACTGTGTGAAGGTAATATTTTAATAGGTGCAGTGCAGAAGATCCATTTACATATCATTCTATCAAACATGACTTTTCAATTAGATCAAATGGCTATTCTTCTAAATTAATTTCATTCATTTTTTTTCTTGTGCACATATGTTGGTTCCATGAACAGTTAAATGATGCCAGTTTTACACAGTGTTTTCCGACACTTTAAACAGGAAATCGGTTAACTTCAGTAATGATTCGATTATTTCATCCAATATCCAAAATTAAGATAAATCTTTCTGAAGCTCATTCTGTCAAAGAAGAAACAACTGCTATTATTTAAAGACTATTCGAAATTCACCTCATTTTTTTTTCTAGTGATTATACAAACACAAAATTTGATGGTAAAAGTAATATTCACACTAAGAACCCTCTGGATATTTCTTGAATTGTTGAATAAGTTATGATGCACACATAATTCATCATTTCAAACAAGTTATGATATTCGTCAGTTTTGGAAAATTGTATTACATTACATATTTGATGATGTTTCCTCTCCCCTGTATTGTATTGTATTGTATTGTATTGCATTGTATTGTATTGTATTGTTTTGTGTTTATTTATTGAGACAGAGTCTTGCTCCATCACCCAGGCTAGAGTGCAGTGGCTCAATCTTGGCTCATTGCAACCTCCCCCTCCCGAGTTCAAATGATTCTCATGCCTCAGCCTCCCAAGTAGCTGGGATTACAGGTGCATGCCACCATGTCCAGCTAATTTTTGTATTTTTAGTAGAGACGGGGTTTCACCATGTTGGCCAGGCTGGTCTCAAACTCCTGACCTCAGGTGATCTGCCTGCCTTGGCCTCCCAAAGTGCTGGGATTACAGACATGAGCCACCGTGCCGGTCCTACAATCTCTTGTATTTTAAAAAATTTCCTACTTTTAACATGTTGAACCTCCTGACATAGTTCTCTAATTATCTTTTTTTTCTCCCCAATTTTCCATCTCTGTCTTTCTGCTATACTTTCTAGGAGACTTTTTTCAACATTATTTTCTGATTCATCTATTGAGTTTTTCATTTCTGATATGAAATAATATTTTAGTTTCCAAGAAATATTTTTTTACACTCTGAACATTTCTATTTGTGATACAACCTCCGGTTCTACATTCTTGACTAGAGTGTCTTATCTCCATGAGGAAAGTAAGGTTATTGCTTTCAAACTTTTTATGCCCCTGCATGATTTCTTCTAGACTGCTCTTATTTCCTGTTTCTTTAGTTAGAATTTTATCTATCATATTATAGCTATTCCTTCTATACCTGGTGATCCTGCATTGTCTTCCCATCAATGTATCAGGTCATTAAGGGATATGTGCTATAATGATACTTACACACAGGGAGCCATCTGAATCATGAGACATGCATGCCCATTTTACACTTAAATGAATACATAATTTACATGATTTTCCTAGAGCCCATGCCACATAAATCCATAGATTGAGGGTTTGTTTACCGTAAGCAATCCTAGACAATCAGGTACATCCTTCTGAAAGCATTCCAGGGATAAACACTCTCCTGCTGGCAAATACTACTAGTTTGCTTACCAGGTCTGTCATTAACATGTTTACAAGGAAATTTGACTACATCACCTCCTTTCTTTTTTGATTGTGTCTCCCAAGCAATTAAGAAAATGAATTACAGAACTGTTCATTAACCAATTACTGCACTGTGTTTAAAATGTGCTGGGACCTCTGTGATCCCAGCACTTTTGGAGGCCGAGGTGGGTGGATCACCTGAGGTCAGCAGTTCGAAACTAGCCTGACCAACATGGTGAAATCCCGTCTCTACTAAAAATACAAAAATTAGGCTGGGTGCAGTGGCTCACACCTATAATCCCTCCACTTTGGGAGGCCGAGGCAGGTGGATCACCTGAGGTCAGGAGTTCGAGACCAGTGTGGCCAACATAGTGAAAACCCGTTGCTACTAAAAATAAAAAAATTAGTTGGGTATGGTGGCAGGTACCTGTAATCCCAGCTACTCAGGAGGCTGAGGAAGGAGAATCGCTTGAACCTGGGAGATGGAGGTTGCAGTAAGCCGAGATCACGCCACTGCACTCCAGCCTGGGCAACAAAAGTGAAACTCTGTCTAAAAAAAAAAAAAAAAAAAAAAAAAAAAAAATAGCTGGGCGTGGTGGCAGGCACCTGTAATCCTAGCTACTCGGGAGGCTGAGGCAGGAGAATTGCTCAAACCTGGGAGGCGGAGCTTGCAGTGAGTGGAGATCATGCCATTGCACTGCAGCCTGGACAACAGAGCAAGACTCCGTCTCAAAAAAAAAAAAAAAGAACTCTATGAGTGTAGTATTATTGTATTATTATCCCCATTTAACAAATAAGGATGTGAGACTCAGTGCTTACAGGTTCCCCAAAGTCATGATACCCGGTAAAATCTCAAATGTCCTAACCTCAAGTTTTCCTCCCCATTGTAGTCCCGAAGATAAGGTCCCCTACCCAAATAACCCTTCTTATCATAGGGGCCAGGCACAGTCTCTATGTAACCCTATCTCTCCTAACCCTGAATAGCAGACTTCAGTTCTCTGTCAATCTGAGGAATTGTTCAAACAAGCCAATCACACCCTCCCTCAGGAACCAGGAGTCACCCCACTCTCTTGTTATTACAAAGCCTATGGCCCATAGCCCCCGCTTGTTCACTCTGTTCTCTGTTCCCAAATGCAACCTCTGTGTAGCCCTGCATAGCATGTGATGTCCTCCTCCCCTAGACTGTGACCATACGTGCCCAATAAATTGTTGTCAATCTCATCTCAGGTGTCACATGTTCAGCCATCCTTATAACCCTAGGGTGGAATCCCTTGCTCACTGATGGGGTGAAGTGAGGCAATCAAAACAATCAGCAAATCTGACTTCTTAGTCCATGTGCTTTGTATTACATTACACTGCTTCCCACAGCTAAAAATCATGCTCCCTTCACCATCTCCAAAATGTAGACTCAAGAGGAGATCCAGACATGAAGCTTGAGACTAGCGAGGAATGATACACCTGGGATATTGACTTTCACCTTGTCTGGGTTCTCAGCAAAATACATCTAGGATTTCTCTAGGGTTGTTACCAGTTACTTGTATCCAGCAAGAAGGCAGGCTCACAGCCAGAGTCTCTACAACCAGAAGAACCAGAAAACTGTCAAAAGGGACATTCCTAAATTACTTTGATGAGGCTGTTTCGTTGGCAGTGGGCCCTTTCACGGGACTTGAAATCCAGGAGAGCTTCCCCCTCCCGCTGGAAGTGCTGCCAGATTCCTTTTTCTCCATGCATGTCCATATATAGGTAAGGGGCATCTTTTACCTTCAATGGCATAATTGATGTCTGTTTTTTCATCACATGACACTTGCTGTCACGTGATGATCACAAGGATGATGTGAGTGGTGTATTTATAGTAATGATGGGAAGCTAAGGGAGGAAGGGACCTTAAAAGGGGGAAGAAATTGGGGGTGGGAGAGAGCAAACAAGAGGGGACCTCGGGGAAGAGTGAAGAACAAAAGAAGATGGCCAAGGAGAATGACAGACTGGCCAAAAAGAACTGTTAAGAATAGGGAAGCCTCATACTCAGTTTTAATAATTGTTTACATTCACGTAACAAAACTCATCACTTTTCTAAAAGCTTTGATAAAAGGTAGTTTCATAGGTAAAAGCCTACAGTGAATTTGGCTTAAGCACTTTTGAATGGAAATAAAAAGTACTCCAAAATGAATTTTACATTTGGGTGAACATCATGGTGGAGACAAAGGAACAGCCATTTTCTGAAGAACCAGAAAAGAAGAGTAAGGAATTAGAAACTATAGGTGATTCTGATAACCCAAGTGTTTCAAAAATTTTCAGAAACTTTTGGGTAGACGTTGGACTTTTCGCAGGACTTAATAGATAATTGAGCTAACCATATTTCAGTCTTGCAAAACAGGAAGACCTTATCTGACAATATGCAAATAACAAAACTTGAGTGTGTTTCAAGTGTCAGGGTAGTTACGCCGATGGCAGTGGTGGGGGTCCACTTCTTAAATAAAACCAGGTAGCAGGACATCTATTAGCTCACAATTATTAAACTAGTTTTTTTTTAAAACACGTAGCAGGGGTTTCCTGTCACAAGATGATCACAAGGATGATCATATCATCTTGTTATATAAGATTAAAATATGTTTATCTTGTTTTGTTGTTGTTGTTGTTGTTTTGAGATGGAGTTTTGCTCTTGTTGCCCAGGCTGGAGTGCAGTGGTGTGATCTCAGCTCACTGCAACCTCTGCCTCCTGGGTTCAAGTGATTTTCCTGACTCAGCCTCCCCAGTAGCTGGGATTACAGGCGTGAGCCACCATGCCCAGCTCATTTTTTGTATTTTTAGTAGAGACGAGGTTTCACCATGTTGGTCAGGCTGGTCTTGAACTCCTGACCTCAGATGATCCACCCACCTCGGCCTCCCAACATGCTGGGATTACAGGCATGAGCCACTGTGCCCAGTTGGAAATATGTTTATCTTTCTTAATTCAGTATTAGCGTCATCTCTGGGAAGTCTTCTTTTGTGACTAAGCCCAGTCACTCCACTGATAACTATCTTCTTTGTGCCTCTACTCTGCCCTCAACAGTTGTCTATCTTAGTAACCGTGGCCCTAATGGAACTGTAGATCTGTCCCTCCCAATAGTCTGAATGTCCTTGCAGGCAGAGACCACATGTTTTCTGTGTTTTGAATCTCTAGTGCCTTGAGAAGTGCTTGGCTAACAGTAGGTCCTCGGTCTATGTTTGATGAATTAATCATACACCTGATCTGTCAGGTTAACTCATTAAACGACCCCAATGAGAGAGCAAGGATCTTGACAAGTCTGTCATTAAAATGAGGAACTTGCCAAGAGATCACATGGGTCTTAGCATCTTCTTTTTAGGACAATGACTCTGTCCTTCATGCTTTTCTATTCCTGTTGGCTACTCTAGTGCCTAGCACATAATAAACGTTTATTTGAGTAAGCTTTGCCAAATGGAAAGGTGAATAAGTGAGGCTCAACAGCAACATATACCAGCCTGTGTAGAATTTCAAAAGCTGATGGATCTATAGCAGTCTCACAAATCATCTGCTACCAGCCTGAAGCCCCTGAAGTAACTGAAAAATCACTGCACAATGTGGCATTTTCATGCAGGCTGCCTTCGGGGCTGTGGAGGTGGTGGCTGCTCCTGAGTAAACACAGGCTGCACTGAAGAGCCATTGTGGCCACTAGTAGTTCTTTTAAGTTCCCTTGGGGTCTGAAGTTGATTTGCAGCCAGAGCCAAGTCCCCACACAACCTCCAATTTACCCTTCCTTTCTTTATCTTCTTTTTTTTTAAATTAACTATAAGAAAAATATCCAGGGTGTAGCAGTTAGCAGTGGGCTGCCAATAGTAGAAAATTTTCTTTTGTTTACTCAGAGTGTTTGCACCTAATCTACTGAAAAACAGTAATGAGCCCTCAGAAAGCAATTCAGACGCCCTGGCCCCAAAGGAAGACAGGCTTTGAACTTGGCGGGAAGGCATCCAGGGCGGCAAGGAGTGGGGCTGTAGCATCCCTCCTCAGCATGAGTCTCATTTCCAGGTGAGTGTTGTCCACAGGCTGCTTCTGTGCTGGCATTCCCAGGACCCTGGGAAGTCTCCAGTGCTCCAATCTCCCAAATATCTCCTGTTGGCCCTAGTTCGAATCCTGCTGCTTTCTTTGTTTCTTGTTGAAATACAAATGCCACTGAGAAGGACAACCCTAGAAAAGAGTCAGATGAACTGAGTTTAATTCTGGCTTTTGCAACTTGACTTTTGGAAATGTGAATACAACAATTTACATCTCCAGGCCTCAGTTGCTTTACCCATTCAACAGAGTTGATTATGCCATGTGACATATAGGATTTTTGAAGTTGGAATTACTTTGTAAATTAAAAAAAACTTTTTTACATAAAAGTATTATCTGTAATAATTTCTATATGCATGGTACCTCAGCACATTGCAACATTGTATCTCTCTATAAACCACTTGAGGGCAAGGACTGTGTTTCATTTTGTATTCACCGCAACTAGCTCAGTACAGGGGGAAGAATAGGTGCCAATAAAGGACAGGCGAATTGAGCAGGGCTAGTTTACAGCAGCAGGAAGTTTAAGTATACTCTAACCTTCTATCATGTCTAACATTAAGATCTTCACTTCTTTAAAGATAATCACTGAACTATGTCTTTTCACTCTGGGAAAGCAGGGTAAACTGACCATCTCCACTGAATTCCCTGTGGAACTCTGAGCCATTGAACACGATGAGTATTCTGGGAACTCTTCATCCCAGATCTTCCCCAGATAGTCCACGGGTTAATATAGGTTGAGTATCCCTTATTCAAACTGCTTAGTCCCAGATGTTTTAGAGTTCAGATCTTTTCAGATTTGGGAATATTCGCATTATACCAACTGAGCATCATAAATCTGAAGATCCAAAATCTGAAATGCTCCAATGAGCATTTCCTTTGAGCATCATGTCCACACTCAAAAAAGTTGTGAATTTTGGAACATTTCGAATTTTGGATTTTTGGATGTGGGATGCACAACCTGTGGACAGTCTTATTGTACTCTTTGGTATAGATGTGCTTGTCAGGCTATGCACCAAATCTTTGTTTCCAGAAGAATACTTATCATATACAAGGGACATGGTGAGACAGCAGGAAAAACCTAATGATGTGACATGTTAAAATCACTCATGTGAGCCCATATGCTGATTTTGGCTTTTTACTGAAGCTTAGCAAAGGCAGAGATTTTTAAACATTTCCTTTGAGCCTGGGCACGGTGGCTCACACCTGTAATCCCAGCAGGTGGGATTTGGGATGTCGAGGCAGGTGGATCACCTGAAGTCAGGAGGAGTTCAAGACCAGCTTGGCCAACATGGTGAAACCCTGTCTCTCTAAAAATACAAAAATTAGCTGGGCGTGATGGCGGGCACCTAAAATCCCAGCTACTCAGGAGGCTGAGGCAGGAGAATTGCTTGAACCCAGGAGGTGGAGGTTGCAGTGAGACAAGATGGCACCACTGCAGTGCAGCCTGAGTGACAGAGTGAGACTCCATCTGAAAAAAGTTTAAAAAATAAAATAAAATTTATTTGAGAAATAATGTGGGCCCAACCCTAGGGCCATCAGAAAACTGAATTCTACCATCATCTACTTATTGTTGGGTTAATCATTCCTTTGCCCTCCATTTCTTGTTTAGTAAAGCCCAGCAAGTGGAGAGATGACTTCCAAGGAGATTTCCATTATTCTGTGTGGGAAAGGCCACTTTCCTCATGCATAGCTGTTTTCCGTGTTTAGAATGCCTCCTGTTGGCCATGCTGAAGTTTCCACTCCCTCTCCCAAAATTGGTCAGAGCATGGGACCAAATCTGGACCATGCAAGACAGAGAGTTGGCACAGTATTATTTTGGGTCTGTCACACAAGTTCATCTGGAGAAGCAAAGAGACTTTAGCAGGAAGAGGACAGAAATTTGTATCAGCTGCCAACAGCTGAGAAAAGAGCTGCACAGGATCCCCAAACAAAGATGCATCCACAAGAGACATGGGAGACCAAGCCAGTGAAGAGGAGAAGACTCATGCCAAGCAAAGTTATGCATTTTGTTTTAATTTTTTTTCATTAAAACAATTTTTTTTTTCTTTTTAGAAAAGGGGATACAGTATGTTGTCCAGGCTGGTCTCAAACTCCTGGCCTCAAGCAGTCCTCCTGCCTTGGCCTGCCAAAGTGCTGGGATTACAAGCTTGAACAACTGTGCGTAGCCCATATTTTGATTATTAAGAGTCTAGTGCCAATTTCTGAAACAAAACTGTGTTTGTAACTTAAAGTGGCAGTGAGACCATTACCCACTAAAGTGGAAAAAAGGCCGGGCGCAGTGGCTCACGCCTGTAATCCCAGCACTTTGGGAGGCCGAGGCGGGTGGATCACGAGGTCAGATCGAGACCATCCCAGCTAACACGGTGAAACCCCGTCTCTACTAAAAACACAAAAAAATTAGCCAGGCGTGGTGGCAGGCGCCTGTAGTCCCAGCTACTCAGGAGGCTGAGGCAGGAGAACGGCATGAACCTGGGAGGCGGAGCTTGCAGTAAGCCAAGATCGTGCAACTGCACTCCAGCCTGGGTGACAGAGCGAGACTCTGTCTCTAAATAAATAAATAAATAAAAATAAATAAAGTGGAGAAAAGCCATGGATCCACCGTAGGTTGGGGGACAGGGACAATTACTGTATTAAATAATATTCAGGCCAGGCATGGTGGCTCACGCCTGTAATCTCAGCACTTTGGGAGGCCAAAGCGGGTGGATCACCTGAGGTCAGGAGTTCGAGACCAGCCTGGCCAACGTGGTGAAACCCCGTTTCTACTAAAAATACAAAAATTAGCCGGGTGTGGTGGTGGGCACCTGTAATCCCAGTTACTCAGAAGGCTGAGGCAGGAGAATTGCTTGAACCTGGAAGGTGGAGTTTGCAGTGAGCCGAAATCGTGGCACTGCACTCCAGCCTGGGCAACGAGAGCAAGACTCCGTCTCAAAAAATAATAATAAAATAATAATAATATTCAAAGAAACAGTGGGAGGTAAAAATGAACTTCTGCCTTGATCACAATCCATGTATCACTCTTATTCAACATACCAACTTATATACCTTAAACATTTTTATATTCATTTCAAACCTCAGTTTATTGTCTGAATATATATATCAGACTGTGTAAAACTATTTTCCTCCTTTAATATTATGCACTGGAGGTTAAAACCACTCACTACTGAGTTAACAAATCAACAATAATTAGGTTGAGTCACCTATAAAATGTAAGATACACACATCTATAGAACTATACACATGACCGTTTTCCAGGCACTTGATTAGAATTGACTTGGTCTCAGATAGGTAATAAAGAAAAGGAGAGAAATATATTTTGTGTTTCTCCTCTGTTCCCTACAGTGGGTAACAAAATGCTTAACAGAGAAACACATGGGGTTTGCCACTCGGTATTACTATGATAAAGAGCAAATGGCTTAGCTCTCATTCATTCATTTTGTGCAATAAACATGTGATGGCCAAGTAAGAAGTCGAGAAGTAGTCTCAAGGAAGATTCAAGTTTTGAGGAGGTTGGCAGCCATAGCCTAGGGATGAAGCTAGGCTGGAATCCAGAGAAGCCCACCAGAGCACCTGGGAGGTATTGTAGGCATATAGCCCTGAGGACCCCACTGGAGATTGAACTGGGCTCTTTAATGCCTAATTAAACCCTGCAAAAGGGCGTTGCTGCTCTGGGGAGACTTGAATTAGCTGCATCTTGGATTGCTAGGTCTGGTATCTGCTATCTTAGCCCCTGTTTACTTTTATGCCATCCATAAAACAGTGGCTAAGCTTGCTTTAATTTATTGCAAAGGGTAGGAATAGCCTTGGGAGAATAATTAGAAGCCCACTGTTTTTCATTACATTATATTTTAAGACAGCATATTTTCCTGTCTAGTGACTTTTAAGAGGGCCCTGCCAAACAGTCTGTGTAAGAGTAAATGAGCAAATAAAAAGATTGCTTTGTAGCTATTTGGACTTGGTGTTTAAAGGACTTTATCTTCATTCACATGAAAAAATAAACAAACTCTAACTTCAGTTTCGCCAGGTTCCACAAAAATGTATAGTGTGTGCCTACAGAAGCAAAAGGGAGAAAAGGATGGAAAAAATGACTTAGTATTCAAGGGGAAGGATTCTGCTACCAGTGAACAGAGGGCACTTTATGGATTGATTAGGCAATGATATTGACAAATTATTTGGAAAAATGGAGCAGCAGTAGGATCTTTTGAAATGCTGTAGGGGAAACATCTACTATAAACATAGCACGTTAAAAAATAATCCGAAAATGCCAAATAAATTGTCTGGCAAAATGATGTTCTTTTCCCCAAAGTTCTGTTCTTACTCCAAAATTCCCTTTTCACCTGTATAAAAACTTCAAACACCAACCCCGTCAAAGACCAGAAGCATCCACCACTGTAAGTTTGATGGGTAAAGTTGTGTTTTCAGAAGTTCACTGAGTATATATTATGATACTATTCATGTAAAAAACAAAATACACTCTAGATAATACTATATAGTATCTATCTATCTATCTATCTATTCACTATGTTAATAGCTCCTTGATGCCTTTAAGTAGATGTTTTCCAAACCCTTTTTATCCATTTTATACATATATAGCTATATAGATATCTAATATTATATACATCTTTTTTTTTTTGAGACAGGGTCTCACTCTGTTGCCCAGGCTAGAGGGCAGTGAAATGATCTCAGCTCACTGCAACCTCCACTTCCCAGGTTCAAGCAATTCTCCTGCCTCAGCCTCCTGAGTAACTGGGATTACAGGCATGTGCCACCATACTTGGCTAATTTTTGTATTTTTAGTAGAGATGGGGTTTCACCATGTTGGCCTGGCTGGTCTTGAACTCCTGGCCTCAGGTGATCCACCTGCCTCAGCCTCCCAAAGCACGGGGATTACAAGTGTGAGCCACCACACCTGGTCAATATATCTAATAATTATCTACGAATAGCTATATCTATATGTGTGAAAATAGAAAAGGTTTCAGGGAATTTCTACTTCTGATAATGGTAGAAAGGCATCTACTTAAAGGCATCTATTTAAAGGTGTCAAGGAGCTATTAACATAATGAATAATTATTAGGCTAGGATCCAAGGAAGGGAAGGGTTCAGAGAGATGATCCCAGTGTATAGGATCTCTTTTTCCTTTGGGGGTTATTTCACCATTTACAAGGGACTGCTGAGAGGACAAGAAACTGAAAGTTTCTTTTGATAGTCTTGTTAGGCTAAGAGAACAGGAAAATGACAAGGTTCAACCAAAAACGGGGGTTCCCTGGTAAAGCTCCCTTGCTTTTTGCTGGGGTTTCAATACTCCACAATAGTAATAAGTGCGTGCAAGAGTAGGCAAGTTTTTGCAGCGATTGCAGCTCAGCTTTGAATTTGGCTTAAGGAAATCTCATATTATTTGCTCACGGATGTGAGAAAACATGAAACTCTTCTCTGAAGGAAAAATACATCATATTGAGCAAAGAATTATTCTACAAATAATCTGCATATACATATCTGGCCTACATTTAAAGCACAATGGGCAAATAGGAGATACAATAAAAAAAATAAAAACCAGCAGAAAAAACAAATGATGAAAAGGAGACCTTCAGAGAAACCAGAAACTGTGGCTATCAGACAACATTTTAAAATAATTCTGTTCACTATGTTCAGAGAGATAAAAGGAATGACTGAGAAATATGACAGAGAACTAGCAACACTAAAGAACAAAATGTTATCCAGCCTTATATTCAGAAAAAAAAAGAACAAAATGGAAAGTCTACAACTAAAAATTATAACTGAATTTAAAACACAATAGACATATATATATATATATATATATATATATATATATATATATATACTTTTTTTATTTTTGAGATAGTGTCTTACTCTGTCACCCAGGCAGGAGTGCCGTGGTGCGATCTTGGCTCACTGCAACCTCGGCCTCCCAGGCTCAAGCAATCCTCCCACCTCAGCCTTTCAGGTAGCTGGGACTACAAACATGCACCACCACACCCAGCAAATTTTCTTTTTTGTATGTTTTTGTAGAGATAGGGTCTCACCATGTTGCCCAGGCTGGTCTTAAACTCCTGGCTCAAGTGATCCACCTGCTTTGGCCTCCCAAAGTGCTGGGATTACAGGTGTGAACCACCGCACCTGGCCAAACACAATGGATATTTTTAACAGTGGATTAAACAATGCTGAATAGAGATTTAATGAACTGAAATATCTGTAGGAAGAAAATAACTAGAATGAAGCATGAGATAAAAAGAAGAAGGTGGCCGGGCACAGTGGCTCACGCCTGTAATCCCAGCAGTTTGGGAGGCCAAGGCGGGTGGATCACGAGGTCAGGAGATCGAGACCATCGTGGCTAACACAGTGAAACCCCGTCTCTACTAAAAATGCAAAAAATTAGCTGGGCGTGGTGGCGGGCGCCTGTAGTCCCAGCTACTTGGGAGGCTGAGGCAGGAGAATGGCCTAAACCCAGGAGGTGCAGCTTGCAGTGAGCCGAGATCGTGCCACTGCACTCCAGCCTGGGCAACAGAGCAAGACTGTCTCAAAAAAAAAAAAAAAAAAAAAAAAAAAAAAAGGCAGAAGGTATAAAGTAGAAAAGAAATAAGAGATATTGAGACTACAGTGTGATGATCTAATATACGACATTTTAATTTTCCAAAGGAGAGTAAGAATGAAACAAAAAAAAATTTGACAAGATTATGGCTGAGGATTTTCCTCAATTGATAAAAGATATAAAGCCACAGATGCTAGAAGACATGCAAAGCCAAAGAGGATAAATACAAAGAAAGCCATACCTAGGCACATTACAGTAAAACTTCTGAAGTCCAAATATTACCAAAAAAAGTTAAATGCTAAAGAAAAAAGAGAGAGATTATCCTCAAAGGAGAAACAAAAGAACTTACAGCTAATTTTCCCCTAGAAACAATGAAAAGCCAAAGACAACAGAATGGTATATTTAAATTGCAGACAGAAAATGACTGCCAACCTAGAATTCTATGCCTAGTGAATACATCCTTCATGAGTGAAGGTGAAATGAGGACCTTTGGTTTTCAGACATTAAAAAAACTACAGAATTTAACACCAGTATATCCACATTAAAAGAAATAACCAAAGTTATTCTTCTGGTAGAAGGAAAATGATCTAAGATGGAAGACTGGAGATACAGAAAGAAATGAAAATGAATAAAGTAGGTAAATACAGAGAATTATTGACTACATAAAACAATAATATCTTATGAAGTTTTACATGTTCAGTAAAATGTGTGATAACAGCATACAAGTAGGAGAGAGGGAATGGAGTGAAGATATTCAAAGGGTTTGTATTATCTGGGAAAGTGGGAAAGTATTGATCAGATTAGACTTTGAGGACCTCTGATGTTGACCAAGATGGACCACTACAGTCTATCTACATGATATATCACCACAAAATACTTTGGACGGAATAGAAAAACCACCTGAAACCTAAACGTAGACAATAGTAGATGGAGATGGCCATTATTAACAGCAGGTGAATTGGAAATGTAAGTCAAAACTTAATTACCTGTTTTGTTTTTCTTCATTTCACCACTTTGATCTGAGGATAAGTAAAGCTGTAGAACCTCACAATGGACTTAGACAATAAAAACCCTTGAGAGAAATCTTCTATGGTAAACAGCCTTTACTATGACCCACAATGTTTTGTGCCTCTGGAATACATGCCATTTTGTAATCTCTTCCCCTTAAGTGTGGGCGTTATTTAGTGACTTGCTTCTAATTAATAAAACATGGCAGAAGCGATGTGATGTCTCCTCTTAAATCAGATTGTAAAATGACTATGGCTTCTATTCTGAATGTCCTATTTCACTGTCTTTCTCATTCACTCTGAGATGAACTATCTGCCATGTTATAAGCTACCCTGTGAAGAGGTCAACCTGGCAAGAAACTGAGGAAAGCCTCTATCCAATAGCCAGCCAGGAATTTAGGCCCTCAGTCCAAAACCCTACTAGGAAGCAAGAGAGTTTAGAAGTGGATCTTCCCCCAAGCAAGCTTTCAGATGATACTGCAACCCTGGCCAAAAGCCTAATTGCAACCTCATGAGATCTTAAACCAGAGACACTCAACTAAGTTGTGCCCAGATTTCTGACCTACAGAAACGGTAAATGTTTGTTATTTGAAGCCAGTTTTGGAGACAATTTGCTATTACCAACAGATAATTAATACAATATGCAAAACCAGATGGTTAATTTCAGCAGAGAGATGGAAACTGTGAGAAAGAACCAAATGAAAATTCTAAGAATAGAAACCACAATAACAGAGAAAATAATCTATAAACTTGAAATAAATAGAAATTACCCAAGTGAAACAAAAAGGAAAATAAAATGAGGAAAAACAGCATCCAAGAACTCTGAGATAACATGATAACAATCTAGATAAATGGTCTAACATATGCATAATTATTATAATTATGCATGATATATGCATAATATCTCCTAGAAGGAAATAAGAGAACATGGCAAAAGAAACATTTGAGGAAATGATGGCTAAGAATTTTCCAAAATTAATGAGAGACACTAAACAGCAGATGCAATGAACTCAAAAAATACCAAACGGAATTAATACTCCCCACAAAACCCCAATAAAACAAAATATTCATCAGGACATATCACATTTAAACTGCTGAAAAACAAAGACAAAGAGAAAAATCTTGAAGTCAGCCAGAGATAAATGACATATTACTTGCAAAGAAAGATGGATAAGAATTAGAGCAGACTTCTTGTCAGAAATGAGACAAACACAAAGATAATAGTGTGACAGCTTTAAAGTGCTGAAAGAAAACAATTCAACCTAGAAATCTAGAGTCAACAAAAATATTATTTCAAAAATAAAGGAGAAATAAATACTTCCTCACACAAACAAAAACAAGGGAAATTCATTGGTAGTAGATCTACTTTATAAGAAAATAACTTTCAGGCAGAAGAATAATAAGACAGAAGTCTTGATCTATATAAAGAAATGAAGCACATTGGAACTGGAATAAATAAAGATACATTTACTTTTTCTTAGTTTTAATTGCTCTAAAAGGTAACTATGTAAAGCAAAATTACTAAGAATGTATTACCTATTTATAGCATATTTAAAAGTAAAATATATGGCAATATGACAATAATAGTGCACTAGATGGAAGGAATGAATTGGAAATATATAGCTACAAGTTCCTTGCACCACATATGATGTTGTGTAATACTATTCAAAGGTAGACTAGATTATTTAAAATGGATATTGTAGACCCTAGGGAAACCACCAAAACTTAAAAATAGGTATAAATCAAGATGGAATGACAAAAATGACAAATTTTCATGACCAAGAGAAGGCATGAAAAGAAGAAATAGTAAACAAAGAACAGATAGCCAACAGCTAACATGATGGTAGATTTTAATCCAATCACACCAATAATTATGTTAGATGAATAGTATAAACACACTGGCTAAAGGACAGAAATTTCCAGATGGACAAAAAGTCAAGAACCAATTTATATGTTGTCTATGAGAACTAAGTTTAAATATAAAAACATAGATAGGTTAAAAGTAAAAGGAGGGAGAAAGTCTTACCATGTAAACACTAGACAAACAAAAACACTGCAGTAGCTGTAAAGGCATACCTCTGAGATATTGCAGGTTCAGTTCCACACCACGGCAATAAAACATATATCACAATAAAGCAAACCACATAAATTTTTACATTTCTCAGTGCATTTAAAAGTTATATTTACACTATACTGTAGTCTATTAGGTGTGCAATAACATTGTCTAAAAAATGCACAGACTTCTATTAAAAATAATTTATTTCCTTCCCTAATCACCATGGAATGAAATAAAAAGAATTTATTGCTAAAAAATGCTAACAACCTTCTGACCCTTCAGTGAGTTGTAATCATTTTGCTGATGGAGGGTCTTGCCTTGATGTTGATAGCTGTTGACTCAGGGTAGTTGTTGCTGAAGTTTATAGTGGCTGTGGCAATTTCTTAAAATAAGGCAACAATGAAGTTTGCCACATTGATTGACTTCCTTTCACAAAAGATATCTCTGTAACATGGAGTGATGTTTGATAGCATTTTATCCACTAGGACTTCTTTCAAAATTGAAGTCAATTCCCTCTGAAAACTGAAAATGAAAAAACAGTGGAGAAAAATCAATAAAAACAAAAGCTGGTTATTTGAGATCAATAAAATTGATAAGCCTCTAGCAATATTGATGAGTAAGAAAAGAAGGAAGACAAATTACCAATAACAAGAATGAGAAAGGTGATATTACCACAATTTCCACAGCTGTTAAAAGGATAATAGGGCCAGGCATGGTGGCTTGCACCTAGAGTCCCAACATTTTGGGATGCCAAGGTGAGTGGATTGCTTGAGCCCAGGGACTGTAGACCAGCCTAAGCAACATGACAAAACCCTGTCTCTGTGGGGAAAAACATTAGTCAGATGTGGTGGCCTGAGCCTGTAGTCCCAACCACTTGGGAGGCTAAGGTGGAATGATCACTTGAGACTAGGAGGTTGAGGCTGCAGTGAGCTCAGATCACACCACTGCACTCCAGCCTGGGTGACAAAATGAGAGCTTGTCTCAAAAAAAAAAAGGTGGGGAGGATAATAAAACATTACAAACAACTTATTAAGTAATTCCAGCAAATTTGAGAACTTATATGAAATGGACAAATTCCTTGAAAGACATAGACTACCAAAGTTCACTCAAGAAGAAACAAATAATCTAAATAGCCCTATATCTAAGTTTAAAAATTGAACTTATAATTAAAAACCTTCCCACAAAGAAAATTCTTGGGCCAAATGTCTTCACTGTTGAAATGAATTAATTTCATGACACCAACCTTATCCTAACATTCAAACCAGACAAAAACAGTACACAAAAGGAAAACTGCAAGTCCTTGTCAGTCATGAACATAGATGCAGAAATCCTCAATAACATAGCAAATTGAATCCAGCAATATATAAAAAGGATAATACACCATGACTAAGTGGAGTTCATCCAAGCAATTGATTCAACATTTGAAACCTTTTATTCAACTTTCAACATTTGAAAACTCAATGTAATTCACCATAATATCAGACTAAAGATGAAAAACCTCATGATAATCTCAACAGATGTATAAAAAACATTGGACAAAATTCAAAATATATTCAGTATGAAATAAGACAAACAAAAAAGCCTCCCAGCAAATTAGAAATAAAAGAGAAGTTCCTTAACTTAATGGAGGGCATCTACTAAAAAACTACAGCTAACATTATGTGCAATGGTGAGATACAGAATGCTTTTTCCCTAAGACCTGGAAATCCTGCTCCTGGTTATTTACCCAAATGAGTTGAAAACTAATGTTCACACAAAAATCAGTGTTTGAATGTTTATAGCAATTTTATTCAAAATAGCCAAAAAATGTAAATAACCAAGATGTTCTCCTACAGGTGAATGAATACACAAACCATGTGATGTCCATGCAATGGAATACTACTTATTGATAAAAAGGAAATGAACTATTGATTCATGTAACAACATGGATGAATCCTAAATGCACTTTGCTAAGTGAAAGATCCAAAAGGCTAAATATTGTATTATTCCATTTATATGACATTCTGAAAAATGTAAGACTACAGTGATAAAAAATAGGTCACTGGTTGCTAAGGCATGAGTGTGGAAGAAGAAATTGACTACAAAAAGGCAGAGCAAGGGAATCTGGGAAAAGATGAAACTGGTCTATATGGTACTGTGAGGGACACACAACCTTATGCACTTGCCAAAAACTCACAGAGTGTACACCACAAGGAGAATATTTTACTGTATGCAAATTTTTAAAAACCAAACACCAAGATGGAATGCAGAGTATGACAAATAAATCTAACTGTATTACATATGACATATATATTATGTATAACATAACCACACTGAAGAGGATGAGAAAGAAAGGCACTGCCCTAAGAAACTTTGGAAAACAGTGTTTTGAGTAGACATTGTAATGCCAGAGATAAAAATAACTATATAACCAATGTACTCTAGTTGGTAAACATGTTTCTTATAGGGATATGCATTCTGAAATTACATGTATACTATGGTTGAACAAATAAGTAAATATACTATAGATATACAAGAATAACAAAAATTCTCACTGCCAGAGAAAGAAGTTACAAAGGAGGAATGCAAGAATTAACCCTGGGTTGCTAGATTGGAATCCAAAACATCCATATGAACTCATGGTTATTTTAATACATGTTCAGAGAGGTAACACAGAAGACATGGGTTAGCATACATGTATCATACATTCTCTAGCTCTGTTTACTTAGAGGACCTAGAAGCAGTGCTATCCTAGCAGCAATGGATACACCTAAGGCCCAGATCTCGGTTTCTAAATACCATTCTCCAATACAAAGAACCAAGGTTCTTTGGAGAAGCAGTTGACCCTGGGGCTGAGTCAAGGAAGATATAGATGATCCTGGAGTGCCTTAGGGTGCCAGAATAAGGAAGTTCTGGGAAAAAAACAAGATGAGGGCACGTCCAACAGTTCCCAATGCTGGAACAATTTGAATAACAAAATTAAAACCATAGTTTTGGGTTATAACCCACTGAATAAAACAAATATCCATGAGACCCTTGTTGATATGAATAAGTGACTGAATACATAAATAAATTAGGGAAAAGGAACAACTCTTCTTTACAGAAGAACTTCAATAACACATTAAATTTAGAAAGAATGAAGGGAGTAAAAAAATCACAATTAGAATACCACAGTAATATTAGCTGCTGAAAGATCTGCCTATGAATGTGCTAATTAGTGGGCAAATGTTTAAGAAAAAACAGGATATTTACATACCCTCAAAGTATCTCCCCGTAAGTATTAATTAAAAAGGAAAATGTAACATTACAGTGGAGAAATCTGGCCAACACTACCTCAAACAAATGATCAATGTTAACATCACCAGTAAGATACTGGCATAATGTACTCCCTGATATCATGCACTAAGAGGGCACATCGCCTGTGTGGTATTCTTCCCCCAAATCTATAGCCTTAAACTAATCATGAGAAAGTATCAGACAAACACAACTTGAAGGACATTCTACAAAATACTTGATCAGTACTCCTCAAAGGTGTTCAGGTCATAAAAGACTGGAGAAGATTGAGGAACTGTCACAGTTTAGAGGAGACTAATGAGACATGACGCCTAAATACAACGTGAGACCCTAAATTTCATGTTGAAACAGGAAAGACATTAGTGGAAAACTGGTGAAATCTGAATAAAATGCAATTTAGGTAGTAATATTGTACCAGCGTTAATTTATTAGTTTTGATAATTGTATCATGGTTAACATGTTCGCATTAGGGGGAACCTGAGTAAGGGATAAATTGGAACTCTCTGTCCTATCTTTGCAAGTATTTGGTAAGTGTAAATATTATTTCAATAATAAGAATGTACAACCATTATATAATATGAGCCATAAGCTGTGAGGGAAGAAACAATAAAAAATTTTGAAAATGCAAAACATCATTATAAAAACCCAAATAGATGAGTTGAATAAGATTGAACATGGACAAAGAATAACTAAGAACTAAACATCAAGCTGCAGGTATCTCTCAGGACATAGAGCAATAAGATAAAAAGATGGAAAATATGGGGTTGGGGTGAGAAATGTGCCGGATAGATCCAGCAGTTCCACTACATGTGTACTAGAAATCCCAGAAAAAAAATAATAGGGAAAGAAATGAAGATAAACTACTTGAAAAATAATGGCTGAGAATTTCCCAGAAATGAAGAAAGACACGTGTCTTCAAATTGATCGAAATCTTACCAAATGGCAGGAAGAATTAAAATAGTGATCACATCTAGACACATAGAGTAACATTTCAGATATCTGTGAAACAGAGAAAAATCCTAATAACTACCAGAAAGACAAATGTGTACAAATGAATGAGAATCAGTTTGATATCAGACTTCCCATCCAGAAAATACCGATATAAAAATGTGAAAGTTGGCCAGGCGTGGTGGCTCATGCCTGTAATCCCAGCACTTTGGGAGGCTGAGGTGGGTGGATCATGAGGTCAGGAGATCGAGACCATCCTGGCTAACACGGTGAAACCCCGTCTCTACTAAAAATACAAAAGATTAGCCAGGCGTGGTGGCGGGCGCCTGTAAACCCAGCTACTCGGGAGGCTGAGGCAGGAGAATAGCGTGAACCCAAGCGGCGGAGCTTGCAGTGAGCCGAGATTACCCCACTGCACTCCAGCCTGGACGACAGAGAGAGACTCAGTCTCAAAAAAAAAAAAAAAAAAAAAAAAAAGTAAAAATCTCAGGTAAAATTTCTTAATGGGTCACTACTGACATTTGGATTAAACTAATTCTTCATGTGCAGGATTTCCCTGTGCATCACAGAATGTGTTAGCACCCATAACCCTGCCCACTAAAGGCTAATAGTGTGCCCCAGTCCTTATGACAACTCTCCCCTTCCCCTTCCTTCCTTCCTTCCTACCTTCCTTCCTTCCTTTCCTTCCTTCCTCCCTTCATTTTTTCTTTCCTTCTTTCCTTCCTTCCTCCCTCCCTCTCTTTTCTTTCTTTCTCTCTTTCTCTTTCTTTCTTTTTCTTTCTTTCTTTCTTTCCTTTCTTTCTTTCTTCTTTCTTTCTTTCTTTCCTTTCTTTCCTTCTCTCTCTCTTTCCTTTTCTTTCCCTTTCTTTCTTTCTTGCTTGCTTGCTTTCCTTCTTTCTTTCCCTTCCTTCCTTCCTTCCCCTTCCTTCCTTCCTCTTTCTTTTCTTTCTTTCTTTCTCTTTCTTTCTTTCTTGTTTGTTTGGTTTTTTTTTTTTTTTTTGAGACAGAGTCTCGCTCTGTCACCCAGGCTGGAGTGCAGTGGCACGACCTTGGCTCACTGCAATCTCTGCCTCCCAGGTTCAAGCAATTCTCCTGCCTCAGCCTCCCTAGCTGGGATTACAGGTGTGCACCACCATGCCTGGCTAATTTTTGTATTTTCAGTAGAGACAGGGTTTCACCATGTTGGCCAGGCTGGTCTCGAACTCCTGACCTCAAGTGATCCACCCACCTCGGCCTCTCAAAGTGCCGGGCTTACAGGCATGAGCCACCACGCCCGGCCTTTTTTTTTTTTTTTTTTTTTTTTCCCAGACAGGGTCTTCCTCTGTCTCCCAGGCTGGAGTGCAGAGGTGCAGTCAAGGTTCACTGTAGCCCTGACAGGTGCATGCCATCATGCCTGGCTAATTTTTAAATTATTTTGTAGAGATGGGATCTCCCAATGTTGCCCAGGCTAGTCACAAACTCCAGGCCTCAAAGGATCCTCCCGCCTTGGCCTCCCAAAGTGCTGGGATTACAGGTGTGAGCCACCATACCCACCCCACTTCTCATTTCTAAACATCCTCTAGGGAAGCAATACCACCCAGGTGGAGGAACATTAGTCTTACAGAAAATAATTTTGGCCCTAGAATACTTTTAATATCCAGATGAGTTTATGATACTTCTTTGTGCCGGAAAATAAAGAGCTGATCAAAGAATGGTAGGGACGTATTAAAAGGACACAGGAAACTGTGGAGGGGCTCCCACTGGCCAAATCCAGGACAATTTTAACAGCAAAATAAATAATAACAATATTAAATTACAATCCATTGAATAAAATAAGAATTTGAGTCCATACTGATATAAATACAAGAGTGCAGAAATGCATGTGGAGAAGGGAAAGCTCTTCCTTGCAGAAGAAAATGTATGAGTAAGTGTAGAAGGAATAATGGAAATAGATAACCATCAATAGGCAAACATCATAGTGGTAGTTGATATGGGTAATGGTGGTCAATGTTTGCTAAGGTTGGTATATGGAGGTTTAATATTAACATATTATCAAAATATATTCCCACAATTTTTCAAATCCCCTATGAAGGGAAAAATGGTGACTTTACAGTGGGAACACTTTATAGAGCAGCCCTGGTTCTTGACCAATAGTCCAGGTTAACCTCACAAGTGATAGCACACATTGATATCATTACTTCCTGATGTGATACGCTGAGAAGCATAGCATCATTACTATGGTGTTCCTGCCAAGAGTACATGTCTGAATCTGGCCATAAGCAAACATCAGATGAATCCAAGTTACAGGTCACTCTACAGAATGAAAGGCGTCTATTCTTTAAGTCCATCAAGGATATAAGGGACAGGGAAAGACTGAGGAATTGTTCTGCATTGAAGGAGCCTCAAGAGACATGACAACTATATTAGTTATGTATTGATGCATACAAATTATTCCAAAACTTATGGCTGAAAACAACTATCATTTATTTTGTATTTTTAAAAATATAGTTTATTTATTTTAATATTTATTTATTTATCTATTAATTAATTAATTTCTAGACTGGGTCTCAATCTGTTGCCCAGGCTGGAGAGCAGTGATGTGAACATGCTTCCCTGCAGCCTCGATTTTCTGGGCTCAGGTGATTCTTCCACCCCAAGCTCCCAGGTAGCTGGGACTAGAGGCATGCATGACCATGCTTAGCTAATTTTTTTGTATTTTTTGTGGAGGTGGGATTTCATCATGTTGCTCAGGCTGGTCTCAAAACTCCTGGGCTCAAGCAGTCCTCCCACCTTGGCCTCCCAAAGTGCTGGGATTATAGGTGTGAGCTGCAGTGCCCAGCCCTAATTTAAATTTTAAATTTTTGTGAGTACATAGTAGGTGTATATGTTTATGGGATACATGAGATGTTTTGATACAGGCATGCAATGTATAATAACCACATCACAGAAAATGGGGTATCCATCCTGTATTAGTTTGTTCTAGCATTATTATAAAGAAATACCTGAGACTGGGTGATTTATAAAGAAAAGAGGTTTAATTGGCTCACATTGCTGCAGGTTGTACAGGAAACATGATGCTGGCATCTGCTCAGCTTTTGGGGAGACCATAGGAAACTTAAAATCATGGTAGAAGACAAAGTGGAGAAGGTACCTCACATGGCCAGAGCAGAAGCAGAAAGAAAGAGTGGGGAGGTTCCACACACTTTTTTTTTTTTTTTTGAGACGGAGTGTCACTCTGTCACCCAGCCTGGAGTGCAGTGGTGCAATCTTGGCTCACTACAAGCTCCGGCTCCCGGGTTCATGCCATTCTTCTTCCTCAGCCTCCCGAGTAGTTGGGACTACAGGCACCCGCCACCATGCCGAGCTAATTTTTTGTATTTTTAGTAGAGACGGGGTTTCACCGTGTTAGCCAGGATGGTCTTGATCTCCTGACTTCATGATCCACCCACCTCAGCCTCCCAAAGTGCTGGGATTACAGGCATGAGCCTCCGCACCTGGCCCCACACACTTTTAAATGACCAGATCTCAGGAGCATTCACTCGCTGTCTCAAGGACAGTACCAAGAAAATGGTGCTAAGCCATTCATGAGAAACCCACCCCCATGATCTAATCACCTCCCACCAGGCCCCACCTCCAACACTGGGGATTACATTTCAACATGAGATTTGGGCAGGGACACCTATCCAAACCATATCAGATCCCCTCAAGCATTTATCTTTTGTGTTACAAACAATCCAATTATACTCTTTATTTTAAAATGTACAATTAAATTATTATTGACTATTAGTTACCCTGTTGTGTTATCAAATACTAGGTCTTATTCATTCATTCTAACTATTCTTTTTGTACCCATTAACCATGCCCTCCTCACCCCCCACCCCACAATATCCTTCACTGCCTCTAGTAACTATCCTTCTGCTCTCTATCTCCATGGGTTCAATTTTTTTTTTTTAATTTTTAGATCTCACACATAAGTAAGAAAATGCGATGTTTGTCTTTCTGTACCTGGCTTATTTCACTTAACATAGTGACCTCCAGTTCCATCCATGTTGATGCAAATGACTGAATCTCATTCTTTTTTTTGTGGCTGAATAGTACTCCATTGTGTATAAGTACCATATTTTCTTTATCCATTCACATGTTGATGGACACTAGGTCACCTCCAAATCTTGGCTATTGTGAACAGAGCTGCAACAAACATGGGAATGCAGATATCTCTTTGATATACTGATTTCAACAAGCATTTATTATCTCGCAGTTTCTGTGAGACAGGAATCCAAATGTGGCTTAGCTGGATGTTTCTGGCTTAAGGTCTCTTACAAAGCAGCAATCAAGTTGTTAGCTAAGGGCTATGGTCATCCCAAGGCCCAAATAAGGGAGGATTTACTTCCAAGCTCATTTATGTAGCTATGGACAGAACTAGGGACTGGAGACATCAATTCCTTATCACACAGGATTGATGGTTATCTATTCTTTCCATAGGGCAACTCATGATGGCAGCTGCTTCCTTGAAAGTGAGCACGAGAGCAGGAGAGACTGCCCAAGGAAAAAGTCACTGTCTTTCTGTAACCAAATATCAGAAGTGATATCCCATCACTTCTGCTGTTTTCTATTTGTTAGAAGACAGTAAGTCCAGCATATACTCAGTGGAAGAGTATAATACACAGGCCTGACCACAAGGAAGCAAGGATCATGAGAGCCACCTTAGAAACAGTCTGCTAAAGGAATGCAGTGTATTCCTGGAGCAGATAGGAAAAAAAAAAAAAAGACATAGTTGAGACAGTTGGTGGAATTTGAATGGGGTCTGTGGATTGGATGGCAGTGTTGGATCAATGTTGATTTCCTGAGCTGGAGGACTGCTTCGTGGTAACAGAGGAGAATGTTCTTGTTTGGGGGAAGCTCTAATTAGTGTTTAGGGATAATGCAGCATCATGCCAGTAAAGTATTTTATAATTATATATCTATCTACCTCTCTACTGAGCAAAAGTGAAGCAAATGTGATAAAATGTTAGCAATTAGGGAATCTAGGTTAAGGATATGTGGGAGTTCTTGTACTGTTCTTGCAACTTTTCTTTTACCATAACTTTCTGTGGGTTTGAAACCATTTCAAATATTTAGAAAAAATTCTAAAAAATAATATGAGTTAAGTAAGGGTTGAGGATAAAAGGAAGAAAAACTCATACTAGAGTTCTTGTTTTATTTGGTGGAAAGAGCGACTGATTAACTACTTTGACAGAAAAATGTTTGTGTGTTTATTTTGATATTTTAAGAGTAATTACTAAAAGTTTAGAAACAATGTGTATATCTTTCAAACAAGTAGAGGGAAAAATGAAAAACTTGTTCAATCAAACAGTAAGGAAGAAACAAGCAAAAAGACCCAAACAATAGTACCTGGAACCTATAAAATAAGTTTGCAGAAACAAGTTCAAATACAACAGTATTCATAATAAATGTGGACAGATTAAACTCATCAATTCATAGAGAGGGCATCTCATATTGCAGATACAACATATTCCTATATAAATCACGTACATAATACATAAATGCATATGTATGAAAAATTATCTATAAACTCATCTATTCAAAGACAGGGCATCTATCTATGCATGCATATATGTGAAAAATTGTTTATCTTTCTATCTATCTATCACCTAAAATCAACCTTCCAAAGGACACAACCTAGAGCAAAACAACACAGAAGCTGGGCATGGTGGCTCATGCTTGTAGTCTCAGCTACTTGGGAGGTTGAGGCAGGAGTATTGATAGACCCCAGGAGTTCAAGGCCAGCCTACATAACACAGTGAGACTCCCTTCTCTAAAACAAACAAAAACCTGGTGAAAGAAACACAGAAAAATTAATAACAAAGGAATAGAGAAAGATACACCAGATTAATAATAACGCAAGATATCTGGTAAAGTAATAAAGAGTAAATAGGATTCACGGTGAAAAATTCAGGACCAAGAGGGATATTTCATATTGATAAAATGACAAATTGTCAAGATGATATTTGTTAAGAATGTGTAGGAGCTAAAAACATATATATTTTTTAAAAGCTATTTTATTAAGATATAATTTACAAACCATGTATTTCACCCATTTAAAGTGCACAATTCAAGGGTTTTTAGTATATTCACAGATAGGTACAACCACCACCAGTCGGTTTTAAAATATTTTCATCACTCGGAAAGAAACCTCATACCCTTTAGTCATCATCACCCTACCAACCCATTCCTCCTCCAGCCCTAAACAACTATTTTCTATCTCTATAGATTTCTGAACTTTCATGTGAATGGAATCATATAATAATTGGGCTTCTGTAACTGGCTTCTTTCACTGCACAATGTTTTCAAGACTCATCCAAGTTCTAGCATGCATCAGTACTTCATTTCTTTTCTATGGCTGAACATTACGTTATGTGGATATACCACATTTTGTTTGTCTATTCATCTACTGATGGACATTTGGTTTGTTTCCTCCTTTTGGTTATTATGGATAGTGTTTCTATGAACACTCAGATAAAAATTTTTGTATAATCATGTTTCCACTTTTCTTGGATATTTACTTACAAGAATTGCTGGGTTATATGGTAACTTTATGTTTAAGCATTTGAGAAACTGTCAAACTGTTTTCCACAGTGGCTGTACCATTTTTATATTCCCACCAGTAGTTTATGAGAGTTCCAATTTCTCCACATTGACACCAGCACTTGTTACTATCTGACCTTTTGATTCTAGTCCTCCTAGTGGGTGTGAAGTGGTATTTCACTGTGTGGGTTTTTTTTTTTTGTTTGCTTGGTTTTTGTTTTGTTTTGAGACAGTCTCACTCTGTCACCCAGGCTGGAGTGCAGTGGCATGATCTCAGGTCACTGCAACCTCCGCCTCCTGGGTTCAAGTGATTCTCCTGCCTCAGTCCCCTGAGTAGCTGGGATTACAGCTGCCCACCATCATGCCTGGCTAATTTTTGTATTTTTAGTAGAGATGGGGTTTCACCATGTTGGCCAAGCTGGTCTCAAACTCTTGACCCTCAAGTGATCCACTTGCCTCAGCCTTCAAAAGTGCTGGGATTACAGGTGTGAGCCACTGTGCCTGGTCTTCATTGTGGTTTTGATTTGCCTTTTCCTGATTAATAATTCTAAGTATCTTTTCACGTTCTTATTGGCTATTTATATATCTTTCTTAGAGAAATGTCTATTCAGAGCCTTTGCCTATTTTTAAGTTGAGGTATTTTTCCTTTTATTATTAAGTTGTAAATATTCTTTATACATTCTAGATACAAGTCCCTTATCAAATACATGATTTGCAAAAAATTTCTCCCATTCTGTGGGCTGTCTTTTCTCTTTCTCGATTGTGTCGTTTGAGACACAAAAGTTTTTCATTTTGTTGAAGCCCCATTTATCTATTTTTTCTTTGGTTGCTTGTGCTTTTAGTGTCATATCTAAGAATTCTTTGTCAAATCCCAGGTGGCGAAGATTAATTTCTATATTTCCTTCTAAGAATCTTCTATTTTTTAGCTCTTACATTTAGGTCTTTGATCCATTTTGAGTTCATTTTTTGCTTGGTGTAAGGTAAGAACTCAACTTTACTTTTGTTTTTGCATGTGGATATCTAGTTATCCCACCACATTTTGTTGAAAAGACTATTATTTTTCCTATTGAATGATCTTTACCTCCTTGCTGAAAATTGACCATAGATGTATGGGTTTATTTCTGGACTCTCAATTCTATTGCACGGACAATATAGCTTTAAATTTTATATAACACAAAAATTGACAAAGGATGCAAAAGAAATTGACAGCCACGGTGGAAGTTTAAAAAACACTTCTTGGCCAGATGCAGTAATCCTAGCACTTTGGGAAGTCAAGGTTGGAGGATTGCTTGAGGTTAGGGGTTCAGGACTAGCCTGGGCAACATGGCAAGACCCCGTCTCTAAAAAAAATTTAAAAATTAGCTGGTGGTATGCACCTGTAGTCCTAGCGACTCAGCAGCCTGAGTTGGGAGGATCATTTGACCCCAGGTGTTTGAGGTTGCAGTGAGTTATGATCACAGCGTTGTACAGATGGCAAATAAGCAAATGAAAAGATAAAGATAATATCATATATCATTAGAGAACTGCAAATTAGAACAATTATACACCACTATATACCTATTAGAATGGCTAAAATCCAAAACTTCTGGTGAGGCTATAGAGTAACAAGGATGCTCATCCATTGCTGGTGGGAGTGCAAAATGATACAGCCACTTTGGACGACAGTTTGGCAGTTTTTTAAAGAAAGCTAAATATACTCCTTCCATATGACCCAGCAATTGTGCTTCTTGGTATTTACACAAATGAGTTGAAAATGAACACAAAAACCTGCATACAAAGTTTATAGCAGCTTTATTTATAATTACCCAAACTTGGAAACAACCAATATGTCATTCAGTAGGTGAATGGATAAACAGGTACATCCACACAACAGATTATTATCAGCAATAAAAATAAAAGAGCTGTGAAACCATGAAAAGACATGGAAGAACCTTAAATGTATATTGGTAAGTGAGAGAAGCCAGTCTGAAAAGGCTCCATACTGTATGACTCCAACTACTACATTTTGGAAAAGGCAAAGGTATAAAGACAGTAAAAATGGCCGGATGTGGTGGCTCACGCCTGTAATCCCAGCACTTTGGGAGGCTAAGGCAGGCGGATCATGAGGTCGGGAGATCGAGACCACCCTGGCTAACACGGTGAAACCCCGTCTCTACTAAAAATACAAAAAATTAGCCGGGCGTGGTAGCGGGTGCCTGTAGTCCCAGCCACTTGGGAGGCTGAGGCAGGAGAATGGTATGATCCCGGGAGGCGGAGCTTGCAGTGAGCCGAGATCGCGCCACTGCACTCCAGCCTGGGTGACAGAGCGAGACCCCTTCTCCAAAAAAAAAAAAAAAAAAAAAAACCAGTAAAAAGTTCAGTATGGGGCCGGGCGCGGTGGCTCACGCCTGTAATCCCAGCACTTTGGGAGCCCTAGGCGGGCGGATCACGAGGTCAAGAGATAGAGACCATCCTGGCCAACATGGTGAAACCTCGTCTCTACTAAAAATACCTGCTAACAAAAGTTAGCAGGTCGTGGTTGTGGGCGCCTGTAGTCCCAGATAGTCAGGAGGCTGAGGCAGGAGAATCACTTGAACCTGGGAGGCAGAGGTTGCAGTGAGCCAAGATCGCGCCACTGCACTCCAGCCCGGGCGACAGAGCGAGACTCCGTCTAAAAAAAAAAAAAAAAAAGAAAGAAAGAAAAAGAAAAGATCAGCAGGTCAGTAGGGGTCAGAGATTGATGGGTGGTGGGGGAGGGAGCGGCACAAGGGATTTTCAGATCATAAAACTATTCTGTATAATACTGTAATAGTAGATACATGACCTTGCACATTTGTCAAAACCCGTCGTACAACACAGAATAAACCCTAATTAAACTATGGACCTTAGTTAATAATAATGCATCAGTGTTGATTCATCCGTTAACAAATGAACTACTATAATGCAAGATGTTAATAATAGCGGAAATTGTGTGTGGGTTGGAGAGATACGAAGTGTATATGAACCCTGTACTTTCTGCTCAATTTTTCTGTAAACTTAAAATAGCTCTAAAAAATAGTCTAGTAATTAAAACAAATAAAGGCAGAAATTAATCACATAGGAAAAATGGAATTGATTGGAACCATAAGATGGCTTTTTGAAAAAATTAATAAAATAATACAGATTAAGTCCTGATAATATTGATTAAGTGAAAAAGGGAGGACATGTAAAAGCGTTTAAAACCTTGTAAGAGGTAATTTTGCACTAATAAATTTGAAAATCCAGATGAAAATAATCATTTTCTATAAAGATGGAAATTACAAAAATCAACTGAAGAAAGTATAGAAAACCTAAATAGACCCACTAACCACACAAGAAATGGAAATTTTTGTGTAATTTCCCAAATGTGTCCAATAATTTTACAAACAAGTTTTGCAAAAACTTTAGGGAAGAGAAAATTGCTATCTTACACAAAGTATTCCAGAGTACAGAAAATACAGAAAACTATTTCTGATAAAACATTCACTGTTTCTGTACACATACAATACTTTTGACAGCAAATAGGTGGATTTTTTTTTCCCCCACACCAAGCAATTTTGCAACTCTCCAGATCCCGACTGAGTGTCCTACAATTTAATCCCATTTGTTGCTCAAAAGCTTTTATATGGCTTAATCCCCAGAATCCTACAACCCCTTTCTAGAGGCTAGCGGGTGGGGCTAAATGTTTCAACCCTCTAATTACTTGGGTGTTTTGGTGACCAGCTCCATCCTGAGGCTATTTAGAGGGCCTACCCTAAGTCACTCATTAGATTAACTCAGGTGTGATCAAAAGAGGCTACTTATGAATAACAAAAGACAATCTTATCAATTCCCAGGGTTTTAGAAGCCTTGTGCCAGGTACTGGGAACACAGACCAAATATATTTCTTGTACCACACATTGAATCTATTTTGTGCAGTTGGGATAATCTTGTCACAAAAATAAGACATACAGAGTGCTATGGTCTGAATATTTGTGTACCCCCAAAATTCTCTGTTGAAACCTAACCCCCAAGGTGATGATATTAAGAGGTAGGGCCTTTGGGCGGTGATTAGATACTGAGAACAGATCACTCATGAATGGGATTAGCACCCTGGAAAAAGAGACTCCAGCCTGGCCCAGTGGCTCACGCCTGTTATCCCAGCATTTTGGGAGGCCTTGGCAGGTGAGTCACTTGAGCCCAGAAGTTCAAAACCAGCCTAGGCAACATAGTGAGACCCCCTCTCTATAAAAAATACAAAAATTAGCCATGTGTGGTAGTGCATGCCTATAGTCATCCCAGCTACTAGGGAAGCTAAAGAGAGAGAGAGAGAGAGAGAGAGAGACCCAGAGAGCCAACTAGTACTGCTAGTACCTTCCACCATGTGAGGACACAGTGAAAAGCTGCCATCTATGAACCAGGAAATGGGCCCTCACCAGCCCCTGAACCTACCAGCTATCTCAATCTTGGACTTCTTAGCCTCCAGAACTGTAGGAAATAAATTTCTGTTGTTAAGCTACCCATTCTATGGTATTTTGTTATAGCAGCCCAAATGGACTAAGACATATAAACAGAAAAAAAAAGAATTAAAGCAGAAGGCAATGTCATTTCTGTATATAGATGCAAAAATCCTAAATATTAACATTAGCAAATAAATTCCACCAGATTAATAAATCACTAATAATAAGCAAATTTTATCACAGAATGCAAAAATGATTGTCAGAAATATATTGATTCAAGTAATTTGCTCATTAACAAATTAAAGTCAAAAACCATATAATCTTTTCAATAGGGGCCAGAAAATAAAGAATCCTAAATTTCATACATTATTCATTATTTTTGTCTAAAGTTATTAAATTGAATATAAATAAATATTAATAAAAACTAAAAAATAACCCAAACAACATAAATCATTATACTTACTGATAAAATTTTTAAACATCTATAATAAAAACAGGTACAGACAAGACTGATCTCCTTCATTCCTAGGATTCAGAACTTTACTGGAGGTGCTATCTCATGCAATTAAAGCAGAAAATGTAAGATATATAAGGATTGGAAATATACAGACAAAGTGTCTATTATTTGCAAATAAGATAATTATCTACCTAAAATTTTTGAACAAATCAACTGGCAGTTGGTACAAGTAATAAGAGTCCTATAGCATGCCTTCACAAATTATCAACATACAAAAATTAAGAGTTCTCTATCCAATATAACTAAATAGAACTTGTAATTTTTGTAATGATTACTGTCATTATGGTAACAGAATGTATTAAGTACCCAGAAATTAAACTCAACAAAAAAAAGTTTAAGGCCAGGCACAGTGGCTCATACCTGCAATCCTAGCAATCTGGGAGTCCAATATGGGAAGATTGCTTGAGCTTAGGAGTTCGAGACCAGCCTGGGAAACATGATGAGACCCCATCTTTACCAAAAATAAAACATAAAAAAATTAGGTGGGTGTGGTGGCATGTGCCTGTGATCCCAGCTACTCAGGAAGCCAAGGTGGGAGGATCCCTTGAGCCCAGCAGGTTCATGCTGCAGTGAGCTGTGTTTGGGCCATTGCACTCCAGTTTGGGCAACAGATTGAGAACCTGTCTTAAAAAAAAAAAAAGAAAAAAAAAGTTGGAGAAAAAGATAAAATTTTATTGAGCTAACTAAAATAAAACAAATAAATGGAGTGATAAACTGTATATATAGATGGGAAAATTCAATATTCTGCAAATGTCCATTCTCCCCCAATTTCATCTAAAATTTGATACTATCCAAGTCCAAATACTAATGGGATTTTGTTTAGAATGTGACAAAACTTTTGTAATATTTTTTATGGAATAGTAAATGTGCAAAAATAGTGAAGACACTTGTAAAAGATGAAGAAAATAAAAAAAATCCAATATATGTGTTACCACACTAAAACACTTCATATGTCTAGAAATTTTAAAATATCATCAAAGAAAGAAGAAATCATAATAAAAATCAGAAAATATTTTACACTGAACAATTATGAAAAAATTACAAATAAAATTTGAGTAATAAAAACAAATAAATGGGCCGGGCCTGGTGGCTCACGCCTGTAATCCCTGCGATTTGGGAGGCCAAGGTAGGTGGATCCCCTGAGGTCAGGAGTTCGAGACCAGCCTGGCCAACATGGTGAAACCCCACCTCTACTAAAAATACAAAAAATTAGCCAGGTGTGATGGCACATGCCTGTAATCCCAGCTACTCAGAAGGCTGAGACAGGAGAATCGCTTGAACCTGGGATGCGGAGGTTGCAGTGGGCCGAGATGGCACCACTGCACTCCAGCCTGGGCAACAAGAGTGAAACTCTGTCTCAAAACAAAGAAATAAATAAATAAAATAAACACATATATTTTTAAATTTGAGACAGGGTCTCCCTCTGTCACCCAGGCTGGAGTGCAGTGGCGCAATTTCAGCTCACTGCAACCTCCGCCTCCCAGGCTCAAGCAATCCTCCCACCTCAGCCCCCCAAGTAGCTCGTACTGCAGGTACAAGCCATCACACCCAGTGAATAATTTTTGTATTTTTTTGTAGAGATGCAGTTTCGCCATGTTGCCCAGGCTGGTCTTGAACTCCTGAGCTCAAGTGATTCACCGACCTCAGGCTCCCAAAGTGCTAGGAATACAGGCACAAGTCACTGCCCCTGGCCAAAGAAATATTTAGATAGAAAATTACACCTTAAAAATAAAATCTGGGCCGGGCGCGGTGGCTCACGCCTGTAATCCCAGCACTTTGGGAGGCCGAGGCGGGCGGATCACGAGGTCAGGAGATCGAGACCATCCTGGCTAACACGGTGAAACCCTGTCTCTACTAAAAGTACAAAAAATTAGCCGGGCGAGGTGGCGGGCGCCTGTAGTCCCAGCTACTCGGGAGGCTGAGGCAGGAGAATGGCGTGAACCCCAGGGGGCGGAGCCTGCAGTGAGCCGAGATTGCGCCACTGCACTCCAGCCTGGGCGACAGCGAGACTCCGTCTCAAAAAAAAAAAAAAAAAAAAAAAATCTGAAAGAAGAAATCTTGAAATTAAATAAGCTAAACATCCATCTCAAGATGTTATAAAAAGGTTGTAAAATAGAAAGCTAAGAGCAAAACTGAGTAAACAGAATATATGCAACAAATAACAAATTTGGTTTTTTGAAAAGACTAATAAAACCAGCAAACTCTAGGCAAGATTGATTAAGTAAAAAAGAACAAAGTTACAAATAACCAACCAATATCAGGAATAAAAGAAAGGATAACTATGGATCTTATAGATTTTTAAGATAATTTGAGGATATTATGAACTAGATATGACAAAAATTTGAAAATTTAGATGAAATGGAAAATTTATTATATTTTGTAACTTAACAAAAATGATTCAAGAAGAAATAGAACAGCCAAATAATTCCCTAAGTGTCAATAAAATTGAATTAGATATTTATTCCCACAAAAACTCCATATCTAGATGGCTTTAATAGTAAATATTACCAAATATTTAAGAAAACATTCACAAATTATTCAACGGAAAAACAGAATACATCCACCAACTCGTTTTATGTCACGTCATCCTATTGTCTTCTGACCTCAATGGTTTTCAATGAGAAATCAACTGTTCATGTTACTGAAAATCTCTGTACATGATAAGTTGCTTCTCTCTTTCTTGCTGCTTTCAAAATTCTCTCCTCGTCTTCGGCTTTCAACAGTTTGATTATTATGTGTCTTAGTGGGATCTCTTTGAATTTATCCTACTTTGACTTTGTTGAACTTCCTGAATGGATAGATTCAGGTTTTTCATAAATTTGTGAAGGTTTGGCCATAATTTCTTCAAATATTCTTTCTTCCCTTTTTCTCTTTCTTCTTCCTCTGTGGATTCCATAATAAATATATTGATATGCTTGATAGTATCTTAGGGGGGCCTTAACTTCTGTCCAATGTTTTATTTGTAATTCTTTTTTAAATGTTTTTAAATTAATTTTTTTATTTCAATATTTTTTGGGGAACAATAGTTTTTGGGTGTTTGGTTACATGGATAAGTTGTTTAGTAGTAATTTCTGAGATTTTGGTGCGTCCATCACCCGAGCAGTGTACACTGTACCCCGTGTGTAGTCTTCTGTCCCTCACCTCCCTCTCATCCTTTCCCTAGAGTCCCCAAAGTCCATTATATCATTCTTATGCCTTTGCATCCTTGTAGCTTAGCTCCCACTTATAAGTGAGAACATATGATGTTTGATTTTTGATTCCTGTGTTACTTCACTTACAATAATGGTCTCCAACTCCATCCAGGTTGCTGTGAATGCCATTATTTTGTTCCTTTATATGGCATATATATATATGGCATTTGGGTTGGTTCCATATTTTTACAATTGTGAATTGTGCTGCTATAAACATGCGTGTGCAAATGCATTTTTCATATCATGACTTATTTTCCTCTGGGTAGACACCTAGTAGTGGGATTGCTGGATCAAATGGTAGTTCTAATTTTAGTTCTTTAAGGAATATCCACACTGTTTTCCATAGTAGTGTTACTAGTTTACATTCTCACCAGCAGTATAAAAGGGTTCCCTTTTCACCACCTCCATGACAACATCTATTATTTTTTTACTTTATAATTATGGCCATTCTTGCAGGAGTAAGGTGGTATCACATTGTGGTTTTAATTTCTATTTCCCTGATAGTTATTGATGCTGAGCATTTTTTCATATGTTTGTTTGCCATTTGTATATCTTCTTTTGAGAATTCTCTCTTCATATCCTTAGCCTACATTTTGACGGGATTATTTGCTTTTACTTGCTGATTTGTTTGAGTTCCTTTTAAATTCTAGACATTAGTCCTTTGTTGGATGCATAGTTTATAAATATTTTCTCTCACTCTGTGTGCTGTCTGTTTGCTGATTGTTTGTTGTTGTTGTTGTTGTACAGAAGCTTTTTAGTTTAATTAGGTCCTATCTATTTATCTTTGTTTTTGTTGCATTTCCTTTTGGGGTCTTGGTCGTGAGCTGTTTGCCTAAGCCAATGTCTAGAAGAGTTTTTCTGATGTTATCTTCTAGAATTTTCATGGTTTCAGGTCTTAGATTTAAGTATTGGACCCATCTTGAGTTGATTTTTGTATAAGGTAAGAGATGAAGATCCAGTTTCATTCTTCTACATGTGGCTTGCCAATTATTCTGGCACCATATTTTGAATAGGGTGTCTTTTCCCTAATTTATGTTTTTGTTTGCTTCATCAAAGATCAGTTGGTTGTAACTATCTGGCTTTATTTCTGGGTTCTATATTCTGTTCCATTGGTCTACATGCCTATTTTTATACCAGTACCATGCTGTTATGGTAAATATAGCCTTATAGTACAGTTTGAAGTTGGATAATGTGACGCCTCCAGATTTGTTCTTTTTGCTTAGCATTGCTTTGGCTATGCAGGCTCTTTTTTGGTTCCCTACGAATTTTAGGATTTTTTTTCTAGTACAGTGAAGAATGATGGTGGTATTTTGATGGGAATTGCATTGAATCTGTAGACTGCTTTTGACAATATGATCATTTTTACAATATTGATTCTACCCATCTAAGAGTGTGGGATGTGTTTCTATTTGTTTATCTGTTATTTCTTTCAACAGCGTTTTATAGTTTTCCTTGTAGAGATCTTTCACCTCCTTGGTTAGGTGTATTTCTAAGTTTTTTTTTTTTCTTTTTTGTCAGCTGTTGTAAAAGGGTTTGGGCTCTTGGCCGGGTGCAGTGGCTCAAGCCTGTAATCCCAGCACTTTTCCAGCACGAGGCAGGAGGGATCACCTGAGGTCGGGAGTTCGAGACCAGCCCTACCAACATGGAGAAACCCCATCTCTACTAAAAATACAAAATTTGCCGGGCGTGGTGGTGCATGCCTGTAATCCCAGCTACTCGGGAGGCTGAGGCTGGAGAATCGCTTGAACCCAGGAGGCAGAGGTTGCGGTGAGCCGAGATCATGCCACTGCACTCCAGCCTGGGCAACAAGAGCGAAACTCTGTCTCAAAAAAACAAAACAAAACAAAACAAAAACAACAAAATGAAAAACTGGGGTTTGAGTTCTTGATTTGATTCTCAGCTTGGTTGCTGTTGGTGTATAGCAGTGCTACTAATTTGTATACACTAATATTGTATTCTGAAACTTTATAGTATTCATTTATCAGATCTAGGAGCTTTTTGGATGAGTCTTTAGGGTTTTCTAGGTATAGGATCATATAATCAGTGAACAGCAACAGTTTAACTTCCTCTTTACTGATTTGGATGCCCTTTATTTCTTTCTCTTGTCTGATTGCTCTGGCTAGGACTTCCACTACTATGTTGAGTAGAAGTGGTGAAAGTGGGCATCCTTGTCTTGTTCCAGTTCTCAGGGGGAATGCTTTTAACTTTTTCCCCGTTCAGTATACTGTTGGCTGTGGGTTTGTCATACATGGATTTTATTACCTTGAGGTATGTCCCTTCTGTGTTGATTTTGCTGAGGGTTTTAATCATAAAAGGATGCTGGATTTTGTCAAATGCTTTTTCTGCATCTACTGAGATGATCATATGATTTTTGTTTTTAATTCTGTTTATGTGATGTATCATAAATATTGACTTGCATATGTTGAACAATCCTTGCATCTCTGGGATGAAACCCACTTGATAAGCCAGGCGTGTTGGCTCATGCCTGTAATCCCAGCACTTTGAAAGGCCAAGGCAGGTGGATTGCTTGAGGTCAGGAGTTTGAGACCAGCCTGGCCAACATGGTGAAACCCCGTCTCTACTAAAATACAAAAAATTAGCCGGGCGTGGTGGCGGTGCCTGTAGTCCCAGCTACTAGGGAGGCTGAAGCAGGAGACTTGCTTGAATCCATGGGGTGGAGGTTGCAGTGAGCTGAGATTGCACCACTGCACTCCAGCCTGGGTGACAGAGCAAGACTCCATCTCAAAAAAATAAATAAATAAAATAAAAAAGGAAAAAAGAAACCCATTTTCTCATGGGGTATTACCTTTTTGATATGTTGTTGAATTTGGTTAGCGAGTATTTTGTTGAGGATTTTTGCATCTATATTCATCAGAGATTTTGGTCTGTAATTTTCTTTTTCTTTTTTTTTGTTATGTCCTGTCCTGGTTTTGGTATTAGGGTGATACTGGCTTCATAGAATGATTTAGGGAGGATTCCCTCTTTCTCTGTTTTTCTGAATAGTTTCAGTAGAATTGGTACCAATTCTTCTTTGAATGTCTGATAGAATTCAGCTGTGGATCCATCTGGTCATGGATTTTTTTTGTTGACGATTTTTAAATTACTGTATCAATCTCACTACTTGTTATTGGTCTGTTCAAGAGTTTCTATTTCTTCCTGGTTTAATCTATGAGGATTGTAGATTTCCAGGAATTTATCCATCTCCTCTAGGTTTTCTAGTCTGTGCATGTAAAGGTGTTCAAAGTAGCCTTTAATGATTTTTTGCATTTCTGTGGTATTGGTTGCAAAATCTCCCATTTCATTTCTAACTGAGCTCATTTGGATATTCTCTCTTCTGGGTTAATTTAGCTAATGGCCCATCAATTTTGTTTATCTTCTCAAAGAACAAGTTTTTTGTTTCATTCGTCTTTTTTTTTTGTTTGTTTCAATTTCATTTAGTTCTGCTCTGATCTTTGTTATTTCTTTGCTTCTGCTGGATTTGGGTTTGATTTGTTCTTTTTTCTCTATTTCCTTGAGATATGACCTTAGATTGTCTATTTGTCCTCTTTCAGACTTTTGATATAGGCATTTAATGCTATGAATTTTCCTTTTAGCACTGCTCTTACTGTATTTCAGAGGTTTTGATAGGCTGTGTCACTATTATCTTTCCATTCAAAGAATGTTTTAATTTCCCTCTTGATTCCATTGTTGACCCAAAGATCATTCAGGAGCAGATTATTTAATTTGTATATTTGTATAGTTTTGAGGGTTCCTTAGGAGTTACTTTCCAATTTTATCCCACTGTGGTCTGAGAGGGTACTTGATATCATTTCAACTTTCTTAAATTTGTTGAGACTTGTTTTGTGGCCTACCATATGGTCTCTCTTGGAGAGTGTTCCATGTGCTGATGAAAAGAATGTATATTCTGCAGTTGTTAGGTAGAATGTTCTGTAAATATCTGTTAAGTCCATTTGTTCTAAGGTATAGTTGAAGTCCATTGTTTCTTTGTTGACTTTCTGTCTTGATGACCAGGGTAGTGCTGTCAGTAGAGTATTACAAGCCCCCCACTATTATTGTGTTGCTGTCTATCTCATTTCTTAGATCTAGTAGTAATCATTTAATAAATCTGGGAGCTCCAAAGTTAGGTGCATATATATTTAAGATTGTGATATATTCCTGTTGGACTAATCCTTTTATCATTATAAATGTCCCTCTACGTCTTTTAAAACTGTTGTTGCTTTAAAGTCTGCTTTGTCTAATATAAGGATGGCTACTCCTGCTTTCTTTTGGTTTCCATCTACATGGAATATCTTTTTCTACCCCTTTACCTTAAGTTTATGTGAGTGAGTCCTTATGTGTTAAGTGAGTCTCTTGAAGACAGCAGATACTTGGTTGATGGATTTTTATCCATTCTGTCATTCTGTATCTTTTAAGTGGAACATTTAGGCCATTTACATTCAACGTTAGTATTGAGATGTGAAGTACTGTTTCATCTATTGTGCTAGATACCTTGTTTCTTTTTTCATTGTGTTATACCTTGCTTTTTTTTCATTGTATTATTGTTTTATATACTCTGTGAGATTTATGCTTTAAGGCAGTTATATTTTGGTGTATTTTGAGATTTTTGCTTCAAGATCTAGAATTCCTTTTAGCATTTCTTGTAGTGCTGGCTTGGTATTAGAGCATTCTCTCAGCATTTGTCTGAAAAAGACTTTATATCTCCTTCATTTATGAAGCTTAGTTTTGTTGGATACAAAATTCTCAGCTGATAATTATTTTGTTTGAGGAAGCTAAAGATAGGACTCCACTCCTTTTTGGCTTGTTGGGTTTCTGCTGAGAAATCTGCTGTTAATCTGATAGGTTTTCCTTTATAGGTTACCTGATGCTTTTGCCTCACAGCTCTTAAGATTCTTTCCTCTATCTTGAATTTAGATAACCTGATGATTATGTGCGCAGGTGATGATCTTTTTGTCATGAATTTCCCAGGTGTACTTTGCACTTCTTGTATTTGGATGTCTAGATCTCTAGCAAGGCCAGGGAAGTTTTCCTTGATTATTTCCTCAAATTTGCTTTCCAAATTTGTAGATTTCTCTTATTCCTCAGGAACATCAATTATTCTTAGGCTTGGTCATTGTATTTGTCCATTTTCATGCTGCTGATAAAGACATAACCAAGACTGGGAAGAAAAAGAGGTTTAATGGACTTACAGTTCCACGTGGCTGGAGAGGCCTCAGAATCGTGGCTGGAGGTGAAAGGCACTTCTCACATGGTGGCAGCAAGAAAAAATGAGGAAGATGCAAAAGCAGAAACCCCTGATAAAACCATCAGATCTTGTGAGACTTATTTACTGCCATGAGAGAACAGTATAGGGGAACCACCCCCATGTTTCAAATTATCGCCCATCACGTTTCTCCCACAACACATGGGAATCATGGGAGTACAATTCAAGATGAGATTTGGGTGGGGACACAGAGCCAAACCATATCATTCCACCCCAAACCCCTCCAAATCTCATGTCCTCACATTTCAAAACCAATCATGCCTTCCCAACAGTCCCCCAAAGTCTTAACTCATTTCAGCATTAACCCAAAAGTCCACAGTACAAAGTCTCATCTGAGACAAGGCAAGTCCCTTCTGCATATGAGCCTGTAAAATCAAAAGCAAGCTAGTTACTTCCTAGATACAATGTGGGTACACATATTAGGTAAATACAGCTGCTCCAAATGGGAGAAATTGGCCAAAACAAAGGGTTTACAGGGCCCATGCAAGTCTGAAATCCAGAGGGGCAGTCTAATTCTAAAGCTCCAAAATGATCTCCTTTGACTCCATTTCTCACATCCAGGTCATGCTGATGCAAGAGGTAGTTTCCCATAGTCTTGGGCAGCTCCACCCCTGTGGCTTTGCAGGGTATAGCCCCCTTCCTGGCTGCTTTCATGGGCTGGCATTGAGTGTCTGCAGCTTTTCCAGGCACACGGTGTAAGCTGTCAGTGGATCTACCATTCTGGGGTCTGGAAGATGGTGACCCTCTTCTCACAGCTCCACTAGGTGGGTGCCCGAGTAGGGACTCTGTGTCAGGACTCTGACCCCACATTTCCCTTCTGCACTGCCCTAGCAGAGGTTCTCCATGAGGGCCCCACCCTTGCAGCAAACTTTTGCCTGGGCATCCAGGTGTTTCCATAAATTTTCTGAAATCTAGGTGGAGGTTCCTAAACCTCAATTCTTGACTTCTGTGCACCTGCAGCCTCAACACCACATGGAAGCTGCCAAGGTTTGGGGCTTGCAACCTCTGAAACCATGGGCCAAGCTGTACCTTGGCCCCTTTTAGCAACAGTTGGAGCGGCTGGGACACAGGGCACCAAGTCCCTAGGCTGCACACAGCGTGGGGACTCGGGGCCCAGCCCACTAAACCATTTTTTCCTCCTAGCCTTCTGGGTCTGTGATGGGAGGGGCTGCTGTGAAGACCTATGGCATGCCCTGGAGACATTTTCCCCATTGTCTTGGGGATTAACATTTGGCTCCTTGTTACTTATGCAAATTTCTGCAGCCAGCTTGAATTTCTCCTCAAAAAATGGTTTTTTCTTTTCTACTGCATTGTCAGGTTGCAAATTTTCTGAACTGTTATGCTCTGTTTCCCTTTTAAAATGCAATGCTTTTAACAGCACCCGAGTCACCTCTTGAATGCTTTGCTGCTTAGAAGTTTCTTCCACCGGATACCTTAAATCATCTCTTTCAAATTCAAAGTTACACAAATCTCTAGGTCAGGGGCAAAATGCCATCAGCCTCTTTGCTAAAACATAACAAGAATCACCTTTGCTCCAGTTCCCAAGAAGTTCCTCATCTCCATCTGAGACCACCTCAGCCTGGATCCTATTGTTCATATCACTATCAGCATTTTTGTCAAAGCCGTTCAACACGTCTCTAGGAAGTTCCAAAATTTCCCACATTTTCCTCTTTTCTTCTGAGTCCTTCAACTGTTCCAGCCTCTGCCTGATACCCAGTCACATTTTTGGGTATCTTTTCACAACACCCAATTCCTGGTACCAACGTACTGTATTAGTCCATTTTCATGCGGCTAATAACAGCATACCCAAGACTGGGAAGAAAAAGAGTTTTAATTGGACTTACAGTTCTGCATGTCTCGGGAGGCCTTGGAATCATGGCTGGAGGTGAAAGGCACCTCTTATATGGCAGCTGCAAGAGAAAATGAGGAAGATGCAAAAGCAGAAACCCCTGATAAAGCCATCAGAGCTCGTGAGTCTTATTCACTACCACGAGAGAACAGTGTGGGAGAAACCACCTCCATGATTCAAATTATCTCCCACCGGGTCCCTCCCACAACATGTGGGAATTCAAGATGAGCTTTGGGTGGGGACACAGAGCCAAACTGTATCAGTCATTTAACATAATCCTAACTTTCTTGGAGTCTTTGTTCAATATTTTAAAATTCTTTTTTCTTTGTCTTTGTCTGATTGTGTTAATTCAAAAACCTTGGCTTCAAGCTCTGAAGTTCTTTCTTCTACATATTCTAGTCTATTATTGAAACTTTTCAGTGTATTTTGTATGTCTCTAAGTGTGTCTTTCATTTCAAGAAGTTGTGATTGTTTTTTCTTTATGATATTTATTTCTCTGGAAAATTTGTCATCCATATCCTGTATTTTCTTTTAATTTCTTTACATTATTTTTTAACTTTCTCTGGTATCTCCCTGAGTAGCTGAATAATCAACCTTCTGAAATCTTTATCTGGCAATTCAGAGATTTCTTCTTGGTTTGAATCCATTGCTGGGGAGCTACTGTGATCTTTTGGGCATGTTATAGAACCTTGTTTTGTTATATTACCAGAATTACTTCCCTGGTTCCTTCTCATTTGGGTAGACTATTTCAGTGGAAAGATCTGGAACTCAAGGGCTGCTGTTCAGATTCTTTTGTCCCACAGGGTGATCCCTTGATGTGGTGCTCTCCCCCTTTCCCTAGGGATTGGGCTTCCTGAGAGTTGGACTGCAGTGATTGTTATTGCTCTTTTGGGTTTAGCCACCTAGTGAGGCTACCAGGCTCTGGGCTGGTGCTGGAGAATGTCTGCAAAGAATCCTGTGATGTCATCCATTTTCAGGTCTCCCCACTGTGGATACCAGCACCTGCTCTATTGGAGGTGGCAGAGGAGTGAAGTAAACTGTAATAGTCCTTGGTTATAGTTTTGTTTAGTGTGCTGGTTTTGTCGAATGCTGGTTATTCCAGCAGTGAAGTTGTCATGTGGACAGACTCAGGACCTCTGGTAGGCCAGGATGTTGCAGGCAGTGGAATTAGCTGTTGTTTTAGCTTTCCTTGGAGTAGGGTTATTCTGTCATGAGTTCTGTAATGGCTTGAGTTGGTTGACCTCCAGCCAGGAGGTGGCACTTTCAAGAGAGCACCAGCTGCAGTAGTAGAAGGGGGATTATAAGCGTGCCCTAAATTGGCCAGGATAAATATTTGGGTTTCTCAGGTGATGGGCAGGGACATAAAGCTCCCAAGAATTTGTGTCTTTTGTGTTCAGCAACCAGGGTGGGTAGAGAAAAAACATCAGGTGGGGGCAGGGTTAGGTGGGTTTGAGCTCAGTTTCTCCTTGGGCAGGGCTTGTTGCAGCCACTGTGGGAGATGGGTGATGGTTCTCAGGCCAATGGAGTTACGTTCCAAGGGAGAATATGGTTGCCCCTGTTGCGTAACACAAGTCACTAGGGAAGTGAGGGAAAGCCAGCAGTGACAGGCCTCATCCAAATCCCACATAGCCAACAAGGCCGGTCTCACTCCCACTGTGCCCTGCCAACAGTGCTGAGTTTACATCTAGGATCCCCAGGCATGTGCATGGGGCTCAGACCTTGCCCCAAACTATGAGCCTCCCTGCTGAGAAAGTAAGTATGGCTTTCAGGCCTTGCCCTTCCCCACCTGTCCACACAATTGGCTGTGGCTCCTGCAGCAATTCCCATTTGCCCCCCAGATTCTGCTCAGGAAAATTTGTGCTCAGTCAAAATTATTACAAATTTCAGTACTGGGTGTGGTGGCTCATGCCTGTAATCCCAGCACTTTGGGAGGCCAACGTGGGTGTATCACCTGAGGTCAGGAGTTCGAGGCCAGCCTGGCCAACATGGTGAAACCCTGTCACTACTAAAAATACAAAAATTAGCCAGGTGTGGTGGCACATGCCTGTAATCCAAGCTACTCAGGAGGCTGAGGCAGGATATCACTTGAACCCAGGAGGCAGAGGTTGTAGTGAGGCGAGATCACGGCACTGCACTCCAGCCTGGGCAACAAAGCAAGACTCCTTCTCAAAAAGAAAAAAATTACTAAATTTAGTTGGAAGCTTCTTTCACCCTACCTAGTGACCCCTACCTAGTTCCGCTGCACGCCTTCCCCAAGGACCCCTGTGAGGCAGAGTCAGGGATGGCTTACCTAGGCTTGAGCTGGGGACTGGGAGTACCTACAGGGCTCTTCTCATTGCTTCTTGTATTTTAATATTTTGCTCAGCTCCCTAAATCCATTCCAACTCTAGGTAAGGTTAAATTATTCTCCTGTGATCTGGATTTTCAGGTTCCCCAGTGAGGATGTGTGTTCCGAGGCAGGTTTTCCCCTCTCATACTTTGGGAACTCAGGTTTTTAGCTGTCTCACACAGTTTGCAGCCATGAGCCGCTTCTTCCACAGGATCTGTGAACTCTTTCGGTCTTCCTGGCACATTCCTGCTGTGGTTCTTGGAGCAAAAGTACACAGTGTGAGCTTCCACATGCTGTTCTGTCTGTCCAAGTGGGAGATGCACATTAGTCCTGTCTCCTATCTATCATGTTCTCATTCTTCTTTCTAGTCTTCAGATGAATAACTTCAATTGTTCGCTGATCTTCTTCTGCTTGCTCATTCTCTTGCTAAACCCCCATGGTGAAATTTTTTTTCAGCTATTGCAGTTTTCAGCTTCAGAATTTCTATTTGGTTTCTTTTTATAATTTCTACCTCTTTATTGCTATTCTCTATTTGTTCATATGTTGTTTTCTTGGTTTCCTGTTGTTCTTTTGTTCAGGATTTTCTTTAGTTATTTGAGCATATTTAAGATAGTGGATTTAAGTCTCTCTTTAGTAAGTTTAATGTCTGGGATTTTATAGGGATGGTGTTAGGTCCACGACTATGCCAAATGTCCACTCAGGGTCAGGTTCTGGCCCATGCTGAGGTCTGAGGGGAGTGGGTGGATGGGCATTTAGCTGAAAGAACACTCGGGGGGCCGTAGGCAGGTGAATATTGTTTTATTCAGAAGCAGCTCTCATCAACAGCTTTCTCATCAGCAGCTTACTTACACCAGCTTTCTCACACTGTCTGTCTTTATCTCAGCTCTCTGCTCTGGCTCTGCGGCCCCTGCCTTCCCCATGTCTGTAGGGGCACGGCCAGTTCTCCCTTGCTTTCAGGGTCGGCAGCTTAACTCTCTCTCTCTGGGCACCAGCGTGAGCCATGCCATGGCTCGTCTGCAAGACAGACAGCTCTGGTTCTCCCTCTCTCTTTCTCTGGGCACCAGCACCATGTCAAGCCATGCCTGAGAGCCCTGTGCACAGTGTCAGCAAGGCAATTATACCTTCTACAGACAGTTATACCTTCTACAGGCTTTGAGCCAAGTATGAACTTAACACAAACAGGTTATATAACAAATGGAGGTGTGCGCCTATGCACCAATCCTGCTGTGTCATGCAGGCCTGGATGTCTGCCTCAGCCTATTCCTTGACTAAAGCACATCCACGTACCTTACAGATGGTTTCTGTGAATTTATTTTTTTCCCTTGTGAGTGGGCCATACTTTCCTGTTTCTTTGCATGCCTTGTAATTATTTTGCTGAGAACTGGACATTTTGAATATTATAATGTGGAACTCTGGAAATAAGACTCTACCCAAGGCTTTAATTTTCATTATTGAGGGCAGCCATCCACTTGTTTAATGAGTTTCCAAATTGTTTTTGCAAAGACTGTATTCTTTGTCAAGTGTGCTCATTGAACTCTCTGTTTTGTTATCTTAGCAATTGACTAGTGACCTGAAAGAGATTTCCTTAAATACCTAGAGACAGAAAAAAAAGAAAAAGAAAAACACCCACAAAACCACAAGACTGTGCCTCTGGTCTTTGCATTCTGGCTCTAAGCTAGGACACTCCTTCAATGCTAAGCCAAGCTGATGGCAACCCTACCTTAGCCTTCACTTCTTGCTTGTGTGGAGTCCAAAGATCAGCCACAAGTGTAAGTCTAGGATCCTCTTAAGCCTTTTCTGATCACGCATCTGGGCCTGTGCATGTATACTATACTCCAGATTCCCCAGTATATGCTGTAGCCCTCCAAAGCTCTTATTCCCCCAAGAATCTTCCTCCTCATTCTCAGGTTTTTGGATCTGTCTGTTGCTTGCCTCATCCTCCATTTCTTGCCCCAGGCAGCGGTGGATAGTGTATGTCTTTAAATATTTCCATCAGATCCTGTGCAGGAAGCCCTCCAACCTGAGGAGGTAAAATTAAGGGTCAGCTTCCAGGTCAGTCTCTTACAGCAGGGGTCCCCAACCCCAAGGCTATGGACCAATACTGGTCAGTGGCCTGTTAGGAACTGGGCTTGGGCTGCATAGCAGGAGGTGAGCGGTCATTGAGTGAAACTTCATCTGTATTTATAGTCTTTCTGCATTGCTTGCATTACCACCTGAGTCCCGCCTCCTGTCAGATCAATGGCAGGATTAGATTCTCATAGGACCACAAACCCTACTGTGAACTGCACATGTAAGAGATCTAGGTTGTGCATTCCTTACGAGAATCTAATGCCTGATGATCTGTCACTGCCTCCCATCACCCCCAGATGGGACTGTCTAGTTGCAGGAAAACAAGCTCAGGGCTTCCACTGATTCTACATCATGGTGAGTTGTATAATTAATTTTTTACATATTACAGTGTAATGATAATAGAAACAAAATACACAACAAACGTAATGTGCTTGGATCATCCTGAAACCATCCCCCATCCCAGTTCATGGAAAAATTGTCCACAAAACTGGTCCCTGGTGCCAAAAACATTGGGAACTGCTGCCTTAGAGAATGCAGAAACCGGTCAAATGCATAACCAAAATGTTTTGAGAACAAGGTCATAGTGCTGAGCCTGGGACCAGCAAGCTGCATCAGAACACAAGCCACCATCCATAAGACTACCACCAGGCTGGGGAGTAGAGGATGCTAGGTGGGCAAGCAAAATCCCCCATAATTCTTTCCTATCAAAATTCAGCTGCCTCTTTCTTTATTAAGCACTCCCTGGTTGACTTAAATATTTTATTAGACTCCAGAGTCTGAAATGTCGATTCTGTCATTTTTTGCCATTTAATGTTTGCTTCAGTAGAGGGACCAATTCTTGGCGCTCCCTATTCTGCTAATTCTGTGATGTCGTTTCTGTTACAACTACTTTAGAAAACAATTTGGAAACATAAATTTCTTCAGATTTATGTAGTAAATCTGTAAACCAACAACTCTACTCTGTTGACATTCCAGAGCTGTGTTTCTCAAATGGGGCAATTTTGCCGCTCTGTGGACATTTGGAAATGCCTGGAGACATTTTTTGATTTTCACAACTGGGGTGCACCATTAGCATCTAGTGGGTAGAGATCATGGATGTTGTGAAACATCTTACATTACACAGGACTACCCTCTCCCTCCAGCCTCCAGCAACAAAGATTTATCCGGCCCTACATGTTAAAAGAGCTAAGATTGATAAACCATCATCTAGAGAAATGTGTCCATGTACACTAGGAGAATGCTCATAGCTTCATCATTTATAAGAGTCCTAAATGGGAAATGATCCAAATGCCTATCAACAGTAGAAGGGATAAATATATTCTTGTGTGCATTCAGTGAGATACTTTATAGCTATAAAAATGTAGTACAAACACTTATAAAGAACTACAAGAAAGTACTTGGCACAGTGGCATGCACCTGTAGTCTCAGCTACTGAGAAGGCTGAAGTGAAGGATCACTTGAGCCCAGGAGCTCGAGGCCAACCTGGGCAACATAGCCAGACATCGCTCTCCAAAAAAACAAAAATAAATGAATAAGGAAATGCAAGAAAATGATTTCCATAAATTTCACGACAGTGATCACCTATAGGGTAAAAGTTGAAGGGGGAATTCAGATTAGGAGAGTAGACATGAGGATCATCTGGGTTGCTGGTGATGTTCTATTTCTTGAACTGGATGGTGTTTATATAAGGGTTCACTTTAACAAAATGTACGTTTGTATTCTATTACTTGTATTTATATCTCATAATAAAAAGATAAAAATAAAGGCTGTCAGTAGTTACAGTATTTATTTTCTATTATACTCCCTACTCTATCAAGTCATATTCTTACTCGGATCTTCAAACTGACCATAGTCCCAGCACAGATGTTCATTCATTCAATCATCGGTATTTACCGAACATCTACTGTAAGTCAGGAACTGTTCTAAACACTAGGAATACACAATGGAACAAGATAGACATCTTGCATTCCAGAGCGGGGAGACAGGAAGTAATTAATAAACAAAAAGGTATAAAAGATAATTTTGAGGGGGGCTAAGTACTTTGAGAACAAGGCAGAGTTAAATGAGAGAGGCTGACTGAAGTGAGAGTGACCGGAATGAGCTATTTTAGGTCAGTAAAGGCTTTTGCGAAGATGACAATTGAGGAGATAACTGACCTGTATCAAATGAAGGAAGGGCCTACATGAAGTTCTGCAGGAAGAATATTCCATATAAAGGAAGCAGATATTATTGAGGCTTTTAAGTACAAAAGTATTTGATGCGTTTGAGGAACCTCAGGAAATAAAAGTGTGGTTAGTGTGGCGTGAATGAGGGAAGAGTGACAGGAGATGGAGTTGGTGCAGTGGGCAAGGCCTCCATCGTGTACCATTTTGGTAGACCATGGAAAGCATTTGTATTTTTTTCTTTTTCTTTTTTCTTTTTTTTTGGACACAGAGTCTTGCTCTGTCACCCAGGCTGGAGTGCAGTGGCGCGATCTCCACTCACTGCAACCTCTGCCTCCCGTGTTCAAGTGATTCTTCTGCCTCAGCCTCCCAAGTAGCTGAGACTACAGGCGCCCGTCACCACACCTGGCTAATTTTTGTGTTTCTAGTAGAGATGGGGTTTCACCATGTCAGCCAGGCTGGTCTCGAATTTCTGACCTCAGGTGGTCCTCCCACCTCGGCCTCCCAAAGTGCTGGGATTACAGGCGTGAGCCACCTTGCCCGGCCTGTATTTTTTTTTAAGTGCTATGAGAAGCCACTGAAAATGCTGCTATTGTGTAGGATGCAGGAGGGAAGACATGGGGTCATAGTCCACTTGTGCTGCTATAACAAAATACCACAGGACTGTGTAATTTATAAACAAAAGAAATTTATTTTTCATAGTTCTGGAGGCTGGGAAGTCTAAGATCAATGGGCTGGCCGATTTGGTGTCTGGTGAGGGCTGCTCTGCTTCCAAGATGGTGTCTTGTTGCTGCATCCTCTGGAGGATTGCTGTGTCCTCACCTGGCAGAAGGGATGAAAAGGCAAAAAGGGGCTGAATTCACTCCCTCAGGCTCTCTTATAAGGGCATTAATCCCATTCATGAGGACAGAGCTCTCACGGCCTACTCCCCTCCTTGAGGTCCTCTTCCTAAAACTGTCACATTTTATATGTTTTCATATAAAGTTTGAAGGGGACACAAACATTCAAATCATAGCACATATGGAGATGAATTTGGGTGAGACAATAGTGGTTGTGAGGTGGAGATGTTGTAGAGTGGATAGATTGAGAATTTAAGGTGGAGTCAAGAATATGTGATAATGGACTGGAAGTGAGGTGTGAGGAAACAGCGGAATCAGGGACAATTCCTAGGTTTTTGTCTTAACAATCAAGGGGATAGTAGGGACTTTCGCTTTGAGAAGACTGGGGAGTAAGAAACTTGGATCAAGAGGTTAATTAGGGCCATATTACGTTGTGATGTCTATTAGGCACTCCGGGGGAGATGTCAGGTCAGCTGTTGAATATGATTCTTCTTCACAGATTTTTTTTTACACTTTAAAATTCTTTTTCTCTTTTTTGTAACTTTTTTTGTTGTTGTTTTTATTTTGTCATTTTTTTCTGCTTCTAACACACCAAAACTCACTCCTTCCTTCCTTCCTTCCTTCCTTCCCTCCCTCTCTATTTCTTTCTTTTTTTTTTTTTTTTTGAGACAGAGTCTCACTCTGTTGCCCAGGCTGGAGTGCAGTGGCACGATCTTGGCTCACTGCAAGCTTCACCTCCTGGGTTCACGCCATTCTCCTGGCTCAGCCTCCAAGTAGCTGGGACTACAGGCACCCGCCACCATGCCGGCTAATTTTTTGTATTTTTAGTAGAGACGGGGTTTCACCGTGTTAGCCAGGATAGTCTCAATCTCCTGACCCCTTGATCCATGGGCCTCGGCCTCCCAAAGTGCTGGGATTACAGGCGTGAGCCACCGCGCCCGGCCTTTCTCACTCTTTCTTTCTTTCGAGTCAGGGTCTTGCTATGTTGCCCAGGCTGGTCTCAAACTCCTGGCCTCAAGCAATCCTCCTGCTTCAGCCTCCCAAAGTGCTGGAACTACAAGTGTCCCATCGCACTGGGTCCTTCTTCATAGAGTTAATGGACTAGATTTCAGGATATCTAGAGTTCCCTTCAACCATATTAAAAACATTCAACAAATTGCCAGTTGATTTAATGAATTAGACAACATGCATAGAATGCTATTCCATTAAGTGGTATGCAAAGATAATAATTTTTTTTTTTTTTTTGAGACGGAGTCTTGCTCTGTCGCCCAGGCTGGAGTGCAGTGGTGTGATCTCAGCTCACTGCAAGCTCCACCTCCCGGGTTCACGCCATTCTCCTGCCTCAGCCTGCCGAGTAGCTGGGACTACAGGCGTCCCCCACCATGCCTGGCTAATTTTTTGTATTTTTAGTAGAGATGGGGTTTCATCGTGTTAGCCAGGATGGTCTTGATCTCCTGACCTCGTGATCCGCCCGCCTCGGCCTCCCAAAGTGCTGGGACTACAGGCGTGAGCCACTGCGCCTGGCCCCAAGATAATCATTTTTAATCTAAAAAAGTAGATTATAAAACAGTTACCTATGGTTTGCCACCATTTTTAAGAATACAGTATATTATAACAACTCATTGGAAGCTTGAAGCAGATAGAATGGAATCTGAGCAGTAGCTACTTCAGGTGCTGGGGTGAGTGTCGTTTTATCCTTTTAAATTCTTGTTATTGGTAATTTAAAATGTTTTCAATAATCATGCATTACCTGTATAACGTTTTTTTTAAAAAAAAAAAAATCCATGGTCTCTTTCAGCTGGGCAGTCTGCGGCTGGGTAATCTGTCAGGTGAGGGACATCAAGGTGATCAGACTGAGAGGATGGACCAGATACGAAGTGGGAGAGGCGAAGAGGCCCAGTTCCAGGGCCGGGGGCGAGGGGTGGGCGGTCCAAAGGGCACCGCCCCTGCGGGTCACGTGCTCGCCGACCACCAATGGCCGCCTCCGAGCCCACCTTGGGGACGGGGCGGGGCGCCTGGCTGGCGTCACCAGGACAACGGGCGTCGCCGGCGCCGTGTGACTTCGGGCTGTGGGCTCGCTCGCGGCTCTTCGGCCATGGTGAGTCTGGGACCCGCGTCTGCCTAGCTGCCCCGCCCTACCCCTACCGGGCTGGGTCCGCACGCCGCCGCCCGCTAGGGTCGGGCAGGCGGCGCAGGGGTCGTGGAGAGGCCGGGCCGCGGCCTGCGAGGCTGCTGGGCAGGGCAGGGCTGGGCGGGCCCGGGGAGGGGTAACCTGGGGGATTCAGAGCGCCCGCCTGCCGGGGGGCGACCGCGATGCAGCGTTCCCTGCCGCTGGAGTCGGGGTGACAGCCCGGACCCCCACCCAGTGGGCCGCCGGACGACGTGACGCTGTTTGGCCCGAGAGAGCCTGGGAAGCCACCCAAGGAGGGTGTGGTTAAAAAAAAAAATCTTGTATATGGATATCATATGTATTTATATTTACACTAAAGCAGTCTATATGCCTCCAGTTTTGTTTCTATGCAGTTATGTGTAACTAATATAAGACATATATCTTCCTTTCAAAATCAGCATTCTGATAGGTTTTTTAGCACGTGGAAATTAAAATTTTTGATTTTAGAGACCCCTCCCCTCCTTTCTAAAAAATAGAGGGCATTAAGCTGGAGGGTTTTTTTTTCTGAGTGCCGCACCCTCACTAAGGGATTTAATTAATTCATAATTAGTGCATTGTAAACGTCTTAAATCATTACCTTTGTTCAGTTAACTTCAGACGGCGTGGGCATAACACCTGGCCCCCTTTAAGCTCGTTTTAAAAACGTTGCTCGGTTTCACTCGGCGGAGGTGCTGGCTTGAACAGACAAGTTCAGAGAATTGCCAACCGAAGGCATAATTCTCCAGAGGCCTTCACGGGGTGTAAGAGAAGAGAGGAGCTAGACTCCTTGCTTGGGGACACACCCTTGGTATAGAATACTTGAGGAGGTATGGCGGTAGGTGTAGGTAATAGGGAAATACTTAGTTTTGTTTTAACCATGAGTAATTAAGTGGAGATTTTCTCCTTATCTGCAGGAGTTTAGTGGAAGTGCTGATGAGCTGAGAATGCAGGGTGCTCCCCGAGTGCCAGCTGGCCTCATGGAGAAAAAACTATCATTAGGAATCCTGGCTGGCTCAGTTTTTTTCTTAATAACCAAGGAGAGGGATGGTGGTGGGAGGTGGATGGTGTCTCTCATTGACTCTGGAAAAGCAACTTCCAAATGTGTGGCATTATTGCTGGCAGGAGAAAAACATCACCCATAAATCACAGTACCATGTAATGCCTTTATTTTGTGTATGTTTCTTTTTTAAATTGCGAATTGCTTTTTAAGTGACAAATTAATGGAGCTGGCAAGAGTTTCAGAAACTGAATTTTATGAAGATATAAGTGTTTCAAATATTGCAGTAATTTACTGTAATATGTTATATGTGAGAAAAGCCCTAACAATTGTAGCAAGGAGAAAGAATATCCAGGAATTAATTTTTCACAGCTCTCTGAAGTCTCATATTCCTCCTGTCATCCATTTTCCTTTATTTTTACTTCTTCCACTTCTTTCGTTCTGACCCACAGCCCACCCTCATTCACTATTGTGAATTTTAGAGTTTTACTTTAAAATAAAAGCATTTACTGTAGTTTTGTATTAGTGGTTGCTTTGCTGAACTTAATAATGCTTTGCTTTTTGTTTGTCTTTAAGCATTAAGAATTTAACTCACAGGAGCTTAATTGATTGATAAGGTGTCCAGGCTTCCATGGAAGTGGGGAATGGTTGGTACAGGAGGGAGAGGGATGAAGCGGCTGCATATATATGTCATCCCCAAAACTGTATTCTTTTTTTTTTTTTTTGAGACGGAGTCTCGCTCTGTCGCCCAGGCTGGAGTGCAGTGGTGCGATCTCGGCTCACTGCAAGCTCCGCCTCCCGGGTACACGCCATTCTCCTGCCTCAGCCTCCCGAGTAGCTGGGACTACAGGCGAGTGCCACCACGCCCAGCTAATTTTTGTATTTTTAGTAGAGATGGGGTTTCACCATGTTGGTCAGGATGGTCTCCATCTCTTGACCTTGTGATCCTCCTGCCTTGGCCTCCCAAGCTGGGATTGCAGGCTTGAGCCACCATGCCTGGCCCCCAGAACTGTGTTCTAAATCACATTACACTTCCTTAACTGCTTGAATCTAAACAAAACTTTAGCCGTTGATATAAATGACTTGGCACATTAATTTTGGAACTATTTCTCAATGAAAATTTCTTCAATTAAGCCATTTATTTCTACTCTATAATAATAATGACAACTAATATTTATTGTGTACATATGTACATAGTTATTACTATAGAGGCAGTAGAAATTTTTCTAAGAGTCGTAAATGATCACAACAACCTTGTGATGAAGATACCTTTATCCTATTTTAGAGATGAGGAAATTGAGGCACAGAGAGGTAAAGTAACTTGCCTAGGTCACCCCACTGATAAATTGAGCCACTTTTAAAACCTGGCAGTTTCTCTCAACCTGTTTATGGATTGTACTGTAATGTATAGTGTATCTTTATATGTTTCCTCATATATATGTTAGGAAATTAGTTTTCTTTCTTATTAGGACTTAAGGTTTTTGAGCACTTATAAATGACTTGTGTTTTGTTGTTCCTGGCACTGGGTTAGATACTACGGAACAGGGTAGGCATGCTTAGTCTTCTCTCCCCTCTTTCTTCTTTCCTTCTTTCACAAAGTTGAAATGAGAAGGAATTAATAAAGACATGAATTAGATCAGCATTCTTACTCACAGCTATACTAGCATTGAGTTTCTCCTGTCACATCAGTTCAGTTAAGGAATTGGCATCCGCTTTTTGTGTGAATCACAAAGACAAGTGTTTTACATAAAGCCTTTTGGATGTGGAGGATTTAACAGTGTTTTTAAAAAATGTATTCTCTGAGATTTTCCTAATTTTTAGATTTTAGTTTCATATTCTACAATTGTTACGAAAAGACTTCAAGGCTGGGCTCAGTGGCTCACGCCTGTAATCCCAGCACTTTGGGAGGCTGAGATGGGAGGACTGCTTCAGTCCCGGAGTTCAAGACCAGTCTGGGCAACATGGTGAGACCCATCTCTACTAAAAATTTGAAAAATTAGCCAGGCATGGTGGTGCACGCCTGTGGTCCTACCTATTTGGGCAGCTGAGGCGGAAGGATCGATCCCTTGAGTCCAGGAGCTCAAGGCTGTGCTGAATTGTGTTCACACCACTGCCCTCCAGTCTGGGCAACAGAGCAAGGCCCTGTATCCAAAAAAAAAAAAAAAAAAAAGAAAAGAAAAAAAGGCATCTAATAATTGTTTAAATTTTAATTCATATGGAACAAAATCTATTGGGATATATATGACTTGTCAAGTTTTTGTTATTGTTTAACACTTTATTGTGTAAAGCAGATTTAGTTTTTGGAAATAAATAATATTTTATCATATAATTTTCCAGTTTAATTTGTTCATTTCGACTTTCCTATTTTGACACTTCTCTCTCTGTATTTGTGGTCAAGACTTGTCACAGGTATTGGGAAGCAGAAGATGGAGGGAACACTGCAAAAATAGTTTTGCCCATTAAAGTGATTTTTTTAATTTTTAATTTTTAAATTTTTTAATTATACTTTAAGTTCTAGGGTACATGTGCACAACGTGCAGGTTTGTTACGTATGTATACATGGGCCATGTTGGTGTGCTGTACCCGTTGTCATTTACATTAGGTATATCTCCTAAGGCTATCCCTCCGCCCTCCCCCTACCCCTCAACAGGCCCCAGTGTGTGATGTTCCCCACCCTGTGTCCAAGTGTTCTCATTGTTCAATTCCCACCTATGAGTGAGAACATGCGGTGTTTGGTTTTCTGTCCTTGTGATAGTTTGCCCAGAATGATGGTTTCTGGCTTCATCCATGTCCTTGCAAAGGACATGAACTCATCCTTTTTTATGGCTGCATAGTATTCCATGGTGTATATGTGCCACATTTTCTTAATCCAGTCTATCATTGTTGGACATTTGGGTTGGTTCCAAGTCTTTGCTATTGTGAATAGTGCCGCGGTAAACATACGTGTGCATGTGTCTTTATAGCAGCATGATTTATAATCCTTTGGGTATATACCCAGTAATGGAATTGCTGGGTCAAATGGTATTTCTAGTTCTAGATCCTTGAGGAATCGCCGCACTGTCTTCCACAATGGTTGAACTAGTTTACAGTCACACGAACAGTGTAAAAGTGTTCCTATTTCTCCACATCCTCTCCAGCACCTGTTGTTTCCTGACTTTTTAATGATCGCCATTCTAACTGGTGTGAGATGGTATCTCATTGTGGTTTTGATTTGCATTTCTCTGATGGCCAGTGATGATGAGCATTTTTTCATGTGTTTTTTGGCTGCATAAATGTCTTCTTTTGAGAAGTGTCTGTTCATATCCGTTGCCCAGTTGTTGATGGGGTTGTTTGATGTTTTTCTTGTAAATTTATTTAAGTTATTTGTAGATTCTGGATATTAGCCCTTTGTCAGATGGGTAGATTGCAAAAATTTTCTCCCATTCTGTAGGTTGCCTGTTCACTCTGATTGTAGTTTCTTTTGCTGTGCAGAAGCTCTTTAGTTTAATTAGATCCCATTTGTCAATTTTGGCTTTTGTTGCCATTGCTTTTGGTGTTTTAGTCACGAAGTCCTTGCCCATGCCTATGTCTTGAGTGGTATTGCCTAGGTTTTCTTCTAGGGTTTTTATGGTTTTAGGTCTTACATTTAAGTCTTTAATCCATCTTGAATTAATTTTTGTATAAGGTATAAGGAAGGGATCCAGTTTCAGCTTTCTATATATGGCTAGCCAGTTTTCCCAGCACCATTTATTAAATAGGGAATCCTTTCCCCATTTCTTATTTTTGTCAGGTTTGTCAAAGATCAGATGTTTGTAGATGTGTGGTGTTATTTCTGAGGGCTCTGTTCTGTTCCATTGGTGTATATATCTGTTTTGGTACCAGTACCATGCTGTTTTGGTTACTGTAGCCTTGTAGTATAGTTTGAAGTCAGGTAGCATGGTGCCTCCAGCTTTGTTCTTTTGGCTTAGAATTGTCTTGGCAATGCAGGCTCTTTTTTGGTTCCATATAAACTTTAAAGTAGTTTTTTCCAATTCTGTGAAGAAAGTCATTGGTAGCTTGATGGGGATGGCATTGAATCTGTAAATTACCTTGGGCAGTATGGCCATTTTCACGATATTGATTCTTCCTAGCCATGAGCATGGAATGTTCTTCCATTTGTTTGTGTCCTCTTTTATTTTGTTGAGCAGTGGTTTATAGTTCTCCTTTAAGAGTTCCTTCACATCCCTTGTAAGTTGGATTCCTAGGTATTTTATTCTCTTTGAAACAATTGTGAATGGGAGTTCACTCATGATTTGGCTCTCTGTTTGTCTGTTATTGGTATATAGGAATGCTTGTGATTTTTGCACATTGATTTTGTATCCTGAGACTTTGCTGAAGTGGCTTATCAGCTTAAGGAGATTTTTGGCTGAGATAATGGGGTTTTCTAAATATACAATCATGTCATCTGCAAACAGGGACAATGTGACTTCCTCTTTTCCTAATTGAATACTCTTTATTTCCTTCTCCTGCCTGATTGCCCTGGCCAGAACTTTCAACACTATATTGAATAGGAGTGGTGAGAGAGGGCATCCCTGTCTTGTGCCAGTTTTCAAAGGGAATGCTTCCAGTTTTTGCCCATTCAGTATGATATTGACTGTGGGTTTGTCATAAATAGCTCTTATTATTTTGAGATATGTTCCATCATTACCTAGTTTATTGAGAGTTTTTAGCAAGAAGGGCTGTTGAATTTTGTCAAAGGCCTTTTCTGCATCTATTGAGATAATCATGTGGTTTTTGTCTTTGGTTCTGTTTATATGATGGATTACGTTTATTGATTTGTGTATGTTGAACCAACCTTGCATCCCAGTGATGAAGCCAACTTGATCGTGTTGGATAAGCTTTTTGATGTGCTGCTGGATTCAGTTTGCCAGTATTTTATTGAGGATTTTTGCATCGATGTTCATCAGGGATATTGGTCTAAAATTCTCTTTTTTTGTTGTGTCTCTGCCAGGCTTTGGTATCAGGATGATGTTGGCCTCATAAAATGAGTTAGGGAGGATACCCTCTTTTTCTATTGATTGGAATAGTTTCAGAAGGAATGGTACGAGCTCCTCTTTGTACCTCTGGAAGAATTTGGCTGTGAATCTGTCTGGTCCTGGACTTTTTTTGGTTGGTAGGCTATTAATTATTGCCTCAATTTCAGAGCCTGTTATCAGTCTATTTAGGGATTCAACTTCTTCCTGGTTTAGTCTTAGGAGGGTATATGTGTCCAGGAATTTATCCATTTCTTCTGGATTTTCTAGTTTATTTGCATAGAGGTGTTTACAGTATTTTCTGATGGTAGTTTGTATTTCTGTGCGATCAGTGGTGATATTCCGTTTATGATCTTTTATTGCGTCTATTTGATTCTTCTCTCTTTTCTTCTTTATTAGTCTTGCTAGCAGTCTATCAATTTTGTTGATCTTTTCAAAAAACCGACTCCTGGATTCTTTGATTTTTTTGAAGGGTTTTTTGTGTCTCTATCTCCTTCAGTTCTGCTCTGATCTTAGTTATTTCTTGCCTTCGGCTAGCTTTTGAATGTGTTTGCTCTTTCTTCTCTAGTTCTTTTAATTGTGATGTTAGAGTGTCAATTTTAGATCTTTTCTGCTTTCTCTTGTGGGCATTTAGTGCTATAAATTTCCCTCTACACACTGCTTTAAATGTGTCCCAGAGATTCTGGTATGTTGTGTCTTTGCTCTCATTGGTTTCAAAGAACATCTTTATTTCTGCCTTCATTTCGTTATATACCCAGTAGTCATTCAGGAGCAGGTTGTTCAGTTTCCATGTAGAGCACTTTTGAGTGAGTTTCTTAATCCTGAGTTCTAGTTTGATTGCACTGTGGTCTGAGAGACAGTTTGTTATAATTTCTGTTCTTTTACATTTGCTGAGGAGTGCTTTACTTCAACTATGTGGTCAATTTTGGAATAAGTGCAATGTGATGCTGAGAAGAATGCATATTCTGTTGATTTGGGGTGGAGAGTTCTGTAGATGTCTATTAGGTCCGCTTGGTGCAGAGCTGAGTTCAATTCCTGGATATCCTTGTTAACTTTCTGTCTCATTGATCTGTCTAATGTTGACAGTGGGGTGTTAAAGTCTCCCATTATTATTGTGTGGGAGTCTAAGTCTCTTTCTAGGTCTCTAAAGACTTGCTTTATGAATCTGGGTGCTCCTGTATTGGGTGCATATATATTTAGGATAGTTAGCTCTTGTTGTTGAATTGATCCGTTTACCATTATGTAATGGCCTTCTTTGTCTCTTTTGATCTTTGTTGGTTTAAAGTCTGTTTTATCAAAGATAGAATTGCAACCCCTGCTTTTTTTGTTTTCCATTTGCTTGGTAGATCTTCCTCCATCCCTTTATTTTGAGCCTATGTGTGTCTCTGCATGTGATATGGGTCTCCTGAATACAGCACACTGTTGGGTCTTGACTATCCAATTTGCCAGTCTGTGTCTTTTAATTGGATCATTTAGCCCATTTACATTTAAGGTTAATATTGTTATGTGTGAATTTGATTGTGTCATTATGATGTTAGCTGGTTATTTTGCTCGTTCGTTGATGCAGTTTCTTCTTAGCATTGATAGTCTTTACAGTTTGGCATGTTTTTGCAGTGGCTGGTACTGGTTGTTCCTTTCCATGTTTAGCACTTCCTTCAGGAGCTCTTGTAAGGCAGGCCTGGTGGTGACAAAATCTCTCAGCATTTGTTTGTCTGTAAAGGATTTTATTTCTCCTTCACTTCTGAAGCTTAGTTTGGCTGGATATGAAATTCTGGGTTGAAAATTCTTTTCTTTAAAAATGTTGAATATTGGCCCCCACTCTCTTCTGGCTTGTAGAGTTTCTGCCAAGAGATCCGCTGTTAGTCTGATGGGCTTCCCTTTGTGGGTAACCCGACCTTTCTCTCTGGCTGCCCTTAACATTTTTTCCTTCATTTCAACTTTGGTGAATCTGACAATTATGTGTCTTGGTATTGCTCTTCTCAAGGATTATCTTTGTGGCATTCTCTGTATTTCCTGAATTTGAATGTTGGCCTGCCTTGCTAGGTTGGGGATGTTCTCCTGGATAATATCCTGTAGAGTGTTTTCCAACTTGGTCCCATTCTCCGCATCACTTTCAGGTACACCAATCAGACGTAGATTTGGTCTTTTCACATAGTCACATATTTCTTGGAGGCTTTGTTCATTTCTTTTCTTTTTTCTCTAAACTTCTGTTCTCACTTCATTTCGTTCATTTGATCTTCCATCACTGATACCCTTTCTTCCACTTGATCAAATCGGCTACTGAAGCTTGTGCATGCATCACGTGGTTCTCATGCCATGGTTTTCAGCTCCATCAGGTCATTTAAGGTCTTCTCTACACTATTTATTCTAGTTTGCCATTCGTCTAATCTTTCTTCAAGGTTTTTAGCTTCTTTGCGATGGGTTCGAACATCCTCCTTTAGCTTGGAGAAGTTTGTTATTACCGATCATCTGAAGCCTTCTTCTCTCAAAGTCATTCTCCATCCAGCTTTGTTCTGTTGCTGGCAAGGAGCTGTGTTCCTTTGGAGGAGAAGAGGTGCTCTGATTTTTAGAATTTTCAGCTTTTCTGCTCTGGTTTCTCCTCATCTTTGTGGTTTTATCTACCTTTGGTCTTTGATGATGGTGATGTACAGATAGGGTTTTGGTGTGGATGTCCTTTCTGTTTGTTAGTTTTCCTTCTAACAGTCAGGACCCTCAGCTGCAGGTCTGTTGGAGTTTGCTGGAGGTCCACTCCAGACCCTGTTTGCCTGGGTATCACCAGCGGAGGCATCAGAACAGCAAATATTGCAGAACGGCAAATGTTGCTGCCTGATCCTTCCTCTGGAAGCTTCGTCTCAGATGGGCACCTGGCTGTATGAGGTGTCAGTCGGCCTCTACTGGGAGATGTCTCCCAGTTAGGCTGCTCAGGGGTCAGGGACCCACTTGAGGAGGCAGTCTGTCTGTTCTCAGATCTCCAACTCCGTGCTCAGAGAACCACTACTCTCTTCAAAGCTGTCAGACAGGGACATTTAAGTCTGCAGAAGTTTCTGCTGCCTTTTGTTCAGCTGTGCCCTGCCCCCAGAGGTGGAGTCTACAGAGGCGGGCAGGCCTCCTTGAGCTGCAGTGGGCTCCGCCCAGTTCGAGCTTCCCGGCTGCTTTGTTTACCTACTCAAGCCTCAGCAATGGCGGGCCCCTCTCCTCCAGCTTCTCTCCTGCCTTGCAGTTCAATCTCAGACTGCTGTGTTAGCAATGAGTGAGGCTCCGTGGGTGTGGGACCCTCTGAGCCAGGCGCGGGATATAATTTCCTGGTGTGCCGTTTGCTAAGACCATTGGAAAAGCGCAGTATTAGAGTGGGAGTGTCCCGATTTTCCAGGTACCATTTGTCACGGCTTCCCTTGGCTAGGAGAGGGAACTCCCCGACCCCTTGCGCTTTCCAGGTGAGGCAATGCCCCACCCTGCACCATGGGCTGCACCCACGGTCCGACAAGCCCCAGTGAGATGAACCTGGTACCTCAGTTGGAAATGCAGAAATCACCCATCTTCTGCATCGCTCACGCTGGGAGCTATAGACTGGAGCTGTTCCCATTCCGCCATCTTGGAACCTCCCACCCTAAAGTGATTTTTTTTTAACTCAAGGTTTACAGACAGTTTTTTGTCATTATATGACACAGTTAAGAGAATTTATATGAGATCTATGTTAATAGATCAAGGAAAGTAGAGATTTCTCTATTAATTTTCTTTCTCTTGACAATATTCATCTCCCTTTTGTCTGTACTATTGTGTGGTAGGGAGTAATTTTTAGTAATTGTAACAATAGCTTTCTTTTATAGAACCCATTCTCTGTATCCAGTTCTGGGCTGATCACATTTATTTTACTCAATTCTTCAATGTCCCTAAGAAATTGGCATTTGTTATTTAATTTTATTTATTTATTTATTAATTTTTCTGGAGACAGGGCCTCGTTCTGCCACCCAGGCTGGAGTACAGTGGCTCAGCTCACTGCAACTTCGAATTCTTGGGCTCAAGCAGTCCTCCCACTTCATCCTCCCAAAGTGCTGGGATTACAGATGTGAGGCACTGCACCCAGCCTGAGTTTGACATTATTCCCATTTAATAGGGCTAAATTGAGTAGGCAGTTTGCCCAAGGTCATATAGTTAGTGAGTGGCAGAGCCAGGATTTGAACTCAACCAGTCTGTTTCCAAAGCCTGGGCTCTTAACCATTACATTATGGCTTCTTGCCAAACTAAAGATTGTGCCCAGTGCCTGGCACAAATGTACTAATTACACCAAGATTAAGAGTCTTAATGTCTTAGCTGAGTCAGCAGTCTCTTTTAAATTTTATGACAAGCTGTTGTCATGTTGTCTAATGACATCCTGAAGGATTTACTGGGTTTTTTTTTGGTTTTCCAGTTCAGACAACCAAAGCTCAGATATGGACAGCTATGGGTTGGCTACACTTTTATTGCTGTTTTCTCTACCTCACTTTGAATCTCACTGCTATCCTGTGTAGTGTCTATATCAGCCACTTCCTCTTCCAGCACTAGGGTGGCCATGAGAGAGACAGGGATGGAGCAGGGAAGTCTAAGGAGACAGAACAGGGCATTTACTGGGAAGTTTTTAATAGAGTCAGAATCAAGGTTCAAACTCAGATTTCCCAGTTCTCAGTGCTGCCTCTACAGCTGCGTCTTTCCATTGATTTTTTTTGTTCTTTGGGTTTCTGTCCAACACATATTTATTGTGTGCTACTGTGTGCTAGTGACTGTTCTAGTCAGTGGATATCCAGCAGTGCGCAAACCGAGTATGGCTCTTCTCTCATGGAACTTATATTCTAGTGGCAGGGAGACAGATAATAAACAGATAAGGTGGTGAAAAGTACTTTGGAGAAAAATAAAGCTGGGTAGGAGAGAAAGAATTCTAGGGTAGGGTTAGAGAGTGAATGAGGGAAGGGATGTGTTGCTTTTAATGTAGAATAGAAGGGAAGGCCTCTCTGATAAAGTGACATTTGAGCAGAGGATATGCCATGGGAATGCCTGAAGAAAGACTGTGTCAAGAGAGGGCACTACTCAAAGGTGCCGAGGCAAGAACATGCCTGGTGTGTTGGATGAACAGCAAGAAAACCAGTGGGGCTGGAGTGTAGTAAGAGAGGGTAGTGTGGTAGGAAGTAAGATCAAAGTAGTTAAGGGAGTCAAATCATGTAGGACTTTTAACCTATGTAAAGGATTTTGACTTTTCCTGTGAGGGAAGGGGAAGGGATTGGTGGGGTTTATGTAGAGAAGTGGCATATATGACTTATATTTTATAAGAGAACCATTGTGGAGTAAAATTAGGGGAGAAGGGACAAAGCAGGGTGACTGTGGCATTTTTGTTGCAGTAATCCATAGGATTAGCTGATGGATTGGTTATGGAATATAAATGATTTTGATGATTTGAGCCTGAGCAAGAGGAAGAAGGAACTGCCATTTGCTGAGATGAAGACCATGGAAGGAGAAAGTTTGGAGTAGGGATGAAGAAAGCAGGAATTGGACTTCATTGACTCTTGAAGTGTTAGAGTTGGAAGAGACTTCGAGTTTATCTAGTACAGTCGTTTCCTTTTACAAGCTAGTAATACTAAATACTGAGAGGTTAAATGACTTTCCCAGAGTCAAACAGCCTATACTACCTGTTGTGCAGCATAAAGAGCCCTGGAGTTGTAGTCATGAGATGTAAGTTCAAATTGTAGCTTTTTTGTTTCTTAGCTCTGAACCTTGGTCAAGTCATTTATTTTCTCCAAGTCTGTTTTTCTTCCATCAAAAAGGATAATAAAGACTTCCATTTCCTGTTACGATGTTGCAAATTGCAACAGTTGACATTATTGCTCCCACTCTGGTAGTGAGAAAAGTCAGAGAAGGTACAAAATCATAATTTTAAAAAACCTATCAGAGTTGACACAAAAAAATCTAAAGAAACAAAAATCTGGAAAGTAATGAGTGAGCCTTCTCAAGAGAAAAAAAAAAGAGATACATAGGTACTTTCATCTATGGTGGAACAGCAAGAGGAAGAATTTGCAATAGATAGTTAAAGAGAAGTCAACAGTTACTGACTGCACATAGGCTGGAGTGACAGTTTGGAATCCTGAGGAGTTCCAGCTACAGTGCAGGACTACACCTACCTGCCAACTTTTCCCATGGGCCTTCAATTAGTACATTGGAATAGGAGTTCGGATGCTGGGGCAAGGGAAAGAGAGCTAAGAAGGGTCCTGCTGAGGTGGGTGGATTCTGCTGAAGGTTGGGGGCAGGGCAGGAGAGTTAAGAGAAATCCCTGTAGTGCACCAGGGGGTTTATGAAATCTAAGCCTGGGCGTGCAACAGGCTGGGGGCATGGCAAGACAGCTAAGAAATCTCTTTATGATTATCTAGGCTTTTACTGAGGACAAGCCAGCCTTTGAGAAGGCATAGTCAGGGTAACAGAGCAAAGAGAGATCTCCTCAAGGCACAGAAAGCAGAAGGTGCTACTGGAGACCAAGGACAACACCCTAGCTGAAAGCTGGAATGTGAGGGGAGGGCAGAGAGGAGGGAAGATATCTCACAGTTAAGAAACCTTGCATAGGTTATGAAGCTCAGAGATCTGTGAAGCTTCAACAGTGCTCAGATTTTAGCTTCTCCTGAAGGTAAAGTTCTGATTTCACCCTGAAATTATTATAAGGCAATCATGGACTAACACTACAATCTCAAACCCAGCTCAACTATAGATTAAAAGGATTGAGCCTCCACTCCCAGTTTCCCAGCAACTTAATTGAAGAAGGAACTTTCCTTTATGGAGATAAATTAATGTTCTTTTATACGCAGTATCTGGCATGAAATAAATTATGAGATATACAAAGAAACAAGAAAATGTGATCCATGGTCAGGGGAAGAAAGAGGCAACAGAAGCAGTCTCAGTGATGGCCCAGATGTTGAACAACATGGATAAACAGAGAAAATTTCAGCAGAAAGATGTAAAGTGTGAAAGATAAAGATGTAAACTATTTCTCCAAGTAGAAATGCTAGAAATGAAAAATATATTAGAAATGAAGAATTCATTTGATAGGCTTAATAGCAGACTGCACACAGCAGAAGAAAGCACCAGTAAACTTAGGGACAGATCAATAAAAAATCAGCATTCAAGATCTGTGGGACAATACAAAATTGTCTAGTATATACCTGTAACTAGAGTTCAAGGAGTGGAGGAAGAGCAGGGACAGAAGTCTGAACTGAGGTACATCAGATTCAACTTTCTGAAAATCAAAAATTTTTATAAAGGAAATCTTAAAAGGAGGTAGAAAAGAAAAATATATATAAAGGTGAACAGTAATATGAATAATTGACACCTTGTCAGAAACAGTGCAGGTCAGAGGACAATGAAATAATTTTTTTTTTTTTTGAGACCCTCTCACTCTGTTGCTCAGGCTGGAATGCAGTGGTGTGAATATAGCCGACTATAGCCTTAATGTCCTGGGCTCAAGGAATTCTCCCACCTTAGCCTCCTGAATAGCTGGAACTACAGGTGCATGCCACCATGCCCGACTAATTTTTTAAATTTTCTGTAGAGACAGTGTCTTACTGTGTTACCCAGGCTGGTCTCAAACTCCTGAGCTAAGTGATCCTCCTGACTTACCTCCCAAAGTATTGGAATTACAGGCGTGAGCTACTGTGCCTGGCCTGGAAGAACTTTTTTAAAGTGCTGTATTTTTTCTTAAGCAAATCTGCTAACCTGGAATTCAATATTCAAAAGTGAAGGAGAAATAAAGATATTTTTGACAGAAGCAAAAACAATTTGTCTACATCAGACCTATATTACAATGTTAAAAGAAGTTAAGTTGAAGGGAAGTTATAATAAAGGAAGTTCAGATCTGAAGGAATGAATTACACCAGGAAGGGTAAATATATGGATAAATATAAGGGACCTTTTAAAATATGTTTCTTTAATACATACATTTATTTTAAAAATATGGACTATTTAAAGTAGAAATAATAACATATTATTTGGTATATAGTAGAAGTAGAAGTAAGCTATCCAACAGTAAGTGCACAACAAGCAGGGGAAGTCAAGTGAAGTTAGACTGTGATAAGTTAAAGATGCACTCTATAATCACTAAAGCAAACATTGAAAAAAAATACAGAGAGGTATAGCTGTAAGATCAGTGAAGGAAACAGAATGAATATCACATTATGGAAAAAGTCAGGAAAGCAGAATAGAGGAACAAAGAAGAGAAGCAAATGGAAAATAAATATAAAGATGGCAGACTTAAAATCAACCATGTCAGTAATTACATTAAATGTAAAGACCATCATCTCCAATTAAAAGTTTGCAATTGTCAGGCTGGATAAAGTAGTGTGGTACAACTATGTGCTGTCTTTATGAATCACTGTAAATATGAAACACAGATTGAAAAAGGGTGAAAAAGATATACCATGCAAAAAGCATAAGAAAGTTGATGTTGCTATATTAACAAAGTAGACTTTAAAACAAGGATCATTTCTAGAAAAAAGGATCATCTATAATAATCAATTTATTAAAAATACATAACAGGCCAAGCACAGTGGCTCATGCTTGTAATCACAGCACTTTGGAAGGCCGAGGCAGGTGGATCACTTGAGCTCAGGAGTTTGAGACCAGCCTGGCAAACATGGTGAAACCCCATCTCTACTAAAAATACAAAAATTAACTGGGTGTGGTGGTGCACACCTGTAATCCCAGCTTCTTGGGAGGCTGAGGTGGGAGGATCATTGAGCCTGGGAGGCAGAGGTTGCAGCGAGCCAAGATCATGCCACTGCACTCCAGCCTGGGTGACAGAGCAATCCTCTGTCTCAAACAAACAAACAAAACAAATTTGTGTGTACCTCACAACAAAGCTTCAAAATACATGAAACAAAAATTGGCAAAACCAAAGAGAGAAAGAGGCAAAACCACAATCATAGTTGAATATAACACCTCTATCACTAATTGACAGAACTTGTGAAGAAAAAAAAAGTCAGTAAGGATATAAAAGATTTGAACACCACTATCAACCAACTTGATCCTTGGCATTTATGAAGCACTACACATCACTACAGAATTTGAAAAACAGCAAAATGGCAGATGTTAGTCCCTCCTTATTAGTAATTACTATAAGTACAAAAGGATTAAATTTACTAACTAAAATGTAGACACTGGCAGAATGGATAAAAAAAAAACAAGCAAAAAACTTCCCACATGATCCAATTTTATGTTGTCTGCAAGAGACCCTTGTTAGATCAATCAAAAGACAGGTTAAAAGTGAGCTGGGTTGGCTATACTAATATCAGACAAAATAGACTAAGTTATAATAAAAATTGTTACATGAGACAAAGGTGATTATATGTTGATGAAAGGTTAATTCCTACAGGAACCATAACAATTATAAGCACATATGCACCAAACAACAGAGCCACAAATATATGCAGCAAAGTGACAAATGCAGGGAGAATTTTTTCTTCTTTTTTCTATTTTAGTGATGGAGGTCTGTCTATGTTGACCAGGCTGGTCTTGGACTCCTGGCCTCAAGCAGTCCTCCCACCTTGGCCCTCCAAAGTGCTGGGATTACAGGTGTGAGCCACTGCACCTAGCTGAGAAGTGGTTTTATAATAGTAATTGGAGACTTCACAGCTGTCATCATAGCTACCATTTGTTAAGCACTTACTATATGCCAAGACTGTCTTAGGCACTTTACGTTTATGGACTCATTTCATTCACAACTGCCCTTGTGGCAGGTTCTATCACTATCCGTATTTTGCTGAAGAGGAAACTATGGCATAGAAAAGTGGCAGGTCCCATTAATATCCCCATTTTGAGGAAGAGGAAACTATGGCATAGAAAAGTTAAATGACATGCCCAAGGTTTACAAAGGTGTAAGTGGAAGATCTTGGATTATAAGACTCTTTTGGGAAATTAGATTTGATCCTTAGAGGTTTCCTAGTCTCATTTCCCACTGAAGAAGGGATTCCTTTCTCTGACAATACTGGTTCTGTAGACTCTACAGGAGCATTGAAGATGGGGGAATCACTGCTTCAACAGCAAGACATTCTAGTATGGCCTATTCTAATTGCTAGAAAGTTTTTTTTTTTCCTGTATTGGGGTGAAATCTCACAACTTTGATTCACTAGTCTTTGTAATAACAGAAAATAAGCCAATTGTTCTGACTGTTGAGATATGTGAAGGTTTTCATGTCATTCACCACTAACCCCAGCATCAGTTGGAGACTTCAGTACCATACTTTCAATAATAGAACATTTAGACAGCAGAATAAGGAAACAGAAGTCTTGAACAACACTATAAGTCAATGAAACCTGACAGAGTTATGTAGAACACTTAACCCAATCACACCAGAATTGACATTCTTCTCAAGTGTACATGGAACATTCTTCAGGACAGACATATGTAAGACCACAAAACAAGTTCCAATAAATGTAAAAAGACTGAAATAATACTAAGTATCTTCTTGGATAACAATGGAATGAAGCTAGAAATCAATAATAGAAGGAAAACTGGAAAATTCACAAATATGTGAAAATAACATTTATTTTTTTTGAGACGGAGTCTTGCTCTGTTGCCTAGGCTGGAGTGCAGTAGCGTGGTCATAGCTCACTGTGGGCTCAATCTCCTGGGCTCAAGCTATCCTCCTGCCTTAGCCTCCTGGATAGCTGGGATCATAGGGACATGCCACCATGCCCTGCTGATTTTTAAATTTTTTTGTAGAGTCGGGTCTCACTATGTTGCCCAGGCTAGCCTTGAACTCCTGGTCTTAAGTGATCCTCCTGCCTTGGCCTCCCAAAGTGCTTGAGTAACAGGCATGAGCCACTGTGCCTGGCCCCAAATTAACACATTATTAATCAATAGGTGAAAGAAATAATGGCTATTTAAAAATACTTTGAGATGAATAGAAATGAAAATATATCATATGGGATGCAATGAAAGCAGTATACTTAGAGGGAACTTTATAAATGTAAATGCTTACATTAAAAAGAAGAAAGGCCAGGCACAGTGCCTCACACCTATAATCCCAGCACTTTTGGGGACTAAGGCAGAAGGATCAGTTGAGCCCAGGAGTTCAAGACCAGCCTGGGCAACATAGGGAGATCCTATCTCTACAAAAAATCATTTTAAAAACTAGCTGGGTGTAGTGGCATGTACCTGTAGTCCCAGCTACTTGGGAAGCTGAGGTGGGAGGATTGCTTGAGCCAGGGAGGTTGAGACTGCATTGAGCTGTGATCATGCCACTGTACTCCAGTCTGACTGATAGAGTGAGACCCTGTTTCCAAAAAAAAAAAAAAAAGTCCAGTCAGTAACTTTGCACCTCAAGGAACTAGAAATATATTAGATAATTTAGCTATTTAACATAGTGCTCACTGGAACTTGGAATACAGTAGGCACTTACTAAATATTAGTCTCATATATCCAACACAAAGATTCATCATTGACACTACTTTGAAAATAAATGTAAGTTACTATTTATGGCACTATTTCCACTTCTGCAGTTTGTTTTGGTGGATTGTTTTTTTAATCCAGGTTTTAAAAATTGAGATATTCATCATATACTATAAATTTTGCTCACTTAAAAAGTACACTTCAGTGGGATTTAGTATATTCACCAAGTTGTGTGACTGTTACAACTGTCTAATTCAAGAATTTTTTCATACCTTCAAAAGAAACCTCATATACACTCACAGTCACTTTCCAGCCCTAGGCAACTACTAGTCTATTTTCTGTCTCCATGGATTTGCCTTTTCTGGACATTTAATGTAAATTGAAACATACAATATGTACCCTTTTTTGTCTGCTTTCAATAGCATATTTTCAAGACTCATTCCTGTTGTAACATGTATCATTACTTAATTCCTTTTTATTGCTGACTGATATTCCACATTTTGGAATACCACATTTTGTTTATCCCTTCATCAGCTGATGGACATTTTGTAATTGTTTCCACTATTTGGCTATTAAGAGTAATGCTGCTATGAACATTCATGGACAAGTTTTTGTATGGACATATATTTTCATTTCTCTTTAGTCTTGACTTACAAGTGGAGTTGCTGGGTCATATGGTAACTCTTTTTAACCTTTGAGGAACTGCCAGATTGTTTTCCAAAGTGGCTATGCCATTTTACATTCCCACCAGCAGTGTATGAGAGTTCCAGTTTCTCCACATGTTCACCATTACTTATTAGTATCTTTTTTATTTTAGCCAATCCTATGGGTATGATGCATCTCACTGTGTTTTGACTTACCCTTGTCTTACCCTTACGTTGAACATCTTTTCATGTATGTATTGGCCATTTACATATCTTCTTTGCAGAAATGTCTATTCAAATCTTTTGCCCATTGTAAAATTGGGTTGTCTTTTATTGAGTTTCAGAAGTTCTTTATAGTTTGCATACAAGTGCCTGCTCAGATCTGTGATTTGCGGATATTGTCTCCAATCTTGTGGGTTTTTTTCCTACACTTTCTTGATGGTGCCCTTTGAAGTACAAAGGTCTTTTGTTTGTTTGTTTGTGTTTCTGAGACAGGGTCTTGCTTTGTAACCCAGGCTGGAGTGCAGTGGCGTGATCTTGGCTCACTGCAGCCTCTGCCTCCCAGGTTCAAGCTATTCTCCCACCTCAGCCTCCTGAGTAACTGGGCCTACAGGCATGCACCATCATGCCCTGCTAATTTTTGTACTTTTAGTAGAGATGGGGTTTCACCATGTTGGCCAGGCTGGTCTTGAACTCCCAACCTCAAGCTATCCACCTGCCTTGGCCTCCCCAAGTGCTAGGATTACAGGCATGAGCTGCCACGCCCAGCCAGGTCTTTTGTTTTGATGAAGTCCAGTTTATCAATTTTTTTTGGATGTTTATGCTTTCAGTGTCATATCTAAGAAACCATTGCATAATCCAAGGCCACCAAGATTTATGCTTATGTTTTCTTCTAAGGGTTATAATTTTAGCTCTTATATTTATTTAAGTCGCTGAGCCATTTTGAATTTTTTTTTATATGAAGTGAGATAGGGGGTCCAAATTCATTGTTTTGCTTGTATATATCCAGTTGTACCAGTACCATTTCTTGAAAAGACTTCTTTCTCCATTTAAATCAGTGCTCATAAATTTAAGAGTTTATTTCTGGATTCTCTTTATTTTAGCCAGTTTTATAATTTTATTTTAGATTATCTGTTCTGTTCCATTGATCTATATGTCTACCCTTATGCCAGTGAACACATTGCTTTAACTGCTGTAGCTTTGTAGTAAATTTCAAAATCTGGAAGTTTGCGTCCTTCAACTCTTGTTTTTCCTTTTCAAGATGATTTTAGTTAATCTGGGTCCCTTGCATTTTCATATGAATTTTTTGATCAGCCTTTCAATTTCTGTAAAAAAGGCAGCTGTAATTTTGAGAAAGATTGCATTAAATCTATAGATTAGTTTAGGAAGCGTTGCTAACATAACACTAGTAAGTCTTTCAGTTCATGAACATGGATGTCTTTTGATTTATTTAAGCCTTCTTTAATTTTTCTCAACAATGTATTGTATAAGTTTTCAATATGGAAGTCTTATTCTTCCTTTGTTAAGTTTATCTCAGAGTATTTTGTTCATTTTGATGCTGTTGTAAATGGGATTGTTTTCTGAAGTTTATTTTCAGGATGTTCATTGCTACTATGTGGAAATACAGTTTATTTTTATATAACTATATTGTATATTTATGTGTTGTATCCTGCAGCCTTGCCGAACTCCTTGATTAGTTCTAATTGATTTTTGTGCATTTTTAGAATTTTCTATATGCAAGATCATGTCATCTGCAAATAGAGGTTGTTTTACTTCTTCCTTTCCAATCTGGATGTCTTTTTTATCTTTTGTCTAATTGCTTTGGCTAGAACCTCTAGTACAATGTAGTATCAAATGGCCATGTATTGCCATTTTTATGAAACAGTGATAGGACATAAAATATTTTATATTACTCAATATTAGAATATGGTGGCTGCATGAAATTAGTCACACCCTATTTGTAGGACAATAATTGGGGCCGTTCTGATCTAGTAGTATAAAAACAATTAATTTTTTCCACATTGATTAAAGAACATTTTCACAATTTCCTTTTTTTTTTTCTTTCCAGGTTTTCTCAAACAATGATGAAGGCCTTATTAACAAAAAGTTACCCAAAGAACTTCTGTTAAGGTAAATGTAGATAAATTCTGGATGAAGAGTTTAGATCTGATTTAGTCATCAAGTTCCAAGACTATCTTCTTTCTCACTGTGAGTCCATAGCATAGAAAAACAGACAGAATTAGCCTAACTGACTTTTTGTTTTTGTTTTATAGAATGCTGTTCAGCTTGTTGTTAAATTTTACTTGGTCTAATCCAGAATGTACTAAGTATGTACATAGCATTGGTCTGGATTCTTTTTGTAATGTGGTAAGTATTGTAATAATCTTCAGTAGGTGCCATTGTTTTGTTTTCAGTAGATAATCGTGATGAAGTCAGTAATATGAGGAGACATTATTGCAAGGTTGTGAGCTCCTGAAGTCATAAAGTTTTTGATGTTTTCAGACAAATGAGTTTTAAAATAAATGCAAAAAATAAGCACAGTTATGATATGTTCTTAGCACTTAAAATGCTGTCAACCCCAAGTATTGGTATGTTTTTATTCATATGAGAAGTATAAGTGACAGTAGTATAAAATAGGCTTTTTGTCTTTTGTTTCTGGCATCACTGAATATACAGTAAATGTTATTTTGGTTGTTGTTTTTACTAAGTAAAGCTATCAGCAAACATTTGTTGGCCTGGAGGCACTTCAGTTTTCTTTAGTATTATGCAATCATCAAAAGAAATCTTATTTTAAGGCCAGGAGTGGTAGCTCATGTCTGTAATCCCAGCACTTTGGGAGGCTGAGGTGGGTAGATCACTTGAGGCCGGGAATTTGAGACCAGCCTGGCCAATGTGGTGAAACCCTGTCTCTACTAAAAATACGAAACAATTAGCCAGGCGTGGTGGTGCACGCCTGTAATCCCAGCTACTGGGGAGGCTGAGGCATAAGAATTGGGAGGCTGAGGCAGGAGAATCATTTGAAGCTAGGAGGCAGAGGTTGCAGTGAGCCTAGCCTGTGCTAACTGCACTCTAGCCTGGGTGACAGAGTGAAACTCTGTCTCAAAAAAAAAAAAAAAAAAAAAAGCTTATTTTTGTTTTAGATGTTGTTATATTTTAATTCTTTATGAGGAATTAATAGGTGTACACATGGTAATCCTTGATAGTCATTCCCCTAACTGTTTCTCTTATCACTGATACTCCACAAAACAACAGCAACAGAAACCAGATTTTGTGATCAAATAACTATAGGAAACAAACTGTAGTCCTATAGGGTTAACAAAACCTATAGGACTTCACAGGGCCTTAATAGGCTAATGTGCATGGCGATGATACAAGTTGGGTAATTGTGCCATTTCAAACTTACTGACAATGGAATCCTTTTATTTTTTTAATTTTATTTATTTATTTATTTATTTATTTTGGTGAGATGGAGATTTACTCTTGTTGCCCAGGCTGGAGTGCAATGGCATGATCTCGGCTCACCGCATCTTCCGCCTCCCAGGTTCAAGCGATTCTCCTGCCTCAGCCTCCTGAGTAGCTGGGATTACAGGCATGTGTCACCACGCCCAGCTGATTTTTGTATTTTTAGTAGAGACGGGGTTTCACTGTGTTGCCCAGGCTGATCTCGAACTCCTGATCTCAGGTAATCCGCCCGCCTCGGCCTCCCAAAGTGTTGGGATTACAGGCGTGAGCCACTGCGCCCGGCCGGAATCCTTTTAATATTCCACAGAAAATTTGGGGGAAATGCTGACATACAATAAGAGATTGACCAGATGACTCCATTCCCTGGCTGTACTAAATCTCACTTTAACATTTGGGGAATGACTATGAGTTTTGTTTAAATATTGGGAATAATTATTTTCATCTCTTCCCAAGTTCACCACAGAACCACTTTGTAGATGCCACAGATTACTCACATTTGCTGTCATCAGGTTATTAAGACATTTTTCCTTCAGTTAGAAATGGGGTAAGGACTTAGCTTCTTTGTGGTAGTGATCACATTTCAGGGACTTCAGAGGGTGTTTCATTAGTCATCAGGTGTTGTTTGACACTGTTGTCATGAGCTCCTTCTCAGTTGATTAAAAAAACTGAGACAGGATTGTATGAAAAATATCAATTATATTTTCCAATAAGACAAATATTTGGATAAGAGAGAATGTTCTTTGGCATTTTTGACAAGTTTAAGGTAAGAAAGTGGTGACAAGAAAGAAATGTATGTTTGCCATATAAACCCAAAAGGCTTTGCTCAAGCACAGTAAGTTGTTAGAAGCAATACCGCTGTGTCCCGGTGGGCAGATTGTCACTATACAACTGCACGGATGCCATCCACATTGACTACAGTGTAGATGGTGCCCCCTAGGATTATGCAGTGCTTGCAGTCTGGGTCTGAACATTTCTCTAGAGTGGGCATCAAGCTGTAATCTAAATATGGTATTCTTACCCTGGGGAATCATAAGCAGCTTCAGGCAGGCCCATGTTGGTCACTAAACATTAGGGTGTGATTAAACTCCACCCTTCTCATGCATACTTCTGCTGTGACTCAAGGCTACTAACTGAATGGTTTTTTCCTTCTGGTGGGGTTTGCTTTTGTACTCCACTGAGCCATAGAACAGTTTCTGTCTGTTGATACCAAAAAAATAAAAAGGAATTATATCACTTTCTATGGTAGTGTGATTTCTAAACTGCAGTCTTGGAAACTTCAGTTCTTTTAAAGATCCATGATGGACTCAGCTGTTAGGAATTCTGGAGGTTGTCATCACTACTTATAGCTTTTGAATCATGCCATAAAGCTCATACATAGATCACTTTTCAGAAAGAATTGCCATTTGTGAGCAAATGTTAATGTCTCTTCATAGACTTATGTTCCCACTTGTATTCTTATTTCAGAGTCTGTAAGGGGAATTTAAAATATTGCCACTACAGATCTTCTCCAACTTGTGAGTCTCAAAATTAACTCTAGCCAACCATGTATTTTAATTTAAGAATTTTTTGCTGGCCTTTAAATCATTTCTGTCATTTTACTTTCAGACTTTCCATTCTCTGTGTAGCTTTCCCCCTTTTCCTAGCTATGCTTTCTTTTTTTTTTTTTTTTGAGACGGAGTCTCGCTCTGTTGCCCAGGCTGGAGTGCAATGGCGCAATCTTGGCTCACTGCAAGCTCCACCTCCCGGGTTCACGCCATTCTCCTGCCTCAGCCTCCTGTGTAGCTGGGACTACAGGTGCCCGCCACAACGCCCAGCTAATTTTTTTTTTTTTGTATTTTTAGTAGAGACAGGGTTTCACCGTGGTCTCGATCTCCTGACCTTGTGATCCGCCCGCCTTGGCCTCCCAAAGTGCTGGGATTACAGGTGTAAGCCACTGCGCCCGGCCTTTCCTAGCTACCCTTTCTAAGAAAAATGTTGAAGAAGGGTTTGAACCAGATTTCCTAAGCATCCATCTTCATCATTAGTTAATTCCACAACATTGGGTGTAACAAAGCCCCCACCTCATGAAGCTTAAATCTTTATTATTTTCTGCTCAGTTAAATTATGTCTTCATTGTCTACCCTTGGCTTATATTTTTATTTCATATTGTAGACTTCTTTGGGACAGTGTAGTCTGTTGTTCCTAATCTTGTTGAATTCCTATTCACCTTCAGTCTTACTTCCTCAATACATGTGAATTCTTTGACTTTGAGACAGACCTATTTGCTTTCAGTCCAGATCATTTTCTCTTCTGCCACTTTTGACTGCTTCTGTTACTGCCATCTTTAATTCTCAACTAGCTTCCAATACTGATCACATCAACCGAAGCTTCAGCTTCCCCTTTGGAACCATTAACAAGCATAATCTGGAATAATATGCTGCTTTTCATCTCTCTGTTATCACTTTGAATCCACTCAGAAAAATCTATGTTTTCTTTTCATCTGATTTTATTGATAGTTTTACGAATATATATTATTTACAGATTCCTTCTCTACTACCCATTTTTAGTTTGTTACTGAACAAGTTTTTACAGTTTTGCTTTTTAAAATCCAGCTCTTGCTCATAAATTAAGGCTACTGAAGTTTTTTCCCTACCCTTTGCTCTCACATAGCCCAACAAACAGCTTTTAGTATTATTCTTCCTGGGGAGTCAGTCACATAATTTTTATAACAGTGGAAGTACTTAATTTGTTGCAACCATTATCTATTAGTGAGTTGGAGTATCCTTGCATATATTTTTTCACATTGTTATTGTCCATATTACTGTTGGAATCAGACTTTCTGGGTTCAGATTTCAACTCTTCTTATTTATTAGTTGTGTGACCTTAGTTACTTAACTCTCTGGGCCTTAATTTGCCCATCTATAAAATGGGAATAGTAATAGTTCTTACCTTATGGGGTTGTTGTTCTTAGAGTACCTGGCATGTAAGTATTAAATAAATGTTCGCTCTTATTGTATATTAATATCAATTTTTGGATGCCCGAATATTTAATAAATGCTATTTGACAATGCAGTCAGCTTTAATGCAAACAACTGATGAATCCAGCTCTTAATATGGATCTTAATATATGCTACTGCTAACAATATCTCAGTAAAGTACCTGATTATTAAGTAACTCTGTGAAGGCCCAATGCTTCATTTCATTAAACTGGACGAATTCAATCTCAGTAGAAATTGCATACTACTATCTTATATTAAACTGACAATTACTGTTGCTTAAGCAAATGTGTGGTGGTGTGACACCTGATTTACAACTGCAATTACCTTGCATTATAAAAAAAGATAGTCTCTTGGAGGGAACTCTTCCCTTTTTGAGAAAAAAAAATGTCTTCTGTGAATTGAATATTGACCTAAAACTCAGATTATAAATTATAATAGTAATTTGACTTTAAGTTTTAATTTCTACTATGGTTGCTTTCAGATGTTAGTGATGAAGTAAAAGCACATGTAAAACCCCTCATAGGAGACAGCAAGTGATACCTGCAGTAAACAGCTTAAAACATCCTGAGGAGACAAAGCTCTAGTTAGTCATAAATAATAATGAAAGAAAATTACTAGACACATTTAAAACATTAAATTACTATTATTGATGTAATTTTCTTTCCTTTTTAAATTTGTGTGGATACATGATAAAATTTATTGGCTTGATAAAGGAAGATTTCATTGCCCCAAATGAGGGATTTGAGCCTAATAATTCTGGGCAATATGAAATCAAAGACACAATTTCATATAATACAACAGTTTTAGTAGTTGAATTTGCTTGGGAAAATTATAAAATGACTAGCACATCATTTTCAAATTTTCCTTTTCTTAAATTTGTAAGCCAATCCCATGAGTGAAAATCATTATGGTTTTTGTTGGAATCATTAAGATATAGCCCAGTGCTTATCATAGGTCCTTGGCAAGCAGTACAGTAAAGGGCTCATTCCTGCTATGGGTCTCATTGAGTAGGTCTTGTTGCCTGCTGGTTGGTTTCAGCACTCCATGGGCTTTTTAAAGGACTGCTGCCTCTATTTCCTGCTGTCTGTGGTGCCTGCTGCCTTATATACCAGGGCATCCTAACAGGTAAGATGCTCTTTTGGGGGTACATGCTTCAATTTCAAATTTAAGCATCTATGCAGATTTTCCCTCTTTGCCGAAGAGTTTTTTTAGGTTGGTTTGCTCGCTCTCGTGGTTGTTTTTTGACTTGTGTGTGGCAGTGTGGGACTGAATAAATGTGTATGTTGAAATCAAATGCAGAAGCTTAAAAGCCCTCATTTTCATTACCTCCCTAAACTGTTATGTACTGTTTTAAGGTTGGCACCAAGGTCCAAATTGGCAGAAGCAAATTTTCTTTAGTCTAGGTTGGGGTTATGCTTGTATATGAAAACTCTGAGGATGACTTTGGATTTTATATCTATATTGAGATGCCATGAAACATCAATAGAGCTTTTCTGATAGGAAGGATAGAAACTAGATACATTTTGCCTCAGAGCCTTATTCCTAGCAAATTATATTAGAGATCTATTCATTTAAAAACTGTGAATTCAGTAACAGAAAAGATTGGTGAATTTGACTGTATGAATCGTGAAGTATGGTAAAATTATACCATACTAAAGATAAATAGTACAGTGGTGGATGAAATAATTAGATATACATTATAAGCAAGGGCATTATTCTTCAATATGCAAAGAAAATCAAAATTATTAAGATAAAGGTAGATTGATTTTATTAGAAATACAGTTTGAAGAGGCCACTAACAAAAGAAGAAATACAAATGGCTAATAAATGTATAAACAGATGCTCAACAAGGCCCATATTTAAATACAAATCAAAATAACAATAAGATATTACCCAAAAGTTTGATAATATTAGGTTTTGGCAAGGAGATACGAGATACTTTAGGTGGGAATATAAACTGTAGCAGCCATTCTGTAGGGCCACTGGAAAAAATTTTTTAAATGCTAAATGTATGTATTCACAAATTCCATTTCTAGAAATTTACTAACATATATTTGCAAAAGCACACTGAGGCATATATACAGGATGATTACTGCAGCATTTTAAAAACTTCAGTTATGCAGAATTGGATTACTCATAATTCTTGGTTAATGATACATTTTACCATTGATCCATGCATTGCCCTCTTTTATTCATTTTGTAGTATAAGGAATGTACATAAATGCTGCCCCTCCTCATTCCCCACCATAAAGGTAATATTATCAACAACTTTGTATTTATGATTTCTTGCTTCTTAAAACTTTTTATCTTAAATATATTTTGACTAAACAATATGTTTACTTTTGCTTGTTTATTAACTTCGTAAAAAAAGTATATGGTATATTCTTAGAAATGTTTTTCACTCAAAATTCTGTTATGAAAGGTGATTCTTGTTGCTCTGATTGGCTGTTGCTCATTCATTTTTACTGCTGTATAATATTCTACTGTGTGAATGTACTAAAATTTTATTTTTTCCCCCTTTACTGAGTATTTTGGTTGTTTCCAGTGTTTTATCAGTAAGAGCAGTGCTGCTTTGGACATCCTCGTAGATGTCTCCTGGTGCACAAGTACACAATTTTCTCTGAAAGTAGAATTTCTGAGGGTTATAGGCTATACAGATATTTAACTTTATAAAGAAATATTAAATCATTTTTCCAAAGAGGTCTTACCAGTTTATGTTCATACAAAGAGTGGATAAGAGATTCAGTGCCAAACTGAATCTCTTTCCAACACTTAGTGTTGTCGCATGTCTTAATTTTTGCCAAAGAAGTGTAGAATGGCACCTTATTGTGCTTTTGTTTTGAATTTCCCTGGATTCTAGTAATGTTGAGCATCTGTTCATATGTTTATTAGTCACACGTGTTTCCTCTTCAGTGAAACACGTATTTTTGTTTTTGGCCTATTTGGTTATCGGCTTATTGATCTGTAGTTCTTTATATTCTCAGTATAATCTTTGTACTGATATTAATGTTTAGCTGACAAATACTTTATCCCATCTTCTAACTTGTTTTTTTCACATTCTAAGGCATTTTTTAATGAATACCTTTTGTGAAGTCAAATGTATCAATCTTTTCTTTTATGCTTAGCGTTTTTTGTGCTTTCTTAAGGAACTTCCTCCTTACCCTGAAGACAAAGAGATAGTCACATGTATTTTCTTCTGAAAGCTTAAAAATTTTGTTTTTGATATTTCAGTTTTTAATCACTGTGGTACATATGTTTATATATAAGATAAGAATACATTTTTGTTTTCTTTTGCATATGGATTATCAATTTTTTCCAGGTTCGTTTGTTGAATGATCCTTTCGTTTCTACATAGAAATGCCCTATCACCTCTGTCATGTATTTATGAGTCTATTTCTAGTATTTAGTATTTTCTGTGTGTCAATACTACATATTTGGTAAGGCATCTGTATTTTTGAGTGACCAGGGCCCACAAATTTATTTCTCATACTATCTTTATCTGATTTTTTTTTGAATTAATATAAGCCTCAAAGAATTGAGTTGAGCAGTATGCACGTGTTTTTCTGTCCTCCAAAAGCATCTATTTGTCTTGGTTTAATTGTTCCTTGAAAGTCTGTTAGAACTATTAAATTATGTGAGGCTAGAATTTTCTTTTTGGGAAATTAATTATTACTTTAATTTGTTAGAAATGAATAGTATTTTTCAAGCTTTTTTTCTGTTTTTTCTTGAGTCACTTTTACTAATTTTATTTTTCTAGGAGTGTGTCCACTTTGAGTTTTACATTGGTAAAACTCTTGGTAGCTGTCTTTTTATTTTCTTTGTAAACTCTGCTGTATCTGTTGTAATGTTACTTTCTTCCTTAATATCGTTAGTTTATGCTCAAGTGTTCCCTCCTTGATTAATCTCACTAGAAGTTTACCTATTTCATTAGTCTTCAAAAACTAGCTTTTGGCTTCATTCTTTTCTATTGTTTCTTCGTTTCTATTTTAATAGTTTCCATTCATGTCTCTGTAAAAATTTTTTCTTTGCGTTTTATTCTGTTTTCTTTAGCTGCCTTCATAAGTTGGACATTTAATTGCTTATTTTTTGAGCCTTAGACAATTAACTCAAAGCTCTTCTTTTGTTGCATTCTACAAATTTTGAACTGTAGTGTTTTTCTTATTCAGTTTCAAATATTTATCACGTACCGCTTTTGCTTCTTTGACCCATACGTGTTTTTTTAAAAAGCTTTATCATAAAATACAATATATAGTCAGAGAACTACACAAAACAAATATATGAAACAAATATCCTTGTAGACACCACGTAAGTCAATAAACTTTGCCAGTCACCAAAGAAGCACCTCTGTGCCCAAATCACAACTGCTTTTTTCCTCTTCTGAAGGAACCACTATCTTGACTTATAGCTATCACTATGTTTCATTTCTTTGTAGATTTATCACCTATATGTGCATCCTTAGACATTACAGCTAGTCTTGCCCATCTAAAAAAAATTGTAAATCTTTGAAGTCTCAGTTAATCTGCAGGTCCCCTCTCCATATCTTTCTCTTCCATACATTTGTCTGTTGAAGAACTTGGGTTATTTGGCCTGTAGAAGTTCCCACAGTCTGGATGCTTATTGTGTCCTCACAGTGCAATTTCAAGTTTCTTCCATCCTTTATATTTCTTGGAAGATTCACAGTTGGATCCAGAGACTTTATAAGATTGATTCTACCCCTTTGGTAGGACTTTCTGTGGTGCTGTATTTGTTCATCAGGAGTCATACAATGTTTGGTTTTATCTTTTTTCAGATGCTAGTGTCGATGCTTATTGTCTACATCATTAATTTATTGGGGCTGCAAAGTGGTGATACTCTTAATTCTTTTTCTTCCCACTTAGTGGAATACTTTTATAAACAGGCACTTCAGTTCTATTTGAGTGCCTAGTGTTATATTTTATATAGGAAAGGTGGGGGAAATGCTTGATTCTATCCTTTTATTTGCCAGTTTTAGAAATAATGAGATATATAAAGGTATGATGAGAAACAAAATATTTACATAGTTTCAAATAGTCTTTCCACTAGATAAATGTTAATTACAAAAGGAAAAATGCTAACTATAATAGGGCAGTCTGGCAGACACCACTTAAGCAAATGATCAAAGTTGGCATCACTGGTAACAATACAGATAGACATCATATGCCTGCTCATGCGATGTAGAGCACAATATCATATCTGTGGCATTCCTGACAAAAATTTATAACCCGAATCTAATCATGAGGAAGTATCAGATATACACACAAGGACATTCTACAAAGTAATTGGCCTATTTGCTTTTAAAAATATTGAAGTTATGACAGATAAAGGCTGAGGAAGTGTTCCAGATTAATGGGTACTGAAGAGAAGCCATGACAGCCAAATGCAGTATATGATCCTGAATTGGATCCTGGGTCAGATTTTTTTTTCTTTTGCATTAGGACCATTAATGGGACAGTTGGCAGATTTTGAATAATATCTGTAGATTAGATAATAGTAATATATTACTGTTAATTTCCTTATTTTGATAATTATACTGCATTTGTAAAAGAATATTCTTGTTTGGGGGAAATATTTGAGAATTTAAGGGTAAACGGGCATCATGTCTACAACCTACTCTCAAACATTTCAGAGAAAATGAGAGATATATATATAATATATTAAATATGTAGAGAAAACGATAATGCAAATGCAGTATAATTTAGCTTTGGCAAATTTGGGTGAAGAATATGCAAAAATTATTTGTCATACTTTTGCAACTTTACTGTAAATCAGAAATTATTTAAAAATAAAAACTAGTTGGTTTCTCATCCTCTGAAGGTGACCACATAGATTTTTTTAAAAAGTTATAAATTTATGAATTTAAACATATTTGATAATTTTCAGTCCATTGAAATTACCTTTATTGAAAATCACATTGTCTTGTCTTTGGCTCCTGAGTCCATTTACATGATCTTAGTAGGGTTTGTTTGTTTTTAGTTTTTTGTTGTTATTTTTGTTTGTTTGTTTGTTGAGGCAGGGTTTTACTGTGTTATCCATGCTGGCCTTGAACTCCTCAGCTCAAGCAATATTCCTGCCATTGCCTCCTCAGTAGCTGGAACCACAGGCACCTGCCACTGCACCTGGCTTCTTGTAGCTTTTTCTGGTTTACTTCCTATCTAAGATAGGATATACCAGGCTCATCTCATATAGTCCCTATCCCAGACCTGGAATTAGCCATTTCTTTAGAAGTATTGGTTTCTTTCTGTGGGAAAGGGTATTTCAAGATTATAGTCTGGTTGCTAGAGATATTCATGATTATTGGACTGGTTATTATTTCTAGGCATTTTCAGTACACTGAATTTATATCATATGAGAAACTCATAATTTCATACTTATATTGCTCATTCCAATTTAGGACTACAGGTATCACTTAATGTCATCAATCTTATGTCTCTATCTTCTTCCATCCACACTGATAGTCCTAGTTCTGGCACAGGAGATTGTAGAATTAGAATATCCTGTAAGTACTCATTTGCTTTATTCTACATTACACACATAACAGCCTCAGAATGACACTAACACAGTTGTCATCAACATGAGTACTAAAAACAGGCAATAATTTTTCTTCTTCCTATTTCTCTCAGCCCCCATTTTTTGAGATCTTTCTTCTTTTTTGATGTTGGTGTTTAATGCTATATTATAATATTATAAATCCCTCTCAGAACTGCTTTTGCTGCATCCTTAAAGTTTTGGTATGTTGTGTGTCCATTTTCATTTATTGCAAGATTTTTGATAGTTTCCTCTTAATTTCTTCTTTGACCCATTGGTTGTACAGAAGCATGTTGTTTAATTTTAGAAATTCTTCTTTTTACTGGTTTCTAGTTTCATACCATTGTGATTAGAAAACGTATTTGATGTGATTTCCAACTGCTTAAATTAGTCAAGACTTACTTGGTGGCCTAACATATGATCTATCCTGGAGAATGTTCTGTGTGTGCTTGAGAAGAAGGTGTATCCTGCTGCTGTTGGGTGGAATATTCAAAATATGTCTGTTAGGTCCTCTTGATCTCAAGTGTAGTTCAAGTACAATATTTCCTTATTGATTTTCTATCTAGATAATGTGCCATTGCTGAAAGTGGGATATCTACTATCTCTATCTACTATTTCTGTATTGCAGTCTTCTACCAGCTGCCATTTTTATATTGCAGTCTATGGCTCCCTTCAGATCTATTAATATTTGCTTTTATATATTTAGGTGCTCTGATGTTGAGTGCCTATATATTTACAATTGTTATATTCTATTGATGAATTGATCCCCTTTGTCATTATATAATCACTTTGTCTCTTTTTACAGTTTTTGACTTAAAGTCTATTTTATTTGATATAAGTATATAGCTACTCTGTCTCTCTTTTTGATTTCCATTTGCATGGAGTATCTTTTTCCATCTCTTTCAGTCTATGTGTATTCTTGCAGATAAAGTGGGTCTCTTGCAGATAGCATATAGTTGGGTCTTTAAAAAAAAATACATTCAGCTACTTTATGTCTTCTGATTGGAGAATTTAACACATTTACATTAAAGATAAGTATTGCTAGGTAAGGGCTTATTACTGCCCCTTTGTTAATTATTGTCTAGTTATTTCATAGATCCTTCATTCTTCTTTTTCACGCACTTGATATCTTCCTTTGTGATTATATGATTTTTCTGTAGTGGTATGCCTTCATTCCTTACATTTTATCTTTTGTGTATATACTATAAGCTTTTGCTTTGTAGCTACCACAAGGCTTACATAAAACATCTTACAGTTATAGCACGCTATTTTAAGCTGTTAACGACTTTAATCATATACAGGCCAGGCATAGTGGCTCACGCCTGTAATCCCAGCACTTTGGGAGACTAAGCAGGGAGGATCGCTTGAGGCCAGGAGTTTGACACCAGGCATGCCAACATAACAAGACCTTTTCTCTACAAAAAGGAAAAAAAAAGTCACATACAAAAACTCTACATTGTTTCTTTCCTCCCCTTGACATTTTAGGTTTTTGATGTCATAATTTACATTTTTAAACATTGTGTATCACTTAAAAATTATTGTAGCTATATTTATTTTTAATAGTTTTATTTTATTTTATTTTATTTTTTTGGAGATGGAGTCTCGCTCTGTTGCCTAGGCTGGAGTGCAGTGGTGCGATCTCAGCTCACTGCAATCTCTGCCTCCTGGGTTCAAGCAATTCTCCTGCCTCAGCCTCCCGAGTAGCTGGGACTACAGGCTCACGCCACCACGCCTGGCTAATTTTTTGTATTTTAGTAGAGATGGGGTTTCACCATTGTTACCAAGGCTGGTCTCGAACTCCTGAACTCAGGTAATCTGCCCACCTCAGCCTCCCAAAGTGCTAGGATTACAGGCGTGAGCCACCATGCCCTGCTTCTTAATAGTTTTATATTTTAATCTTCATACTAAACATATGTGACTTATATATGCCATAATTATAGTGTTAGAGTATTCCGAATTTTACTATGTATTTTTACCGGTGAGTTATACTTTCATGTTTTTATCTTATTAACATATATTTTCTTTTATCTTTAAGAATTATCCTTAATTATTTTTTGTAAGGTAGGTCTGATGGTGATGAACTCCTGAAGCTTTTTTTCATTTGTCTGGAAAAGTCTGTCTCTCCTTCATTTCTGAAGGACAGCTTTGCCTGGGTAAAGTATTCTTAGTAGGGAGGGTTTTTTTAAAAAAAATTATATATTTAAAAAAACATTTGAGATGGAGTCTAGTTCTGTTGCCCAGGCTGGAGTGCAGTTGTGCAATCTTGGCTCAATGTAACCTCCGCCTCCTGGGTTCAAGTGATTCTCCTGCCGCAGCCTCTTGAGTAGCTGGGATTACAGGTGCACACCACCACTCCTGGCTAATTTTTCAGTATTTTTAGTAGAGACAGGGTTTCACCATGATGGCTAGGCTGGTCATGAACTCCTGACCTCAAGTGATCCACCCACCTCGGCCTCCCAAAGTGTTGGAATTACAGGCATGAGCCACCACACCCAGCCAAATTCTATATTTTGACTATGTCATCCTATTCTCTTGTAGATTGTAAGGTTTCTGCTAAGAAATTTGCTGATAAGTGTATTGAAGTTTCCTTGTATGTGATATGCTGCTTTCACAATCCTCTCTTTCTTTAATTTTTGACAGTCTGCCAATCCTGTGTTTTGGTGTAGTCTTATTTGGATTGAACCCGATTGGAGATTTTTGAGCTGCTTGTGTGTGAATATTCATATCTATTCCCAGACTTGGGAAGTTTTCTGTTATTTAGTTATATAAGCTTTCTACCCGCCCCCACTTTTCTTTTTCTCTGCTCCTTTTGGGATCCACCCTCCTATAATGGGTATATATTACTTCACTTGTTGGTGCCTCATAATTCTGATAGGCTTTCTTCACTCTTTTTCATTTTTTTTCCTTTTTGTTCCTCTGAGTGATGAATTTTAAATGCCCTGTCTTTGGGCTCACTGATTCTTTATTCTGCTTGATCAAGTCTGCTGCTGAAGCTCTCTGTAGAATTTTTCAGTTAAGTCATTGTGTTCTTAGCTACGGAATTTGTTTGGCTCTTTTTTTTTTGAGACAGAGTCTTGCTCTGTTCGCCCAGGCTGGAGTGCAGTGCCACTATTTCGGCTCACTGCAACCTCCGCCTCCCAGGTTCAAGCAATTCTCTGGCCTCAGCCTCCTGAGTAGCTGGGACTACAGGCGCATGCCACCATGCCCGGCTAATTTTTTTGTATTTTAGTAGAGACGGGGTTTCACCGTGTTAGCCAGGATGGTCTCGATCTCCTGACCCCATGATCCCTCGCCTTGGCCTCCCAAAGTGCTGGGATTACAGGCATGCGCTACTGCATCCATCCTGTTTGGTTCTTTTTATGATTTCTGTCTCTTTGTTGAACTAATTTTGTTTATGTATTGTTTTTCTGATTTCATTTAGTTGTCTTAATGTAGCTCAGTGAGCTATGCAATATAGATAGACAACTATTTTTTATTCTTTTTTTATTTTTATTTTGAGACAGGGTCTCACTTTGTCACCCAGACTGGAGTGCAATGGTGCAATCATAGCTCACTACAGCCTCGACTTCCTGAGCTCAAACCATCCACCTGCCCCAGCCTCCTAAGTAGATGGGACCACAGGAGCGTGCCACCACACCTGGCTAATTTTTAAATTTTTTTGTAGAGACAGGGTCTCATCATATTGCCCAGGCTGGTCTCCAACTCCTGGGCTCCAAGCAGTCCTCCTGCCTCAGCCTCCCAAAGTGTTGGGATTACATGCATGAGTTACTGCACCTGGCCTATTTCTAATTATTTGTCAGGCAGTTTGTAAATCTCCATGTTTAGGGCTGGTTACTGGTGCTTTATTTTGTTCCTTTGATGGTGTTATGTTTTCCTGATTTTTGTGATTCTTGTGGCTGTGCATTGGTGTCTATGCATTTGAAGAAGTAGGGACTTACTTTGATCTTGGCAGAGTGGCTTTAGCAGGGAGAGCTTATCACCAGTCAGCCCATCCGGAGATTCTGGGAAGGCTATCTGGCTTCCAGCCCACATTTCTTAATGGTTGTGTTAAATCTACATTGTTAAAGCTTTTAGCTACTATATATTATACTCTCTCTTTAACGCTTATTTAACTTATTATTTATTTATTTTATTTATTTAACTTACTTAACATAAATTATTTATTATCCTAATAGCCAGACTGACTAGGAGGAAAAAGAGACAACATTTACCATTTTCAGGAATAAGAGAGGAGATATCACTGCAGTTATTGAAATGATAGGCCAGGAGTGGTGGCTCACCCCTGTAATCCTAGCACTTTGGGAGGCTGAGGCAGGTGGATTGCCTGAGCTCAGGAGTTTGAGACCAGCCTGGGCAACACAAGGAAACCCCGTCTCTACTGAAATGCAAAAAATTTGCTGGCATGGTGTTGTGCCTCTGTAGTCCCAGCTACTTGGGAGGCTGAGGCAGGAGAACTGCTTGAACCCGGGAGGTGGAGGTTGCAGTGAGCCAAGATTGTGCCACTGCACTCAGCCTGGGTGTCAGAGTGAGACTCCGTCTCCAAGAAAAAAAAAAAAAGATAAGACAATATTATAAACAACTTTATGCCAATAAATTTAAGAAGTTAGATGAAATAAATTCCTTGAAAGTCACAACCTACCAAAACTCGCAAAGAAATAGATAATCTAAAGAATTCTTTTTTTTTTTAATTTTAAACTCCATCAAGTCCTGGTAAACTAAAGATTTCTATACATATTAAAGAAATTGAATTGGTGGTTACATAACCTTTCCTTCCAAAAACATGCAAAACCAGATGGTTTCAATGGTGAATTCTGTCAAACATTAAAAAACAAAACAAACATCAGATTCTACATAAACTCTTCCAGAAATTTGCTTGTTTGTTTAGAGAATAGGGTCTCACTCTGTCACCCAGGCTGGAATGTAGTGGTGTGATCATGGCTTACTGCAACCTCAACCTCCTGGGCTCAAGCAATCCTCCTGACTCAGCCTTCCAAGCATCTGGGACTACAGATACATGCCACCATGCTCAGATAATTGTTTTATTTTTTTTGTAGTGGCAGGGTCTTATTATGTTGCCCAGGCTGGTCTCAAACTCCTGGCCTCAAGCCATCCTCCTGCCTTACCTCCTGAACTACTGGGGTTATAGACATGAACCACTGCATCCAGCCTCATTTAACTTATTCAGTACTCATTATCAGTCCATATTCAATTTCCATGTTGTCATTTTGTTTTGTGATTGTGATGCTTGTTCTCCAGAAGATATCTCAGGTGTTAATGGGAACAATATTCTCTGAGTTTTTATACATTGATAATAGTTTGTGCCTTTTATACTTGAAGGTCAATTTTGCTGGATATTAACTAGTGGTTCATATTTTCTTTTCTTGATTATCTTAATTATGCTATTCCATTTTCTTCTGGCATAAAGCTTTGCTGTTTAAAACTCTGATGATGATCTAATCTTTATTCCTTTATGTCTCTATATGCTTTTTTATATTGTTTATATATCCTTGATATCCTCTTTAATTTTTTTTTGCTTTTTACTTATTGTGAAATATTTAATTGATAAATAAAGATTGAATATATTCAAGGTATACATGACAACATGATGATTTAATATATGTATATATTCTATAATGATTACCACAATCAAAATGACACATCTGTCACCACTCATGCTGTACATTAGATCCTCAGAACTAATCTTATAACTGAAAGTTTGTACCGTTTGACCAACATCTCCCCATTTCCCCTGCTTTCCCAGCCCCTAGCAACCACTGTTCTACTCTCCTCTTCTATGAGTTCAACTTTTTTACATGCCACGTATAAGTGAGATCATAGAGTGTTTGTCTTTTCTATGTCTGACTTATTTCATAGTGTCCTACAGGTTCATCCATGTTGTCACAAATGGCAGGCAGGCTCTATTATGGCTAGAGAATATTCTATGGTATAGTTAAAATGTGGAATCTAAAACCATGGTAATGAACTTTTTGTATTCCGTTACATTGAACTCTACTTTTCTTGGTACTTTCAATGGATCTTTTTCCCATTTAAAGTTGATTTTGAAACATGTATCAGTCATTTGGATAATATGGTTCACTAAGTTATGCAAATATTCCCCTTGTTAATACATTTTATAATATTAAAATATCACATTCATTAATATCACCATTGATCTCATCAGAAAAGTCTTTAAGAATTGAGAAGCTAACAACTCGGAAGCCAATACAAGTTTTCCAAAATTCTAACTTTTTCTTAGAACTTGAATTTTATTATTGGTATAATTTTCCTTGAAGTGACATACTCAATTCATTAATTTTTAAAAAATGTCTGCCAAGTACCCTTGTCTGAATTACCATAATTTATGTCAGTTGTTCTTACATGTGAAAATGTGTTTCATGAAAAAAGTGGCTAGTTTAGCTTGCACTGCAAACAATTGCTTTTCCTTAAGACAAACATTTTAAGTTCTTCTTGAGACTTTTAAATTTGTCACACAGAAATTAAAAAGATGTGTGCTCAAAAGTCAAGATTCATTAGAATTACTATTTTGTTTCTGCTTAAAGTGAAATCAGCTTTTTTGTCCTCCCTCCCTTCCCTGTCTTTCATTCTTTCCTTTCTTTTCTTTTCTTTTTCTTTCTCCTTTCCTTTCCTTTTTTTTCTTTCTTTTTTTTCCTTTCTTTCTTTTCTCTTATCTTTCTTTTCCTTTCTCTCTTTCTCTGTTTCTCTCTTTCTCTTTCTCTCTCTCTTACTTTCTTTCTTTCTTTTGCCATGGCAGTGAAGACTCTAAATATGATATGGTGTCACTTTCTTGATTAGTGCTAAGGTAGTTTTACCTGCCATTTCTTTTGTATTATCAATGCAAATGTCAGTTTAAAAAAAAAAAAAGATGTGCTTTTTCCAAAGTTGGAAAAGCAAGTAACATCTTAGTATTAACTGTGAACAGGGTCCCTAAGAGGGTCTACAGGACTGGAACACACTTTGGAGACTGCTGCCCTAAGGCATTGTCTTTTTTGTTTACTCACTTTGGTGTTCTTCTGTGGTTTTTATTTCAGAAAATTTTTCTTTCATTTATAATTCTATTCTTGAGTTCTGTTATGTCATCTTAAATTTTTCTAATTCTGATTTACACTGTTCTTTCATGTCGCTTATCATTTTCTTAAATTTAACTTATTTTGAAATAGTAGGTTACAGTTTTAATCTGTTTTGTGGACATATCTTTCTGGTATGTTTTAATCATAGGGATATTATTCTGCTCTTTTTTTTTCTTTTAAAACTTTGCATGGGATTTGTGAAATTAGTTTTTCTTAATGGAGATGTAAGTGAGGAAAGCCTTTGGAATTTCATAAAGTTTCCTCTTAGTCATCGCCATTGTTGTTTAAGTGTTTAAGAAAGCAGCAGGTTGCTCTCATTTCCTGACTTTCTTCTCATCCCCAGCCTTTGACCTTTACATGGACTTTACTACTTCTTTGTTCTCTGTTTTGCTTACTTTTTTTTTTTTTTTGAGACAGGGTCTTACTCTATTGCCCAGGCTGGAGTGTAGTGACGTGATCTCAGCTCACTGCAACCTCTGCTTCCTGGGTTCAAGTGATTCTCTTGCCTCAGCCTCCTGAGTAGCTGGAATAAAGGTGTGCCCCACTATGCCTGGGTAATTTTTGTGTTTTTAGTAGAGATGGGGTTTCACCTTGTTGGCCAGGCTGGTCTCAAACTCTTGGACCTCAAGTGATCCACCCACCTCAGCCTCCCAAAGTGCCGAGATTACAGGCATGAGCCACCACGCCGAGCCACCACGCCTAGCCTCCTGCGTAATGTTTTTATTCCACCCTTAGCAGTTTCCTAAGTGTGGGATCCCATCCTAAAAGGTAGCTTTGGCAGTTGTTTTTGAGTTCCTATGGCTCAGAATGCTTCAGCCCCTTTTAGAAATTAGTGTGGACCCCTCCACTCATGTGCTATTTGATTAGTCAAAATTTCCTCCCAGTATCATCAGCTGCTGTTCTCACATTAGCTACCTGTGCTCTCTAGGGTATATTAGCTGTTTTGGGATTCTCCTGAGGTCAAAGGCCCCTTGGCTCCCTCCTGCATAGACACTGATAATAGTGGGTCCTGTGGCACTTGGCGGTTTGGCCCTCATCCACCTGTATTTTGAGGTTTGTGGGGATACTTTATCACTTAGGCTTTTTTCAGCAGTCAAATGCATTACTTATTGAAGTATAATTTACAGACAATAAAATATGCCTTTTAAGGTAATCAATTCTATGAGTTGGGCAAACATTTTCAAACATGTAACTATCACCACAGTCAGTGTATAGAATTTTCTCTGTTTTTCTTTTTTCTTCTTCTTTTTTTTGAGACAAGATCTCACTCTGTTGTCCAGGCTGAAGTACAGTGGCATGATCACAACTCACTTCAACCTTGAATTCCTGGGTTCAAGCGATCCTCCCACCCCAGACTCCCAAGTAGATATGACTACAGGTGCATGCTATCACGCCTGGCTAATTTTTAAAATTTGTACAGCAGGTCTCACTATGTTGCCCAGGCCAGTCTTGAACTCCTAGCCTTAAGCAATTTTCCTGGTTCAGCTTCCCAAAGCTATGGGATTATAGGCTTGAGCCACCATGCTCAGCCTAATATATGAATTTTTCATCACCCCCCAAAGTTCCCCAGTGCCCCTGTGTACCAGTTCCCCTTCCCCGCCTCTCGCACCGTGTTGGTGATTATTCTTTTCACAGAGAATACACTTACACCTCAACCTCAAGAGAGAAAACCCAAATCCCATTCATTCACTGCATCCAATTCATAGTTCAGGGTCTGTGGGTGATATGCATTCCTCTCCATCAGATCTGGATGTGGTACTTAATGGTTTTGTTACTCTCCCTCAACTACTGTCTCTCACCCCATATTCAGGAGCAGGGACAGGATAACAACAATAAACAATAAAACTTGTAAAAAGGAAGAATGGAAGACACACATCATTGTTTTGTAGCAATGATGAGATTCTGCTAAACAGATATTATGAAGCCCGCCTTATCCTAGCAGTAGGGGTATGTTTCTGTTCTATTCCATTCCATTCCCTATTTTGTTTACTGGAGGGGGCTCCCTTACCATTGGTCTTGGTGACTTTTAACTCCAGCCTCAGAAAGGTCTTACTTGCTCATTATTTTCCATGACTACATCTGAAGTGGATGTTAGGGAATATGCCCTTACTGGGGACTGTACATGTTGAAAATCCCTAATCCAAAAATCAGAAATCTGAAATGCTCCAAAATCTGAAACTTTTTTGAGCACAGACATGAAACTCAAAGGAAATCATTGGAGCATTTTAGATTTCAGATTTTTGGATTAGGGATACTCAGCCCATACTTATTTCACAGCCATTTCTTACCTGTGTAGTTTTGGGAACCTTAGGATTAGTTGATAATCACAGCATGTTTTGGGCCAGGTTTCTGGGTTTTTTTTGTTTTTTTGACAGAATTTAAGAACTTAGTAGTCTTCTAATTACCACGCTCTAAATTCATTCTTAGACTGTAGCCCCAGACGTCTTTTGTTTTGTTTTGTTTTGTTTCCTGTTCCCCATGGCTGTTTCTCACTGGTATCTATCTTGAGACATCTGAAACATAGGTGTGGGATGAAGGAGAGCAACTTTAATCTGATCTTTGCTACAGGTCTTGGTTGTTCTGTTTAACAGAGATTTGCAGCTCAAAGTGCTTTTCAATCTTATTTTTACTATGTGGCATTTAGAAATAGTTGACTTTTCTAACAATCTGAGGCTCTAAGTTTCTCTTTTCTCTTCCCTTTTATTTCTGCTTGCAAACCAACTAGTTATTTGTTGAGTACTCTTTCTTTTAATGCCTTGATAAATATAGGAAGGAGAAACCATTATTTGCTAACCTTTTGGCACTTCGTAATCTCTTCTCTAGATCTGCATTCTTTGTCTGCTGTCCAGATAATCATAAGCAATTATATTACATAACATGTCTTTATCTTGCCAGCTTCAGATGCATGTTTCCTGTGCTGTTACCCACTAGATGGACACACTAGACAGATGTCACATATTTTAGATTTTTGTTCGAAGTAGCACCTCACATCAAGATATCTGTTTCTAAATTAGTGTAGTTAGAGTAGGCTAATGTGGCATATACATCTAATTTTTTAAACATAACTGATGTTTTTTAAACATCTATTATTGCTCAACTAATAGAATTCGGTGTGTGAAAGGTCAGCAGGGCAATCCTCCTCTCTGTAGTTATTGAGGACCTTGTTGAAAGAAACCCTTCTGTCTTCAACCATGGCTTCCATTTATCCAGCTTACTTTTCATGGCTAGATCTCAGTTACATGGCTGTACGTACCTGCAAGGGGGTTTGGGAAATGTAGTATAGGTGTGTTTCCTGAAGGAGAAGGGAATGTGGATTTGGTGAGCAGCTAGCAGTTTCTAACACGAACTTCATTATTTGTAAAGCACGAATCCCAGGCAAGATGGGAGTTTTCTAGATTTTCCTTTAGGTGTTTTAAGACGTCACAGTCCTGGGATATATCAAGACAGAATTATAATTTTGATCATCCCTTTTGTATCTTGTTCAAATTTTACAAACTAGGTACTGCAGTGGTTCAGCACAAACTTCAAGTATGGGAGCCCCCTTGTGGGAGTGCCCATGGCAAGTTTATCTAACCTAAGGATGATTTTTTTTTTTAGTGAGGACTTATTGAAAATAATTTTTTATATATCTCTTTATTATTTTAACTATTATTGGAACCATTTGAATGTATTGCCTATTAAATAAATTAAAAAATAAAGTAATTCATCAAGTGGATGTATGATGTAATATACATGAAGTATCTATGAATTTTTAACTTTAAGAAATAATTATGGAAATTATTCCTGAAGACATTCCTTCATTTAACAGCTACTTCCTGAACACCACTGTGCTTAGAATGTTGAATTATTGAATTCTTACATATTTACTTCGATGAGCAATATCACAATCATGAAAACTGTATCATTGCCTGGGGAAATAGAATGTGTTTGTTGGAACTTAAGTGGTTCTCTTAAATGTAAGAAATAATACCTTTAGCATCTATACAGTTGATTATGTATTTTAATGTATGAGTTATTTCCAAAAGAAGGTATCATATTAACCATGAATAACTTTTATTTTTTTAAAAAATTGAAATATCAAAGCATTTCTTTATTCATTTGATATTTGGTGCTTATTTTGGTTCACACACTTTTCTAGGGGCACAAGAAGGAAATTAATGTCATTTAGGAAAATGTCACTTTATTTTTGTTTCATTTACCTAAATTCAGACATCCAAAAAATATGTAAGATATCTAAAGACAAAATCTCACAGAAGATGTGCAAGTCCTATATGGAGATAGTGATTCAGTGTTATTAACAGACATTAGAGGAAATATTAATAAGTTTCAAGAAATATATTCATGTATAGATAGGCCCAGTATTACAGATATACCCATTCTCCCTAGATCTATGGATTCAATGCAGTTCTAATTCAAATGCCATCTGGAATTTTGGGGGGGACATTTAAAAAACTGACTCTGAATGTATATGATCAAGTGATAGCCAAGATATTTTGAAGAAAAATAGATATAGGGACTGCTCTATAAGCCATCATAATTTATTATGAAGTTATAACAAGTAAAACAGTAAGGTATTTGGCATGGAATAGAGAACCAGAAACAGACCAATGCATGGGTACAGGATATAACACAGGGAAATGAGGGACAATATATGGTTCTGGGATAATTATTTATATGGGGAAAATAAAGAAATTGGATCCCTACCTCACACATACAAAAAAAATCATAATTGAATTAAAAACTTGCATGTGAAAGGAAAGACTTTAAAACATTTAGAAAAAGTATTGGAGGCTATGATCTTGGGGTAGGAAAGCATTTCTTTTTTTTTTTTTTTAGACGGAGTCTTGCTATGTCGCCCTGGCTGGAGTGGAGTGGCGCAATCTCAGCTCACTGCAACCTCTGCCTCCAGGTTCAGGCGATTCTCCTGCCTCAGCGTCCTGAGTAGCTGGGACTACAGGCGTGCACGACCATGCCTGACTAATTTTTGTATTTTTAGTAGAGACGGGGTTTCACCATGTTGGTCAGGCTGATCTCGAACTCCTGACCTGGTGATCCACCTTCCTCGGCCTCCCAAAATGCTGGGATTACAGGCGTGAGCCACCACACCTAGCCAGGAAAGTATTTCTAAAACATGACACAAAAATTGTTTACCATGGAAGAAAAGATTGTTATATATTACTACATTAAAATTAAAAACTTTATTCATCAAAAAACACCCTGAAAATTGAAAGGAAAGCCACAAACTAAAAGATACTTGTAGTACATAAAACCAACATATTCTTAGTATCCAGAATTTATGGAATTTATAAAGAACTCTTACAAATCAATAAGAAAACGACAAACAATCTAACTAAAAAATGGGGCTGGGTGTGGTGGCTCACACCTGTAACCTTAGCACTTTGGGAGGCCGAGGCAGATGGATTGCTTGAGGTCAGGAGTTCAAGACCAGCCTGCCCAACATGGAAAAATCCCATCTCTACTAAAAATACAAAAATTAGCCAGGCATGGTGGCACATACCTGTAATCTCAGCTACTTGGGAAGCTGAGGCAGCAGAATCACTTGAACCCAGGAGATGGAGGTTGCAGTGAGCTGAGATTGCACCATTGCACTCCAGCCTGGGTGACAGAGCCTGACTCCATCTCAAAAAAAAAAAGAAAAAGAAAAAAGAAAAAAAAGAAAAAGAAAAATGTGCAAAAAGCATTAACTAGTATTTTAAAGGAGAGGAAGCATAAATGGTGGAAAAAAATATGAAAAGATACTTCACATCACTAGTAATCACAGAATTTCAAAATAAAGATTACAAGTGACCATCTACTCTCGTGAGATTGGCAAAAATTAAGAAATGTGACATTATCCACAGTTGGAGAGGATGAAGATTCTTTTATACAGTTAATGTGTCACTTAACAATGGAGATACGTCCTCAGAAATGCCAGGATATGTTCTGAGAAATTTGTTGTTAGGCAATTTTGTCATTGTGTGAACATCGTAGAGTTGACTTACACAAAGCTAGATGGTATAGCCTATTGCATATCTAGGCTGTATGGTATAGCGTGTTGCTCCTAGGCTACACACCTGTATGACATGTTACTGTACTGAATACTGTAGGCACTTGTAGCAGAATTGTATTTGTGTATCTAAATGTAGAAAAGGTACGGTAAAATTATGGTATCATAATCTCATGAAACAACCATTGTATATGTAGTCCATTATTTACTGAAATGTCATTATCCAGTGCATGACTGTACATTGCTGGTGGGAAGGTGGTCAGTACCACCACTTCAGAAAACAGTTTGTCACTGCCCTGTAAAATCAAACATTGGCATATTCTGTGACCTGAATTGCCACTTTTGAGTATACCCTTAGGAACCTGCAAATGTACACGTGGTGACTAGGTGATTTTTTTTTTTTTTTTTTTTTTTTTTTTTTTGAGACTGAGCCTCACTCTGTCGCCTAGACTGGAGTGCAGTGGCGCCATCTTGGCTCACTGCAAGCTCTGCCTCCCGGGTTCACAGCATTCTCCTGCCTCAGCCTCCCGAGTAGCTGGGACTACCGGTGCCTGCCACCATGCCTGGCTAATTCTTTTATATTTTTAGTACAGACAGGGTTTTACCGTGTTAGCCACAGTGGTCTTGATCTCCTGATCTCGTGATCTGCCCACCTCGGCCTCCAAAAGTGCTGGGATTACAGGCGTGAGCTACGGCGCCTGGCCAACTAGGTGATGTTTATAAAAATGTTTATAGCAGTGGTATTCATAATAACAAAAATCCTAGAAATAACCAAATGTTCATTGACTGGAATGTTGGAAAGCAGTGAGATATACTAGAGGTTTACACAGTTGCTTGGATAAATCTTAGTCTTCTAATGCTGAGTGAAAAAAAAAGTTGTGGAAGACATATACAGCATGTACCATTTTTATAAAGTTCAAAATCAAGCAAAACTACATGATGTGTCATTTAGGAATGTGTACCTTGTGATAAAACTATAAAGAATTAAAAACAGAAGTCATGAGCATGTATATTAGTGGAGACGTAGAGAAAGGGAATAAGGGAGAGACACAAAGTAGATGCAATTACTGGTAACATTTTGGTTAAGTTTGAGGGGTGATCATACTGTTTTATTATAAGGTGTCATATATTGTGTGTGTGTCAAAATGTATTTAATATAATATTTGTTAAAAATTTGAAAGGTATGATGAAGTCTACTATGTTTTATTCTTTCCTTGATGTCTTCTGATTACTGTTTTTTGTTCTTGTGCCTCACAGTCTTGCTGTATCTCCCTTTGCTGTCTTTAGCAATAGGTGTCCCTAATCTTTTGTTTCTCTGTTTCTCATTCAGAATGATTCCCATTTGCTGTGTTCCAGCCTCTTGAATTGCTACCTTACTAAGTTCACTATTAATTCCTCAAATGACTTTTAATAAAATCTAAAGTTATTTTGTCCTTTATGGTAATTTGATTTGATCTTAAGAATACATTCTACCTAGTTTTTCTTTGCAAAAGTCTTTCTTTCTTAGGCTTAATATAGTTTCATAATGTTAACTTTGCAAATTTTTCCTCTCCAGCTTCATGGTGCAGTTTTCTAACTGGAAAATTTCACATTTCTCATCTATCAGTTGACTTACAGTTTTAAAATGAACCAAATCTTCCTTTTTTTATTATTATACTTTAAGTTCTGGGATACATGTACAGAACTTGCAGGTTTGTTACATAGGTATACACATGCCATGGTGGTTTGCTGCACCCATCAACCTGCCATCTACATTAGGTATTTCTCCAAATGATATCCCTCCCCTTCCCCCCGACGCCCAACAGGCCCCATTGTGTGATGTTCCCCTCCCTGTGTCCATGTGTTCTCATTGTTCAGCTCTCACTTACGAGTGAGAACAGGCGGTGTTTGGTTTTCTGTTCCTGTGTTAGTTTGCTAAGAATAATGGTTTCCAGCTTCATCCATGTCCCTGTAAAGGATATTAACTCATCCTTTTTATGGCTGCATAGTATCCCATGGTATATATGTACCACATTTTCTTTATCCAGTCTATCACTGATGGGCGTTTGGGTTGGTTCCAAGTCTTTGCTATTGTGAATAGTGCTGCAATAAACATATGTGTGTATGTGTCTTTATAGTAGAATGATATAATCCTTTGGGTATATACCAAGTAATGGCATTGCTGGGTCAAATGATATTTCTGGTTCTAGGTCCTTGAGGAATCACCACACTGTCTTCCACAATGGTTGAACTAATTTACACTCCTACCAACAGTGTAAGAGCGTTCCTATTTCTCCACATCCTCTCCAGCATCTGTTGTTTCCTGACTTTTTAATGATCGCCATTCTAACTGGCGTGAGATAGTATCTCATTGTGGTTTTGATTTGCATTTCTCTAGTGACCAGTGATGATGAGCTTTTTTTCATATGTTTGTTGGCCACATAAATGTCTTCTTTTGAGAAGTGTGTGTTCATATCCTTTGCCCACTTTTTGATGGATTTTTTTTTTCTTGTAAATTTGTTTAAGTTCCTTGTAGATTCTGGATATTAGCCCTTTGTCAGATGGGTAGATTGCAAAAATGTTCTCCCATTCTGTAGGTTGCCTGTTCACTCTGATGATAGCTTCTTTTGCTGTGCAGAAGCTTTTTAGTTTAATTAGATCCCATTTGTCAATTTTGGCTTTTGTTGGCATTGCTTTTGGTGTTTTAGTCATGAAGTCTTTGCCCATGCCTATGTCCTGAATGGTATTGCCTAGGTCTTCTTCTAGGGTATTTATGGTTTTAGGTCTTACCTTTAAGTCTTTAATCCATCTTGAGTTAATTTTAGTGTAAGGTATAAGGAAGGGGTCCAGTTTCAGTTTTCTGCATATGGCTAGCCAGTTTTCCCAACACCATTTGTTAAATAGGGAATCCTTTCCCCATTGCTTGTTTTTCTCAGGTTTGTCAAAGATCAGGTGGTTGTAGATATGTGGCATTATTTCTGAGGCCTCTGTTCTTTTCCATTGGTCTATATATCTGTTTTGGTACCAGTACCATGCTGTTTTGGTTACTGTAGCCTTGTAGTATAGTTTGAAGTCGGGTAGTGTGATGCCTCCAGCTTTGTTCTTGTTGCTTAGGAGTGTCTTGGCCATACGGGCTCTTTTTTGGTTCCATATGAAATTAAAAGCAGTTTTTTCTAATTCTATGAAGAAAGTCAGTGGTGGCTTCATGGGGATAGCATTGAATCTATAAATTACTGTGGGCAGTATGGCCATTTTCACGATATTGATTCTTCCTATCCATGAGCATGGAATGTTTTTTCATTTGTTTGTGTCCTCTCTGATTTCCTTGAGCAGTAGTTTGTAGTTCTCCACAAAGAGGTCCTTCACATCCCTTGTAAGTTGGATTCCTAGGTATTTTATTCTCTTCGTAGCAGTTGTGAATGGGAGTTCACTCATGATTTAGCTCTCTGTTTGTCTGTTATTGGTATATAGGAATGCTTGTGATTTTTGCACATTGATTTTTGTGTTGAAGTTGCCTGTCAGCTTAAGGAGATTTTGGGCTGAGATGATAGGGTTTTCTAAATAAACAATCATGTCATCTGCAAACAGAGACAATTTGACTTCCTCTCTTCCTATTTGAATACCCTTTATTTCTTTCTCTTGCCTGATTGCCCTGGCCAGAACTTCCAATACTGTGTTTAATAGGAGTGGTGAGAAAGGGCATCCTTGTCTTGTGCTGGTTTTCAAAGCGAATGCTTCCAGCTTTTGCCCATTCAGTATGATATTGGTTGTGTGTTTGTCATAAATAGCTCTTATTATTTTGAGGTACGTTCCATCATTACCTAGTTTACTTACAGTTTTTAGCATGAAGGGGTGCTGAATTTTGTTGAAGGCCTTTTCTGCATCTTTTGAGATAATCATGTGGTTTTTGTCATTGATGAACCAAATCTTTCTTCATCTAGGGATTCAATTATGTATTCTTTAAGATTGTACTAGCATTATAGATAAAGTGGATTAATCATTGTTTAAGCCTCTTGGATTTCCATTAAATCATTGGTCTTTCCTTTGAATATACTCTTCTTGTTAAAATGTTTTTTTAAAAAAATTTAATCAGAAGTTAATTTGATTTATAGTGTGTTTTATTTTTGTAACTAATGTTCAATATTTATCATGAAACCTTTATTCATGAATTAGTAATAGAATAAATGGAACCCAGCCATAAAAATTTCTATTCTCTACCAAAAAATATAATGATTGCAAATTTTAAAAATGTGCTAGTTAATTTAGCTCTAACTTCCCCTTGAAAATATAGAGAGTCAAAACCAAAGTGAGATTGTGCATACATATCAGGCTAATTCTGCTATTCTGGTGTCATTTTTCTCTCTTTAAATATTTATTTATTAGATTCCTTTTAAATTCAAAGGCATGATAGTTTTAGCAAATCAAACAACAAAAGTACATAAGGAAAAATATAAATCTCCCTTCAGCATCCCTTAGCTCTCACACTCTGAGATAACAAATGTAAATAGTGTCTATACTTCTTAGTTGAATTCTTTGAAGCTGCCCTTAAAGAAAATACCTCATAGAGGCCAGGTGCAGTGGCTCACGCCTGTAATCCCAGCACTTTGGGAGGCCGAGGTGGGTGGATCACAAGGTCAGGAGATTGAGACCATCCTGGCTAACACGGTGAAACCCCGTCTCAACTAAAAATACAAAAAAAAATTAGCCAGGCGTGGTGGCAGGCACCTGTAGTCCCAGCTACTGGGGAGGCTGAGGCAGGAGAATAGCTTGAACCCAGGAGGCGGAGCTTGCAGTGAGCCGAGATCGCTCTACCACTGCACTCCAGCCTGGGCCACAGAGCGAGACTCCGTCTCAAAAAAAAAAAAAAAGAAAAGAAAATACCGCATAGAATTCAAGGTTTTTTCTTTTTCTTTTCAATGATACTATTAAACTAATACAGTGAAACCTCCAATTTAACTTTTGCTTAAAGAACACATCAATATCTTTGATGTTCTGGTAAAATAATGGTTTTTTATTCAGCCGTGCACCTTGGTATATGAGCACAGGCTTAATGGTCTTTTGAAAAAAAATTATCTTCCATATCCAAACTTCAAAGACTCTAGATGTTTTCACAAAAGAATTGAGGCTGTAGTTTCATCTTTGGAGGTATTACCCTAAGTTAGGTAGTTCTTTCAAGAACCTAGGGCCTGGCATCACTTTTTGTTATCCTATTGATCTAAAGACATAGAGAATGTGTGTAAATACAAAATAAAAATGCTGAAAGTTGTCACATTCTGAAGCTTTCTGCTACCCTTAACACTCAGTAATTCTAAGCAGAACAACTGATGTTCATGTAACAATTTAAAGGTCCCCAGAATTTTCTAAAGTCCTGTTAAGATTCTGCCTCCAGCTTGAGAGAAACTGCTGATAGTTCTGTTAATTCATGATGTGTACCATATATTCTGTCTAATGTTTACTAATGATTATTATCTTAAAAAAAGTTTCTTGAATACACTGCAGCACTTTTATAATCATTGCTTGATACTCAAAACAGTCTTTTGTAAGGTAAAGCTGTTATAATCATCTTGATTTTATACATGAAAATCTGGAGGCTCAAAAGTTGAATGGCATAATCAAGATTCCACAGCTGGGAAGAACATGAAACTTGGAGTTTAAAGGGTCTGCATAGGTCTGAAACTTGAACCATAGCCTATTGACTTCAAATATCTTGTTCTTTCCTCTATACGTTATTGCTTCTTAAAAAAAAAAGTTTTGAAACTGTTTGTCCTATAATCCACCCCCAAAAATCCCTCATAGGTTTTATCTATCTACCTATAAAAGATAAGGCATATAATTTTTATTCTGTTCTGGAAAGCACAAACTTCCAGTTTTACAGATTATTCACCACTACAGGTCATGTGTCTAATCAAAAGTCAACTAGCTCAAGACTAAGAAAAAGAAGACCCAGATAAAATCAGAATAGAAAAAGAAGATATAGAAACCAAAACCACTGAAATACAAAGACTCATTAGAGACAATTATGAACAACTAAACACCAACAAATTAGAACACCTAGAAGAAATGGATAAATTTTGGGACATATACAATCTACAAAGATTGAACCATAAAGGCTTTTTCTCTAAGATCTAGATCAAAACAAGGATGCCTACTTTCACCATTTATATTCAGCATGATACTAGAAATCCTGGCCAGTGCAATAATTAGGCAAAAGAAAGAAAGGGCATCCAAATTGGAAAGGAAGAAGTCAAATTAGTCTTGTTCACAAACAACATGATCTTATATTTAGAAAAAGCTAAAGAATCTACCAAAAAAAAAAAAACTGTTAGAACTGATTAACAAATTCACTAAAGTTGCAGGATACAAAGGCAGCATACAAAAGTCAGTAGCATTTATATATGCCAGTGGTGAGCAAGCTGAAAAAGACACTGAAAAAAGCAATCCCATTCATAATTGCTACAAAGAATAAAAATTACCTAGGAATCAATTTAACCAAAGAAATCAAAGATCTGTACAAGGAAAATCTAAAACATTGATGAAAGAAATTGAAGTGGACACCAAAAAATGGAAAGACATCCCATGCTCATGGATCAGAAGAATTAATATTGTCAAAATGAATACACTGCCCAAAGCAATTTATAGATTCAATGCAATTTCTATCAAAATATCAATGATATTCTTTACAGAAATAGAAAAAAATCCTAACATTTATATGGACCCACAAAAGACTCCAAATAGGCAAAACAATCCTGAGCAAAAAACAAAACTGGAGGCATTACACTACCTGACTTCAAAATGTACTACAGAGCTATAGTAACCAAATCTGTATGGTGCTGGTATAGAAACAAACACATAGAGCGGTGGAACAGAATAGAGAACCTAGATATAGATCCCTGTACTTACAGCCAACTCATTTTTGACAACGGCACCAAGAACATAAAATGGGGAAAGGATAGTTTCTTCAATAAATGGTGCTGGGGAAACTGGATAACCCTATCCAGAAAAATGAAACTAGACCCCTGTCTCTCACCAGATGCAAAACCCAAAATGGATTAAAGACTTAAATTTAACACCTGTAATTGTGAAACTTCTAGAAGAAAACATTGGGGAAACACTCCAGGACGTTGGTTTGGGCAAATTTGTGTGTGTGCATGTGTGTGTGTGTGTGTGTGTGTGTGTGTGTGTAAGACCTCAAAAATCACAGGCAACCAAAGCAAAAATAGACAATTGGGATTACATCAAGCTAAAACTATTCTGCACAGCAAAGGAAACCATAACCAAAGTGAAGAGACAACCCACAGAATGGGACTAAATGTTTGCAAACTATCCATCTGACAAGAGATTAGTTGCCAGAATATATAAGGAACTCAAAACAATTCAGTAGCAAAACAAACAAAACAAAACAAACACCTACCTTCCCCCGACCCAGATAGTCCAATTAAAAACAGGCCAGAGATCTGAATAGACATTTCTCAAAAGAAGAAATATAAATGGCCAACAGGTATATGAAAAAATGTTTAACATCATTAATCACCAGAGAAATAGACATTAAAATCTCAATGAGGTATCACCTCACCCCAGTTAAAAGTGCTTTTATCAAAAAGATGATGGAGTAAAAGATGCTGACAAAGATGTAGAGAAAGAGGAACACTCATACACTGTTGGTGAGAATGTAAATTAGTACATCCACTATGGAGAACAGTATGGAGGTTCCTAAAAAAATTTTAAAATAGAACTACCATGTGATCCAGTAATTCCACCACTGGATATATATCCGAAAGAAAGAAAATTAATATATCAAAGAGATATTTACACTCCAATGTGTATTGCAGCATTATTCACAATAGCCAAAATATGGAATTAACTAAGTGTCCATCAGTGGATGAATGGATAAAGAAAATACGTTATATATACATAATGGAATATTATTTAGCCATAAAAAATTGAAATCCTGTCGTTTGCAGCAAGATGGATGGAACCAGAGGTTGTTAAGTGAAATAAGCCAAGTACAGAAAGACAAATATTGCATGTTCTCACTCATATGTGAGAGCTAAAAAAGTTGATGGGCATGGTGGCTCACGCTTGTAATCCCAGCACTTTGGGAGGCCAAGGTGGGAGGACCGTTTGAGACCAGGAGTTTGAGATCAGCCTGGGCCACGTAGCAAGATTCCATCTCTACAAAACTTTTTAAAAAATGAGCCAGGCATGGTGGCTACTTGGGAGGCTGAAGTGGGAGGATCAGTTAAGCAAGCCCAGGAGTTCAAGGTTGCAGTGAGCTGATAGTGACATCACACTCAAGCCTGGGTGACAGAGTGAGACCCTGTTTTTTGTTTGTTTGTTTAAGTTGATCTGGTCCAGTGTGGTGGCTCACACCTATAATCCCAGCACTTTGGGAGGCCAAGGCAGAAGGACCACTTGAGCACAGGAGTTTGAGACCAGGCTGGGCAACATGGCAAAACTCTGTCTCTAGAAAAAAATTTTAAATTAGCCAGCTGTGGTCTTGTATGCCTTTAGCCCCAGCTACTGAGGAGGCTGAGGTGGAAGGATCTCTTGGGCCGCAGAGGTTGAGGCTGCAGTGAGCTGTGATTGCACCAATCATAGTCCAAACTGGGTGATGGAGCAAGACATTGTCCAAAAAAAAAAAAAATGCTGATCTAATGAAGATAGAGAGTAGACTGATGGTTAACAGTGGCTGGGAAGGGTACGGAGTTCTGGGGATGAAGAGAGATTGATTAATGGGTACAAATATACAGTTAGAAGAAATAATACCTGTTTTTTGATAGACCAGTGGAGTGACTATAGTTAACAATAATCTATTGTGTATTTAAAAATAACTGGAAGAAAATAATTCAAATGTTCCTAGCATAAAGAAAATATAAATATTTAAGGAGATGAATATCCCAAGTACCCTGACTTGATCTTTACACGTTATATGAATGTATTAAAATACGACATGTGGCGGGTGCAGTGGCTCACACCTGTAATCCCAGCACTCTGAGAGGCCAAGCCAGGCAGCTTACTTAACGCCAGGAGTTTGAGACCAGCCTGGCCAGCATGGCAAAACCCTGTCTCTACTAAAAAATACAGAGATTAGCCAGGTGTAGTGGCGTGTGCCTGTAATCCCAGCTACTTGGGAGGCTGAGGCAGGAGAATCATTTGAACCTGGGAGGCGGAGGTTGCAGTGAGTCAAGATCATGCCACTACACTCCAGCCTGGGCAACAGAACGAGACTCTGTCACACACACACAAACACACACACACACAAACACACACACACACACAAATATATCTATATCATATAAAGTATATATTATAAAATATTCTATGTTGTATATATATAATATATATATCTTACATGTACCTGAAAATATGTACATCTGTTATGTATCAATAAAAGGTTTTTAAATACTTTAAATGAACTAGCTAATGCACCCGGTTTCATTTGCTATAATAATGGAAGTACAGGGTAGTTGATATTCTAACCTATAGACCAGACTATGTACCATACTATTAATTGTCATAAAAGAAAAAAACACCTGAATTTAGGATTCTGTAACTTTGGAATGGGACTAGCATGAAAGCATAAATAGAAAAAATGGTTACAATCAAGTAAAACAGAGAAGTAAATATGTTGTTAAAGAAAGTCATCTTAGGATACCTGTAACATTCCAGTTACAGGTATCCTAAGATTAGGCAAAGCAGATACCAGGCTGTCTGTAATGGCTAGTGGCCCTCACAGAGAAAGGAGATGAGGTCTTTGAGCCTGAGGAATTGGATATGTGACCACTACACCATGCAGGGACCCTGGAAAGGCTCCCTCCCCCTGTTCTTCTTAAACAGAGAAATCCCTGTTTCTTCTCAGGGCTCTGGGTGAAGCGGGGGAAGTTTGTCTTGAGAAATCTAGTGGTATTTATAGATGATTCAGAAATTCCAAGCTAAGAAATTAAATTAAAACTGATGCTAGAAGGATGAAACCTTTGGGAGAACTTGGCAGAATCAAATGTAAAACAACTTTATAGGGACATTTCACAAACTAAGATTCCTGAGCTTTCCACACCTCACTAATCGGATGAAAATGAGATCATGATAGTTCTTATAAGTTACTTATGGAAATGATCCTTGTTAAGGGAGAGTAAGTGGATTAAATAACTATTAGATCAAGTTGAAAGGGAATTAGAAAGCTGAAAAACACAGATGAGGAATTTATACAAAATGTAGCATAGAGAGATGAAGATACAGAGATATAGAAAAGGTTAAGAGACCCAGATGATGGGATTAGATGATTTCTAAAGGAAATTATAGACAAAGAATAGAGAGAGAATGTGGGAAGGATAATATTTGAAACAATAGTGGCTGCAATTTTTTAGAATGGATTAAATATATAAATCACCAAATTGAAAAAGCATATCAGGTTCTGGAAAGGATTAATAAAAATAAATACCTAAATTAAAAAAACCTAGATACAATATAATAAAATAGAAGAACTCTAAAGACAAAGTCCTAAATTAATCTGCAAGGTGAATAAGATTACCCAAAAGGGTCGGCAATTAAACTGACAACAAATCTCTCATCAGCCAAAGTAGAAGTGGAATAGAAAAATATTTTCCATGTGCCAATGGAAATGTAAACCTAGAATTCTTTACTTTGCTAAATTATTCTAAAATGAAGATGAAATAAAAACCTTTTCCATAATGGTACAGCCACTGCAGAAAACAGTTTGGGAGTTCCTTGAAAAGTTAAACATATAATTACTATGTGGCCTAGAAATTCCACTTTTAGGTATATACCCCAAAAAACTGAAAACTCCAACAGTACTTGTACACAAATATGCATAGCAGTATTTTTCACAATAGCCAGAATGTGGGAATAATCCAAATGTCCATCAACGGATAAATGTATGAACTAATTGTGGTATAGTCATGCGTCACTTGACAGTGGAGCTGTATTTTGAGAAATGTGTCAGGTGATTTTGCAGTTGTGTGAACACTACAGAGTGCACTTATTCAGAGCTAAATAGTATGGCCTACTGTGCATGTAGGCTATATGGTAGCCTATTGCTCCTATGCTACAAATCTGTAAAAGCATGTTACTGTACTGAATACTATAAGTGATTGTAACACGGTGGTATTTGTGTATAGAAAAGATACAGGGAAAATGCAGTATTATAATCTAGGATCACCATCATATATGTGGTTGATCGTTGAGCAAAACATCGTTATGCAATGCATGATTGTATATAAGTACAGTGGGATATTATTCAGCCATAAAAAGGAAAGGACTACGGATACATGTTACAATGTGGATTAACCTCAAAAACATTATATGAAGAAATGAAGCCAAACCCAAAAGGTCACATATTGCCTAATTACATTTACATGAACTAGGCAGAGTAGATAAATCCATGGAGACAGAAAGCATATTGCTGATTGTCAGGGGCTGAGGGGAGTGGGGGATAGGGAGTGACTGCTTAATGGGTATAGTGTTTTCTTTTGGGGCAATGAAAATATTTTGAAATGTGGTTACACAACATTCTGAATGGATTAAATTGCACACTTTTTAAAAAAACAAAATGTAACCATTTGGGTAAAAATAAGTATTGATTGTTTAAAAGAGAAAATATTGATAATAACTATGTCGAGGATTTGATGAAACAAGATGGAGCCAAAATAGTCAACAATCTTAGTTGGATGATGGGAAGAGGGTGATTAAAATGAATTAAGGTTGTTGGATATAGGTATTGATTAACTTTAGACTTTAGAAATATTAACATAAAATAGAACTTAAGATAATAGACATTATTACAAAGACTTCTGCTTCTACTTCAGAAGAACATGAAAGACTTTTGCTCCCATGATAATCATAAAAGTTACCAAGTTTTAAAATCATACTTGTTATAGGGCAAGTAAAGAGCAGCAGACAAGAGGAGGTCTGAAAAGTCTGAATTTCACAGAAAAATAAGGCCTTCATAAATGAGTAGAGAGCCACAGCAGCTTCATACCTAGGGGTGGGTGCCTGGTCATGGTACAAGTGGGTCTGACTTAGACACTAAATCACCCATGCCCTAGAGGCCCAAATGCAAAGAGGAATCATTTAGCCTAGAAATTCTTCCCCTTCCCCACCCCACCAACCCATAGAGATTTCTCTAGAGAGAAATCGTCTAGTTCTTCACATTCTCGCAGAGATTGATTCAGTGTACTTGCCACATTTGAACCAAAAAGCAAACAAAAAGTATCGAAACTGCAGCTAAACCCTTCTATATCACTTACTAACAAGATTTTTTTTTTAATATAGTGGCTCAAGGGTTTGGGTATTGAGCCAAACACAGCTGATCTAAGTGTACTTTTAGCTGTGACCCAGCTCCAGCTCAACTCTAGAAGGATTACAAATGAGCAGACACTAACCTTAACTTCCGGACAGAGGGAAGGGCTTGTACTCTGGGAAATAACAAGCCAAAATAAAATTATACTACATTCTTAACTATTCTGTCTGGAATGTGTTCTAAAATTATGAGCTACACAAATTAGCAGAAAAATGTGACCTATTAACAAGAGAAAATAGTCAATGTAGTCTGATGTTTTGGTGACCCAGTTTTGGAATTTAGTAGATGAGGGCCTTAAAACATCTGTGACAAATATGTTAAATAATTTACAGGAAAGATGGATGTAAGGATTGAAGAGATGAGATATTTCAAGGGATTCATGGAAGTTCTAAAAGAATCAAATAGAATTTCTATAACTGAAAAATCTCAAATTTTAAAAATCATTGAATAGGCATTTCAGCAATTATTCACTACACAAGAAAGGATTAGTGAACTTGAAGACAGGTTAACAGAAATTATTCAAACTGATGCACAAAGAGAAAAAAGATAGAAAAAATTAACACATCATCAGCAACGTGTAAGGAAATATTAAGAGGTCTAACATACATATAATTGGAGGTGCAAAAAAGAGAAGAGAAAGAATAGGGCATACAAGTGTTTGAACAAATAATGTCCCCCAAATTCCAAATCTGATGACAGACAACCCACAGATTCAAGAAGCTCAGTGAGTAAATATGAAACACCTATGCACACTATTAAATTACTAGAAACCAACGATAAAGAGAAAGCTTAAGACGACAGAAGAAGGAAGGCTAAAAAAATTGGGGGGAGGCTGGGTGCAGTGGCTCACATCTGTAATCCCAGCACTTTGGGAAGCTGAGGCAGGTGGAATGTTTGAGCTCAGAAATTTAAGATCAGCCTGAGCAGCATAGTGAAACCCCATCTGTACCAAAAATACCCCTCCCCCCACCAAAAAAAATATGTATGTCGGGCATGGTGGTGCATACCTGTGGTCTCAGCTACCTGGGAGGCTGAGGCGGGAGAATCACTTGAGCCTGGGAAGCAGAGATTGCAGTGAGCTGAGATCACGCCACTGCACTCCAGCCTGGGCAACAGAGTGAGACCTTGTCTCAAATAATAATAATAATAATAAGAAGAAGAATACTCACTGACCTTTAAGAAATAATTGAAAGCCAAATTATATATATATTCAAAATTCTCTTCTAAAAATAAAAGCTTTTTAGGTGAAAAAAAAAACTGAGAGGATTCATCACTAACATTTCCACAACTAAGAAATACTAAAGGAAATTCTTTAGGTGAAGAGAAATGAAACCCAGATATGTAGGAAGGAATGAAGAACACCATAAATGCTAAGTATGTGATAAATATGAAATCCCTTTTACCTCTTTTTAAAAGTCCTTTAAAAGATAATTAACTGTTTAAAGCAAAGATCATAATGATGTATTGTTGTCAAGTAAAATATTTGACAGTAGCACACAAGATAGGAAAAACCGTGAGCCAAGATTGCACTACTGCACTCCAGCCTGGGTGACAGAACGAGACCCTGTCTCAAAAAATAAAAATTTAGAAAGACAGGAAAGGATTAGAGGAAAATACACTGTTATTCTGGTGATAGAAGCATAATATTATTTCAAGGTAGACTGCAAAAGGGACGTATTTCATGTAGAACAACCATAAAATATGCATAAATATTTAATTATTTCAAAAGAGGTCTGAAAAGGGGAACAAAGGAACAAAAAGTAGATGGGACAAATGGGAAACAAATAGCAAGATGTTAGATTTGAACCATATTCATGATTAAATGTAAATGAGTCTAACACTCCTATTAAAAGCCTGGATGACAGAGTGAGACCCTGTCTCAGAAGAAGCGGGCAGGGGAGATAATTTTGTGCTATTCACACTAGCATAAAATTACCTAAGACTAAATATAACTTTGTTAGATTTGCAAGTTTAAGACCTAAAAAATGTTGCTGGAGAGAAATTTCAATAACCTAAATAAATCAGGAGGTACGTCATGTTTATGGATTGGGAGCCTGAGTTACAGATTCGAAACAATTTTAATCATAACCCTAGCAGAGTTTTTTGTTTGGAAGTTGGTAAACTGTTTCTAAATGTTATATGGAAATAGAAATGTCCTAGAATAGCCAACACAATCACAAAGAACAAGAGCAAAGTTGAGGACTTACATGGCCATATGTAAAGGCATATTATAAAACTGCAGTAATCAACACAGAGTAGTATATTAGTGTGAGGAAAAATACATAATTTATTGGCACAAAAGATTCCAGAAACAGACCCCCATATAAGGATCACCTGATTTACCAAAGTACCCTTACATTTCTATGGGGAAAGGATGACCTTTCAGTAAAATGTGCTGGGTCAATTGAAAAAAAACATGGAAAAGAAAAACAAACCTTGATACCTACCTCAGAACATATGCAAAGAGTAATCTGAAATAGTTCATAGATATAAATGTGAAAGGTAAAACAGATTCTAGAAGAAAATACACAAGAATATCTTTATAATCTCAGGGTAAGCAAATATTTCGTCAACATGACATACTGTATCTTCATAACCATTTAAAATAATTGATAAATTGGACTTCACTGAAGTAGGAAATTGTTTATTAAAAAACAACTGAGCGCAGTGACTCATGCTTATAATCCTGGCACTTTGGGAGACCGAGGTGGGTGGATCACGAGGCCAAGAGATCGAGACCATCCTGGCCAATATGGTGAAACTCCATCTCTACTAAAAATGTAAAAATTAGCTGGGTGTGGTGGCGTGCACTTGTAGTCCCAGCTACTCAGGAGGGTGAGGCAGGGGAATCGCTTGAACCCAGGAGGTAGAGGTTGCAGTGAGCCGAGATCCCACCACTGCACTGCAGCTTGGTGACAGAGCTAGACTCTGTCTCAAAACAAACAAACAACCTTGGCCTGGCGCAGTGGCTCACGTCTGTAATCCTAGCACTTTGGGAGGCCGAGGTGGGCGGATTGCCTGAGCTCAGGAGTTCGAGACCAGCCTGGGCAAAACGATGAAACCCCATCTCTATTAAAATACAAAAAATCAGCTGGACGTGGCGGCGTGTGCCTGTAGTCCCAGCTACTCGGGAGGCTGAGGCAGGAGGATCGCTTGAACCCGGGAGGTGGAGGTTGCAGTGAGCCGAGATTGCGCCACTGCACTCCAGCCTGGGCGACAGAGCAAGACTCCGTCTCAAAAACAAACAAACAAACAAAAAAACCTTAAGATAATGTGAAAGGACAGAGAAGACATCCTATCCAACAAAGTGCTCATATCCAAAAGATAAAAAGAACTACAAATCTATCAGAAAAAGAAACCCAATTTAAAAAAATGAGTGCTTCACAAAAACCCCCAAAATGGCCAATAATTATATGAATAGGTGCTCACAATCATCACTTGTAGCAGGGAAATACATTTTAAATAATACAATATCATTATATCCTTATTAGAAGGATGGTGTTAAGAAGACCAACAATACCAAGTATCCATAAAGGTGTGAAATAATTGAAACTCTTGTAAATTATTCATGGAAGGATAAATTGGCACAACTGTTATAGTTTAGAAAACTTTTAGCAATAACTACTAAATGGGAAGTTCTAGCCATAGCAATCAGGCAAAAGAAAGAAAGAAAAGGGATCCAGGTAGGAAGAAAGGAAGTCAAACTATCAGTCTTCTCAGATAATTTGATTCTATACCTAGAAAACCCCATAGTGTCTGCCCAAAGGCTCTTAGATCTGATAAACAACTTCAGCGAAGTTTCAGGATACCAACTTAATGTACAAAAGTCAGTAGCATTTCTGTAGACCAATAACGTCCAAGCTGAGAGCCAAATCAAGAACGCAATACTGTTCACAATAGCCAGAAAAAGAATAAAATGCCTAGCAAAACAGCTAACTAGGGAAGTGAAAGATCTCTACAATGAGAATTACAAAACACTGCTGAAAGAAATGAGAGATGACACAAACAAAAAAACATTTCATGCTCATGGATGGGAAGAATCAATATTGTTAAAATGGCCATACTATCCAAAGCTATTTACAGATTCAATGTTATTCCTATCAAAATGCTAATGCCTTTTTTTTCACAGAATTAGAAAAAAATATTCTAAAGTTAATGTGGGGCCAGGCATGGTGGCTCACACCTGTAATCCTAGCCCTTTGGGAGGCCAAGGCAGGTAGATCGCTTGCGATCAGGAGTTCAAGACCAGCCTGGCCAACATGGTGAAACCCTCTCTCTACTAAAAATACAAAAATTAGCTTGATGTGGTGGCAGGCACCTGTAATCTCAGCTACATGGGAGGCTGAGGCAGGAGAACCACTTGAAGGTGGGAGGTGAAGGTTGCAGTGAGCCAAGATCACGCCACTGCACTCCAGCCTGGGTGACAGAGTGAGACTTCATCTCAAAAAATAATAATAAATAAAATCCATATGGAATGAAAAAAAAAGTCTGAGTAGCCAAAACTATCCTAAGCAAAAAGAACAAAACTGGAGGTATCACCCACATGGACTTCAAACTATACTGCAAGGCTACAATAACGAAAACAGCATGGTACTGATACAAAAACAGACACTTAGACCAATGGAATAGGTTAGAGAACCCATAAATAGAGCTGCACACCTACAACCATGTGATCTTTGACAAAGCCACCAATAACAAGCAATGGGGAAAGGATTCCCTATTCAATGAATGGTGCTGGGATAACTGGCTAGCCATATACATAAGATTGAAACTAGAATCCTTCCTTTTACTATATACAAAAATCAGCTCAAGGTGGGTTAAAGACTTAAATGTAAAACCTAAAAATATAAAATCCCTGAAGAAAACCTAGGAAATACCATTCTGGACATAGGCCCTGGCAAATGCTTCATGACGAAGGCTCCAAAAGCAATTGCAGCAAAACCAAAAATTGACCAGTGGGACCTACGTAAACTAAAGAGCTTCTGCACAGCAAAAGAAACTATCAACAGAGTAAACAGACACCCTACAGAATGGGAGAAAATATTTGCAAACTATGCACCTGACAAAGGCCTAATATCCAGAACCTATAAGGAATTTAAATAAATTCACAAACAAACAAACAAAAAAACCCTTTTAAAAAGTGGGCAAAGGACATGAACAGACACTTTTCAAAAGAAGACATACATGTGGCCAACAAGAATATGAAAAAAAGCCCAACATCATTAATCATTAGAGAAATGCAAACCAAAACCACAATGAGATACCATCTCACACCAGTCAGAACAGCTATTATTAAAATTCAAAAAACAGATGCTGATGAGGATGCAGAGAGAGGGGAATCCTTATACACTACTGGTGGGACTGTAAACTAGTTCAGCCACTGTAGAAGGCAGTTTGGAGATTTCTCAAACAACTTAAAACAGAACTACCATTCAGCATGGTTGCAGCTGGAGGCCATTATCCTAAGCAAACTAATTCAGGAACACAGAACCAAATACTGCATTTTTTTAAATAAGTGAGAACTAAACATTGAGCATATGTGGACACAGAAAAGGAAACAGGAGACATGGAGGCCTTCTTGGGGTGGAGGGTAAGAGGAGGGTGAGGACTGAAAAACTACCTGTTGGATACTATGCTCATTACCTGGATGACAAAATAATTTGTACACCAAACTCCAGTGACACACAATTTACCCATGTAACAAACCTGCACATGTACCCCACCAAACCCAAAATGAAAGTTGGAAGGAAAAAAAACACTGCTAAAAGTAAATACTCTCCAACCCTTTAGTCTAACAGTTTCTTCCTAGGTATATGTTCAGGTGAAATAAATGTATGTGTCTACCAAAAGATGTGCACAAGGATATTTATAGCAGTTTTGCTCATAATAGCTAAAAGTTAGAAACAACCTAAATGTCACTTAACCACAGCATGGAAAAATAAATTGTAGTATATTCATTAAGGGAACACTACAGAGCAAAAAGTACAAACTGCTGCATCATGCAACAGCATGGACAAATTTCACAGACAGTTAAAGGTGAAAAAGTAAAACCAAAGACTGCATAGTGTTTGATTCCATTTATGTGAAGTGCAATATCAGTTGAAATTAATCTATGGTAATAAAATTCAGAGGTGTTTACTTCTGGGAGGGGATGTATTTTGTTTATCTCTGGGTGCATAAAAAGGCAAAACAGAATCTTTTGGTGTTGAATGTGTTCTATGTCGAGAGTGAGATAGTGGTATTATAAGTTTGTATATGTATTTTTATACCTAGGATTTGTATACCTTAGTGGATGAATGTTATACTTTAATAAAAAATCATTTTTGTGGGGGCGTATTTTAGATCTGGCTACTGAACATGCAATAATGACCATCCGATATCATTGTGCTGCCTTAGCATCCATATTATGGTCTTGAAATATTATTTTCCACAAAAAGAAACCAGGGCTTGGACAAAGGCTGATTGTAGGACTGAGGCAGAAAATGTATGAGATGGAACTAGAACACCTTATTGTAAAAGACAGCCAAGTAAACTGAAAGAGTTCTTTGAAAGGTACTCAGGAACCAACATGAAGAGCCTCCCCCTGGCCAAAATGGGTTATTTTGATTAAAAAAAAAAAAAAAAAAAAAAAGAAGGAAGTAGGCTGGGCGCTGTGGCTCATGTCTGTAATCCTACCACTTTGGGAGGCCGAGGCAGGCAGATCACTTGAGGTTAGAAGTTCGAGACCAGCCAGGCCAACATGGTGAAACCCCGTCTCTACTAAAAATACAAAAATTAGCTGGGTGTGGTGGCACATGCCTGTAATCCCAGATCCTAGGGAGACTGAGGCAGGAGATTTGCTTGAACCTGGGAGATGGAGGTTGCAGTGAGCTGAGATTGTGTGCCACTGCACTCCAGCCTAGGTGACCAAGTGAGATTCCTTTGCCCAAAAAAAAAAAAAAAAAAAAAAAAGAAGAGGAAGTATTTAAATTGCCTATCTTATGCAAACTGTACTAGTAAGTAAAAGAACAGTGGATGAGACTTTTCTTTAGTGAGGAACTCCAAATGAAAGAAGAATGTTGAATTTAGAATGTCACCATTTTACAGCTCTTAATAAATTAATAGATCTAGTCACTGAGCTTTCAATGCTTCTTATTACAAAAGGAGAAGTAACCAAATATTATGTGCCTCCTGATGAAAAATACCATTTGTGAAGTAGTCTTGCTCAGACAAAAAAGTCAAACCTGAAATTGATCAATTTTATAGATCCAACTACCAATTTGTAGAAAATACAGAGGCCAGAGGAATATTAAACAACATTAACATGGGTACAATTAATAAAATCCAGACTGTGAGAAACTACAGGATAATCTGATTTCTTCAACAAATAACTTGCATGGGGGAGAAAGAAGGGATGGAAGGAGGGTGCCTGCAGATTGAAAGATTTAAAAGGACAAATGAGAACCAGGAGCTATAATGTTTAGAGATGATAAATTGAATAATAAATACAGAAAAGAAAGTGAAGAGTATAAAGTGGCAGGATGGTGCCTACACTTAGAAGAAATGGAGGGTAGTACTGTGATTAGAAAGGGACATGTGGGGCCCAGCATGGTGGCTCACGCCTGTAATCCTAGCACTTTGGGAGGCTGAGGCAGGCAGATCACCTGAGGTCAGGAGTTTGAGACCAACCTGGCCAACATGGTGAAACCCCATCTCTACTAAAAATACAAAAATTAGCCGATCATGGTGGTGGGTGCCTGTAATTCCAGCTACTGGAGAGGCTGAGGCAGGAGAATTGCTTGAACCCGGGAGGTGGAGGTTGCAGTGAATTGAGATGGCGCCACTGCTCTCCAGCCTAGGTGACAGAGCAAGACTCCGTCTCAGGAAAAAAAAAAAAAAAAAAAAAAAGGACAGGTGAAGGCTCTGGGGCTCTGGGGTTGCTGACAAAGTTCTATTTCTTGACCAGGGTAGGTGTTATAATAAGATGTTTGCCTTATAAGTCATTGGTCTATACATTTCATTTTTCATTTATGCAGTTTTCCTTTCTTTTCTTTATCTTTTTTTTTTTTTTTTTTGAGACGGAGTCTTGCTCTGTCTCCCAGGCTGGAGTGCAGTGGCACGATCTCGGCTCACTGCAAGCTCCGCCTTCCAGGTTCACGCCATTCTCCTGCCTCAGCCTCTGGAGTAGCTGGGACTACAGGTGCCTGATACTACGCCCGGCTAATTTTTTGTATTTTTTAGTAGAGACGGGGTTTCACCGTGTTAGCCAGGATGGTCTTAATCTCCTGACCTCGTGAGCCTCCCGCCTCAGCCTCCCAAAGTGCTGGGATTACAGGTATAAGCCACTGTGCCCGGCCTATGCAGTTTTCTTTATATCCATTATATTGCTAATAGGAAGATTTAAAATATATATATATTAAAAATTTAAAGCTTATGAATGATAAAGAAGAAAAAACATTAAGACTTGCTTTTAGTAGACTTGTTCTACTTTTTTCACTCTCATAAGTCATTTTTAACCAAAATTCCTCAATTACGAAAAAATAGAGTTTCTGATAATGTTAGCATTTGTTACTGTGTTTATTTTAAATACGGCCATTCTGAACCAACACTCTAAGCATTTTTTGCTTTTAGGTATTTATGACGAAGAGTAAATTTCTAACAATTCTTTTTAATACTTTGTTTCCCAACTTGAGGACCAAATGCAGAATAAAATTATTTTGATTTATTTACAGCCATTAGATTCTTGCAAAACAAATATAACTTCTTTTTTTTTTTTTTTTTTTTTTTTTTTTTTTTGAGACAGAGTCTCGCTCTGTCACCTAGGCTGGAGTGCAGTGGCGCGATCTCGGCTCACTGCAAGCTCCGCCTCCCGGGTTCACGCCATTCTGCCTCAGCCTCCCGAGTAGCGTAGCTGGGACTACAGGCGCCCGCCACCACGCCCAGCTGTTTTTTTTTTTTTTTTTTTGGTATTTTTAGTAGAGACGGGGTTTCACCGTTTTAGCCAGGATGGTCTCCATCTCCTGACCTCGTGATCCGTCCACCTTGGCTTCCCAAAGTGCTAGGATTACAGGCGTGAGCCACCGTGCCCGGCCAACAAATATAACTTCTTAATATTTTCAGCCATCTGTTTTTTTTGCTTATATGCATGTTATAATTTATGATTTTGCAGGTACTCATGAATTAGTATAGTATTCAAAGCAATTATATATATATGATAGTTAAAGAACATTTTGTAATATTCATATGACACTTAAATCTATGTATATGTAGGTCTAGTTCTAACATGTAGCATAATACCAATATAATTTTGTGCAATAACAATTTAATTTCTCTTATGCTACTTTGTTACTAAACTTGAACATATATGCAGACACTTTTGGTATACTTTCTAATCTTAAGTATTATTTTTATAGATTTCAGTTGCTGTCCCCAACTGAAACTTCAGCCTAGTGAAGTTTCTCCAAATTTAGATTAATAAAAAACTTTAAAAACTACATGACTCAAGAAAAGTTGTCTAATTTGGCATTAATAATAATGGAACAAAAATTATGTAAAAACCTTAATTATAACAACATAATGAAGCAATAAAAATATTTTATTGATTAGAAATACAATATTTAGGAGTCTATGTATCTTTATTCTATTATTCAAATACTACAAACTCTTCAGCAGGACACCTAGTCATGTGTAATAATAATTATATTCAATCTTTAGTATTTTGCCTACTTCCAATTATATAGTGTAATTTTCCAGTTTTTAAAAAATTTTGTCATTATGAAGATACATCTGTCAAGGAGGGAAGAAAGAGCATATTTAAGAGTTTGCTAGCTTGATTTTTATAACTTTAAAATATTTAAACCTGTGGTATGTAGGTCTTCATTTGTACTCTTGCCCTTGGGCCTGCAAATGTTACGGATAGTCTATTACTTTTGTTACATAGTGTTTTCCAGACATACTAGCCAATGAAATTAGACAAGAAACAGAAATAAAAAATATATAAGCATTTATAAGGTATCATTAATTGAGACAATCTGTTCTACATAGCAGTATCAAAAGAATCAATAAATATGAGTATGGTAATATTATTGGATATACAATTAATATCTAACAATCAGTTTCAATTAATAGGAAAAAAATACAAAAAAAGATAACACTCATAATACAAAAAAAAAGAAAAAAAGCTATAAAATACCCTGGAATAAACTGAACAAAAAATGTGACTTTTATGGAGAAAATTAAAATTTTCTGAAAGACTAAAAACAAAATGCAAATAAATATCAAAGTAAACCACATTCCTGGATGTGAAGACTCAACACTGTAAAAATGTAATTTCAGTCAAAATCTCGGGAGGAAGCTTTGGATAATTTAACAAATTGATTTTCATATTTGTGTATAGTAGTGAAGATGGCCATATAGCTAATACAGTTTTGAAGAAGATCAAATTGAGTGGACTTATCCTTTTGCATACTAACATTATAAATCTATAGTAATTATCATGATGCTATATTGGAACAATACAATGGAAAAGAATAAAGAGTATAGTAACAGATCTATTCACACATAGGTACTTAGTATAGGATTGAGATAAAATCATAAATCAATGTGTAAGTGTTCAAAAATAAATTCCAGATGGATTGAAAACCAAAAATGTGGTAAGTAAAATTATACACTATTAAAAGAAAAAGTAGTAAAACTGAAAATCAATTACTTGAGCATCAATTGGAAGGAAATAAATTAAAACTAAAGAAAGTGGTAGGAAAGAAAATTAAACCAAAATTAAGGAAATACAAAACAAACACAACAGAGAAAGTTAACAAAGCCCAAAAGTGGTCTTTTGAAAAGATTAATTGATAAATTCTTACTAAAACTGATTAAGAAAAGAAAGAAGGCACAAATAACTGATACCAGAAACAAAAGGGGGACATCACTATAACATCTACAGGATTACTAACACTGACACCAGAAGAAACCAAAGTCTGAAGATTCCTGTATCTGTTAAAGAAATTGAATCCACAAAGCAACCTCCATGCCCAGATGGCTTCACTTGGGAATCCTTTCAGATGTTAAGATAGAAACAATGAAAGTCTTATGTTAACTTTTCCCAGAAAACAGAAAAAGAACATTTACTATATTCATTTTCTATGTCTGCTTTAACAAATTGCCACAAACTGGATGACTTAAAACAACAGTTCTGGAGATCAGAGTCTGAATTCAAAGTGTGAGCATGGTTATGCCCCCTCTGAAGGCTCTAGGGGAGAATCCATTCTTTTTTTGGCTGTGTCACTCATCAGTCTGGGCCTCTGTGGTCACATTGCCTCCTTCTCTTCTCAAGATCCCTAACTTAATTACGTTTGCACAACCCTTTTTCCAAGTAAGGTAATATTCACAGGTTCTGTTGATTAGGTCACAAATACATCTTTTTTTGGTGGTAGTGGGGCACACATCATTCAACCTACTACATTTTCTAATTCATTTTATGAGACTAGGATAATTCTGGTATCAAAACCTACCAGGACATTATAAGAAAGGAAATATACAGACCAGACTTTCTTGTGAACATAATGCAGAAATCCTGAAGAATATACAGTAACATCAGTTAACTAGAACTGATAGACATTTATAGAATGCTTTATCCAACAACAACAAAATACACATTCCTCTTAAGGTTATATGGAACATTCACCAAGATAGACCACATTCTAAGTCATAAAACACTCAACTCATTTAAAAGAATAGCATACAAAATGTTCCTACAGACCACAATGAGTTAAACTAGAAATCAATAACAGAAAGCCAAAAATTCCCAAAATATTTGGAGATTAAACAACACATTTCTAAATAATACATGGGTCAAAGAAAAGGTCTTAAAAGCAAAAATATTTTTAAATGAGAATGAAAATACAACTTACCAAACTTTGTAGGAAGCAGTGCTTAGAGGGAGATTTACTGCATTGAATGAATACATTAGAAAAAATAAAGATCTAAGATTGAGAATCTGGCCAGGTGTGGTGGCTCATGCCTGTAATCCTAGCACTTTGGGAGGCCAAGGTGGGTGGATCACCTGAGGTCAGGAGTTTGAGACCAGCCTGGCCAACATGGTTGAAACCCTGTCTCTACTAAAAATACAAAATTAGCCAGGTGTGGTGACAGGTGCTTGTAATCCCAGCTACTTGGGAGGGTGAGGCAGGAGAATCGCTTAACCTGGGAGGCGAAGGTTGCAGTAAGCTGAGATCGTGCCATTGCACTCCAGTCTGGGCAACAAGAGTGAAACTCCATCTCACAAAAAAATAAAAAATAAAAATAAAATCAAGAATCTAAGCCTCCATTTTAGGAAATTAGAGGAAACAGGGCAATAGAAGTCTAAAGCAAGCTAAAGAAATGAAATAATGGGCTGAGGCAGGAGGATTGTGTGAGATCGTGAGTTCAAGACCAAGCAAACATAGTGAGACCCCATCTCTATCAAGAAAAAAAAAAATTAGCTGGGGATGGTGGCATGTGCCTGTAGTCCTAACTACTCAGGAGGATCCCTTGAGCCCAGGATTTCAAGGTTACAGTGAGCTATGATCACCCCACTGTACTCCATCCTGGGTGACATAGCGAGACCCCGTCTCTAAAAATAAATAAATAAGTAAATAAATAAGCTTTAAAAAATAAAAAGGAGTAGAAATTAAGGAAATTAATAACAATGGAGAAAATAAGTGAAACCAAAAGCCAGTTCTTTGAAATGTTCAGTAAAATTGCTAATCCTTTAGTCAGACTAACCAAGATAAAAGAAGAACTGAAGTACCAAGATCAAAAATGAAAGGGATTGTTGTTGCTGGTCACATGGGCATTAGAAGGATAATAAAGGAATATTATCAACAACTCTGTGTTCAGATTTAAAAAAAAATTTTGTGGATACACAGTAAGCATATATATTTATGGGGTATATGAGATACTTTGATACAGGCATGCAGTGTATAATAATCATATCAGGGTAAATGGGGATATCCGTCCCTTCAAGCATTTATCCTTTGTGTTACAAACCAATTATACTCTTGTATGTTTAAGTGTAGAATTTATTATTGACTATAGTCACTCTGTTGTGCTATCAAATACTAGGTCTTATTCGTTCTTTCTAACTACTTTTCTTACCCATTAACCATCCCTATGTCCCCTCCACATCCTCCTGCCCTCACCCTTCCCAGCCTCTAGTAACCATTCTTCTACTCTCTACCCCCATGAGTTCAATTGTTTTAATTTTCAGCCTCCACAAAGAAGTGAGAACATGTGAAGTTTGTCTGTCTGTGCCTGGCTTATTTCACTTGACATAATGACCCCCAGTTCCATTCATGTTGTTGTAAATGATAGGATCTCATTCTTTGTATGGCTGAATGTATATATGTTGGATGTTGGATGGATATATGTTGGATATGTATGGATGAATGTATCCATTGTACATATGTCCCACATTTTCTTAATCCATTCGTCTGCTGATGGACACTTAAGTTGCTTCCAAATCTTGGCTATTGTGAACAGTGCCACAACAAACATGGGAGTGCAGATATCTCTTCGATATACTGATTTACTTTCTTTTGGGTATATACCCAGCAGTGGAATTGCTGGATCATATGGGAGCTCTGTTTTTAGTTTTTTTGAGGAACCTCCAAACTGTTCTTCATAACAGTTGTATTAATTTACTTTCCCACCAACAGTGTGTGAGGGTTCCCTTTTCTCCACATCCTTGCCAGCATTTGTTATTGTCTGATTTTTGGATATAAGTCATTTTAACTGGGGTGAAATGATATCTCGTTGTATTTTGATTTGCATTTCTCTGATGAACAGTGATGTTGAGCACCGTTTCATATACCTGTTTGCCATTTGTGTCTTCTTTTGAGAAATGCCTATTCAGATCTTTGGCCCATTTTTAAATTGGATTGTTAGATTTTTTTTTCCTATAGGGTTGTTTGAGCTCCTTATATATTCTGGTTATTAATCCTTTGTCAGATGTGTAGTTTGCAAATATTTTTTCCCATCCTGTGGGTTTTCTCTTCACTTTGTTGATTGTATCCTTTGCTGTGCAGAAGCTTTTTAACTTGATGTGATCCCATTTGTCCATTTTTGCTTTAGTTGCCTGTGCTTGTGGGGTATTACTCAAGAAATGTTTGCCCAAAACAATGTCCTGGAGCATTTCCCCCAATGCTTTCATGTAATATTTTCATAGTTAAAGGTCTTAGATTTAAGTCTTTAATCCATTTTAATTTGATTTTTGTATATGGTGAGAGATAGGGGTCTAGTTTCATTCTTCTGCATATGGATATCCAGTTTTCCCAACACCATTTATTGAAGAGACTGTCTTTTCTCCAGGATATGTTCTTGGGAACTTTGAGTTTATTATAGGTATATGGATTTGTTTCTGGCTTCTCTATTGTTCCATATGTGTCTGTTTCTATGGCAGTACCATGCTGTTTTGATTACTATAGCTCTGTAGTATAATTTGAAGTCAGGTAATGTGATTCCTCCAGTTTTGTTCTTTTTGCTCAGGATAGCTTTGGCTATATTCTGGGTCTTTTGTGATTCCGTATAAATTTTAGGATTATTTTTATTCTATTTTTGTGAAGATTGTCATTCATATTTTGATAGGGATTGCATTAAGTCTGTCATTTGCTTTGGGTAATATGGACATTTTAACAATATTGATTCTTACTTAAACCCAGGAGACAGAAGTTTCAGTGAACTGAGATCGCACCACTGCACTTCAGCCTGGGTGACAACAACAAAACAAAACAATTGATTCTTCTAACCCATGAACATGGAATATCAATATCTTTCTGTTTTTTTGTGTGTGTTCTTTTTAATTTATTTCATTAGTGTTTTATATTTTTATTGTAGGGATCTTTCACTTCTTTGCCTGATTCCTTATTTAATGTTATTTAATTTTATTTGTGACTTGTAAATGGGATTACTTTTTAAATTTCTTTTTCATATTCTTCACTGTTGACATATAGAAATGCTACTGATTTTTGTATGTTGGCTTTGTATCCTGCAATTTTATTGAATTTGTTTATCAGTGCTAATCATTTTTTGGTGGAATGTTTAGGTTTTCCCAAATATAAGATCATATCATCATCAAACAAGGATAATGTGACTTCTTCCTTTCCAATTTGGATGCCCTTTATTTCTTTCCCTTATCTGTTGCTCTAGCTAGGACTTCCAGTACTATGTTGAATAACAGTGGTAAAAGTGGTCATCCTTGATCTTAGAGGAAAGGCTTTCAGTTTTTCTGCATTCAGTATGATACTAGCTGTGAGTCTGTTCTGTGTGGTTTTTATTATGTTGAGGTATGTTCCTTCTATACCTAGTTTGTTGAGGGGTTTTATCCTGAAGTTAGGTTGAATTTTATCTGGTGCTTTTTCAGTATCAATTGAATTGATCATATGGTGTTTGTCCTTCATTCTGTTGATATGATGCATCACATTGATTGATTTGCATATGTTGAACCATCCTTGCATCCCTGGGATAACTCTCACGTGTTCATGATGAATGATCATTTTAATGTGTTGTTGAATTTGGTTTGTTAGTATTTTGTTGAGAATTTTTGCATCAATATTCATCAGAGATGTTGGCCTGTAGTTTTCTATTTTTGGTCTTGTCTGGTTCTGGTATCAGGGTAATACTGGCCTTGTAGAATGAGTTTGGAAGTATTCCCTCTTCATCTGTTTTTTGAAATAGTTTGAGTGGGATTGGTATTAATTTTTCTTCAAATGTTTGGCAGAATTCAGCAGTGAAGCCATGAAGTCCTGAGCTTTTCTTTACTTTAGTGACTTTTTATTATGGCTTTGATCTCATGTTCACAAATTTGATAACTTAGATGGAAAGGACTAATTCCTTGAAAGACACAAACTACCAAAAACTCACACAAAGAGAAGTAAACTGAATAGGCATATATAATAAAGAAATGTAATTAATAGTTAATAACCTTCCAAAACAGAAAGCACCAGACCCGGATGGTGGTTTTACTGGTGAATTCTACCAAACATTTAAGAAAGAAATGATACCAGTTCTCTATAATATTGTCCGGGAAATGGAAGCAGAAGACTTCCCTAACTCATTCTGGGTGCCCAGTGTTACTATAATACCAAGACCATATAAAAATATTACAAAAAAGGAGAACTCAAGACCAACATTTTTCATAAAAATAGATGCAAAAATATTTAACAAAATATTAGTAAGTCAAATCCAGTGATGTATAAAATAATTATATCCCACAATAAAGCAGAATTTATTTCAAATATGCAAGGATATTTTAACATTCAAAAGTCAGTGTAATCTATTACATCAACAGACTAAAGAAAAAAATCATGTGGTCACATCAGAAAATGCAGAAAAAATATTTGGCAAATTGTGGCACCCACTCGTGATAAAAATACTTATCAGACTAGGAATAGAGAGGAACTTCCTGATTTGATAAAGAACATCTACACAAGACCTACAGCTAACATCATAATTTTTTTTTTTTTTTTAAAGACAGAGTCCAGCTCTGTTGCCCAGGCTGGAGTGCAGTGGTGCAGTCTCTGCTCACTGCAACATCTGCCTCCCAGGTTCAGGTGATTCTCCTGCTTCAGCCTCCCCGGTAGCTGGGATTACAGGCCTGCGCCACCATGCCTGCCTAATTTTTTTGTATTTTTTAGTAGAGATGGGGTTTCAACATATTGGGCAGGCTAGTCTCAAACTCCTGACCTCAAGTTATCCACCCACTTTGGCCTCCCAAAGTGCTGGGATTACAGGTGTGAGCCACCGTGCCTAGCCAACATCATACTTAATGATGAGAAACTAGATGCTTTCTCCCTGAGATTGGGAAAGAAAAAGATGTCCCCTTTCACCACTCCTGTTAATCACAGTATTGGAAGTCCTATCTAATGTAATAAGGCAAGAAAAGAAAAGATATACATTGGAAAGAGATAAAATTGGCTTTGTTTGCAGTTGACACAATTGCCCATGTCATGAAACCCCCAAAGAATTGACAAAAAAAAATAGTAATAATAAACCTCCTCCTGGGCCGGGCGTGGTAGCTCACGCCTGTAATCCCAACACTTTGGGAGGCTGAGGCAGGTGGATCACCTGAGGTCAGGAGTTTGAGACCAGCCTGACCAACATGGTGAAACCCTATCTCTACCAAAAAATACAAAAATTAGCCGGGCATGGTGGTGGTAGCTGTAATCCCAGCTACTCAGGAGGCTGAGGCAGGAGAATCGCTTGAACCGGGAGGCAGAGATTGCAATGAGCCAAGATTGCGCCACTGCACTCCAGCCTGGGTAACAGAGCAAGATTCTGTCTCAAAAAAATAAAATAAATAAACCTCCTCCTGTAACTAATTAGCAATTATAGTAAGGTTACAGGATCTAACATTAATATTACAAAAGTTAATTACTTTCCTATATACCTGTAATGAACTACTGGAATTTGAAATTTAAAATAATACTGTTTACATTAGCATCAAAAAAATGAAATACCTAAGTATAATTCTGAAGAAAATTTTGTAAGATCTATATGAGGAAAACTACAAAACTCCAGTATTCCAGTGAAAGAAATCAATGAATATCTTAATAAGTGAAGAGATATTACATATTCATGGATAGGAAGACTCAGTATTGCTAAAATGTTAACTTTTTTCAAGTTGATATATAGATTCACCAAAATCCAAATCAAAATTTTACTAAATTACTTTGTGAGCAACAGGAGCAACAAGAACTCTTATTCATTGTTGGTGAGGATTCAAAATGGTACCGCCAGTTTAGAATACAGCTTGGCAGTTTCTTACAAAGCTAACCATAAATGTATCATTTAGTCAAGCGGTCGTATATTTAAGTCACAAAACTGGTTTTGTGGATGTTCGTAAAACCTGCTTGGAAAAGCAAGCTAGGTGCAGTGGCTTGTGCCTATAATCCCAGCAACACAGGAGGCTGAAGCAAGAGGATCACTTGAGGCCAGGAGTTTGAGACTGTCCTGGGCAACATAGTGGGACCCCCATCACTTAAAAAAAAAAAAAAAAAAAGTTAATATGGAGAAGCCAAAGACTGAGAAGAACCAGCACAGTACTGAATAAGAAAAAAGTCAGAGGACTGACACTATTGGACTAATTTTAAGACTTAGTATAAAGCTCCAGTAATCGAGACATGTAGCATTGGTGAAAGAATAGATTAATGGACCAATGAAACAGAATAGAGAGCCTAAAAGTAGAGCCACATAAATAGTCAACTGATCTTTGACAAAGGAGCAAAAGCAAGTCAATGGAGAAAGTATACATTTTTTTCGACAAATGGTGTTGGAAAAATTGGACATCTGTATTTAAAAAGATGAAGGTAGACACAGACCTTTCACAAATATCAACTCAAAATGGATCATATACCTAAAAGTAAAACACAAAATTTCTAGAAGAAGTGTAGGAGAAAATCTAGGTGACCTTAGATTTGGCAATGAACTTTTAGATACAACACCAAAAACACTACTCATGAAAGGAAAAGTGAGTAAATTGGACTTTATTAAAATTTAAAACATCTTCTCTGAGAAAGGCACTATTAAGAGAATGAAAACCACAGACTGAGAGAAAATATTTGCCAAATGTATAATAAAGGACTTGTGTGCAATATATGTAAAGAACTTTTAAAACTCAGCAGTGAGAAAATCAGCTGGGCTCTGTGGCTCACGCCTGTAATCCCAACACTTTGGGAGGCCAAGGTGGGCAGATCACTTAAGGTCAGGAGTTCAAGACTAGCCTGGCCAAAATGGTAAAAATCCGTCTCTACTAAAAATACAAAAATTAGCTGGGTGTGGTAATGTGTGTCTGTAATCCCAGCTACTGAGGAGGCTGAGGCAGAGAATTGCTTGAATACGGGAGGCGGTGGTTGCAGTGAGCTGAGATCACACCACTGCACTCCAGCCTGGGCAACACAGTGAGACTCTGTCTCAAAACAAAACAAAACAAAACAAAACAAAACAAAAAAACCCATCTCAATAGTGAGAAATAACTCAATTTTTTAAATGGGCAAAAAATCTGAACAGATATTTTACCAAAGAAGATATGCAGATGACAAGCATAAGAAAAGATGCTTAATATGATATGTCACTAGAGAATTGAAAATTAAGACAATGAGATACCACTGTATACCTATTAGAATGGGTAAATCTCAAAAATCTAAATACAAAATGGTGGTAAGATGCAGAGCAACAGGAACACTTATTCACTGTTAGTGAGGATTCAAAATGGTACAGCCAGTTTAGAATACAGCTTGGCAGTTTCTTGCAAAGCTAACCATAAATGTATCATTTAGTCAAGCAGTCACATACCTAAGTATTTATCCAAATGAGTAGAAAATTTATATCCACACAAAAACCTACACACAAATGTTTATAGCAGAATTATTCATAATCACCCCAAACTAGAAGCAACTAAGATGTCCTGCAATAGGCGAATGGATAAACAAACTGGTATATTCACACAATGAGATATTTTTCAGCAATAAAACACCGTAAGTTATCATGCCATGAATAGACTTGGAGGAGCCATAAATGCATGTTGCTAAGTAAAAGAAGCCAGTCTGAACGGTTACGTAGTGTTTGATTCCAATCATATGGCATCTGGAAAACACAAAACTATAGCGACATTAGAAAGATCAGTGGGGCTGGGCACAGTGGCTCACGCCTGTAATCCCAGCACTTTGGGAGGCCAAGGCAGGAGAATTGCTTAAGGCCAGGAGTTCAAGACCAACCTGGACAACATAGACCCCATCTCTTCAAAAAATTTTTTTTTCTAATTAGTTGGGCATGGTGGTGTGGCTTTACTTTCCCCTGCTTGGGAGGCTGAGGCGGGATGATCGAGTGAGCCCAAGAGGTTGAGGCTGCAGTGAGCCATGATCATACCACCATACTCTAGCCTGGGTGACAGTATGAGACCATGTCTGGGAAGAAAAAAATCGGTAGTGGCCAAGGGTTCATGAGAAAGAGAGGAGGGATGAATAGGTGAAACATGTTGTTGACAGTAAACTATTCTATGTGATACTGTAATGGCAGCTACATGACATGCATTTGGCAAAACCTCTAGAACTAACTATATAATACAGAGTGAACTTTGTTGTAAACTATAGACCTTAGTTAATAATAATGTATCAATTTGGTTCATTAATTGTAACAAATGTACCACACTAATACAACATGTTAATGATAGGGGGAACTATGTGTGTCTGTTGGTGGGGGTGTATATAGTAACTCTCTATACTACTTGCTCTTATTTTAAATAAAAATTTTAGGCTGGGCCCAGTGGTTCACGCCTGTAATCCGAGCACTTTGGGAGGCCGAGGCGGGTGGATCACCTGAGGTCAGGAGTTCGAGACCAGCCTGACCAATATAGTGAAACCCCGTCTCTACTAAAAATACAAAAATTGGCCGGGTGTGGTGGTGGGCGCCTGTAATCCCAGCTACTCAGGAGGCTGAGACAGGAGAATTGCTTGAACCTGGAGGCAGAGGTTGCAGTGAGCCGAGATCACGCCACTACACTCCAGCCTGGGTGACAGAGTGAGACTCCATCTGGAAAAAAAAAAAATTAAAGGGGAGATAAACAAATGTGAAAGGTGTTAAAATTGTGCATGTGCCAAATGGAAATATTTTACAGTCTGTAACAAAGGAATTATAAAATAATTGAAAGGCAGGAAAAAAAAACCTATAGTAAACATCATAATTGAATAGTGGCAGCTTTTTCTCTGAGATGAGAATGAGACAAAGATGTATTTCATTATCGGTTGTATTTATCATTGTACTAGAGAAGATCATAGCCACTGTAATAAGCAAAAGAAATAGAAAGTATAATTATTGGAAAGGAGGAAAGTTAGTTCATTATTCACTGGTGAATTGATATTTTATGTGGAAAATCAGAATGAATGGACAAATTTAGAAATATTGTTGGGTACAGGGTCAGTATATGAAAATTAACATTATATACTGGCAGCAATTAAAGAATGACATTTAAAATATTCCTTTTTTTTGAGACAGGGTCTCCTTCTGTTGCCCAGGTTCATAGCTCACTGAAGGCTTGACCTCCCCGGGCTCTGTTAGTCCTACCATCTCCACCTCCTGAGTAGCTGGGACTATGGGCATGCGTCACCACACCTGGCTAATTACTGTATTTTTTGTAGCAATGGGGTTTCACCATGTTGCCCATGCTGGTCTCGAATTCCTGGGCTTGGGTGATCCTCCTCCCTTAGCCTTCCAAAGTGCTGGGATTATAGGCATGAGCCACCACTCGCTGCCAAAAAATATTCCATTTTAATAAGAACGTCAAATAACCAGGAAAAACAATCTAAAGATGAGCAAGGTATCTATCTGGAAAACTACAAAAATTACTGTGAAAAATTAAAGAAATCCTAAATAAATTTTGAAATGGATCATGTTTCTGGATTGGAAGATTTAATATTGTAAAAATCTCAATTATTCCCAAATTTTCTACAAATTCAGTGCAATCCCAGTAAAAATTTCAGAAAGTTTTCTTGTAGAAATTGATATGCTGATTCTGAAACTTAATAGGAAATTCCGAGGATCAAGAATAACTAAGATAATCTTGATGAAGAAGAACAAAGTTGAAGGACTTACGTTACCAGACATTGTGACTTATTATTAAAGCTTCATAATTAAAACAGCCTTAGTGGCACAAAGACAGACTAATGGAGCAGAATACAAAGTCCAAAAGTATATCCAATCCCTTACTCCCCTGTGATTATTTATAACCAGGGTGCTATTGCAGTGCTTGCCTTGTAAAGCTGAGGCTATCACATTTGAGATAAGGAAGCACTTTCTAGGAAAGAATGTTTTGAAGGAGTCAGAACTCAGTTTGCCACTCATGTCGCTATCTCCGTTTCTATTGACAGTATCCCAGGCTGTGTAATTCAGGGCATTACTTTTACTCGTCGAAACATGAGTCAGGAATTGGCTTTGGTGTCAGTGTGGTAGTTTGGAGTATTGCCACGCCTATTTGTGCAAATTCAACTACTTTCAGTTTAAAAGGTTGGGGAGAGATGGGAAATAATGTAAATACTTTAGGCAATCTATTTTTTCATTCAGTAATCATAAAACTAGGTATGAGATGAGATGAGAAATGTGAATTCCTGTTGCACCTGTTGGTTCCTATGTGTCTCAGCGTGTGAGCTCTTGCTTCACTTGTGAGTGAAGCATGAGTCCAGTTTGTTCCAAACAACATACTCACTAAACGAAAACTACTTCATTTATTATTATCAGTTAAGAAATAGCACTGTCGACCTAAATAAGGAAACTGAGGCAAAATTAATCTAGAGAGTTTATTTGGGGCAAGTTTGAGATTGCAGCTCAGGTAACACTGGGAAGTGATCCCGAGAATAAAGGAGTTGCTCGAGTTGGTTTGTTTTGTTTTGTTTTTTTGAGATGGAGTCTCGCTCTGTCGCCAGGCTGGAGTGCAGTGGCGGATCTCGGCTCACTGCAACCTCTGCCTCCTGGGTTCAAGCGATTCTCCTGCCTCAGCCTCCTAAGTAACTGGGACTACAGGTGCACACCACCACGCCCAGCTAATTTTTATATTTTTAGTAGAGATGGGGTTTCACTGTGTTGACCAGGTTGATCTCAATCTCTTGACCTTGTGGTCCACCCGCCTCAGCCTCCCAAAGTGCTGAGATTACAGGTGTGAGCCACTGTGCCCATCCTGCTCGAGTTTCTAAAGAAAAAAGGATGAATCAGGAGAGGGGCAATTACAAAAGTTGTTTTTGGGAACTCTTACGGGTTTCCAGAAGTAGCATTGATTAGTGATTGATCGTACATTGTTGAACTATGGGGTAGGAGTTAGAGTATCAAGCATATGGTATTGTTAGGTTACTTTATAGCTACTTGTGTCAGTCACTCTAGAGCCCACATAGCGGCTCACATCTCTTAGATTAAAAGTTTCTTTTCTTTCTCAGGATCTAGCCCAATCCTGAGGGAAAAGCAGCTGTGTTAAGCGTTCCAAAGCAGTATATGTAGTGGTCATGGCTTGTGCTCTTGAACCAGACTACCTGGGTTCAAATCCTAGTTCAGTGTGCCCTGGGCAGGTTACTTAACCTCTATGCTCAGTGTCCTTATCTGTAAAATGGAGATAGTAATAGCACAACACCTCATAGCAGTGAACTAGCATATAAACCATGGTTGGCACATAGTTGGTGCATAATCAATGTTAACTATTTTTGTTATTACCAGTATTGTTATTACTGAGACGTGATAAAGGTGGTATGCTCTTAAGGTATTTTCAAGGGAAACAGCTAACTCTTTTTTTACCTTTGGCTTATGCTTTTAGAACCCAATCCCTGCATGAAATATGATTCTACTGTACCAGGCTAGTTTCTCTGTTTGGTGTTTGTTTCTGTAGGGAGCTGATAATCAGATGTGGCTAGCTGTGGGATGGTCATATGTCACAGAACACAGCTATTAGGGGCAGGAGAGCCTTTGTGTTGGGCAAGGTAGATGTGTAGATATCCTAAAATATATTGAATATGTATGTTTAAGTACACATATTTTAGCCACCAGCATTTTTCTATGTACAAAGATCCACTGAGTCTTTTTTTTTTTTTTTTTTGAGACGGAGTCTCGCTGTCGCCCAGGTTGGAGTGCAGTGGCGCTATCTCGGCTCACTGCAGGCTCCGCCTCCCGGGTTCACGCCATTCTCCTGCCTCAGCCTTTTGAGTAGCTGGGACTACAGGTGCCCGCCACCTCGCCCGGCTAATTTTTTGTATTTTTAGTAGAGATGGGGTTTCACCGTGTTAGCCAGGATGGTCTCGATCTCCTGACCTCGTGATCCGCCCACCTCGGCCTCCCAAAGTGCTGGGATTACAGGCGTGAGCCACCGCGCCCAGCCAAGATCCACTGAATCTTTTAAAGTCAGTGTAGCCCTTATTATGCTTCTATCCTTTGCTTTTCACTAGAAAATGATTGTAGCCTATATTGTAGGATGGCATCTATGCAGTCAGTATCCCATGGTACTGCATGTGGGTGCATTATTGTAGGGTACAACACTTTCATGTTTTATGATTCTACTCTTCTTCCCTGAGTCCGTGGATTTTTATCTCACCACCGATTGTTGCCTTTGAAGAATTTTGAGGAACATTATAGGTGGCTGTTCGCCATCTTAACCACTCTCCCCCTTCCACACTCAGAGGCACAGACTCTCATATTTACTTTCCAGGACTCTGAAAACTGAGGCACTACTCTTGTTCCTGACTTCAACCCTGTCCACCCTTCTTCTCACAGAAAAGCTGCCCTTTGTTTTTAGCTGTCACTCTGCAGTGCTGAGGCGCACACGGCTGTTTGCTCACATACTATGAGCAGCAGCTCCTCTCCTTGACTGCCAGAATGTCGAGGCTTCACTCAGTCCCCTGCCATGCTGGCAGCTACTGCTTCCTCTAAGGCATTACTGATGCCAACCAAGATTTTGTTTGCTTCTGTCTGCTTTTCTTCCCCCCACCTCTTCCCGCCCCATCTTTCCTATGTTCTCTGGCTCCTTGGCTTTTGCTTAGGAAAAACTGATCACTTATAGACTTTGCCAACTAATGAGCTCCATCTTTCTGCCAGGCAAACAAATACTTCAAACCAAATGGGCTTTGTCATCAAGCTTTTTTTGACAGTGTTATTTGAGGCTCAGGCATCTGAGCCTGTTCAGTGCATCTACCACCAAAAGAGGGCTTATGCTAGAGAGTTGGTCTTCAAATAGAACCAGTTATGGTCTTTCCTGTGTCCATTACTTAGAACAAGGGAAATATAAGCTTAATGAGTTCTAAGGTAATTTGTATTGTGTGTCCAAAATAGCTTCTGAACATGCAAACACTTAATATTTCACTGTAGTGATGTAAAGTTATAGTGCACTTGTATATTTCAGATTGAGGAATCTTGAAAAAACTTATGTATCCAGGTGGCGGATTAGAGTTTATCTTTCAAGTTATAATTATCCTGAAATGTTAACACCATCTCGTTTTTGTGTTTTTTTCCTCTCTCTGTAGAATATTTTCCTTCTTGGATATAGTAACTTTGTGCCGATGTGCACAGATTTCCAAGGTAGAGTATTCACCAGATTTTTTAATCAATAAATATCAAGTTTTATTAGAATGAGTTTTAGTTCAAATTACTGAAAATTAAAATTTTATTATCTTTTATACTTAATATAACATAATGGTATAATTTTGCATTTGATGATTAACTTAATATACATCAAAAATAGGAGTTTGGAAATAAAGGTTAATCAAGACTTTCTTTAATAGTCTCAATAAATGTGTTTCTTTCATCCCAATCCCTCTTCCTTTACCTCCCACCTTCCAGGCTTGGAACATCTTAGCCCTGGATGGAAGCAACTGGCAAAGAATAGATCTTTTTAACTTTCAAACAGATGTAGAGGTAAGTTAGCTTTGGTTTAGACAAAAAACTTTTTAAAAATATGAGTAGCTGTTCCCCCTTTCCTGACTTTTTATTTTACTGCATTTAGATCTAATATTAAAGTGCTGAGGTAGAACAGAAAGAAGAAAAACTGGAAGGGATTTGCATACATCAAAACAAAACCCTGCTTGCATTTTAAATTGTATCAGTAACAGATTTTTTTCCCTTGTTTATGTTTATAGTCTGAATTTTACTACTCAGCTTTTTAAAGCCACACACCTGCATCATTATCACCTGGTTCAGTGCTTTAACCTTAGGAGACTTGACAAATACTTATTGATCTAGAAAATCCACCGAGAATTCTAATTCAGCATCAAAAGTGGAGAAATGGCAGAAGCAGAAGCCCAAGAGTGAGGCTGGAGATCTAAAGTGTCACCCTAGCTTGGCCACTTAAGTCATATAATCTCTCAGTATTCTGTTTTATTATCTATAAAATAAAGTAATAATTAAGTCTTATACAATTATTATATACAGAATATATAAGATTCTGATATATTTATCTGTAAATATGTAAATATCTCCATTTAAGTGTGGTAAACCTGATGAAATGAGGAAAGTTTATGTTAAAACAACTTTGATATTCAATACTAAATTTCTAACCAAAAAGAAAGTTTAGGCAGGGAATAAAAAAAGAGCATTGTACTTAGGAATTGTCTGAAGTGCTGGTTTGAGGGTCTTGAGATTCTGAAGTTTATTTTCTACCTAATATAAAACCTAATTGATTTCCAGTTTAGCAAACTTACAGTAGTGGAAATGCATTTTAATTTAGTTACTCACATAGTATGTTTGCTATGTGTTTTTACCAAGATGTATATATTGGTTTTTTTTTGTTTGTTTTGGATAAGGAAATGAATGTGTTTAACAGTAGGATTGAGCTAAGCAATTTCCTGCTAGCTACTTAACCTGGCTTGACCTAGACAAACTAATGATCTAGGTCAGTTGTGGAGACTCTTCACCTCCTTCTCTAGGTTACTTACTGCCTGAGAGTCTCTGGTTCTCATCTTAAACCAGTGGAGCACAATACTTACAGTAAGTGGGGCAGAGCAGAAGATTTCCCTTTATTAAATAAAGGGGGAAACCCCTTATTTCTGTCATATTGTGGTGCTCTGCTCTTGGAAGGGGGCAGGGACCTCAAGGATTCACGCCCATCCTGGAAAGATAAGCTCTAGTTCCTGGCTTAACACTGTAGTTTCTGAATTAGGTGTTCTTTAGTGCTCTTTTGAGACTTAACAGCAGTGATTACAATAGTACTCCACCTAAACATGCCAGCATTCCATGCCAGTGAATATAATTGCCCTTCAAACTGATCATACCTAACTCTTTGTTCACTATGTTTACTTAGTGATGATGTGGAGGACATTTAATTTCTAAAAATTGTAGTCATTTCTACTGACCACAAAGTAGAGTTATTGTTTTGAAAAAATTGAGCAAAATACTTACTCTTTTTCTGTGGTTCTTCATGTCTCCTCAATTTTGATGACTTTTCCAACCATACAACTTTTTTGGAAAGCACATGAAGAACTTTTTTTTTTTTTTTTTTTTTTTTTTTTTTTGAGACAGAGTCTCGCTCTGTCACCCAGGCTGGAGTGCAGTGGCGTGGTCTCGGCTCACTGCAAACTCCACCTCCTGGGTTCATGCGATTCTCCTGCCTCAGCCTCCCATGTAGCTGGGACTACAGGCGCCTGCCACCACGCCCGGCTAATTTTTTTTTTTTTTTTTTTTGTATTTTTAGTAGAGACGGGGTTTCACCATGTTAGTCAGGATGGTCTCGATCTCCTGACATCGTGATCCGCCCGCCTCGGCCTCCCATGAACTTTTAAAGTCAGGCTGGGTGCAGTGGCCCACACCTGAAATCCCAACACTGTGGGAGGCCATGGCGGGCAGATCACTGGAGCCCAGGAGTTCAAGACCAGCTTGGGCAACATAGCAAAACTGCGTCTCTACAAAAAAATGAAAAAACAAAAGTTAGCCAGGCACAATGGCACATGCCTGTAGTCCTGGCTACTCAGGAGGCTGAGGTGGGAGGATCACCTGAGCCCAGGGGGCAGAGGTTGCAATGAGCTCTGATTGTGCCATTGCACTCTAGCCTGGGTGACAGAGTGGGGCCCTGTCTCAAAAAAAAAATTATTTTGATATTAAAAAGTACTACTATTTCAAGTAAATATCACTACCTTGTGCATTATTTGATTACAAGATTTTAGCTGACTGCTGACTTTCAGCTAACTGCCATATAAACACATCCCAGAAATACTTAAAAGTATATCCACCAAAGGGGAAGCCAGTTTATGGTTTACCAGTTATATAAAGAATTGTATGTGAAAACCTAAAATAGCTGGCACCAGAGTTTCAATCTAGTCATAACACTTAGCTTCCCTTTTGGGCTAGCCCCCTTGGTCCACCCTAGATTATGAACCAGTCTTGGGGTCTGCCATAGTCCTTAAACAAGACCCTTTGGAGGATGCTTGCCCTAGGAAGCATTTTATGGATAGTCTTAAAAATATGCACTTTGGGAAGGAAATGGTAACTTTTGGATATGGTTGAGAGAAAAGAGAAGTTGCCAAGGATCAGGATCAACACACTAATAATATTTGTTGTGTGCCTGACACTGTTGTAAGTACCATATTAAAGAAACTGAGGCAAAGAAAAGGTTGAGTAACTTACCCAAGGTCACTCACCTACTAAGAGGAGACTGTAGGTATCTTGAACGGTGGGTTGCATGACTGGCACATGAAGAAAAGGCAGAGTAAAGCATCTAGGTGACAAGTGCACACGGTACCTTCCTTCCTCATCACTCTTTCCTGAATACGTGTAGTTTACCTGAAGTTTGGGTTGGCATTTTCTGTGCCTTTAAAACTTGGACATTTTGTTGTCAGTGTCTTCATGGTTATTGAAGATTGTGCTAGGCCAAAAATGAGAAATAACTAAGTAGTGTGTGAATCTAAAAGTGATAACTCCAGGGGTCTTTAGCCCATTTTAGGGCTTATTTTTCTCTAAAGCCCTTCATTCTAAAAGCATGCCTATAACATATTGTCTAGTAGATAAGACACAGAGTCACTGGCTTGAATATTGCACTGAAATGGATTTGCATTTTCCCCCTCTTAGTTGGAAACAGTGGAACAGAAAATTGTGTATGTAGTTTTGTATTCCAGTACAAGAACTTTGCCCCAAAAGGGGAGGACTAGAAAGTTTATATAAATGTTACTAACTTGATATTCCCCATCCTGTGTCCATGTGTTCTCATTGTTCAATTCCCTGTATACATATGTAACAAACCTGCACATTGTGCACATGTACCCTAAAACTTAAAGTATAATAATAATAAAATTTAAAAAAATGTTACTAACTTGAAATGGAGAAGAGTATATTAGGTGCTCTATTTGTAGACATTGGTGTAGAGCTGCTTTTTTTTTTCCTGTTTATTAGGTACTTAAATATATATCTTTGATTTCTAAGTCATAATCTTTTTCCCCCTGGTGACAAAGATTTATTTTACAGTTGTCTGGAATTTTGCTTCAAAAAATATTAATAATCATTAATGCAAGTAGTCTCAAGAAAGTATAAATAAATGCTAGCAGTATCAAAGATTGGATTTTCAACATAATTAAGATGTTAGCTAGGTAACAATATGTATCCTGTGGGGTTTTTTGTTTGTTTGTTTTTATGAGACAGAGTCTTGCTCTGTCACCCAGGCTGGACTGCAGTGGCATGATCTTGGCTCACTACAACCTCTGCCTCCCAGGCTCAAGCGGTTCTCCTACCTCAGCCTCCCAAGTAGCTAGGACTACAGGCATGCCCCACCATGCTCTGCTGATTTTTGTATCTTTAGTACAGAAAGGGTTTCACCATGTTGGCCAGGCTGGTCTCAAACTCCTGACCTCCAGTGAATCACCTTCCTCAGCTTCCCAAAGTGCAGGGATTACAGGCGTGAGCCACTGCACCTGGCCCCTGTGGTTTTGATGTATCCTGGTGAATTCATCATGCTTACAGTTCAGTGCCAAGATTGCTGTTTTATAAAATGAGGATAACATTATTCAAAACCAATCAAATTGTCCCTTTGAACTTTTCCTCCCTTGTGGAGGTAGAGGTTGTAGTTAGTATTTATAACTACCTTCTTCCACAATGCATTTCTGTATTCCTTTGCCTTCAGCAAGCACCTCAGCTGGTGATGGTTCTTTACCTGGTGGAATGACTCAGACCTTTATTCCTGAAGGTCTGGTCATTAATAGTCGTGCTTGGATTGGGTTGTTGTAGTTTGCTACTGACATAAATCACAGGGCATGGTAGTACTACAGGATGCCCTAAGGGATCTTCTGTATTCCACACATACTCTTTCTTACCTCCATTTTGGGAGTGTTCATGAAGTTTTTTGACTATTAAATGAGCCATAATAGGTACAAGAAATTGTTCCTCAAAAAGTGGAAGTAAACCAGGTGCCATGGCATGTTCCTGTAGTCCTAGCTACTCCATAGGCTGAGGCAGGAGGATCACTTGAGCCCAGGAATTTGAGGCTGCAGTGAGCTATGACCACATCACTATACTCCAATCTGGGCACCAAAGCGAGACCCCCCAACACCAACCCTGTCTCTAAAGAAAAAAAGTGATTTGAAATAGAAAACATTTTTTAAAAAGTGGAGGTGCTTAATCATTGTTCATTGTTCATTTTCTTTTTGCTTCCTCTAATATCTCTGCCAGTACTCAACAAAAGTTCCTTTTTCAAAGCAAATGTGTTTAAGCAGAGGACAGCTAAGGAGGATGAGGGGGAGCTTTTGCAATATATTGTTATACTTTTGAAGTGGTAATGCTTAGCTCAAGTAGGATTTTCTTTTTAAAGCAGCATTGTCTTAGATCTCTGCTCAGTGGCTGGTATTCCCACAGCTAACCTCAAAAAGCCTTTTGGTTGGTGGAATAGCTGTGACCTGGGTAGGGAGGGCCTAACCCCAGGGCTAAGGCTTTCAAAAGGCAGTGTACAGGTTTTGGTTTTTGCATTTGTGTTTGTTTTTGTTTGTTGGTTGGTTTTAGAATACTTAATGCTTTAATTGGACCATTTTTCAGTGCTTGCAGCCCCTGTATGCATTAAGGATAGAACTGAGGTGTTACAGGAATGTTCCAAAATATTTTCTGTTACACTTGGAAAAATATATTCAGTTCCTAGATTTCAGGTTATTTTGCTGTTAGATAAGCAGCATGAAAAAACAGTATTTTTTCCTCCCGAACTTTCTTGATTAAAGGGTCGAGTGGTGGAAAATATCTCGAAGCGATGCGGTGGATTCCTGAGGAAGCTCAGCTTGCGAGGCTGCATTGGTGTTGGGGATTCCTCCTTGAAGTAAGTCAAATCCAGTGACTCACTGTCATGGCAGCTTGTAGCATTTTCATCAGCAAAAATAAACCAAGCCTATTACATGCTCTTCTTCTGTTAAAATTCTTTCTGTGGTAATTTGCATAGAGTAATGAGAGGACCAGGACTTTGGAATAGCAAACCTGGGTTGGAAACCGAGCTGTACTGTTGTTAGGGATGTGACCTTGGGACAAATTATTTCCCCCGGCCGAGTGTCAGTTCTCTCTTCTGCAAAGTCAGGGCAGCTATAGCTCCCACAGGACTGTCATAGGCATAACAAGAAATAACATGTATGAAGTGCCTACCTCTTTTCTATTCCCTTCTTCACTTCGGCATCTTCCTAGTTTTCCTCTCATAATATTAGCTACCTTTATATATAAATTTTACTAATTGATAAAATAACTATTTCAAAAATTTCCTTGGCATAAGCTAGAATTTTGCTTACTCATAATGAGATGTGATTTTTACATTAATTTTATTACAGTTAGCAATATATCCTATACAACCAAATATTTGCCCATCTCTTACTGGATAGCCATTATTTATTGGGGTTTTTTTTTTTTTTTGAGACCGAGTCTCACTCTGTCACTCAGGCTGGAGTGCAACGGCACAATCTCAACTCACTGCAACCTCTGCCTCCCAGGTTCAAGTGATTCTCCTGCCTCAGCCTCCTGAGTAGCTGGGATTACAGGCGTGCACCACCATGCCCAGCTAATTTTTGTATTTTTAGTAGAGATGGGATTTCACCATGTTGGCCACGCTGGTCTTGAACTCCTGAGCTCACCCATCTTGAACTCCCAAAGTGCTGGGATTACAGGTGTGAGCCACTGCACCCAGGCTATTGGGAATGTTATCAATGCTAAGGATGTGTACTGGCCAGGCACAGTGGCTCATGCCTGTAATCCCAGCTCTTTGGGAGGCTGAGGTGGAACGATCCCTTGAAGCCAGGAGTTTGAGACCAGTGTGGGCAGCAAAATGAGACTCTTCGACCAAACAAACAAACAAACAAACAAACAAACAAACCAACAACAATTTGTGCTTTGAGGATTTCTGGAGACAGAGATGATTAAAACCTTCATGTCTTTATCCTCATGGCCTCTAGTATTGCTTATGAGTTTGGCTAAAATTAGGATATACCCCCCATAACCTTGGAATACACTTTGTGTTCTTGCAGACCTAAATATTACCACAATGTACAGCAATCACAGACTTCCAGTAAGAATGTGCAACATACAGTGAATGCAGACAGTAGAATTTATAATTCAAACATCTGCTATACCATTGCTGAAAAAAAATTGATTCACAACATCTTTTAAGTATAAAAACACTCACTTTAAATGTTATGGAACAAAATGATTTTCCTTAAATGAAGAAAATTCTTTAAATCATGAATTAGATTGGCTCTTTTAAACATGTTTAAACAACCCTCCATCACTCATATAAAGCACACTTGAATTGCCATGTATTATTTATTTTATATATTATTGGATCCTATTTGCTACAATTTTGTTAAAAAATTTTGCATTTGTGGTCATGAGGAATATTGTCTTATGATTTTATTTTCTTATAATGCTTTTGTCTGGTGTAGGTATCAAGGTAATACTGGCTTCATGGAGTGAATTGGGAAGTATTTCCTCCTATTCACATTTCTGGGGGTGTGTTCAGTGGCTGACATCTATAACCCCAGTGCTTTGGGAGGCCAAGGTGGGAGAATCACTTGAGCCCAGGATTTTGAGACCAGCCTGAGCAACACAGCAAGACCCCATCTCTAAAAAAAAATTAAGTAGCTGGGTGTGGTGGTGCATACCTGTAGTCCTAGCTATTTGGGAGGCTAAAGTGGGAAGATCACTTGAGCCCAGGAGTTCAAGGCTGCAGTGAGCTATGATCACACCACCATACTCAAAGCTGGGTGACAGAGTGAGACTCTATCTCTGAAAAATAAAAACAATTTGGCTGGGTGCGGTGGCTCATGCCTGTAATCCCAGCACTTTGGGAGACTGAGGCGGGTGGATCACTAGGTCAGGAGATTGAAACCATCCTGGCTAACACAGTGAAACCCTGTCTCTACTAAAAATACAAAAAATTAGCTGGGCGTGGTGGCAGGTGCCTGTAGTCCCAGCTACTCGGGAGGCTGAAGCAGGAGAATGGCCTGAACTCGGGAGGTGGAGCTTGGCAGTGAGCAAGCAACAGAACGAGACTCCATCTCAAAAATAAATAAATTAAATAAAAAAACAATTTTAAAAAATTCTGGGAGTGTTTATGTACAATTTGTATTTTTTAAAAATGTTTTGTAGAATTCACTATTGAAGCCGTCTGCTCCTACATGTTTTTTTGGGGGAAGGTTTTTAATTACAAAGTCAGTTTCTTTTTTTTTTTCTTTTTAGATGGAGTTTCACTCTTGTTGCCCAGGCTGGAGTGCAATGGCACAGTCTTGGCTCACTGCAACCTCAAAGGATTCTCCTGCCTCAGCCTCCCAAGTAGCTGAGATTACAGTCACCCACCACCATGCCTGGCTAATTTTATATTTTCAGTAGAGACGGGGGTTTCACCATGTTGGCCAGGCTAGTCTTGAAGTCCTGACCTCAGGTGATCTGCCTGCCTCGGCCTCCCAAAGTGCTGGGATTATAAGCGTGAGCCACCGCACCCGGCCTCAATTTCTTTAATATGTATAGAACTCTTCAGATTATTTCTTCATAAATGAGTTTTGGTAGTCTGCGTCTTTCAAGGAATTTGTCAATTTCACCTAAGTTCCTGGACTTATTAGCATTAAGTTGTTTATAATATCCTCTTATTTTAATATCTGTAAAATCTGCAGTGATATCCCCTCTCATTTCTGAAATTGGTAATTGTTGTCTTTTTTTTTTTGGTCCTCGTCAGTCTGGCTATTAAGAGGTCTATCAATTTTATTGATATTCTCAAAGAACCAGCTTTTGTTTTCACCCATTTTTCATTGTTTTTCTGTTTTCTACTTCATTTATTTCCACTCTGATCTTTATTATTTCCTTCCTTTTGGTTACTTTGGGCTTCATTTGTTTTTGTTTTTGTTTTTTCTCTAGTTTCTTAAGATGGAAGCTGAAGTCATTGGTTTGAGACCTTTTTTTCTAGTATGGGAGTTTAATGACATAAACTAAGTCAATACTTTGGGGAAAATTTATGCCACAAATTCTTATATGCTATGTTTTCATTTTCATGCAAAATGCATTCTAATTCCCCTTTTGATTTCTTCCATGACCCATGGGTTGTTTAGAACAATATTATTTAGTTTCCAAATATTTGGACATTTTCCAGAAGAGCACGTTAATGATTCCTAATTCAATTCAGTTGTGATCACAGAACATAGTTATACCCTGAATCCTTTTAATTTTATTGAGACTTGTTTTGTGGCCAGTAATATGGCCAGTCTTGGCAAGTGTCCCATGTGCACTTGAAGAGAATGTATATTCTGCTGTTAGATGAAGTGTGCCATAAATGCCAGTAGGTCAGGTTGGTTGATAGTGTTGAGCAGATCTTCTATATTCTTACTAATTTTCTGACTACTAATTTATCAACTAATAAAAGGAGTATTGAAATATCTGCCTATAATTTTGCATTTGTCTATTTCTCCTCACAGTCCTATCAGCTCTTGCTTCAAGTATTTTGAAGCTCTGTTACTATGTATATAAACATTTAGAATTGCTATGTCTTTTTCATTGATTGTCCTTCTTTTATTCCTGATAGTTTTCTTTACTATAAAATCTTCTTTGTCTGATATAGTCATTCCAGCTTTCTTTTGACTAGTGTTGGCATTATATATGTTTTTCCATCATTTTATTTTAATCTATTTGTATCTATATTTAAAGTTGATTTTTTATAGTTGGGTGTTGCTTTTTTTTCCTTTTTTTTAGATGGAGTCTTGCTCTGTCGCCCAGGCTGGAGTGCAGTGGAGTGCAGCTCACTGCAGCCTCTGCCTCCTGAGTTCAAGCCATTCTCCTCAGCCTTCCGAGTAGCTGGGACCACAGGCGTGTGCCACCACGCCCAGCTAATTTTTTATATTTTTAGTAGAGATGGGGTTTCACCATGTTAGCTAGGATGGTCTTGATCTCCTGACCTTGTGATCCGCCTTCCTTGGCCTCCCAAAGTGCTGGGATTACAGGCGTGAGCCACCGTGCCCAGCTGGGTGTTGCTTTTTATCCAATATGACAATCTTTGCTTTTTAATTTGTGTTAGACCATTTGCATTTAATGTGATTATTATGGTTAGGTTTAAATCTACCCTCTTGCTGTTTGTTTTCTATTTGTCCCATACATCCTTTTTTCTCTTTTCCTCTTTTTCTTTCTTCTTTTAGATTTTTTTTTTTTTGAGACAGGGTCTTGCTCTGTTGCCCAGGCTGCAGTGCAGTGGCACAATCTCGACTCACTGCAGCCTCTGCCTCCTGGGTTCAAGCGATTCTCGTGCCTCAGACTCCCAAGTAGCTGGGACTACAGGCATGGGCCACCTTGCCTGGATAAGTTGTATATTTTTAGTAGAGACAGGTTTTCACCATGTTGCCCAGGCTGGTCTTGAACTCCAGACCTCAAATGATCTGCCCACCTCAGCCTCCCGAAGTGCTGGGATTACAGGCATGAGCCACCATGCCTGGCCGAGATTAAGTGTTTTTTATGATTTCATTTTATATTCTTTTTTAGCTTCATTTCTATAGCTCTTCATATGTTTAGTTGTTGCTTTAGAGTTTATTGACTGCATCTTTGATTTAGTACAGTCTACCTTCATATTGTATTACATAACACTTCCACTTCTCCTCACTCGGTTGTCATACATTTTAATTCTACTTACATAAACTTCATAATAGATTTAGTATCTTTAACAGCCAATTATTTTTAAGAGATTTATTATTATCATTATTATCATTATTATTATTATTTTAGATAGTCTCACTCTGTCACCCAGGCTGGAGTGCAGTACCATGGTCTAGGCTCAGTGCAACGTCTGCCTCCCAGGTTCAAGTGATTCTTGTGCCTCAGCCTCCCAAGTAGCTGAGACTACAGGCATGTACCACCCCGCCCGGCTAATTTTTGTACTTTTAGTAGAGACAGAGTTTTGCCCAGTTGGCCAGGCTGGTCTCAAACTCCTGGCCTCAAGTGATCTGCCTGCCTCAGCCTCCCAAAGTGTTGGGATTACAGGCATGAGCCACAGTGCCCGGCCTATTTTTAAGAGATTTAAATTTAAAAGTTGTATACACCCAAGTAGTTGCTATGTCCAGTCATTCCTTTCTGTAGACACATATTTTTATCTGGTATCATTTTCTTTCTGCATAAAGAAGTTTTTTTACATTTCTTTTACTGCAAGTCTGATTAATTCTTCCAGCTCTTCTATGTCTAAAAAAATCTGTTTTTTCCTCCACTTAAAAAAAATATTTTTGCTGGGCCAGGTGCAGTGGCTCACGCCTGTAATCCCAGCACTTTGGGAGGCTGAGGCGGGCGGATCATGAGGTCAGGAGATCGAGACCATCCTGGCTAACACAGTGAAATCCCGTCTCTACTAAAAATACAAAAAAAAAATTAGCCGGGCGTGATGGCGGGCACCTGTAGTCCAAGCCACTTGGGAGGCTGAGGCAGGAGAATGGCGTGAACCCGGGAGGCGGAGCTTGCAGTGAGCCGAGATTGCACCACTGCACTCCAGCCTGGGTGACAGAGCGAGACTCCGTCTCAAAAAAAAAAAAAAATTGCTGAGTCTAGAATTCTGTAGTGACTATTTTTTGTTTTTTGTATTTTAAGGATGGTGCTCCTCTGTTTTCTTGCTTTTTCATTACCAGTGATAAATCTGCTGTCACCCTTATGTTTTATTCTCTGTACATAACATGGCTTTGTTTTCTGGCTGTTTTTAGGGTTTTCCTATCACTGGTTTCTCTCTCTCTCTCTTCCTCTCTCTGGAGTCTCACTCTGTCACCCAGGGTGGAGTGCAGTGGCACCACCTTGGCTCACTGTAACCTCCACCTCCTGAGCTCAAGTGATCCTCCCACCTCAGCCTCCCAAGTGGCTGGGACTACAGGCACACACTACCACGCATGGCTAATCTGTCACTGGTTTTGATCAATTTGGTTATTATATGCCTTGGTGTGTTTTTCTTCATGTTTCTTGCACTTGTGGTTCTTTGAGTTCCTTGGGTCTATGGGTTTATTGTTTTCATAAAGTTTGGGGAAAATTTTGGCAATTATTTCTTCAGTATTTTTTCCTTCTTCCTCTGTCTCTCTTATTTAGTGATTCCAATCGCATGTATATTAGGTTGCTTGAAGTTGTCCTACAGTTCGTTCATGCTCTGTTCTATTTCTGTTTCTGTGTTTCGTTTTTGATAGTTGCTATTGCTATGTCTTCAAGTTCACTAATCTTTTCTTCTGCCATATCTAATCTGTTGTTAATCTCATCCAGTAAAGTTTTATATCAGCCATTGTGGTTTTCATTTTTTTTTTTTTTTTGAGATGGAGTCTCGCTCTGTGGCCCAGGCTAGAGTGTAGTGGTGTGATCAAGGGTCACTGCAACCTCCACCTCCCGGGTTCAAGTGATTCTCCTGCCTCAGCCTCCCAAGCAGCTGGAACTACAGGCATGTGCCACCATACCAGCTAATTTTTTTTTTTTTTTTTTTTAGTAGAGACAGGGTTTCACCATGTTGGCCAGGCTGATCTTGAACTTCTGACCTCAAGTGATCTGCTTGCCTCAGCTTCCCAAAGTGCTGGGATTACAGGTGTGAGCCACTGCATCTGGCCGGTTTTCATATCTAAAAGTTTAACTTGGATCTCTTATTTTTCCATGTGTCTACATAACATGTTTAATTGTTAGCTTCATAGAAATATATTCTAGGCAATAACATTATAACTTTTAATACCTTTGTTGTTTATGCTATTTGTGTCAGTTTAGAGTAGGTTTTGGTGGATTACCTTTTCTCTTTATTGTGGATATATTTTCCTCCTTCTATGAAAACATGATAATTTTTTGTTCAATGCCAGACATTTTGAATTTTACTTTGTTGGGTGCAGATATTTTTGTATTCCTATAAATACTCAGGTTTTGTTCTGGGATACAGTTGACTTAATTGGGAATAGTTCCTGTTAGGTCTTGTTTTTAAGATTTGTTAGGTTGTACCAAAGCAGTGTTTAGGGCTAATTATGCGCCACTCCTAAAGGAAGACTATTCTCAATACTCTACCCAATGCCCCAAGAATTGTGGCATTTTTCACTCTTGGTTGGTAGAAATGGGCACTATTCCTTGCCCTCGGTGAGCTCTGGCTACTGTTTCCTTTAATGCTTTTTGTTCATTCTGATTCCCTGGCCTTGGGCTTTGGGTAGTTTCATCACATGCATACATTGATCAGTGTGGTACTGAATTCTTTTTGTTGTTGTTGTTGTTTTGGAGATAGAGTCTCACTGTGTTGCCTAGGCTGGTCTCAAACTCTTGGGCTCAAGGGATCCTCCTGCTTTGGTCTCCCAAAGTGCTGGGATTACAGGCATGAGCCACCATGCCTGGCCTGTACTTAATTCTTGAGGGGCACCCTCCACAGATCTCTGGAGTTCTCTTTGTGACGTTCTCTCTACTCCAATGCTCTTGCCAGATAACTCCAGCTGCCTTGGTCTTCCTAGAATTTCAGCCCCATTTCTTCATCTCAGACAGTCCCATCAGGCTTGGTTCCCCCTACCGGTACCAGGGCAGGTTGGAAGGAGCAAATCTCAAAGCTGTATTTCAGAATGATGGAGACGACCTGAGCTAGTCCTTGCTGAATATGTTAAGCAGTGAGTGGTGAATAGGGCGTTTTAATGTGCTGCTTCTGGCCTTGCTACCAACCCACAGATCAATGAGGAAGTTCCTCTTCATGACTGAATGTCCTCACCAGTAAAATGAGTGGGTCTTGATACTGATTAACTGCTAGACGTCTTCTATCAATCGCCAGAAATGGTTTCTCTGGAAAGGCTCTAGGGTAAGCAAGTGACAGCATGGCACAGTACTAGAAGATTTGCCCCCTTGGTTCAAATTGATTTTTTTGTAGAGCGGAGGGAGCAGGGAGCTAGGCCTCTATTCTCATGATTCGGTGATGACTCACCAAGCTGTGGGTAAAGGAGAACTGATTGATAGGTAGTCTAGGACTCTGCTTCTCAAAACGTGGTCCCTAGACTAGCAGCACTGGCATCACCTGGGAGTTTCTTTGAACTGCAGACTGTCGAGCCCCATTCTAGATCTATCATCAGAATCTGCACTGTGACAAGAACCCTAGCTGATTGTTACGCGCTTTAATTAAGTTTGAGGGAGCGCTGTTCTAAGCGTGAATGGTTTCATATGCCCTCTAGTGGCTGTCCAGCAACTTGCAGGGAGCTTTAAAATGTTTTCTCATTTTAGGACCTTTGCACAGAACTGCCGAAACATTGAACATTTGAACCTCAATGGATGCACAAAAATCACTGACAGGTAAGTAATGAAGATTAATTGGTGACCAAATAGCCACGGGGAGAGAGAAGGGAGAGAAACGTGGTTGAAAATATCTTTAGTGCGTCTGCTCTTTTTCAGCACGTGTTATAGCCTTAGCAGATTCTGTTCCAAGCTGAAACATCTGGATCTGACCTCCTGTGTGTCTATTACAAACAGCTCCTTGAAGGGGATCAGGTAAGAGTGCCCATTGTTTGTGTCAAGAGAAATACCCAAAGCTATGAACATTCTGGAAACCTTCTTAATGGTCACGTTGGATCCAGCAAGAAATAGGTGACTCCAAGAGGTCCCAGGCATGGTCTCCCCTTCGGAATTTCTTGTGATGTACTAAACTCAGAGTTGGTCATTAACTCTCTACAGGAGAGACTGCACATAAGTTTTTGTTTCTTGTTCTCTCAGTGAGGGCTGCCGAAACCTGGAGTACCTGAACCTCTCTTGGTGTGATCAGATCACGAAGGATGGCATCGAGGCACTGGTGCGAGGTTGTCGAGGCCTGAAAGCCCTGCTCCTGAGGGGCTGCACACAGGTACCAGAGGGTTGATACAGCTGTTTGTGTTATGTGTCAGGTGTGGGCACATCATCCAGAAAGCTGCTTTTGCATTTTTCTTGGTGTCCCACTGTTCCCTCACCTGGATTCCAGCTGTCTTTTGTTTTCTCTGTCCACTCAGTTAGAAGATGAAGCTCTGAAACACATTCAGAATTACTGCCATGAGCTTGTGAGCCTCAACTTGCAGTCCTGCTCAGTAAGTAGCGTGCCTTTCCTGAACACTGTTTGCTCTATCTTGTCTCCCAAAGCAGTCTGCCTCAGGCCTCCCTGCAGCCCCCTAGGCACCTGAGATGGGCTGTGTTGCCACACCCTGATTTCCATCCTGTGTCCTTATATAACCTACCAATTTGTCACAAGCTGGAACAACAACAACAACAAAAAGGAATCATACTCAATATAAAGCCACTGACATCTCCCCTAAAAATAATACAGACTAGGTCTTGATTTTGTTGAATAGAGTATTAGGGACGCTATTGAGGAATGCAGTGAATTGGTCACTAAATAGTTTTAAGACATGAAGTGTCTTTTTTTTTAACTTATAAATTAAGGATGATGACTCCTCTCACGTTGTTTCAGTGGATAAAATGAAATAACACATGCAAAAATGCTTTAAAGAATAAAACGCATAGGCAAGAGCAAGGTGGCATTTTCATCAGGACATTAGCCTATGAAAAACTATTGGTCCTTCTCCACTGCCATTGTAAATGTTGATAATTGAAGAGGATGCTTGCTACATCCTACCAGGTTTTCAAGGGGAACATAGATTTTGAGAAAGGTAAGGGAAAACCCTTGCATTCAGCTTTAAATGAATATATTATAAATCTTTAGAGTCCCTAGTGGTGGGGAAAAAAACCAGAAACTATCTTATGGACAAACGTTGACCATATGGGCCAGGACTACTCAAAAATAGGACCTTGACTTACGTGTAGCATAGCAGTGGCTGATGGCTTGAAGTATAATATAGATGTGCGTGTTTATTTCTATATGAAGTAGTCTGTTTAAGTGAACATATTATTTTGAATCTTCATGGCCAAATTCATAGAATTTAAGGTATTTATCAATAATTTTGTGATTTATTTAATTTTCCTATTGTCTAAAACATTTGATGAAATATAAATATATGTGTATATTGTAAATATCTAAAGCATTAATCTGCAGAAATCCAATCAAATATTAATGTCAGTTAAACTAGGAAAGCCTCAAAAGTTCTTTAATCAGATTTTTAAATTATGAGTTTATAAATTTTATGAAAAAATCTATATTTTGATGACTAGTGAGGGAGAAATGGAATTTTAAACTTTTATTCTCCATTTATATTATTTAAAATTTTTACTTTATTTTTTCCTGGATGCATGTATCTTATCTAAATTGCTGAAATATTTTAAAGCTGTGCAGAGATAACACAAGTACCTGTCTACCCTCTACTTATTTTGTTGAAGTTATTTGGATAAAATGCTAGTAATCAGCAACCAAAACTGAACAACAGCAGATACTTTTCTGCTGCTCCCGTTTTGGTATTGCTGGTGTCCTCTGACTTTTCTTTCTGTGCTGCTTTTCCTCAGCGTATCACGGATGAAGGTGTGGTGCAGATATGCAGGGGCTGTCACCGGCTACAGGCTCTCTGCCTTTCGGGTTGCAGCAACCTCACAGATGCCTCTCTTACAGCCCTGGGTTTGAACTGTCCGCGACTGCAGTGAGTACACTGCACTTTTTGCTTTGCAGCTCAGAGTTTGGCTGAGTTAACCAAGAGGGCTTCCTTCAGGAGAGGACAGGCTTGCCAGGTAGTGGTGGTGGAGGCAGTAGTTATGTTGTTGTTGGCTTTTGTTGGGTAAATTGGGGTGGGGCGTGTATAAATCCAGTTCATTGGAGGATGTACTGGGAGAGTATAAAATGTCTACCACCAGTGAATCCAAACTTTAATTTCTTAATGAATGTCACACAGTTTCCCACCTAATTTACCTCATCATGTTATTGCTTTAAGCACCCGAGTGAGCACATAGTGAGGAGAGTGATAGCCTCACATCCAAAGGACATGAGCTTCTCCTCCAGAACTGCTGCCAAATGGACAGAATGAGGGGAATATCACAATCACCTTCTTACTTAGCTTCTTCCCCAGTAGGAAAAAAAGTTTTTAACAAATAATAATTTAGGCCAGGCATGGTGGCTCATGCCTGTAATCCCAACAGTTTGGGATGCTGAGGTGGGTGGGTCACCTGAGGTCAGGAATTCGAAACCAGCCTGGCCAACATGGTGACACCTCGTCTCTACTAAAAATACAAAAATTAGTCTGGTTGGTGGCAGGTGCCTGTAATTCCAGCTACTCGGAATGCTGAGGCAGGAGAATTGCTTGAACCCGCGAGGCGGAGGTTGCAGTGAGCCAAGATTGTGCCACTGCACTCTAGTCTAGGTGACAAGAGTGAGACCCCATCTCAAAAAAAAAAACAAAAAAAACAATAATTTGTATTCTCATCCTCAAGGTAATAGATTATCATTACCAGCTATGAATATTAAAATTTTAACAATGGTAACAATAGTTGACTTCAGAACCAGCAACCTTTAACTTTATCCAAGAGGCAGAAAAAAAGATACTTTTTAAAAATCTCTACTTCCCAATGAAACTGATCCATTCCCACGCTCACACCAGTTCTGTATCTTTTAAGAATTGTATATTTCTGCTTTTACCAATTTTTCTTACTGTTGTAGAGAAGGTACTATATCATTTAGATATTTCTGCTTAGTAGAAGGAATTTGGGTGATCAAAACTGGCCAGAAAGGAGGTCAAAATTATTGCTGTAAGGGAGTGTTTAACTTAGAAATGTTATTCATGCACCCATCCCTATTAAGCATGGGTAATTGAGAATTAACTTATTTTTCATTGTCCACAAATTTTTTAAATTTCCTTTAGGGTACCTGGGAATTTCCATAAATGGAGTAAATCTCAAGATGATTTTGTTGAGAAAAGTTCATTTTAAATGTGTTTAAAAAGTGAACAAGGCTGGGCATGGTGGCTCATGCCTGTAATCCCAGCACTTTGGGAGGCCGAGGTGGGTGGATTACCTGAGGTCAGGAGTTTGAGACCAGCCTGGCCAAGATGATGAAATCCCGTTTCTACTAAAAGTACAAAAATTAGCTGGGCATGGTGGCGGGCACCTGTAGTCCCAGCTACTTGGGAGACTGAGACGGGAGAATCATTTGAACCTGGGAGGCGGAGGCTGCAGTGAGCCAAGATGCTCCACTGCACTCCAGCCTGGGTGACAGTATGAGACGCTGTTTGCAAAACAAAACAAAACAAAAACAAAACCAAAAAACAAATATTAGAATACTATTTAAAAACAACATGCTGGTAAAGCAGGAAGATTCTTGGATTTACTTTCCAAGTTTGGGATGGAACTTCGGGGCTTTGGGCAGGTCACATTCCCTAAGGGCTGTTAACAGAGGCAAAAGCATGTCAAAGAGCAGAAAAGACTCAAGTATGCATCATAAAATATGTGTTTCCATTATTAACTAGTTGGTACCGTTTTCTCCCCTGTACCCACTTTCTCCTCAGAATTTTGGAGGCTGCCCGATGCTCCCATTTGACTGACGCAGGTTTTACACTTTTAGCTCGGGTAAGGCATAGATTTAAAGAATACAACCAAACTCTAATTCACCTCCCGAATTCAAAGTGACTTGGAGTGGTTTTGGGTGTGCAAAAGACTACCTTCAGAAAAGACAGGCACAAAGTAGAGTAGAACCCTTGGGGTGTGTACTGCAGTTTTTCCAGTTAGCCAGAAATCTAGGGAAGTCCTATAGAGGGTTCTGTAAAGAGTCTGAGCCTCACGCGTGGTCAAGTGGGACCAGCCTCCTCCTGGCAGGAGACTCCATTCCTCATTGGACCCCAACTTGGCCTCTCAGCAGCTCCCCCTAACTGGGCTGTACTCTGCCCTTTGTCCTGCAAACACTGACCACTGGGGGCCCCTCTGGACCTGCTGCCAGGAACCCATGTCCTCCTGGGGCTGCTGATATACTTGGCTACCTCCACCCAACCCCCACAGTGTGGCTTAGTGCCCCATCCCCATGCCCTCCCAGAGTCTAGGCTATGGCTAAAATTTACCTGCTGATGTCTGCGAGCCACTGGGAAGGTTGTAGACAACTCTCTTTACAAGTTGAGAGAAGGAAATGCAGCCAGAGGCAGCCCTATTCCCAGTTCCAAAGCACTGTAACTCAAAAGGCAGCTGTTCAGAAGTGCTGGTTTACTGGGTAGCTTTAGGAAGAGGGCATACTTCTTAACAGAAGAGAACAAGGACACTGGGCCAATACTCAGAGGGATAGGGCAAGCCACCATTGTTGCTGTCACCACTGACTCACATGTGGGGTGTGTCTTGTGGACTCTTCCAGAATTGCCACGAATTGGAGAAGATGGATCTTGAAGAATGCATCCTGGTGAGTGGACTCCTGACAGCCCTGCAGGGCAGCCTGCTCCTTAGTCATTGCTGGCCAGTGCAGCACAGCCAGAGACACTGACTCGCTATCATCCTGACCCTCCTTGATCAACCTCAGTGGCAGGGCTTGGAAACCTGTGAAGGCCATGGCAGTGGATGCGTGAACTTTTGGCCATTCTCAGTCATCAGACAGAACTACAGAAGAGAAGTTCAGGATAGCTCTATAAAATAAGCTTGCATGTCCAGTGATGGGGTGACTCCAAAGAGGAGAATCCTGGGAACCCTCCTTGCCCACTCCCTCTTTGTCCCTTGCCCCAAGCCTCCTTGGGGTACCAGAAGAGAGACAAAGAACAGTTTTGCATCTCTAGAAGTGGGCAGATTTTAGAGTGCTGGTGAAGAGAGGAGCTCCCAGCCCCAGAGTGTTTGAGATGAGTTTTTAATTCTTTTACACCTTTTGATTCTCGTGTTCAGGAGAAGCCAGGATTAGGTATTAAGTTCTGGTGTAGAAGCCACACTGACACAGCATGTTTCTCTCCAGATAACCGACAGCACACTCATCCAGCTCTCCATTCACTGTCCTAAACTGCAAGCCCTGGTGAGTCTGAGTTTTTCTGACATTATTCACCTGTTAAAGATGAAAGAGCCCTCCCACCACAACAAGAAGCTGTTTGGGTTCTCTTTCTGTAAGGTATCATCTCTCTTGATTTCAAAAATCTATTAATTGGGCTAACTTGGGAGGCAAGGTATCTAAATATTTGATTACTGCTTTCATTGAATTTGCAATTTTAAGATTCCCAAAAGAGAAATGTCCAGATCCAGATGGTTTTGTTGGGGAACTCTACCAAACATTTAAGGAATGAACATCTTTTTTTTTTTTTTGAAACAGGGTCTCACTCTATCGCCTAGGGTGGAAAGCAGTGGCACAATCTGAGCTCGCTACAACCTCCACCTCCCAGGTTCAAGCAATTCTCCTCCTCAGCCTTGCGGGGGGATTACAAACATGCGCCACCATGCCTGGCTAATTTTTGTATTTTTAGTAGAGACGGGGTTTCACCATGTTGGCCAGGCTGGTCTCGAACTCCTGACCTCAGGTGATCTGCCTGCCTCAGCCTCCCAAAGTGCTGGGATTACAGGTGTGAGCTACCGCACCTGACCTGAATTAGCATCAATTCTATACACTCTGTTTTAGGAAATAAGACAGTAAAACATTTTACAACTCTTTTTTTGAGACAGAGTCTTGCTCTGTCACCCAGGCTGGACTGCAGTGGCGCGACCTCAGCTCACTGCAACCTCTGCCTCCTTGGTTCAAGCTATTCTCCTGCCTCATCCTCCCGAGTAGCTGGGATTACAGGCGTGCACCACCACGCCCAGCAAATTTTTGTATTTTTAGTAGAGACGGGGTTTCACCATGTTGGCCTGGCTGGTCTCGAACTCCTGACCTCAAGTGATCCACCTGCCTCGGCCTCCCAAAACAACTTTTTTTTTTTAATGAGGCCAGTAATACCCTGTTATCAAAACCAAACAAAAATTGTACCAAAAAAAAAACAAAAACAAAAAAAAACACTACAGACCGATATTCCTCATAAACATAGAAGCAAGTATCTGTAACAAAATATTAGCAAATAGAATGTAGCAATATATAGAAATAATTATAATACCATGGCCAAGCAGGGTTTACTCCAGAGACACAAGTGTAGTTTAATATTTGAAAACTGACTGATGTAATCAACCATATTAACTAAAGAAGAAAAATTACATGATCACATCAACTAATGCAGAAAAAGAATTTGACAAAATTCAAGAGGGCTGGGCACGGTGGCTCACACCTCTAATCCCAGCACTTTGGGAGGCTGAGGTGGGCAGATCACAAGGTCAGGACATTGAGACCATCCTGGCCAAGATGGTGAAACCCCATCTCTACTACCAAAATTAGCTGGGCGTGGTGGCACACGCCTGTAGTCCCAGCTACTCTGGAGGCTGAGACAGGGGAACTGCTTGAACCTGGGAGGCGGAGGTTGCAGTGAGCCAAGGTCACACCACTGCACTCCAGTCTGGCGACAGAGTGAGACTCTGTCTCAAAAAAAAAAAAAAAAAATTCAAAAGAAAAAGTTACTTTAAAAAGTACCAGGCCGGCTGCGGTGGCTCATGCCTGTAATCCCCAGCACTTTGGGAGGCCGAGGCAGGCAGATTGCCTGAGGTTGGGAGTTCGAGACCAGCCTAACCAACATGGAGAAACCCTGTCTCTACTAAAAATACAAAAAATTAGCCAGGCATGGTGGCACATGCCTATAATCCCAGCTACTAGGGAGGCTGAGGCAGGAGAATTGCTTGAAACTGGGAGGGGGAGATTGCTGTGAGCTGAGATCTCGCCATTGCACTCCAGCCTGGGCAACAAGAGCAAAACTCCATAAAAAAAAAAAAAAAAAAAGTACCAGGAATATGAGAAAAATCCCCAGTTGCCATGTTCCCTACACAGGGATAACTATCACTGTGGCCAGTTTCTGTCCTTTTTGAGAAATTCTTTGTGCAATGAAAAGTGATTGTCTTTCTCTGTCCCTCTCCTCCCTGTCTCTTTCATGCACACACATCCACACCACATCCATGGGAGCAGAAGACACCTGCTGATGGCAATTAAAAGTAACCACCTCTGAGTCAGGAATGTGATATAAGCTGCTCGCTTCCAGAATGCATCACTCCTGCCAGGGATGAGTGACAGTGCATGACAGGAGAAAAGGCTTTAAGGCCAACCTGAGCTGGGTATAATTGGCAAGTCTCAAGTTCTTTGAGCCACAATGCTGTCATCTGTAAAAAGGGAATAATGACACTTACTCTGCAGAATTGGCCCGAACCAGACAGCTTTGACTATTGACTACGTTGTTAGTGTTAATATAGAAGGCCCCACTGCTGTGTGAACCATGTTGGCAGCGGATTTTCCTGTTAACTCAGAACAGGTCAAGCACCCTCTGATTTTCCTTAAATCAGTTTTTAAAAATTTCTATGAATACTTGAATATGCCAGTACATAAGTTTTTCAATTAATATAACAGTATCTCCTCAGTCTCATATGTTACTGTTAACTTCTTGATTTCTGAATTTCCCTATATTAAAACAATGGAGAAATTGACATTCATACACCATCTCCATCATCTTTCTCCAATCTGTGTTTGTAAATATACACGTATATACGTGTGAATCCATATGTAAATAAAATGAAATTGGCTGGGCACGGTGGCTCACGCCTGTAATCTCAACACTTTGGGAGGCCAAGGCGGGTGGATCACCTGAGGTCGGGAGTTCGAGACCAGCCTGACCAACATGGAGAAACCCCGCCTCTACTAAAAATACAAAATTAGCCAGGCGTGGTGGCGCATGCATGACTGAGGCAGGAGAACCGCTTGAACCTGGGAGGTGGAGGTTGCGTTGAGCCGAGATTGCGCCATTGCACTCCAGCCTGGGCAACAAGAGTGAAACTCCATCTCAAAAAAAAATAAATAAAAATTTAAAAAAAAAAGAAAATGAAATATATACATACACAGAGAGACACTTTTTTTCTCATTCCATTTTATTGTAAGTAATCAAACTTCTATTTTTTTATTTACCAATTTTAAACAGCCTCCTAAAGAACCAGTTTTCTGGCTTTACTCTTAATTCTAAAAGCTAAAAACCAATGAACAGCATTGATTACATAAATACTATTTGATGTAAACCATGTAGAGTGATTCGATTCATGAGAAAGGAAATATATTCCACATTGTTAAGATCAAGCTCAGAGAAGAATCTTTAAAGCATCAAGGTCCAACAGAATTCCTCTCCTCTAGCTTCCCTTCCCTCGAGGTGGTACTCTGCTGCCTAGTTACATAGCCAGTAGTTCTAGTTTCTAGCAGTAGTTTCTAGTTTGGGGCTGTTACAACCAGTACTGCAATGTCTTAGATTTTTTTATTCTGCAGGAATACCTTACACCCATCCACTCAGGTCTCCTCTGCCAGGACTTGTCAAGTCCAAACTCTCAGACATTTCCTTGCTTCATAGACTGCAGTAGCCATTCACTTGCTCTAAACTGTATCCACTTTCGCACTAAAAAATTTGGCAGAGTGGTTTTTCAAATTTTAACTTTACTGAAGTAAAATATACATGTAGAAAAGCACATTTATCATTGGTGTATAGATCAATGCATTTCCATAAACTGAATACACCCCGATCAAAGGTCAACATTATCATGACCCCGGAAAGGCCCTTTCTGCTCCCTTTCAATCACTGATCCCCCAAAAGTCGTGACTTCCAAATAGTATATATTAGTTTTGCCTCTTTGTATTTTATTTAAATGATATGAATGGAATTATCATGTATACTCATCTGGTTTCCTTATCCATATTGTTACATGTAGTTGTATATTGTTCATTCTCACTGCTTTATAGAATGGGTACACTGTGATTTATTTATCCTTTCTCTACTTTTGAATATTTGAGTACTGCTTCTAGTTTGGGGCCATTACAGCCAGTATTCCTGTTTTTTGGTTAACACATGTATGCATTTCAGTCAGAAACATCGAAATAACCCCTGCAGCATATGAGACTTCCAATTGCTCCACATCCTCACCAACACTTATTTTCCATCTTTTTTGAAAAACAATTGTAACATCACATTCTCCTTACAACTCCTCCCACTGACCTTGGAATCAGAACTAAATTTCTTTACATAACCTACACAACTCTGTGATCTGGCCCTTACCTCCCCAATTCCATCTGCATCTACATGCGTCCTCTTATTTCCCACCTATTATATGTTGACCTTCTTCCTAAACAGTACTTGCCGTTCTCCTGCTACCCCTGGGCCTTGCACACAACAAACTCTTTGCTCTCTTTCCTAGGATTAGCTCCTAATCCTTCAAATATCAACTCAGTGGTCTGTTCCCCAGGACAAATCCTGCTATCATATGCTCTCAAAGCACCTCAGCTTCAGTTTAAAAGATTAGCATTATTTGATTTTATAGACTCTCCAGTCTGGGCTCTGCCAGTGCAGAGAAGTATACTTTTACTCATCATTGCACACGTGGGGGCTGGGACAGAGTTAGAACTCATTTATTTGAAGGAACAAATGAACAAATGGGAATTGATACAGTACTTTTGCCTCTCTAGTTTTTATGGTGGGGTGAATCTTACATTTGATATGCACTGGGGGAAACTGTCAGGTCTGAAACTGTTTTTGATATAGAGAACTTAAGAGAATTACATAAATGTCATTTGGCTATATAATATTCATCTGAATTTATCTTTTGCAACCATTACTGTTTACCCAAGAGAAGTCAGTAATGTCAGATCACACTGTTCAAGGTCTATTTGATTATAACCTTCAAAGATGCTCAGTATATCTCTGGGTCTCAGCTATTTGTGCAATTTTCTAAATGAACAAGGACATTAGATGCATTGATTTCACTGGCATCCCCTCAAATGGAGAACTGGCCAATAAAACTGCTCTCAAGGGGGTAAACTGAAATCTCCCCTGAAGATTTTATTTCCATCTTTACACAATTAGAAGAGAGAAGCCACTCCCAGTGTAGCAAACCCATAACCAAAGGGCCCCAAGGCTTTGTGTTTGGTCCTCACTGCCTGATTAAATGTCTCAGTCTGTTTTGTGCTGCTACTACAGACTGGATAATTTGTAATGAACAGAAACTTCTCATAGTTCTGAAGGCTGGGAAGTCCAGGGGCTGGCATCTGCTGAGGGCATTCTTGCTGTGTCATCCCATTGCAGAAGGGCAAAAAGGCTAGCTTCCAGCTTTTTTTTAGGACTTGAGCCTTGGAATAAGGGTCCTGCAAACATTTACTCATGTCTTCCTGTTCCAGAGCCTGTCCCACTGTGAACTCATCACAGATGATGGGATCCTGCACCTGAGCAACAGTACCTGTGGCCATGAGAGGCTGCGGGTACTGGAGTTGGACAACTGCCTCCTCATCACTGATGTGGCCCTGGAACACCTAGAGAACTGCCGAGGCCTGGAGCGCCTCGAGCTGTACGACTGCCAGCAGGTTACCCGTGCAGGCATCAAGCGGATGCGGGTAGGTATGGGGCAGGGGAGTCAGTCACACCTGACATTTCTAAGCACCAAAGGAAAACATCAAGAATCAGACCGGGGCTAGGCACGCGGTGGCTCACGCCTGTAATCCCAACACTTTCAGAAGCCAAGGTGGGTGGACCACTTGAGGTCAGGAGTTCAAGACCAGTCTGGTCAAAATGGTGAAACCCCATTTCTACTAAAAATACAAAAATTAGCCAGGTGTGGTGGTGGGCACCTGTAATCCCAGCTACTCGGGAGGCTGAGGCAGGAGAATCACCCGAACCTGGGAAGCAGAAGTTGCAGTGAGCCCAGACTGCACCACTGCACTTCAGCCTGCACCACAGAGTGAGACTCCATCTCAAAATAAATCGATCAATCAACACTCATTTCCTGTTATGCAATAGTTATGCAAACTGATCTGGTACAATAGTGTCACCTTAAACTTCTTCAAAATGTTCTTGCTTAGACTCCACCCTGGAAGATTCAACTTGAGTTGGGTCTGGGCTGGAGATTCCACATAGTCTGGTGATCGTAGCCCTTATAAGAAAGCCTATGTTGGGATGGGCGCGGTGGCTCACGACTCTAATCCCAGCACTTTGGGAGGCCGAGGCGGGCGGATCACAAGGTCAAGGGTTCGAGACCAGCTGACCAACATGGTGAAACCGTCTCTACTAATAATATAAAAATTAGCTGGCTGCGTGCCTGTAATCCCAGCTAATTGGGAGGCTGAGGCAGGAGAATCGCTTGAACCCGGGAGGTGGAGGTTGCAGTGAGCTGAGATTGCGCCATTGCACTCCAGCCTGGGCGACAAGAGTGAAACTCTGTCTCAAAAAAAGAAAAAAGGCCTATGGTAAAGGCAAGCAATTTAAGGTCATTATGAGTGGGAGGTAGAACTCTCTTGGCTAATTTCCAGGTAAGAGAGCTTAACAGAATTTGGCTTTTTCCATATAGTTCACCTACACTGTTTTCTTGATTATGCTTTAAGTTTAGGCAACTGCATTTAACAGCCCCATCCAGGGTGCTACAGCTGTAGAGAACATTCACTTAGTTTGTAAACAGGGCTGGTTACTACCCCTGGGTGGAAACGTATCAACGTAAGTGTTTTCACTTATCCTTAGAAGGTACTAATGGGGGGCAGACGGTGCGGGGAGTAACAGGAGTAGCTCTAATCTATAGCATAAATTCTACTTCAACTAAGGTGAAGATTTTTAATAGAGGACTATAGGTTTTTCTAGAATTATGACTATAATCCTAAAAATAGTAATGTGTAAAGACTCCACTTTTTTCTTCATCCTTCCAGGCTCAGCTCCCTCATGTCAAAGTCCACGCCTACTTTGCTCCCGTCACCCCACCGACAGCAGTGGCAGGAAGTGGACAGCGACTGTGCAGGTGCTGTGTCATTCTCTGACAGCAGCTGCCTGGGCCCAAGGGGTGATGAGGCATCCTTTCCTCTAGAAGACCTGAGTCTTCCTGACCGACTCCACCATCACCCAATCTGTTGATTCTCCATTGGGAAAGGCATTTACAGGTAAAAGACTTCTGTATGGATTGCAGTTACTCTGGTGATAGTTTTCACCTTTATTCTGCTGTGAAACAATCAAATCAAAGCCTTGTGTCAGTTAACACATGACAAGTGGTCTCAATGCAGCTAGGACCATGCCAGAAACCTGGATCTCTTAAGAGATTGGTACCTACCTAGGTACGAAAGTTCTACCCTTGGCATACTCAGCATTCCTCAAAAAGACCATCAGTGTTAGCACAAACTGAGCAGAAAAAATAAGCTGTTGATTTTCTACCTGATACTTAAGCCAGTGGCCTACTTTAATTCACAATTCCATTTTGATTAGCAGGACTTTTCCACTTTGAAGATAAATAGCAACTTTATCAAAGTGACTGTACTGCAAATTAATTCATAATGCCTGATAGTTTTATATATAGAGACTTATGTGGAAGGCATGTTAATAGGTTTCCATGAGACACCAAAGAAAAGAGGACTCTATACTGGGTGGAGCAGGGTCTTCACCTTTTTGTTTCTGTCAACTTGTCATATACACCTCCAGGGACCAAAAACAAAAGCAGCTCGGAGTCTGTGTTGCCTGATTGGAAAGTAGAAGCTCTGGTGTATGCTACAGCACATAACACATTTTTACTAAAGGAAAAAAGCTAATTATGTCCATGCCTCTCGTAAAACTGGGGGGAACCTTAAAGAGAAAGAACTAAGGCTTAAGTTATCTGTAGTATAATCAATTAGAAGTAATGAATGGATGCATGTAAAATGGATGTGATTTTTTTTCAAGCTTATTTTGAAATCTTAAAAATCAGGTTACACCATAGCTACTCAAAAGTTTTACACACTTAAAACTCAGATCAGTAAGTGTTGGTACCTTTTAGACTCATAAAATTGAATAAACCATTGCAATGCTTTAAAAAAAATTAAGTCAGAGGGTTTTATTGCTATGATTTTATGGCAGACACATCCAAGCAAAACCATTTTCCAAATGCAGACCTTCCTGATGTTATCTGAAATCTGATAAAATGACCCTACTCTCTGCTGTGGTTCATTCTTGCTCCATGCTGTCCATATTTATGATCTTTATTAAGAACCTGTCAATCAGTCATCACCACCTTCATTGTAAACTTAGGTGTTCATGGTGGCTGGCCCTTCCAAACAACCACTCCCCCAAACTGAAGGGCCAGAGCTCATGAGAAACTTAAAAGTGAAACGGCAAAAGCAAGATGTGTTCCCATGACTACCAATACCTTTATTAGGCAGTTTTAGAAGTGTTTTTAAGGATATATTATGTCAGCTGCATTCTAGGAAGAGAAGCAGATTATATATATATATAATCTCCCCATAAACGGACTTAGCACAATTATCATCAGAGTAAGCATTAAAGTCATTTTATTGCCTTATGATATATTCCAGTATTCCTTGGTCTAAAAATTGTGTGGATACCATAGCAGTTAGTTAAATATACATTTATACCCACTGTTTGTTGTGGAAGAGATGATGGGGGAGGAGGACTGATGCAGGAAGCAACTTCAATAAATGAGCATATAACAGACTTGCTTCAGTGATTATGAATTAGTTTAGTTTCTATTAAAAAAAATTAACTTAAGGCTGGCCACGGTGGTTCATGCCTATAATCCCAGCACTTGGGGAGGCCAAGGCGGGTGGATCACCTGAGGTCAGGAGTTTGAGACCAGCCTGGCCAACACAGTAAAACCCCATCTCTACTGAAAATACAAAAATTAGCCGGGCGTGGTGCTGGGCACCTGTAATCTCAGCTACTCGGGAGGCTGAAGCAGGAGAAATGCTGGAACCCAGGAGGCGGAGGTGGCAGTGAGCCGAGATTGTGCCATTGCACTCCATCCAGCCCAGGAGACAACAGTGAGACTCCATCATCATCTCAAAACAAAACAAACAAACAAACAAAACAAACCACCAGAGCCTTCTATACATGATTGATTTCTTTTGAGCCAGGATACAACCTATCATCAGTCACAGCTATTGGACTTGATGCTCAATGATCCATGGCCTCATTTACAAAACAGGAGAACCTCTTGTAAGAAAATCAGGTTTGCAGGCTGGGCACGGTGGCTCACGCCTGTAATCCCAGCACTTTGGGAGGCAGAGGCGGGCGGATCGTGAGATCAGGAGATCAAGACCATCCTGGCTAACACAGTGAAACCCCGTCTCTACTAAAAATACAAAAAAAATTAGCCGGGCATAGTGGCGGGTGCCTGTAGTCCCAGCTACTCAGGAGACTGAGGCAGAAGAATGGCGTGAACCCGGGAGGCAGAGCTTGCAGTGAGCCGAGATTGCGCCACTGCACTCCAGCCTGGGTGACAGAGCCAGACTCCGTCTCAAAAAAAAAAAAAAAAAAGAAAATCAGGTTTGCTTCCTTTTAAAGTCTGGAATAGTTTAGTTAGTTAGTTAGTTAGTTAGTTAGTTAATGGAATAACAACATATCCTCAGTTGCATCAGCTTTCAGAAAATAAACTGAAAAGGAAAAAACTATGAGCCTAACCTCTTACTACATTTAGACTGGCTCAGAATACACACAGGGAAACTCCTTGATTCTATGACACGAAGTGACAGTAGCAGGAACTGGGATTTTAAATGAGACACACATTTGCAAAACAATCAGAAAACATTTATTATACTGAAATGTGTACATCCTACTATTAAAAAAACAAAGTAACAAATTTGCTGGTGCCAAAATTTATTTAGCCTGTTTCACTGGGACAAACTCACGTTCAATGCCACTCAGTATAATTTCAAGTCTGATAAGCATCTAAGTATTTTTACCCCGCTTCTAAAACCTGATGAGGAATTCAAAATAAGCACACAGCATTAAATGACATTTATTGTTCCATAAATCTTGAGACCCAAAAAGGAATGCTAAATAGACAAGCAAAACTTTTAAAACAAACGAGATAAACTCACTTCTTTCCCCAGTGACTGGTACAGAAAACATGTGGTCACACGAAAGCAAAGGGAAAAAGTCAGAAAGGAAAACTCTCTGCCTATAGGATCTATAGGAGTTACAGATATTTTCAAATCGATGATGAAAATAGATCGTGCTTCTTTGTAGCAAATAATTAACCCCCTTTATGAATAAAACATAAAATGTCAAAGCTTTTACTCACTGAAGTAGTTTGTCTTCTGGGAGAGATTTCAAACTCAAAATTACTCATTTCCTATTTTTTGCCTGAACACAATGAGGATCAAATAGTACATTCAAATCAGGACACCTGGGTATATGGACAAAGATATCCTACAATTAAAATGGAATAGAAGTTAAAAAAAAAATTCAGTCCCCTACACCACAGGCCTCAAACATGCTTGCTGATGGATTCTGGGAAGGTTTTGGATGAAGGACGGAGATATGGGAGGAAAGTGAGAAAACAGTGGATTCCCTTTGAAAAGTATGCTAGCAGACAAGCATTTGGTTTTATGAAAGAGGCACTCTTATAGAGAAAGAAGCTAGTATGTGGTGTATAAAAAGCCCCTAAATCATCACCAGAATGTCTATCCATGATTGTACTAAAGCTCAATATTTGAGAGGCTTAAGGGATTTGTATGGTACATTTTAGTGTTTGATTGATAACATCTAGTGTTTCCAGAAAAAAATTCATCTTGTTCATAATGAAGATCCCTTAACACCTAGTCAGAAGCTATCAACAATAATACTTTCTCCCCCTACTTGGGTCACCTATTTCCAATGTCTGGGGTAGGGCTTTAAAAATGTTTAATAGGATGGTGGGGGTGGGGGGTTAGGGTGGGGGTGGTCAGAGATGGAGGGAGAGAGGGAAGAAAATGAGAGAAAAACCACGAGTTTAAAAGGCAAGGAATCTCCAAAAATGAAAACCAGAAACTAAAATGCTAAAAATGGAAGCAGAAGCAAAAAAGTTTTTCAATAAATCTGTGACAAAGCCAAAACACAAAAGTCTTTGTACCTATTAGGATTTACACTGATCCTCTCACCAAGGTACTCCTGATAATGCAGTTTGCTTCAAGCCCATCTTCCTGGCTTGGATCTTCTCCAATCTGGCATGATCATATCAAACGTACACCCTCAGACATGATTTCTTCCAAGAAGGTGCCGAGCCTCTTACCTGACCACCAACGGCCACATCAGCACAACACAACTCTCCGCATACAGATTCACTGCTGGCCCCACAACAGCACTGTCCCCCATCTCCTCTCCAGGTCAGCATAAGGTTCAGGCAATAAAAGCCAAACTGGCACAGAAAGGTAAATGCCCACAGTAAGTTTCTACATTCATTTCCAAACCGCATACAGTGTAAAAAGACAGCAAAGGCTGCTTCTAGGAACTGTATTTACTGGCCTCTGCCAGAGCAGCAGGCAGCTATGCCTGCACCGTGGCCTCCAGAGCTGGATGCATGCTGTGCCGATGTGCTCACTCTCATGAGGATGCTTGGCTATGGCAGTGACAGTGAGGAGATTCACCTCTCATACAGCTCATTAGAAAGGTCATCTTGTGTTTTCAATATGAAACATTTCATATGGTAAAATCCAATCCCAAGACTTCTTGGATTCAGTCTTCACACACTTTTAAGCGTGACTATTTGGTACTGAATACAGTTCAGTCTATATAAGACATCACTTCAAAATTATGTGGATGCCATCACTACTTTCAGCTGCAGAAAAAGGAAAGACAGTATTTCTTCAGTCAGGCTTAGGAAATTAAGCCTATTAAATGGAAAACTCCCTGCCAACTACAACCTCCCTTCCCAATTCAGAGGTTACCTTTAAATGATTCTAGAGAAACAAGCAGATTAACTTGCTCTAGCTCCTCTTCCCCCAAAAAACTTCATGTACACATTCCCTTTTTAGACATTCTGCGAAGCCTGGCCCACTATCAACGCCCGCATTCCAACACTGTCTGCCAGTTCTGGGGGTAGGGGGACATCTATCAAGACACACAATAATAGTGCTGTCCATAAGGGGAGCAAGAGCTAGAAGGAGAACAGGTGAAATATACTGTGTCAGGGCAGAGGACCTGAGGGAGTAAATGCAAATGTGTACATCTACCTTTTCCAGAAAAATTTCTGAGCTACTCACAGAGATTTCAAACATTTTAAAACTGTATCATTCCTTTTGCCTAGTGTTTCTCAGTAAATAGTGAGAAGCAATATAGGCATTCATAAAAAAATGATTTTTCTCATGACGACAAAGTTTAAAAAAAAAAACAAAACAGTAAATTGAGATTAGAGGGGAGATCCTATGATTTCTAATACCAAAAAATGTCTGCTGGTTTCACAAAACAAAACTATGCAATTATAGTATATGTCTTCTTTTTCAGACAATGTCAGTTATGCAAGGTAAAAACTGTACTGCTGTGAAAACAAAAGACTGAGCAGAAGGGTACTAGGCTAAAGATGTTTCTGAAAGAGTGAACCAGTTCAGAGTTAAAACTCAGCCTTGCAGGTAACCTGATGGCATACGCAACATGTGAGGCGCAAAATAAAATCAGTATTTCAGTAGTCTGGGGACACCTGACACACATGACATCTCCCTCTTCTAGGGGCAGCTTTTGTGCTAAGACCGGATTTGGATCTTAGCTCACCTGACTTTTAAAACAGTCTATGAATGTATGATCTCTTCTCAAATAATTTTACATTTAGGAATCCCTCCTCTTTAATGTTGGAGCCACCTAAGCCTGGTCCTGGCTCTTTTCATATTCTCTCCCTAAATGACCTTAACAACTTCTACAGCTTTGAGTCACTGCTGATATGCTGAAGGTTTCCAAATTTACATCTCAAGCCCAGGCCTCTTCTCTGAGCCCCAGACTGGTAATAGTCAACTGCCTACTTGACATTTCTACATATCCAAAATCAAACTCTTGGTTGATTTACCCCAACCATACTTACCTCTTCAATGAGATCACCATCTGCCCAGTTACTTTCCACAGAAAATAAGGTGTCAGAACTATTCCTCCCTCAAAAGTGGAGCCCACTGGGACCCTGTCTATAAACGTGTAAGATACCATCACCTTTCACCTGGATATCTCCTGCCTCGTTTTGCCACCTTCTCATCTGTCTCCACAGAGTTGTGAAAGTGAAAGAAAAATCTAGTCACATTACTACTCCTTTGTTTAAACAACTTCAGTGACAACCCAATGCATTTCAAGTAAATCCGAACTACCATCATCATCCGGTCCCCGCATGCCAGACCCGGCCTCCTGCTTTGATTTGCCCTGATCCGCTCACCCTCACACACTGCATGGCACCTACATGGCCCACTGCCAGGCTTTCCAAGAAGCCAGGTGTTTTCTTTGCACACAGCCCCACGTTGCCTGGGGATGCTAATCCAATGGCCAGCTCCCGCTTCTTCTCATTCTTCAAGTCTCAGGATTAATAACACCTCCTCAGAGAAGCCTTGCCTTACAGTTTCATATTCCCCTCAACCCAGATCTCCCTTATCCATAAGTACCCCCACACTTTCCTGTTCCTTCATGGAACTTAACATATTGGGAATTTTGTGTATCTCTTGGCCAATTTTGGTTTGCTTTCCCCAATAGGAGTTTCATGGATTCTGTTTTATTCAATAGATCCACTGAGCGACAGAAGCACGGTGTCTGACACAAAGTGCTCAGTAAGACGTTGGCTGAATGAATTGAGATTTTTTTTTCCAGTCATCTAGAAAGACTGACTCCTCTTCCTTATATGCTAATTTCTGTTACAACCACTAGAAATATTCTCATTTATCAAACTTTCTTCTTAAAATGAGTAAAGCAATCATTTTAAAGAATAAACACGAGAGGCACTAATTAGAGGCACACACCATCTCTCATGATTCCAGCATTTTAAGACACACACACATGCAAAGTACCTTTTACTGTGGAGAATAAAAAACAACTCTCATCTTGAAAATTCTGAACCATCTGGAAGGATAAAGTAAATGCGTAAGTACAATTAAGATCCAACTGTCGTTTCTTAAAATGATTTTAAAACAGTAAATATTCTTCTCAAACAAACACAGGACTCAATGGCCAAAACGATAATTCATGAAGGCAGTGTGAGGCAGCAAAGATGCACACGTGCTGCACTGCCTTGTGTTCACTATGCCTGTCCATAATGGTCCCTGAGAGACCTGGTCAGTCACCCATGTGACCCACAGGGGCACATTCCCTGCCGGCTCCAGTGGATGATGACTCGAACAAAAATTGCATAAAGTGCTCTTCTATTATTACTTGCCACCAATCACTAGGGGAAAAATTATATATCTTACATGTTTTTTTAAATTAGTCATCAAATAATAGACAAAAGGAAAACACATCCAGTGACTCACCTCATAAAAAGGGCCAAAGCCTGCCACTATCCCTAGAGTGCCCCAGTGATTGGCTGCATCCTAAAGGGCTGGGGGGAGGCTAAGCCAGTTTTCCTTGGCTTGTATTCCATATTATCACTAGGATGCCTGAAACTCTTGGTTATAAGTTCTTCCAAAGTGATTCCCAACTCTCTGAAAATGATTCTCATAAGTATTTTCAAAAGAGGTCACAGAATTTTTCTACAGTTCTACAATTACATGTATAAAAGTAAATACCAGTCTGAAAAGGAAAAACAAATGATTTGATTTACCTGATCACTAACAAGAATGTGAATACCGGTGGGACCCTGTCTGTAAACCTGATTAATTTGGTGGAGAGGGATATTAAACACCAGCGCAAGTTTTCGAGCAACTTCTGAGGCAATCATTTCTTCCAAGTAGATTGCATGATAAACTGAAATTAAAAAAAAAAAAAGAAAAGCATTTTAACAGTAATCTTTGATCTGTTTTCTGCCTGATCTGTAGGATCTGTACGAAGGTCACACCTTTCAAAGTACCAAAAAAGTAAAAAAACATTTTAAATGGGAATAAACTATTTCTTTCCCCCATCTTACTACCTTGAAATCTTGAACTACCAATCTAAAACGTAAGAATACATTATTTATATCCACAAATATAATTTAATAAACATTAACAGAAATCCCTGGACAAAAAGATTTGAGGTTTGAATTTTTCTTCATATTTTTATTCAATGAATATAGTTTCATGTATTCAAAATTTAAAAACAGGAATTGGCTGCAAATGGACATGGGGGATCTTCTTGAAATAATGGAACTCAAACTGAATTTTGACAATGGCTGCCAAACTCTCTAAATTGGCTAAAATACCATTATATACTTACAATGGGAGGACTTTATGGTATGTAAATTATGCCTGAAGAAAGCTGTTTTTAAAAATAATATATACTTCATGTATTTCTAGCAATATACAAAAAGAACCCTAAAAGAGTCATAGTTCTTTTTGTTTATTTTTTTAAGACAGTGTCCTTTTTTGTTGCCCAGGCTGGAGTGCAGTGACACAATCACAGCTCACTGTAGCCTCTGCCTCCCAGGCTCAAGCAATCCTCCCACCTCAGCCTCCTAAGTAGCTGGGACTATGGTGGGGGCACACGCCACCATGCCTGGCTAATTTTTATTATTATTATTATTATTATTATTATTATTATTTGTAGAGACAGGGTTTCACCATGTTGCCCAAGCTGTCTCAAACTCCTGGGCTCACGCAGTCTGCCCAGTTAGGCCTCCCAAAGTGCTGGGATTACAGGCGTGAGCCAGCACGCCCAGTTAAGCATTATAGTTTTTGATCCAGTAATCCTACTACTAGGAATTTATCCTAAGGAATAAAAGCTATCTGTATATGCCCCTCCCCCACAAAAAATTTTAAATAAAAGATACTATATGAAAAGCTAATATAAACAATGAAGTGTGATGCTTCCTTACAGAAAGCCCCAGCCACATTCCAGTGTTCTGCATTTTTGCTACACAGAACTTATCAGCAGACATCTGCACAGTGCACATCTGTAGTGAGTCTCACTCTTGTACGTCCTGCTCAATTACTGATTAAAGCCAGACATGGATCAGGAATATCATTACTGAGAACTTTGCTTCCCCAAACAAGGGGTCTGTGAGTATAGAAACCCAGAATTTTCCATTACATAAAAGAAGCTGGAACTAAAATTACAGTAAGAATATAGAAATGATCTAGAGCAGGTGTCACCAAACCACAGCCCATATGGGCCAATTCCTGCCCTCCACTTGTTTTTTTTTTTTTTTTTTTTAAATAAAGTTTTACTGGAACAGCCTTATCTACAATTTACATATTGTCTATGGCTATTTTAGCACTACAATCACAGAGTTGAATGTGAGAGACCCTATGTATGATCTAAAGAGATGGAAATATTTACTACCTGACCTTTTACAGAAAAAGTTTGCTGATTATGGGAAAATATCCAATATTTCCCCATATCCCTCCACAAACACTCATGTTTGAGAATACACCTTCCAAAATATTATAATCTTGGCCATATCTAAGTGATGTATAAGCTCTTGATGATACATGGAGATCTCCTTTAAATTTTTATCCTTTAAGAATTTGTATACTTAATCTCAAAATTCAGAGCTTTTGAAGTCAAAATAATACCAAATAGAAAAGTTCACAGTAGTGATGCTATCCTTCCAATTTTTCAGTAAAATTCAAACCACAAGACATTTTTCAGAGCTCTACCTATTCTTAGGGCAAATAACTGCATCTCTGAATGCCATTAACACATCTTTTTTTTTTTAAAGTTCTGAGCATGTTGCCTTTGTTCTACTTCAGAGTATGGAAAGAAGGAAATGTTACCATATATCCATACAATAAATGAGAAAATATATGCCTTTTAAAATGCTTGCTTTTTTTAAGGGCCATATTTAGAGGTGAGAAGAGGGAGAAGCCAAGATTATCTCTGTCCTAATCCAGCACTATACCGTACAATTAAATGCTCAGGATGAGAAGCCCTCCCAAGATAACGTACTGGGTAGTATTATTTACAGTGACATAAAAACACGGCACCAGACGCGCCACACAAGGTGCACAATGCTGGCCGAACACTTGTCAGTGACAAGTCCACACACTTAGGACTATTACATGCAGGCACTGTTGCACATATGTTATGCTTTAAGAGTTCTCCCCATACCTAGTCAGGAAAATTGAAAAAAAAAAAAAAAAAAAAAAAGAAAAAGGAAAGAAAAACCCTCCTGCTTTTTTGTTAAGCTGCCAGTGTTATATTCATCATTTCAGTAAATCTGACCAAAAAAAAAAAAAAGCCAGAACTCAATGCATTCAAGCTAGTTTTTCCACTTGTTAGATATTTCCGGCATGAAGGGCCACATGAAAAACAGACCCATAGTGTGGCTGCAATGACTGAGAAAGAATGCCAGTTTCCTCTTCTCCCAAGGACTTCACCCTAGAGCTGCCACCTCTCATTGCTGTCAAGGCTCCCACATGAGCAACTTGGCATTCCTAACACAGCAAGAGTTCTCCAAAGCCTGCTCAATCGAGTCCTTTCCGTTTCTGTCTGACAGTCTCAGAAGTGACAGAATTGAGATGCCCTCAATACCTACCATAGGGTGCCCCACTGCCATTCTCGCTTGCACTGCTTGCAGCTTGCTGCTGCCCTTGCAGCACTGTGCTGCTTGGCTGCTCCCGGCAGACATAGATGGTTAAACGGGGTCTAACCGACCTGCAATCAGAAGATGCCACTGATGAGCCTGGGAGAGAAAGCTGCCTTACACATGTACAAATATGACAACTACAGGAATCTAAGTTCTATTTCCTTATGAGAACTTTATAATGTTATTTCGTTATACAAAGTAATTTACTAATAAAAATATAAAAACCACACACCTCACACCAACTATCACAGGTGGTCTAATATGATGATCCAGACTCTAAACCATTGAGATGGTCTGTCAGATGCTGGTAAATTTAAGTTTCAAGATTAAGTCAGCAAATTAAAAATCAGTAAGATTCAATTTTAATGGAATTCTCACACCACAAGTATAGAAAGAGCAATGATAGTAAATGGTTCTTACAAGCCAGCACAATTTACAGTTTCTGTCATTTTAATTCACAATTAGTTTACATTTTTAATAACTGTTTAGTAATAGTCATGACCTTGAAAACCATAGATTCTGTATAGCTCACCTAAATTAGAAGTTTTGTTTTCTTGGCAACAAACCCAGTCGTCTTCAAGAAATCAGTACTGCCCATGTGCATTTCTACCAGTCTTACAGTCTACCTCTGCCCTCATCAGTGCCTGCATCATATCTGGGCCTGCCCTGAAGGTGTACACAAAACAGTCTTCTTGTGAGCACAATGCTGCCAATGCTCGATGGCGCACACAGGCACACACGCCAACCTAGCGTGGAAACACATTCTGCCCAAATTCCCCACGCGAAGAAAGGTACATTCTTATTTCAAGCAAAACAGTTCACAGTATTTTACCTTGACTTCAGTGAATTATAGAGCCGAATTCCATCGGCTGCACCACAAATTTGAACTAAATCCTCCTTTGTCAGTTTTAATAAGTCGGCACCTAGAGAAGAGCAAAAATATTTTTCTCAAATAAATGGAAAAAGAACAGAACTGCTTTACAGGCATCTGTCTTCATGCAGTCCAATGTCCTTCAAAATAATCAGATATCCTGAATACACACATACACATGAACAATATAAGAAGACAAACAGACACCTGTCCTTCAGAGCCAAGGAAAATGCTGGCTTTTCCATGTCCTGTATCAAGAAGGAGCTTAGAAGTCCTGAGGCTGATGAATCAAATCAATGAGAGCAGGGCCTAAAGAACTCTTCCCGATATAGGATTTCACTCATCTACCTTATTTAGTGACTGGGTTGTGGCTATGTGAAGAAACATGATTCTAACCCACCCCACAGAAACAAACCCTGAGATCACCCGGGCCAGTCAATCTTTAATTTTAAAAAAAAGGAAATGGAAGTCCAGAGTTTGTGGGACTTGCCTAAAGTCTGTAAGAGTTGGTAGCCGAACTAGGACTGGGCCTCTTTATTCTGAAACGTGCAATGTAAAGTCAAACATGTTAAATTTTATAACATAAACAACTCTGTCACAGCAGCTAATTTTAACAGAAGAATGGCAGAGAATCACACATTATACCCTAAGATTTCCCCCAAGCACATCCTACTTACGATGTCATTTACAAGTGTAAATGTCTCTCTATACAGGTTTCCTATAGCACCACCTAGAGAAGCAGTGTTTGACACTTTTAAAAATTCTATCTGAACACTCCCTTCGCTTACCATACAAGAAAAAAAAACTTACATATAAGTATAAAAAAGCCATACCTGAGTACATACACACCATGAACTACTATTCAGTATTTCAAGCATAAATGATATGGCATCTAGGATTTGCTTTGAAATACAACAGAAGGCAGGAGAGGAAATAGTGGAGAGCAAGACTGACCAAATGCTGGTAGTTTTTGAAGGTAGGAGATGGCTGCATGGGAGTTCATCATATTCTCTCTACTTTTTAATGTCTGAATGTATCCATAATCTTTTGTTTTATTCTCTAACACCCAGGATACAGTTTATTGGGGGAATTAAGATGAACTTTGGGATGAAGGCTTGACTTCCATATGATAAATAGCCACTTACATATGTAGAAGATAATGGAGTCATCTTTCTATTTTTTAAAGGCTCAAATGCAATAGCCTACTAAATTTCTAGTCTGTAAAACAAAGATCAGAGAAGCACATCTCCCATGAGACATGAGCATTAATAGAGTCATTTTATAGAGTCAGGTAAGCAAAGAGGCTCTCTTTCATCTCTCTACTAGGGCTTACTACATGCACCTCACAGTTGTGACCAGAGAGTACTGTGTATGTGTGTGCACACCCTTAACCCATACAGAGAACTGGACAGATAACTGCAATGTACAACCCTTCCTGAAATGTGAATGCCCCCAAGGATCAGAGCAAGAAGACTCACTGTCCTCCTCACCATGCTACTGTCAGTGCTGTGACTCAGGAGATGTGCCCAAAGGGTACCATGGCTAGCTCCTCGCCCACTTTCTTGGAAGAAGCCCCCAGGATAAGGAAAAGGCAGAAGGCCACGCCATGTGATCACTGCTCACAGCGAAAGGGATTAAAACTCACCAGATAGAAACATGGATTTGCCTGATGTAAAAGGAGTAATGTGGGGCCTCCTTCAGTTCCAAATGTCGGCGCTTTTTCTATGTGCTATGCTTTTCATCTGCCTTCCATACAACAGTGCAAGACAAACCCCAGCTCCCCGACCCTGAAATTTTACAATTTCTAGTTTTTCACACATAAAAGGCTTTACTTAATCATATAAAAATGTAGTCCCCAGCTAGCAAATGACCTCCATAGGGAACTTTAAAGAGACAAAGAAGTACACGGGGAATAACTACTCATTGCACAAACATTACAATACGTGGCATAGTAAGAAACCATGTTCTTAGCAAAATCAAGCTTTTCTTCAGGCTGAGTGTGTGCACACACAAGTTCTGTCCTCTTAAAGGGATTCACAAAGTTGTGTTTTAATGGCCCTACTGCACTGCAGGTGAAGGAATGCTAACTACCACTTTACTGTGATCCAGCACTTCTCAGGATGTTTGGCCAGGCCATGTTACTAGGTGGTCATGTTGGAAAAGAGTCCCAGAGCCAAATATATTTGGGAAATGCTACCTCTGCCCCACCTGTCATTATCTATTACTGTCCCTCTAAACAGGTTTCCTATAGCACTACCTGGAGAAGCAGTGCTTGATACCTTTTAAAATTCCTTCTTAACATTCCCTTAGCTTACTGTGCAAGAAAAAAAACTTACCCATAAGTATATAAAAACTGTAATTGAGTACACTCAGACTATGAAACACTACTTAGCAGTAAAAAGGATTAAACTACTGATAAACACAACAACTTAGGTGGCCGTTATGCTAGTGAAAAAAAGCCAATCTCAAAAGGCTATATACTATATGATTGCATTTATATAACATTCTCAAAATGACAAAATTATAGACAGAATGTAAAGTGGTTGCCAAGGACTAGGGATGGTGGGGGAAGGGTGTGGGTGTGACTCCGAAGGGGTAGCAGGAGGGAGATCCTTGTAGTGATGGCACAATCCTGTCATCTTAATTGTGGTGGTGGTTACAAATATCTATACCATAACATACGTTGTGCCAATGTCAGTTTCCTGGTTTTGCTATTGTACTATAATTATGTGAGAAACGGAGTGAAGAGTACACCGAAATATCACTGTACTAGCTCTGTAACTTACTGTAAAACAAAAATTATTTCAAAATAAAGTTAAAATGAAAAAAATCATGTAAAACTATATACACCTACACACAAATGAGGTCACGTAAGTCTGGTAAAACTGCTGACTGAACCAATGTCAACTGCCTGGCTTCAATAGCATATAATAAAAATACAAGATATTCCTATTGGGGGATAGATATAAAGAACTTCTCTGTACATTTTTCTTTGCAACTTCCTATCCATAGTTATTTCAAAATTTTAAAAATATAAAGTTAATAAAAGCACAGAAACAAAAACAAAACATTCTCATGCACAGATACACACACACATACACATACCTGAAAAATTAGAGAACAGTCTTGTGTAGGAAGAGAATCTGTTTTTGAGCAGCCATTGCTGTGTTTCCTGGATCGTAGCTGAAGGCTGAATTTGCTATTAACAATGAAAATGAACATAAATAAAAGGAACCATTCAGACTTAGAACATTTAAACAAAACACAGAAAGCCTCGGAGTCTGAAGTAAAAAACACCCAAAAAGAGCATGAGTCTGACTCCAGCAACCCAAATGATGCAGGCCCTTGTCAGAAACTTAAACATGATACACAATGGGATGCTATTCAGCCATAAAAAAAGAGAAAAATCATGCCGCTGCTAATGAAATCACCTTTTGCAGCAACATGGACAACATGAACATTTCATTGTCTTAAGTGAAATAAGCCAGGCACAGAAAGACTTATATTCTCACTTATATGTGGGAACTAAAAAAATTTGAACACATGAAGGGAGAGAGTGGAAAAATAGGTAACAGAGACCGGGAAGAATGGGTGAGGGATAAGAGAGAGGATGAGAAGAACTGGATTAAAGGGTGCAAACAAACATACAATAAAACAGAAGGAGTAAATTCAGTATTTCGTAGCAGAGTAGGATGACTATACCTAAAAAAATGTACTCTACTCAGGTGATGGACACCCAAAATATCCTGACTCGATTACCACACATTACCATACATGTAACAAAACTTCTCACCTACTCCATACATTTGCACAAAAACCAAAACTTTAAAATGTAGAACCCTGAAAGCATCAGATAGTTTTAGGAGAAAGATACTTACTTCACCAGAGGTCTGTGAAGCTCCATCTCCCTGATGATTTGGGGAAGAAGAATTGCTGGGGAGAAAGGAGAAAGAAGGAAATGATGATTTTTATAATACATATATGTTTTAATCAAGGCATTAAAAGCTGTTGCATTGTAACTATGCAAATTTCAAGTAAGGCAACAGTGGGAGACAGCTATGAAAGTCTGCAACAAAATGCAAGCGCAACAGCTTAGGGTGTGGACATGATGACGAAATTAAGACACAGAAGACTGTGTCTTAATTTGTGCCTTCTTCATCTGTACTAGTAAGAAATTCAAGTTTTGTGAAACAAAAGGGCTTCCCCAATTATCTTCAGGGATGCCAAGGAAAATGAAGGATACACATTAATTTTTAAAAGTTAGGGGAAAAAATATGAAACATCAAATTAGATAAATAGTTGAAAATAATTGCAAAAAAAATGAGCTACAAGAAATAGTACAATGACCCTAAGCAAAAATATAAAATGATACTCCTTTAAGTAATACATATATCCAAGATTGATGAGGGTGAATTTCAAGAGAACAAAAGAAATTAACTTGTACCACTATCCTTGTGCTTCTAAGTAAAATGAAATGAAAAACAGCTCCACAGGGAATAGGGCTACCTTCTGGCTCTTGAGCACCGACTCCTTTCTTAGCCCCCGTGCCTCAATTGCTTAGGTTTATTATCTTGATTATTTATATCCTTTCTACCCATAAGAACTTAAGCTCCTTCAGACGGGGGTCTGTCTGTTTGGGCACTAATGTATCAGAACACTTAGAACAGTGCTGGGAACACAATAAGTTCTCCAGTCTACTAGTGAGTACATAAACTTACAGCTCACCTTTAAAGCCATAAGCATTTTCTAAGATTATTCAGACCGGACTGACTGACTAGGAAACTATTCTAAGCCCTCAGACATGGTAACCTACTGGTCCTCTGGTCACTCCTCTAATTTTCTGAGTCCAAGGCTATTTTTCTACTCTTAAAGCATAATAGCCTACATGACAACAAGCTGCCTTCTCAGTTTATCCATCTCCTCAGGGGGAGAGCACATTTTTGCTTGCTTTCTCATCAGACCTTGTCAGCATGACCGGAGAACCTTTTTCTTTGTGATCTTAGCTTTCATAATTTTCCTCCCCAACAAGAAACTTCCTAAAAATAGGGAACTTCTGATGCTAACTACTCTGCATTAGTTCTGCAGCAAAGCCCTAGAATGGAAAGCCGCCATGGGGTACTGCTGTACCTTCAAGATGCCCCAAATGCAGTCTCTTGCTCCCACCCTGAGCTTACTCTAGACTCTTGCCAGTCAAGGCTGGATAACAGAATAAAGAGTCCACCATTTCCATTTCTAAAACCACAGCAAGTCTGTAGAAACCGAAAGGTCTTCCTTTAAAGATTTAATTAAAAAAATAGCATATCTATTGGGAGAGAAAAGAAATACTGCAGAAAATAACCCATTTGATATAAGCATTACAGACAAGTGAATGAACTTAGTAATAAACTCACTTTGTCCCTCTCTCTCTACCTATAGACACTGTTAATGTTGTCTTTAATCTTACAAAGAATATATCTTGGCTATGTCTTGAAAATGGCGCCTTGTCTACAATTACCATAGTTGTGACTATGTTAAGGCACAAGGGGCTCGGAGTAAAAAAGGCTGGTAGGTGAAGAAAAGACAATGATTGTCCTCTGCCACCAAGATACAGGATACTTCCCCTTACTGTTTCCTTTAGGTACAATACAAACAAAAGGCTGCTGTACATGGAGAGATGGGGAAATGAAGGCACATGAGCATTAGTTAGCTGCAGGCACACGATCACACAAACTAGATACCTGTCTGGGACACTGCAAGTGCTCTGCTGTGGGGAGGTGAAAGTGGGCGCTGGGGAAGGGCTGTTATTCACATAGGCTGTGGGGGCATCGGGCCACGGAGAACACTAAGGACAGAAACAGAAATAAATTAGTGATATGCTTTTAAAATATGTGGAAGAAATATTTTTGTAATTCACTCACTAACCAAATGCAAGATTATAAAATGCGAGACAGCTGACATTTATCAAGCAACCTCACAGACACATGTCAAATTTACTTCTGTGTGGCAAAGAAAAGTTTTACCTGCTGTGTGCGTCTAGACACTGATTAATCTTAGAGAAGACCTAAAGTGATGACAGCAGCAAAAATTTATAAAGGCATTTAAAATATATGCTTAAGTATAATTGCTTTGAAGAGCTTTCTCCTCCCTCTTTACCAGTATCCTCTTTATCAGTTTCCCAACAGGCACCTATCAAGATTTAAGAATGGCGAAGACAAGAAAGGATTTATAAGCAACATCTGACATCACATGGTGACCTGAAACATGGCTCTGACCTAGCTAGTGCTCCTTTTGCCCTCTTCCCTAATGAGCAGCCTCACCAGTACCCATTTGCTTCTCTGATACCTCTAAAGGTTAATAATCCTCAAGACAGACCAGACAGGCCCAGCATCAAAATACATCAACTGTGTACAGTACTACATCTATCTCTATCTATCTATCTATCTATCTATCTGTCTGTCTGTCTGGTCTGTCTATCTAATCTATCTGTCTGTCTGTCTGTCTGTCTGTCTGTCTGTCTGTCTGTCTATCTATCTATCTATCTTTCCTTCTTTCTTTCTTTTATATTTTCTGGAAGGGTTATGGTGAACTTTAATATTTTTCAGCTCCAGGCAAAATTCTGACCAGAAACAGAACAAAGACACGGAGATACACTATTACAATTAGGAGGTTGAAAAAGTCAGTCAAAAGCATGCTAAGCATGCCAGAGTAATCTCAAATACAAGTCTTCAGACTTGAGATACAGACATCACATGGTGTGATTTCACTTTACAGGTATTCTTTCTAAAAACCAATGGATCTGAGGACTCAGTTTCAAGGGTCCCCTTTCATAATCATCCTTCTCTCATTTTACACAAGAAAGGCATCACATCTAACTATAGCCCTGGGGTTTAAGACTGTCCCAGGCTGGACACGGTGACTCATGCCCCTAATCTCAGTGCTTTGGGAGGCCAAGGCGGTAGCCCAGGATAGCCCAGGATAGCTTGAGCCCAGGAGTTCAAGACCAGCCTGGGCAACACAGTGAGACCCTGTTTCTACCAAAAAATAAAAACAATAAAATAAATATAATGAGGCCGGGCGCGGTGGCTCACGCCTGTAATCCCAGCACTCTGGGAGGCTGAGGTGGGTGGATCATGAGGTCAGGAGATTGAGACCATCCTGGCTAACATGGTGACACCCCGTCTCTACTAAAAATACAAAAACTTAGCTGGGCGTAGTGGCGTGTGCCTGTAATCCCAGCTACTCAGGAGGCTGAGGCAGGAGAATCGCTTGAACCTGGGAGGCGGGGGTTGCAGTGAGCCGAGATCGTGCCATTGTACTCCAGCCTGGGTGACAGAGCGAGATTCCATCTCAAAAAAAATGAAAATAGATAAATAAGTAAATATAATGAAGACTCTCCCAAAGCCAAGCTAAAGATAATAGGATTAAAAAAAAAAAAATAGCCAGGTATGGTGGAGCACACCTGTAGTCACAGCTACTTGGGAGTCTGAGACAGGAGAATTGCTTGAATCTGGGAAGGGGAGGCTGCAGTGAGCCATGACTACACCACTGCACTCCAGCTTGGGTAACAGAGTGAGACCCCCATCTTGAAAAAAAGGAAAGAAAAAGTACATAACTCTAATGACTAAGTTTTTCTGTAAGTCAGGTGATTTTCAATTATTTGCTATCAAAATAATTCAGGAGGATGGACCTATTGTCAACTGACATATATTGAAATAATCTAGTAGATCACATAAAAATGTCCCTGGGATTTTTGACAGATGATTCAAAAGGACTTCCAGGACCTGAATGACACTACCGAAAGAAAAAACAAAATTGCTCATATGTATAAAATTCTAGAAGTTATATTCTATCCTGTCTCATCATTCAAGATGCATTTCCAATAATATTTCTATTTTTACATGTAATAAATATTCATCAAAATCTGTAGGATTTGTTGTTTTGATAAATTGGTACTAATAAGTTTTAAATATCTTGACTGAGTTAAGAGGCTATGGTCACAGCAAATTTTAAAAATTAAATTTCAATTTATGTAAATTTGTTGTAAGGCAATTTTTTTAGGGTGATCATTTAAAAATTTCAGTTTCATCATTTGAAGCCTCAGGAATAAAAAATAAAAATAAATAAGAAAAAAATTTTTAAAGATTTTCAGGCATAAAACTATGTCATATTAGGATAAAATTTAAGGGGAGTGAAATACAAACATGAGACCAAGAAGGAAGAACAGAGTAAAATCTTGGATTTAATGAATTTTTTGAATGAACAATAGCAGTGGTCAAACTGCCATGGCATTTAGATTCCATAGGATGCACTTCAAGAGTAATGTCACAGTTTTATCTTAAATTGTAAACGCAAATCACCACCACGCCAGAACATTGCCTCCTTTGCAGCTATTTAAATTTATGATGAAAAAACTTTATGATGAAAACTTTCAGATGTCAATCTGGAAAGGTGCAAGTATATCCTTTTTCAAAATTCTTTTGAGGCCAGGTATGGTGGCTCATGCCTATAATCCCAGCACTTTCGGAGGCCAAGGTGGGAGGATCATTCTGAGGCCAGGAGTTGGGGATCAGCCTGAGGAACACAGCGAGAACCTGTCTCAAGTGTCTTGGATCACTTGAGCCAAGGAGTTTGAGGTTGCAGTGAACTTTGATCACACTACTGCACTCCAGGCCCAGGTGACTGGGCAAGACACTGTCTCTAAAAAAATTTAAAAATTATTTTGAGTAGGTAAGTGTCAAGACCACTGGTGTAATGGAGCTAAGAAACTGTGAAGCACACTGAGGGCAGAAATTAAGTCTCACCAATGGCTACAGGGGCTTAAAACGCTTGTCTGACATCCATCAAAAGCAATGGATACATGGAAAATAATCTCAACTACCCAATTATGTATCTCCTTAAAAAAGAAAAATGATTGCAGACTTATTACTTCTATTATCAGTCAGCTTTCAAAAAAGAAATCTAATTTAGCTGGAGAGCTTTGAATAAACTTATTGCATGGCATAGCAACTTTGCTATAAATTACATTTTACACAACAATGCCCATTCTTTTAAAATTAGGGCCTTTTAAGCCAGGTGTGATGGCACACACACACCTGTGGTCCAACTACTCAGAAGTCTGAGGCAGGAGGACTGCTTGAGGAGATTGAGGTCAGCCTTGGCAATACAGTGAAAGCCCATCTCAAAAAAATAAATAAATAACTAAAAAACTAGACCCTTGTTTTTCTTTCCACCTTACAAAGTATCACCTCCTCAGTTTACACTGTTTGATGAACCCAAGACCCTGTGAGCTGACTAGCAAATCTAATCATGGGTATCACACACTGTCACCTCACCTCTACTATCTGAAAGATTTTCCTGCTACAACATCCCCCTGCACATATAAAACATAACACAGCATAACATACATGTATAAATAATGTAAACCATTTAATATTAAAAGTATCAAGTCTCTCTAAACTTTTTGTAATTATTGCCAGCCATTTGAAGAAATGAAGCCATCAAAAAGCTTCAAGTTAGCATGGCAGAGTAATGTAGAAACACCAAGTTTACCAAAACTCCATAAATACCCATTTTGCTTTTAGATATTTAGATTCTTCTAACATTCGAAAAGCAAGCGATGGTGCAGTGCCTATGCTCCTGAATTCATAACGGCGCTAGCAATGCCTGGCCTGGGCTCATAGTTATGGTTTCGGTACACTGTGAACACAGTCCCTCCCCAGGTAAAGAATGATCACCCATTTTAGGCTGTAGAAATTGGCAGTCATCATTTGAGCCAATCATATACAGCTCAGAGATGAAGACCAACAGACACACTAAGAGTTTTGTTGTACGGCATCTCCTGGTAACCAACAGTAGTGACTATTCAGTGTGGCACCATTTCATTCGGCATCTTTTCGACTCTAACAGTAAGTCTGGATATCCCTTTTTACTGAAAGCCAATTGTAACTAGCCAAAAACTCTATGAAATGTTGGCCTTCCTTTGTAGGAGTTTGAAGAAACATATGAAATTCTGCAAACTTTCCTTTTTAAGTGACAATCTGTACCCTGCATTTTTAAAAACAGGTTTTCAAGATGAGCTCTAACCACCCCTAAAAGCATCTGAACAAAATCAAATACAGCCAGGGCAGTAAGCAATACATGAGGAAGATGTGAAATCCCAGGCCAGTGAACTGCTGACGTTTTGCATACTTTAGACTTAAGAATCATTAAGAATTTACCAACAGTTTTCCCATCTTCAGATTACCTCTGGGCTATAATGAATTTCTTTTATTTAGGAATTACCAGAACCTACTTCTTTATTAGTTAAATGGTTTATAACAGGAGAGGAAAAGTGAGTTGCCAGAATCCCCCCCAAAGAAGTTTACTAAGAACCATTGGTGGGTCTTCAGCTGAGAAATCAGAAGAGGATAAAAACAAAATTGCTGGGGCGGGTGTTTTAGGAAAGAATATACAGCTGTTTTAACAATCTTTGATTCGAATTTATTTAAAAAAAAAAAAAAAAGCCCAGTTAAAGAAAATGTAACGTGTGCTTCCAGTGGCACTAGGATGAGTACAATTTCAGTTTCATTGCATAGAGAAGCATTAAAACATTTTTATTCGATACTATAATTGGAAATGAGTTTCTTGTGATAGTGCTTGTGACAGTAACATTCAAAGTCTACATTTAACCACAGCAATTGCGATATGTGTAAGAATGAAAAATCCTCTGGTACTTTAATAGTGCAAAGACTGCAACAGTGAATACAGCAGTCACGAATACATATGATGACAATTATTTTAAATGATTCTTTAATGTTCTGTGTTTATATTTACTGAAGGTATGTAGCTGATCTAAGTTTGCAAAGCAGGATCATCGTTTGTGGACTAATAGATGAAGAGTCATGTCATAAAATAAAGATTTGCTATACTTAACTGGACAAAGCACATATTCAACCAGATGCCCCCTGACTGCATATTGGGGGCGGCCCAGGTCTAGGTGTAGCAAGGTACACTACTTTGGCCTGAAGCATTAATTCACAATGCAACTGCCAAGAAGAAACATGAATCCCATCAGAGTTTTTTTTTTTCTACCAGTGCTGCCAAACAGGCTCTTAGAAGCATAGACAGACACACATTTTTATACTACATGCAGAAAAATGTAACAAAGAACTGCACGTGTTAATGTCAAGCTTGCTGCCATCATCTAACTGTCCACAAAATTTTATCAAGTATACACATGAGAAAGCAAGACCCTTTTCAGTTACACAAAAATAATAGCTAATTTACTAAAGAAAGTATTTTCAATTAATTTCAGTGCTCTTGAAGGAGGTGTGTGTGTGAAGGAGAGAGGGAGGGAAGGAGGAAGGGAAGGAGTCAGGGAGGGAATACATATCTCTGAGTGTCTTTTTTTCCCTCCAAAACCACCCAATATGGTCAACATTGTTTTTTGCTTTGTTTTAAAGTGTTAGATTTAGGAAATTTTCCTCAGTGAGGAACAAACAGAAGCAGGAAGTCTAAACAAAAGCAAATTAAATCAAGACATGGACATCAAAAACAATTTTGGCTTTACTTTGCGGTGGAAGTTGGTCCTATATCTAACACTGCACAAGGTTTCTTGCACAATGAAAAGAGAAGCAGAAGTCCCTTACACTGCCTCGCTTTGCCAGAGAATCACCGTAGTCTGCTGGCAAAGTCCGCTTGCTGGACTTTTTCTGCTCATGTTCAACTGCATCTTCAATTATAGGCTCAAGCCTCATCTGGACAAACACCAAAGATTGGGATCAATGTCTTTTCATTATACAAAGAAAGATCTAACACCCTGTTTCATGTCTCTTCAGTCCAATTAAACAAATGCATGACTAACAGGATTCAAAGTTAAAAAAAATGCAAAACCCCAGCAGTGACAAAAATTGGACTTTCTAGGCTCCAACTTAAGTCTCTTGCCAACTTCAAAGTTTTTAAGGTCTGTTTCTAAGACCTCATTGGGATTTCAGCATCTTCATTTAAGATCCCACCCAGGAAACAGTCTATCAAAATCCCCAAATTTAAATATTTTCCCCAGAAATTTCACAGAGAATAACATGTCAAACTGCCACCCAATCTTCCCCAACCCTTTTGTAGCAGAACTCATCTTAGAAATAGACTAATATGCAACCTTTGCTTCTCTTCCAAAACCAAATGCTTTACTACATTACCTCTGTGAGGATTGTGGTATCATAGGACGGCTGATACTTTTCTTTTTCATGAGCTGTTCTCTTCTCCATCTTCTCTCGGTCAGTTTTTTGTTTCCTGTCTGCACCTTTAGGCTTAAAAACAAAGTATACTATTTCATCTATCAGGCTGCAGACACACAGCTTTACAGGCAAAACTGAGCCTTAATTACAGAAAACCCGGGTTCTCTGTCTTACCTTAAAAACTTTGATTTGGCAGCTAGCTGAGTGTAGATGATCTGTGTATTCTCCATTTTCATTCTGCTTAAAGGTGTCAACCTGGATCCTAAAGGGCACTCCCTTTTCACCTCCGTGCTTCCGTGGAGTAAATTCTGTGCTGATGCAGTGTACCTATAAAACGATTCAGGCTGAAATGGATTCAAAGAACTTCCACTGGTTATTTTTCTATTTTGTTCCCTCTTGAGTGACCTGACACCACTATAAATTCAAGATCCTTTAAAATAAACTCATCACACATATTAGCCAAATTATCTATGAACCTAATTGTTTTTAAGATATGGCTTCCCTCTCACAAATCCAACTGAGCCTCTCCAGACTTTCTGAGCTCTTGCCCATCACAGTGCCTCTCCTCTAATGCAGGACTTGGGTCCAATCAGGGGTACAACACTACAGTAGCTTCCTATGTATACTGCCCACCTCCACCTTGGACTGTCTGCTCATCTCAGACCCAGGGTACTAAGCCCTGTTCAATCCACAGCAATCTTCACTTCATTGTTTAGAGCTTCTGTTGTTTGCCCTCTACTGCCATTACCCCTATTCTACCCAGCCAACTATCTTACTGCTGTTCCTACAGATGCCAATTTGTGATACTTTGCCTGGGGAAATTTTACAGTCCAGAAAACCCACTACCCATCCTATTCTGTATCCATCTAAACTCTTTGGTCAACTCTTCAAAGTCCATTCAGGATCCAGAGGGCAATACTCATCTTCCACCACTCCTGCCCTGTCTCCTAATACCCACCCTGGATGACAGCCTTAGGGTTTCACACAGAGTTAACAGCAAGACCTTGGTCATTTCTGACTGCTGCACATCCCCCTCTTCTAATGACTCACTATTAAAACTGATCTCTGCAATATGACAACACAACCTGATATGTAAAGCCAGGTCTTGTATCACTTTGATTTACTACATAACTAGTTGCCTTATAGACAAACACCAACAGTATGAGTTTACATCAATATTCAACGGATATAAACCATGCCCCCAGGGATTAACTGATGGAGAATAATATTGGTAGAATACCAAAATGCAAAATACAAATGATTTTTTACAGTTCATGCAAAGCATAGCTTATGAAGGCTGGTCAGCAAGTAAGTGGTTTTCCTTTTCTATATATTACCTACCTGGTAGTTTAAATTCCACCACATACAAATTTGAACATTGTGGGTATTAGAATCACTATTTTTTTTAAACACAGAATAATGATATTATAGTTACTTTTTAAAACTCATCTCTTAGAGACATGATATTTATGGATGAAATGGTATGCCTGAAACTTGCTTTAAAGTACTCTAACAGGCTGGGCACAGTGGCTCACACCTGTAATCCCAGCACTTTAGGAGGACAAGGCAGGTAGATCACTTGAGGTCAGGAGCTCAAGACCAGTCTGGCCAATATGGTGAAACCCCCATCTCTACTAAAAATACAAAAATCAGCCAGGCATTGTGGTGCACACCTGTAATCCCAGCTACTCAGGAGGCTGAGAGATGAGAAGAGCTTGAATCTGGGAGGCGGAGATTGCAGTGAGCCGAGATCATGCCACTGTATTCCAGCCTGGGTGACAGAATGAAACTCCATCTCAAAAAAAAAAAAAAAAAAGTGCTCCAAGAATAACTAAAAGGGGGCGGAAACTACTAAAAACTGCTAAAGCCAGGTGATGGTTACATGGACAATTAGTCATCATTATTATCCTATTTGTAGAGGTTTGAATTTTTCAGTATTAGAATGTTTTAAAAATAATGCTAGAAGGAATTTTAAAACCTCAATCTTTTTTCAATCGTATCCTTTTAAATAGCAGCTTGTGTTCAAGAGAAATACATCTCATGAAAAATAGACATTTTCATTATTGGGACTACTAGTGGTAAAAATAACATTTGAATAATGCTTTACATATCATAGAATGTCTTCATATATGTTAGTTTAAAATAGGGTGAACTTACTAGATTAAACCTAACTATGTATATAGAAAGACACTACAACATAGTTTATAAATAGACATTTAAAGGAAATGATACTGTATCAAAAATTCAATCCTACCATGACCTAAATAACTAGGTTAGTAAGCTTCTAATAATGTAAAAATCCAAACCTGAATGAAAGCAGAGGTGCGTTTTGCTGGGTCCCACAGAAATTCAACCGCATTTAACTGGCTTGGATTCGTCCTTGTGTCAATTATTCCCACAGACATTGGAATATCTATGTTTTAAAAAGAAGTTACATAAAAACATCCACTTTAAATAACTTAAAAAACTTACAACTTACTATATTATGTTCTAATGAAATAACTGTAACTGCTTTGAACTCTGTCTTTCAATGGTCTCCATGATCAACTTCTTCAACATCGAAACCCACCCTAAACGAATATCATCGTTTCCCCTACCATGGTTTGTATTTCATTTTTTTTAAGAATATGATAAGGCTGAGCGTGGTGGCTCACGTAATCCCAGCACTTTGGGAGGCCAAGGCAGGTGGATAACCCGAGGTCAGGAGTTTGAGACCAGCCTGGCGAACATGGTGAAACCCCGTCTCTACTAAAAATACAAAAATTAGCCAGACGCAGTGGCGCGTGCCTGTAGTCCCAGCTACTCAAAAGGCTGAGGCACAAGAATCACTTGAACCCAGGAGGCGGAGGTTGCAGTGAGCCAAGATCGCGCCACTGCACTCCAGCCTGGGCAACAGAGCGAAACTCCGTCTCAAAAAAAAAAAAAAAAAAAAGATAGATGGTTTACAATTAAACGGTTTCAAAATCATAAAATTCCAGGTTCACATTAGTTTAGCACCAAAAAGCTACTTGACGTTTTAACTATAAAACAACTCTCTCGGTTCTTTATAATACGAGGATGGGAAAAAAATAAAAAGAAAATAATGTATATACATACATACATATATATGTATGTGTGTGCGTATGTATATATAGAAAACAACTCTCAAGACACAAGATCCTAGAGGGGCATGGTGGCGCGCACCTGCAATCCTAGCTACTTGGGAGGCTAAGGCAGGAAAATCACTTGAAGACGGGAGGTAGAGGTTGCAGTGAGCCAAGACTGTGCCACTGCACTTATCCTGGGCGAGAGAGCAAGGCTCTGTCTCAAAAAAAAAAAAAAAAGACACAAAATCCACAAACACCAAAACTTTCCCCACACAAGTAATTCATGATGCCAACACAACACATTACTGGCTATAGCTAAACAATACCCTCATCTCCATGGTCTTTTGATCACTGCCTGTACCTAAATCAAGAAGTCTGTCTCCTGGGCGATTCCACTTCCATCCTTCAAGTTGCTGATGCTCTGTGTATTGTAGCCGTCTGTCATGGAATACAACCCTTATGATGCTCTGTGGAATAAGTGCGGAAAATGAGTACTTTTAAACTGCTCCAGCTAAAATGCAGGACCATTTCTACTTCTTATGTGTTAACCTGTAGCAGTAGAACACATACAACTAGATTCTGTTTTAAACATTCTGTAAGTGAACTCTTTTGCCCTTGGATACCTGGATTACGGTACAATTATTTGGTGCAAAGAATTATAACTCAAAAACTAAAATTATAAATAAAATGGTAACTTAGGTATTGATTTTATAAAATGATTTGTTATTGCAATTCAAAATTAAGGTTCTTCCCACTAAAATTAATGAGCAAGAATTACATTCCTATAAAGAAAATACCAGATGCACACAGGAGTTATTAAAAATGAAAAGATGGAGACAGAGAAACCCAGAAACAATGGTAAAACTTTGTTAATTTAAAATAACAGTTAACAATTGAGTCTTCTGGCTGGGTGCGGTGGCTCACACCTGTAATCCCAGCACTTTGGGAGGCTGAGGTGGGAGGATCACGAGGTCAGGGAGATTGGGACCATCCTGGCTAACACGGTGAAACCCCATCTCTACAAAAAATACAAAAAATTAGCCAGGCATGGTGGTGGGCGCCTGTAGTACCAGCTACTTGGGAGGCTGAGGCAGAAGAATGGTGTGAACCCGGGAGGCAGAGCTTGCAGTGAGCCAAGTTCGCACCACTGCACTCCAGCCTAGGTGACAGAGCGAGACTCCATCACAAAAAAAAAAAAAAAAAAACTTTGAGTTTTGAAAAAAAAGAACTGGCATAAAACAAAAATCCGAAACACTGCCCGCTGCCTTGAAAAAGTGAACTTAGGCCAGGTGCGGTGGGGCTCATGCCTGTAATCCCAGCAGCCAATTAAAAGCAATTTTTTTCTTTGAGATAAAGAGTACCATGTGGGAGACATTTATAGGGCTCAGTGGCTGCTTTATTCCCATCTTCCTTACCTGCACCCACACCTGCAGGGCCTGTCCAAGCAATTACCCAGCACCCACTTCACACCATCACCTGACCAGAGCAAAGCTCTCATAGTGATGGTGCATAGGCTAGTGGTGGCCCCTAAGACACCAATGCCAGTGGTTCACATCTGCTAGCCAGCTCGTCTCCAGAAAAAAGTACAGCACAGAAAATATCACAGTTCTAATTGTTCCATACTCAGTAAGAACCATACTAACTACACATATTCAGATGAAAACAGTATTAGAATACAGGTATTAGACTTCAGAGCTTTACTAAGCCCCATTCTAGAAGGTTGGACTAAAATACTAAAGATAAAAGGAGGACCAAAGTTAGGAAATTACAAGATATATAAGAAAAATTCTAGCATTATATAGCTTTTAGAATTTGTCTAGCAGGTTTTCCAGTTTCTACCAGAAACCCCTACCCAAAAAAGAACGGAAAGGAAAAAAGAAAGGAATGAAAAGGAAGGGAGGAAGGGAAAGAAAAAGAAAGAGAGGGAGGAGGGCGGGAGAGAGGAAAGGAACTTCTTATATGAAACAGGGAGAAAATCTCGTTATCTGAAAGTTCTCCCTAAAAGGAGATTGACTGCATTTTCAGAACTAGCAACATGTGATGGGGCCCTAACAATAAGACTAAAAGAAAAAAATAGGACAAAAAAAGACGAAAACAGAACAATCAGAGAAAGCACATTGCTAAATATGTTCAGCACATTCAAGAAGTTCCAAAGCACCTTCGCAAACCTATCACTTGATCCCCAAGGTTCCCCCACAAATTTAAGTAGTATAGTCAAAGATCCTAGGGCCAGGAAATAAAACTCTAGAAATTTGAAGCATATTTTAGGGATTCTCTAGCTAAAAAAAGGATGTAATTTCCAAGAAACTCATCCTGCAGTCTTTGGTAGTAGCAGACAGTAGCTCTTAATCCCAGACAAGCTTACAGAATATAACTGCATGCCTGGCACATCCACCAAAAATCACACAGCTGGCTTATCAAACAGAAGATGAAGCCAATGTAAAATGCTTTAAAAATGAACCCTTTTCAATCAGTGGGCTAAATATTTAGATACTGATGCCTTCAGAATAAGTAACCTTGTCTAGGTGGAATATACTAGTGTTATGTCAGCAAAACATTCACTGTGCATTTATAAGTTAATGGTTTTGCTACTAACAGTAGTTCATTACGTCATAATGAGGTGTCATTTTTCCCTTAATTTATTTGCTTGCATTAATTTTGTATATTAAATGTTTTTACATGTTTTAATTTGGAAGTAAATACAAGGAAGTTGAACTTAAAGCAGTCATACAACTTTACCCTGCCATCCCAAGTTAATCTGACAGGTATTTTAACCAGCTTGCCAAAATATTTTAAACATTAGGTATCACCTATCAGACTAATTATTTCTAAATCCTACCACCTATTCAGGGAACTGCCCTGGAAAGCCAGCTTGTCTCCACTGATAAATGACAAAGACAATTGCTTCAGAATTGATTTTCTTCAATGCCTTGATGGACACTGAATTTTGGCATTTGGTCTGGATGTCAAAGTTTGTTATATTTTCCTCAGAACACTGAATGGTCATGAATGAAGAACTGAGTTAAAATTACAAATTAGTAAATTCTATAATCCGGCATACACAAAAAAAGCACAAGGGGAATAGATGAAACAAGTCTGGCAAATTGTGGAGAATGTTGAAGTTGGCATGAGAACTTATGAGAACTCATGATATATACCAGATATATTTATTATATACCACCATATGATGGATATATGTGGATTCATTGTACCATTCTCTTTACTTCTGGGTATGTTCAAATTTTACCATAATAAAAAGTTAAAAAAATTGTTCTAACATTTTTGGATCCAGTTTTAAAGACCTCAGTATAGGGCCCATCAAATCCTACTAAATTTTATTATGGAGTTCACAATTAAAACAACTTTCCAACCCTTTTACACTGATACATTAACAAAAAAAAAAACACAGAACAAAGAAAGACAAAAACAGAACAATCAGAGAAAGCACATTGCTGAATATGTTCTGCACATTCAAGAAGTTCCAAAGCACCTTTGGTAACCCATCATTTGATCCCTAAGTAACCTTCCAGGTGCCCTCCAGGTACTGGGCAGCTGGCTTTCCCATACATGCCAAATTAGTTAACACACCAAATTTAGATTGCCTGAATCCAATTCCCACCACAAGGCTGCCCTTCCCATGCTTACCCACTAAAAAGGCAGATCCACAGAGGGCAGGTCTTTCCAATAGAATGCCCCTCCACACTGAGGGCCCAGCAGCACCTGGGCCCTGACATGCCACTCTGTGGGAAGATGGAAGGATCAAGAGAACTTGTCTCTTGCTAACACTTAGTTAGCCACATGAGGTTTTACCTTTCCCCAATTAAGATTCTTTCATTAACCCTGCCCTGTAATGCTATGGAATTTATAACTAGCCATGATGTATGATGGATACAGGCTAGGAGGGGCCAGGGGGCAGGGATGGTTCTGAGGATACATCCTAAAAGAACAGGTTAGCTGGAAAACAGCTATGCCTCCTATACCTAGGATGACTGACTTCTTCATTCAGATACATGAGTAGGGTGAACAGAGATTTCTATTTTTTAAATGAAACTTTACAAGGTAAAGGATTTTTTAAAGTTTTATGCCAACATTGACATTCTTCCCCATATTATCTTTTACTTTTAGAGAGGCTTATAGGTTTTTGTTGTGGTGATGAGTTTTTTACCCCATAACTACAACTAACTTTTCTATTGCTCCTTGATTTCCAAGGGTCTTTCAAAATTACTCTACCCAATAACTGCTATAATTCCCATTTTACAGGTGAATAAACAAAATATAGCTCATAAAGTTAAAAAGTTGTAATACAACAATTATTGAAGTGAAATTAATTTTTTTTTAAACAAAAACTCATTCAATCACAGCAATATCCATTGGGAATTAAAATGGACTGTCCTTACCTTTACTAATTTTCCATTGATCTCAGGCATATCACCCATTTTCCGATTATCCAGCATCCGAATTTCATATGACTGACCTATTTAAAGAAATTGTGTATAAAAAACAATCCTTATAAAGAACATCACTTTGCTTAACATAATTCAAAATGCATGTTTCTCAGAACATACATTACACAATGATAGTTTGTTAATTTGCTACGGAAGCAAATTCAGGTTGATCCTTCTCTTCCCTGAAAATCACACCAACCTTCTGTTCTAACATTATTACAGGAGACAAGAGTTTCTCTGTCAATTTATCTTCATCTGCCACTCTCTTACACTAAACTTTTATTATGCTTGCATTACCTAAGACTAATTTTTGTAACAGCTTTTCTGAGATATAGTTTACATACCATAAAATTCACATTTTTAAAAAGTGTGTAAATCATTGGTTTTCAGTATAGTCAGAGTTGTGCAACCATCACCACTACCAGTTTTAGAACACTCGCATCATCCTAAGAAGAAACCTCTATTAGTCACTTCCCATCCCTCCCCCACCCCCCACCTGGCCAACTGCTAGCGATCACCAATCCACTTTCTGCCTCTACGATTTGCCCACTCTGGATACTTTCATAAACAGAATCATACAATATGTGGGTATTTGTGCCTTGCTTTTTAAACTTAGCATAATGTTTTCAAGGTTCACCCATATGTAGTATATATCAGTCCTTTTTATTGCCAAATAATATTCATTCCTTTTTATTGCCTAATACTATTCCACTGTGTAAAGACTAAACCAAATTTTGTTTATCCATTCATCAGCTGATGGATATTTGGGTTGTTTCCACTTTTAGTGTTTATTAGAAAACACAGATATTCACACATCAATCTAGATAATTAGGAAAATGCTGCTGTAAAAAAATTAATAATGTACTCCAAATCCACAAAAAATGATTTCTGGATTATCTGTTATTAAATAATAAAAATGACAGTATAATTTGGCATGCAGAAAATCAGTAAAAATTAAAGAATGCTTATAATATCACATGAAGTTGAGAATCTTTATAACTACCAACACCTTGTCCATACTCCCAGGGGGCTTACAGAAAAATATACAAAGGATTCTAGATTATAGGGTCAAAATTCAACAAGGGGTTATCAAAATACAACTACATCACTCCAAGGCTGGTGAAGGAAAACAGCATATATATAGTCTGTTACAAAGAAAAGTTGCTTACATTCATTCAACAGACAGAGAAACACTAAAAAACACCTGTATGGGAAGAGACATTTTTAAAAAGTTAAACTAAGACACAGATTGGAAGAAGATATATGCACTATATTTAACAATGGATCTATATTCTGAAAACAGAAATAATTTTCAAAATGAAGAATATAAAGTTTTGAAAAATACACCATTTATGTTTAAAATTACACTCAACCTCACAAGAATTTAGGAAATAAAAATCAACAAAAGGTTTATGCTGATTATCAGATCAATAAGAAACATTAATTTTTATTTATTTATTTATTTTGACAGGGAGCTTCGTTCTGTCGCCCAGGCTGGAATGCAGTGGCGCAATCTCGGCTCACTGCAACCTCCACCTCCCAGGTTCAAGCAATTCTCCCTGCCTTGGACTCCTGAGTACCTGGGATTACAGGTGCCCGCCACCACGCCCAGCTAATTTTTGTATTATTTTTTAGTAGAGACAGGGTTTCGCCATGTTGGCCAGGCAAGTCTTGAACTCCTGACCTCGGGTGATTCACCCGCCTCAGCCTCCCAAAATGCTGGGATTACAGGCGTGAGCCACCGCACCCGGCCATAAGAAGTATTTAATTAGGCTGCGCGCAGTGGCTCACGCTTGTAATCCCAGCACTTTGGGAGCCCGAGGCGGGCAGATCACCTGAGGTTGGGAGTTCGAGACCAGCCTGACCAACATGGAGAAACCTCATCTCTACTAAAAATACAAAAATTAGCTGGGCGTGGTGGTGCATGCCTGTAATCCCAGCTACTTGGGAAGCTGAGGCAGAAGAATCGCTTGAACCTGGGAGGCGGAGGTTGCAGTAAGCTGAGATTGCACCGCTGCACTACAGCCCAGGCAACAAGAACGAAACTCTGTCTCCAAAAAAAAAAAAAAAAAAAAAAAATTGCTAACAAATGTCCAGTATCCCTAGAAGAAAAAAATGAGCAAATGAAATGGACATGTGGGTTCACAAAAGGAAATGCCAACAGTTCTTAAACATATTGAAAGACAACTTCCATTAGAGAAATGCAAATTAAAACCACACTGAAATCATTTTTCACCTATCAGAACAGTATAAATCCCTCAGTTTTCTGCTGTATTAGATGTAAAGTGTAACAGAAAGAAGAGTTGAGGATTACTCCTGATTTTTGATCAAGGAATTGAAGAAGAGTCACCATTTCCTGACCTCAAAGACAGCCAGGAGCTGACTTGAGGCAGAAAAATCAAGAGTTGGCCAAGTGGAGTGGCTCACACCTGTAATCCTAGCACTTTGGGAGGTCAGGGCAGGCAGATTACTTGAGGTCAGGAGTTCAAGACCAGCCTGACCAACATGGTGAAACCCCGTCTCTACTAAAAATACAAAATTAGGCTGGGCGCAGTGGCTCACAATTGTAATCCTAGCACTTTGGGAGGCTGAGGTGGGCGGATCACGAGGTCAGGAGTTTGAGACCAGCCTGGCCAACACAGTGAAACCCCGTCTCTACTAAAAATGCAAAAACTAGCTGGGCGTGGTGGCAGGCACCTGTAATGCCAGCTACTCCAGAGGCTGAGGCAGGAGAATCACTTGAACCTGTGAGGCGGAGGTTGCGGTGAGCCGAGATCGCGCCATTGCACTCCAGCCTGGGCAACAAGAGGGAGACTCCATCTCAAAAAAAAAAAAAAAACCAGAAGAAAAGAAAAGACTCTATAACACTTGCTACGCTTAAAGTGGTTTCCCTATTGGAAACTATTATATTCTTCAATGGTAATATCCATTGAGAGAACAACCAGACTTTTAGAAATTTCCTAATTTGTCCCCAATCCATAATTTTTAATACCACGGCTTCCTGAAACAACAGTCTAGGTTGTAACTGAAATATAAAGAAGGATCCAGTATTAATGAAATATAAAGTTAATATAGTCCAACAGTAATATTCTGTGAGATGCTAGTCCTATTTTTAGCTTTATTTTCTCAATTTACTTTTCATGTTTTATTTTTTGTTCCATTTTTGGCTCAGAAATGCAAAAATTCTGCCAGAGTTGAAAAATATAACTGTTGTGATTCATGTCCCCACCCACCTTTGAAGACACATACTCTAGTCTAGCTTCATCAAATGGGACTCCAGGGCAACATGGAGCCCAAGATGTGACAGCCCCCACTTTGCTAAATTCAATGCTTTAGAAACCTTATTTCTAAAGTCCTATTCCTATCATGAAACTTTAGTAACATGAACTGAAACTAACCAGGAGGAAATCTACTGTTGTGAAAAATGAAACTAAGCAAAAAGAACTTTCTGAAATATTTAACGGAATTCTTAATCCAATAAACATGCTGTTTCTAGGGACTTATAGCTGTACTTTATTAACATTCTTTTTTCTTTTTTGAGACAGAGTCTCACTCTATTGCCCAGGCTGGAGTACAGTGGTGCAATCTGGGCTCACTGCAACCTCCCTCTCCCAAATTCAAGCAATTCTCATGCCTCAGCCTCCCAAGTAGCTGGAATGACAGGTGTGTGCCACCATACTGGCTTTTTTTTTTTTTTTTTTGGAGACAGAGTCTCACACTGCCATCAGGCTGGAGTGCAGTGGCACAATCTTGGCTCACTGCAACCTCCGCCTCCTGGGTTCAAACGGTTCTCCTGCCTCAGCCTCCTGAGTAGCTGGGACTACAGGCACATGCCAGTACGCCCAGCTAATTTTTGTATTTTTAGTGGAGACAGGGTTTCACCATGTTGGCTAGGATGATCTCGATCTCTCGACCTCGTGATCCACCCGCCTCTGCCTCCCAAAGTGCTGGGTTTACAGGCGTGAGCCACCATGCCCAGCCTAATTTTTCTATTTTTAGTAGAGATGGGGTTTCACCATGTTGGCCAGGCTGTTATCGAACTCCCAACCTCAGATGATCCACCCTCTTCGGCCTCCCAAAAATGCTGGGATTACAGGTGGGTTAATTAACATTCTTAGCAGCGTATTCTCCAAGTAGAATTTGGTCTCCAAATGAAAATGTATTTGGGGACTAACAAGGAGAAATTCTTTTCATTTGAAGAGTTAGGGGCTGATCCAGCAGTAGCAAGTCAGCAAGGGGGTAAGATCAGAAGTCTCACTCATATTTATCAGGTGTGGAAGCATCACAGGCTCAGCCCCCAGCTGTTAAGACAAAAGGCAGCCTATTCCAGCCAGATCTCTGCCCAAAGGGAAAGCCAGCTATGTGTACTCCACCCTCTGGTGGCTCCATTTTGGGACTACAGTTTTTACTCCAGAGTTAAAGTCAGGGACTTAACTCCTCTTCTTATTCAGGCATAACCAGGGAAACACAAACACAGGTTGCTTTTTTTCTTGCAGGGGGCGGGGGCGGGGGACTGGAGTGCAGTGGTGCAATCTTGGCTCACTGCAACCTCCACCTCCCAGGTTCAAGTGATTCTCCTGCCTCAGCCTCCCGAGTAGCTGGGACTACAGGCGTGCGCCACCATGCTCAGCTACTTTTGTATTTTCAGTAGAGATGGTTTCACCACATTGGCCAGGCTGGTCTCGAACTCTTAACCTCACGTGATCTGCCCACCTCAGCCTCCCAAAGTGCTGGGATTACAGGCATGCGCCACCGCACCCAGCCTTAAACACAAATAAGTTTTTAAACTCAGTCCCTCTGAGGTTCAAAAAGAACTCAAAAAATGACACTAAGACATCAATACAACTAGGAAAACTTGCTCCAATTTCTACTGACAAAGTGAAGACTATACCAAATTTGATTTTTATTTTCTTTACAGCATTACATAGTGGCAAATATTCTTCATCAAGAATGACCATTTCGGCTGGGAGTGGTGGTTCACACCTGTAATCCCAGCACTTTGAGAGGCCAAGGTGGGTGGATCACTTGAAGCCAGGAGTTCGAGCCTGACCAACATGGTAAAACCCCATCCCTACTAAGAATACAAAAATTAGCCACACATGGTGGCATGTGCCCATAGTCCTAGGTACTCCAGAGGCTGAGGCAGGAGAATCCCTTGAGCCTGGGTGGCAGAGGTTGCAGTGAGCAAGACTGCATCGTTGCACTCCAGCCTAAGAGACAGAGTGAGACCCTGTCTCAAAAAATAAATAAATAATAAAATTAAAAAGAAAAAGAAAAGCAAGTCTAGTGAGCTGAAGATACTTTGCTAGTCTGGATCTTTGTTTGTCTTATTACTTTAAATTAGCAAGCTTCTATTATTCAGTAGACAAAGAGGTAGGGTGAAAGATACTCAGAAATGTCTCAGTCTGGTCCAATCCTTGTCCAAATCTAGAAAAAGCTATGAATCCTCTCATTAGAAAAATATACCTTTAAGGACTACATCCCAGCTACTCAGAAGGCCTGAGGCAGGAGGACTGCTTGAGCCCAGGAGTACAAAAACAGCCTGGGCAACATAGCAAGATCCTGTCTCTAAAAACAAACAAATAAAAGGAAAAGAAAAGAAGGGAGGAGGGAGGAAAGAAGAAAAAAAGGCCAGGTTCAGTGGTTCACGCCTATAATCCCAGCACTTTGGGAGGCCAAGGCAGGAAGATCGTTTGAGCCCAGGAGTCGGAGATTAGCGTGGGCAATGAATAGTGAGATCCGCCATCTCTACGAAAATTTTTTTTAAAAATTTGCCAGGCATGGTGTCCTGTGCCTGTAGTCCCAGCTACTCAGGAGGCTAGGGTGGGTGGATCACTTTAGCCTGGGAGGTCAAGGCTGCAATAAGTCATGATTGTACCACTACACTCCAGTCTGGGTGACAGAGCAAGACCAAAAAGAGAGGGAGAAAGAAGGGAGAGGGGGAGGGAGAGGAGGAGGGGGGGAGAAAGGGGGAGAAGAGAAAGGGAGCAGAAAAAGAAAAGGAAGGGAAGGAAGAAAATATACATTTATAGAAAATTAAAAACTTGTTTAAGGATTCATGGAAAATTTTGGGTTTAAAACTTTTTGTCAAGATGATAAATGCTAAGATACAGTCTGTGCAAAGCACAACACACTATATTATATATGATACTCATATAGGTATTATTTTGAAAGTTATAATTTCTTTTAAAAGGGTACATAAAAGTACAGTTCCTTTAAAATTACTCAAAAAAAAGTTTGTTTTTTTTTTTTTTGAGACAGAGTCTCGCTCTGTCACCCAGGCTGGAGTGCAGTGGTGTGATCTTGGCTCACTGCAACCTCTGCCTCGGGTTCAAGTGATTCTCCTGCCTTGGCCTCCTGAGTAGCTGGGACTACAGGTGTGTGCCACCATGCCTGGCTAATTTTTGTATTTCTAGTAGAGACGGGGTTTCACCATGTTGGCCAGGATGCTCTTGATCTCCTGACCTCATGGATCCGCCCACCTTGGCCTCCCAAAGTGCTAGGATTACAGGCGTGAGCCATCGTGCCCGGCCCATATTTTTTAAAATTACTAAAATGTATGTTGTTTTAAACATGTCTACATATACAGTTCAGCTTTCTACCTTTTTTCTGAAAAGACTAGAAAAAATCAAGAAATAAATGAACACAATTCCAGAACCAAGAAAATACTCAACATTAATACTGCAGTAAGCAGAATAAAGGACAAGAAAATCACCTGCCCTTACATTGATTATATTCAAGTGAGGTATCACCTGAGAAAGAGGCACAAGGGAGCCTGCTGGAGTACTGGAAAAGATGGAAATAGGTAGTAGTTTCAAGGGAATATATATGTAAAAATTCATTAAGATTTGTGCACATTACTGTAATACTTCAAAAAAATTTTGTTAAAACCTAAGCTTTCCAAATGGACACTGAGCAAGGTAATTAACTGCTCTAAGTTTAATCTATAAATGAATAAATCTCTCCTAGAGTTACTGTGAGAACTGAATAAGGTTAACACATGTATTTAGTACAATGCTAGATGCACAGTATCAATTAATGTCAGTCTACTATATCACTACTACAGATGGTGGATTATGACTTTTATCGATATGAAATATCTTTATCTGGTTTAAGAACAACCATGATAAATTATGGGCATTCCCCCAGGCCAATAAATGCACATCCTACATGTTGCTTTAAACAGGGTGTATATGTGTACTAATTCATTCCATGGTATGTATGTAACAGAACTTAATCGACTATTCCACAAGTAAGGAAAATTCAGGTTATTTCCTTTTTTATCTTTAGAAATAAAGTTACAGTGAATATCCTTGCCCCTACATTGTTTCTTCTGTTATTTTTATGTCTACAACAGATTACCAAATAAGTTATTAAGGTTCTTTCAAATATAAAACTTAACTCTCAAATAAGTGATTGCCTATCCAAACACTAAATATAAAAACAAACAGGGAATTGTCACAAGTGCCAGAGACAGGACTACCTGAAGGTAAAACCTTATAGATTCTAAACTTATATATCAAATGAAAAGGTAGAAATAAGTTATTCTTCCACATTTCAGATTAATCACATGTAAAAGTCTAAAATCTATTGCTCTTTCCAAAACTTCGAGTAAAAATTCTATTTAATGACAGAAAAATAAACACTATATACTCAAGTGAACAGATGTATAATTCTAATTTTTTGAAAGAAAATGTATATACATTCAAGAAACAGACCAAAAATATTAGTCAATTTTTGGCATTATCCCTTCACATATTTCCCAGTTTTTCTACAATGAGCATATAACAGTAAAAATGTTCAAAAAATTGTTTAAAATCAGAATTCAACCTGCTTTCAGTATATGTATCCAACAAATTAATTCCTGCATTCAAAATACTTTTGTTTACAGGGGTAAGTCACATCAGCCTGTGCCCAAACTGCAAAGGGCAAACTCTCCTCTTTCCAAAGATAAACTCGGCCGGGTGCAATGGCTCACGCCTGTAATCCCAGCACTTTGGGATGCCGAGGCAGGCGGATCACTTAAGGTCAGGAGTCTGAGACTAGCCTGGCCAACATGGTGAAACCCTGTCTACTAAAATTACACAAAATTAGCTGGGTGTGATGGTGTGTGCCTGTAATCCCAGCTACTTGGGAGGCTGAGGCACGAGAATTGCTTTAACCTGGGGGGCGGAGGTTGCAGTGTGCCGAGATTGCGCCACTGCACTCCAGCCTGGGCGATAGAGCAAAACTCAGTCTCAAAAAAAAAAAGGTAAACTACCCCCACATCTCTATTTTCCCTCCTTCCCCACCAACCCTTTCATATCACTGAAATGTAACACTCTGACATAAACTACAAACAAGATATAGGGGATAAAATTTGATGTTTATTTAGCCACAGACTCCATCCTGGTGCAGCTTAAGTCTATTTTCAGCACAGAACTGCTTCATGTTCAAAATCCAGGTTCCTTGCTAGCTGGACTTCTGATTCATTCTCAAGTTCCATATTGAAATCACTGTCCCTAAAAATAACTGACTTCCTTTCCTACTTGCTAGTCCTTTGGATTATGTCTTAAAAATCCTGTAATAAATCTTCCTCCTCAGACCCTCTTTAATGCAAATCAGTTTACACAAACTGTACTTCAGCTGCTCACAGTAAAATTCCTACAATTTTCATTAAGTTGTAAAATTTAAGAAAAAGAACCTAATTTTTAATTATTACCAATAATCTAGGCTACAATGCCAAAATATTATTTTGTATTTCTGTAAATTCTTACATGTCAAATGTGACATAACCACACTAACCTTGGTTCAAATAAGTAAGCGTTTCATCATGCAGTTTTACTGCTGGTGACGTTGCAGCACACATCACATACTGAAAGGGTGGGTGCTCTGTTTCACCATCCAATGGAAGGCTGGAATCTTCCTGCTTGAAAATGGGCAATGCCAAGACATCACTGAAAAGCAAAAAATCAACACTGACCTTACTTTGGGTTTGAAATATTTGTCTACAGCCATATCATCCTGAATGCACCCAATCTTGTCTGAAATATTTAAAAGCATATAAACATTTAGGGATAGTTTTTTTTTTAAGATCAGAAATTATATGTAGAATAAAAGAACTATGAATGCTATGTGGTTCATCTAAAGGATGGCATTAACAACCCCTATCTCGGGGTGGGAAGTGGGGGAGGGCGGCAGGGCAGCTCTGAATATATATATATATATATATATATATATATATATATATATATAGCACTTTAAAAACTTCTTTTAAAACTTTAAGGTCCAGATTCTTTCTATAAAAAAAAAGCAAGTCAAGAGTACCTAGCTACTTGATTTGAAAGGCAAGAAATAATACTGCTGCCAAAGGTAGGTCACACTTGACACCATAGAATTACAAAGAAGCATCTGATTAAAATGGGGTTTTACAAAAAGTTCCCTGCTGTGCCTTGGCAAGTGTTAAGAACATGAAGCTTCATGCCTAATCTAAAACAATGGCTCCTACTGAGAGGTAAACAGGAGCAGCAGCAGTCGCAGCAGCTGCTATTCTCCCCCTAAGAATAACCTGGGGCACTGATTGGGAGAATGATGAGGGGTCTTCTGGGACACTGTTTTTATTGGATGTTGTTTGGTTTTAACAGCTTTATTGAAATATAATTTACATATCATAAAGTCACCCTTTTAAAGTCTGAAATTCAGTGGTTTTAAGTATATTCACATCATCAGTATCTAATTCTTGAATTCCAAAATATTTTCTCCCCTCAAAAAGAAATCCCATACCCATTAGTAGTCACTCACCATACTATCCCAGACCCACTCAGCCCCTGGCACCCACTGATTTGTTTTCTATCTCTACGGATTTGCTATTTGGGACATTTAAATGGAATCATATGACTATGTGGTCTTTTGTGACTGGCTTCTTTCACTTAGCATGTTTCATGGACCATCCGTGTTCTAACATGTACCAATGCTTCATTCTTTTTAATGGCTCCATTCCATTGTATAGGCATACCGTATTCTGTATCCATTCAGATGATGGCCATCTGGGTGGTTTCCATTTTTTAGCAATTATGAATCATGCTGCTATGAACACTTTTCTATGTTTTTGTGTAGATAAATTCTGCTAAGTATACACCTGGAACTGGAATTACTGGATCACATGGTAACTCTGTTTAACTTTATTTTACTTATTTTATTGGAGACAAAGTCTCACTTTGTCACCCAGGCTGGAGTGCAGTGGTGGTATCTTGGCTCACCACAACCTCTGACTCCTGGGCTCAAGTCATTCTCATGCTTCCGCCTCCCAAGTAGCTGGGATTAGAGGCATGTGCCACCACACCCAGGTAATTGTATTTTTAGTAGAGACAGGGTTTCGCCATGTAGGCCAGACTAGTCTCAAACTCCTGGCCTCAAGTGATCCGCCCGCCTCAGCCTCCCAAAGTGCTGGGATTATAGGCGTGAGCCATCACGCCCCGCCTCTGTTTAACTTTCTGAGCAACTGCCAAGCTGTTTTTCAAAGTGGTTGCAATAATTTTACATTTCCCCTATTAATGTATGGAAGGTGATTATTTGTTTTTGAGATAATTATCTGAGCTGTACGTTTGTATCTTAACTTTTCTATACTCATTCTTCAATAAAAAGTAAAATGATAATAACAGCAACAACAAAACATCAAATGAATAACTACTGTATCAACACCAATAATAGGGACTTGTCTGAACTGCTTATTTTCTCTTTTTTTCCTACAAGCTGTTCACTAAGATACTTGGGTAGCCAGGTCAATTCAATTCAATTCAAAAACAGAATGTGAAAACAAGTGAAATGGGACGGAAACCCTGGGAGAGAACGTTATCCCACCAGTAGTCCCTACTCCCCCCATGCATTTCTATTAAAGCACTGTGCTGATTTTCAAAGATACTAACTATCCACTAATTCTCCCTCTCTTATTTATACCCAGGAATTGTCAAAACACTCCTACGTACACAAGTAATAACCAAGGATCACACGGTTAGCAATGGTCCCAACACTCCCACAGAGTTCTCTCAACACCTTGACCTAGGGATTTTGCCCCACCTAAGCTCCTGCCTTGGGGGCAGATATAAAAACTTTTCAGAAGACTTCAGGCCAGGAGCAGTGACTCACACCTATAATTCCAGCACTTTGGAAGGCTGAGGTGGGTGATCACCTGAGGTCAGGAGTTCGAGACATGGCGGGGGAAACCCCGTCTCTACTAAAAATACAAAAATTAGCTGGGCGTAGTGGGGCACGCCTGTAGTCCCAGCTACTTGGAAGGCTGAGGCAAGAGAATTGCCTGAACCTGGGAGTCGGAGGTTGCAGTGAGCTGAGATCGTGACACTGCACTCCAGCCTCAGTGACAGAGCGAGATTCCATCTCAAAAAAAAAAAAAAAAAAAAAAGAATCAGATCACCTCTTTATAAAAATCAGTCATAACAGTCAAATTGGCTCCAGGGAAGATAAAAATATATACTGCATTTTGTGTATATGTAAGCATTTAAAACCCTCTCAGAGAGAAAGAAAACAAGAATGAGAGTTGTGACTCAGAACCATTAATTATACCGAAAAATAACACAGGGAATAATTTTAACATTTCAATGCTAACTGCTTGGGTTGATCATTAGATACAGATCATCAAAATAAGATGTATAACTGCATGAGAATGGCTTTTTTTAATAAATTGTCACATATGGAAGACAATTTTATATGCTTCAGATCCTAGAAGACAACCACTTTTTTATTCACTTGGTTATAGTCTCCATGATCCACACAGAAAATACTATGCTCATGGTAAGTGCTAAACGACTCCTGAACAAACATATAAACATGTAAAGATTATTTGCTATTGAATTTCCAATTAATTTTTTACTTAATTAGAAAGAAAATGCCTTCCAGTCAACACAGCAACCAGTGATCCTTTTCAAACAGAAGTTAAACCATTTCAATTCTCTGAATCCTTACATCAGCTCACTTTCAACCAAAGTCCTTACGAAATCCTACGTCTCAAAAAAAAAAAAAAAAAAGCCCTACGCAACCTGCTCTTCAACCCCTCTTCTCGTCACCCTCATTCCCCCTGCTCCAACTACCCCGGCCTCCTGATTCTACTCTTCTACTGGATATCCTAATGGCTCATTTCATTCAAATGTCATCTTTTCAGTGACAACATGACACTGGAGTCCTCCCACCCACACTCCCAATTTCCCTACCCTAGCTCTATACACAGCTCTTACCACTTTCCAAAAATATACATGACTTACTAACTTTGTATCTGCTATAAGCACGTAACTCCAAATACGTGTTTCTTCAATGACTGATGCCAGCATCTAGCACAAAGGAGCTCAAATACTTGCTAAATCAATGAACTGATTGCTGCATTAATAATCAACCAATTAGTATTAAGATTGAAAACTAGGTCTCCAGACAAGATTATAATTTCTACTATGTTGAAAGTCCTAAAACCTTGATGGTTTTTGTAATCCCATAAATGGAAACAGACTTTTGAGTACTAAAGACAGAATGTTAAACGGAACTAAAAGTAGGGTGTTTCTTTATTTTTTTTTTTTTAAGACAGGGTCTGGCTCTGTCTCCCAGGCTGGAGTGCAGTGGCATGATCATGGCTCACTACAGCCTCAACCTCCCACCTCAACCTCCCAAGTAGCTAGTATTACAGGCTTGTACCACCATGCCTGGCTAATGTTTGTATTTTTAGTAGAGTGGGGTTTCCCCATGTTGGCCAGGCTGATTTTGAACTCCTGGCCTCAAGTGATCCACCCACCTCGGCCTCCTAAAGTGCTGGGATTACAGGCATGAGCCACTGCACCAGGCCCAAATGATGCATTTTAGAAGGCAAAACTGAAAGATCTACATGTTGGTAAATTTTAATGTAGCTTAGCACCAAAAATCAGGATGCTAAAAAAGACTTGGAAATCACAACAAGCTTGATCAAATGAAGTATAAAAATCTACTAGGACATCTAAAAATCCAGCAATGTAAGCTGCCTTCAGGGAGGACAAATGAATGACTGCAAGACCCTAGTGTGAGGCAGAGACTGCACTGTACACCCTCTCATAGCCTTTGAAAATAATTATGTGAATGTACTGATTTTCAAAAACAGTGAAAATTTGAATTTTTCTTAAGGACAAGATAGATAAAACATATATGGAAGCTAAATGAGAATTCTAAAGAGACATGAAAGAAACAAAATAGAAAAAACAACATAGAGAACTGTTTAGTAATGGCAGGCTAAGTAATTTAAATGAACCTATACCCCATCCACCCTCACTGAGGATAGGGGGGAAAAAAGTTGTCAGAGAACACATATATTCTTGAAAGTATTAAAGAACTAACAAGATAAAGAAACAGGCTGAAATCTGAAAAAGTGCAGTAAGTCCAAGCAAGCCTAGAACTGAAAGTGGCTTTTACCTACCCAAACTGAGGAAAGAACTGCAAAGCTGTACTGTAGTTTTAGTGGCCTTGTGGGTGTAGGATACAGCCATCCACATTAAACTGGAATGAGAACAACTAGATGCTCAGGGTAAGGGTGAAGGGAAAGTACTGGTTAGCTTCTCCAGCCTGGTCCGGGGAACCACTGACAGGTAGGGCTCCCAGGGGTCTGACAAGCAAGTGAAAAGACTTAGGCATCAAATTATTCCAAGTAATTCTGAAATGCCAGTACACCAAAATAACCAGGCATAAAAGGACAAACAAGACTCTAGAAGCAAAAACCAACAGCAAAAACAACAGATGACATATATCCAGTTCCAGATTTTGTCTGCTGGTATTCAGATCTTTTCTGCCTCTACTGCAGAAGGTTAGAAGCCTGAAAACTACATATAGAAGAATTCTTGCTAGACAGTCTTGTCAGGCTCTCCAAAGGCAAACACTGGCGGAAAATTGAAAGAGCGGGAAAGGGAAAAGCCAGATGCAAAAACAGGCAACCACACGGAATGCAGCTGCGGAAAATTTCAGGGGATCAGCAGCCATGCCTCCAGCAACAAGCCCAAGAACAACCAGGTAACATGGCCTCCTCCTCCAACCCTTCCAGCTCCTTTGCAATCAAATACTTCACTAAATCCCTCTCTGCTTGAGACATCTCACTGATTTCTATTTTCCTGACTGGACACAGACCACCAGAGATTTCAGATGCTGGAATTATCAGATCCAAATTATAAAATCGTACTTACTCTATTTAAAGAAATAAAAGAAAAGCCTGAAAGTATCTGGAAGGAACAGGAAACTTTAAAGGACAGCAAAACTGAAAAAGAGCAAAAAGAACTTCTAGAACTGGAAAATAAAACTGTCCAAATTAAGAACTCAGGTTTAATAGCAGCTCAGACAGAAGTGAAGACTGAATTAGGAGACTGGAATGCTGGAATATAGGTAAAAAGAAGTTATTCAGAAAGCAGCACAGAGAGGAAAATGAAGAAGTTAAGAAGGGACCAAGTGAGAAGATTTTGCATTAAATTCAAGTCTCAGCAAAGAACGGAATAGGGGCAAAAACTGAAGACAGGAAGGCTGAGCAAATTCTAGAACTGGTGAAATATACCAATTCATGGATTCAAGAAGCCCAAATGACCAAACCAGAATAAATAAGAAATACACACCTAAATACACCATAGAAAAACTCACAAGCCAGTACAGCATATGAAAGTTCCGCCGGGTGCAGTGGCTCACACCTGTAATCCCAGCACTTTGGGAGACTGAGGCGGGCGGATCATTACATCAGGAGTTCAAGACCAGCCTATCCAATATGGTGAAACCCTGTCTCTACTAAAAAACTACAAAAAAATTATCTGGGCATGGTGGCACACGTCTGTAGTCCCAGCTACTCAGGAGGCTGAAGCAGGAGAATTGCTTGAATCTGGAAGGCAGAGGTTGCAGTAAGCCAAGATTGCGCCACTGCACTCCAGCCTGGGCGACAGAGTGAGACTCCGTCTCAAAGAAAAAAAAAAAAAACGAAAAAAGACAGCTCCATTTTCCCAGTAAATAACTAAGGGAATCAGTTGAAAATAGGCATGGCAAGGATGAGTTGTGAGGCTGAGGAGGTGTCATTAAGCTTTCTAGATGAGTAGGGGAGGAAATGGATGAGAATGTTATGGTATAAACTACAGAGCAGCAGGAAAGACATACTTGACAGCCAAGGTCATGAACCAACCACTATTAACAAAATCTGAATACTCTCATATCCATTAAATAAATTACATGTATAGTCAAACATTTACTCATCCAAAGAAAGTTAAAACTGGCTGGGTGCAGTGGCTCACACCTGTAATCTCAACACTTTGGGAGGCCGAGACAGGCGGACTGCTTGAGCCCAGAGACCAGCCTGGGTAACATGGTGAAACCCCGTCTCTACAAAAAATAGCAAAAAAATTAGCCAGGCATGGTGGCGCATACTCATAAACTCAGCTACTAGGGAGGCAGAGGTAGGAGAATTACCTGAGCCTAGGAAGTCGAGGCTGCAGTGAGCCATGATTGCACCACTGCACTTCAGCCTGGGTAACACAGTGTGACCCTCTTCTGGCTAAGTTCTCTGTTTTGGCAAAGTTTTTTAATTTAAAAAAATTTTTTGGTTAAAACACAATGGTTTGTAATTGTTATTCTAAATAAATTTTTTAATGTTTTCAAATTTCTTGATACTTTCACATTATGAAGTTACTACAACATATACAGCATCCTATTTATATTTAGATAAATTGAGACAAAGTAGTAACTAAACAAATACAAGCAACTGTGGTCCTACTCTACTCAAAATCACTGCTAAAAATAAGAGATCCTTTCAAGGCTAAATAGCATTCACAAGTGTGTCTCATCTTTGCATTCCCCACCCACACCAAAAAATTACATGTTTCTAAAACAGTTTTAACCACTACACATCAGAAGTGTCAAAATCATAAAAGAAGGAAAAACTAAAAATTGTTACAGGACACAAAAACTAAATGCAATACAGAATCCTGGATTGGAATCTGAAAGGACAAAAGGGAGACAACTGTGAATTCCAAATAAATTTTGTAATTTAGATAACAGTATTGCACCAAGTCTAATTTCTTGATTTTGACAATAGTACTCTGGTTGTATAAGTAGGAGAAGCTGGGTGAAGGGTACATGTGAACTCTCCATACTACTTTTGTAACTTGAAAAATTTCAAAATGAAGAGTTTTAAGTTAAAAGTTCAACTATGAATACATGAATGAGTAATAACTAGTTTTGTCATAGTTCATATCAAGGCAACAATTTCACAATGTCCAAAAAACTCAGAGTTTTTTGTTTTTTTTTTGAGACGGAGTCTCACTCTGTCGCCCAGGCTGGAATGCAGTGGCGCGATCTCAGCTCACTGCAACCTCCACCTCCCGGGATCAAACGATTCTCCTGCCTCAGCCTCCTGAGTAGCTGGGATTACAGGTACATGCCACCATGCCTGGCTGATTTTTGTATTCTTAGTAGAGACGGGGTTTCACCAGGCTGGCCAGGCTGGTCACGAACTCCTGACCTCAAGAGATCCACCCACCTCAGTCTCCCAAATTGCTGGGATTACAGGTGTGAGCCACCGCGCACCCAGCCTTTAAAAAAAAAAAAAAAAAAAAAAAAGACTACCATAGGCCGGGCACCGTGGGAGTCCGAGGCGGGCAGATCACGAAGTCAGGAGCTCGAGACCAGCCTGACCAACAAGGTGAAACCCCACCTCTACTAAAAATACAAAAATCAGCTGGGCGTGGTGGCATGCACCTGTAATCCCAGCTACTCAGGAGGCTGAGGCAGGAGAATCACTTGAACCTGGGAGGTGGAGGTTGCGGTGAGCTGAGACAGTGCCACTGCACTCCAGCCTGGGTAACAGAACAAGACTCCACATCTCAAAAAAAAAAGACTCTACCACCAAAGGCTGACAATTTCATATTCATCTATTAGATCTGTCCCAAAACAAGCAAAGTAAATAATACAGAGCCTCCTTTCAATTCAGTCATGAAGCTGGGCACCATGTGGCCCACCTGTGGGTCCAGCTACTTGGGAGTTTGTGGCAGGAGAATCCCTTGAGCCCAGGAATTAGAGCCTGTAGTGTGCAGTGATCAAGTCTGCAAATAGCCACTGCACTCCAGCCTGGGCAACAAAGCAAGACCCTGTCTCTAAAAATAATAATAATAATAGTATCAGTCATAGAACCTACAGCTAAGAAAAAAAAAGAAAAAAGCATCAGATGGTATTTCCAGCCAAAGCAAACGTTTAAATGTGTACTGGCAAACCAACAAATGCCACTATGATGAAACATCAAGTTTAGGAGACCATATCAATAAACCACCAAGTTTCAAACAGTCCTAATTGAAGGATATAAACTGTACTATATCTTACAGGGGCGGGGGAACCCTAATTTTAAAAACTGAACACAATAAAAATCTATAGACAAACAATGGAATTACATAAATTAGCTGAGACAGTTCTTAGACTACATAAAAATAATTTCTTGAAAGTAAGGTTTCAGTAGTCAGCAAATCCTTTTTTTTTTTTTTTTTTTTTTTTTTGAGAAAGAGTCTTGCTCTGTCACCCCAGGCTGGAGTGCAGTGGAGCAATCTCGGCTCACTGTAACCTCCGCCTCCCGGGCACAGGCAATTCTCCTGCCTCAGCCTCCCAGTAGCTGCGATTACACGCATGCGCTACCATGCCCAGCTAATTTTGTAAGATGGGGTTTCACCATGTTGGCCAGCCTGGTCTCAAACTCCCGACCTCAGGTGATCCACCTGCCTCAGCCTCCCAAAGTGCTGGGATTACAAGCGTGAGCCACTGCGCTCGGTGACTCTATCCTTTAGAGCAGGGGTTGACAAGCTATGGCCTAAGAGCTAAATCCAACCAGCCCGTTTTTACACAATTATGGGGTAAGAATGGTTTTACTTTTTTTTTTTTTTTTTTTTTTTGAGATGGAGTCTCTCTCTGTCACCAGGCTGGAGCACAGTGGCGCGATCTCAGCTCACTGCAACCTCCACCTCCCGGGTTCAAGCGATTCTCCTGCCTCAGCTTCCCGAGTAGCTGGGACTACAGGCATGCGCCACCATGCCCAGCTAATTTTCGTATTTTTAGTAGAGACGGGGTTTCACCACGTTGGCCAGGATGGTCTCGATCTCTTGACCTCGTGATCCGCCCACCTTGGCCCTCCAAAGTGTTGGGATTATAGGCGTGAGCCATGGCGCCCGATCTGGTTTTACATTTTTTAAAGGGTTGTAAAAAACAAAATGTGACAGAATCCATACATCCCACAAAGCCTAAAATATTTACTACCTAGCCCTTTACAGAAAGGTTTGCCAACCTTAGCTTTACAGTAATAAATTTTAAAATGTGGACACTATAATCTTAAATCAATAAATGTTTTAAATGAGTTAATTTATTAAATCATTTCCTGTACTGCAGCCAAGATTAAATCCAGGAAAAAGTTGTTAAACCTTGAAATTAGAAGTTTTATAGAAATTGCTTCATGAAAAGATTCTAAGGAAAAAAAACAGAAATTACTGCCAATTCTGGGAGTATTCTGAAGAACCCATTTTTAAATTTCACTAATCCTAAAATTGTTCTACACAGATGTTCCCCGACATATAATAAAGTCCCAATCAACCCATTGTAAGTTGAAAATATAAATCAAAGATAAATTTATCAGCCTGGCCAACATAGCAAGACCTTATCTCTACTAAAAATAAAAATTTAAAAATTAGCCAGGCATGGTGGCACTGCCTGTAGTTCCAGCTACTCTGTGGCTCAGGTGAGAAGACTGCATAAGCCCAGGAAAGTCAAGACTGCAGTGAGCCATGATTGTACCACTGTACTCCAGTGTAGGTGACAGAGCAAGACCTAGTCTCAAACGAACATTTCATGCACCTAACCTACTGAACATCATAGCTTACCTAGCCTACCTTAAACATGCTCAGATCAGTTAGATTAGCCTACAGTCGGGGAAAACCACTTGGCAACACAGTATACTGAATGGGAACTATGGCTCACTGCCACTGCCCAACATCACAAGAGAGCATCATACCATGTATCAGGAGCCTGGGAAAGACCAAAATTCAAAATACAACATACAGTGTCTACTGAAGGTGTTTCTACTGAATGAATATGGCTTATACAACAAAAATTTTAAGTCAAACCATCATAAGTTGGAGATCATCTGTACTTCCAAGATATATATCACCTACTCAGGGACATTCTATTTTAGCATGAGACCAAAAGAAAATCATCAATTATTAATAGCTACATAATAAACCCTACCCTTGCTAATCTTGTACTAACTTAATACTGATCTAAGTTGAAATTCTGTTACCTTACAGGATCTATAACATTAATTTTTTTTAACTTTTTAAAAAGTGACAGATAATAGTGTACATTACCATGTGCAACACGATGTTTTGACATATATACACTGTCCAATGTTTAAATTCAACCAATTAACAAACGTATTACCTCAGTTATCACTGTGGTGAGAACATTAACATCCACCCTTTGCATTTTTCAAGAATACATTGTATCATTAACTACAGTAACCTTGTTGTACAATAGATTTCTTAAATAAACATTTTACCTTTCAATCAACATAGGAAATCTGTCATTAGCTCAAAGCAGTTTTGATTTAGCAAATTATTTGTAAACTATGGATGTACCTCCCATTTCAAAATACATAATGTATATCTTTTGTTTCAAGAGATTTATACCACAGCGAAGTTTAACAAACAGGGCTCAGACAATACCTTTTTTAAAGTAATAATTTAATATCAAAATTTTTAAAAGAGTAAGCTATACAAGCCATTACTTCCTATAACCTTCAAAAATATTTCAATATTGAGCCCCCAAATCCTAAAAATTAACTTGGCTACAGATGATAAATTTCATACAGTGAGATGGAAAGAAAATTACCAGGTGGTCCAAAGACCCTCTTTGAGTTTTAATGAGTATTATTTTTTAAAGTCATTTGGTTATCTACTCCATACTTCACAAAACGAGAATGACCCAGATTTCAAGTTACCATGAGTTTCAGTCTTCACTCTGTGTGGGGGAAAAATCAGCCTTCATCTGTTTAAGCCAATCACTTTAACATCTATGACCCTCAGATAATGCATTTACAGTATAAGAAAAGGAGTGGTCTAGACTCTAAAAGGTTTCTAAGGAAGGTCTCTATCCATCTCTAAAATCCTGTTACTGTAACCAAGATTTTTAAAAACATTTATGACCTGCCTCATTTCAAATAGAATCTGCTGCAGTTCACATCTCACATCCAAATATAACCACCAAAAAAGACTAAACAAAAACAACAACAAAAAAGTATAATACAACAGCACACACAGAACACATGAGAACCAGAGCCAAAAGAAAAAGAGAAGCAAAGGTAATGTTAGTAATTAGCCCCAATATATTCCCAATATTACCAGCCTACATTATTTTACACAAACATATTTTTCCTACTGTTTTAAGAGAAAGGGGTGGGGGGAAACAACAAAAGAGAAGGGGGTCTCATTCTTGCCCAGGCTGGAATGCAGTGGCTATTAACAGGTGCAATCATAGCACACACTACACCCCTGAACCTCTGGGCTCAAGCAATCTCCCACGTAGCTAGGTCTACAAGCATACCAAACATCACACCTGCCTAATTTTAAGTCAGACCACTGACAGAAGCCATTTCTTCCTTTCAAACTATCCTCCCAAAAGATGAGGAAACCATTCCCTAAGAGAAGTCTTTTAAGAAATACCTCTTGTTTTAAGCCATCCAAAAAGCAAATACAGTAAGCATGTTTCATTTTGAAAGAAAAATAGAAAGCTGCCTACAAAATCAATTTGTATCAAGAAGTCATTTTTCCAGTAATTTCTTCAAGTTTACTTCTTGAACTTTGAAAGATAAGCTTTCCTTCCCACTGGATGCCAGAGGAAGTGACTGAATGCTCAAGCTGGCCATTCATAGGCACTCCAACCCTCTCAGGGCTCCAGGGCCAGGCATGGAAAGTACAACTGCAGTCCAGGGAGGCCTGCAGCAGCTAACGCCTTCTTCAGATTTTCTCCTTATCGAGTCAATTTTGGAATTTCCTTAGTTTGAGAATTTCAAACAAAGGGCCTTGAATTTGCAAGAGGCAAGCACTCTCATCTCTTAGTTTTTGAGGACTCAATTAAATACGAAAAAAAAACCTTCTTAAAAATGGTAATTACCTTCAAACTTCTTTGAAAATTTAGATTAAATGACACAACCAAAAAAGAATTCAAGGGAAAATTATCCCTGTAAAGAGTACTGTAGGTTACACAGAATTACAAAGATCTCACACATTACTTTAAAAATACATGGTCAGGGAAAGGTTTAAAATCATCAAGATTGTACTTCCTTTTCATGGAAATAAACCATACACAGAAGTTATTACATTAATAAGTTGGCTGAATCACTAAATCAAAGTACAGGTCAAATAAAACCCTAGAAAAAAGTAAAAGCTCAAAATAGCTATCAATAAGTAAACTTTTCAGCAGCAAACTTTCATTTTACCATAAAAGAGAAGCAACTGAGGAGAGACACATATTGAACTTGCTTCACGTGCCTCCTTTGCCTTGACTATAAGCCTCGTGTTTCCAGTAGAGAGCTAAGGAGCAGAATGGCACTAGAGGAGTGCGTTTTCACTAGAGAAGCACTGCCTCTAATACTCCCCTCTGGGGTGACTCCATGACTTTCAGTAGCTCAATTTCCTCAACAACTGAAACAGCTGTTTTAGAAAATAAGCCAACTCATCTACAGGCCTTAAGTTATACAACTGCAGAGAGAAGAGGTGCCAAGTTCAGGAAGCCCAACAGAGACCAAATCAGAGCCAGACGCTGGGGAACTCCAGGTTTAATATGCCTTCCACTACTCACTTCCACACTCCAAGAAATGTCTCCAACCTTTCTGAGAGTTCTTTATGGCTCAGAATTTCTCCTTAAGATTTAAAGACCCAATTACTTCAAGGAGCAGCCACCAAGATTCCAGGCCAGCTTTAACCCAGAAGTCCTCCTCTAGAGCTGCAGTAAGATGTATGAATGCTACTGGGAAACTGTAGAGCACTTCCAAAACATCAGACATTTTCTAAAGAACAGAAAGCTACACTTAATTCACATTATTGAAAAGCTGCCAAACCACTGATTTTTAGACTTTATTAGTCAAGTCAACGCTATGGTAAACTATATTTCAATAAAGCCACTAAAAAAATACAGAGTTTCCAAATTCCTAACAGTTAAAAAGGATAAAGGGCGGAGACTAAGCTCAGATCTGTTTCAATCTCTCCATATTAAAATGAATGACTGCTGGTACAGACAGCAGAGACTAAACAATTATTTGTGGTGCAATCACTGCATCTTAAAACCCTCAAGAGGAAACAGCCTGAGAGGGTAGTCTCCAAAATGAGAAACTTCACTTTGAGACAATCAAAAGAACAAAACGAAGTCACAGTGCTACTCCCACCGCTGCTCTTTCAATTATAATTTACTAACATCAAGTGATTAAAATCTGCAGCCAGAAAAGATCATAATGTAGGACAACAAAGTAGGAACTGATCCCAAAACGCTAGACAGTATTCTCCCAATATAAGTGCTGCCTTTTCGTACAGTGTATTCTAGCTCCAATGGGACTTGTAAATCACTTATAAGGAAAAGAAGCCCCTTCCCCCACCAACCCAAGCCATCCTAATAGCTGGGCGTGTTTTACAGCAAATATGAAGCACTCAGGAGCGGTCCGAGGCCGACGCTTGCGGGGCCATCCTCCCCCACCCGCCCGTCACCAGGGCGAGCAGAGGCCTTTGGGGTTCCATGGCCCCCGACCGCCACGCGGCAGGACTCCGACCCCGCAGCCCAGGAGGCCCGCGCACCTCTGGGAGCAGCCGCATCTGGCAGAGACTCAGGGCTGCGCAGGCCTTCCCCAAGGAGACAGAGGCTTCTCCCCGCCCAGGGAGCCCAGTACCTCATGCTGTAAGCGCCGGCGCCCAGTTCCTGCCCGATGCCCGAGAGGCTGGCGTCGAAGTCGTGCACCAGCCCGGACTCGATCACCTCGTCCATCTTGAGCACCCAGGCCATCTTCCGGCCTCGCCGTCGCCCCGCACACCGCGGCCTCCGCGTCCAGGGCGAAGGAGCCGGAGCTCCGCTGGCGCGTCCTGGGGGAGGGCGCGGGTGAAGCCTCCGGAGGGGCGGCGAGTGGTCACCAGCGGCGGCCGGGACGAGAGCTGCGGGGGCCCCACTGGCAGGGCACGACGAGCCCAGCGAGCAATTGCAGCGGGAGCGGCCGGGCCGCCGGCAGCGCCACCCTCCCGCGGACACCGGCCCTGCGCCTCATGCCGGCGCCGCCGCCCAGCCCCCGCGCCGCTAGCGCTGCAGCCGCCGCCGACCGCCCCGCCCGGGGCCCCCCGGTCGCATCCTCCTCCGGGACCGCTGGGAGGCTGGACCTCGGGCCGCTCCGAGGACCACACGGGGGCAAGCCCTCCGCCCGCCCGTCACCCGCCCCCAAGCCTTGACTCCTTGCCCCCGGCCCGCCCAGGCTCTAGCGCCACACCGCCCCGGCCAACCCCGCCGACGCCGCTCTGCCGGCCGGACGCTGGCTTCAACGCGACTCCGACTTAGGTTCACGCGCCGCTTCCGCCTCCCCCGGCCCCGCCCCGACCCCGCCCCGGCGTTCGCCCCACGCCTCGGCCCTCCCCGTACAGCCCCGCGCTTAGGGCCACTCCCCGCGCCTCGCGGCCCAGGAACTGTCCAGAGAGTGCAATGCGGCCCCGCCCACGCGGCTGTTCCCAGCCGGGGTGGCCTCGCTGCGTCCCCGCACAGCAGCCCAGGAAGAGGCGGTGCCAAAAGGGCTGCCAGTTTCCGCCCCTTCTAGCGAGCGAGATGATTGACAGGCCAACTGAGCAATACCTGCAAGGGCTTGGACGAAGCTCCCGTGAGTCTCTGTGTCCCCCGACTAAACAACCAATCAAAATGTTCTTCACCTTGGGCGGGCTCGAAGACGGAATTTGTTGCCAAAAGAAAGAGTTCATTGGACTGCATGGTAGAAAGCGACCCAAAACGCCACTTCCGGAGGTGATTTGCTCCTCTGTGGTATTTCCCGGTCGTCTCTGCTTTATGCCCTCTCTACCGAGGGAGTGAGCGGTTTGCACCCCATCTGGTGACAGAAAAGCCAGTTGTGCAGAAAACCTTGATTGGCGTGAGAATAAGCCAATCAACGCTCCTGAGAAAGAGCTCTGGAAAGACTTCCCCTATTGGTTGCATTGCCGAGAGCAGCTTGGCTATCCTGAGTTGAACTAGCTGTTGGTCATCCTAAGGGCAGGCGGTCTCCTGAAGTTGGACCGAACCATTAGGACGTGCCACAGTAACAGCTACGCTGCTCAGAAGGCCCGAAGGGTCTTCCTCAGCGACCTAGCGTGGGCACGCGCCACTGCGGCCAAAAGACAGAAATCTTTTTACCGGAAGAGATGAAATAGAAAGCAGGAGCCAGAGGCTGACTTACAGAGCCAGTGTGCGGATCAGAGTTCCTTAGGAGCGGCTGCTGGCGCTTGACGGGCGGAATCCTTGCTGAAGAGAACGTCAAGGCCCGGGCTTCGCCCTGCATCGAACTTACTGCCTAAGAATAAGACCCAAATGCTGAGCGCCCCGCCCCAACTTGCCAGTTTAAGTGCAAAAATACATAGATTAAAATGTCAGCCTAATAAAGCAGTGGCACTGAGCCAGAAAAAAATAGTCTCAACGCCTGTGTGATTTAGATACTAACTTACAGGCTCACGCCTGTAATCCCAGCACTTCGGGAGGCCGAGGCGGGTGAATTAGTTGAGGTCAGGAGACCATCCCGGCCAACATGGTGAAACCCCGTCTCTACCAAAAATAACAAAAATTAGCTGGATGTGGTGGCGCGCCCATGTAATCCCAGCTACTCAGGAGGCTGAGGCGGGAGTAAGGCTTGAACCCGGGAGAAGACAGAGCAACACTCGGTCTCCAAAAAAAAAAACCACAAATTAACTTGGAGAATGTTTTTCTCTTTACACAACATTTTTGCAAACATTTCATTTGATAAAGCCATACTTTAGAGATGAGGTAATTCAGGTGAAAATGTGTAAAGATTACACAGTGCAAGGTCACACAGTAAGCAGGTAAACCGGGGCTATTTGACTAATCCAGATTTCTCTGATTCCAGGCGAAAACATTAGATTGGCCATCAGTTCAGGAAGCTCCATTCCACTATTACAAATAAATCTGCACAAACAATTGGATAGTCAAGGGAAACATTGGTCTCATTGGGGGTCTCAGATATGTCTTCATTCCATGATCTCACCTCACTTGCATAACCTAGTCTATAACCAGATTAGCCAGGCCTACTATTAGTTGTTGGAAAATTTGGAGAAATGGAATTGGGGGAAGATAATTCTCTGGTTTTTGGAGAGAGTGTAAAAGTACAAGCTACCATCAATTTTTCAATCAGGCTGTGCCCTAAGGAAGTACTGGGTCAAATATTTAGAAATTGAGCCTCAGGCTGGGCAGTGTCTCAGGCCTATGATCCCAGCGCTTTGGGAGACCAAGACTTAAAGCTTGGGAGGATGGCTTAAGGCCAGCAATTGGGAGACTAGCCTGGGCAACATGGCAAGATCCCGCTTCTACAAGAAAAAAAAAATTAGTTGAGCATGATGGCACGCTCCTGTAGTCCTAGCTACTTGAGAGAGACTGAGGCAGGAGGATCACTTGAGCCTGGGAGTTTGAGGCTACAGTAAGCTATGATTGTGCCACTGCACCCTAGCCCGGATGACAAGATGAGACCCTGTCCTTAGAAAAACAAACAACAACAACGAAAAACAAAAAACAAAAAAAAAATTAGAGTTCTGGAGGATAGAAATAAAAGTGTTGGCTGGTCATGGTTGCTCACAACTGTAATCCCAACATTTTGGGAGACCAAGAGGGGAGGATCTCTTGAGGCTAGGAATTTGAGACCAGCATGGGCAACAGAGCGAGACCCCTGCCTCTACAAAAGAAAAATTTTTTTTGAGACAGAGTCTTGCTTTGTTGCCCAGGCTGGAGTGCAGTGGTGCGATCTCAGCTCACTGCAAGCTGCGCCTCCGGGGTTCGCACCATTCTTCTGCCTCAGCCTCCCGAGTAGCTGGGACTACAGACGGCCGCCACCACACCAGGCTAATTTTTTGTATTTTTAATAGAGACAGGGTTTCACTGTGTTAGCCAGGATGGTCTCGATCTCCTGACCTCGTGATCTGCCTGCCTCAGCCTCCCAAAGTGCTGGAATTACAGGCATGAGCCACCGCTCCTGGCCAAAAAAATTTTTTTAATTAGCCAGACATGGTGACCTGCACCTGTGGTCCCAGCTACTCCAGAGGCTGAGGTGGGAGGATCACTTGAGACCAGGAGGTCAAGGCTTGCAGTGAGCCATGATAATGCCACTCTAGCCTGGGTGACAGATGAGACCCTGTCTGGAAAAAAAATAGAAGTATCAAGCAGCGCTAAATAGTAATGTCATAAAGAGACCAAAATATAAAAGAAGGATAGTGTTAAAAGAAAACTTTAGACAAATTAAATATAAGAGTTTAATTTTGCAAAAAAAAGATTTGTCAATCAGGTAGCCACCCCGAACCAGAATATGTTCAGAGAGACTCCAACACTGTTGCATGGTGGAAGAAGATTTATGGACAGAAAAAGGACAGTGATGTACGGAAAACAGAAGTGAGATATAAAAACAGCTTGATTGGTTGAGTGTATTATTTGAACAGTTGGCCTCCTGTAATTAGCCAAAACTCAGCGATTGTTATAATAGGTTATAGACCATTTATACATCCAGTTAGGTTACAATTTACTGTGTACAGAGAAACCTTTAGGCTGAACTTATAAGGAGGCAACTTTAGGCTAAACTCAATTTAACAATTTCTCCCCTTTTGTTCAACCTCTCAACTTGACCAAAATAGAGAGGTTGACCAAAATCCTAGACATTGACATTACTTTCTGACCATTGTAAATGTACTTATCTGGTCGCAAATCCCATTGGGAAATAGTACAACAGTGGGTTTTGTAAGGTGCGAATAAGGACTTTAGGTTATTTTCTGGTAAGCGTTAGAGTAGAGGATACTTTTTTTTTATTATGTTGGAATTTTTATTTATTTAAATTTTATGGACATTTTATGGATGATTGTATGTAAACATTTAAAACTTTTGAAAGTCCTTAGTGCACATAGGAGACTACTATTAAGATTACCAAGAGGATAATACCAAGACTTTGGAGTATGCCCCTTAGCCAGGGTCAACATGAACTAAACTAACTAAAATCAAATAGATCAAAGAAAGAGCTAGATAAAAGATCAAGCTGTTTTAACCAAGCAGCTTGTTTATTAATCCCCTGTAACTGAATCTCTATAATACCTGATATGTTCATCTCTGTGCAACAAGAAGTGTGAGCAACTGCAGATACTTCTCTGTATCTGCATACAGAGATACATACTTCTCTGTATGCAGATACAGAGAAGTATCTGCATACAGAGATACATACTTCTCTGTATCTCAGTAAGTAATATACAGCAATTCCGTTATCTAGCACAACTTTAGCAAGAGAACTTAAAGTCTGTTGTGCCATGGCCTTTGCAGTAGAGTCAGCTATAGAGTCTACTATGAGGGATAAATTTCCTTTTTCTTTCTTTTTTTTTTTTTTACTTGTTGAGACGGAGTCTTGCTCTGTCACCCAGGCTGGAGTGCAGTGGAGCGATCTCGGCTCACTGCAAGCTCCACCTACCGGGTTCATGCCTTTCTCCTGCCTCAACCTCCCGAGTAGCTGGGACTACAGGTGCCCGCCAGCACACCCAGCTAATTTTTTTCTGTTTTTAGTAGAGACGGGGTTTCACCATGTTAGCCAGGATGGTCTCGATCTTCTGACCTTGTGATCCGCCCACCTCAGCCTCCCAAAGTGCTGGGATTACAGGCGTGAGCCATCATGCCCGGCCTTTTTTTTTTTTGAGATGGAGTTTTGCTCTTGTTGCCCAAGCTGGAGTGCAATGGTGTAATCTTGGCTCACTGCAACCTCTGCCTTCCAGGTTCAAGTGATTCTCCTGCCTCAGCCTCCTGAGTTTTTGGGATTACAGGCACCCGCCACCATGCCCAGCTAATTTTTTGTATATTTTTTTTCAGTAGAGATGGGGTTTCACCATGTTGGCCAGGCTGGTCTTGAACTCCTGACCTCAGGAGATCCACCCACCTCGGCCTCCCAAAGTGCTGGGATTACAGGTGTGAGCCACCGCGCCCGGCCATGAGGGATAAATTTCTTTTTTTTTCCTTTTTTTTTTTTTGAGAGAGTCTCACTCTGTTGCCAGGCGGGAGTGCAGTGGCACAATCTCGGCTCACTGCAACCTCCACCTCCTGGGTTCAAGTGATTCTCCTGCCTCAGCCTCCTGAGTAGCTGGGATTACAGACGTGCACCTCTATGCCCAGGTTTTTTTGTTTTTTTGTGTGTGTGTGTGTTTTTAGTAGAGACAGGGTTTTACCATTTTGGCCAGGCTGGTCTCGAACTCCTAACCATGTGATCCACACGCCTCAGCCTCCCAAAGTGTTGGATTACAGGTGTGAGCCACCATGCCTGGCCATGAGGGATAAATTTCTAATCATTGCTTCATTTATTCTAAATTATGGAAAAAGAGACAATAAATGATGTCTGTATCTACAAGACTGAAGGCCTCCTGGCAATGTTTTTTTTTAAATTTATGATATTGGTTAAGAGGAGTGGACTAAAGTTTTTGACTGATTATGAGGTAATAAAGGTATTAACATCAGTTATCTATATTGGGGTTTTTTAATTGTTTAATTTTTTTTTTTTGAGACAGAGTCTTGCTCTGTTGCCAGGCTGGAGTGCAGTGGTGCGATCTCGGCTCACTGCAACCTCCTCCTCCTGGGTTCAAGTGATGCCCCTGCCTCAGCCTCCTGAGTAGCTGGGACTATAGGTGCCCGCCATCATGCCTGGTTAATTTTTTTGTATTTTAGTAGAGACGGGGTTTCACCATATTGGCCAGAATGGTCTCGACCTCCTAACCTCGTGATCTGCCTGCCTTGGCCTCCCAAAGTGCTGGGATTACAGGCATGAGCCACTGCACCCAGCCTATTTTTTAATTTATTAAGGCACAAGGTTGTTTGTTAGAAGACTGGCTTTGAAATCTTTTATAAATAAAACTATATTCTATGAGTGCATATAAGACTTTTATTTATTTTTATTGTCTATAGAGGCATATGTAAGGAAAAAATTAAGAGGTAAGAGTCTCATGATGGTAGAGAAGTCTTGATTTGTGATCTTGGGAAAGTTGTCCATGTCTAGGATGTTGTCTGTTTTCAGAGAAAGTTTTTTTTTTTTTTTTTTTTTTTTTTTTCTGGTTGGTTTTTTGTTTTTGTTAGTTTTAGGTCTCTAATGGGTATATAGTTTTAAGAGTCTGGGCCAGGCGTGGTGGCTCATGCCTGTAATCCCAGCACTTTGGGAGGCTGATGTGGGTGGATCACCTGAGGTCAGGAGTTCGAGACCAGCCTGACCAACATGGAGAAACCCTGTCACTACTAAAAATACAAAATTAGCCGGATGTGGTGGCACATGCCTGTAATCCCAGCTACTTGGGAGACTGAGGCAGGATAAGTGCTTGAACCCAGGAGGTGGAGGTTGCAGTGAGCTGAGCTCGTGCCATTGTGTAAACGCACCAATCAGCACCCTGTCAAAATGGACCAATCAGTGCCCTATCAAAACAGACCATGCGGCTCTCTGTAAAATGGACCAATCAGCAGGATGTGGGTGGGGCCAGATAAGAGAAGAAAAGCAGGCTGCCTGAGCCAGCAGTGGCAACCCGCTCGGGTCCCCTTCCACACTGTGGAAGCTTTGTTCTTTAGCTCTTTGCAATAAATCTTGCTGCTGCTCACTCTTTGGGTCCACACTGCCTTTACGAGCTGTAACACTCACCGCGAAGGTCTGCAGCTTCACTCCTGAAGCCAGTGAGACCACGAACCCACCAGGAGGAACAAACAACTCCAGATGTGCTGCCTTAAGAGCTGTAACACTCACCGCGAAGGTCTGCAGCTTCAGTCCTAAGCCAGCAAGACCACGAACCCACCAGAAGGAAGAAACTCTGAACACATCCAAACATCAGAAGGAACAAACTCTGGACATGCCGCCTTTAAGAACTGTGACACTCACCACGAGGGTCCGTGGCTTCATTCTTGAAGTCAGTGAGACCAAGAACCCACCAATTCCAGACACATTTTGGCAACCACAAAGGGACTATCACCTATTGCCAAGCGGTGAGACTATCGCCAAGTGGTGAGACCATCGTCTATCGCTGAGCAGCAAAACAATCGCCTATCGCCAAGCAGTGAGTACCATCGGACCCCTTTCGCTTGCTATTCTGTCCTATTTTTCCTTAGAATTTGGGGGCTAAATACTGGGCATCTGTCAGCCAGTTAAAAGTGACTAGCGCGGCCGCCGGACTAAAGACATGGGTGTCAGGCTTTCTGAGAAAGGGCTCTCTAACAACCCCTGACTCTTCGGAGTTGGGAGCGTTGGTTTGCCTAAAACCAGCTTCCGCTTTTCCTGTACTTCTGGGCTGAGCCGAGGGTAGACAGAGAGGAAAGTATGCAACTCCAGGGTCCTGACAACAAGTTGGTTGACCCTGGGGCCATGAGCAGAACTCTCAAAGGCATGTCGCCCAAGCGAGACTCGCCCATCTATCCTATCTATCCTGACTCTTGCCCCCTGGGTCCTAATGCCTGCCAGACAAACTTCCTCTCACCTCTCTTCTCTGAGGTTAGTCCCACTTCTAAAAATTGCTACCTGTCTCTGGTGCTTTTCTCATTTCTCCTATAAGAATGATTTCTAGTATAAACTCCAGGACTCTGTTACCTTCTTTAGGCACCTGGGCTCCCCAATCAGAAAGACATAATTTTTGCCCAAAGCCCGTCATAGTGGGGACTACCTGGAATTTTAGGATCCCTCCTCAGACTAATAGGCCTAACAAAAGCTATTCCTGAAGCTAGGATATGGGGAGCCTCAGAAATTGTATCCTTCCTATTCACATAAGTGAGGACAAAAGGCGTCACTCTTCCAACCCTGGAGATCCCTTCCCTCCCACAGGGTATGGCCCTCCACTTCATTTTTGGGGCATAACATCTTTATAGGAGAGGGGTAAAGCCCCAGTACTAACAGGACAATGCTTAGGACTCTAACAGGTTTTCAAGAATGCGTCGGTAAGGGCCACTAAATCCGATTTTTCTTGGTCAGGCCTCCTTGTGGTCCAGGAGGACATGCAAGCGTGCAGGTTTTCGAGAATGCGTCAGTAAGGGACACTAAATCTGACCTTCCTCGGTCCTCCATGTGGTCTGGGAGGAAAACTAGCGTTTCTGCTGCTGCGTCGGTGAGGGCAACTATTCCGATCAGCAGGGTCCAGGGACTGTTGCGGGTTCTTGGACAGGGGTTGTTTCTGCTGCTGCGTCAGTGAGCGCAACTATTCAGATCAGCAGGGGCCAGGGACCATTGAGGGTTCTTGGGCAGGGGGAGAAACAAAAAAAAAAACCAAAACTGCAGGCGGTTTTGTCTTTCAGATGGGAAACACTCAGGCATCAACAGGCTCACACTTGAAATGCATACTAAGCCACTGGGACCAATTTGACCCACAAACCCTGAAGAAGAGGTGGCTCATTTTTTCCTGCACTACGGCTTGGCCCCAATATTCTCTCTCTGATGGGGAAAAATGGCCACCTAAGGGAAGTACAAATTACAATACTATCCTGCAGCTTGACCTTTTCTGTAAGAGGGAAAGCAAATGGAGTGAAATACCTTATGTCCAAGCTTTCTTTTCATTGAGGGAGAATACACAACTATGCAAAGCTTACAATTTACATCCCACAGGAGGACCTCTCAGCTTACCCCCATATCCTAGCCTCCCTATAGCTCCCCTTCCTATTAATGATAAGCCTCCTCTAATCTCCCCTGCCCAGAAGGAAATAAGCAAAGAAATCTCCAAAGGACCACAAAAACCCCTGGGCTATTGGTTATGGCCCCTTCAAGCTGTACAGGGAGGGGAATTTGGCCCAACCCGGGTACATGTCCCCTTCTCCCTCTCTGATTTAAAACAGATCAAGGCAGACCTGGGGAAGTTTTCAGATGATCCTGATAGGTACATAGATGTCCTACAGGGTCTAGGGCAAACCTTTGACCTCACTTGGAGAGATGTCATGCTACTGTTAGATCAAACCCTGGCCTTTAATGAAAAGAATGCGGCTTTAGCTGCAGACTGAGAGTTTGGAGATACCTGGTATCTTAAGTCAGTAAATGATAGAATGACAGCTGAAGAAAGGGACAAATTCCCTACCAGTCAGCAAGCCATCCCCACTATGGATCCCCACTGGGACCTTGATGCAGATCATGGGGACTGGAGTCGTAAACATCTGTTGACCTGTGTTCTAGAAGGACCAAGGAGAATTAGAAAAAAGCCCATGAATTATTCAGTGATGTCCACCATAACTCAGGGAAAGGAAGAAAATCTTTCTGCCTTCCTCAAGCGGCTACGAGAGGCCTTAAGAAAATATACTCCCCTGTCACCCGAATCACTTGAGGGTCAATTGATTCTAAAAGATAAGTTTATTACCCAATCAGCCACAGATATCAGGAGAAAGCTCCAAAAGCAAGCCCTGGGTCCTGAACAAAACCTAGAGGCATTATTAAACCTGGCAACCTCAGTGTTTTATAATAGGGACCAAGAGGAACAGGCCCAAAAGGAAAAGCGAGATCAGAGAAAGGCCGCAGCCTTAGTCATGGCCCTCAGACCAACAAACCTTGGTGGTTCAGAGAGGACAGAAAATGGAGCAGGCCAAACACCCGGTAAGACTTGTTACCAGTATGGTTTACTAGGACACTTTAAAAAAGATTGTCCAATGAGAAACAAGCTGCCCCCTCATCCATGTCCACTATGCCAAGGCAATCACTGGAAGGTGCACTGCCCCAGAGGATGAAGGTTCTCTGGGTCAGAAGCCCCCAACCAGATGATCCAACAATAGGACTGAGGGTGCCCGGGGCAAGCGCCAGCTCATGTCATCACCCTCACTGAGCCCCTGATATGTTTAACTATTGAGGGCCAGGAAATTGACTTCCTCCTGGACACTGGCGTGGCCTTCTCAGTGTTAATCTCCTGTCCTGGACGACTGTCCTCAAGGTCCGTTACCATCTGAGGAATCCTGGGACAGCCTGTAACCAGGTATTTCTCCCACCTCCTCAGCTGTAATTGGGAGACTTTGCTCTTTTCACGTGCCTTTCTAGTTATGCCTGAAATTCCCACACCCTTATTAGGGAGGGATATATTAGCCAAGGCTGGAGCTATTATCTACATGAATATGGGGAACAAGTTACCCATTTGTTGTCCCCTACTTGAGGAGGGAATCAACCCCGAAGTCTGGGCATTGGAAGGACAATTTGGAAGGGCAAGAAATGCCTGCCCAATCCAAATCAGGTTAAAAGATCCCACCACTTTTCCTTATCAAAGGCAATATCCCTTAAGGCCTGAAGCTCATAAAGGATTACAGAATATTGTTAAACATTTAAAAGCTCAAGGCTTAGGAAGGAAATACAGCAGTCGCTGCAACATCCCAATTCTAGGAGTACAAAAACCAAATGGTCAGTGGAGACTAGTGCAAGATCTTAGACTCGTCAATGAGGCAGTAATTCCTCTATATCCAGTTGTACCCAACCCCCTATACCCTGCTCTCTCAAATACCAGAGGAAGCAGAATGGTTCACGGTTCTGGACCTCAGGGATGACTTCTTCTGTATTCCCCTGCACTCTGACTCCCAGTTCCTCTTTGCCTTTGAGGATCCCACAGACCACATGTCCCAACTTACGTGGATGGTCTTGCCCCAAGGGTTTAGGGATAGCCCTCATCTGTTTGGTCAGGCACTGGCCCAAGATCTAGGCCACTTCTCAAGTCCAGGCACTCTGGTCCTTCAATATGTGGATGATTTACTTTTGGCTACCAGTTCGGAAGCCTCGTGCCAGCAGGCTACTCTAGATCTCTTGAACTTTCTAGCTAATCAAGGGTACAAGGTGTCTAGGTCGAAGGCCCAGCTTTGCCTATATCAGGTCAAATATCTAGGCCTAGTCTTAGCCAGAGGGACCAGGACCCTCAGCAAGGAATAAATACAGCCTATACTGGCTTATCCTTGCCCTAAAACATTAAAACAGTTGCGGGGGTTCTTTGGAATTACCTGCTTTTGCCGAGTATGGATCCCTGGATGCAGGGAGATAGCCAGGCCCCTGTATACTCTAATCAAGGAAACCCAGAAGGCAAATACTCATCTAGTAGAATGGGAACCAGAGGCAGAAACAGCCTTTAAAACCTTAAAGCAGGCCCTAGTACGAGCTCCAGCTTTAAGCCTTCCCACAGGACAAAACTTCTCTTTATACGTCACAGAGAGAGCTGGGATAGCTCTTGGAGTCCTTACTCAGACTCACGGTACAACCCCACAACCAGTGGCATACCTAAGTAAGGAAATTGACATGGTAGCAAAAGGCTGGCCTCACTGTTTAAGGGTAGTTGCAGCAGTGGCCATCTTAGTGTCAGAGGCTATCAAAATAATACAAGGAAAGGATCTCACTGTCTGGACTACTCATGATGTAAATGGCCTACTAGGTGCCAAAGGAAGTTATGGCTATCAGACAACTGCCTACTTAGATACCAGGCGCTACTCCTTAAGGGACCGGTGCTTCAAATATGCATATGCGTGGCCCTCAACCCTGCCACTTTTCTCCCAGAGGATGGGGAACCAATCGAGCATGACTGCCAACAAATTATAGTCCAAACTTCTGCCACCTGAGATGATCTCTTAGCATTCCCCTTAACTAATCCTGACCTTAACCTATATACTGATGGAAGTTAATTTGTGGAGAATGGGATATGAAGGGCAGGTTACGCCATAGTTAGTGAGGTAACCATACTTGAAAGTAAGCCTCTTCCCCCAGGGACCAGTGCCCAGTTAGCAGAACTAGTGGCACTTACCCGAGCCTTAGAACTGGGAAAGGGAAAAAGAATAAATGTGTATACAGATAGCAAGTATGCTTATCTAATCCTACATGCCCATGCTGCAATATGGAAAGACAGGGAGTTCCTAACCTCTGGGTGAACCCCCATTAAATACCACAAGGAAATTATAGGGTTATTGCACACAGTGCAAAAACCCAAAGAGGTGGGAGTCTTACACTGCCAAAGCCATCAAAATGGGAAGGAGAGGGGAGAACAGCAGCATAAGCAGCTGGCAGAGGCAGCAAGGAAAGAGAGAAAGAGACAGGAAGTCAAAGAAAGAGACAGAGAAGAAGAGACAGAGAGACAGAAACAGAGAGACAGAAACAGAGAGTCAAAGAGAAGGAGACAGAAAAAGAAACAGAGAGGAAGAAACAGAGAGTTGAAGAGAAAGAGACGAAGAGAAGGAGTCAGAGAGAAAGAGGGACAGACACAGAAAGTCAGAGAGTCAGAAAGAGAGGAAGAGACAAAGAAGAAGTCAAAGAGAAAGAGAGATGGAAGTAGTAAAGAAAAAACAGTGTATCCCATTCCTTTAAAAGCCAGGGTAAATTTCTGTCTACCCAGCCAAGGCATATTTTTCTTATGTGGAACATCGACCTATATCTGCCTCTCCACTAACTGGACAGACACCTGCACCTTAGTCTTTCTAAGTCCCAACATTAACATTGCCCCAGGAAATCAGACCTTATCAGTACCCCTCAAAGCTCAAGTCCATCAGTGCAGAGCCATACAACTAATACACCTACTTATAGGGTTAGGAATGGCTACTGCTACAGGAACTGGAATAGCCAGTTTATCTGCTTCATTATCCTACTACCACACACTCTCAAAGGATTTCTCAGACAGTTTGCAAGAAATAACGAAATCTATTCTTACTTTACAATCCCAAATAGACTCTTTGGCAGCAGTGACTCTACAAAACTGCCGATGCCTAGACCTCCTCACTGCTGAGAAAGGAGGACTCTGCACCTTCTTAGGGGAAGAGTGTTGTTTTTACACTAACCAGTCGGGGATGGTATGAGATGCCACCCGACATTTACAGGAAAAGGCTTCTGAAATCAGACCACACCTTTCAAACTCTTATACCAACCTCTGGAGTTGGGCAACATGGTTTCTCCCCTTTCTAGGTCCCGTGGCAGCCATCTTGCTGTTACTTGCCTTTGGGCCCTGTATTTTTAACCTTCTTGTCAAATTTGTTTCCTCTAGAATCGAAGCCATCAAGCTACAGATGGTCTTACAAATGGAACCCCAAATGAGTTCAACTAACAACTTCTACCGAGGACCCCTGGACCGACCCGCTGGCACTTCCACTGGCCTAGAGAGTTCCCCCTTGGAGGACACTACAACTGCAGGGCCCCTTCTTCACTTCTATCCAGCAGGAAGTAGCTAGAGCAGTCATCGGCCAAATTCCCAACAGCAGTTGGGGTGTCCTGTTTAGAGGGGGGATTGAGAGGTGGCAGTGTGCTGGCAGCCCTCGCAGCCCTCGCTCACTCTTGGCTCCTCCTCGGCCTTGGCGCCCACTCTGGCCATGCTTAAGGAGCCCTTCAGCCTGCCACTGCACTGTGGGAACACTGGCCAAGGCCAGAGCCAGCTCACTCAGCTTGTGGGGAAGTGTGGAGGGAGAGGCGCAGGCGGGAACTGGGGCTGCATGCGGCGCTTGCGGGCCAGCGTGAGTTCCGGGTGGTTGTGGGCTTGGCGGGCCCCAGACTCGGAGCGGCTGGCCTGCCCTGCTGGCCCCAGGCAGTGAGGGGCTTAGCACCCAGGCCAGCAGCTGTGGATGGTGCGCTGAGTCTCCCAGCAGTGCTGGCCCACCCCACCAGCACTGCACTCGATTTCTCGCCAGGCCTTAGCTGCCTCCCCGCAGGGCAGGCCTTGGGACCTGCAGCCCACCATGCCTGAGTCTCCCCTGCTGCCGCCGTGGGCTCCTGCGTGGCCCAAGCCTCCCCGACGAGCACTGCCCCCTGCTCCCCGGTGCCTGGTCCCATCGACCGCCCAAGGGCTGAGGAGTGCAGGTGCATGGTGCGGGACTGGCAGGCAGCTCCACCTGCGGCCCCAGTGCAGGAAGCCAGCTGGGCTCCTGAGTCTGGTGGGGACTTGGAGAATTTTTATGTCTAGCTAAGGGATTGTAAATACACCAATCAGCACTCTGTATCTAGCTCAAGGATTGTAAATACACCAATCAGCACCCTGTGTCTAGCTCAGGGTTTGTCAATGCACCAATCGGCACTCTGTATCTAGTTAATCTGGTGGGGAGTTGGAGAATCTTTATGTCTAGCTAAGGGATTGTAAATACACCAATCAGCACTCTGTATCTAGCTCAAGGTTTGTAAACACACCAATCAGAACCCTGTGTCTAGCTCAGGGTTTGTGAATGCACCAATCAGCACTCTGTATCTAGTTAATCTGGTGGGGACTTGGAGAATCTTTATGTCTAGCTAAGGGATTGTGAATGCACCAATCGGCACTCTGTATCTAGCTCAAGGTTTGTAAATGGACCAATCAGCACTCTATGTCTAGCTCAGTGTTTGTAAATACACCAATCGACACTCTATCTAGCTAATCTAGTGGGGACGTGGAGAACTTTTGTGTCTAACTCAGGGATTGTAAATGCACCAATCAGAACCCTGTCAAAATGGACCAATAGCTCTCTGTAAAACAGACTGACTTTCTGTAAAATGGACCAATCAGCAGGATGTGGGTGGGGCCAGATAAGAGAAGAAAAGCAGGCTGCCTGAGCCAGCAGTGGCAACCCGCTTGGGTCCCCTTCCACACTGTGGAAGCTTTGTTCTTTCGCTCTTTGCAATAAATCTTGCTGCTGCTCACTCTTTGGGTCCACACTGCCTTTATGAGCTGTAACACTCACCGCGAAGGTCTGCAGCTTCACTCCTGAAGCCAGCGAGACCACGAACCCACCAGGAGGAACAAACAACTCCAGATGCGCTGCCTTAAGAGCTGTAACACCGCGAAGGTCTGCAGCTTCACTCCTGAGCCAGCAAGACCACAAACCCACCAGAAGGAAGAAACTCAGGAAAACAGCCGAACATCAGAAGGAATAAACTCTGGACACACCACCTTTAAGAACTGTGACACTCGCTGCGAGCGTCTGTGGCTTCATTCTTGAAGTCAGTGAGACCAAGAACCCACCAATTCTGGACACAATTGCACTCTAGCCTGGGCAACAAGAGTGAAACTCCATCTCGAAAAAAAAAAAAAAAGAGTCTGGAAGGGCCCTTCTGAGTTGTAATATTATGAACTTAAATTTTGAGGTCCTGAAGTTTTGTTGCAGTGTGAATGATAAGAGTAGTCTTTTTTTGATATCATCTGTAGAAGACCCAATTTTGGGGTTTCAGATTAGGAAGGGTTTGATGGTTTTTAGTGGACTATGAAAAGGTTTTTTTTGGTGAAAATATATTTTGGTATAATGTACTAAAGTCTTGTAGTATTTAGTCATAATAGAGTTTAACAGTGGAAGCTATATGAAGTTTGTCTTGTTTTTTTTTGTTTGTTTGTTTGTTTGTTTTTGAGACAGAGTCTCACTCTGTCACCCAGGCTGGAGTGCAGTGGTGCGATCTCGGCTCACTGCAAGCTCCGCCTCCTGGGTTCACGCCATTCTCCTGCCTCAGCCTCCCGAGTAGCTGGGACTGCAGGTGCCACCACCACGCCCGGCTAATTTTTTGTATTTTTTAGTAGAAACGGGGTTTCACCGTGTTAGCCAGGATGGTCTGGATCTCCTGACCTCATGATCTGCCCACCTTGGCCTCCCAAAGTGCTGGGATTACAGGTGTGACCCACTGCTCCCAGTCATGAAATTTTATTATTAGGAACATGGGCCTTTTAGTTACTGTTGTTTACGGGGCCATTCATTTTTTATTTTTTTTGAGACAGGGTTACATTCTGTCACTCAGGCTGGAGTGCAGTGGCGCAACATAGCTGACTGCTCAAACAATCCTGCCTCAGCCTCCCAAGTAGCTGGGACACGAAACCATGCCCAGCTATTTAAAAATTTTTTTTGTAGTGATGGGGTCTCACTATGTTGTCCAAGGTGCTCTCAAACTCCTGATCTCAAGTGATCCTCTCACCTTGGCTTCTCAAAGTGATATGATTATAGACATAAGCCACTGTGCATGGCCATACATTTTTTAAATAAAAGGGTTTTAAAATAGTTAAATGTCAGAAAGGTGTATTTTGGAGACTGGTTTGGTTTAATAGGTGGTGTTTTTAACTTCGTTATTGTTTTTTAGCTAAAATTATTGAGTTTAGAGTGGAAAGGAATAGGGCAAATAAAGTATTCTCTATGTCTGGTCTAAATATGGATAGGTCTGAAAAAAAGGGAAGTCTACTTTATCTGAGGGCCTATCTTTTATGAATATTTTATTTAGGATAGTTTGTTTTTTTTGTTGTTGTTGTTCTTTGTTTTTGTTCTCTTGCCTTTGGAGTGGGATAGTTACTAAGTCAAAAAGGTTAGTAGATTTAATTTTTTTTTTTTTTTTTGAAACTGGAGATTCTCTCTTGTTGCCCAGGCTGGAGTGCAATGGTGTGATCTTGGCTCACTGCAGCCTCCACTTCCTTGGTTCAAGCAATTCCCCTGCCTCAGCCTCCTGAGTAGCTGGGACTACAGTTGTGTGCCACCATGCCCGACTAATTTTTTTGTATTTTAGTAGACATGGGGTTTCACCATGTTGGCCAGGATGGTCTCAATCTCCAGGATGATCCTCCTGCCTCAGCCTTCCAAAATGCTGGGATTACATGCATAAACCACTGCACCTGGCCAAAAGATAACATCTTAACATATGTTTCTGGGTTGTTTTCAGAAATCCAGATCCCCACCAAATGGAAAATGCTGTCCACTGGCACCTAGACCTCAGATATGGGGGAATTGAGAACTGAATGATGACCACTATTTTTTTTTTTTTTTTTGAGACAGAGTCTCACTCTGTTGCCCAGGCTGGAGTGCAGTCATGTGATCAAGGCTCACTGCAGCCTTACTCTTCGGGGCTCAGAAGATAATCACAGCTCAGGCTCCCTTAGCTGGGACTAACAGGTGTGCAACACCATGACTGGCTGAATTTTTTGTGTATTTTTTGTGGAGACAGAGTTTTGCCATGTTGCCCAGGCTGGCTGACTGCCATTCTTTGTTCTGAATTTCTTCTTGAGGAGCCTGGAGGAAGTCATGCTCATAGGCAGTTACTGGTGGAAGAGATCCAAGATGCCCAAAGTTACTGGTGGCATATCCTTGTGGGTCCATAGCAAGTTCAGTCCTTGCCTCCTCAGAAGAAAAAATTCGACTGAGGGGCATAAGGCAGAAAAAGAGACCAGGGCAAGTTCCAGAGCAGGAATAGAAGTTTATTTAAAAAGGCCTTAGAGGTCAGTCATGGTGGCTCACGCCTATAATCCCAGTGCTTTGGGACACCGAGGTGGGCGGATCACCTGAGGTCGGGAGTTTGAGACCACCCTGACTAACATGGAGAAACCCTGTCTCTACTAAAAATACAAAATTAGCCAGGCATGGTGGCACATGCCTGTAATCCCAGCTACTCAGGAGGCTGAGGAACGAGAATTGCTTCAACCTGAGAGGCAGAGGTTGTGGTGGGCCGAGATCGTGCCATTGCACTCTAGCCTGGGCAACAAGAGCGAAACTCCGCCTCAAAAAAAAAAAAAAAAAAAAGCTTTAGAACAGGAAAGAAAGGAAGGTGCACTTGGAAAAGATCCAAGCAGGGATGTGAAGGTTAAAGAGAGAAGGTCAAGTGCCCTGTTTAACCGTGATCCTAGGACTTTTTTTTTTTGAGACAGAGTCTCGCTCTGCCACCCAGGCTGGAGTGCAGTGGCGCGATCTCGGCTCACTGCAAGCTCCACCTCCTGGGTTCACGCCATTCTCCTGCCTCAGCCTCCCGAGTAGCTGGGACTACAGGCACCCGCCACCATGCCTGGCTAATTTTTTGTATTTTTTAGTGGAGACAGGGTTTCACCATGTTAGCCTGGATGGTCTCGATCTCCTGACCTTGTGATCCGCCCGCCTCAGCCTCCCAAAGTGCCGCGATTACAGGCATGAGCCACCGCACCTAGCCGATCCTAGGACTTTTACAACCTCGCCTCTTTCCCATGATTCTTCCCTTAGGATGAGCTGCCCACATGCGCAGAACCCTCCTTACCCTTGGGAAGTGAGCACACACAGTGTATTTAGGGAGTTATACACATGCCTATCTGAGGCTTTCTTCCTTTATCTGGTGTAGTGTACCCAGAAGATCATACTTTGCCATTTCTGTCTCTTAATATGCATGCCCAGGAAGCTGTTTCTTGCTGGGGCCTGCATTCAATTCACATTTTGATATTAACAGGTGTAGACCATCAGGAAACGGCCTCTCCCTGGTGCTGCCAAATTATCACTTTTAGAGAGGCAATGAGATAATTGCTGAAACATCACCAGACATTTATAGTGGGTAGGGGGAGAGCCCTCCCCTGCCCAGCTGATGCCTAATTACTGATGCAGCATTTTTTGCTTCTTAGCTCAGCTAAATCTGGGTTCTTGTCTCAGGATCAGGAAGAATTAGGCACACAGATGCACTGAAGGGTGGGGAGGATGGAATTTATTAAGCAAAAGGGGAGCTCTCAGCAAAGAGAGGAGTCCCGTCAGCAGGCTCCCACCTCAAAGATTGAATACCAGGCCACCACACATGAGCTGAAGAGGTTAGCCTCCTCTCCTGCATAAGGCATGAATTTCTTGTGGCTCCAACCCAATCCCCCAGTGGATGTGGGCCTCCAGTCTACTGTGGGCATGATCAGGCAAGACCCTGTGCATGTTCCCTTATCTGCACAAAAACATCTGGTATAAATGCTTGTGGGGTGTATTATAGATTCTCTGGGGCCAGAAAGTGACATTCTTATTCACCACAAGTTAGGAACCCTGTGTGGGGACAGTGTAGACATGGTATGAGGCCAGTTTTCCCAAGGGGCTTTAATCGGCTCTGCAAGTCAAGCTTGATTCCTTAAAGGGAAGCACACGCTTCCAGTCAAAGCCTTGGTAAAACAACCAGTTTCTCCAATTGTGTTCTCTTGCAAAAGAAAATGCATTCTTTTTGCACTAATGCAAATAACCATACTGCCATAAGTTAAGAATACTTACAACTAGTTTCCAAATTTTAGAGAAGCCAGGCAGAGAGAAACAAATAGGCTCCAAATTTTGTTCACAGGAGTTAACTTACTCGATTATTAAAGGCTATAAATAGCCCAAAATAAGTTTCCTTGACTCTGAAAAACAAAACAAGGATCAGCAATGTTTTAAGCAAAAGTAAACAAACAAACAAAAAGATTACTTCAGTTTTCTGTTTGTTCAATTCAGTCCATTAACTCTTATTCTGCTTGATATTCATAAACATTTCAACTCTTCATAAGTTCTGTACATTTTTCCTTTATTCCAGTGTCACAATCTCCAAAGTTATCAGAAATCTGCATTTTAGAGCACCAAAGTTCTATAGCTGATTATAAACCATCTTTTGAAAAGGATCAAAACAAGACAAGAATTGTCTGTGAATAACAAGATGTCCAGGGTAGTTACAGTTAAAAATATGATTGGCAGAGAAATTTGGTTATCTCTGTGGTTTACAATAACTCAACATAATAACCTTAATTATGATTGAGAGCATAAACTCAGAACTCAGATGTTAGAATTTTAGGCATCCCATAAAATTTTGGAACATTTATTAATATTCTTCTCTAAAATATAACCTGAAGAAGATTAAACATCATTTTGGCAATCCCACATATCTAAACATGTCAAATAATCCTGTTTACCTCTCTTCTGGATGCTTCAGGGGCCCTCCGTAGCATCCAAAAGCTAGGGGCCAGGAAAGAAAATTTCAAAACTGATTTTGGGAAACCTGTTTAATAAGTTAGAGGTTTAAAACACTTGAAATTATAAAATGCAATTCTAGATTACCAAGTTATTTATTTTACCAAAATGATGACTCAAACTCTTTTCTTTTTTCTTTTTTTTTTTTTGAGATGGCATCTTCCTCTGTCACCCAGCCTGGAGTACGGTAGTGTGATCTTGGCTCACCACAACCTCCACCTCCTGGGTTCAAGTGATTCTCCTGCCTCAGCCTCCTGAGTAGCTGGGATTACAGGCGCGTGCCACCATGCCTGGCTAATTTTTGTATTTTTAGTAGAGACGGGGTTTCACTATGTTAGGCTGGTCTCGAACACCTGACCTTGTGATCTGCCTGCCTTGGCCTCACAAAGTGCTGGGATTACAGGCATGAGCCACCGCGCCCAGTCACATATTTCTTTTTTTTGTTTTTTTTGAGATGGAGTCTCACTCTGTTGCCCAGGCTAGAGTGCAGTGGCATGATCTCGGCTCACTGCAACCTCCGCCTCCTGGCTATAAGCGATTCTCCTACCTCAGCCTCCCACGCAGCTGGGATTACAGATGCCTGCCACCACACCCGGCTAATTTTTGTATTTTTAGTACAGATGGGATTGCGCCATGTTGGCCAGGCTGGTCTCGAACTCTTGAACTCAGGTGATCTGCCCGCCTTGGCCTCCCAAAGTGCTGGAATTACAGGTGTGAGCCACTGTGCCCAGTGACTCAACCATTTTTTAAAAGGCAAAAAACTTCACTTATTAAGCGTGAAGACTTAGCTTTCCAAACAATTTGTCTCCTGTCTTCTCTTTCTCTTTCTTGGCAGCCTATCCACAAGGGAAACTAAAATCTTTCCTTATCCTTCATTATTACATGAGAATCTTGTACAAGGGAGAGAAAGCCAAATTTTACCCTTCCATTAGCTTACTATTAATGTCAACCCCAATTTTCTAATGAAACTTTATAGACAATTCTATCCAATCTTAACTGGTTGGACCATGAGGTGAGATTCTTATAATCCTTTTATAACCCTTTACAAATTTTGCTAAAAAGCAAATTAGTGCCTTAAGAAAAACTTGTGCTTTTATTTTAATGCTCAATTTACAGAAAACCCAATATAAGACCGTTTTGAATTTAGTTAGTGTTAACACATAGAATTTCTTTTGCAAGATTAATTTTTAGAAACCTTCCACAACTTGTTAAACCTTTAGCTTTTTCTTATCTAGTTTAAAACAATTCTTTAACCCTAGGCCAAAATTTACACTTCCATGCCTTCTTATAAACTTTTACTAAAATCACATTTCACTGTTTTTACACACCTTGCATATAAATCCATTTTCAGTGGTCTCAGTTACATGATTTAATGGTAACTCTTAGCAATTTTTAACTGTAATGTAAAATCCAGTGAGCTGTTTTAATTATGCACTAGCATCAACAAAGTTTGACTCCTTCCTGCATAGTTAAGGGCGTGATTAATTCCATATGTACCTAGGCCTTAGCAATTGTAAAGCAGGCAAATCAAACAGTTCTCGAAAGCCAAAGAAGCAGTTTATAACCTTAAAACATATAGCAAACCTAGTATCTGATCTGCAGAATTTAGATCACCTATTTACATTTTGATGACAGTTGCATTTTACCAGTAATCTTTAAGACTGTTTTTATTTCTCAAAGATTAAAGTCATGTGAAGTAAAAACCTTCACAGCTTTTACTTCTCCTTCAAAAAAAATTTTATTTAAGTGCTTATTTTTCTTTTCTTTTCTTTTCTTTTTTTTTTTGAGACAGAGTCTTGCTCTGTTGCCCAGGCTGGAGGGCAGTGGCATGATCTCGGCTCACTGCAAGCTCCGCCTCCCAGGTTCACACCATTCTCCTGCCTCAGCCTCCTGAGTAGCTGGGACTACAGGCGCCCGCCACCCCGCCTGGCTAATTTTTTGTATTTTTTTAGTAGAGATGGGGTTTCACCGTGTTAGCCAGGATGGTCTTAATCTCCTGACCTCGTGATCCGCCCGCCTCGGCCTCCCAAAGTGCTGGGATTACAGGCGTGAGCCACCGCGCCCAGCTTATTTTTCTTTTTTCTTTTTCTTTTCTTTTTTTTTTTTTTTTGAGATGGAGTCTCGCTGTGTTGCCCTGGCTGGAGTGCAGTGGTGTGATCTCGGCTCACTGCAAGCTCCACCTCCTGGGTTCATGCCATTCTCCTGCCTCAGCCTCCCAAGTAGCTGGGACTACAGGCACCTGCCACCACACCCAGCTAATTTTTTTGTATTTTTAGTAGAGATGGGGTTTCACCATGTTAGCCAGGATGGTCTTGATCTCCTGGCCTCATGAACCGCCCACCTCAGCCTCCCAAAGTCCTGGGATTACAGGCATGAGCCACCATGCCTGACCATAAGTGCTTATTTTTCTTTAGGCCAATTAACTAGTTCTTTTTTTTTTCCTTCTTCTTTTTTGAGACAGAGTCTTGCTCTTGTTGCCCAGGCTGGAGTGCAATAGCGTGATCTTGGCTAACTGCAACCTCCACCTCCTGGGTTCAAGTGATTCTCCAGCCTCAGCCTCCTGAGTAGCTAGGATTACAGGTGCCCACCACCACACCCAGCTACGTTTTGTATTTTTAGTAGAGATGGGGTTTCACCATGTTGGCCAGGCTGGTCTCAAACTCCTGATCTCAGGTGTTCCACTCACCTCAGCTTTCCAAAGTACTGGGATTACAGGCATGAGCCACTGGGCCCAGCCTAGGGCTCTTTTATGTAAACTTCACACACATATAACACATACATAACTACACAAACAGACAGTAAAAGATCCAGTAATTGTAAGATTTTTTATTTGCCATTCTCCTAATTGGATTATTGGCCTCAGGGTGGAGCCTTTTAAGAGATAGTCTAGGAAACCATGCAGTTTCTAAGGCTTAATAATCAGGTATAGCTGGAAGACAAAAAATAGATTTTGAGAGGGACCTATCAACTTCTAATTCCTGGAGTTCCATGAGGAAAACAGAGGTTTCACCCAAAATGGAATCAGTGGCGCCTTTTCTGTTTTTCCCAAGAAGTCCCAGGCCATCTGAAATTATAACTTAGGGCCTCTCATGCATGCATTAAGAGTGCCAAGACAAAATGGAGAAAAAGAATTCAATCGACTGAGAAGAAAAAAAAACTTTTTCTAGAAAAACAAGATCCAGAAAGAGAAAAACATAAAGCCCTTTTAAATGTACCTATAGCTTGGATATCCACTTTTAATTAAGCTAAGCACTTTTTAAGAAAATCCTTTTGAGGACTAAACTCTGATTTTTTTTATCTTGCCCAAATTCCTATCTAATGAGTCTGGGGAGTCATGCCCTACAAATAATAAATTCTCATCAGATGGGTTTTATTTGACTGTATATATTGTTACTTGCTTTCCAACCTGACTCTGGCATAACATTATGAGACAAGGAAGAAAATCAAAATATTTTACCCAAAACATGTTTCTTTGCTATATCGTGAAATGGCCCTGCAAAGCTGTGCTTTGTGGGGGAAATTTTGCATCTGTAAAGAATCTCTATTAACATAGCTAGATCTTTTATTCCAGGCCCTCCCAATCCTAAAGAAATTAACTAAAAGTCTAGCACCTTTTAAAGATCTAAATAGGAAATAATTTGTCATCTATTATCTCTAACCAGCAGCCACTATAAGACTTCAAAAGAACCTTTTGTTTGTTTGTTTGTTTTTCGAGAAGAGTTTCACTCTTGTTGCCCAAGCTGGAGTGCAATGGTGCGATGGTGCAATCTTGGCTCATTGAAACCTCCGCTTCCTGGGTTCAAGTGATTTGTCTCATGTGTCCGTGTGAAGAGACCACCAAACAGGCTTTGTGTGAGCAACATGGCTGTTTATTTCACCTGGGTGCAGGCGAGCTGAGTCTGAAAAAGGAGTCAGCAAAGGGTGGTGGGATTATCATTGGTTCTTATAGGTTTTGGGATAGGCGGTGGAGTTAAGAGCAATGTTTTGGGGGCAGGGGGTGGATCTCACAAAGTACATTCTCAAGGGTGGGGAGAATTATAAAGAAACTTCTTAAGGATGGGGGAGATTATAAAGAACCTTCTTAAGGGTGGGGGAGATTACAAAGTTCATTGATCAGTTAGGGTGGGGCAGAAACAAATCACAATGGTAGAATGTCATCAGTTAAGGCTATTTTCACTTCTGTGGATCTTCAGTTGCTTCAGGCCATCTGGATGTATATGTGCGGTGACTGGGGATATGATGGCTTAGCTTGGGCTCAGAGGCCTGACATGATTCTCTTGCCTCAGCCTCCCGAGTAGCTGGGATTACAAGCGTGCATCACACGTCTGGCTAATTTTTTGTACTTTTAGTGAAAACAGGGTTTCACCATGTTAGCCAGGCTGGTCCTGAACTCCTGACCTCAGGTGATCTGCCCGCCTTGGTCTCCCAAACTGCTGGGATTAGAGGTGTGAGCCATTGCGCCTCAGCCTCAGCTTTTTTATCTTTTTAACCTTTAAAAAAGATAAAAATATTTTATCTTTTTTTTTTTTTTTGAGATGGAGTCTCGCTCTGTTGCCCAGGCGGAAGTGCAGTGGCACAATCTCGGCTCACTGCAACCTCCACCTCCCGGGTTTGAGCAGTTCTCCTTGCCTCAGCCTCCTGAATAGCTGGGATTACAGGCACATGCCACCACGCCCAGCTAATTTTTGTATTTTTAGTAGAGATGGGTTTCACCATGTTGGCCAGGCTGCTCTTGAACTCCTGAACCTCAGGTGATCCACCTGCCTTGGCCTCCCAAAGTGCTGGGATTACAGGCAGGCAGCCACAGTCTTTTATCTTACCCTGAACATTTCCTGTCTATGATCCCAGGTCTTTAGATAAACTCAACCAATTGTCAACCAGAAAAATGTCTAAATTTACCTATAGCTTGGAAGCCCCTGCTTTGAATTGTCCCACCCTTCTAGTCCAAACCAATGTATTTCTTAAATGTATTTGATTGATGTCTCATGCCTCCCTAAAATGTGTAAAACCAAGCTGCGCCCTGACCACCTTAGGCACATGTTCTCAGGACCTCCTGTGGATGGTGTCACAGGCCATGGTCATTCATATTTGGCTCACAATAAATCTCTTCTAATATTTTACAGTTTGACTCTTTCCATTGACACTTTTACTACCCTTGTTATGCGACTTTAGCCATGCCAAGCGGCCAATATTTCTGGCATTTGAACTTTACCAAAATTAACCTCACCGGTGAAATCCACAAAACTCAATTAAGTTTATGACTTTATCACCAGTGTATGAGGTATTTTCAAAGAGGTAGTAAGCAGTTTTTACAAAATCTAGAAATTTTAAAGGTAGCTCAGAGAAAGGAAGTTTCAAGAAAGGAAGCTATAAGTTGTTCATGAAGCGGAAGAGAATCAGCAAATGGTAAAAGTCACACAGATATTAACCAGAAAGTATTCATCCCCTAAGCCAAGACTGAACCCAGGCCACCATTGTAGAATGCCAGAGACCAAAACAAACTACTGCCACATGGCTCTAGGTCACCCTCACAAGGACACAAAACAAGATAGAGGCCTACAGCAAGGTTTGTTACTGCCAGTTTGCTGGGCTGACTTGAACAGCAGGCTTATGGGGTCCTGGGCCCACATCCTATTCTAAGGTGCTCCTCTTTTTGACAGAACCAAACAGAAAGACATGCAAAACACACCAGGTTGGCTACAGCTTGACACCAACCTCATAAGTCCTTTTTTGTTAATCAAAACTTCAGAGAATATAAACCATGATCCTTACCTTTCCTTTTACCAGTTTGCATGGGGAGAGGGAGGCCACAAGTCCAACAGGTAAAAAAAAACTTGTACCCTTTTTCCGGCATGTCAGGCTTCTGGGTTCCCTTCCCCTAGGCTCAATTCTGAGCCAACCAGTTTAAGGTTTGGGAAATTAACTTTTCCAAGTGTGAAGGATGCATCCCAGGGGAGTGTCCTATAGTACGGGGACGTGATTACCCATCTGTGAAGAGAGGACTGAGGGGGAAAAAGGGAAAAGAAGGCATTGTTTTTAAAGGAGCCCAGGACTCAGGATGCATTCAAAAGGGGCACAGACTGAAGATGAATGGCTACTCATCTAGAATGAGAGGAGCAAGCGTCCCTTATTCTTTTCTCTTCCTAGACAATATCCAGCTTATGTGAGGGAGAGAAGGAAGAGGCTTTCATTTTCTTTCTTCTGTCCTTATATCCCTGAGTCCTGGCGACCACAACAGGGTGCAACCCATGGGTGTCAATGTGGCTTTTCACCCATGTTAACAGAGGGGCTGGGGGTGGGATTATCCACTCTTACCCACATACTGCCTTTCTCCCTGCTGTCAGTAGCCTTCAGGTTCCCTATATCTCATTTATGCCATGGATACTAGCATGACCTCTATCCTTGAAATGGGAGTCTTGGTTTAATCGGCAAGAATTAATCATGCTCATGTGAGCTGTCCCTTTTGACTTCTGTTGTCTTATGCCTCTGGATCCCTCAGATCCAGTTTTCTTTCCTAGAGCTTCAACCCAAAGCTTGGAATTTAGGTTGGGACAAAAATTTGTCTCAGCAGGGTGCACGGACTCATTAAGTCCCAGGTGAAGCTGTGGAACTGGGTCCTCTTCCAACAAGGAGAGAAAAGGGAGTCTTGTGAATTGGAGTCCCAGCCTAGTAAAACGCCTTTCAAGAAAAAGCCTCTGGCACAGAGAAGCCCCTGTACTCGCAGGGATGGGTTATTAAGTTAGTGCAAAAGCAAGTGCAGTCCCCACCATTCTAAGTAATGTCAAAAACCGCAACTACCTTTGCACCAACACACCAACTCCTGATATGGTGGAGAAAAGAAAAAGAAACAGCTTAAGTGTAGGGCGGGGAAATGCCTGGGGAAGAAACCTCTTATTCGTATGCAAATGGTTTCTCCAACAGGGAGATAAACTTTTAATTTAAAAAAATTTTTTTTGAGACAGAGTCTGGCTTTGTTGCCCAGGCTCGGGTACAATGGCATGATCTCAGCTCACTGCAACCTCCACCTCCCAGGTTCAAGCAATTCTTCTGCCTCAGCCTCCTGAGTGGCTAGGACTGCAGGTGTACATCACCATGTCCAGCTAATTTTTTTTGTATTTTCAGTAGAGACAAAGTTTCACCATTTTGGCCAGGCTAGTCTCAAACTCCTGACCTCAGGCGATCTGCCCACCTTGGCCTCCCAGAGTGCTGGGATTACAGGTGTGAGCCACTGCACCCAACCCAAGAAACTTTTAATTGCTGTTTCCTTCTTCCTGGCTCTCCCTAGTACGTGGTGGGAGGGCACTGTGAGTGGGAGATGCTGGCCAGCTGGCCATACAGGGCTCTTGGGCTATGCATCCTGTGTGGGAGGGGGAGGGGGCTGGGAGCCGCCACTCAACCATTTATCCTCTGTGTGCACCTGTGGCCATTGGGGTGGGGGTGGAACACCCCTAATATTGTAAAACAAAGATAGGTGCCATTATAATCCTGAAAAAAAGAAGAAAAATCCCAGAGAAAAGACTGGATTAGACTGAGGCCAACATTCCCAACCCCCAAGAGTGACAGTGGTGGGGGCCGTTTCTTCTGCTTTTAGAAAAAGTCTGAGGAAAAGAAGGCTCGGAAACAAAAGGGAAAGAGATTTTTGAGTCCACATTATACTCACCCTTCCTCTTGTCCCCTTATGGGTCAATGAAATGATGGAGGATTGTTTGCTCCTTAGCTCAACTAAATCTGGGTTCTTGTCTCATGACCACGAAGAATTAGGCACACAGACACATTGAAGGGTGAGGAGGATGGAATTTATAATACAAAAGGGGAGCTCTCGGCCAGGCACGGTGGCTCAGGCCTGTAATCCTAGCACTTTGGGAGACCAAGGAAGGTGGATCAACTGATGTTGGGAGTTTGAGACCAGCCTGACCAACATGGAAAAATCCCATCTCTACTAAAAATACAAAATTAGCTGGGCGTGATGGTCCATACCTGTAATCCCAGCTATTCGGGAGGCTGAGGCAGAAGAATCCTTGAACCCGGGAGGTGGAGGTTGCGTGGAGCCAAGATCGTGCCATTGCACTCCAGCCTGGGCAACAAGAGAGAAACTCCGTCTCAAAAAAAAAGGAGGGGGGCAGCTATCAGCAAAGAGAGTGGTCCTGCCAGCAGCCTCCCACCTCACAGATTGAATACCAGGCCACCACACACGAGCTGAAGAAGCCAGGCTCCCTCCCCTGCATAAGGCGTGAATTTCTGGTGGCTCCATCCCATTCCCCCAGTTCATGTAGGCTACAGTCCATTGCGGGCATGCCCAGGCAAGACCCTGTGCATGTTCCCTTATCTGCAAAAAAACTTCTGATGTAAATACTTGGTAGGGGGGAAGGGTGGAGATTCTCCAGGGACCCTTCCTTATCTGCCTAGGCATTTGTCTGCCTCCTGCCTCTATCACTATCTGTAACAAGGCCAGAGCTCTACATTCTTTTCTGTTGATCCCAAGTTTTTAAACAAACAATATCCAGTTGCAAACCAGAAAATCTTTGAATCTACCTATGACCTGTGGGCCCCCACTCTGAGGTTTCCTGCCTATTTAGTCCAAACTAATGTATAGCCTCCATGTATTGATGTATGACTTTGCCTGTAACCTCTGTCTCCCCACCTCTAAAAACTCGTACATGTCAGCCATGAGAGGGTTCAGATCTGAAGCATGACCTGCCCCATTCTCCTTGGTAGGTGCCTTGCAATAAATGCCTCACTTTCTCTTGCTGCAAATCCCAATGTCAGTATTTGGCTTTCCTGTGCTGGGCAGGCCGACCCAAGTTTGGTTGACAACAATCTGAAGCCTCCAAATAGATCCAAGCCAGTTAATTATGAGAGCAAATCAGACCCTGGACCCAGTCTAGTTTCTACTGTGACTTCCAAATCCAGTTCAGATAAAACATTTGCTCAAAGAAACTTGGAAAGCTTAAAACACAAATCCATGGAGCTTCAGAATCTAACAGAGAACTTACCAATGATCCCAGTTGCTGCAAGAGAGTAATGGACATAATGGCCTGGTGGATTTCTCACTTGGTCACTTGATGTTCCTGAGGACTGCTATAAGTTGTACTTCAGATTCCACTTTTGATGCCATCTGTTAAAAGAAAAAGTTTAAACAAATTTTATGCAACAGAATTTAATTGAGCAAAAAACTATCTGTGAATGGGACAGCTCCCCAAAGCAGAATGGGTTCAGAGAGATTCTAGCCCTGTCACATGGTCAGAGATAATTTATGGACAGAAAATGAAAAATGACATACAGAAAACAAAAGTTAAATACAGAAACAACTAAATTAGTTACAGCTTGGCATTTGTCTAATTTAAGCAGTTGGCTGCCTGTGATTGGCCAAAACTCATTGGTTAGTACAAGAGCAAGTTATAGTCTGTTTATACACCCAGTTAGGTTACAGTTTACCATATACAAAAGAATGTTTAGGCCAAATTTATAGAGACAACTTTAGACTTAATTTAACAATAGGAAATATTTGAATTATTTTATTTTATTTTATTTTATTTTACTTATTTTTGAGACAGAGTGTTGCTCAGTTGCCCAGGCTGGAGTGCAGTGGCACAATCTCAGCTCACTGCAGCCTCTGCCTCCTGGGTTCAAGCGATTCTCCTGCCTCAGCCTCCTCAGTAGCTGGGATTACATGCATGCATGCACAACCATGCCTGGCTAATTTTTGTATTTTTAGTAGAGTCGGGTTTCACCATGTTGGCCAGGCTGGTCTTGAACTCCTGACCTCAGGTGATCCACCTGCCTTGGCCTCCCAGAATGCTGGGATTACAGGCCTGAGCCACCACGCTTGGCTTATTTGAAGAATTTAAAATTTTTCAGGAAATATTTGAAGTATTTAGAATTTTCCAGGGTTAAAATAAAAAAGGCTATGAAGGGAAAGGACTCTTCAAATGCTAAACACAATAAATTAGAGGGGGAAAAACTTAAAAGCCACATTAAAGCCACAATTAAACTTTTCTTTAAAACCTACCAAGAGAGAAAGCAGATTCTCTCTAAAGGAATGATGCTTAACTAACATCAGACTACTCAACTGTGACACTGAATGTTCAACAGTAAGAGAGCAATTCAAAATACTGAAGAAGGAGAATTTTTTTTCTTTTTTTTTTTTTTTGAGACAGAGACTCACTGTCACCCAGGCTAGAGTGCAATGGCGTGATCTTGGCTCGCTGCAACCTCCTCCTCCTGGGTTCAATCAATTGTCCTGCCTCAGCCTCTGGAGTAGCTGGGATTACAGGCACGCACCACCACGTCCGGCTAATTTTTGTATTTTTCGTAGAAACAAGGGTTTCGCCATGTTGGCCAGGTTGGTCTTGAACCCCTGATCTCAGGTGATTCAACCGCCTTGGCCTCCCAAAGTGCTAGGATTATAGGCATGAGCCGCTGTGTCCAACCCCGCCCCTTTTTTTTTTAAGAGACAGGGCCTTGCCTTGTCAGTCAGGCTGGAGTCCAGTAGTGCAATCATAGCTCAATGCAGCCTCAAACTCCTGGGTTCAAGTGATATTCCTGCCTCAGCCTCTCAAGTAGCTGGAACTACAGGTGTGTACCACCACGCCTGGCTAATTAGAAAAACTTTCTTTTTGTGGAGATGGGGTCTCATTATGCTGCCCAAGCTGGTCTCCAAATCCCAGGTTCAAGTGATCCTTCCTCCTTGGCGTGCCAAAATGTTGTGATTACAGGTATGAACCCCTGTGCCCAGCCAAGAAGAAGAACTTTGAACCCAAAATTTTGTGCTTCATTCCCATTTTTCTAAGGGTTAAATAAAGGCATCTTCAGGCACACAAAGCATCAAAAGGTTTACCAAGAAAGATTACCTTTGAAATAATCAGAGGAAGTCCTTCAACAATGAGATAAATCCAGGGGCCACCCTGATATGTAGAAAAGAAGGATAAATACATAAACCAGTAAATATTTCTGTTTTGTAAATAGGATGTATCTATGAATTATATCTATAACAATTTAGAAAAAAAATTCTAGTCAAGACATAAAGGGAAAGAAAAGGCCCAAAATGGGTAAACACATGCTAAGATATTCTCACTTGCAAAAATCTACATCTATTGGCATATCCAGTGTTTTGTTCTGGTTTTAAATTTATTTTTATTTATTGAGATAAAATTTGCATATCAGAAATTTGCCATTTTAATCATTTTAAAATGCATGAGTAATTGTTTTTATTTTATTTGTAATACCATGCACCTAATTCCAGAATATTTCCAACACCTGAAAAAGAACTCCCACCTCTCTCCATTTACTTGCAAACACTAATACAATTCACATGTTTATGGATTTGAATGTTCTGGATATTTCATATAAATAGAATCATGCTGTCAATCTAAATAACAGAGGCTCTCTAAAAGAAAAAGGTATTTATTTGGGAATAGAGCATTACAATGGGAATACATGTACCATAGTAAACTGTGTGTATTAATATATTCAGGGAGGTAAAAGAAGACAAAAATTTTTCAAGGTGCTGGGCACAGTGGCTCATGCCTGTAATCCCAGCACTTCGGGAGGCTGAGGCGGGCAGATCACGTGAGGTCAGGAGTTCGAGACCAGCCTGGCCAACATGGTGAAACCCCGTCTCTACTAAAAGTACAAAAATTAGCCGGGCGTGGTGGCAGATGCCTGTAATCCAAGCTACTCGGGAGGCTGAGGCAGGAGAATTGCTTGAACCCGGGAGGTGGAGGTTGCAGTGAGTCAAGATCGTGCCACTGCACTCCAGCCTGGGGGACAGGAGCCAGCCTTCGTCTCAAAAAAAAATTTTTTTTTTCAAGGAACAAAATGAAGAGGATCACATCATTGTTTTGAAATAATTATCCCTGGCTACAAAGATCAGTAACAAGGGTGACATCAGTCTGAGGCTGGACAGGCAGGTGCTGGGCAGATGTATTTTCTGAAGTATTTTTTGTGTAAGGTTGTGATGGCCTTTGTGCAAGATTGTGGTTTTTGTGCAGTCTTTTGTTATCAGGCATTTAAGCATGAGAACCCTCTCTTCATGGCCTTCCCCAAATCTATTTGTCAGGATATATATACATTTCTATTTATCTATCTATATATTTTTTTGAGATGGAGTCTCGCTCTGTCTCCCAGGCTGGAGTGCAGTGGCGCAATCTTGGCTCACTGCAACCTCCACTTCCCAGGTTCAAGCGATTCTCCTGCCTCAGCCTCCTGAGTAGTTGGGATTATAGGTGCATGCCACCACACCCGGCTGATTTTGTGTTTTCAGTAGAGATGGGGTTTCACCATGTTAGCTAGGCTGATCTCAAACTCCTGATCTCAGGTGATCCACCTGCCTTAGCCTCCCAAAGTGTTGGGATTACAGGCGTGAGCCACTGCACTCAGCCAGGATTTTTATTCTTATTTTTTTTCTGAGACAGAGTCTCGCTCTGTCGCCCAGGCTGGAGTGCAGTGGCACGATCTCAGCTCACTGCAATCTCCGCCTCCCGGATTCACGCCATCCTCCTGCCTCAGCCTCCTGAGTAGCTGGGACTACAGGTGCCCGCCACCACGCCCAGCTAATTTTTTGTGTTTTTAGTAGAGACGGGGTTTCACCGTGTTAGCCAGGATGGTCTCGATCTCCTGACCTTGTGATCTGCCCGCCTTGGCCTCCCAAAGTGCTGGGATTACAGGCGTGAGCCGCTGCGCCTGGCCTCAGCCAGGATATTTTTTAATGTTTGTGATTCCATTTTGATTCTGACAACTTTCATGTTTCCCCTATTTGATCAAGATTTTTTACCCAAAACTGTCACTGGTCAATCGTCCTTTAGATTTTGATGTCCCTTAGTGGCAAGATGAAACTGTCCTATGTATTGGCCTCATGTCATGTTGGGGAGAGGGACTGGTGACTAGGAATCAGTGTCAAAACCATTTTAGTCACGTTAGAGCAATAGGGAGGTTTGAATGGCGTGGCTCTCAGGTTCCATGAGAGTCTGGAGTCCACTATTAAGTTTAATTTTCTCTGTCTGATAGTATTTTGCTATCATTTCAAAGTGCTAGGCCAGAATTATTTTTCTAGGAGTTGTACTTCTTCAAAACTTTAACAAGTAACAGATACAAAGTTTAAAAATGGAAAATACAAAGTAAAATTAATAGTAATATGACCATTCCAGTTTGCATAATTGTTTTGAGCCATGAACCTAGGCTTAAAGACAACCAATTGAAGAAATCAAATGACCATAGAGAATTGAGTGAGACCTCTTGTAACCATGTGGCCTGTTTTCTAATTTTGTATATATTGGTCTCACCTTTTTCCAAAGGAATTTATCCAGGTACAGCATGTAGTGTTAGCAACAGCCTAGACATTTTCTTATTTAACCAATGAATACTGAAGGATTTCTTAGGTTAGTTTCTGTTAAGTTACCAGCCAGAAACTATTGGTTGTGAAACTTCAATTAAACTATTGTTATCCTGCCAAGTGAAAGGTAGCATTAAGGTGGGGAAAAGTCATATTAAGATACAGAGTCTTGGCCAGGTGCGGTGGCTCACCTGTAATCCCAGTACTTTGGGAGGCCGAGACAGGCAGATCACCTGAGATCAGGAGTTCAAGACCAGCCTGGCCAACATGGCGAAACCCCATCTCTACTAAAAAATAAAAAATACAAAAATTAGCCGGGCATGTTGGTGCATGCCTGTAATCCCAGCTACTTGGGAGGCTCACGCAAGAGAATCGTTTGAACCTGGGAGGTGGAGGTTGCAGTGAGCCAAGAGTGCGCCATTGCATTCCAGCCTGGGCGACAGAGCGAGACCCCATCTAAAAAAAAAAAAAAACAGACACAGGTCTTGCTCTGATGTCTTGGAAAAACTGGCTATAGCATGAAAACATCAACTTTTGGTTTGCAGTTTGAATATCGCTGGTCAAGACATCAGTTGGGTTGGTAAACATTTTGAGTAGCCCATACATCAAGCATGAAACTAATTCCTTAAACTTCATCTAGTTTCAGCTTACAGGGCTTTAGGAACAGAGTAGCTTTTGTTTTTAGTTGAAGAGTTGTAGCCAAGAAGAAAGTAGGAAAATTCAGGATCTAGTCCAGTCTACAGGTAGATAATCAGAACTTGAAAACAATGCATAGGGCTATAATCTAATAACAGATGTATTATAATTTTTCCTTAGAAACATAACTTTTTTACTCTACACTGGTCATATAGGGATCTCAGATTTTAAAAACCTCTAGAGGTTAGGAAGCCCAACCAAGGCAGACTTCAGATTTTACTTACAATATTAAGATTCTTGAACTTGTCAGGAAGTGACAATTTTTACTCACTGCTGCAAGGCTGGGAACTCTTGAAGTCAGGCATTTTATGCACATTCTTAAATAAGACATTTCAATCCAAGCCTTGGTAATATCACCAACATTTCCAGCTGTTTTCTGCTTCTAGAGAGACAAAAGTCCAGGCGTAGTGGCTCACGCCTATAATCCTAGCACTTTGGGAAGCCAAGGCAGGTGGATTACTTGAGCTCAGGGGCTTGAGACCAGTCTGGGCAACTTGGTGAAGCCCTGTCTCTACAAAAAAATACAAAAAAAAAAAAAAAAGCCAGGTGTGGGGGTGCACACCTGTAGTCCCCAGCTACTTGGGGGGCTGAGGTGGGAGGGCTGCTTGAACCTGGGAGGTCAAGGTTGCAGTGAGCTGAGACCATGCCACTGCACTCCAGCTTGGATGACAGAGTGAGACCCCGTCTCATTTAAAAAAAAAAAAAAAAGAGAGAGAGAATAGATTTTTATTGAACTTATTTAAACCATATTGTCGCAAATTAAAAATACTCATAAATAGGCCGGGTGCTATGGCTCATGCCTGTAATCCCAGCACTTTGGGAGGGTGAGGCAGGTGGATTGCTTGAGGTCAGGAGTTCGAGACCAGCCTGATCAACATGGTGAAACTCCGTCTCTACTAAAAATACAAAAATTAGCCAGGGGTGGAGGCAGGCACCTGCAATCCCAGCTATTTGGGAGACTGAGGCAAGAGAATCGCTTGAACCTGGGAGGTGGAGGTTGCAGTGAGCCGAGATCGCCCCACCACACTCCAGACTGGATGACAAAACAAGACTACATCTAAAAAAAAAAAAAAAAGGCAAAAAAACCACACGAATACTTTCTGAATTTTGGAGGAATCATGTACAGAGACAAAGCAAATGCTTTTACCTTTGTTCACAAAAATGTATTTTGCCAAATTAGGCCTAGAGCAGTGGCTCACACCTGTAATCCCAGCACTTTGAGAGGCCGAGGTGGACAGACTGCCTGAACCTAGGGGTTCAAAACCAGCCTGGGCATCATCACAAAACCCCATCTCTACCAAAAAAAAAAAAAAAAAAAAAAATTAGCCAGCCGTTGTGGCCTATGCCTGTAGTCCCAGGTAATCAGGAGACTGAGCTCAGAGGATGGCTTGAGTCCAGGAGATGGAAGTTGCAGTGAGCTGTGATTGTGCAACTGCACTCCAGCCTGAGTGACAGAGTGGGACCCTGTCTCAAAAAAAATCAAACCAAAACAAAACAAAAGTATATTTTACCAAATTGTTGTAAACTATAAATAGCTTATGAGAAAACAATGTCCTTAAATCTGGAAATCAAAACATTGAAGTAAAGAATCAACACTGTTTTAAATAAAAGTCATAAAACATCATTTAATCAATTACTTAACTTCATGTAATTAATTTTTTGTTTTGCTTGACCTTCATTAGCAATTTCATGAACCCATCGGTTTCTTTATTAGAGCTCTGAAAATTACGATTTATTCCACTGATCCTAAAATTACTAGCAATCTGTGTTCAAGAGTATTTGTCCATGTCTTCTTCATGAAAAACAATTTCGGACTATAGCTAATCACAAATGCTTTTAGAGAATAATTCAAATAATAACGGTGGATGACAAAAACTCAGAATATTTAAAGTTAAAAATCTGATGGAAGTTCTCAATTGATAATGAAGTCGAGTTATTTTTATTACAGGTAGCATTTTATGATAACAACCAGAATTATGACTGATAGGACCATGAGCCTTTTATAAATTTCGTATAACCTTTAGAATATTCACATTAATAATATCTATACAAATATAACTTCACAAAAGATGTAACATTATTAAAATTATGGCTGATAACATAGTAGGTTTCTATGAATTTATATAATTTAGAAACATTTATATCAATAACATACCCATACATGTAACTGAAAGATATAGTATCACTTATCATTTGACAATGCCTCTCATACAATTTACCCAATAAGCCCAATCATTTACATCTCTACAAGATGAGAGATACATTTTTTGATGCTCTCCAGGGGCCCAACTGGAAAATCTCAGAGTTAACATCATGTCAAAAAGACTTAATTTAGGATTTTGATTTGGTGGGCAGAGCCTACCAAAGATATCAAAAGGTTCAAAACACTTGATACAAACAGACTCTCAGGTTACTGTAAAATAACTGTCATTCATTTAAGCAGAATGATATCAAGAATTCTCAGAAGCAATACAGAAAGTTACATGGATGTAAATATCTTAACCCCTTCAAAGCCCAGTTCTTCTGAATAATCAAAGATCTAATAAAGACAACACAGGAATTATCTTGTTAAAACATAAAATCTTTGTTGTTGTTGTTGTTCTTAGGCCAATTACCAGAAATATATATTTTTTAATTTCTGCAGTGTGATTGCTTCTCGTTATAGGAAGCCCATTTATATAAACTGGAAGTCAAACCTAATGGAACGGGTGCTTGAAATTAATCATACACAAGAAGAACATCTCCAGGGTTGTGAGTATACACTATATAGAGAAATATAAACAAGAAAACTGATACCTTGAGTAGGGCAATACACGGCTGTTGGTAACAGCATGGGAAGTTTCTTTGTTACATGGAACAATTCAGACACAGCAAGAAGAGCCATGAGTACAGAATCAAGTTATACTGAAGAAAACATTACTTTTCTAGGCCTTTATAATAAACATTTCAGCCTCAGGCCATAACAACAGACAGAGAATCAGAAAAAAAAAAAAAGTTGCTGAAATTGATGAAAAATGAAGGAGAAAGTTATCAACCCAGCCAAGCAAAAAGATATATCTTTTATAAAGGAGAAAAGAGAAGGCAATGATGTCTTCATCATGTGCAGCGAGGTACACAAAAGTTGAACTTCTGAGACAGACATCTGAGAAGTTTCAAAAAGAAAATTTTACCTCAAGAAATGAAATTACTATTCCGAATGAAAAATAGAGCATTTCCAACCTGAAACTAAGAAAATTAAATAGATCTCAGGAAGAAATGTGGCAGAAATAGAAACTGTTTACAGTTTTTAGAAGATGGTTTTTAAAGAAACATTTTAGAAGCAAAATCAAAACCACTGGCAATATTACTAAGAACAAATAAATACTTTAAGAAAACCTTGTTGCTCTGAGGCTGGGCGGTGGCTCACGCCTGTAATCCCAGCACTTTGGGAGGCCAAGGTGGGCGGATCACGAGGTCAGGAGTTCAAGACCAGCCTGACCAACATGATGAAACCCCTGCTCTACTAAAAATACAAAAATTAGCCAGGCCTGGTGGCGCACACGTGTAATCCCAGCTACTCAGGAGGCTGAGGCAGGAGAATCGCTTGAACCAGGGAGGCAGAGGTTGCAGTGAGCCGAGATCAAGCCACTGCAACCCAGTCTGGGTGACAGAGTGAAACTCTGTCTCAAAAAAAAAAAAAAAAAAGAAGGCCGGCACGGTGACTCATGCCTGTAATCCCTGCACTTTGGGAGGCCGAGACGGGTGGATCACGAGGTCAGGAGATCGAGACCATCCTGGCTAACATGGTGAAACCCCGTCTCTACTAAAAATACATAAAATTAGCCGGGCGAGATGGTGGGCGCCTGTAGTCCCAGCTACTCGGGAGGCTGAGACAGGAGAATGGCGTGAACCCCGGGGGGGCGGAGCCTGCAGTGAGCACCGAGATCATGCCACTGCACTCCAGCGTGGGCGACAGAGCGAGACCCTGTCTCAAAAAAAAAAAAAAGAAAAAAAAAAAAAGAAAAAGAAAACCTTGTTGTTCTAACACAGGAGATGAAATTTTTAAATTTTGTATGAGTGGGTGGGGCACAGTGGCTCATGCTTGTAATCTCAGAACTTTAGGAGGCCGAGGCAAGCAGATCACGAGGTCAGGAGTTTGAGATCAGCCTGGCCAACACAGTGAAACTTTGTCTCTACTAAATAAAAAAAAAAATTAGCCAGATGTGGTGGCATGCTCCTGTAATCCCAGCTAATCTCGAGGCTGAGGCAGGAGAATCGCTAGAACCCAGGAGGCAGAGGTTGTAGTGAGCCAAGGTGGCACAACTGCACTCCAGCCTGGGCGACAGAGCGAGACTCCATTTCATAAATAAATAAATTTTGTACGAGTGTGTTTTCAATATAAAAGCTCAATCTTAGCCTGAGCAATATAGTGAGATCCTATCTCTACAAAACAATTTAAAAAAATAGCCAGACATGGCCATGCGTGGTGGCTCACGCCTGTAATCCCAGAACTTTGGGAGGCTGAGGCGGGTGGATCATGAGGTCAGGAGTTCAAAACCAGCCTGGCCAAGATGGTGAAACCCCGTCTCTACTAAAAATACAAAAAAGATTAGCTGAGTGTGGTGGTAGGTGCCTGTAATCCCAGCTAATAGGGAGGCTGAGGCAGAGAATTGCTTGACCCCGGGAGGCAGAGGTTGCAGTGAGTGGAGATTGCACCACTGCACTCCAGCCTGGGCAACAGAACAAGATTCCGTCTCAAAAAAATAAATAAATAAAAAATAAAAATAAAAAATAGCCAGGCATGCATGGTGGTATGCACTGGTAGTCCCAGCCACTCAGAAGGCTGAGGCAGGAGGACCACTGGGGCACAGCAGTTCAAGGCTGCAGTGGGCCATGATCATACCACTGCACTCCAGGCCAGATGACAGAGTGAGACACTGTCTCTTAAAAAAAAAAAATTAATATTAAAAAATCTCAATATTTACGACCCAGAGCATTCTACCGATTCAATGCAATCCCTATCAAAATATCAATTACATTCTTCACAGAAATAGAAAAAAATATTAAAATTTGTATGGGGCCGGGCATGGTGGCTCACACCTGTAATCCTAGTATTTTGGGGGGCCAAGGCAGGCAGACCACAAAGTCAGGAGATCAAGACCATCCTGGCCAACATGGTGAAACCCTGTCTCTACTAAAAATACAAAACTTAGCTGCACGTGGTGGTGTGTGCCTGTAATCCCAGCTACTCGGGAGGCTGAGGCAGGACAATCGCTTGAACCAGGGGGTCGGAGGTTGCAGTGAGCCGAGATCACGCCACTGCACTCCAGCCTGGTGACAGAGCAAGACTCTGTCTCAAAAACAAAAAAGAAAAAATAGACACATAGGTCAATAGTACAGAACAGAGATCCCAGAAATTGATCCATGTATCTAGAGCCAACTCATTTTTTACAAAGGCATCAAGAATACTCACTGGGGGAAGGAGAGTATCTTCAATAAGCAGCTCTGGAAAACTGGATATCCATATGCAAAAGAATGAAATTAGACCCCCCCCCACCTCTCATTCTATACAAAAATCACAACTCAAAATGGTTTCTGTTCATTCTTCCCCTTTCTAGTAGTCCCCAGTGTCTATCGTTCTTATATTTATGTCTATGTGTACTCAATGTTTAGCTCCCGCCTTTTTTTTTTTTTTTTTTTTTTGAGACAGAGTCTCACTCTGTCACCCAGGCTGGAGTGCAACCTCTGCCTCCCAGGTTCAAGCAATTCTCCTGCCTCAACCTCATGAGAAGCTGGGACTACAGGCATGCACCACCACACCCAGCTAATTTTTTGAGGGGTATGTTTAGTAGAGACGGGGTTTCACCATGTTGGCCAGGCTGGTCTCAAACTCCTGGCCTCAAGTGATCTGCCTGTCTTGGTCTTCCAAGGTGCTGGGATTACAGGCATGAGCCACCATGCCCCGACCCTTAGCTCCCACTTATAAGAGAGAACATGTGGTATTTGGTTTGTTCCTGTGTTAGTTAGCTTAGGATAATGGTCTCCAGCTCTGTCCATGTTGCTGCAAAGGACATGATTTCATTCTTTTTTATGGCTGTGTTGTATCCCATGGTATATATGTACCAAATTTTCTTTATTCAATCCACTTTTGAAAGGCACCTAGGTTAATTCCATGCCTTTGCTATTGTGAATAGCGCTGTAATGAACATACGACTGTGTGTGTCTTTTTAGCAGAACAATTTGTTTTCCTTTGGGTATATACCCAGTAAAGAGATTGCTGGGTTGAATAATGATAGTTCTATTTTTAGTTCTTTGCAAAACCTCCATACTGCTTTCCACAGTGGCTGAACTAATTTACATTCCCATCAACAGTGTATATGCATTCCCAGAGAACCCTTACATACCACTGGTGGGACTGTAAACTAGAACAGCCACTATGGAGAACAGTATGAAGATTCCTTAAGAAAATACAAATACAACTACCATATGATCTAGCAGTCCCACTACTTGGCACTCATCCAAAGGAAACGAAATCAGTATATACTGAAGAGACATCTGCACTTCCATGTTTAGTGCAGCAGCATTCACAATAGCCAAGATATGGAATCAACCTATGTGTTCAACAACAGATGAACGGATAAATAAAATGTGGTATATATACATAATGGAACACTCTTCAGCCATCAAAATAATGAAATCCTGTCATTTGCAACAACATGGACAGAACTGGAGGACATTGTGTTAAGTGAAAAAAGCCAGGAACAGAAAGTTAAACAGTGCATGTTCTTACTCACATGTGGAAGCTAAAAACATAAAAACACTTGATCTCATAGAAGTAAAAGGTAGAAGAGAGGATACTAGAGGCTGGGAAGAGTAGGGGAAATTGGGGGGGTAGGGGGATAGGGAAAGATCTGTTAAAAAATATAAAATTATATCTAGATAGGAGGAATATGTTCTAGTGTTCTATACCACTCTAGGATGACTGTACTTATCAATGTATAGTTTCAAATTGCTAGAAGGAGGATATTGAAGTTTCCTAATGTAAAGAAATGATAAATGTTTGAAATGGTAGATATGCTACTTACAGTGATCAGGTCATTATACATTATATGTATTTAAACATCACTATGTACCTCATAAATATATACAATTATTACATGTCTTTTTGTTTTTTCTCGACAGGGTCTGGCTCTCTCACCCAGGCTGGAGTGCAGTGGTACAATCACAGCTCACTGCAGCTTTGATTTTGCAGGCTTAAGCGATGTTCCCACCTCAGCCTCCTGAGTAGTGGGACTGCAGGTGTGTCCCACTCTGCCTGACTAATTTTTTCTATTTTTATTTTAGAGACCTCCCAAAGTGCTGGGATTACAGGCATAAGCCACCATGCCCAGACTACTATATGTCAGTTTAAAAAATAAAATAAACTTACAAAGTTCAATCTTTAGAAAGACTTATAAATAATCCCCTTCTAATTATAGCCAACTTGATCATACACAAAATTCCTTTGATGATGTATTCTCTTTTCGTAACATTTATCATGACTTAGACGTTGATGACATGCTTGGACTTTCTGCTTTTTCATTTTGGCCTCTATGTGGCAGAAAAAAAATTATGTTGGAGAGATACCCTATATCATTACTCTGAGCTCAAGATTTTGACCTGTTTGATCTGAGAGCCTAACTGTTATAAACATTGTTGTAGTTCTTTTTCTTTTAGATAACTAATTTTTCAATTAAGTGTTCCATCACCATATACAGTTATTAGTCAGGCAAACCTAAAAGGTGTCTAGGTTATTGGTTACCATGGAGCTATTGTAACTTGTAAAGCCATTAACTTAAAAGTCCTTAAAACTTTTCTATTTTAAATCTTGGCTGGAATGGCATATGCAATGAGTTTTATCTCAACACAGTAGAAAAGTCAGCTGACTTAAAGTAGGCAGAAAAAAATAGACAAAGAATTTAGAACACTCTACATGTTAATGTATAGTTGCAGATTTTTCAAATAATGACCATTTGAGCTCTGAATTTTTTTTGATGTAATTTTGCCCATCAGTTTATAAATGTGCATAAGTTCCAGGCATGATGGCTCATGCAAGTAATCCCAGCACTTTAGGAGGCCAAAGCAGGCGGATCACTTGAGGACAGGAGTTTAAGACCAGTCTTGTCAACATGATGAAACCCTGTGTCTACTAAAAATACAAAAATTAGCTGGGCATGGTGGTGCATGCCTGTAATTCCAGCTACTCGGGAGGCTAAAGCAGGAGAATCACTTGAACCCAGGAGGCGAAGGTTGCAGTGAGCTGAGATTGCGCCATTGCACTCCAGTCTGGGTGACAAGAGCCAAACGCTGTCTCAAAAAAAAAAAAAAAAAAAATATATATATATATATATATATATAGATATATATTTAAAAATGAAAATGTGCATAAGAACAGGCCATAATATGTAGCTGGCTGGAGTCCCAGAAGATCTGGCATACTTTAATGTTTGAGAATCCCATTTTATTTCTTAATAATCTCTTGAGAGCAATGAAAATCTTATAAATCTTGCCAGGGAATGTCAGGAGTTTAAACTGGTGTTTTAGATGGTGGCAACTGCACTAGTGGCTTTTAATTATCCATCCTGCGCCTGCCATTTAGAATGTTTATTTTTGCTCTTGGGCAATTTTCAGAAATAAGCAAGGGAAAAGAGCCAAACCAAATAACAAAAATCAGATAAGAGTAATCACAAAAATTTTAAGCACAGGCATGCAGATCAAACAAAATATTAAACTAGGTGCACAGACCAAACAGAAAGTAAATTCACCAGAAAAGACATGCCTCACAAATGGAATGTGAATTCTGTAGAAATCACTGTTCTCAGTCCAGAAAGACATAGGTCTTTACACCAGAAAGGACTTATTAGAAAAGCTAAAAGGCCTTGTATCATCCCAGGAGGTAGGCACAGTCCTTTATTTAGATGGCTTAATCCAAATCAGATCCCAAATAATATCAAAAAGCCTCTACCAAAAAAGAGAAAGGCTCAGCCTGAGAGAAAACTCACCAGGGAATAAAAGGTGAACCGTGTAACACATGCCAGTTCCAAATATCACTGATTCTTTCCAAGAATGATCTTTTTCAGGTCCCTTTTCAGACACCATATATTTCAACCTAAATTCCAAACAGAGAGGCTCTCTAAAAGAAAGGGTATTTATTTTGGGAATAGAGCATTGCAATGAAAATACACATGCCATAGTAAACTATGTGCATATTTAGGGAGGTAAGGGAAGGAAGATAAAGGCTTTTTTTCTTTCTTTTTTTTCGAGACAGAGTCTCACTCTGTTGCCCAGGCTGGAGTGCAGTGGTGTGATCTTGGCTTCCTGCAACCTCCACCTCCTGGGTTCAATGATTCTCCTGCCTCAACCTCCCGAGTAGCTGGGATTACAGGCACCTGCTCCCACGGCTGGCTATTTTTATATTATTTTTGTTTTTTGTATTTTTAGTAGAGACGGGGTTTCACCATATTGGCTAGGCTGGTCTCGAACTCCTAACCTCAGGTGATCCACCTGCCTCAGCCTCCCAAAGTGCTGGGATTATAGGCACTGGCCACCATACCTGGCTGACAAAGAATCTTAAAGGAAGAAAATGAGGATTACATAATTGTTTTGAAATAGTTATTCTTGGCTACAAAGATAAACAATAAGGCAGTTGCTGGGCAAATATCCTTGCTGAAGTATTTTTTGTATAAGGTCGCAATGGCCTTTGTGCAAGGCAGTGGTTTTTGCAGTCTTTTCGATAGCTTTCATTATCAGGCATACAAACCTTCTCTTCATAGCCTTTCCCAGTTCTATTTGTCGGGGTGTTTTTTAATATTAGTGACTTCATTTTTATTCTGAAAACTTTCACAGTATAATATATGGCCTTTTGAGTTTGGCTTATTATATTTTCTTTCATTTATGCTTTCAAAATTTATACATGTTGTACCATGTATCAGTACTTCATGCCTTTTTTTTATTATACTTTAAGTTCTAGGGTACATGTGCACAATGTGCAGGTTTGATACATAGGTATACATGTGCCATGTTGGTTTGCTGCACCCATCAACTCATCATTTACATTAGGTATTTCTCCTAATGCTATCCCTTCCCCAGCCCCCCACCCCCTGACAGGCCCCGGTATGTGATGTTCCCTGCCCTGTGTCCAAGTGTTCTCATTGTTCAATTCCCACCTATGAGTGAGAACATGCGGTGTTTGATTTTCTGTCCTTGTGATAGTTTGCTGAGAATGATGGTTTCCAGCTTCATCCATGTCCCTGCAAAGGACATGAACTCATCCTTTATTATGGCTGCCTTCATCCCTTTTTATGGCTGAAAAATTATTCCATTGTATGGATATACAATATTCTGTTTAATTCATTCATCAGTTGATGTATTTGGGTTGTTTTCACTTTTTCACCTTTTGGCTATTAAGAATAATACTTACTAGCTGTGACTAGGGAGGGTTAAAAAAAAGAATAATGCTGCTAGGACTATGTATGTAGAAGTTTTTGTGTAAACATGTTTTCCATTCTCTTCCATATATACCTAGGAGCAGAATTACTGCATCATATGGGAACTCTATGCTTAACCTTTTTTTTGAGACAGAGTCTCGCTCTGTTGCCTCCTCGCTCTGTCGCTCAGGCTGGAGTGCAGTGGCACAATCTTGGCTCACTGCAACCTCTACTTCCCAGGTTCAAGCGATTCTCCTGCCTCAGCCTCCCAAGTAGCTGGGATTAGAGGTGCGTGCCACCACGCTCGGCTAATTTTTTATATTTTTAGTAGAGACAGGGTTTCACCATGTTAGCCAGGATGGTCTCCATCTCCTGACCTCATGATCCGCCGGCCTTGGCCTCCCAAAGTGCTGGGATCACAGGCGTGAGCCACCACACCCAGCCTGCTTAACCTTTTAAGAAACTGCCAGACTGTTTATCCAAGCTCAAGCCAGTGTTTGAACCCAGACAGTCTCACTCTATAGCCCTATGTTATACTTCCTCCATTGAAATGCTAATAAAAGCCATCCCACTTTAAAAAAAGGCATGAGCCACTGCGCCGGCACACAGTTCGTTTTAATGGGCTAAGTCAAGATGTTGGAGGGGCTGCCTTCCTTCTGGAGGCTCTAGGGGAGAATCGACTGCCTTGCCTTTTTCAGCTTCCAGAAGCGGCCTCCATGTCTGCATTATCACAATCTCTACTTCTGCCATCTCATGTTCTTCTCTGACTCTCCTGTCTGCCTCTTTTCACTTGTAAGGATCCCTGTAATTACTCTCTTGCCTGTCTCTTTCACTTGTAAGGATAATCCAGGATAATCTCTCCTTCTCAAGGTCCTTAATTCGATTGCATCTGCAAAGTTTCTTTTGCTATATAAGGTAACATATTCATAGGTTCTATGCATTAGGATATGGACGTTGTTGGGGAGCTATTATTTTGCCTGTCACACTCCACTACCTTCACGTCTTTGCTCAATATCCCTTTCAGTAGGGTCTTCACTGACCAGCCTTCATAAGATCGCATTATGTCTCTGCCTTTAAAAAATCCCCCTTCCTGAGCCGGGTGCGGTGGCTCACGCCTGTAATCCCAGCACTTTGGGAGGCTGAGGTGGCTGGATCACCTGAGGTCAGGAGTTTGAGACCAGCCTGGCCAACATGGTGAAACCCCATCTCTACTAAAAAATACAAAAAATTAGCTGGGCATGGTGGTGGGTGCCTGTAATCCCAGCTACTCAGGAGGCTGAGGCAGGAGAGTTGCTTGAACCCAGGAGGTGGAGGTCGCAATGAGCCGAGATGGCGCCATTGCACTCCAGCCTAGGCGACAAGAGCAAAACTCCATCTCAAAAAAAAAAAAAAAAAAAAAAAATCCCCCTTCCCCGTTTTTTTAGTGCTCACTACTATCTCATGTATGCTATATTTTTCTTATTTATCTTTTGTCTCTAACCAGAATATGAATTCCATGAGAGAACAGATTTTTGTCTACTTTTTCAGTGCTGTATTCCTAGTGCCAAGAACAATGCTTGACATTTGAATAGATGTCCAAGTACAGTTGAATATATATATTTTTAATGGAATGTAATTATATTTGTAGTATTTATTTCTCAGAAGAATAAACTTGATTGGTAACTTGAGTCAGGCTAGTTGGTATTTCATGATGATACAACATGAAATTTCATTAACAAAGGGTGTGTAATCTTAGGGATGCAGTACTGGAATTCCCTTATTGCAGTTAATACATTTGTATATAGATTTCCTATGGGAATGTGTAATGAAAAAAAGAAGCTGCTAACTGGAAGCATTAAAAGTGGAATCCATGAACTGCTTGTTAGTTGCTAAAATAAAGAATTTTGAAATCAGAGTATCATGCAATATTAAAATTTGTGTTATCATAAATAACTCTAGATTAGTGCTTCTCAAACTTTAATATGCATATGAATCATAAACTATAATGTGCATATAAATTACCTGGGAACATTGTCAAAAATGCAGATTCTTACTCAGTAGGTCTGAGGTAGGGTCTGGCATTCTGTATTGAGTTTCTGGGTGATGTTGATGCAGCTGTTCTGTGGAATAGCAAAATGTTTCATGACATTAAAACCAGAAATTTCAAAAGTAATACTTTTTCTTTTGTAGGAAAGATGTTAAAAGCTGAAGTCTGGGAATCTGAAGCAAGAATCAGTCTGATCAAATCGTACCATCATGGGTTACTGATGTGATAGGGTATTTTCTGAACTGAAATATCACTTTCCTTTGACCAAACATCATGCACTGAAGACTGACATTTGTGATGTATAACGGCTGGTTTAAACATGAAGGCAGGGAAAAAGGCAGACTGTGGAAAAGTAGACTGAGGAGTGGCGAGGGATCAAGGAAGCAGAAGAAAAGACTGGAACGCCTACTTAATTTTTTGTAGGGTGTATTTGTCTGTTTTCACGCTGCTGACAAAGACATACCTGAGACTGGGTAATTTATAAAGAAAAAGAGGTTTAATGGACTCACAGTTCCATGTGGCTGGGGAGGCCTCACAATCATGGCGAAAGGCAAAAGGCATGTCTTACATGGTGGCAGACAAGAGAGAATGAGAGCCAAGTGAAGGGAAATCCCTTATAAAACCATCAGATCTCATGAGACTTATTCACTACCACGAGAACAGTATGGGGGAAACCATCCCCATGATTCAATTATCTCCCACTTGGTCCCTCCCACAACATGTGGGAATTGTGGGAGCTATAATTCAAGATGAGACTTGGGTGGGGATACAACCAAACAATATCATAGGGTAAGACTTTCATAAATACAAATCTATATTTACATAAATGAAATTATTAATATATCCCACATGTCAAACACTCTTTCTTCTCTCTTCCTTAGTCCTCCTACCCCACCTCCATGTTGCATGTCTGCAATCTTGAATGTATCCTTGCATCTTTTCCCAAACTTAAAATCATATATCATTCACACATGCATTGATTTTTTTTGGTTATTGTTTTTGTCATCATGAACAGCACACATCTGGAAGTGCTGGTGTAATTTATCTATTTTTTAAAGAAAATCAAAGAGAGGAAAATCTTAGAAACCTTTAGAATATCCATTAATACCATTAGGCTTTTAACAAAACTGTCCCACTCTCCTGGCTCATGAGATTGCTACTTTCCAAAAAGGAGTCGCTTTTAACTCTTAGTGATTTTATCTGGTATTCTGTTCTAGACAATATCTATTGGCTTTTTTTTTTTTCTTTTTTTTTTGAGAAGGTGTCTCGCTCTGTCACCCAGGCTGGAGTGTAGTGGCGTGATCTCGGCTCACTGCAACCTCCACCTCCTGGGTTCAAGCAATTCTCCTGCCTCAGCCTCCCGAGTAGCTGGAACTACAGGCACCCACCATCATGCCTGGCTAATTTTTGTATTTTTAGTAGAGATGGGGTTTCACCATGTTGGCCAGGCTGGTCTCGAACTCCTGACCTCAGGTGATCTGCCCCTCTTGGCCTCCCAAAGTGTTGGGATTACAGGCATGAGCCACTGTGCCCGGCCAGCTTTTTTTTTTTTTTTTTTTTTTGAGACAGAGAGTCTCACTGTGTGGCCTAGCCGGGAGTGCAATGGTGCAATCTTGGCTCACGGCAACCTCCGTCTCCCAAATTCAACTAATTCTTGTGCTTCAGCCTCCTGAGTAGCTGGGATTACAGGCGCGTGCCACCATACCCAGCTAATTTTTTTGTATTTTTAGCGGAGACGGGGTTTCGCCATGTTGGCCAGGCTGGTCTTGAACTCCTGTCCTCAAGTGATCGGCCTGCCTTGGCTTCCTTCCAAGTGCTGGGATTACAGGTGTGAGCCACTGCATCCGGCTCTATTGGCTTTTTACAGTGGAAGGTGAGGATTCAACTCTACATACCTCCTGCATCATCACGGTTATATCAACTTTTTGGTTAAGTCAGCTTCCATTATTGTTATGTGTGTTTAAATATTAGTCATACATGAGGATATAGTGTATTGTGATACAGCCTTTGCTTTTCATTTGCTTTATTGTGAAGTTTACCTATGTTAATTCACTTCCCAAATCTGAAGAAGTACCCTCAATGTATCCACTCATCAAGTAAATCCTCCTCTTTCTTTCCCTTGGAGACCTTCCTCCTAGAATCAACTATACCCAGTTCTCATCTGGGCTGGCTACTCCTCCATCAGGATGTTGTATGATGTCTTCCTGAGACTCTCTTCACCATCCAGTCTTGAAGACAGACAAGCAAAGCGAGAAAGGACAATTGGGAAAGGATGATGTAATCAGAAGGATCAGCAGTCTCAGTGAGCTGCTGGAACATTGGGAATTGGAGGTGAGGGAGCTGCAACCACGGAGCTCTTGCTGCCCTGACCAGCCCTGCTTTAGGTTATTCAACATCTACCTCCAAGACAAATGTTGTTTGAGTTGCATTGTGAGGCCTCATTATATTAATGCTTCCAGTAAAAAAGAGGATATAGAAACTGCATCTTCTTCTTTAACAACTATGAATATTACTTTACTTGAGTACTTACCTAGGTCGCATATGTACATTTTTAGAAACTCAGTATTTTCATGCACCAGTCATTCAAAAGCAATTTTGAAATGCCATAGGATTTTTTTTAAGGTCTTAATGGACACTCATATTCATAAAGAGGGAAAAATCTTAAAAATGTTCATGTAGAATAGCTAGGGCATTTATAGCACACACAGAGATTAAGTTTTCTATCTCTGGCCTCAGACAGTCTGGGTTTAAAGACTGGTTACACAACTTGTAGGCTACAAGACCTTGGGCAAATCAGTTAACTTCTCTAAGTCTCAGTCTCTTCTTCTGTAAAGTAGGAATGATGATAAAATAATAATAATAATAACACCTGCCTTAAATATTCTAATTAAAAGAAGTAATGCATCTAATGTACTTGGTGCAAGACCACATAGGAAAGAACAATTAGCATAAAGCATTTATTATGTATTTTTTTGCTGAAATATAAAGCAGCAACAAAAGTCTGAATGTGAAAAGCCATAGGACAATTTTATTGTTTTTAGGGGATTTGGATATTCTTTTTTTTTTTTTTTTCTCGCTCTATTGGCCAGGCTAGAGTGCAGTGGCATGATCTCGGCTCACTGCAACCTCTGCCTCCCGGGTTCAAACAATTCTCCTGCCTCAGCCTCCCAAGTAGCTGGGATTACAGGCGTGTGCCACCACGCCTGGCTAATTTTTGTATTTTTAGTAGAGACAGGGTTTCACCATGTTGGCCAGGCTGGTCTCGAACTCCTGACCTCAGGTGATCTGCCCGCCTCAGCCTCCCAAAGTGCTGGGATTACAGGCATGAGCCACCCTGCCCATCCAGGATTTGGATATTCTAAAGGCTCACTGCACTAATTCATTCCTGTATTCGTTTATTAAATGATTATTAAGTACTTATTATGTTCCAAGTATTGTTCACAGTGCTGGAAACACATAAATGGTTAAAACAACAACAACAACAAATGCCTGTGTGGCATTACTCACAATAGCCAAGAGGTGGAAGCAATCCAAATATTCATCAGTGGATGAATGGATAAAGAAAATGTGATAAATACATATAGTGGAACTGTTATGCAGCCTTAAAAAAGAAGGAATTCCTGTCATGTGCTACAATATGAATGAATCTTTGAAGAAATTATGGTTAAGTGAAATAAGCCAGTCCCAAAAGGATAAATACTATATGATTCCACTTATATGTAGTATCTAAAGTAGTCAAAAATCATGAAAACAAAGTTGAAAAGTGGTTGCCAAGGACTGAGGGAAGTGGGAAAGAGGAATCAGTGCTTTTTTTTTTTTTTTTTGAGATGGAGTCTTGCTCTGTCGTCCAGGCTGTAGTGCAGTGGCATGATCTTGGCTCCCTGTAAACTCTGCCTCCCAGATTCAAGCGATTCTCCTGCCTCAGCCTCCTGAGTAGCTGGGATTACAGGTGCGTGCCACCATGCCCAGCTAAATTTTGTATTTTTAGTAGAGACGGGGTTGCACCATGTTGGTCAGACTGGTCTCGAACTCCTGACCTTGTGACCGGCCTGCTTCGGCCTCCCAAAATGCTGGGATTACAGGCATGAGCTACTGTGCCCGGCCGAATCAGTATTTTATGAAAGTATAGAGATTCAGTATTCTAAGATAAAAAAGTTCTAGAGATCTGTTGCAAAACAATGTAAATATACTTAACACTCGAACTTTACACTTAAAAATGGTTAAGATGACAAATTTAATGCTATGTATTTTTTATCACAATTAAAAAATTAAAGCGTGCAATTGGCAAATGAACTGCTGGGTTTACGATCGTTAAGGTGGAACAGTTCAGGGCCAGGCTGGGGAAATAACTGAGCTTGAAGGAAGGCAGCAGCAGTCAGGGACGTCAGCTGGATGGCTACCACCATCCATTAAGACTATAGTCCTCAAGGCCATCACTTGCAGATATCAGGCTATGCTCAAGAGACAGACATTATTTCAGTTATCACAACCAATCTTATATGATAAGTGCTATTGTTTTTGCAGTTCTGTAGATGAAAAACTCAATGTTTTCAGAGGTTAAGTAACTTGTCCAACTGGTGGAAACAGTGATTTCCACTAGAGTAGTTCCAATGCATAACCCATTCTCTTAACCACTCTGCTCTACCTCCCTTGGGGAGATAGGGAAATTTGTGGGCCAGATGCCAAGTCCTTGAAGCAACAGCAGAATGCAAGGGTGATAATGAGAGGGAGGTGGTAGATCTGCCTATGGTATGAAACTTAAAGGAGGTAGGGTTTAGATAAAATGGGTCTGATCATATGTGCCAAATTTAGAAAAACAAAGAGATCAGTGATGAAGTCAGAATCAGTGAAATTGACATTAGGAACAAGGTAAGCAGAGAGAAAGTGAGAGAGGAAGCAAAGACAGAAATCTCACAATTCCTGTGGGCAAACACTCTCAACACAGCTGCTTTTTAAAAAAGTTGCTTCAATTTGCCTACTGTGTTCATATGCATATAAAATCATCTATGTAGATATTCTATATATTCTGTCTCAACATCCTTACATATAATCATTAGGTTAGGTAGTAAACAGGGTTCTAATCACTTTTATATTTTGAACTCATTTAAGATTTTTTTTAACTTTTGTTTTTTTAGACAGGGTCTTGCTGTCACCAGAAGTGCAGTGGCTCAATCTTTGCTAACTGCAGCCTCAAACTCCTGGGCTCAAGTGATCCTACTGCCTCAGCCTCCCAAGCAGCTGGGACTACAGGCATGGTTATTTTTTTTTTTTTTGAGACCGAGCCTTACTCTGTCGTCCAGGCTGTAGTGCAGTAGCACAATCTCAGCTCACTGCAACCTCCGCTTCCAGGGGCTCAAGTGATTCTTGTACCCTAGCCTCCAGAGTAGCTGGGATTACAGGCCTGTGCCACGAAGCCTGGCTAATTTTTGCATTTTTAGTAGAGACAGGGTTTCACCATGTTGGCCAGGCTAGACTCAAACTCCTGACCTCAAGCAATCCTTCCACCTTGGCCTCCCAAAGTGGTGTGATTACAGGTGTGAGCCACTGCACCTGGCCTTGAACTCATTTTAATGACTATCAAGTTATTTTATTGTTTTTAACTGTGGAGAAATACATGTAACAAAATTTATCATCTTGTCATCTTAATCATTTTAATTTATCATCTTAATCATTGTTAAGTGTTTGGCTCAGCGGTACTAAGTGCATGCACAATGTTGTGCAACCATCATTGCTATCCGTCTCCAGAACTCTTATCATCCCAAACAGAAACCCTGTGCCTATTAAATACCTCCTCATTTCTCCCTGCCCCCAGCCCCTGGCAACCACCATCCTATTTTCTCACATCCAAGTACTAAATAGGCCCAAACCTGCTTAGCTTCTGAGATCTGACGGGATTGGGCGTGTTCAGGATGGTATGGCCATAGGCCACCATTTTTTTTTTCTGTTTTTATGACTTTGACTACTCTAGGTACTTCGTATAAGCATAAACATACAATATATGAATGACTATCTAATGTTTAATACTGCCCAGCCAACCCCAAAGTCGTTCACTGCTGCTAACCTGCTTGGAGTAAACCTCACTGTAAGGAAATTCTCTCACCTCTGGGGCCGAACATCAGTTTTTTGAAATAAAAATCACTTTTATGAGACCAAAATTTGAGGGACTAGCATAGCATTAAACAGAAACTTCAAAATTGAATAAGCTATAGTAGAAAATGAGCAGTGACAGTTTGGCCTGAGTTGAGGATCAATGATTTGTGTTGAATATTTGACATGTGAGTTCATCATTAAAAATGAGAAAATTTATCCTAAAATCAATCAGCTAGAAGTGATCTCCAAATTGTTCACCTTTCTATTTATTAGTGTAAAAGAACTGATTCAGGCTGGGTGTGGTAGCTCATACCTGTAATCCCAGCACTTTGGGAGGCAGAGAACAGATCATCGCTTGAGGCCAGAAGTTGGAGGCCAGAAGTTGAAGGCCAGTCTGGGAAACATAGTGATACGCCGTCTCTACAAAAAATAAACATTAAAAAAAAATGAGCTGGACATGGTGGTGCGTGCCCATAGTCCTAGCTACTCAGGTTGCTGAGGTGGGAGGACTGCCGGAACCCAGGAGTTCAGGTTACAATGAACTGATTGTGCCACTGCACTCCAGCCTGTGTGACAAAGTGAGAACATATCTCTAGACAAAGTAAGAAATCAAAACTGATTCAGTGCTTTTAACCAGGGCAATATTAGGACCTATCTATGGGAATTCCTTTGCTTTAGGGCAAGGTTTCTCAACTTGTGCATTATTGACATTTGAGGCCAGATAATTTTTTGCTGTGGAGGGCTGTCCTGTGTATTGTAGGAGGTTTAGCACCTTCCTTGGCCTGTACCCACTAGATGCTAATAGTGCCTCCACATCCAAATTGAGATAATCAAAAATGTCTCCAGATACTGCCAAATGTCCTCTAGCAGGCAAAAGTTATTGCAGTTGAGAACCACTGCTTTAGGAAGATAGAGAAGAAAAAGCACATTTTTTGCTTTATTGATGTAATCTAACTTTGATTCTACATCTCCACTCTGACCTAAACTTTGATGAAAATTATTGTAAATGTGGCTTTAGACTAAAACTAGCAAAACTGTCAGGCAATCTCTTTTTGCATTCACTTCCAATAAATAATAGATTTACAGTTTCTTAAGGGGAAAAATACTGCCCCATGAGTCTGCCATTAACATTGAATGAATACAGGGAGACCAGAGCTGCACAAAGCATGCTGGTCAGCATGGTTTGCAAAAAGCAGCATCCCTGGGCGCTTTCCTACCCCGAGTAACAAGCCAGCCCCTCCCATATCACTCTAATTTCCGAGGACACATTAACACGTTTTTCCCATTACCAGGTCCACAACTACATATTTATAGCATGCAGACTTTAGGGGTGTCAGATGCACAGCAGGTGCTCAAATATTTAATAAGTGAATGAAGGACATCAGAACCAGGTTAGTAGTAGAGGCCAATATGTAAAAAACTGGAGTCTAAACCATCTCACTTCTGAAGTTTTCAGATTATGTAAAATTGAAGTGTTTGAGATGTTAATTCTAATTGCATTATTCTGCTGAAGTCTTCAGTGGAATCCTTAGCTCACAGACTATACCATAGAATATATATCTTAGAATATCTATGACTCCATCTTGGGCCATTCCCCACTATCTCATGTTCTAGTCAAACCAAGTTGTGTTTAACAGTGGCCAGTTGGGGAGATACTATGTTCAGTTTGGAAAAGGAAATTCAATAGTATAACTTTACAAGATGAGAAAAACTTTTGAAATACTAACCAATAAAAGAAAAGCTATATCCAAGTTTGCTTGCTTGCAAGGATGCACAGATTTTTTTTTTCTTTTGTATTTTAGAGATGGGGTCTCACTATGTTGCCCAGGCTGGCTTCAAACTCCTGGGCTCAAGTGATCCTCTTGCCTCAGCCTTCTGAGTATCTGGGACCACAAGTATGTGCCACCACTCGTGGCTGTTTTTGTTGCAGATATTTTTAAAGGAGAAGGGAGGGAGATTTTTTAAATTTATGAAAATAAACAGTGGTTTATAAAGTTCCAGTGACATGCCCTAATGCCTCTTGCCATTTTATACATCGCTGCCTTGCTACTTTTGCTTCTTTTCTCTGCTCACTCTATAACCCCCAATGTATCTCAGATACATTCTGCCTTTAGACTAGGTTTAAGCATCACCTCTTTTTCTAGGAAGCGTCTAATGATTATACCTTATTTGCAACTCCTCCAGCCCCAGCTCCTAGCTCCCATCATTGTACCCTTTGTTTACATCATAGCACTAACCACACTGTATTATAGTTATGTGCTTTACTGTGTCCTTGAAGGGAGGTACTCAGATATCTGTTGCATGAATGAATGCAGGTAAATTTGAATACTGAAAATCGGGTCTGTATAAAGTAAAAAAATCTTGTTTCCCTGTTCTACTGTAGATTACCATTATAATAATAAACATTGCTATTTAAGCAACTACTGTCATCTTCAAATAAACAATGACTTTCTACACTTAGCAATTCCATATTAAAGTCATGTATAAAATTGCCTACTATGAAATAATTGTAGATTTGCCAAAGATGTAGCTATTTGTTATAAGAATATTCAGTGAATATTAACAACCCAAGTATTAATGCTGCACACATAGAATGGAACACTTTGCTCCATTAGAAGCTACCTTTTAGAACAAAGAATATATTCAAAAGTATTGTTAAGGGCCAGGCATGGTGGCTCACGCCTGTAATCTCAGCACTTTGGGAGGCCAAGGTGGGTGAATCATTTGAGGACAGAAGTTCAAGACCAGCCTGGCCAACATGGTGAGATCCTGTCTCTACTAAAACAAAAATTAGCCAGGCGTGGTGGCATGCGCCTGTAATCCCAGCTACTCAGGAGGCTGAAGCAGAATTGCTTGAACCTGGGAGGCTGAGGTTGCAGTGAGCTGAGATCGCATCATTGCACTCCACCCTGCCTGGGAGACAGTGAGACTCCATCTCAAAAAACAAACCCCACCCCACAAAACCCCCAAAAGTATTGTTAAATAACATGCACAGAACAAAAGTATTCAAAATGTTAGTTAATTCTAATCCTGTCACTCTTCCAGTGAACAAAATTTAATGTTTCCTTTCAGTTTTCAGTATTACATCAAACTCATTATCTTAGTATTCTAAAAAACAGCAAGCAATACAGATTATCTTTAGTGGTGATATTAAAAATAATTTTTTTCTTCTTCAGTTTTTCATTATTTTCCAAATATCCTACAATAAAGATGGATAATTTTTTTAACTGATAGGTTTTCTTTTTTTTTTTTTTTTTGAGATGGAGTCTTGCTCTGTCCCCCAGGCTGGAGTGCAGTGGTGTGATCTCGGCTCACTGCAAGCTCCACCTCCCAGGTTCACGCTGTTCTCCTGCCTCAGCCTCCCGAGTAGCTGGGATTACAGGCGCCCGTCACCTCGCCTGGTTAATTTTTTGTATTTTTAGTAGAGACAGCGTTTCACCATGTTAGCCAGGATGGTCTCCATCTCCTGACCTCGTGATCTGCCCGCCTCGGCCTCACAAAGTGCTGGGATTACAGGTGTGAGCCACTGTGCCCGGCCTTTCTCTTTTTTTTTTTTCAACAACGGAATTCCAAACCTTTTATATGGCTGCAAAACTGTACTAATTGCAACAAAATGAATTAAACTAATACCAGAAGCAAAGATATAAAAAATTAAGTTTAAAAAGCCTCATGTATTATGGAGTAATATGCTAATTATCATTTCTATTTACTGTAAATGCTATTCTAATTGAGCAATTATAAGCTACATTTGAATTAACAAATAGACCTGGCCTTATCAATGATGTTATCAGTAAGATTCCAGTCTTTTACTGTAAGACATAACTTAATAATAAAAGTAATTTTGACTTAAAGTCTGTAAGAACAAAATATGAAGGAACACAGCAGATTAACTACAAAATTGAAGCCTCAGGTTCAAACCACGTGTTACTTGAAAATGTCAGAAGTATATTATAGATTTTGAAACCCAGAAGAAATAAACATGTTTTACAATCTGGAATATATAATTTTAATTAGTTCTCAGCAGTGCAGTAAATGAACAACACTTATTAATAATTAATTTGGGAGAGAATAGCAGGAGGAAAAATATAAACAGTAGCTTTTTGTGACCATTTTTAAGTAGCTGACATCTCAGTATGTTTCTGGAATGAACAAATTAAGGGTGTATTGTATATAGTGATTTAAATAATCAGCTTTCTTATAGTCTTATCAACTGAGATTATAAAATTGTAAACACAATTTTTCCATGTTTACATCTACTAGCTTTCATTTGGACACATTAAACCATACTTTTCCATTATGTAGTTAATTCATTTCTTGAGTGCCTGCCTGCCATTAGATGCCAGGTGCTTATCTAATTTTCCAGTTAGTTACTGTTCAGCTTAAGTCACTCTACTTGGTTGTCAACAGTAGTTAAAGCAGTATCTTAAACCAGAGGTCAAAATTAAATCAATATTTTGATTCGAAATGATTACAAACATATCCAAAGGTCATAAAATGCTACTGAGAAGAGTTGTGTTTAAAATGCATTTTCTTCTTACAGATAAGCTGTAATATATACATGCGTATGTAGCTATATACCTTTGATTGTGGTAGCTACACCTGAAAAATCTTTTCTCCTCAGATGAACTTACAAAATTCAAGAGACCACCACTGATACAAGACCGTCTAAAGTTAAAATAAAACTGAGTGACTTGTTACACAGTGAGACAGAAAAACTGATATACATTATTAACTTTTTCAAGTAATGTTATGTACAGTTTTATTGCCAGTATATGCACAACAGTAAGCATAGAACTATAAATACACAATGTAATTAACAGTAGAAAACAAAATTGTTACAGGTAGAGGGAGAGGATATAGAGAAACTTTTCCTGCTGCTAGAACAGAAAGAAAGGGGAAAGCCTATGACAAATCATCCATTCAGTACTCTTGTCTTAAATTCTTTACATATATTTCTACATTTTTTTCAGTTAAACAAAGTACAGATAACTCTGCAACAATGGCAAACTGCTTCCCTAATAGCTATTTGCCTTTTCAATCAAATTCACTTTATATTAGGATTAAAAAAAAGTAAAGATGAGAAATCATTAGTATCCTGGTTCCAAATTATCTAATTTAGCCTTTCACCAAAACTGGTAATTTTTGAGTCGGCTGCACATGAAAAGAATGGGTGTAGCAAGAGGTGATTAAAAAAATTTGCTAAAAAGTAACAGAAAATCACCCTTTAAGTAGTTTTCCAAAAGACACTATAGGCAGCAGCTCAGTTAAAAGTATTAGCCCTGAAGAGGTAGAGAATTTGAGCCCATTATACAAAGACAGCCTTGGCACCATCTTCTCTCTCATCAGGATCAATATTTTCAAGTAAGACAATTTCATGGTAAAAGGAAACCAGGTTCCACCATTTAAAGAAAAGGTGCTGGTCACTCCCATGTCTCGATAATTTGTTTATTACGTGAGAAACAGAAGACGGTCAAGGACACACACGCACTTGATTTTTTTTGTCCGTTTCCATTATCAAGTTTATTCATAAGTGAATTTGATATTAATAAATACAAAAAAGCATCATTCACAACAAAGATATAAACAAACCAAAATAAACCCTGCAATAAAACCTTCTATTTCAGTAAGTATCAAGAAAAAACAGGCAGATGATTTGGTGCAGCTTTCTTAAGGGATCATAGAAGGGACATGGTTTTAAATAAAGATGGCAAGATCAATAACCAATAGACAATATCAGTTTTACAGAACTGGCTGATTCTGTAACATCTGTCTTTGAGGTTTTAGTTTTCAAACTATAGATCACCCCAAAGAAGTTGCAACTAATGACATGTATCACCATCACACAAACGGAGTCCAGCTGTAGTTCAAATTAGTCCTGCTTTGTTTCACATCATTTAAATATTTCTAGCATAGGACATGATACGAAACAAAACTCAAAGTAGCAATAAAAATATTATTCTGCAGTTGAATAAAAGCAAAAATGTTTTAGACTGTTAAACTTTTAAAGCTTTAAGCATTCCTGTTTAACCAGCATTTAAAAAAATTTATACAATCATAACACTGGCAAAGGTTAATGGGAAGACAAAGTACAAACATGTGAAATGATGAATTAAATTAAAAATTACTTTGTGTCGATCAATTGATGTTAATACTGCTTCTTCTTGAATTTGGAATAACTATCATAAAAGTTACATGCAGACTGAGGATAGTCCTCTGTTACAGAAAATACAAAACGAAACGAAACAAAAAACTAAAACTGGGAAACAATAGTAAGTTCCAAAGGATGTGTTTGAGAACTTCCTTTCATTGATGAGGGTGGTCTATCTGTCCTTTCTTTTGAGAGACCTGGTTCGCTGTGATGAGCTTCACTAACTTTGTCCAGAAACATCAGTAGTGGGATCAGCTCCTCCAGAACCTGTTTGTGCACGTTTGATGTAAAGATTCAGTAGCTTCATCTGCAGATTCAAGCCAAATAAATGTCATTTGAGCAAGCTGCTCCAAATTATAAGATACTCATTAAAATATTATATACATATATGTGAGCTCTGAAAGATAGATTTTAGGCTGGGGGTTATTATAATGCCCAAGTTATTGTTGATAATTAGGAATAACAAATTATTTTTTTTTTGCCTAGCACATCTGAAAAAAATATAAAAAGTCAAAAAAGTTTCTAAGTCTTGAAAGTTGTTCATGACAGAGTATTTTATCATGTCTTTTCAAAATATATTGTAGGGATCACATATAAAACTTTTGATATGGTCTAGCTCTGTGTTCCCACTCAAATCTTATCTTGAATTGTAATCCCCATGTGTTGGGGGAGGGTCCTTGTGGGAGGTGACTGAATCATGGGGGCAGTTCCCCTGTGCTGCTCTAGTGATAGTGAGTTCTCACAAAATCTGATGGTTTTGTGAGGGGTTTTTGCCCGCTTCGCTCTGCAGCTCTCCCATTCTTCTCCTTCCTGCCATCATGTGAAGAAGGACATGTTTGCTCACCCTTCTGCCATGATTGTAAGTTTCCTGAAGCCTCTCCAGCCATGCGGAACTGTGAGTCAATTAAATCTCTTTATGAATTACTCAGTCTAGGGCAGTTCTTTTTTTTTTTTTTTGAGATGGAGTCTCACTCTGTCACCCAGGCTGGAGTGTAGTGGCGCAATCTCAGCTCACTGCAAGCTCCACCTCCCAGGTTCACACCATTCTCCTGTCTCAGCCTCCCAAGTAGCTGGGACTACAGGCGCCTGTCACCATGCCTGGCTAATTTTTTATATTTTTAGTAGAGATGGGATTTCACCGTGTTAGCCAGGATGGTCTTGATCTCCTGACCTTGTGATCCACCCACCTCGGCATCCCAAAGTGCTGGGATTACAGTTGTGAGCCATCGTACCTGGCCTAGGGCAGTTCTTTATAGCAGCATGAAAACAGACTAATATAACATTAAAGTAAACTCAGAAGTCACCATTAAAGCAATAATAACAAACAATTGAGTACTAGGTGTTACACGATATGCTGTTTTACATTATATCTTTATCTTTATATTTTATAGATGAGGAAATAACAATATAGAATGGTTAAGTTACTGCCTGAGGTCACAGGGGTGGGTAAGAAGTGGGCAAAAATAGGAATTCAGGTATTTGGGTTACAGGACCTAAGATCTTAGACCATGAAGCCACTGTCATCCTACCAAGAATGTTTTAAATATCTCTGTGTCATTCTGCAGTCTTTGTATGAGATCATGACTTTATGAAGTTTGTAATCAATAAATATACAATTCTGTGTTCTACTTTTTTTTTTTGATACAGGGTCTTGCTCTGTTGCCTGGGCTGGAATGCAGTGGTGTGATCACGGCTCACTGCAGCCTGAATCTCCTGGGCTCAGGCAATCCTTTCACCTCAGCCTCCCAAGTAGCTGGGACCACAGGCACATGCAACCATGCTTGGCTAATTTTTTTTCTTTTTTTGTAGAGACAGGGTGTTCCTATGTTGACCAGGCTGGTCTTGAACTCCTGAGGTCAAGTGATCCTCCCACCTTGGCCTCCCAAGTGCTGTGGGAGCTACCACATCTGGCCTACTTGTTTCATCTAACGTTATTCCAAAATATTTTTTCCACCTACCTACTGTCTTCACATGTAACATTATTACTGGCTACCTACTGTTCTGATAAAGTGCTGAATTTTAATTGTTTTGGAAGGTTTGCTTTTTAAACATTAACTCTTTGATCCAAGAGTTTTTAACCTGCTAGCCATGGGATTCACGGGATCACAGAACCCTCTGAAACGACATGTAATTGTTTCCATTGTGCATTTTTCTATTTTTTTTAAAACTTTGTCTCTCATGGTTTTATCTGAATGCATTTTTCTTAAGATGAGATTTTACCTAAGTCTCGAGGTGGTTTATAACCCGAGTTAAGAATTATTGTTAAATCTATCTATAACTTAATGTAAAGTGTGTTACCTAGGCTCATTTTCCATTATATGTATATTCTGCTTTTTTGCTATTAAAAGATAAATTTGACCACAGTAAGACAATCCTTAGGGTTTCAGAAATTCTTTAAGTGACGGTGAGTGCTTTCTGCTAAATGGTTCATAAGCCATGATTCAACAATCAGAAGTTATCTTCACCCTTGAGAACAAACTTCTAATTCAAAACAATTATTATCATTTTTATTATTAGAGACACGGTCTTCTCAGTATGTTGCCCAGGCTGGTCTCAAATTCCTGGTCTCAAGTGATCCTCCCACCTCGGCCTCCCAAAGTGATGGGATTACGGGTATGAACCACTTTGCCTGGCCACCTTAGCAGAATGAATTTTAAAGTACTGGTAGTAGCAATCAAATGAGAAAGGCAAGACTTACTTATTTTTTTAAGTCTGAACAATGAATTAGAAAACTTTTATTTTAACACACCAAGTTAAAGTTGCACATTAATTTGGATAATAGAAAGAGAAGAACAAATATTTGATTATCATAGTTCTTAAGGGGAAAAATTTTTAAATGTGCAAGTATTCTATATTTGGAGAGATATACAGTAATCCATTAATATATATAACCACAACAGTCTATTTATTCTTAATAAAACAGTGGTCAGGGGTAAAGATTTGGGTCTGGGATTTGGTAAGGAGTCAGCTAACTATTATAAATAACCAGAAGCTGCAGGCATTTTCTCTCACAGAAACCTACCCATCACCCCAACAAACTGCTGACTTCACCTGAGTGAACATCTAACAAATGTTAGAGTAGAAAAAGATAAAATACAAAACAGAAATAATAAGGGCAAGTTGGATGCTCAAAGCCTGACTTATTAAATGCCAAATAAAAAGCTTACTGTTACAGACATGTAACTAAGTTTTGAAAGATGTACTATGGCCACCATCTCTAAAACACAGCAGCACTACTTACTTTACTGCCAGTAAGTTGACTGAGATGTGGTTTTAGTTCATCACCAATTACCGCATGAACAGCCACCAGGCAGAAGACACAAGCTTTCCGAACACTGCTCTCTGAATTATCATAACCCTACGGAGAGAAGTCCACTGTTAGTACTCCAGAGAAGTCCACTGTTAGTACTCCCTTTTTAACAGGGTCAGAAGATGCAGCTGAAAGATGAAATCTCGAGCATACTAAGGAGAGAAAAGTGCAGATCAAAGTTAACTTTTTAACCTTTTCAAGCATAGACAATGCCCTTCTCTCCCTTCACTTCCCCTACTGCGCCCTCACTGTTAGCCCTCTATATCAGGTTCTTACTTAGTCTGGAAAGCTGCACTTCTCTGACTCTGAGGCTGCTCACTTGCCAATTCACCCTGAAAAAAGTCTCCAGACTAACTTTCCTAAAGCATTAGGTTTTAAGGCAGTCAGCACTCCTCACTATCCGATAAAACCTAAATTCATTGGTTTGGTAGCTCAAGGTAGTCACATAATCCAGGCCCGATTAAGTTTTACATCTGTTCCATCCCTGCAATTACTTTCTCTAATAAATCTAGTCTATGTAAACTATTCCCCTATGCTTTTACTGTGCCTTTAATAACCTAATTTTATTTAAAAAATTAACTTGTTTCTAATTGACAAATAATAATTGTATATATTTATGGGGTATAATGTGATGTTTCAATACATGTACACTGTGGAATGACCAAATCAGGCTAATCAACATATCCATCACCTCAGATACTTATCATTTCTTTGTGGTAACATTTAAAATGCATTTTCTTTTATAATTGCTACTTTGAAATATACATTATTAACTAGTTACTGTGCTGTGTAATACGTAGCTAGAACCTAATACTCTTTAACTGAAACTTTGTACCTTTTGACCAACATCTTCCCTTTCTCTGTCCATCTCTCCCACTTACGCTTTTGATCACACTACTTACTCTATTTCAATACTCTACAGCAATCTTATCCATGAAATATTTTTGAATGAATTATCTGAATGAATATGCACATTTTACTCCAGGGAAAAAATAGAGCTCATCTCCACTAAAATCCTAATCATTTTATCTTTCTAAAACAACTGCAGAAACATTAAAATATCAATAGATATCTAGCTAAAAGAAGTACATTATTCCTAAGTCATGCAATCAAACTGTTAATTTTATTTTCCATCATTTTAATATAATTGCAATTATAATGTAAATTAATTTTTCTATATGGTCTTTATAATAATGATATGAGGCATTCATTTAGTATGCTTCCTAATTTAACCATTCTAGAGTATTGTAAGTTTACATCTTCCTCCCCAATAACCTCCTTCCTGCTAAATTTTTCCTATTACAAATAACACTGCAAAGAGTATGGCATTCAATGTTTAAATATTTAAGTGCCTGGTATGTGACAAGAACAGGCCAGGTAAATAATGTTCAGTGTCCAAAAAGACACGCACTGTCCCTTCCCAGAACAGTTAGGGAATCGCATGGCAGAATGAGGTATTATGGGCAAGGAGTGGAATAGGAATGTAATATTTATGATTGGATAATATTCCATTGTATGATATATCATGTTGTTTATCCATTTATTAATGGATATTTGGGTTGTTTTCACCTTTTGGCTACTGTGAATAGTGCTGCTATGAACATTCATGTATAACTATTTAAATATTTGCTTTGACTTCTTTTGGGTATATACCTGGGAATAGAATAGGTGGGTTATATGACAATTTTGTGTTAACTTTATCTTTTTCCTTTTTTTTTTTTTCCTTGAGATGACGTCTTGCTCCGTTGCCTAGGCTGGACTGCAGTATGTGATCTCAGCTCACTGCAACCTCCACCTCCAGGGTTCAAGCAATTCTCCTGCCTCGGTCTCCCACATAGCTGCGATTACAGGCGCCCGCCACCATGCCTGGCTAATTTTTGTATTTTTGGTAGAGATGGGGTTGCATCACGTTGGCCAGGCTGCTCTTCAATTCCTGACCTCAAGTGATTCACCCGCCTCGGACTCCCAAAGTGCTGGGATTACAGGTGTGAGCCACCGTGCCCGGCCTTTATGTTAACTTTTTGAGGAACTGCCAAACTGCATTCCACAGCAGCTGTACCACCAATTTGTATTTATGCAAGCAATGTATAAGGGTTCCAATTTTTGTACATCCTCATCAAAACCTGTTATTTTTGTTCTTTTGATCACAACCATCCCAGTGGGTATGAAGTGGTATCTCATTGTGGTTTTGATTTCCGTAATTACTAATGACACCAAGCATCTTTTCACGTACTTGCTGGCCATTTGTACATCTTCTTTGAAGAAATAGCTATTCAAGTCCTTTGTCCATTTAAAAGTTATTTATCCTTTTGCTGTTGAGTTATAAGAGTTCTTTATATATACTCTGGATAGTAGACCATTATCAGATATATAATTTGCAAGAATGTTCTCCCATACTATAGGTTGTCTTTTCAGTTTTTTGATTAGGTCCTGAGATGAACAAAAGTTATTAATTTTGATGAAGTTCAATTAACCTATTTTTTATTTATCATTGATGCTTTAGGTGTCATATCTAATAATCCACTGCCATAGAGGATGAACTTAAATCTAAGGTCATAAAGATTTATCGCTATGTTTTCTTCTATGAGTTTTGTAGTTTTAGTAGCTATATTTAGATCACTGATTTGTTTGAGTAAATTTTGTTTACGGTATGTGGTCACTGAAGTCTCTTTGTTACCTCAGCAGTTAGCCAGTGACCTGACAGAGATTTCCTTAAATGCCTGGGGTCAAAACAAAACAAGACAAACTCTCCCAGTCTTTGCAGATTGACTCTGAGCTGCGTAATCATTCAATTAGCTAGGCTGCCTACAATTCTGTCTTAGCCCAACTCCTACTTGCATGGAGCCCAAAGAACATCCAGAGGTCCAAGCCTAGGGCCCTCTAAGACGGTGGTCCCCAGCCTTTTTGGCACCAGGGACTGGTTTTGTGGAAGGCAATTTTTCCACGGATGGGGAAGGGTGATGGGGGGATGGTTTCAGGATGAAACTGTTCCACCTCAGATCATCAGGCATTAGATTCTCATAAGAAGCATGGAACCTAGATCCCTCATATGTGCAACTCACAATAGGCTTCATACTTCTGTAAGAATCTAATGCCACTGCTGATCTGACAGGAGGCGAAGCTCAGGTGGTAATGCTCGCTTGCCCACTGCTCACCTCCTGCTGTGTGGCCCAGTTCCTAACAGGCCATGGATCAGTACCAGTCCATGGCCTGGGGGTTAGGGACCCCTGCTCTAAAGTCTTTTCTGAGCATACTTTTGGTGGATTCCTCAGTACACGTGGGCCCAGCAAAACCCTTATTTCACAAATTATCTTCTTCATCAGCTTCCTCCTTCCCAGGCTTTTGTTTGCTGCTTGTCTTGTCTGCTCTCCCTTGCCTCAGGTGGCTATGGGTAGTATGTTTTTAAATCTTTTCAATAGACTCCACTTAGGAAGCCACTTCAGCCTGATGGGAGGTGAAACAAAGGCTAGTCTCTGTGCCAGCCTCTCAGGGAATGCCAGAGATAAAAACAACAACAACAACAACAACAACAACAACAACAACAACAAAACATAACCACAATTTTTTGAGAACAAGGTCCATGTCCCTCCTGGCACCAGCAAGCTACACCACAAATATGGGCCACCATCATCAAGGCTACTGAGCATGGGGGATGGTAGGCAGTTAGGTAAGTTTCTTACTGAAAATAAAAAAGTATTTTCAGTACATGAAAAAGAATGAAGTTGAAACCCTACCTCACACCATATACAAAAATTAACTCAAGGAGTGATGCACAGAAAATGGCAGACAGAGTAGGAAGCTCCAAGAATTGACCCCTCTACTTAAGCAACCACTGAGCTGGCCAAAATGAATAGAATCATGCTACAATAATATATGAAGTGATTTTCAGTGGCTGCTAAAATCATTAGGTGAAAAGATGATGGGGCAAGGTATATAATGGAGGGATTAGACTAATAACATCTGAACCTACTGATCAATCTTAACATCACTGAAGGCGGGACAACTAGACATTATGTGTCATTCAATGAGATGCCACCTAAAAAAGTTTTCTTATTTGGCTTGGCGGCTCATGCCTGTAATCCCAACACTTTGGGAGGTGGAGGCAGGAGGACTGCTTAAGCCCAGGAGTTGGAGACCAGCCTAAGCAACATAATAAGACACTATCTCTACAAAAAATTAAAAAAATTATCCAGGCAACTCACCACCTAAAACAAACAGGAAATTAAGCCAGAAAGTAATCTTTAAAATATTATACTATGTCCTGGAAGTATTAAGCCAGAAAGTAATTTTTAAAACATTATCCTATGTCCTGAAAGTGTAAACTTCATGAAGTATTTAATATGACATGATACTTAGAATTTGCTTTGAAATAGGCCAGGTGCAGTGGCTCATGCCTGTAATCCCAGCACTTTGGGAGGCCGAGGCAGGTGGATCATGAGGTCAGGAGTTCAAGACCAGCCTGGCCAAGATGGTGAAACCTTGTCTCTACTAAAAACTACAAAAATTAGCCGGGCACGGTGGCAGGCACCTGTCGTCCCAGCCAGATACTCAGGAGGCTGAGACAGGAGAATTGCTTGAACACAGGAGGCAGAGGTTTCAGTGAGCCGAGATTGTGCCACTGCACTCCAGCCTGGGTGACAGAGTGAGACTCTGTCTCGAAAAAAAAAAAAAAAAAAAAAAAAAAAAGAATTTGCTTTGAAATAAAATTTGATGTATTTTAATTCATTGTAGTATTATTCTAAAGTACTGAAAGTAAGCCTTTTTCTTTCATTAAGTACTCTCTTGGTTACTATAAGTTTTTGGTTAGATCCTAGAGTTCCAAAAAAGTTGATTCTATTCATTTTTTGCCAGCTCAATGGTTGCTTAAGTAGATGGATCAATTCTTGGAGCTTCCTACTCTGTCTGCCATTTTCTGTGCATCACTCCTTGAGTTAATTTCTGTATATGGTGTGAGGTAGGGGTTCAACTTCATTGTTTTTCATGTGGAAACCCAGTTGTCCTAGCATCACATTTATTAAAAATACTCTTCTTCCCCACAAAAAACTGTGATAATCAATTGCCTATAAATGTGAGGGTTATTTTTGGATTCTATTTCATTGATCTATTAAGTCTACCTTTATGACAGTACCATGTTGTCTTTACTATCATAGCTTTGTAATACGTTTTAAAATTGAGAGTGTAAGTACTCCAATTTTGTTCTTTTTCAAGTTGATTAGATTCTTTTTTTTTTTTTTTGAGAAGGAGTTTCGCTCTTGTTGCCCAGGCTGGAGTGCAATGGCTCAATCTCAGCTCACTGCAACCTCTGCCTCCTAGGTTCAAGTGATTCTCTTGCCTCAGCCTCCCGAGTAGCTGCGATTACAGAGGCGCACCACCACACCCGGCTGATTTTTTGTATTTTTACTAGAGACGGGGTTTCACTATGGCCAGGCTGGTCTTGAACTCCTGACCTCAGGTGATTTGCCTGCCTCAGCTTCCCAGAGTGCTGGGATTACAGGCGTGAGCCACCACACCCAGCCAAGTTGATTAGATTCTTGAGACTCTTTAACAGTTGATAACCTCCTCTTCCTCTTTCTTCATGCCATTTCTTTACTAAAGAAATTTGGCAGTTTTCCTCATAGAATTTCCTACATTCTGAATTTGACAGAATATACCCTTAAGGTACAATTTAACATGCTTCTCTATTCTCTGAACTTCCTTTAAACTGACAGTTAAACTGAAGACTGGATTAGATTTAGGTTCAATTGCTTTAGAAAAGAAAACTTTTAATTTTTATTTTTTGGAGACAGGATCTTGCTCTGTCACTTAGGCTGAAGTGCAGTGGTATGATTGTGGCTCACTGCAGTCTCTACCTCCTGAGCTCAAGTGATCCTCCCACTTCAGCCCCCCAAGTAGCTGGGACTACAGGCACATGCCATCACGCCTGGCTAATTTTTAAAATTTTTTTGTAGCAACAGTTTCTTATTATGTTGCTTAGGCTGGTCTCCAACTCCTGGGCTTAAGCAATCCTCCTGCCTTAGCCTCCCAAAGTGTTGGGTTTACAGGCGTGAGCCACCAAGCCAGGCAAGAAAACTTTTGTCTAGTTGTCCCACCTTCAGTGATGTTAAGATTGGTCAGTAGGTTCAGATGTTGTTAGTCTAACTCCTCCATTATATACCCTGCCGCAACATCTTTTTACCTAACGATGTTGGTGGCTACTGAAAATCACTTCATATATCCATTGTTTCAATGAGGCCAAATATATATATATATATGTGTGTGTGTGTATATATATAATATATATATATATTTTTTGGAGACAGGCTCTTGCTTAGTCACCCAGGCTGGAATGCAGTGGCATGATCACAGCACACTGCAGCCTCAAATTCCCAGGCTCAGGTGATTCTCCTACCTCAGCCTGCTGAATAGCTGGGACCATAGGCATGCCACTGTGAGCCACCAACCCAGGTAAGAAAACCTGGCTAATTAAAAACAATTTTTTTGTAGAGACGAGGCATCACTATGTTGCCCAGGCTGGTCTCGAACTTCCAGGCTCAAGTGATCCTCTTACCTTGGCTTCCCAAAGTGCTAGGATTACAGGTGTGAGCTACCACACACTGCCTAAGAAATATATATACATATTTTTTGTTTGGAGATGGAGTCTCACTCTGTCTCCCAGGCTGGAGTGCAGTGCTGCAATCTTGGCTCACTGCAACCTCTACCTCCCGGGTTCACGCCATTCTCCCGCCCCAGCCTCCTGAGTAGCTAGAATTACAGGCGTCTGCCACCAGCCAGCTAACTTTTGTATTTTTAGTAGATATGGGGTTTCACCATGTTGGCCAGGCTGGTCTCGACCTCCTGACCTCAAGTGACCTGCCCTCCTTGGCTTCCCAAAGTGCTGGGATTACAGGCATGAGCCACCACACCTGGCCAAAAATAATTTTGTAAGTCAATAATTTCTTCTGAATTTACTAGCTGGAATCCTTCTAAAAGTACTTTATCTCATCAAATATTTGGTTATCCTGAAAATAGGATAGGTAGTCTATGAGCTTTGATTCTTTCTCTTTATTAACCAATTTTGGGAATAACCAATAATCTTCAAAGTTGGCCAGTTTTTAAAGTATCAATATAAACTCATGAATTTCACTTTAAAATTTGATGTATTTTAATTCATTGTAGCATTATTCTTTTTGACCCTCAAACATGAATAGTTTCCTTGCTTTCAGTCAATAATTCTCAGGCTCATTTTATACATTACCTGCTCCAAACCTGGACTCAGTCATTTTCCCAAAGACACCTGACTCTTTTGAGTGGAAAATGGTATTTGAAGACCACAATCTGGGTGGTAGGGATGCTCAGTGTTACTGAGTTGATACTGATTCAGAGGCTAGTAGGAAACATTTTTTGAGATAAGAAATTAAATAATATTTTCATTTTGACATACCCAATTCAAAGTTAAGGTTTTAAGATTTACTTCATTTTATGACATCATTATTTGCTTTGTCCTAATCTATCTTATCTATCTGATATGTGTATTGATGTTATTACTATTAAAAAATAACCATACCAGCATCTTTCCTAACTATCTTGGCTCACCGCCAACTCCACCTCTCGGGTTCAAGCAATTCTCCTGCCTCAGCCTCCCGAGTAGCTGGGATTACGGCATGTGCCAACACACCTGGCTAATTTTGTATATTTAGTAGAGACAGAGTCTCTCCATGTTGGTCAACCTGGTCTTGAACTCCCGACCTCAGGTGATCTGCCCACCTTGGCCTCCCAAAGTGCTGGTATTATAGGTGTGAGCCACTGTGCCCAGCCTATTATACTCTGTTCTTAGTACTAAGGCATAGACAAAGATATCTAGATCTTATGTTAGGACCTCCCAATTTAGTAATATTAAGCTTAGACTAGAATAAAAAATACAATACTATAGATGCATAATGATTAGTTCTCTTTAGGAGGGTTCTTAATATACATACTATGTAATATTAGTCAGCCATTAAAATCATATTGTAAAATATTATTTATTGGATGGAAAGAGTTCACAATGTATGGTTAAGTTTTAAAGCATGTTATAAAACACATCTCATTTTTGTTAAAATGTTTCTATGATGGGGTTTATGTAGCTAAAGAGAAACACATTACATCTATGACTATAAATTAGTATAACCACTTTGGAGTGAAATCTGGCAACACCCAGAAATTCTGTTTCTAGATGTATATATATAAGTGCATGAAGATATTACAAGGAAATTATTACAATATTTGTCAATAAAAAGGAAATAATCCAAATATTTATCAACAGATGAACAGATTAACAATTTGTGGCAAATACATAAATGGCATATTATTCATTCATAAAAAGGAATGAAATTCTAATACAAGCTACAACATGGATGAACTCTGAAAACATTATGCTAAGTGAAATAAGCCAGACTTAAAAGGACAAATATTGTATTATTCCACTTATAAGGAATCTAGCAGAAAATAGAATAGAGGTTACCAGGTGCTGGGGGGGATGAAGGGAGGAAGGAATGGGGTTATTGCTTAATGGGTACAGAGTTTCAGTCTGGGATGATGAAAAATTTCTGTATGTGGATAGTAGTGATGGTTGCATAACACTGTGAATGTAGTTAATGCTCCTAAATTGTACAATTAAAAATCGTTAATTTTATGTTATGTAAATTTTACCACACCCACATCTATAACCCCCTGGCTAGTTATGAAAAGTCTTTGTCCTGAATATTGCAGACAAACGGGAGGAAGGCTTGATCATGCCAGTAATGATGCCTGGAAAGTACCTAAAATAACTGTATCCCAAATGTATCATGGCTTATTCCTCTCCAAGCTTTGTTGCTTACCTGTATTAGACCTGGCATAATCTCTGGCAAAAGCAGGTTTAGGGTTTCCTTGGACACTCTCTCTATCACTTTTGTTTGCATTTTGATTGCAGCCAGATTAATTGGGTAGTCTGCAGTTTGAATGATAGGACAAAGCACTTTGATGCACTGCTCTGGACTAATTGAAGTGGCCAACACTGATGCCGCTTCCTCAGCAGATCTCACCACCTAAAAAAAATAGGAAATTAAGCCAGAAAGTAATTTTTAAAATATTACACTACATCCTGGAAGTATAAACTTCATGAAGTATTCAATATAATATATGGAATTTGCTTTGAAAATGCTACAGTAAACAAACATGAAAAGTGAGGGTACAGATTACTGATAAAAAGGATTGGCAAAATGTCAGTAACAGCTGAAGCTAGATGATGGATACATGGGCTTTATTACACTATTCTCCCTTCTTGTGTTCTTTTTTGCTGTTGGCTAAAGTATTTTTTTTTTTTTTTTTTTTGAGACAGGGTCTTGCTCTGTCACCCAGGAAGGAGTGCAGTGGCTTGATCATCAGTCACTATAGCCTCAAACTCCCAGGCTCAAGTGATACTCTCACCTCAGCCTTCTGAGTAGTTGGAACTACAGGCATGCACCATCATGCCCGGCTAATTTTTTTTATTTTTATTTTTAGTAGAGATAAGGTCTTGCTATGTTGCCCACGGTGATGTTAAACTCCAGAGCTCCAGCAATCCTCCTGCCTCGGCCTCACAAAGTGCTGGGATTACAAATGTGAGCTGCCGTGAGCGGCCTTAAAGTAGTTTTTAAATCAAATTGTGGTCTAGTTGTGTTAGTGTGAGGAGGCTCTATTTACTTAGACTACAATGTGACTGGAGTCCCCTGCATAAGCCATGCTGAAGCCCTGCTCATTATTAGTACTCTCATCTCTAGGAGTCCTTGAGCCCTCTGTATCACATTAATGAGAAATAAAATATAAAAATAATATGATTAATGTGTTGTCAAAAGTTAACATACTATTCCTCCTTGTTTTCCTAATATTTTCTTCCTTCTGTATTGAGCTTGGGGAGGGTAAAACACTGGTTTTGTGATGAAGACAAGAAATGGCTGTCTATCTTCTTACCAGAGTCTGTAATCTCTAAAGATAGTCTTAAGAACACGTAAAAATAAAACAAACAACCCCATCAAAAAGTGGGCGAAGGACATGAACAGACACTTCTCAAAAGAAGACATTTATGCAGCCAAAAAACACATGAAGAAATGCTCATCATCACTGGCCATCAGAGAAATGCAAATCAAAACCACTATGAGATATCATCTCACACCAGTTAGAATGGCAATCATTAAAAAGTCAGGAAACAACAGGTGCTGGAGAGGATGTGGAGAAATAGGAACACTTTTACACTGTTGGTGGGACTGTAAACTAGTTCAACCATTGTGGAAGTCAGTGTGGCGATTCCTCAGGGATCTAGAACTAGAAATACCATTTGACCCAGCCATCCCATTACTGGGTATATACCCAAATGACTATAAATCATGCTGCTATAAAGACACATGCACACGTATGTTTATTGCGGCACTATTCACAATAGCAAAGACTTGGAACCAACCCAAATGTCCAACAATGATAGACTGGATTAAGAAAATGTGGCACATATACACCATGGAATACTATGCAGCCATAAAAAATGATGAGTTCATATCCTTTGTAGGGACATGGATGAAATTGGAAACCATCATTCTCAGTAAACTATCGCAAGAACAAAAAACCAAACACCGCATATTCTCACTCATAGGTGGGAATTGAACAATGAGATCACATGGACACAGGAAGGGGAATATCACACTCTGGGGACTGTGGTGGGGTCGGGGGAGGGGGGAGGGATAGCATTGGGAGATATACCTAATGCTAGATGACACATTAGTGGGTGCAGCGCACCAGCATGGCACATGTATACATATGTAACTAACCTGCACAATGTGCACATGTACCCTAAAACTTAGAGTATAATAAAAAAAAAAAAAAAAAAAAAAAAAAAAGAACACGTAAAAATAACTGCTTTTGATGCTACTTTGGCAGTCTCTCACTTAAGATCTCAATAGGTGAAAAATGCTTAGAAAGGTACAGTGGGACATACACTGGAAAAAAAAAAAAAAAAAAAAGGCCAGGAGTGGTGGCTCAGCCTATAATCCCAGCACTTTGGGAGGCTGAGGCAGGCAGATCACGAGGTCAGGAGATCGAGACCACCCTGGCTAACATGGTGAAACCCTGTCTCCACTAAAAATAGAAAAAAATTAGCATGGTGTGGTGGCATGCACCTGTAGTCCCAGCTGTTAGGGAGGCTGAGGCAGGAGAATCGCTTGAACCCAGAGAGGCAGAGATTGCAGTGAGCCAAGATCGTGCCACTGCACTCCAGCCAGGGCGACAGAGTGAGACTCCGTCTAAAAACCAACCAACCAACCAACCAAACAAACAAAAAACAAGAAAATACACTGGACGTTAGAAGACCCAGGGCTAATTTCAGCTTTAATACCTTAAGGGTGTCAATTTTATATTTTGTAGGGATGCTACAGGCCTTATTTGGGTCAAAAGGTAGATAACTAAACTACAAATATTAGGTATCATTTTTAAACTTTCAGTGAAATGCCATAGATGTACCACTACCAAACACGGTTGAATAAAACAAAAACAAAAACAGAAAACAAAACTGGGTCAGGCAAGGTGGCTCAAGTCTGTAATCCCAGCACTCTGGGAGGCCAAGCCAGGCAGATCACTTGAGGCCAGGAGTTCGAGACCAGCCTTGCAAACACAGCGAAACCCCGTTTCCACACAAAAATTAGCTGGGCATGGTGGTGCACACCTGTAATCCCAGCTATTTGGGAGGCTGAGGCAGGAGAACCAGTTGAACTCAGGAGGCAAGGGTTGCAGTGAGCTGAGATCGTGCCACTGCACTCCAGCCTGGGTGACAGCGAGACTCGGTCTCAAAACAAAAAAACCCCAAAACCCCTGCAAAAATCCAGATATATTTAAAAGTTATGATTCACTCTTCTAAAAGAGTCACAGTGAAATCTCTTAAAAAAGTAATTACCCCAAGGGTTTCAATTTCCCTGCATCCTCACCAACATATTGTCTATATTTCTTTTGGGTGTTAAGTGGTCTCTCACTGTGGCTTTGGTTACATTTTCCTAATGACTAATGATGTTGAACATCTTTTCATGTGCTTATTGCCATTTGTATATCTTTGGAGAAATGTTTATTCAGATCCTTTGTCCATTTAAAAAACTGGGCCATCTTTTCATTGCTGAGTTGTAAGAATATATATTATGGATATTAGTACCTTATGAGATACATGTCTGCAAAATTTTTCTCCCATTCTATGAGTTGCCTTTTCACTTTCAGGATAATGTCCTTTGAAGGACAGAAAAGATTTCCTTTGATTTTTTATTTATTTTTATTTTTGAGACAGAGTCTTGCTCTGTCACCCAGACTGGAATTCAGTGGCATGATCTTAGCTCACTGCAGCCTCCGCCTCCCTGGTTCAAGCAATTCTCTTGCCTCAGCCTCCCAAATTGGTGGGATTACAGGTGTCCACCATGACACCTGGCTAATTTTTGTATTTTTAGTGGAGATGGGGTTTTGCCATGTTGGTCAGGCTGGTCTCGAACTCCTGACCTCAAGTGATCCACCTGCTTGGCCTCCCAAAGTGCTGGGATTACAGGCGTAAGCCACCATGCCCAGCCAATTTTTTTTTTTAAATGTTACCTCTAGCTGACCACTAAGCTAATAAAGCACAAAAGGATTTAATGCTGATGAAGTCCAAATTGTGTTTTCTGTTGTTGGTTGCTTCTGCTTTTAGTTATATTATGAAATCACTGCCTAATCCAAGGTAACAAAGATTTATACCTCTGCTTTCTTCGGAGAGGTTTATAGCTTTAGCTCTTGCATTTGGCTCTCATTCATTTTATCTCACTGCTATTTTAACCTTCCTTTTTTGATTTGTCTTTTGCTTCTGTCTTGGTTCTACCATAGATACCTAATGCTATTGCTCAGTTGCTTTCTCTTAGAAATACAGTCCTTACAGAACTAAAAGTAGAACTCCATTTGATCCAGCAATCCCACTATTGGGTATCTACCTAGAAAAAAAGAAGTCATGATATGAAAAAGATACTTGCACACAGGTGTTTATAGCAGCACAATTGGCAATTGCAAAAATATGGAAATAGCCCAAATGCACATCAATCAATGAATGGATAAAGAAATTGTGTATATGTATATACACACACACACACACACCATGTGTATGTGTATATACGCACACACACACCATGGAATACTACTCAGCCATAGAAAGGAATGAAATAATGGCATCCACAGCAACCTGGATGGAATTGGCGATCTTTTATTCTAAGTGAAGTAACTCAGGAATGGAAAACCAAACATCATATGTTCTCATTCATAAGTGGGAGCTAGGCTATGAGGGTGCAAAGGTATAAAATGATACAATGGACTTTGGGGACTTGGGGGAAAGAGTGGGTGTGGGGTGAGGGATAAAAGACTACACATTAGGTACAGTGTACACCGCTAGGGTGACGGATGCACCAAAATCTCAGAAATCACCACTAAAGAACTTATTCATATAACCAAACACCATCTGTTCCTCAAAAACCTATTGAAATAAAAAAAATAGTCCCTATTTGAACATTTTTTTTCTAATTCTTTCAATCCTCATAGTTACCTAATCGATGTCACTGGTGAAGAAGGGGAGAGAGATATCATGGCTACCAAGTACTATGAAACAGGTTCACGGAACTCTTCCATGAAAGCTATCCTCACTACTTTGGTGAATAAACTTGCAACAGATATATAGCTCCTCTAGGCAATTTATCACTTAAAAATAACAATGACCTGCTTGGGCAACATGGTGAAACTTCATCTCTACAAAAAATACCAAAAATCAGCCAGTTGTGCTGGTGCATGCCTGCAGTCCCAGCTACTCGGGAAGCTGAGGTGGGAAGATCACTGGAACCGGGAGGCTGAGGCTGCAGTGAGCTGTGATCACACCACTGCACTCCAGCCTGGGCGACAGAGTGAGATCCTGATTCAACAAACAAACAACCCCCCCAAAACAATGATTTCTTATCTTCATTAGTTATTTTAAAAAATCAAATTCTTATTGCTAAATGAAAAGTGAAAATAAGATTGCTAAACTCTAAGTAGAAAACTAAAAGTGAAGTGAAGGAGAAAACAAAATAAAATAAATTATTTCCTAGAGCTGGCCTGTTTTAGGTGAAAGGTCATGATATCACTGTTTAATTCATTTAATAGAAAAAAATATGCTTGCATCTCGATCAGGTATTACCCTGAATGTCAAGGCAAATGTTCAAGAAAATCATTAATAAGGCTACATTTTACACAATGGTTACATGTTTCATGAAATAAAATAATGGAATAATACTTTACCGGCCAGGTAACTTACCTCCTTATGAGGATCTTTATGTGCTTCCAATGTTTTCATGACAGTCAATTCTGCATAGTTTTTAAATCTTGCTGGTTGATGCCTTAGGATTTCTCTTAAAACCTTTAATGCCAAAGCCCTGATTGTAGGCTAAGAAGAAACATTTAAATGTTTTTAATATTTTGGGTTGTAGATAATCTTTAACATTTTCAATTTTTGTAACTTAAGGGTCTTAATATTGGGGGAGGAGTTGTAGATAACTGCATAAAGTATGCGGTATACTATGTAATTAAGTTTTCTTATCTCTAATTGAAAATTTATATTATACTTATTTTATTTGCAAGAAATCAAGAACTACATTCAGACTATAAAAAGAAGTTTTGGAGCTGGGCACGGTGGCTCATGCCAGTAATCCCAGCTCTTTGGAAGGCTGAGGTGGGTGGATCACTTGAGTTCAGGAGTTCAAGACCAGCCTGGCCAACATGGTGAAACCCCATCTCTACCAAAAACACAAAATTAGCCGGGGGTGGTGGCACGTGCTTATAATCCCAGCTACTCAGGAGGCTGAGGCAGGAGAATCACTGGAGCCTGGGAGATGGAGGTTGCAGTGAGCTGAGATCACACCACTGCATTCCAGCCTGGGCTTGAGAATGAGTGAGATTATTCCTCAAAATAAATAAATAAATAAATAAATAAATAAAAGTTGCTCCTGAACAACTAATCTAAATATGTAAAACAAGTAACATGTACTTTTCTATAAGAATTCAGCCTGCGACCTTTCATTTTTCCTGTTAATTGTTCAAAATTGTTGAGCTACTTGGTTTAGAAGAAAAAGTACTTCACAGTGAAAAGTTCATGCAGAAAGCAGCAGCAGAAGAGATTCATTCTCCCAATTGCTAAATCCGTGTAGCATTAGATTAACAGGCAATGTAAAAGAGACAGGAAGGAAAGGCTACTGTTTACATATTTTGCCATTTACCTCTTTATCTCCAAGCGTTTCAAGCAATAAAAGCAATATTGTTTTGAAGTGTTCATCCCAAACACTAAAAGATTCTTCCTGTGTCAGTTTCATAAGTTCATAGAGGGCAATTTTTCTTTCTTCTACACGCTCATTATGGTTAGACAGCTCCTTCAACAACTCTGCAACTAGGTCAGAATGATCTAGGGAAAGATCTGTCAAAAGGACATGGTATTAGTTCTATAACTTTATAGGGTGACTCTCACAAGTATGGGGATAACAACTTTATATGATGAAACACAGATATAACCATCATGTTTGCTGTAAAAAAGACAAAGAAAAAAGACATTAAGTAATCTTCTTTTCAATTTTGTCATTCCCAAAACACTGGTGCTATCTTAAAACTTTGTATAATAAAAATACACAAAAGTGAGACCAGTATAATGAACCCTTATATTCCCATCACCCAGATTTAACAGTTTTTAAGATTTTACCATTCTTACGTCATCTTTGTCCCCTCTTCCCTTTTATCTGAAGTATTTCTAGCAAATCCCATATATGTCATTTCCTCTTTATATACTTCAGTATGTATTTCTATGGTTTCATGCCAGGAGGCTTAAATGGCTTTTAGGGATGATAAAAACGACCACTGGATTTAGGTAGTGACAATCTAATCCCACCATTGTAAACTTCTCCATAAATCATCCCCCTTTTTTTTCTGAGACAGGGTTTCACTTTGTCGCCAAGGCTGGAGTGTAGTGGTGTGATCATGGCTCATTGCAGTCTCCACCTCCCAGGCTCAATTGATCCTCCCAACTTAAGCCTCCTGAGTAGGTGGGACTACAGGTGTGTACCTACACACCCAGCTAATTTTTGTGGAGACGGGGTTTCGCCATGTTGTCCAGGCCAGTCTGGAACTCCTGGGCTCAAGTGATCTACTGGCCTCCCAAAGTGTTGGGATTATAGGCATGAGCCACCATGCCCAGACTATCAATCTTTTAACCAAAGGTTTCAGTCACTGATTGTTGTTGAATCAGTTATTTTAATATGAGTTAAAAATGGTGATTATCTAATCATACCACTCCTTCCATGGGGTAGAATTCTTCTGTAGAGAATAACTTTATCAACTAGACCTATTCTGATTATCCTGAAATACAGTTTTATAGAAAAAGCAGAACAGATTCTTAATATAGTTCTCTTTAAATTTTAGCATCAAGAATTGGGCCCAGTGGTTACCAAGGAGTTTTGATTTGTTTTTGCCTTCTTTTTAAAAGCATAATTACAAACTCATGGATTTTATAACCATGAAAAGTCACTCACTGCTTATTTTTAAACAACTTATCAGACAGTGCTTTAAATCATTTTTGTAGGAATAACAGTTAAATCTAAGAATCCACATTTGAATGTAACAAAATACCAGAGTTCCTCTTAAATTTTTTTATGATCAAATACACTATAAATTCAGACCTTGAGGGATTTCAGCAGGTAGTGCCCTGGGCTTGGGCCATAGACTAATTTCCTTCCCATCTCTCTGGAATGAAACAACCACAGAGCACGCTGCAGACCAATATAACACTATTGCTGGTTTTAACAAGAACTATTGCCAGCAGGATGAATGTGTCTCTATAAACCCCACAAAAAATCACTCCCGGAAATTTATAACTTATCAGACTTTCAAAGATGTTAAAGGATCATTCTAAGAGTGTCTTTTATTTCAGCTGGATGAATGTGATTCACAAGAAAATGCTTTTCACGGTAGTCAGTTATCTTTTCCATGAAAGTAAGCTTTGTAATTACTCTAGCAGATAATTAGAAATGACCTGACATATAATGATCTGGACAGATGACTGGCAGAAAAATAATTTCTTCCAGAGAAAGCACAGATTGTTACAAAACTGAATTATCTATATGAATGAGATAATCCAAAGTTGCTGAATTTTTCCTCTTCTGACAGAGAGCAGCACCATGGTCAAGTGAAAAGAACATAGGCTCTGTAGTCTCATTAAATCTCTGCTTCTTATACTCTGTGATTGGAGCAGTTTCCTAATTATTGCCAAGGTGCAGTTTTATTATCAGTAAAATGGGAAAATAGCATCTGCCTCCTAGGGTCATGGTGAGGACTTGGGCCTAGAATACAGTAAGATCATTAATATTAATTTTCCTGTGTCCTTCTGACAAATATTGACACAATTACAATTCTGATAATATTTTTGTGGCAGTGCTCAAGAAGTACAAAATAGTCTTTCAGGTTGGCAAACTTTTATATGAATCTTTCCTGAATAACTGCACTATCCTCACTAGAGGTAATATTCTAGAATATTATAGTTCCTAGTAAACTTTACAAAGGTTATCAGTGGCTTTTTTTGGACTTGTTAACTTTGATAAATGTGTGTGCCCGATTGTAATGTGGGCAGAAACACTGGGTGAGAGACATAATCAATAGGTATCAGATATTGAAATAATTTCTATAAAAGTTATAGAAATTCTGACTTGAATAATTATCTTTTGCTAAATTTTAGATTTTAAAAACAAAAAAGGAGGAGAAAGTGCATGGGGGAGGAGAATAAAAGAAAAATCAGAACAGAAATAGAGAACAATTTAAAAAAGAATAATGTTAACAATGTTCATAATAAAATAATGTCAAACAGGGTCTTCCTCATCTCAACATTAAAAATGAAAATAGATAATAAATGAAAACAACTGCCATACAAAGCATGGGACTACTACTGCTTTAGTTTTTTTTCTTTTTTCTTTTCTTTGTACTACAGTAGTTTAACTGAGGGCTTATCCATCTTCAAAGAATGTTTACTCAACATAAAATGGCTGCCTATGTTTCAGAAGTAAATCACACATTAGACTATGATGAAGTAGTGTTCCCAAGCTCAAAAATACTATACCCAATTTAGATTTCAGTTATAGTTTCCAAAAACGTCTTCCTTTACCAAATATAAAATATGTGATCCTTAGTAAAGGAGAAGAGAATTACAGAACAAGGGAGTGATCCTGATAAACTGTCATAATTTTGGCTTTATGATATTTTTGATATGTTATCTCTCTCTTTTCTTTTTTTCTGAGACAGAGTCTTGCTCTGTCACCCAGGCTGGAGTGCACTGGCGTGATCTTGGCTCACAGCAACCTCCACCTCCAAGGTTCAAGCCATTCTCGTGCCTCAGCCTCCCAAGTAGCTGGAATTACAGGCACCTGCTACCACGCCCAGCTAATTTTTGTTAGAGATGGGGTTTCATCATATTGGCCAGGCTAGTCTCGAACTCCTGACCTCGGGTGATCTGCCTGCCTCGGCCTCCCAAAGTGTTGGGATTACAGGCGTGAGGCACTGCAGCTGGCTGATATATTGTCTCTTGACATGAGAAGCTGGTAAAAGTAATCAAAGAAATGCAAAGGATAATTTTTAAAAAGTTATCAAAATTACAAATGACCAGGCATTAGTACACAGATTCCCAAACAAACTATAAGGAGGGTATCCACTGGTGAATGTATCAGCTTTCAGCCCAGACAGGTAGGAAGGCTGTCCACATAGAGTGGTAATCAGGTGTAAGCTGCTGGAGCCAAAGTGGAATAAGAAGGGCATTCATGGTTTTGAGTGAGGATGGAATGGCAAAGCCTAGCAGGATGAGGAGTAGATCTGTGCAAGTAAGGAGGTAATAGCAGAGATAGCAGAAAAACTGGTAGCATACAGAGGACTGATCAAATTGGTAAACATATTAAAGATAACGAAAGCTAGGTTTCTGTCAGAAAAGTGGGTTATCAATCTGGAAATTAGAATTTCCTTGGTGCCAGAATGGAACTACTAGTGTAAAAACATGGTTTTTGATAGATATGGAAACAGAGATGTAAATCTCTACACACACACACACACACACACACACACACACACACACACACACTCCCTAGCTCTGCCCACTGAGAGGTCTGGGGAGCAGTGACATATCACTAACAGTGAGTACATCTAGAGTCCAGATCTTAGCCTTTAAAATCATCTTCCCTTAATAGGAACAATGGATCCCTGAAGAAATGATTGATTCCAGGACTGAAGCACAGGGATAGTACAACAGTACCAGAATGCAAGGATGGGGACATGTTAGAAGAACAACAAAAGCCGGCTTGAATGGAATCCTGTTGGTCAAATCAAGGGCAATTTGAGCTTCAAAATAAATAAATAATGATTGTTATAATGGGAAACTATGAGTCCCTACTGTTACAAAAATGTATGTCAATTTTCTCAAATAAATTTTCTAGAATAGAAAATAAAAAATTTCCTAAATAAATGAATTCAAGTTTGATGAAAAGAATATGTAACCTGTTTAAAAATATTAGTATCTCCTGATAAAACACTTAATTACAAAAAGAAAAAGTAATTTCACAGTAAAGAAGTCTGGTAAGCCCCACCATAATCAAGAGATCAAAGTTAACATCACCAGTGATGGAGCACAGTGAAACCATGTGTTACTAGATAGGGTGCAATGAAAAGAATGCACCATCACTTCTGCAATACTGATGCAAAGAATGTATAACCTGATTCTAATCATGAGAAAACATCAGACAAAACTACATTCAGAGAAATGCTACAAAATAACTTCAAAAGTGTCATGGTCATGAGAGCTAAGGAAAGACTGAACACTGGAGGAGAAGAACACTGATGGAGACATGATGATTAAATGCAATGTGTGGTTCTGAAATGGATCCTTTAGCTGTAAGATATTATTGAGAGATTCTGGGAAGATGGTAGATTAGGAAGCATCAGGACTCTGTCTCCTCAACCAGACAACAGAATCTGTCTGATGTAACTATTTTGGAACTCTAGTCTACTGAAGGCTTAGAACTTCTAGGGAAGGTCTTGGATGGTAAAGTGTGGTTAATTTCTATCAATTTCAGCTCTCAGTACAGTAGCAACTACCCACTCCCCCCTCCACCAGCCCCAGCCCCTTGACAGGCAGCTGTGCACATGTTGCTGGAGCAGCTTGCACACAGCTTGTGGGAATCAGGGCATGAAAAAAGAACCTTATCCTGCGGATACTGAGGACCTGTGCACTGTTGACTGCTGCTTTTTTTTTTCTTCCAAAGACCCTTTCCAAGTCCTAGTCACAGCTGCTTCTGATAACAGAGGTACAGACAAAGAGGCTGGCAGCCATTATTGTTGCACCTTTCCTCACTATTGCAAGCCCTTCCCCCTCTAGCTAAAGTGACTTCCAGGGGCTTAAAGGTCCTGCCCCTCCTTTTTCATTTTTCTCTTTTTCCTTTTTGGGAGCCAGACATTAAAGACCAGCATATTCAAAAACAACTGCATACACATGGAGAGTTAGAAAGTGACAATGGATGCCCAGAAAAAGGTACAGGCTCAGAAAGGATCTGAGAAGACTTTATACCTCAGGCTGAGGCTGATCTTTGGCATAGAGAAAGCCTGCAACAATCAGAACCAGAATCAACAAGCAAAAATAACAAAAGCCACCAATCTCTGGGGTATTGAGAGAATCTGATTTCCAATGTAACCACATTATTAAGATTCAAATATCCAGTTTTCAACAAAAAAATCACAAGGCATATGAAGAACCAGGATAATACAGCATACTCAGAGAAAAAATAAATAAACAGAAACTGCCCTTGAAAAAGATCTGATGGCAGATCTACTAGACAAAGATTTTAAAATACCTGTCTTAAAGATGCTCTAAGAAGTTAAGATGTGTATAAATTCATGAAAATAATGTATGAACAAAATGGAAATATCAGTAAAGAGATAGAAAACCTAAAAAGAAACCAAAAAGAAATTCTGGAATTAAGAAGTATGGTAACTGAAATAAAAAATCCAATAGTGGCCGGGCGCAGTGGCTCACGCCTGTAATCCCAGCACTTTGGGAGGCTGAGGCGGGCGGATCACAAGGTCAGGAGATCGAGACCATCCTGGCTAACACGGTGAAACCCCGTCTCTACTAAAAACACACACACACAAAATTAGCCAGGTGTGGTGGTGGGCGCTTGTAGTCCCAGCTGCTGGGGAGGCTGAGACAGGAGAATGGCACGAACCCAGGAGGCGGAGCTTGCAGTAAGCTGAGATCGCGCCACTGCACTCCAGCCTGGGAGCCAGAGAGAGACTCCATCTCAAAAACAAAAAACAAACAAACAAACAAATTCACTAGTGTAATTACTTAATAAGCATATTTGAGCAGGCAAAAGAATTAGTGAGCAGAGCCTAAGGGATATGTGAGACATCATCAAGTGAACAAATCTACTCATTGTGGGAGTATCAGAAGAGAACAGAAAGACAGAAAAACTATTTGAAAAAATTATGGCTGAAAACCTCCAAAATTTGATGAAAGACATGAACATAAACATATAAGAAGCTCAATGAATTCCATGTAAAATGAACTCAAAGAGAGCCACATCAAGACACATGATAATCAAACTTTCAAAAGGCAAAGACAGAATCTTGCAAGCAGCAACAGATAAGTGACCAGTGACATAAAAAGGATCCTCAGTAAGATTATCAGCAGATTTCTCATTAGAAACGTTGGAGGTCAGAAGGTAGTAGGCTGATATATTCAAAGTGCTAAAAGAAAAAAACTGTTAACCAAGAATCCTACATCTGTCAAAACTGTCCTTCAAAAGCGAGGGAGAAATTAAAAGTACTCTAGACAGTAACTTGAAACCATATGAAGAAATACAGATCTCAATAAACGTAAATATATACATTGGCAATTATAAAAACTACTATTATTGTAATAACAGACTGTAACTCCATTTTTTGTTTTCTACATAATCTAAGAGACTAATATAGTAAAAGACAGTTTATATTTCTGGAGACAATTGTATAAAGACGTAATTTTATAATGCCAACAACTGAAAAGGGTGGGGTCAGAGCTGGAAAAGCACAGAGTTTTTGTATGTTATTGAAATTAAACTGGCATACATTTAAAGTAGCATTATAAATTTAGGATATTAAATGTAACCCCCATGGAAACAACCAAGAAAATAGCTATAAAATATACACTAAAGGAAATAAGAAATTTAAACATTTCACTACAAAACAACTAAACACAAAAGAAAGTAATGTAAAAAGTGACAGGCTATAAGGCATACAGAAAACAAATAGCAACATGACAGAAGTAAGTCCTTTCTTATCAGTAATTACTTTAAATGTAAACGAATTAAATCACCCAGTCAAAAGACAGAGATTAGCAGACTGGATGAAAAAGGACAGAAAGATATTCTATCCTTTTGCAAATAGTAATTACTATTTGCCTGGTATATCAATAGTAATAGTAATAGGTATATCAATAATAGTAAAACTATTACTATTTGCATGGTATATCAATGGTAATAGTAATAGGTATATCAATAAGTAATAGTCAGAGAGCAGGGGTGGCTATACTAATGCCAGACAAAATAGGCTGGGTGCGTTGGTGCATGCCTGTAATACTAGCACTTTGTGAGGCCAAAGGAGGCAGATCACTTATCACTTAAGCTCAGGAGTTTAAGACCAGACCAGGCAACACAGTGAAACCCCATCTCTACTAAAAATACATACAATTAGCCAGGCGTGGTGGCATGTGCCTATAATCCCAGCTACTAGGGAGGCTGAGGTGGGAGAATCCACCTGAGCCCACAAGTTGAGGCTGCAGTAAGCCATGATTGAGTCACTGCATTCCAGCCTGGGCAATGAAAGTGAGACCCTGTCTTAGGATAAAAAAAAGAAAAATAATAATAATCAGACAAAATAGACCTTAAGTGAAAAACAGGTTACAACAGATAAAGGAGGAGGACATTATATATTAAAAAGATTCAATATGCATCAAGAATAAATAACAACTATAAACATGTATGCAGCTAATGACAGACCATCAAAATATATGAAGCAAAAACTGACAGAATTGAAGGGAAAAATAGTTTTACAATAATAGTTGGACTCTCACTATTGGATTCTCACTCTCAATAATGGATAGAACAAAGAGACAGAAGTAAGAAAACAGAGGACTTAATACAATAAAACAACTACATCCAACAGACATATATGGTGCACACAGGACATTTTCCAATATAGGTTATATGTTGGGACACAAAGTAAGTTTCAACAGATTTTAAAATATGGATATAAAACATAGTATCTTCTCCCACCACATGATGAAGTTACAAATCAGTAACAGAAGTAAAACTGGAAAATTCACAAGTTTGAGGAAATTAAACAACACACTCTTAATGGATCAAAGAAATTAGAGAAACTAGAATATAGAGAGACAACTGAATAAAAACAACTACATACCAAAACTTATGGAACACAGTGAAAACAGTGCTAAGGGGGAAATTTATAGCTATAAATGTGTTAACTTAAAAATGAGAAAGGATAAAGGGGCAAGATGGCTGACCAGAAGTAGCTAGTGTACATGGCTCTCACAGAGAGGAAGGGAAGGGGTGAGTAAACACACACACCTTCAACTCAAACATCCAGGTGCTCACAATGGGACTAATCAAGGAAACAACTTGACCCACAGAGAACAAAGAAAAGTAAGACAGGACAGCAGCCCACTAGAGAGCAACACCGAGCCAGGGGAACCTCCCCTGCCTAGGAAAGCGGTGAGTGAATATGTGACTCCAGGGACCATGCTTCTCCCACAGATCTCTGCAACCCTCAGGTCAGGAGATCTCCCTGTGAACCCACTCCACTAGCCTTCAGTCTGTCAGAACTATGTGGAGTCTTGGCAGAGGAGCCACTCAGGCATGCATGGAAACCCTGGAGCCTCAGATACTCGGGCTTTCAGGCAAAGGTAGCTACAGCTCCGGCAAAGTGGGAGGTTAGACCCCTGTACATAGCCTTAGGAAAGAGGCTGAATCTAGGGGGCTGAGCAGTGACAGCCTGCAGCCCCACTTCCACAGCACCTCACAAGATAAGACCCACTGGCTTGGAATTCCAGACAGCCACCGTTAACGGCACTGCACCTCCCTAAGAAGGAGCTCCCAGCGGGAGGGGCAGGCTGCCATCTTTGCTGTTTGGGTGACTTGGCTGATCCAGTCTTCCGGCTTTATAGAGTTTGATCTGACCAGGGGGCGGAAGGGATTCCTCCAGCATAGCTGCTCCACCAAAGCGTGGGCAGGCTGCTGCTGCTGCTTCTTCTTTTTTTTTTTTTTAATTTATAGCTGGGATTACAGGTGTGCACCACCATGCCCAGCTAATTTTTGTATTTTTAGTAGAGATGGGTTTTTACCATGTTGGCCAGGCTGGTCTTGAACTCCTGGTGTCAAGTGATCTGCCCTGCCTTGACCTCCCAAAGTGCTCAGATGTCATAATACACAGAGACTCAAAATAAAGGTATGGAGGAAAATCTACCAAGCAAATGTAAAACAAAAAATCAGAGGTTGCAATCCTAATTTCAGACAGAAGAGATTTCGAACCAACAAAGATCAAAAAAGACAAAGTAGGACATTACATAATGGAAAAGGGTTCAATTCAACAAGGAGACCTAAGTATCCTAAATATATATGCACCCAACACAGGAGCACACAGATTCATAAAGCAAGTTCTTAGAGATCTACAAAGAGACATAGATTCCCACACAGTAACAGCAGGAGACTTCAACACTCCACTGATAGTATTAGACAGATCATCAAGGCAGAAAATTAACAAAGATATTCAGGACTAAACTCAACATTGGACCAAATGGATCTGACAGACCTTTATAGAACTCTCCACCCCAAACCAACAGAATATACATTCTTCTCATCATCACATGGCACATACTCTAAAATTGCCCACATAATTGGATATAAAACAATCCTCAAGAAAAGTAAAAGAACCAAAATCATACCAGACACAAGCTTGGACCACAGCACAATAAAAATAGAAGTCAAGACTATGAAAATTGCTCAAAAACATGCAATTATATGGAATTAAACAACACGCCCCTGAATTACTTTTGGGTAAATAATGAAATTAAGGCAGAAATCAAGAAGTTCTTTGAAAACAATGAGAACAAAGATACAAGACATTAGAATCTTTGAGATACAGCTATGGCAGTGTTAAGAGGTAAATTCATAGCACTAAATGCCAACATCAAAAAGTTAGATCTCAAAATAACAACCTAACTTCATAACTGAAAGAATTAGAGAAGGAAGAACAAATTAACCCCAATGTTAGCAGAGGACAAGAAATAAAAATCAGAGCTGAAATGAAAGAAATTGAGACACAAAACATCTTTCAAAAGATCAATGGATTCAGGAGTTGTTTTTGAAAAAATTAATAAAATAGATAGGCCACTAGCTAGACTAACAAAGAAGGAGAGAAGATCCAAATAAACACAATTAGAAATGATGAAGGGAATGTTACTACTGACTGCACAGAAATAAAAACCATCAGAAACTACTACGAACACCTCTATGCATATAAACTAGAAAACCTAGAAGAGACAGATAAATTCCTGGACACATACACCCTCCCAAAACTGATGCAGGAAGAAACTGATTCCCTGAACAGACTAATAACAAGCTCCAAAATTGAATCAGTAAAACACAGCCTACCAATAATAATAATAAAGCATGGGATCTGATGAATGCACAGCTGAATTCTACCAGATGTACAAATAAAAGCTGGTACCATTCCTACAGAAATGATTCCAAAAAAGTGAGGAGGAAAGACTCCTTCACAACTCATTTTGAGGCCAGCATCACAGAATGATACCAAAACCTGGCAGAGTCTGGGTACTGTGGCTCACACCTGTACCCCAGCACATTACAACAACCTGTAATCCCAGCACTTTGGGAGGCTGAGGCAGGCAGATCACCTGAGGTCAGGAGCTTGAGACCAGCCTGGCCAACATAGTTAAAACCCATCTTTACTAAAAATACAAAAAATTAGCCAGACGTGGTGGCATGCACCTGTAATCCCAGCTATTCAGGAGGCTGAGGCAGGAGAATTACTTGAACCCAGAAGGTGGAAGTTGCAGAGAGCCGAGATCATGCTGCTGCCCCCCAGCCTGGGTGACAGAGCGAGACTGTCTCAAAACAAAACAAAAAAAACCACAACAACAAAAAAGAAAACTTCAGGCCAGTATCCTTGATGAACATCAATGCAAAATCCTCAAGAAAATACTGGCAAACCGAATCCAGCAGGACATCAAAAAGCTAATCCACCATGGTCATGTAGGCCTCATCCCTAGATGCAACGCTGGCTCAACATTCACAAATCAATGAATGTGATTCATCACATATACAGAACTAAAGACAAAAACCACATGATTATTTCAATAGACACAAAAAAAGACTTGACAAAATTCAACACTGCTTCATGCTAAAAACTCTCAATAAGCTAGGTATTGAAGGAACATATCTCAAAATAATAAGAGCCATATATGACAAACCCACAGCAGCCAACATTATTCAAAATGGGCAAAAGCTGGAAGCAGTCCCCTTGAAAACTGGCACAAGACAAGGATGCCCTCTCTCAACACTTCTATTAAACATAGTTTTGGAAGTCCTAGCCAGAGCAATCAGGCAAGAGAAAGAAATAAAGGGCTTCCAGGTCAGGCATGGTGGCTCACATCTGTAATCCCAGCATTTTGGGATGCCGAGATGGGTGGCTCACTTGAGGTCAGGAATTTGAGACCAGCCTGGCCAACATGGTGAAACCCCATCTCTACTAAAAATACAAAAATCAGCCTGGAGTGGTGGTGTGTGCCTGTAGTCCCAGCTACTTGGGAGGTTGAGGCAGGAGAATTGCTTGAACCCAGGAGGCAGAGGTTGCTGTGAGCCAAGATTGCGCCACAGCACTCCAGCCTGGGTGACAGAGCAAGACTGCATCTCGAAATAAAGAAAGAAAGAAAGAAACAAAGAAGGAAAGAAAGAAAGGAAGAAAGAAAGAGAGAAAGAAAGAGAGGTCGATAGACAGATAAAGGGCCTCCAAACATGAAGAGAAAGTCAAACTATCTCTGTTTGCAGACAACATCATTTTATATTTAGAAAACCCCATAGTCTCAGCCCAAAAGCTCCTCAAGCTGATAAACAACTTCAGCTAAGTTTCAGGATATAAAATCAACATACGAAAATCACTAGCATTCCTATACACCAACAACAGCCAAACCAAGAGTCAAATCAGAAAGGCAATCCCATTCACAACTGCCATAAAAAGAATAAAATACCTAGGAATATAGCTAACCAGAGAAGTGAAAGAGCTCTACAATGAGAATTACAAAACACTGCTCAAAGAAATCAGAGAAGACACAAACAAATGTTAAAACATCCCAGCTCATGGATAGGAAGAATCAACATCATTAAAATGACTATTCTGCCCAAAGCAATGTACAGATTCAATGCTATTCCTATCAAACTACCAACGACATTCTTCACAGAACTTGAAAAACCTATTTTAAAATTCATATGGAACCAAAAAAGAGCCCAAATAGCAAAGGCAAGCCTAGGCAAAAAGAACAAAGCTAGAGGCATCACGTTGCCTGATTTCAGACTATACTACAAGGATACAGTAACCAAAACAGCATGGTACTAGCACAAAAACAGGCACATAGACCACTGAACAGAATAGAGAGCCAGAAATTAGACTGCAAATCTGTGAGCCATTTTACATTCATATTTGAGGAGCCATCTTCTATCAAAGTTTTTAAAAATTTTTAAACTTTTTTGTTAAAACCTAAGACACAAACACACACATTAGTCTAGTCCTACACAGGGTCAAGATCAACTTCACTGTCTTCCACCTCCACATCTTGTCCCACTAAAAGATCTTCGGCCGGGCGCGGTGGCTCACGCCTGTAATCCCAGCACTTTGGGAGGCCGAGGCGGGTGGATCATGAGGTCAGGAGATCGAGACCATCCTGGCTAACAAGGTGAAACCCCGTCTCTACTAAAAATACAAAAAAGCCGGGCGCAGTGGCGGGCGCCTGTAGTCCCAGCTACTCGGGAGGCTGAGGCAGGAGAATGGTGTGAACCCGGGAGGCGGAGCTTGCAGTGAGCCGAGATTGCGCCACTGCGGTCCGCAGTCCGGGCTGGGCGACAGAGCGAGACTCCGTCTCAAAAAAAAAAAAAAAAAAAAAAAAAAAGATCTTCAAGGGTAATAACATGCATGGGGCTGTTATTTCCTATGACAACAATGCCTTCTTGTGGAATACCTCCTGAAGGACCCGAATGAGGCTGTTTTACAATTAACTTAAAAAAAAAAATAAGTATGAGTACACTCTAAAATAGTGATGAAAAGTACAGTATAGTAAATACTAAAACCAGGCTGTGCATGGTGGTGCATGCCTTGTAATCCCAGCATTTTGCAAGGCTAAAGCAGGCAGACTGCTTGAGCCCAGGAGTTTTAGACTAGCCTGGACAATATCACAAAACCCTAACTTTACAAAAAAAAATTAGCCAGGCATGGTGGCGTGTACCTGTTGTCCCAGCTATTCAGGAGGCTAAGGTAGGAGAACAGCTTCAGCCCAGGAGGGTGAGGCTGCAATGAACCAAGATCATGCCACTGCACTCCAGCCTAGGTGACAGAGTAAGACCCTGTCTCAAAAATAAATAAACAAATAAATAAACAAACCAGTAACGCAGTTGTTTATTAAGGATATTAAGTATTATGTATTTCACATAATTGTATGTGCTATATTTTTATACAGTTGGCAGTGCAGGTTTGTTTACACCAGCATTATCACAAACGTGTAATGCATTGCACTATGATGGTATGACAGCAATGATACCACTAGGTAATAGGAATTTTTTAGCTCCATTTTAATCTTATGGGACCACTGTCATAAATGGAGTCTGACACTGCATGAAATGTTATGTACTGCATGGCTGTACATCGGAATTAACCAAGGTGAAAGACTTGTACAATGAAGACTAGAAAAGACTGCTGAAAGAAATATAAAAGAAAATACACATAAATAGAAGCACATCCCATTTTCATGGATTGGAACACTTAATAATGTTAAGATACCAATATTATCCAAAGAGATCTACAGATTCAGTGCAATCACTACCAAAATCCCAATGACACTTTTTACAGAAATAGAAAAATTATCCTAAAATTCATAAGGAATCTTAAGTGACAGCAAATAGTCACAACAGTCTTGAAAAAGAACAAAGCTAGAGGACTCATACTTCTCCCTGATTTCAAAATTTACTACAGAGCTACAGTAATCAAAACAGCATTTTAATGGCATAAAGACAGACACATAGAACAAGAATAGAATATACAGCCCCCAAAGGCACAGGCAACAACAACAAAAATAGGCAAATTAAAGTTAATGAAAATTAAAAATTTCTGTGTCTCAAAAAATAATATCAACAGAGTAAAATGGCAACCCACAGAATGGAAGAAATATTTGCAAATCATATATCTGACAAGATATTAATATCCAGAATATACAGAGAACTCCTGCAACAACAACAAAAATAAACAACCTGATTCAAACATGGGCAAAGGAATAGAAAAGACATTTTTCCAAAGATGGTAATCAAATGGCCAATAAGCACAGGAAAAGATGCTCAGCATTACTAATCATTAGGGAAATGCAAATCAAAACTACAATGACGGCCAGGTGCAACGGCTCATACCTGTAATCTCGGCACTTTGGGAGGCCGAGGAGGGTGGATCACCTGAGGTCAGGAGTTCGAGACCAGCCTGACCAACATGGACAAACCCCGTCTCTACTAAAATACAAAAATTAGCCAGGCATGGCGGTGCACACCTGTAATCCCAGCTACTCAGCAGGCTGAGGCAGGAGAATTGTTTGAACCTGGGAGGTGGAGGTTGCAGTGAGCCAAGATCGCGCCATTGCACTCCAGCCTAGACGACAAGAGCGAAACTCTGTCTCAAAACAAAAACAAAAACAAAAACAAAACCTACAATGGGATATCGCCACACATCCATTCAGATGGTTACTATAAAACAACAACAGCAACAATGAAATAACTAGTATTGGTGAGGATATGGGAAACTGAAACCCTTCTGCACTGGTGGTGGGGAAGTAAAATGGTATACCTGCTATGGAAAACAGTACAGTGTCTTCAAAAAATTAAAAACAGAACTACCATATGATCCAGCAATTCTACTTCTGGGTATTTACCCATCAAAATTGAAAACAGGGTATTGAAGAGGTATGTGCACACCAATGTTCATAGCAACATTATTCATAACAGCCAAAACTTGGAAGCAACACAAGTGTCCATCAGTGGATGAATGGATAAGCAAAATGTGGCATATACACACAATGGAGTATTATTCAGCCTTACAAAGGAAGAAAATTCTGACATATGCTACAACATGAATCAACCTTGAGGATACCACGCTAAATGAAATAAGCCAGTCACAAAATGACAAGTAATGTATGACTCCACTTATAGAGTACTTAAGAGTAGACAAAAATCAGAGAGACAAGAGAATGGTAGTTGCCAGGGGCTGGAGTGGGGGTGGAATTGGGGAGTTATTATTTAATTGGTATAGAGTTTCAGTTTTACAACCTGAAAAGAGTTATGTGAGATGGATGGTCTTGATGGATGTGCAACAGTATGAATATATTTAATATCACTAAACTGTATATATAAAATGCTTAAGATAATAAATGTTATGTGTATTTTAACACAGCAAAACAAATTGGAAAAAAGATATTATTGGGACAGCTGGCAAAATTCTAATGGGGTTTTAAGGATTAGGTGGTTATTAATGTACCAATGATAATTTCCTGATTTAAAAAATTCTGTGGTTTAGGGGGAAGAAAAGAAATTTTATTTTTTGTAATTATTAGTTTTTTAGAGACAGAATCTCATTTGTTGTCCAGTCTTTAGTATGGGACTCTTCACAGGCATCATCATAGTATACTGTAGCCTTGAACTCCAAGCCTCAAAGGATCCTCCTGGCTCAGCCTCCTGAGTAGCTGGGACTACTGGCACTGGCTAATTTCTTGATTTTGATGAGTATTTTGTTGTTATGCAGGAGAATGTCTTTGTAGAAAATAAATCCTAAAGTGTTTAACGTGACAGAGCATCAGGTTGGTAATTTACTTTCAAATGTTTCATGAAGAAAAAGTTCTTTGTACTGTACTCCCAATTTTTAAGCTCTTGATCATTTTAAGATTAAAAAATACATATTTATAGTACAATCAAGGCAAGAAAAGTCAGTTGACATTTAGTCTGACAGTTTGTGACCCATGTGCATAAATGATTTTTAAATAATTAATGCTACTGAAGCTAAGTCTCAATTTACCAGGCTGTTGCTACTACATAGTATTCAATGGATACTTTCATGCTATGTCCAATTTATTCACCAATGTTACACCACTATCATGACTAAACCTCAGAAAGACAGTCAACTATTTGTGACAGATTAAAACACATCAAAGTCTATAATTGTGGCAATTTTCTACATCCTTATGCAATTTGGACTTAGTTTGGTAAACTGTCATAATTTTGGCTTTTTGATATTTGTGAATATATTAAAGAGAAGGTAACAAAAACACTCCTCAACTTTGCTAGTAATCAAAGAACTACAAGTGAAGCTATTTCTTGTTAATAAAAATTTTAAAAATTTAAAAATATCTCTAATATTTAATTCCTCAATATCTAATAATCAAGGAAATGTACATTCATCACAATCAGAAAAATTTTTAAACATTCTGTGTTGGTGAGAAAATCAGCATTACTTAAACTAGCCAACTATTCTGAGATGTAAATAGGTAGTAAGTTTAAAACTTTAAATTCACCTATCCTTTAAGTGAGCAATTCCATCTCTAGAAATCTCTTAAAAGTGAATTATCTTTATTGCTCTTTTTTTTTGAGACAGGGTCTCACTCTGTTGCCCAGGTTGGAGTGCAGTGGTGCAATCTCGGTTCACTGAAACCTCCACCTCCCAGGGAGTTCAAGCGATTCTCCTGCCTCAGCTCCCGAGTAGCTGGGATGACAGGCGCGTGCCACCACGCCCAGCTAATTTTCATATTTTTAGTAGAGAAGTTTTCACTATGTTGGTCAGGCTGGTCTCGAACTCCTGGCCTCAAGTGATTCACCCACCTCGGCCTCCCAAAGTGTTGGGATTACAGGAGTGAGCCACTGCGCCTGGCCACTGACTGTTCTTACGATGCCTGACACACACAAAAAGAATTATTTATGGGCATAAAGGTTTATGCAGAAATATGTTCACTGACAGCAACATTATGGGAATAAAGAAAAACCTGAATATAGAATCATGGGATAGTGTTGAGAGAAAGACTTTCAAGTTTATCTGTGTATAGTTATATATTACTATATAGTACTAGAATCTTAAGAAAAGTATTAATGAATTAAGTAATTAAGAAAAAATATGTTTCCTTATTATAAAAAATAACTAGGACAGGCACAGTGGCTCACACCTACAATCCCAGCACTTTGAGAGGTTGAGGTGGGAGGATCACTTATGGCCAGGAGTTCAAGACCAGCCTAGGGAACATAGGGAGGCCCCATCTCTATAGAACATTTATTTAAAAAGGTAAAATTAGCTGAGTATGGTGGTCCGTAGTCCCAGCTACTCAGGAGGCTGAGGTGGGAGGATCGCTTGAGCCTACGAGGACAAGGCTGCAGTGAGCTATGTTTGAGCGACTACATTCCAGACTGGGCAACAGAGTGACACCCAGTCTCTTAAACAAAACACTAAAACATTTGTAGTGTTTTGTACTATATCATCAGTTTTTATACAACTTACCTGCATCTTACTGCACACTGGGATTAGGTAGTATAATCATCATCATCCTCTTTTGGAGGTGATAACTGAGACTCGGGAAAGTTAACCATCTTGCCAGGCTATGCAGCTTAGTAAGTGTTAGAGCTTAGAACTAAGCCCATTTCACCCAAATTCAAATCCTAATGGTAACTTTCCTTATATTTCGTCCTTGAAATGTATTTTATTAATAAAAAAGTTTATGACTTCATGCTTAAAGGGCTACTATAAAGAATGGGTATTTCTTCAAAGGTTTTGTCATCGTGGTATAAAAATTAATGACCAAATAAATTGTGTCTAGAGGTAAAGTAAATTTATAAGCTACAATTGGTTTTAGTTATTTCTGGGTGGTAACTAAGGTTTTCTTGATTTTGATCATGATCTCAAGATGACTACCCTGTTTCTCATTCAGGAGAAGAAAATGACCAAAGCACTAGAGATGAGTTCCTAGAAGATGGGAGAAAACATTCTTATTCTAAAAATTGTTACTTTTTGGGAGTTATAATAAAAAAGCATATGCATTTCTTTTACTTCATCAATTACCAAGTTCTCCAAAACAGACAGTAGCAGTGTGACCCAGAACATACCGTCAGGAAACTGGTCAGCATCATCATCAAACATGGCTTCCTTGAGGGCAGACTTGTTGAAGGGACTGATGCTATCTGAATAGTTATATGGATTATAGTCTCGAGAGCGTGGAGAGGAGTGAGTAGGCATTGAATGGAGCAATGAAGCTTTATTATCAAGAGCTGTTTGACTTGAGTCAGTAGCATCACCTCCTGCTCTTGGGTCAGACATCCCAGGACCACCACACATCTATCAATGGGAAGTGAAAGCCACAGCAAATTAACTCATTTTTCAAGTATCTATTTAACATTCTAAAAAGATATTTCTCTACTGCTTAAAAGACAATTTTAAAAAGATAACAATAACCAGCTAAAAAATTTAAGTAATGGCAATCAACATTATGAGTTACAATTTATATTCCAGACGTCAAAGCTTAAAAATATAAACTACAGCTGTGAAGGCAAATAAGAACTGTAAAAGAATGCTGCCTCTAATGATTATTACAGTTCCCTTGCAAACAACTTGACCAGACAATATGTACAGTGTGATTACCAGCAACTTCTCCATGTCAGTTAAAGATACAAAAGAACTTTCATAAGCAATACAGTACTACAAGCTGCCAGATTCCATTATTAAGGTAATGGTATATCATACAACAGTATGTCAAAAAAGCATAATAAAATCAAATTTAAAAAGGCTTGCTTTAAGGAGAAAAAAAAAAAAAAGAAAGGCTTAAAAGGCCTGCATAACTTTTGGAAGGATGCCAAAAGAATTTGGGTACATACTTATCAAAATATGAATATGAATATTGATACAAATACTGGTATCAAAATAATTACTACCATGGGTATCAGCATCACCACCATCCACTGGGCAACTATGTGCCAAGCCATTTGCTAGGCACTTTACAAATATTCTTAAAATATTTACTATGCACATATTATATGCCTGGCATTGTTCACAGCATTGGGAATACATCAGTGAGCAAAAGAGAGAACGATGCCTACCCCAGTGGAGTTTATATTTTAGTGGAGGGACAGACCAAAAAAAAAAAAAACTTAATGAACGAATAAAGTATACGACATGTTAGAAGAAGGAATCATGAATGCTGAGGTGGGAGGATGGAGTTCACAGATTAAATAGGATGAGTAGGGTTCACTGAGAAGCCACTTGAATAAACACTTGAAGGAAGTAAGGGAATCAGCCAAGGGGCTATCTGGAGGTAGAGTGTTTCAGGTAGAGAAAACAGCCAATACACAGATCCTGAAGCAGGAACGTGCATAGTAAGTTCAAGGAATAGCAAGGAGGCCAGTGTGGCAGGAGCAGAGTGAACAAGGAGGAAACTAGCAGGAGATGAGGCCAGAGAGGTAACAGAAAAAAAGCCTATTGTATAGACTTTGGTTTTTACTCTGAGACAGAGACCTCCTATAGAGTTGAGTGAGAGTGAGAGTGGACTATAGGAGGTCAAGGGCATAATCAAGGAGGCCAAATTTTAATAATCCAGGTGAGAGAAATGATGAAGATGATGGCTCAAACCAGAAAGGCAGTGGTGAGAATAGGCTGAATTCTGGATACATTCTGCAGTGGAGACAAAAGATTTCCTGACAGATTTGGTATGGAGGATGAGAAAAACAGAGGTCTCAACAACTCTTGTCCATGGATTTTGGCTAGGCAACTAGGGTTGCCATTAACTAAGATAGGAAAGAGCAGCTTTAGGGGAGAAGACCAGGAGTTCAAACAGGCAGCTGAATGTGAATGTGGAACTCAGGAAAGAGGTCTGAGCTGAATAGAGTCATAGGATTTATTATACTTACAACAACTTTTAAGGTAAGCAGTGATATCCCTATTTTCTTAATGAAGACATTGAAGCTTAGAGGTGATCACCTGATTAGCTAATAACTGCCAGGAACCGGGATTTGAACTCATTTCCCAAAATTCACAATTTGAGTTCCCTACCCTGTACCATGCTGTGTCTAAAAAACCAAAAAAAAAACTGAGTCTCAATGAAGCAGTGATTCCTACTAATCTGTTATTGCTACCACATGCAGCTTTGAAGGGTAGGGAACCTCAAATATCAGTGATAAGCTGGTTTTGGCAGCCAGTATACTAGGCTCACCACAATCTTGCTCTGCCAGATAGGCACAGTGAGAAAAACAACAGCAGGAAAGATGGCAGGAAGGCAGAGGAAGGAGCCCTTTGGAGATGTGCTGAAGCACTACAATGTTCTGTAACTTTGCAAACACTGAGAAACAATGAATTCCACAGGAACTGGTGGGATGGCTCATTTTGTGAAAAGTCTAAGCTGTCAGAGAAAAGTCTAAGAAGCAGGAAAGTAAAAAACTATTCTGTGTATAATGGCAGAAGCAATAAACAATATTCAAATATGTCAATAATATTAAATATGTAAGAATGTTGTAGGTTATAACATTCTTACTTAAGTGTAATGATGTGTTTTTAAAAATACTTGAGAGTCAGTTACTTGCATACAAGAGAAATAAAACATTTGCCACATTATTAAAAAAACAAAACAAAACAAAACACATTCTTAACTGTAGCCGCATAAACTGACAATGCAAATTACTATCACTACACCTAACAGGCAAAAAAAACTCTAAACTCCTTATGTGTTCTTACAAGACTCAATGTGGGTCGGGCGCAGTGGCTCACACCTGTAATCCCAGCACTTTGGGAGGCCGAGGTGGGCAGATCACAAGGTCAGGAGATCGAGACCATCCTGGCTAACACGGTGAAACCTCATCTCTGCTAAAAATACAACAAATTAGCCGGGCATGGTGGCGGGCGCCTGTAGTCCCAGCTACTCAGGAGGCTGAGGCAGGAGAATGGCGTGAACCCGGAAGGCAGAGCTTGCAGTGAGCCGAGATTGCGCCACTGCACTCCAGCCTGGGCGACAGAGCGAGACTCCGTCTCAAAAAAAAAAAAAGACTCAATGTGATCTGGCCCATGTTCCACTCCTTTTCTCTCACAATGGTCCAACTACACTGGTTTTCTTCCTAGTCCTCAACTATACAAAGCTTGTTCCCATCTAAATGTCTTTGGATTTGCTAATTATTTCAAGGAATTCTCCTCTAGATTTTATGTGGCTTTATTTAGGTTTCAATGCAAATGCTACCTTTGGAGTGAGGCCTTCTTGGACCACACAATCTAAAATAGACTCACTTTCCTCCAAAGCACATTCTATCCTAAAACTCTGTAGTACTCATCTCTATATGAAAAATCTAAAAGGAAATTTGAAGGCAGTGATTTTGTCGTATAAATCTAATGCATCTTAGACCACACAATCTAAGATTCACTTTCCTCTAAAGCACATTCTATCCTAAAACTCTATAATACTCATCTCTATATGAAAATCTAAAAGGAATTTGAAGGCAGTGATTTTGTTGTATAAATCTAATGCCTCAAACAGTGCCTGGTATGTGGTAGATACTCAGTAAATACTTGTAGAGTGACTGATCCCTAGAAAAGTATATTCAAAAATGACAGAAAGCAAAATGTAATTTAAAAAATTATTAATGAACAATAAAATAGTCTGGAAAGTAAGGATATTAAAATACTTACTGAATCGCCATCATCTTTTTTAGAATCCCTTTTCAATGGCTCATTCATATCTTCTTGGCTACGGAAGCTGAAATTCTGGATTGCTTCAGTGACACCTCTAAGAGAGCTATAAATATCTTCAGAGTTCATATTTTCTGTGTCATAATCAAATGCACTATGAAAAAGACGACACTAATTTTTACTTAGGTGTAGTTTTAAAATACAAACACATCTGAGGAGATTATATAAGGATATTTATAAAGACAGGATTAGAGAATGTATATTCTCAGAGCATAATTAGCAAAATAAAAAATAGCAGCTATATATCATTAAAGTACATGTCTCTTTGTCCTTCCACCAAGGACACCTTACAGTTACTCTAGAATGCACAGACCTTAATAACTAGTTTGTCTTTCCACCTTGAAAAATGTTCTGATTAACCAGAGGTCAACAAACTATGGATGGCTTGTAAGCTAAGAACGTTTTTCACATTTTTAAAAGATTGGAAAAAAACAAAAAAAATCATGAAAATTAGATAAAATTTAAATGTCAGTGTCCATAAATAAATTTTTTCTTTTTTTTTGGAGACGAAATCTCACTCTTCTCCCCCAGGCTGGAATGTGATGGCGTGATCTCAGCTCACTGCAACCTCTGCCTCCCGAGTTCAACTGATTCTCCTGCCTCAGCCTCCCGAGTAGCTGGGATTACAGGCGCCGGCCACCACACCTGGCTAATTTTTGTATTTTTAGTAAAGATGGGGTTTCACCATGTTGTGCAGGCTGGTCTCGAACTCCTGACCTCAGGTGATCCGCCCACCTCGGCCTCCCAAAGTGCTGGGATTACAGGCGTGAGCCACTGCGCCCAGCCCATAAATAAAATTTTATTAAACATAGTCGTGCCTATTTATTTAGGTATTGTCTATGGCTGTTTTCTATTTCTATTGTTGATGGCTGTTTTCATACAATAGCAGAGTTGAGAAGAGACTCTAAGACCATGACTCAAACAGCCTAAAATATTTACTACCTGACCCTTTACAGAAAGTTTATCAATCTCTGTGATCAACTCCCAGTAATGGTACTGCTTGACAAAGAGATAAATGTATTTTAACACAAATTTGTAAGAAGATAGAGGATTTTTAATACTGAATATAATTTTTTTTTTTTTTTTGAGATGGAGTTTCACTCTTGTTGCCCAGGCTGGAGTGCAATGGCGCAACCTTGGCTCACTGCAACCTCTACCTCTCAGGCTCAAGCGATTCTCCAGCCTCAGCCTCACCTCAGCCTCCCGAGTAGCTGGGATTACAGGCTCCTGCCACCACATCAGGCTAATTTTTTGTATTTTTAGTAGAGATGGGGTTTCACCATGTTGACTAGGCTGGTCTCGAACTCCTGACCTCAGGTGATCTGCCCACCTTGGCCTCCCAAAGTGTTGCGATTACACGCATGAGCCACTGTGACTGGCCAAATTTTTTTTTTTTTTTTTTTTTTAAGGGACAGGGTCTTGCTGCTGCCCAGACTGGAGTGCAGTGGTGCAAACATAGCTTACTGCAGCCTTGAACTCCTAGGCTTAAATAATCATCCTGCATCAGCCTATCAAGTTGCTAGGACTACAAACACACACCACCATGCTAGGCTGATTTAAAAAAATTTTTTTTTGTAGAGATGGGGTCTCAATATGTTGCCCAGGTTTGTCCCAAACTGCTGGCCTCAAGTGATCCTCCTGCCTTGGCCTCCCAAAGTGCTAGGATTGCAAGTGTGAGCCATTCTGCTCTATATGTTATAGACATGAACTTTAAAATCAAATGCTGAAATTCAACTGAAGCTGGAATTTAGCTACCAAATTTATCATATATGTAGAACATGGAAAAAATAGGCTAGGAAATGTTTGCAATATATTTTTCTTAGATGTTGATGTATTATCCAATAATGTTAATGAATAACTTGATGAAGCACACTATAATATATGGCTAATGACAAAAATCAAGCTATTAACTATAAATACCAACTCTTTTTTTTTTTTTTTTGAGACGGAGCCTTGCTCTGTGACTTAGGCTGGAGTGCGGTAGCACGACATCAGCTCACTGCAACCTCTGCCTCCTGGGTTCAAGTGATTTTCCTGCCTCATCCTCCTGAGTAGCTGGAACTACCGGCATGCACCACCACACTCGGCTAATTTTTGTACTATTAGTAGAGATGGGGTTTTGCCATGTTGGTCAGGCTGGTCTCGAACTCCTGACCTCAAGTGATCTGCCCACCTCTGCCTCCCAAAGTGCTGGGATTACAGGTGTGAATGAATTATTGTGGAAGATAGTGTGGCAATTCCTCAAAGACCTAGAGACAGAAATATCATTTGAGCCAGCAATCCCACTACTGGGTATATACCCAAAGGAATACAAATCTTTCTGTTATAAAGACACATGCACATGTATGTGCACTGTAGCACTATTCACAATAGCAAAGACATGGAATCAACCTAAATGCCCATCAGTGATAGACTGGATAAAGAAAATGTGGTATCTATACACCACGGAATACACCACAGCCAGCCCCAACTCCTTCTTAAAAAAACTTTTAAGTTCAGGGGTATGTGTTCAGGATGTGCAGACTTGTTACATAGGCAAACGTGTGTCATGGGGGTTTGGTTGTATAGATTATTTTATCACCCAGGTATTAAGCCTAGTGTCCATTAATTATTTTTCCTGATCCTCTCCCTCCTCCTACCCTCTGCCCTCTGGTAGGCCCCAGTGTGTTTTGTTCCCCTCTATGTGTTCATGTGTTTTCATCATTTAGCTCCTACTTGTAAGTGAGAACATGCAGTATTTTTTTGTTGTTGTTCTTGTGTTAGTCTGCTAAGGATAACAGTCTCCAGCTCCATCTATGTCTCTGCAAAGGACATGATCTTATTCTGTTTTTATGGCCACATAGTATTCCATGGTGTATAGATACCACATTTTCTTTATCCAGTCTATCACTGATAGGCATTTAGGTTGATTCCATGTCTTTGCTATTGTGAACAGTGCTGCAGTGCACATACATGTGCATGTATCTTTATAACAGAATGATTTATATTCCTTTGGGTATATACCCAGTAGTGGGATTGCTGGCTCAAATTATATTTCTGTCTCTAGGTCTTTGAGGAATTGCCACACTATCTTCCACAATAGTTCAACTAATTTACACTCCCACCAATAGTGTAAAAGTGTTCCTTTTTCTCCACAACCTTGCCAGCATCTGTTATTTTTTGACATTTTAATAATAACCATTCTGACTGGTGTGAGATGGTATCTCACTGTGGGCTTGATTTGCATTTCTCTGATGATCAGTGATGCTGAACTTCTATGCAAATAATTTTCCAAAAGGCTAGGAAAAGGAAATAAAATTTTAGTCTACTAAGCAGTCAAGAATGTCATTTGAAATCTAGCTCATGCTTGAATCATACAAGTGTGTGAAAATTGTACACATCTTTTATTTTGCATTAAGGACCAATCTCTCAGTCAGTCATATTTTTTCCTCAGAGGTATATATTCACTATTTACTTATTATATATGTTTATATATATAATTCATATATCATTATATATATAATGAATTACATATATATGTAATGAATTATAATAACTATGATTCATTACATATATAATGAAAAAAATTAAGCTTACAGACAAAACATAAAAATAACAAATAGGGAAGGGTTAAATATATAATAAATATAAAAACAGGGTTAATTATATAAAAATGTAATAAATATATATGAATATAAATCATTCTGTTATAATCATTCTGAATATGAAATACATCATTCTGAATATGAAAACCATAGTATGACCTAATGTCATATTTATGATATATGACATGTTATATATGTAATTCATTATATATGACATATATGTAATTCATTATATATGATACATATATAATGTCATATATTCATTATATATTTAACACTCCCCTATTTGTTATTTATATGTTTTGTTTGCAAGCTTAATTTTTTAAACTCATCATTATAACTGACCTCATCACCACTTATACTGAGTAGTATAATGTAATTGAAAGACATAGTTTGCAATTTACTGGATTTATACAGCATCTCTGAGAAATATAACTATGCCATTTAATGTAATAAGCAGTAATTTATTTAAAAAGGCTGTCAGGTTTTCTTTCCACTTATTAAAAAATTCCATATCCTATATATTATCATTTAAGTAGTTGGCTTTCAAATAAAATTTTTTTCATTTGCTAAGTTTCTACTTTTCTAAGACCTTTCAAGTCAAGTGGGAACTGACTTGAATTATATTAGTGCTTGCTTTTTTAAGAATGGAATTTACAGCCAAGGGTGGTACCTCACGCCTGTAATCCCAGCATTTTGGGAGGCCGAGGCGGGCAGATCACCTAAGGTCAGGAGTTTGTGACCGGCCTGGCCAACATGGTGAAACCCTGTCTCTAGCAAAAATACAAAAATCAGCGGGGTGTGGTGGCATGCACCTGTAAGCCCAGCTACTTGGGAGACTGAGGCAGGAGAACTGCTTGAACCTGGGAGGTAGAGGTTGCAGTGAGTTGAGATCACACCACCACACTCCAGCCTGGGCGACAGAGCAAGACTCTGTCTCAAAAAGAAAGAATGGGAATTTACAAATACAAACCATCATGAAAAATCATCCTTTTATTACCTTGGAGATAAAGTATTCTGTGATGTATTGGTAGGAGAAGTAAGAGGACTGGACCAGTTAGCTGGTGATCGTGGTGTTGGTCTTGTCAAAGGACTCCCCATGGAACTCTGATGAAGGGAGTCAAAGAAATATTAACATATTACAGGTAAGTTCACTTAAAAAAACTCTTAAGGAAGCCACACAAACATTAGGTTGAACCATATTAAAGGGCCATATTTACAGGTCAATATTTTAAATATTCATGTACTTACGTCTGGTTTCCAGGGGGAAAATTTCTCCCTACTTAGGAATGTAACTCTTTAGTCTTTTTCTGTTCTCACCTGCTTCCTGCTCTCAAATATTATCAACATCATTTCCCTCAAGGATTGAATGTAATTTTAAATTAGCTTCCTGTTCTGAGCTAATTTCCTTCTTCTAACCATTACTAATGCTCAAATTTTATCCCTCCTTGACTTTGCTTTACACCAAGGGAGTTAAATCTTGTCATACTATTAATATGTCTATTCTTAAGATATGATGAAATAATCCCTACTCCTTTTAAAAAGATGACTGACTCTGGTTCACAAGAAATTGTTTTAGAATTACTTTTAACCCTCCTCAGACTTTACCTTAAGCCTGCCATCAGTGTGTCTCCTTTATTTGCCATTAAATGTCTTTCTTTTTAATGCTTCAGTTCAATTCTTTAGGCATATAATGTAAGTTATTTCATACCAGTAAAAAATATATATATGTATACACAAACACACAAATATACATATTTCAATGTTTCATTTACTCAGAACTTACTTCTTCAAAACAAATTCCTGCACATCCAAGTATAAATGGACTGACAAGCCTGTGATCATTTAATGTGACCACACTTCTTAAAGCACTACCTCCTTTGAATCTTATTTGTTAACCCTGGAATAAGTCATCCTTGTTAGTCCTCAAATAAGAATTGATTCATCTAAAGAGCATGTCCTGATTCTAATGGCTTCCAGCTGGTGCTCTCATCTATGTTTTGCTCACGTTTTGCTTTTCTTGTTCATACCTGGCCACTGTTTACCACTATCCTAATGCACACAAATTATAATATAATATAAACAGGACAGGAATAGGGACTCTGTTCTTTCCAAGACAATATTTAATTCTGCTCAGGAAATGCTGCCAAATAAAGATGCAAAAATTATATATTAAGGATCAAGTTTACTTCGTATAAAAGAAAGCAATTATTATTAAATCAACCATCACATTATATGATAGCCAAGAAAATAAGTAACAATTACCTGGGTTCCATTGCCAGTGTTTCGAAGGTGATTATGAAGAAGCTTGGTAGCACCATCCTGAAAAGTTTTTGGTAAAGCTCCTAATAACATTGTAAACTCTGGGGTATTGAGTTCAAATAATGAAATCAGCACTGACTGTGCTGCCTAAAAAACAAAGGCATACAGTAGATGAATATATTTTTGTTACTCAAACAAGACCGTTTTCTTCCCCTACATTTCTGTTCAATAGCACGAAGCTTGACCATCTTTCCCAGGGAAAAGGAAGATATTCTTATTTGCTTTCAAACTGTTTTGCTGGAAGGATAAAAAAAAAATATTGACCTACCTTTTTTTTTTTTAAGGTAAGAAGGGAATATGAAAAGCATAACAAATATGACCTAACAGACAATGGAAAAGTTAACCATGACGGTTTCCAGGGTTACTCTGTTACATACTACTACAGTATTTTAGTTTTCCTAATAAACGATTACAAGGAGAAATAATATCTAATCTTCTCACAAGCAGTTAACTAAACAACTCTACAATTTGAAGCTAAAGTAAGTCCGTTCTGTGGAAATGGGAACAAAATAAAGCTTACTCAGATCAGTCAAGAAAAGTTATACAATTCTTCTCCGCTTCTGAAGTAATCAACTGCATTACTAAAAGACAAACTTTGAAATTCAAATTATATAGAGACTTAATTAAGGAGAGAGAAACTCAAATCATTTATGATCACATGACTTGTATCCAAATCTGCACACTTCATTTTGGACTTTTCTGAACCCACTCTATGAAAAATACACCTGAATATACAACACTAGGGGGAATGGTTAAATTATGTTACTTTGGAACAATGGAATACTATACAACACAATCTTGGAAGATGATACAGCTCTCAATGTAGAAATTGAGAAAGGTCTATTATACACTGCTGAAGAAAAACTATAAGACTGCTGTAACAGGCCAAGTGCAGTGGCTCACACTGCACTTTGGGAGGCAAAGGCAGGTGGATCACTTGAGGTCAGGAGTTCGAGACCAGTCTGGCTAACATGATGAATCCCCGTCTCTACTAAAAATACAAAAACTAGCCGGGTGTGGTGGTGTGTGCTTGTAATCCCAGCTACCTGGGAGGCTGAGGCCAGAGGATCTCTTGAACCTGGGAGGCAGAAGTTGCAGTGAGCAGAGATCATGCCACTGCACTCCAGCCTGGGAGACAAAGTGAGACTTAAAAGGAAAAAAAAAAAAAAGAGTGTTATGAGCACATTTTGTTAAAAACAAAGAAGTGTAAGTTGTGTGGGTATATACTCTGGGTATCTAACATGTTAATAGTGCTTAAATAAAGCTATTAATATTTGCAGTTTGAAAACAAAAGTTACGATCTCATACTTTTTTTTGGAACCACCACATTGAATGGACCACAAGTAAACTTGAGCAAATGAACTAGTAATTGTTAATATATACTTTATTCCATCTAGTTTACTTTGGTTTGGAGATTCAGCTTTATTTCCCCTGTAGGGACAGACATCCCAATTGCTCCCAAACCATTTACCAATGAGTATATCCTTTCCTCATGACTTGAAGTGACACCTGTATAATGAACTAATCTCCTATATAAACCTAAGTATCTCTGGACCTTCCTTCATGTTCCATTGATCTATTTGTCTATTTCTGTACTAACACCACATGACTTAAAATACTATACCGTTAGTATATTTCGATCATATCCTTCCTTTCTTGCGGTTTTAAATTTCCTAATGTCATATTTGTTTTACTAGATTTCATATTTCTTTTAAAATAATTTTTGAAGTCTATCAAAGTAATACATACATACAGATTTTAAAAAACCAGTTTTACAAAAGGTTTTATAAATCTCAATTCCATTGTTCAGGTCTCCAGAGTTCCCTTTTGTAATGCTTGTTTTTACTGATAGGATTCATAGGCTTATAAAATTATTTCTTCATTTATCAGCTTGAGACATTTTCTAGTGATTTCTTACAATAGATGAGGACTTAGGTTCCTTTCAACATCAGCTCTACCTTTCTTCTTTCTTCTCCCTTATACTAGCCCATTTTTGTCACATCAGACAGCATAATCTTTAAAAACATAAATCATATTACTCTGTGAGTTAAAAATGTGCCAATAATTTCTACAGTCACATCAGTATTCTTGTTCTTGGAATACTGCAAAATTTAAATTTTGATGAAATCCAACTTATCTGTTTTTCCATTTGTTGCCTAAGCTTCTGATACCATATCCAAGAATCCACTGCCAAATCGGAGTTCATGAAGATTTATTCCTGTTTTAAGTGTTTTATTTTCCTGTATCTATTGAGATGATTATGTGGTTTTTGTATTTTTACTATTGATATGGTCTACTACATTAATAGATTTTTGGATGTTAATCTAACCTTACATTCCTGGGATAAATCCCTCTTGGTCATTGATATGGTTTGGCTCTGTGTCCCCACACAAATCTCATCTTGAATTATACTCCCATAATTCCCACGTGTTGGAGGGACTGGTGGGAGATAACTGAATCATGGGGGTGGTTTCTGCCACACTGTTCTTGTGGTAGTGAATAAGTCTCATGAGATCTGATGATTTGATAAGGGGAAACCCATTTCACTTGGCTCATTCTCCCTCTCTGCCTGCTGACATCCATGTAAGACATTATTTGCTCTTCCTTGACTTCTGCCATGATTGTGAGGCTTCCTGAGCCACATGAAACTGTAAGTTCAATTAAACCTTTATTTTGTAAATTGCCCAGTCTCAAGTATGTCTTTATCAGCAGCATGAAAATGAACTAATACAGTCATGGTATATACTTCTTTTACATATGTTGCTAAATTTGGCTTGCCAGCATTTTGTTGAAGATTAAGGCATTCATATTCATAAAGAGATGCTGGTCTGTAGTGTCTTTTTTGATGTGCGATGTCTCTGTCTAGTTTTGGTATCAGAATAAAACTGGTCTCATAGAATAAACTGGGAAGTGTTCCTTCCTCTTCTGTTTGTTTGGAAGAATGTGTGAAGAATTGATATTAATTGTTTGGTGGAATTTACCACCAGTGACGCCATCTGAGCCTGGGCTTTTCTTTGTGCAGTTTTATTTTATGTATTTTTTTTTTTTTTTTGAGATGGGGTGCTGCTCTGTCACTCGGGCTGGAGTGCAGTGGTGTAATCACAGTTCACTGCAGCATCGACCTCCCAGACTCAAATGATCCTCCTACCTCAGCCTCCTGAGTAGCTGGGACTACAGGTGTATGCCACCACACTCAATTAATTTTTGTATAGACAGGGTTTCACCATGTTACCCAGGCTGGTCTCTTCTGGGCTCAGGCAATCCACCTGCCTCAGCCTCCTAAAGTGCTGGGATTACAGGTGTGAGCCACCGTGCCTGGCTTGTGCATAGTTTTTGAATACTAGATCAATTTCCTGTTATAGTTCTATTCATGCTATCTATTTCTTCTTCAGTCAGTTTTGGTAGTTTGTATTTTTCTAGGAATTTGTCCATTTCATCTAAGTTTTTTTATAAGCTCAGTAGTTAAAATAATTTTTAAGTCTTTAAATCAAATACTTACAGATTTTTAAAAAAAGTTTTAGAAAATGTTTTATAATTTTTTATTTTTATTTTTATTTTTTTGAGACAGAGTCTCCCTCTGTTGCCCGGGCTGGAGTGCAGTGGCGCAATCTCGGCTCACTACAACCTCTGCCTCCCAGGTTCAAGCCATTCTCCTGCCTCAGCCTCCTGAGTAGCTGGGACTGCAGGTGCGTGCCACCACACTCAGCTAATTTTTCATATTTTTAGTAGAGACAGGGTTTCACCATGTTAGCCAGGATGGTCTTGATCTCCTGACCTCATGATCCACCCGCCTGTTTCCCAAAGTGCTGGAATTACAGGCGTTAGCCACTGTGCCCAGCCATCATTTTATAAATCTTAATTCCCTTTTTCAGCTCTCCAGAGTTCCCTTTTGTAATGCTTGTTTTTACTGATAGGATTGACAGGCTTATACAATTATCTCTTCATTATCAGCTTGAGACATTTTCTAGTGATTTCCTGCCACAATAGGTAACGACTACGGTTTCATTTCTTTTTTTTTTTTTTTTTTTTTTTGAGTTGGGAGTCTCACTATCATCCAGGCTGGAGTAGAGCAGCATGATCATAGCTCACTGCACCCTTGAACTCCTTGGCTCTAGTGATCTTCCTGCTTCAGTCTCTTGAGTATCTGGGACTACAGGCATGCACCACCATACCCACCTAATTTTGAATTTTCTTTTTTTGCATAGATGAGGTCTTGTCATATTGCCCAGTCTGGTCTCAGACTCCCAGCCTCAAGTGATCCTCCCACCTTGGGATTACAGGTGTGAGCCACCACACCCAGGTGTTGGGATTACAGGTGTGTGCCACCACACCCAGCACATTTGTAATTCCAGTAATTTGAATGTTTTCTCTTTTTACCCTGATATGTTTAGCTAAAGGTTTGTCAATTTTGTTGATCTTTCCAAAGAACCAGCTTTTGGTTTCACTGGTTTTCCCAGTCTCTATTTCATTAACTTTTGCTTTAATCTTGATTACATCCTTCCTTTTGCTGTCTTCAGGTTTAGTATGCTTTTCTTTTTCCAGTGTCTTATGGTGGTGAATCGATTACTGATTTGAGAGCTTTCTTTTTATTGTAGGCATTAACAGCTATAAATTTCCCTAGAAGCATTGCTTGAGCTTTATCCCATACATTTTGGTATGCCATGTCTTCATTTTCATTCATCTCAATGTATTTCTTAGTGTATTTTCTTATTTCTCTTTTGATTTCCTCTTCGGCCCACTGACTATTTAAGAGTGAGCTGTTTGTGGGTTTTCTAAATACCTTTCTATTATTGACTCTAATTTCATTCTATTGTGGTCAGAGAACATACTGTGTATTCATTCTATCATTTTAATCTATTGAGGTTTCATGGCCTAGCGTGCAGAATGTTCCTAGTGTAGTTGAGAAGAATATTCTGCTGTTGTTAGGTGCAGTGCTCATCACTGGAAATAAAGATCACAAAAAATGTATATTCTGTGTACTTTTTTTCTTTTTTTTTTTTTTAAGATAAGGTCTCACTCTGTCACCCAGGCTGGAGTGCAGTGGCATGATCTTGTCTCATTGCATCCTCGACCTCCTGGGCTCAAGTGATCCTTCCACCTTAGCCTCCCAGGTAGCTGGGGCTACAGGTGCATGCCAATGCACCCAATTTTTTTTTATTTTTAGCAGAGACAGGGTTTCTCCACGTTGCTCAGGCTGGGCTCAAGCTCCTGAGCTCAGACAATCTGCCTGCCTCAGCCTACCATGTTGAGATTACAGGCGTGAGCCACTGCGTCCGGCCTATGTGTACTCCTTTTGCAGCAAATGTTGATGGAAATAATTCACCAGAAAAGAAAGTAAATAGAAGTAAATATAAGATGCAAGAAACAGGCTGGGTGCAGTGGCTCACATCTGTAATCCCAGCATTTTGGGAGGCTAAGGTGGGCAGATCACTTGAGGACAGGAGTTTGAGACCAGCTTGGTCCAATATGGAGAAACCCCAAAAATATAAAAATTAGCTGGGTGTGGTGGTGGGTGCCTGTAATCCCAGCTACTCAGGAGGCTAAGGCATGAGAATCACTTGAATTGGAAGGTGGAGGTTGCAGTGAGCCAGTATCATGCCACTGTGCTCCAGCCTGGGTGAAAAAGCGAGACTGCCTCAAAAAAAAAAAAAAAAAAAAAAAGATAGAAGAAGTAAACAGGGATGAAGATAAGTCTCAGGAAGATGCTCAAGAGAAATTCCAGACAGACGTGTGTGCAGCAGGCCTGGGGAGAAACATGTCAAAACTGGAGAAAACAACAGAATGTCTAAGAAGGAGCTCTCTAGAAAATAAAATAATAATCTATGCTTTTGAGCATATGAAAAATAATAGCCATACACATGTAGCAGAGATGTTGAAAATATTATGATACTTAAAAAAAAAAAGTAGGCAAATGAAAAAGCAAGGCAAATTATCAACTCCAGGAAAAATAACGTTTCTATAAGAAAGCAAGCAGTCGCAAATCACTTGGTATAAAAGTGAATACCTGCACAGTCAAATGTAAATCTTTTCTACTGATAACTAGTAATTGATTCATAAGTAGTTTATGAATACCTTAGAAAGGATACAGAAAGTATGAGAAAGCTAGGTCCTCACTTAACAAAATAGACGGATATACCTAATGTCTACATTCATCAATAGATTAAAAACAAGTCTAAAAATTGATAAATCAAACAACAGTGTAAGCTCTCATTTGAAATGTATAGGTAAATGCAAGGGGAATGATTTGAAATATTCCGAATGGTGATAAAATTAGAGGGAGGATTGTGGTAAAGGCAGCTACTTTTGATTCTAGGTTTGAAAATTATGCTCACATTAATTGGATAAAATTTGAAACAATTTTAAAGATTTTTTAAAAAGCTCTTCATAACTCACTGCTAATTGCTAAGGTCCTGAAAATATTAGCTTCCTTCACTGGCAATCCATAATAACTGACTTGCTTTCCCAATTTATCTTCTAAACCTCATATTAAAATATACCTTCCGAACATCAGAACTTTTGGGTTCTGTTGTCCAAGTGATGACCCGAGACACTGCTAGGCGAGTTTCACTGGAATTTATAAAATCTCCTGGATCCATCTGTTTGGCCAGAGTTTCTATGTATTTAAGGATAGCAACCTTCACCTGCAGAGGAAAGCACAAAGAGAAAGGACAGAAAGATGGTTATTGTGAGACACTAGAGAACATTTCAAAAATAATCAGGTGATGATGATGATTTTTTTTTTTATATACAGATAGGGTCTTACTATGTTGGCAAGGTTGGTCTTGCGCTCCTGGCCTCAAGCAATCCTCCCACCTCGGCCTCCCAAAGGGCTGGGATTACAGGCATGAGCCATCATGCCCAGCCAGGTGATTAATACTACAATCACCTACCTACCTGAGGTACAAGTATATGACAGTGTTGATGATTTTTGTTTTTCACACACAATCAGAACTTCGAGGTCCCAGGTGTTTCATTCCCCAAGTTTGAACAACTGCTGAAGACTATCTTGACAAGATTATAAACATTTCCTTAAATCAGCCCTCAGAGCTTATGGCTGACTCTTGGCTAGCCTCACAGGGAGCTAGTCTTTATTAACTCTGTAATTTTGTTTTTGGGAAAATGAACCAAAGTGCTTTGGAAATAAGGTATGGCAAATCAAGGTAGCAATCAAGGTGGGCAATATAGTTTTTTTTTTTTTTTTTGGTAAAACACAGACTCACACAATGAGATGAGGTTCCTTAATGAGTCCACCAGTTGTTAGAAATGCCTCCCAAAAGAACTGTCACAAAAATGAGTTATACAAGTACCACTGAAGAAAAGACAACACTTACGTGGATAAAAATGTTATGTGTGGGTTTATAATTTTTTTTTTTTTTTTTTTTGAGACAGAATCTCACCCTGTCGCCCAGGCTGGAGTGTAATGGTGCGATCTCGGCTCACTGAAACCTCCGTCTCCTGGGTTCAAACGGCTCTCCTGCCTCAGCCTCCCAAGTAGCCGGAATTACAGGCGCCCGCCACTACACCCAGCTAATTTTTGTGTTTTTAGTAGAGACGAGGTTTCACCATGTTGGCCATGCTGGTCTCGAACTCCTGACCTCATGATCCGCCTGCCTCAGTCTCCCGAAGTGCTGGGATTACAGGCGTGAGCCACCGTGCCCGGCCTATTCTCCCAGTAATTCTTGATGTGTAGGTGCATGGAAGGCAGATGTTTGAAATATGTATATTTGTGGAATGGTTATAATTGAGCTAATTAAGATATGCCTCATATACTTATTTTTTTGTGGTGAGAACACTTAAAATCTATTCTCTTGGCAATTCTCTTTTTATAAATTCAATTTTAAAGTTTTATATATTTAATGTGTACAAGTTTTGATACACATATACATAGTGAAACGTTTCTCATAGTCAAGCAAATCAATGAATCCATCGTTTCAGTCACCCCTTTTCTGTGTGTAGCAAGAGCATCTAAAATCTACTCTTTTAGCAAAAATCCCAAATATAACACAATATTATGAACTATGGTCTTCATGTTGTCTGTTAGATCTCTAGACTTATTCATCCTATAGATCTGCAACTTTGAATACTTTGACCTACATCTCCCCATTCCACATCCCCTCATTAGCAATTTTCAAGTATACAATACATTGTTATTAACTATAGTCACCATGTTGTACCTGTGCACTTAAGAAACAGCATATGACATAGTACACAGTCCTTGGATACAGCAAGGATGCTAAACACATATTCAATGTGAATTTGCTGACTTAGAATAAGGAAGGTTTAAATGTATGATTGAAACTTGAGAAAAAATTGTCAAATTTTAAGGTAATATGTTTTTCTATGTTTTTTCTTCCCTTACTATCGACTTTAATGTCATTTTTGTCACTCAGGTGAAATAAGGTCTCCGGGAAGTGCCATACTGAATAAATTCACAGGAAGTAAAATATTAAAATAAGGTTCTGACACTTGTACATTTTTCCCTTCCTACTTCCAGTTAAAAAAAAGAAGAGATAAAATTACATTTTTCTTTCATAATGAATTTTAAGAAGTATTTATAATTTTACACAGTCAACAAAAGCAAAAATAGACAAATGAGAGTACATCAAACTAAAAAGCTTCTGCATAGCAAAGGAAACAATCAACAGAGTGAAGAGACAACTACAAAATGGGAGAAAATATTGTACTGTAAACCATACATCTGATAAGTGGTTAACATTCAAAATATATAAGAAACTCACATGACTCAATAGCAAGAAAACAAATAAACTATTTAGAAAATGGGCAAAGGATCTGAATAGACATTTGTCAAAGAAAGACATACAAATGGCCAACAGGTATATGGAAGAATGATCAATATCAGTATTCATCAGGGAAAGGCAAACTAAAACCACATTTGAGATATTCACCTCACACCTGTTAGAATGACTGTTATCAAAAAGATGAAAGATATGTGTTGGTGATGATGTGGAGAAAACGAAACTCTTCCACAATGCTGGTGGAAATGTAAATTAGTACTGCCATTATGAAAAATAATATGGAGGTTCCTCAAAAAATTAAAAATAGAACTGCCATATGATCCAGCATTCCACTAGTGGGTATATACCCAAAGGATATGAAATCAGAACGTGGAAGTGACATCTGCACTCCCATGTTCACTGCAGCATTACTCATAATACCAAGATATGGAATCGGCCAGGCGCAGTGGCTCACGCCTGTAATCCCAGCACTTTGAAAGGCTGAGGTGGGCGGATCACCTGATGTCAGGAAGTCAAGGCCAGCCGGGGCCAACGTAGTTAAACCCCATCTATACTAAAAATACAAAAATTAGCCGGGCGTGGTGGTGGGCGCCTGTAATCCCAGCTACTCGGGAGGCTGAAGCAGGAGAATCGCTTGAACATGGGAGGTGGAGTTCCAGTGAACCGAGGTCACACCACTGCGCTCCAGCCTGGGCAACAGGAGCGAAACTGTCTCAAAAAAAAAAAAAAAAAAATGTAATCAACCTAAGTGTCTATCAATGGTTGTAAAGATAAAGAAAATGTGGTATATATACACAATGGAATACTATTCAGCCTTACAAAGAAGGAAATCCTGTCATTTGTGATAACGAAGATGAACCTGGAGGACAATACCGTAAGTGAAATAAGCCAGACATAGAAAGACAAATACTGTATGATCTTATTTACATGCAGCACGTAAAAAGTCAAATTTATAGAAACAGAGAGTAAAATGGAGGTTACCAGAGGGCAGGGGACTGGAGAGATGTTGGTCAAAGGGCACATTTCAGTTAGACAGGAGGAATAAGTTTAAGAGATTTGATTTCTCCATCAGCCAGGAAGATGTTGGTGTAGAGGCCGACATAGCTATCAAGGACAGTAACTACCATGACTCCCGGTGCTATGATAAAACCTCAGATGCACGGCCTTCTGGCCAAGTGTCTGCAATTTCATATTGTAGGAGCATTCATTGTATCCCTGGGGGTAGCAGCTCTTTATAAGTTTGCTGTATCTAAACCAGGAAAGAAGGCACATGAAGATTTCTACAGAAATTATGATTCCATGAAAGATTTTGAGGAGATGAGAAAGGCTGGTATATTTCAGAGTGCAAAGGGATTATGGAATATAAAGAATTTCTTCAGGTTGAATGACCTAGAAGTTTGTAACTGACTTGTGTTTCTGAACTATGAATTATGAATATGTGGGGTAAGAAATAGTTTCTCTTGATAAATAAACAATTAAAACAACAAAAAGAGACCTGTACATCATGGTGACTACAGTTAAGAACAATATATTGCATATTTGAAAATTGATAAAAGAGTGAATTTTATGTATTCTTACCTAAAAAAAAGATACACCTATGAGGTAATACAAATGTTAAATAACTTGATTTAGCCATTCCACAATGCATACATATATCAAAACATTATATGCCATAAATATATAGAATTTTTACTTGTCAATTAAAAGACATATTTATAACTTTAAATAAATTTATTGCAAAAAAACAAAAGTTGACCTATTAGCCATCAGAAATGTGCAGTAGACAGGAAAAGAGACTTCTGGTTAGTTTTAACATACCGGGCACAATTAAATTATGACAGCACATAATATTCTGATTTTTTTTTTTTTTTTTGAGATAAGGTCTCATTCTGTCACCCAGGGTAGAGTGCAGTGGTGTCATCTCGGCTCACTGGTAGCCTTGACATCCCAACTCAAGTGACCCTCCCACCTCAGCTTCCCGAGTAGATAAGATTACAGGTGTGCACCACCACGTCCAGCTAATTAAAAAAAATTTTTTGTAGAGATGGGGTTTTGCCATGTTGCCCAGGCTAGTCTCGAACTGCTGGGCTCTGGTGATCTGCCCACCTTGGTCTCCCAAAGTGGTGGGATTACAGGCATAAGCCACCATTCCCTGGCCAATATTCTGAATTCCTAAAGCAATGTCATCCTCTCTCAGTGTGAATAGCTGGAAGGTGACTATGTTAAATCAAAAAATGAACATCAATGTATTTTGTTTATAATTTGCCACCATCAATAACTGAATATATTTATTTACACTATGTGAGATTCAACTAGTGCAGTGCCTTAGCAATTTATCGTCATGCAAAATTTTACAAGGGTTTCACAGAATGTATGTGTTTACTATACTAATAGGCAACATAACCACAATACATATATAATCATTTGAACATGTATATTTATTAGGATATTTTACAAGGTTATACCTAGTTTATAATTTTAATACAGCAAACATGCATTCTTTTTCAGAGAAGGAAAAACAATCTAGCTGCTAAAGGATGTGAAATTCTTTAATTGTTTGTGAAACCCAGAAAAAGAGGTCAGCAAAGATTATATTTATCTTTAAAGTATTACTAATTCAAATAAAATCACTTTGTATTGCCATTTCCCCCATTGCTTCCTCTTGACATGTAATCACATGACACTCTGAAAGAGATGTAAAATTTTATATAAACATCCATCATTTATCTGAAAGATCAATAAAAAAATTTTCTAGATCTGATACTCAAGTTACATGTGGTTTTCTATAATCTGTTAAATTTTTTATACTTAATCCTGTCACTCACTTGAAAGCTGGTTTTATTTTTGGCATAAAGTATGGCTCCAATATAACTTTTCCCTGCTATTCTAAACACTGGTGTAAGAGTTGAAAAGTGATTTTCTTTCTTTCTTTTTTTTTTTTTTGAGACGGAGTCTCACTCTGTCATCCAGGCTAGAGGGCAGTGGCGCAGACTCGGCTCACTGCATCCTCTGCCTCCTGGGTTCAAGCGATTCTCCTGCCTCAGCCTCCCGAGTAGTTGGGATTACAGATGCCTGCCACCACGCCTGGCTAACTTTTTGTATTTTTAGTAGAGACATGGTTTCACCATGCTGGCCAGCCTGGTCACAAACTACTGACCTCAGATGATCCACCTACCTTGGCCTCCCAAAGTGCTGGGATCACAGGCGTGAGCCACCGTGCCCAGCCAAAAAGTGATTTTCCCTCATGGATTTGCTAATACATCTATTATCTATATTAAATACATATTTATAAATAATTTAGGCTTTTAGAGAAACAATCTGTGATTCCAGTTTCCAGCATAATGTTTTCTAATAGGAAAGTTAATTTTAATTTGTGCATATCTCATTTCAATCTTCGCTTTGTCTTTCTCTTCAAGTCTCCTGCAACTTATTCTCTCTGAACTCAACTATCAACCCCTTATTTTTATTTATTTATTTTTTTGAGACCAAGTCTCACTCTGTCTCCCAAGCTGGAGTGCAGTGGCATGATTTTGGCTCACTGCAACCTCCGCCTCTCCGGTTCAAGTGATTCTCCTGCCTCAGCCTCCCGAGTAGCTGGGACTACAGGTGCCCAACATCACCCCTGGCTAATTTTTGTATTTTCAGTAGAGACAGGGTTTCTCCATGTTGGCCAGGCTGGTCTCAAACTCCTGACCTCAAGTGATCCGCCTGCCTCAGCCTCCCAAAGTGCTGGGATTACAGGTGTGAGCCACGGTGCCCAGCCTCACCCTTACTTCTTAAGCTGGTTTAGACCTTCATTTGCACTGGTTCATGAAACATCTCTATATATATTATCTACTTTTTTCTTTCTTTCCTTTCTCTTTCAATGGACAGGGTCTCACTCTGTCTCTTAAAAAAAGAGGCTCCCAGGCTGGAGTGCAGTGGTGTGATTAGAGCTCACTGTAACCTCACTCCTGGGTTCATGCGATCCTCTTGCCTCACCTCCTGAGTAGCTAGGACTATAGGCATGAACTACCACACCTAGTTAACTCCACATACATTTCAGTAGCACTTGAACACCACTACAGGTACCTATATCATAACTTTTATTACTGTTTAGAGTTTATTATATATTATAGTTAATAATGATAAAATTACAAGCTTTATATTCCCAGGAACACCTAGCACACTGCCTTGGTCATAAAATGAGTTAAAAAATATCTATTAATAATATCAAGTAAATTATTCTTCTGCAGGTCACTTTTCAAAATCAAACAGATGAAATCTCTTTCCCCAAGCAGCTCTAAGAAAACAACATTATATTGAGTGTAAGTTGTGAAAGGAAAATAAAACGGCCTATGCCAAAAGGAAAGTTAAGCTTGGGAACTCAGTCATTCAGAAAACTGACTCCCATTTGTTCATAAACAGACAGCTGCAAGATAGAAGGCTACATAGTTCTTCAGGTGGTCTCCCTCATGCTGACAATGTAAATTAACAGTTTATCTTCACAGGTAGAGGACAACGATGAGACTAGAAATCATCCCCCACTCACCCAGAGACAAATACATTTACTTCTTCCTCTACTCTGTGTTTACTTTCTCTTAGGTAAGATGCAGATTTACTGAGCACGAGATGAATGCCTGACTGTTCCTCTTTCCCCTCAAGCTGGCTCTTTCTCTTTTAAATATTAAAGTCCTCAAAACCCTCTCTGGAAGAATGAACAGGCTTTCTTCTTGTGTCTCTTTCTCCTGGATGCATCCTCAATCTTGGCAAACTAAACCTCTAAATTGATTGAGACTTGTCTCAGACACTTTTCGGTTTACAAAGTCAGCCCTGATAAGAAACATAATTGTGATTCTGAGGCACAATTGCATTCAGAAACTTAAGGGAAAAATCAATCCTGGGCAGTAACGCTTGTAGAAATATATTTCGTGCAGGATAGAGCAGAAAAATATAGGACTCGTATAAGCACATATGCTTGTTATTTCCCTGACTTTAATCTCATTTAATAAAACTCACTAAAAAAAAAAAACCTTTAGCAAAGAATTCAGGAGCTATTCTTTTACATTTTTTCTTTTATGTAAAATTTAATAATCACTTTAAATCACAAATTGGAATCCATTTAGTTTTCATATTAACTGAAAAATGTGTGTATATAACAAACGAGAAAGTTAATTATAACTCCAAATGTTATGCATACATCAGAAAAAAAAAGAAAGTTACTATTTCAGTTAAGGATAATTGAAGAAAGGGACTGAGATTAAATTTAAAAAATTTTGCTTAGTTAATACATAGGCAAAACTGACATTTTGCCTAAAATACCCGTTAAAATGCCTGACACTTAAAAAAAAAAAAAGTAATGGGAAATCACAAACATAAAATTAGATAAGACTTTATAGAGTGAGTTTGCATTACCAGCTTAGGGTTAGATGGCAATAATGTGATGCCTTCCAAACGTGTATCACCATTAAGTTTCTCCAAAAGACTTAGAGTCTGGCATTGCATTTAAATAACATTTGAAATCAAATGTGTGCATGCGTAAAAGGCTTACAAAGGTTAGTAGTTGAATACAGATGCAAACACTGCAGAGAGTTAAGAAAAGAAATAATGCAGATGAAAACAAAAACAATAAAACCTTGGAGCTCCAAAAAGAGTGAAGCTGGTCCCGAAGTGCTGGCTTGACTGTCTGAAAGTTTATAAAAACAAAACCCACTGATTGAACAGCTTCTCATGTGACAGAAATACAAATATCAACATAACTTTATTAATAAATACTTCAATTCTTTATAATGTCTTCAAAAGATCTCAAAGTTTTACCTTTAAGCTTGGTGTCTGGGTCTGATCAACTGTAAATCTCATTAGAATATTGAACTGAAGATCATTTGGAAAAGACTCTCTGAAACAAGAACAAAGCAAAACGAAACAAAAATTTAGTTAGCAAGTACGCATGTAACAGCAAAAGACTATGCTTAATACCAAAACATAATGTCATCCAAAAAACATCCATGAAGTAGTATCTGCATGTGGTATAAACTACCTGGTATAGTATACAATAAATGCATCCTCAGAAGAATATGAACATCTGAATTTGTACTCAGTACAGGGTTAAAAAGTAACTCTACAGGCCGGGAGCGGTGGCTCACGCTTGTATTCCCAGTACTTTGGGAGGCTGAGGCGGGCGGATCACCCGAGGTCAGGAGTTCGAGACCAGCGTGACCAACATGGAGAAACCCCGTCTCTATTAAAAATACAAAATTAGCCAGGCATGGTGGCGCATGTCTGTAATCTCAGCTACTCGGGAGGCTGAGGCAGGAGAATCGCTTGAACCCAGGAGGCAGAGGTTGCAGTGAGCCGAGATTGCGCCATTGCACTCCAGCATGGGCAACAAGAGTGAAACTCCCTCTCAAAGAAAAAAAAAGCAACACTATAGGAAATAATAGTCTATCTTGCCTCAACTATAGATTTAATCAGAAAAATGTATTCAGTAAAAAGTTTAACATTCTTAGAAATGTTTCTCTATACCTAAAATCTGAATTCTGACTCACCTCAACCTAGTAAACAGATATTTGAAATAAGTGACTTCAACAATCTACACAAGAAAGTAGAAATATATCATTGGTTCAAAACCTTCTGAAAAGAGATTTAGAATATTTAAATGCATAATAAAACGTTGTTTAAATACACAGAAAATACTTTTTATAGTAGACTAAATAAAATCTTCAATCTTCAACCTTACTTCGCTGATACTTCTTTTTTTTTTTTCTTTTTTTTGAGACAGAGTCTCGCTCTGTTGCCCACGCTGGAGTGCAGTGGTGCAATCTCGGCTCACTGCAACCTCCACCTCCCAGGTTCAAGCGATTCTCCTTCCTCAGCCTCTGGAGTAGCTGAGATTACAGGTGCCTGCCACCATGCCTGGCTAATTTTTGTATTTTTAGTAGAGATATGGTTTCACCATGTTGACCAGGCTGGTCTCGAACTCCTGACCTCAAGTGATCTGCCTGCCTCAGCCTCCCAAAGTACTAGGATTACAGGTGTGAGCCACCATGCCCAGCTGCTGATACATCAATTAAGATAAAATACCACCTTGAACTACTCAACCAATATTAATACAATTTTTATAAAAAAAAATGCAGGGCTTGACCTAGGGAAAAATGTTGCTTTAAATATACAATATGAATGGGCATAATTAACAATCTTCAAACGGAATCCATGCAGTCTAAATTGTTCAAAGGGACCCAGAAATCTGAACTATTAACACAGGGGTTAGATATTCCTAGTTATTATCAGGTTAACTTGAAATATATGAAAAAAATATTACCTTGTAACATCAAGGGCTTTCTGAACTTTTGCCTGAACAGATCCAAGCAAATCAGCACCCATTTTTTTTAGTAGTTGTGTCAGCAGTACAAACAACCAATCTTGAAGATCATCTTTGTGGACTTGTATGAAATCCACTAGAGTCTCCAAAAACATGCTGAATACCTACAGTTGATAAAGGGGAGAGGTAGGGAGAAAAAAAGAGGAAATATTGACCTCTATGTTCAATTCAAAGCGAATACAGAAAGGAACACAGGAATCAGAGGCACAGCGATTGGCAGCCAAGCGGAAAAACAATCTCTCTTGCTTTTCATTGGACTCTGTGATACAAGAGTACCTTTGAACTGTTATCCAACTTCTGCAGAAGTTCGACAATTAGCTACTCCATGCAGCATCACTTGGTAAAGAAAGTTTGGCCATAATGGCTGGCACACCTAATGTTATCAATGATGCCACAGCTTAAACTGGGTAAAGTGAAATCTGTTTTGTGTAAAATGTAGGGGAAAAAAACTATAGTTTCAGTAACTCTCAGCTTTTCTGAAGAGTGGCACTGAGTAAATGAGAAGATGACTACAATGACCTTAAAGTATAAAATTTATCTGGCATAATAGACTAATTAGAGAATCCTCAGATTTCTCAAAATGACAATTGTCACAAATAATTTGGTATGGGATGTATTATTTATTAAAACTGCCTCAATGGTAATTTTAAATGATTTAACTGTAACTGCATCTAAAATAAATCCAAGATGAATGTCTACATTTAAATTTCAGTGATTTTTAAAAAGTCCTAGATGGCATACTATTAGTCTCCATACCCATTTATGGGTTTTTTACTTACTTCCAATATTAATCTATTTGTTTTAACATTTTTATAAGGTAGAAAAAAATTATTATAGTGAAGGGAAGCTAATGTTTATAAGTGATGTAGCTCATTAAAATACTTATGAAAAGTGACCTTTATCAAGGCTGTATCTCTTTATAAGATAGTCAACACCATAATGGAAAATTAGTTTCTAGATAAAGAAGAAAAAACTGTCAGCCATAATGTATTACTGGACAAATCATAATAAACATTTTGATCACAGATTAAAAACTATGGGTTAAAAAAACTTAAAATTATTAACTTTTCAAGTTAATCTCAAAAAGTAAATATGATAATTTGAGAACTAAGAGTTTTGCTCTCAATGCATATTTTATTTCTTGAATTCCCTTCATACAGTTATAGATGAACTCTTTTTTTTCTTTAGAAATGAAGGATTTTCTTTATCAGAATTATAATTAAGCTTCAACATTTAAACTGAGTTAAAAATAAAAATATACTTTAGCTATTTGCTTAAGACGCTGTATACCTGTAACAGCAGAAACTATAATTAAATTTTTGAGTATTCTCTGGTCCCCAGACAGTGTGTGCTTCAACACTGTTCCTACTCACAGTGTGGATTCCTTTAACTCTCATTCCACCACTACCCCCATAATCCCCCAAGAACTTGGATTCTCTTAGATTCCAAACTTGGCCAACTGCTTCATTAAACTGTCTCTGGCCTTCTCCTGAGGGCCAGGAATATTGTCAAGGAGCTTCACTAGACATAGTCTATGACAAATGCATGTAACTAATCTGGTACTCATTCTTACTGTTACCTAGCAAATCTGTTCAGTCATGTGCTGGCATCAGTTTGCACCTGTCTAGAGAGTCAATTGTTAAATATTCAGGAATCTTGTGAAGTGGTTGGTAGCTTGAAATCTACCACGGGATAGGAGTATTTACATCTCAGAAATGGGCAAACACTACATATCAGAGCTTCCTGCCTCTCCCCCAAAGCTCATTTACTAGGACACCATTGTCCTATTCTTTGGTTCACTTTCACCCTTGTTTCAACACTTGTCTATGCTCCTGAAGATTACAACCTCTAGCTTTCCTATATGAAAATCCATTCTGAAAATCACAGACATTAGAATGCCTAGGTCAACCTCCTATTTTATGGATGAGGAAACAGGGAAGCAGAGAATTACATGACCTGCCCAATGTTTCACAGATGGTTAATAGCTAGGCCAGGACTTAAAGCTAGGTCACTTGGTTTTCAGTTGTGCTCTATCCACTCTATTACCAGATGACCTAACTTATCTTCATTATTGTCATTCAACATGAAATTCTCCATTGACTCTTCCCTCAATTTGATTTCCTCTATACCTATCCTTCTAATTTATCCAAGAAAGAAGTGATTTTCTTCATTTTATGGCTAATCTTTCTACTTTATATTCCTGCTCTCTAAAACATGGTCTCCTCTACTATCTTTACTCTTTTTATTCTCTACCGAAATCCTTTGCTTACAGATGCAGAAGTCATCTCAAGAAATTATCTCTCTGCTTCCATCCTATTGCTCCCACCAATTACTTTCTAATCATGATGTATAATAGCTTCTTCATTAAGTTTAGTATGTTTGGCCGTTCTGTAACTTGACACTGCTTTCCTCTTACTTCCCTTCTTTCTGGTTGCCAGGAATTCTCCTTTTGCATGTCTTCATCCTGATTCTCTTTTCATCATAAGTGTGACCTACTTGACACAGTCTCTCTGATCTATCCCATGAGGCCTTTTTCCTGGCCTTCTCCAAATCTGTTTACCACACCATCACTAAAGGCACCAAGCATTTCTGACCTCAGGTCTGGATTTCTGTAGTAGCCTGACTTTAGTTTTATATTTCCTGTATACCAGGGTTCAGTAAACCATTTTTGTAACAGGCCAGATAGTAAATATCCTAGGGCTTTGCAAGCCATATGGTCTCTATCACAACTACTCAACTTTGCCATTTAGCACAGCCACTGACACCACATAAACAAATAAGCATGGCCGTGTGTCAATATAACTTTATTCACAAAAACAGGCAGCAGGGAAGATGTGGCCTGCAGGCTGTAGTTTGTCAACTCATGTCTCTTTGTTACCATCAGATTGTGATATGACTCTTTGGATGGAAACAAAATCCTTTACTGTTCCTTCACTGTCTGTAAGATAATGTCTAAAATACCTGGACAAGTTTCTAACTCCAAACTGATCTTGGGCTATCTGGAAACATAAACTCTTTATCCTTGAACACACCTCATATATCCACCCTGATTTCCTAACACATCCCCACTCCATTCATTTACACACAGTATGTGACTCTCTATAGAATTTACTATTCAAGTCCTAGTCAAGAAACTTCTTGGATTGCAAGTCAGGGCCACTGATCTTCCTGACTTAGAACTCACAGAGGGGCAAACTATTTATGGTGCTATTTAGCTTTTTCTGTATTTATGTTATTTTCCCATCTCTAACACATACCATTTGAAAATAAAGACTATATTTTTATACAGTCTTGTGTGTCACCAATTAGAACTAGAACCAGGCTTAAGGTTATCAGAGGCTGAGAACCCAATAAAAAGTTTATCAATGAAATCAAGTGAAATTTACCCTCTAATTGGTAGCCAACCCTTTTTCTTCAATGCAAGGGAAGACCTTCCCTTTAGTCTAGCCAAGATTAACTTCTTTTTATTTCCTATAAACTTTCTAGCATCTCCCACTTCTTTTTCTGGACTCAGGCTAGCTACTTCGAATAAGCCCTTTATTCTCACTCTGACATATCCAAAGCTTATGTTCTATTAAGATCTGAGATGCCATTTTCTTCAAGAAGACTTCTCTGAGTTTCCTAAGTAGAAATTTGTTTTGATTATATAAAATGTGAGTAGCTAAATAAAAATGTGGACATGTTATTTGCTGTACTCTACATAAGAAATTGTACTATTTTAAAAATTTTGTTATCACTTTTGAGACAGAGTCTCACTCTGTCACCCAGTCTGCAGTACAGTGGCACGATCATGGTACACTGCAGCCTCAAACTTCTGGGCTTAAGCAATCTTCCCACCTCAGCCTCCTGAGTAGGTAGGGCTACAGGCATGCACCATCATGTCCAGTTAATTTTTTTAGTTTTGTAGAGATGGGGTCTACCTTTGTTGTCCAGGTTAGTCTTGAACTCCTGGCCTTAAGCAATCCTCTCACCTCATTCTCCCAAAGTGCTAGGATTACAGACGTGAGCCATGTGCCTGGCCTGTACTATTATTTTTCAAAAATGCTTATATCCTATCAATGGTACTTAGTAAATGATCATATGCACACACACACACAGCTGACCCTTGAACTACATGCTTTTAAACTGTGTGGGTCCACTTACACGTGGATTTTCTTCCACCTCTGCCACCCCTGAGATAGCAACACCAACCCCTCCTCTTCCTCCTTAGCCTACTCAAGGTGAAGATGACAATAATAAAGATCTTTATGGTGATCCATTCCACCTAACAATTAGTAAGTAAATATATTTTCTCTTCCTTATAATTTTAATAACATTTTATTTTCTTTCTGAGACGGAGTCTCACCTATCACCCAGGGTGGAGTGCACTGGTGCGATCTCGGCTCACTGAAACCTCTGCCTCCCAGGTTCAAGTGATTCTCCTGCCTCAGCCTTCTGTGTAGGTAGGATTACAGGCCAGCGCCACCACACTCGGCTAATTTTTTTGTACTTTTAGTAGAGATAGGGTTTCACCATGTTGGCCTGGCTGGTCTCAAACTCCTGACCTGAGGCGATCTGCCCACCTCAGCCTCCCAAAGTGCTGAGATTACAGACATGAGCCATCACACCTGGCTAATAACATTTTATTTTCTCTAGTTTACTTTATTATAATAATACAGTATATAGGCTGGGCGTGGTGGCTCATGCCTGTAACCCAGAATTTTGGGAGGCCGAGGTGTGTGGATCACCTGAGGTCGGGAGTTCGAGACCAGCCTGACTAACATTGAGAAACCCCGTCTCTACTAAAAATACAAATTTAGCTGGGCGTGGTGGCACATGCCTGTAATCCCAGCTACTCAGGAGGCTGAGGCAGGAGAACTGCTTGAACCCAGGAGGCAGAGATTGTGGTGAGCTGAGATTGAGCCATTGCACTCCAGCCTGGGTGAAAGAGCGAGACTCCGTCTCAAAAAAAAGAAAAAAAAATACAGTATATAATATATATAATAAATAAAATATATGTTAATTGACTATGTTATTGGTAAGGTTTCTGGTCAACACTAGGCTATTAGTAGTTATGTTTTGGGGAGTTAAAAATTATATACAGATTTTTCTATTGCACAGGCGTCTGTGTCCCTCTCTAACCTCCTCATTGTTCAAGGGTCAACTGTACTTACATATACATGCATACATATCTATCTTCATTCATTATCCATATCCAAAATTTATTGAAAGTTATATATAAAACATCTTACTTGATTGCCCTAACACAAAGGGTTCTTGTCAGATGTTAATATGCCCCCATTTCCTAATCTATGATTAAAGAACAAAGTGGAAAGTGGCTATGCTAATATAAAACTAGTGATTCACATGTTCTTTCAGAAGACAAAGATGAGAATTACTATCCCATAATCTACTCTGTTTGCTTTTATGGAATGACATTAATAAAATGTCATTTGTGGGAAGGCAGGGGTTAAATGTTTTTTTAAAAATTGTGAAACTTCAGAATCATTTTAAAATAATTCAATGGAAGCAATCTTCAATAGAATCAATTTATTATCCCACATATCTCATAAATATAATTTGTTGGAAAAGAATTAAAATATTCGAGCTATTACAATTGAGGCAGACTTTTCTTTAACTCCCTTATATCTTAGGTGTGCCAGTCATCAAATAGAACAGAAGAACATAATCAAATTAGATTAATTAGTAGATTAAAAAGCATATCTCCAAACAGAATGATAGTTTGCATAACTGCAAATAGCATTTCGTGGATTGCAAAGGTTCCAACACTGCATGAACTCTTTGGGAGAGAAAATAGAGAAAAAGGGTTAATTTCACAGTCATGCAGTAAAGTTAGGTTTCCAACAAATATTGAACCAACTTACTCTCTATTGAGAGTTCCAACACAGGGGACAGCATGCAAAAAGAAAAAAAGAAAAAAAAGAAAAACACACAAATTAGTCGCCATCAATGCAAAGTTCCTGTATGGAAGAAAAACACTCAGAAAATAATAGTGACAAATGTTTTTCGAAGTTTTATGATAAACTCAAAATAGTTTTTAAAACAAGACTTAAATGAATAGTATGGGAGAAGAACATATGATTTTGTTTCTCTTGCACCTCTTTGCCAGGAAAATTAAGAAAACTAAAGACAAAAACTCTTTTTTTTCCAGACCCTATCAATCCTTGAGGTTAAACATCTGAAAATAATCCAAGAATAATAGACACATACTCCCACTTCTGAATGGGGCCAACATTTGGTTCCAAAGCATAGTCCATAGAATTTTTTCCTTTCTTTTCTCTTTTTTTTCCTCCTCTCAGAAGCAATACTTTCACAAGTTAAAATATTTCTGTGAAGGCTTGAAACAATAACTATTGCTTGGAAGTAATAAAAGTAACTATACTACTACTTTTTATTTTCCCTAGGTAAGATGTGTGTTATGGTCTCCTGATCTAAAGACTGCAGGCAGCTGAGCTGCCTAGAATGCTCGTCAGGAGATTCAACTGTGCCTCATTTTAGTAGCCACAGATTGAATTTCTACCGTAGTTGTCCAAGACTCAAGAGTATGGTTCAAGAGGTAGTGTTACAAATACCATAAAATGCCAATTCAAAGCATGCACCACAGTGAAGGCAGTTCTTTCCAGAGTCAAGTGCCAGAAATATATGGGATGGCTTTTGGCAACTGATACTGCTTGCATTTGAGGGGCAAAAAATGGGTCCAGAGCAGTCAAAATAAAAATCTGCTGCAAACTCCTTAATTTAAAAAATTTGATTTTTAAAAAACGTATATATGGTACTTGGTATGTTCTAAGGGTTTACATGAGGTGGATATTACTATTAACTGTTTTACAGATTAATAATTAATAATTAAAGTACATACTGCTAATAAATTGGAGGTAGAATTTGAACCCAAGCAATCTAGCTCCACTATCCATACCTGTTATTTTAAATTTTCCCTCACACTGCTTAAGTAATCCTTCCAAAAGGTACGTCTTGTCTACTCAGTGACTGCTCACTGCCCTCAAGATAATGTCCAAACAAAGCCTACCATTTTGCAGTACAATATGTGTTGTACTGCTTCACTTATAAAAAATACTAAAAGGCTTTAAATTATACATTTGCTGATTTATGGTCTAAATTATTGTCTTACAGATATTGTGGTTAATTATTTATTTCTATATGGGTATATGAAGGAAAAAAAGTTCATTTATCAAATTACAGACATCAAATAATTTCATCTTCCAAGGGTATAGGTTCCTGAACATATGTTTCTATTTTAGTGTCAACGACAAAGAGTTGATCATATATGACAGGGGTCAGCAAACTATGGCCTGCAAGCTATTTCTAATTCTTACACTTTAAAAAATGACTTTAAAAGCAATCAAAAGGCTATTTAGTGATACATGAAAATTATATAACCACATGGTCAGGCATGGTGGCTCACGCTTGTCATCACAGCACTTTGGGGGGACACAATGGACAGATCACTTGAGGCCAGGAGTTCAAGACCAGCTTGGCCAACATGGTGAGAACCCGTCTCTACTAAAAATACGAAAAATGAGCAGAGTGTGGTGGCACATGACTGTAATCCCAGCTACTTGGAAGGCTGAGGCATGAGAATCGCTTGAACCCGGGAGGCGGAAGTTGCAGTGAGCCAAGATCATGCCACTGCACTCCAGCCTGGGTGACAGAAAGAGATCTTGTCTCAAAAAAAAAAAAAAAAAAAAAATTACACACACACACACCCCCTCACATTTTAATGTTCATAAATAAAGTTTTATTGCAACCCAACACACACATTTGTTTGTTCATTGCCTGTTAAGGGTGCCTTCATGCTATAATGGCATAATTGAGTAGCTGGGATAGAGACCCTTATGGTCTGCAAAGCCACATTATTTACAGAAAATAGTTGCTGAGTCTGATATAGAACAAAATTGCATTCAGAAAGAAGATATCAAAAAAAGTTGCTTGATTCTGAAGATGGAACTGTTGGTCTAAAAATACATTAAAAAGGGAGGGGTGCAGCTATTTAAAAAATATCAGAATACAATGCAAAAACTCAAACATTTTTAACTCGGCACAGGATGGTGACATGTCTAGTATCCTTAATGAATTACATTATTGACAGAGTCTCTGATGGACAATCAATGGCCACACAAAAATCAGAAAATCTTCCCATTACATTTGTCTTCACAGAACTGACTAAAAAACAAAAACCAAAATCAAACAAACAAGATGGGTAGATAAGAATTTTATGTTGCTATAAAGCCCTAAGAAGAGAAATCTGATGCAATCCTAGGGAAAATAGTAGCTGGTTCTCCACCTGTATTAAGAGAGGCCAAACATTTGTGCTCAGTTAAGTTCCTATACCAGTGTTAAACTCAGCTTTCCTATTTGATCTTTTTTAAAAAAGTTTGTCTTTATCACTATACATCATGGCATCCAACCAAACTGCATTACTGACTTAACAAAAAGTCAAAAACTGTGACTTCAAGAAATAATCTAGCTTTGGTCTTATATCTTCCAGTAGCAGGAATTACTGAAGATGCTTAATAACTATATATTTCAAAGTTGAACAGACTGTTAATTTAAATGTTTAATAAAACAAATTAACCCAAATAACTGTCTTGTCCTTTGGCTTATATTGCCAACTAAAAATATCAACAGTTAATCTGTTCAGGATTTATAGAAATTTTTACATTAAAGTAAGACTAACAGCTGTAATCAGTGATAGCAATATCTATCTAGAATGGTATAGTTATCTACATGTTCAATTATAAGTTACAAACTTTAAAAGATTTTAGTAAACTGCTTACCAAATGTATTTTCTTCTTTGTCTTTTAATGGGATATTTTACCCTCAAATAAATATAACTTCTGATAGAATAATCTTTGAAAATATTGTTTTAAAGTATAAGCAATTTATTTAAATAATTAAGTATATCCCCCACTGCATTTAAATCTTTAGCTGGATTTTAGTTTATGTACAATGTGGGATTTCATTATCTTTAAGTAGTGTTGTAAGTAATGAAAATACTAAAAATAGAAAAAAATGAGGAGGAAATGAGATGTGCAACAATAAAGTGAAGACAATAAAAAGAAACAGTAAAGTGAAATTCATTAATATTTTTCTTATTTCCTTGCCACATCTCCCGCTCACTTAGGTTAGAAAGTCTCCTGTAGACATTTGGTATCCTAAGGGAAGATTTCACCATTATCAAACATATTGCTGGAAACAGAATATGTGACCACAGTTTTATAACAGTACTATGCATCAAGGTAAACCAAAATTTCACAGTACACATGCACATTACATATAAGTACTTAAATAAATATATTTTAATCAACATTAAAAATGAACAAAGTTCTGAAAATTTTTATGGACTACTTCAATGTAAGAAATGTCTCTTATATTACTACCAAACTATGGCTGGAACCACATTTTGTGCCTTTGTGTTAATGACAATTCTTTTCTACAAAATTATTATTTCAAAATTGAAACATATTTACATCAATGCTGTAATTAATCACAGACGAAAACAAAATAAAATGTTAAAAACCTTTTCAACTTACCCCAATTATGTCTTTTACAAACACTAAAACAGTCTTAGTAACACAAAATACACCAACTTGACTAAATTACTTGAGTTGTAACTGTATCCCCTTTATTTCAGTCTTAGACCATCTATCATTGGAGAAGCTCAAATAGTTACCAGAGATTAATTTCTAAATTACGTATGATACCAAACAATTTTAATTATGCTTGAAAATATTACTGCCATTTTGGGACAATAAAATAAAAATGGCCTACAGTTTTTCTGCTTTGACAATATACAAATGATACCCTATAGAAATAAATAATCTTAAATACTAAAACATACCTTGCCATGAGGGTCAGCAAACATTCTTGTGAAAATTTCACATAATCTTTTCAGTTCAACTCGACTGCCAAGATAATACAGCGGTTAATTAATATCTTGCTGTAGCAAGAAGTCATGTAAAAGTAACTTTACATATAATTTTCTTTAAAAAAAAAAAAAAAAGGTTAGGTTGGGCATGGTGGCTCACGCCTATAATCCTAGCATTTTGGGAGGCTGAGGTGAGAGGCTCGCTTGAGCCCAGGAGTTCAAGATCAGCATGGGCAAGATGGCAAGATCCTGTCTCTATAAATTTTTTTTTTTTTTTTTTGAGACGGAGTCTCGCTGTCGCCCAGGCTGGAGTGCAGTGGCGCGATCTCGGCTCACTGCAGGCTCCGCCCCCCGGGTTCACGCCATTCTCCTGCCTCAGCCTCCCGAGTAGCTGGGAGTACAGGCGCCCGCCACCTCGCCCAGCTAATTTTTTGTATTTTTAGTAGAGACGGGGTTTCACCGTGTTAGCCAGGATGGTCTCGATCTCCTGACCTCATGATCCGCCCGCCTCAGCCTCCCAAAGTGCTGGGATTACAGGCGTGACCCACCGCGCCCGGCCTGTCTCTATAAATTTTTAACAAAACAGCTGCAATGGTCGGGCACGGTGGTTCATGTCTGTAATCCCAGCACTTTGGAAGGTCGAGGTGGGCAGATCACTGGAGGTCAGGAGTTTGAGACCAGCCTGGCCAACATGGTGAAACCCTGTCTCTACTAAAAATACAAAAAAGTAGCTGCGCTGGTCATGGTGGCACACGTCTATAATCCCAGCTACTCGGGAGGCTGAGGCAGGAAAATTGCTTGAACCCGGGGGGCAGAGGTTGCACTGAGCTGAGATTGTGCCACTGTATGCCAGCCTGGGCGACAGGGTTAGACTCTGTCTCAAAAAAAAAAAAACCAAAAAAACAAAAACAAATCAGCTGGGTGTGGTGGTGCACGCCTGTAGTACCAGCTACGTGGGAGGGTTGTTTGAGCCCAGGAATTTAAGGCAGCAGTGAACAATGATTGTGCCACTGCACTCCATCCTGGGTGACAAAGCGAGATCTCATCTCTTTAAAAACAGAAACAACAACGAAATCAATAGAAAAAATCAACCCTAAAAATTGAGAAATTTGTGGGATGTACCAGTCAGGTCTAAATACAAAGTTACCAAATACAACAATTATTCTGTTGTAACCCACACTATCTTAAAGGTTAAAAGTTAAGAAGAAAAATACAATTATCCTTCATTAATGGAGTGTGACAGGAGAAATTTTACATATGGCATTCCCAATACATGAATTTTATCCTTTTAAGTGTTAAGACGTTTTCTTAAATGTTGCTACTGATAGGATAAAATCATTCTAAACTATGCTTACTCCCTTGCCATTTAAAATGACCAACACATGAATCCTATCCTTTTAGGTGTTAAGACATTTTCTTAAATGTTGCTATACTTACGGGCTAAAATCATTCTAAACTATGCCTACTCCCTTGCCATTTACAATGGCACGCTGAATCTAATATTAACTTAATCTTGATGGGCTGGGAACAATATTATGATGGTGGATTGCAATGATTCATGACATGTGATATGAACACATGAAAATATATTTAGGTGATACAGAAACATTTATTTTAAATTATATAGTTCTAATACTTCCTAAAATAAATACACAGGAAGTAAGTACATCAAACTCTTATTTCACAGGTATCAAGTCAGGAAGTAACCCTGCACATTCCACCATGCTTAAACCTATGAAATATCTGAAGCTAGATTCTCAAAGGGGTCAACTATAGGTTTAAAACATCACACAGACAAGGACAATAAGGCAAGTAGGGGGAAAAAACAAGCTAATACCATTAGTAAAGGAAACAAAACCCCAAACCCAAAATATTAACAAATATCTGTTCTTAAAGAAATTCAGTCCAACTCAACTTTGTATTACACTAAAATTCACATATTACATGCACACTAAGAATATATCTTCATTTCCAAATAAGCATAAACATTCTTCTTCTCATTGAAAAACTTACCAGAAATAAATTTTAATAAACCAGTCAGTTTTATCACTATGTACTTTTTATTATTAAATATTAAAATTAATAACATTTTAAATTTAATTTCTATGTGTGAATAAAAAGTTTCCTTTCAAAATGTTTTGCTTAATAGAACAAATAATTTTTTTTTTTTTTTTTTTAGTAATGAAAGTATAGATGGTCCTAAAAGACTGAAGCTTTGGAAAAACACTTTGAAGCAACCATATGAATTCAGGACAAGTCTGTTTCTACACCAGTATCTCTAAAGTGTTATAGAAACAAAGTAAAATCAAAAAGCGCTAACCTGATAGTAAAATCATTTTAAGACAACGCATCTCACCTTAGTGTTCTCTGATTTTTTAATAAGTTCTGCAGACCTAGGAGGCCTTCTTTCCTTTCTGACCAATTGGAACTAGCACATCTATTGAGGACTTCTGCCACATCTTCCGTCTGCCTCATATATGTAGGAATACTACCATTTCGAGAACTATAGGAGCGTTCTGAACAAGCACTAGATGCATCGCTGTTGGCGTCATCATCTGAATGCATTCCATATGATTCATATCTTCTTCGAGCTGGTTTTTTCTGTTATACATCAAGAATCTCATTAGCAGTAGCCAAAAGAATATATTGGTATTTCATAATTTCTACTGACCACAAAAGGATTGATTTTTGTTTTAAAATCAGTGCAAAGCATGCTCCTAATCATTGTAATAACAGAATGTCAGTATTTAGTTTTTCTTCAGAAAACAAGTTTTAGAAGTTAGTAGAAGGTAAAATAATCCTTAACTATGGGAAGTGGTAGAAGCAGAGTAAGACTATATGGAAGTTCAGATATGTAAAGTGGGAAGCGCTAAAAAATGTGGGTTTTTCCTTTCCCCTTTTCACGAAAAACCAAGAACTACTAGAATGTAAATGAACAGAAACTATACTAGAAATTTGAGTTGGTAAGAAGAAAATATTACCTTTTTAAAGAAAGAGTATAATGGATCAGAAAAACATTTTCCATGTATAAAGTTCCATTTTTTTCTGTCTATCTTTTCTTTATTCTCCTTTTACCTCCATTACCACTTCTCTTGCCACTATTCCTTCCCTTGTACCCAACCCTCATGTCTCCTAGAGAAATAAAATACAAAGAATGATGAAAAACTATTTAGTCTACTATTATTTTAAGGAGGCGAACTCCTTGAGAGCCCTCTATGCTTTTCTCAATGTATCTATATTGTTTAATTCAATAAATATAAGAAAGCATATTCAGATTCCTTTGATTTCTTTACATCTAAATCTTATTTGTTTAATATATGTAAATGCCAGTTATACCTTGCATATTTCAAGTGAAATGAGAAAGAATAGTTTATTTAAGATTTCCTTAAAAGAGCTGAAAACAAATCTTTATGTTATCTGATACTTGAATTTTGGCTGATGAGTGGTGAAGATGTCTATAAAACAGATTAAACACAATAATTCAGTGTGAATGACCTCATTTAATTTGTATGAAGTAGTCAAGCTGAAAGAATGAGCACCTCCAGAGGACATTATTCAAGCAGTATCTCTCTCGATAACCATATTTACAGAAAAATAGATGTATGTCTAAGGATTTTACTTCTACTTTGATTTTTAATAGAAGACCATCATTTGTTAAATTGATGAAAGAAAAAAAAGTTATGGTATCATAAGATGTCAGAAAATAGCAATGTCTATACCTTAGTCCGTATGTCTCCTAAGAGCTGAGAGCAGTAAATTTTTAAAGAGAAAAATTGAAAATAATGAAGAACATTTTGCTAATCAGCACAGTGAAATAGGCATTAACAATGCCTATGATCAGAAACATTACGTTTTTTTCACACATAGGTACAAAGAACTGCTTATTAGCAGGCTGTGTCTTTAATCTTGTCAATATTCTTTAGTTCAAAGAGAAATAGTGATGCTACAAAAAATATTCCCATAACCAGTTTTCTCAAAGAAACCTAAATGTTCTTCCTATTTGGATCCTTTTGTCATTTCCAAAGTTAAGTGTATTTCTATGATTTTCTCCAGCACAAATTAGGCTTACTAGCTGGAAAGTTTTTTCCTAAAAATTGGTAGTTGTAAGTGGAACTTCTGTGCTCTGCAAATAATGGAAGTATTCAGAATCAGATTACTGGGAGTCAAACTTTAGCCTTGGTAGTTAAACATTCCTCATATAATTCAAACACACCATCTCAGTGTTCTAAGTAATAGTTCAAGAAAAACCCAATCAATTCGTAACATTTATGTAAGCAGAATTTAACTGGTAAATTATCCAATTTAAAAAACCCAGAAAACATGATTTGAGATACAGGGATGAGGAATAGCAAATCAAAAACATCTCATTAATTTAATATCATCAGAACAAGATGTGATCAATATATCCCATGTTGAAGAGAACAAAGTCCCTACTTAATTATATTAATTTATAAAAAATAATCAAGTGGCTGAAGTAACGGGAAAAATTCAGCACAGCGAAATGGTTAGCGCAGAACTACACGTGTGATATTCAATAAATTATAGCTATTACCAATGAATATTTTTAAAAACCTGCCTTTTCAAATCTATGTGGCAAACACTGTATTATATCAACACTAGTTAAGATGGGATCTATGATTTTAGGAAGCATATTTTTTTTTAATTTCAAAACAAAGATGAGGCCTCTTACAAGTTCTGGGTAAGAAGCTGAGTAAATGTTTCTCAAACATAGGATTAATATCATAATCTGAAAGAGGAAGTGATACTGAATTGACTTGGGAAATTAGCCAAAGCCAATTACATACATTTTTAAAAATGCTACTTCTTACATAATTTTAAGTGACAAAAACAACGATATATGTATTGCAATCTTCTGACAAGCTATCATGGATCTGTAGAATATGTTTTTAAATCTCACTGTTTAATGTGTCAGACATAAAGAATTATATCTAACTATAAGATATAATATATCTTAATTATAATTTGCCTTGAGGTTGTACTTTCTTTTAGTTCAAAAAACACAGATAAAATACTAAACAAAATCCAGCCCCAAAGTAAAATAATTCCTAAATACCAAAGTTTAAGCTAGAGTTGAAATTACATGATTTTAAGTGTACATATTTATATAGTTTATCTCCCTTAAGTATACTATAGTGTATAAAACACATTACCATATTAAAGACATCTATATTTATATTTCTGATAGGCCATCAGTAATACTGGCCCTGGTATAAAATTCTGATTAATAAGGATCAAGAATTAATTATATTCTGCTTTTTACACTGCCCACGTTTTATCTTTAGATTTAATCACTGATTTTTCCCCAACCCCTTTCCCACATGGATAGACTGGCCTACTCATTCAACAGTTTCGTAATTGGAACATTTATAATGATAAGAAAATGGAGAAGAGTACCAAGGCATCTGCCACCGCCTCCTCCACATCAGAACCTGTGTTCAGGACTCGCATGGCACTAACAGAAGACGACAGTCGACTTGATTGGCTGATCCCATAACCTGGACCTAATTCATCAAAAGAAGGAAAATAGATTTGAAGGAGTCATAAATATAACAGTGTCAGGTTGGGAAACTTTAAGACCTTTACAGGGGAAGGAAAAAAAACCAATGGGGCAAAGCATTTTAAAAGCAATATTGTATTTTCTGGGCACATTTAGTTTTTGGCAAAATAAAAGGGTAAAGACAATTAAAATTACTGACAATGTGTGAAAAATAAAGAACGGTCACTATTCATTTACAACCACAAGGTAGAAGGAAGCATGGCTGGCAGACTAAGGGCTTGCAAGTCTATAGCCCTGTAATCCAGCTCTATCAGTTCAGGCAAATATCATCCATACGGCTGAATCACAGAGTAACCCAGGACAAAGATCAATCCTCAACCAATAGTGGTTAGGGAGATCCATGAAGGCACACTAGAAATTTACAAGGAAAATAAGCTCTAATTATTATCTCCTCTCCTTCAAGATAAGTGGGTTTTATTCTACAACTAAGAGACATCCATTTGATAACTGTTAAGTGTCTACTATGTGCCCGACATTCTGAGGCATACAGAGACAAACCAGAGATGAATTCTCCCCCTCAACTGCTTTCTATACCATCATTTACAATTAAAACACTTCATCCACCATTTTGGTTTTTTTTTTTTTAAACATATATACAAAGATGAGAACATAAAAACAATTCTATATTTAAAAATGACACAACAGGTTATACAAAAAAATGTCCATATACCAGTGAGAAAAATGCTCAATACAGTTGCTAAAGGGGAAAACGTTACTTGGGAGAAAAGAAAAAAAAAGTTTATTCTCCAACAAATTAAATTTAAATAATAAAAAATCAATTTTAAAACATGAATATTATTTAATGGAAACTGAAAAGGATAAAATCTGAGATGAATGCCAGATGATAGTGAAAATGTACTCATCCTTCACCTGAGGCCCCATACACTTCGGGGGCGTAGAGGGCACCAGTTGATCTGGAATGGTGTCTGGAGGCTGGAATAACAGGACCATACAAACCTCATCTATTACCACAGAAACAAGGAATAGTGGCAGCACTACTGTCAGGCAAGGAGAGTTAGTTAACACTGGTGTTATTCTTTATAGTTAATGATCAGAGTATTGCCAAATAGGGCAATGGAACATTAGCATTGCACCATCATTCCTGACACAAAAACACATCTTACACCTAAGTGGACAGACAGGCCTACAGGAGACAAAAGAAGTATTCAAATGGAAGGAAATGTTGAAGGTACAAGCATGAAACAAAAAAACGAACATTATAGTGTAAAAAAAAAACCACTATGGTAACTAGTAACTAATAAAATCTTATCTCCTTTAATCCTGACATCCAATGAGGCAGTAAATTACTATTCAATTTTACAGATGGTGCTATGGTCTAACTGACTGACCTTCTACAACACCTGCTTCATTCATATGTAGAAATCTTAATCCTCAAGGTGATGGTATTAGGAGATAGGTGGGGCCTGTAGGAGCCAATTTGCCCTAATGACTGGGATTAGTGCCTTTACAAAAGAGACCCCAGAAAGCTAGCTAGCTCCTTCTAACATTTGAAAACACAATGAGAAGGCATCATCTGTGAACAAAGGAATGGGTCCTCATCAGACACCAAATTTGCTGGTTCTTTAATCTTAGACTTCCTAGTCTCCCAAACCATGCCGAATAAACTTCTGTCATTTAAAAGTACATAATCTATGTTATTTTGTTACAGTAGCCTGAACAAACTAAGATGAGGAAGCTAAAGCCTAGAGAGAGATTAATTAATTTGATTATAGCCACACTACTAGTAAGTGATACATTTCAGTATCTATACTCTTTTAATTCCTCTGCCCTTAAACAGTAGATGTACCATCTTTAATTTACATTGTTGAAAAGTCAATACACCTCATTTTGTTAACATTAACATTTTCCATAATGGTTCACATAACATAAATTCTGCATTCAGTATATTATTTAAATATCAAGGCACATTTGAATACAAAAAAATACTAATAATTTAACCAAAATGTAGAAATTTGTGACATATCTCCCTATATATTGCTCTAAAATCTAAATTTAGCATATTTTGCATAACACCATAAAGTTAACTTTTCTTTTACATACAGAAATGAATAGCCAAAAAATGCATTTTAATATTTAATAAAATACATTACTTTAATTTAGAAAGTTATTCTTCCTCAGATATATTAGAGCAGTTAAAATACTTTTAACATGAGTCACTCTTTTGTTTGCTACAGGACAGCCTTAATAAACAGGAAGACTGAAAGAAAGGAGGATGTAAACTAAGAGAATGCTGCACAAAATGTTTAGTTAGCCCCGAAAGGTGACTGGTATCATTAGAAAAATAAACTAAAATACATTGTTAGTTTTAATTTTACCTAACAGAAATAATTTCTAAAATGATGAGGAGGAGTTGAACAAATTTAAAAATGTCTAGTGGACAAAAATCTTTGAAACACTTTACAGAATCAATAGTTATCTGTGACTTGAAGATAATAGGTGTCTGAAATAAAGTAAGCCTTTGAAATATCTTGGTTCCAGAAATACATGGAAACTAAAGGTGCAAGTTCCAGAGAAGTTAAACTTTGCTCGGCTCTAATTTATTTCTGATGCTTTAGGGCCCTCAGGCTAAACTTGTGATTCATCTGCTGAATAACAATATCCAGCCATAAGCAACAAGGGGATTCCACCAAAGAAACAAATAATAGAAAGGACCAAAGAATGTAGGCAAATGTAGCAGAGAATGGGAATAGCAAGAACAACTTAATCTCTGGGAATGCTACCTTTCATCCCTGCAAAACAAACAGGGCTAATCTGCTGCCTTTGCTATGCAGTACCCATATGTAAATAAAATGGCTATAAAAAAGCCAATTCTTCTAAAACTATGACTAAAAGGTTTAGTCATCTTCAGTGCAAATAGGAACTTTCATGAGAATCAGGAAAACTGTTTCCTTTAATATTAAAATTTAAGTAATTTTAAATTGTCAAATGGAAGCTTTGAGATGAACTAGAATATTAATGACTAGACAAAATATTTCTTTAAGAACTGGTATATTAAACAATGTTTACTTTCACAGTAATTAGTAGTAGATTATAAAGGTCCTCTAATCTCTAACTATTGTACAGGTTTACAAAGTACAGAAACACATTTTGGTTTCTTCTTGATATGTTTTCTAGGAACGTGCAATATCAACATTATATAAATGCAGGTGCCATTAAGAAATCTGAGATCCTTCCCACTGAAGTGTAATTTAACTGTTTCTAGGGTAAGTGATTAGAGTTTCAGGGGGAAGAGGTAGAGTGGTAATAGCAGCAGCAGTGGTGGTAGCAGTGATGATGACCATGATGACCATGATAACTGAGTGCTCATTATGTGTCAAGCACTGCCTTGAGGGAGTTTTTCACGTATTTCTCATTTATGAGTCTCCAAAACAATCCTAAGAAGTACACACTATTATTATCCTTGTTTTATAGATGAGGAAACTCAGGCATAGAAAGGTTACGTAGCTGGGGAATGAACCCAGGCCACCTGACCCTATGATATACATTCTTAAACCACCACACACCCAACTCCACTTCCCTCCACTCCTGAAAGTAGGATGATTATTTTATACACATGTAGGATTTATTTCATTTCTTTAAATGTATATCCATGAGGATGCACCACGTATATGTGCATGCGCATGCACATGCACACATACAGACATTCTGCAGACTAACTCTATTGCATATGAACTAAAAATATCTCTGACAAAGTACCTGCCACACACAGCCTTAGTGATGTGGAACAGTTCTTTTTACTTTGGCACCTCCCCACAGAGGGAAAAGAAAGAGGGAAACTCTCTGGCACCTGGGGCTGGAACACAAACAAGGGTTGGGCATATTCCTGTGATTCTAGCTTTAATGGGGTTTTCTAGGTCAGTACAAAAAAGCCTAGTATATTTGAGCCAAATGGCCCAGAGAATGAGAAATTAACCACTAGAAATTCTTGGCCAGGTGCAGTGGATCACACCTGTAATCCTAACACTTTGGGAGGCCGAGGTAGGTGGATCACCTGAGGTCAGGAGTTCGAGACCAGCTTGGTCCAGTATCATGAAACCCCATCTCTACTAAAAATAGAAAAATTAGCTGGGTGTGGTGGTGGGTGCCTGTAATCCCAGCTACTCAGGAGGCTGAGGCAGGAGAATCGATTGAACCTGGAAGGTGGAGGTTGCAGTGAGCCAAGATCGTGCCACTGCACTCCAGCCTGGGCAACAGAGTGAGACTCCACCTCAAAACAACAACAACAACAACAATGAAAGAAATTCTATACTACCATATGTATCTGAGGAAATAAGAATTCCACTGGATAAGTAGAACTAGGTTCTCCCTGAGCATTCCAAAGTCCAAAGAGCAACCTTCTAAGTATTACAGTAAACTACACTGTGTTAAAGAAAAAAAATCTGGCCAGGTGCAGTGGCTCACGCCTGTAAACCCAGCACTTTGGGGGGCCGAGGCGGGCGGATCATGAGGTCAGGAGATCGAGACCATCCTGGCTAACACGGTGAAACACCGTCTCTACTGAAAATACAAAAAAATTAGCCGGGCGTGGTGGCAGGCGCCTGTAGTCCCAGCTACTCAGGAGGCTGAGGCAGGAGAATGGTGTGAACCCAGGAGGCAGAGCTTGCAGTGAGCCGAGATCGTGCCACTGCACTCCAGTCTGGGTGACAGAGCGAGACTCCGTCTCAAAAAAAAAAAAAAAAGAAAGAAAGAAAAAAAAGAAAAAGAAGAAAAAAAATCTAAAATGGCTACAGGCTTGTGCATTTAAACAAAATACTAGTTAAAATGCTGAAGGATCACGCAGAAATTCTAAAGATTCTCAATGTACATACAAAACTGTACCTCTCCAGTTATCCTAATACTGAATGTTTAAAAAATCATTTAATATTTTTATAATTGAGGTAAATATAGTATTACAATCAAGGTTACAATACAGTTGGGGACAAACAAGTTTTACCGCAGTGACAAGAGCATTAGCTCATAGGAAATGACTGTTAAACTGTAAAATATTATAAAAATGTTAATCCCTACCATTAATAAGTAGTTCAGATGTTATTTTGTGGCATTCTTTTTAGTAACCTAAGTTAAATGATCTAAGCTGAAATGTTAACATTTCCGCTGAAAAAGACAAAAGTATTTTATCAAACTAGTCCGCATTTCACTTGAGATTAAATATTTAAATATCTTTAAATTTGCAGGTTTACTTGTTAAGAAAGATCTAGACTTCAATATTCTGAAGTTTAAACCTGTGTGACATTTACTTGATTATGAAGGCAATCTGTTAATACAATGACTAACATATTCATTTCAGACATGTAAATCAAGTCAAAGGAATTTCCCAAACATGTAATTTCCTTTCCTCAAAATGACAGAAAAGGGGTAGAGAGAAAGATCTGTCGACAAAGAAAGCTAAATCCCAGGTATGCTGAAGTTAACAGATAGTGATAACACCATGGATAAGCAATGCACATAACACCTGCCCGAATACGTACCGAGGGGCTGAAAAGAGCGAACAGGACTTGTGTCTCTGCTGCTCTCCCGACTAGCTTCCCGGCTGCATCCTTGACTCACACTTGGTCGAGGAATACGACTGCTTCGGGCTGGTGTGAAGCAACAGCAGCACACACAGTAAGGGAGAAAACAGAACAGAGTTTGCATTTTAAAAAATTTTGTTTTTTTCTTTCTTAAAGACTGAACAGTAACTTAAATTTTTCTAAGGCTGAAAAGAAATTACTCTTGCTGAAGCATTACCAGGAATACAGTTAAATTCTTAAATATGGTCCTCTAGTTTGTATGAAATTAGAAGGGCAAATAATATTTTACCAAACTAAAAATGCTGCAAATAAAAATATTTAACATACTGTACAATACAGTAAAACTCAATTTTTCTCTTTGTTCACTGAACTATAGAGGCTTCTAACACTTTTGGTATCTTAGGTTAAAATCTTGCTTTTAATAGAGAGAAAAACCCTATACTTATCAAATATTAATCTAAAGTAAAATACCCATTCTTAAATTCTCAGTTCAAGATAAAGAGGAAAAAATGCCAGGTGCAGTGGCTCATTCCTGTAATTCCAGCAACATGGGTAGGTGAGTGGGGAGAACTGCCTGAGGCTGGGAGATCGAGATCAGTCTGGGCAACATAGTGAGACCTTGTCTCACTACAAAAAAAATACAAAAATTAGCTGGGGATGGTGGCACATGCCTGTAGTCCTAGCTACTTAAGATGATGAGGCAGGAGGATTGCTTGAGCCCAGGAGGTCGAGGCCGCAGTGAACTATGATCATTCACTGCACTCCAGACTGGGTAACAGAGTAAGACCCTGTCTCTAAAACAAACAAAAACAAAAGAGGAAAAAATAAGCCAATGCTTTCGATTCCCATTCTTTTTCTCACCTCCTCACAAATGAAAAACCCACAAATATGGAACGAAAGAAACAATAAACAGGGGTGAAGACTGACTAAAGGTGGAGTAGAGAATTTAAAATAATGTCTGGAAAACAAAAAGAAGTGAATTAGTTAGATGAAAACTTCAGAGGCTCATGGGCCAAATACCAGGCACAGAATAAATGAAAAGCGCTAGGAACAGTAATTCAGTCTGTAGGCCTAAACGAAATCGGTGCCATCTACTCAATAAAGACATTCTCAGACAAGTAAGGTTTCAAAAAGCTTGACTCCTACACACTATTTCTAAGGAATTATTTGTGAATGTGTACGAGCAAAGCAAAAGAGCAAAGGAAGAGAAAGAGGATCCAGGAGGGAGTGATTCAAACCAGGAAAGCAGCAAATAGGAATCTCAAGAAGATAGCTGAGCAAGAGGCCTAGATGCAACTAATCCAGAGAGAACTGAAAAGAAAGTCTGGAAAAAATAAGGAACTGCATATTTCCTTTCAGCAATACTGAAGGGAAAGCAATCCTAAAGGATATGAGAAGTGCACACTATTCTTAGTCACTTTCTATATACACAGCAAATGAAAACGTGGCATAATAAGTAAATAACTGGTATAAGTTATAATGACATAAGTAAATAACTGGTAGGAATGTAAGGAAAGAGAATTCATCTCCTTATAACAGGAACACTCTCCTTCAAGTGGTCCCTAGGGAACTCACTGTACCTTTGGGAAGAAATGGGTTCACAGTACACTAGGTGTCTTGGCTGCAAACAACATTCATTTACTCATAACACAGTATATGTTATTTACAGCTTTTCATCTTTTAAAGCCAACTTATGGAACAAGTACATAAGACTTGCTTGTGGATACAGAAGAAAATGTATGTGTAAACTTTAATAATGTAAAAATTGATAACTCTAAGAGTGGAAGGTGAAGGAAAAAGTATGGAAGTTGAGATACTGATTGAGGTTGACGAAACAAGAAATAGAAATATGAGTATTTTCTTTAAATATGAGAATATTTTTTAAAGTTACATAGGTAATCTGCAAAAGACTTAAAACAATAAAAAAAATTATTAAAAATAAACTGGAATAATTAGGGGCTTTCTGCTCTGGAAATGACGGATCAAGTAGCAGCTATCCTAAGGACAAAGTCAGCAACATGGTTGATAAAGCAGAAAAGAAGGAAGAGAGAGTGAGAGAAAGGGAAAATAGGCAGATTTTGGGTTCATCATAGCAATGTTAATTAGTCAATCCTGAAGGCCGTACAATCTTCAAACTTAACTAATAAATCCATTTTTAATGTTTAAGCTGGCTTCATCTATCATTACTATTATCTGAAATTGAAAGTATCCTAATCAATACACAGAGAAAATATTAAAGTTTACTAGTATTTGAATAGGGCTGAACTATAACACGAATGTCAAACACACAAGAAACTGTGTATATATGTGTATATGTGATAAATATGTTATAAAATTCCACAATAACCTTTTCCTTTAAAGTACTAGCTATATTTTTCAAAGCTCCTATGAATTATAGGGTTTGTTTGTTTTGTTTTGGGTTTTTTTTTTTTTTTTTGAGACAGAGTCTCCGTTGCCCAGGCTGGAGTGCAGTGTGATCTTGGCTCACTGCAGCCTCCACCCCAGGTTCAAAAGATTCTCCTGCCTCAGCCACCCGAGTAGCTGGGATTACAGGCATGCACCACCATGCCTGGCTAATTTTTGTATTTTTAGTAGAGACGGGGGTATTGGCCAGGCTGGTCTCAAACTCCTGACCTCAAGTGATCCACCCCCCTCAGCCTCCCAAAGTGCTGGGATTACAGGCATGAGCCACTGTGCCAGGCCCTGAATTACACATTTAAGATACCTAATTCAACTCATAAACTATTCTTCAATTGTTGAATTTTTAAGTTATTTTCTTCTAATTTGTAAGTCCTAATTGTATTCCAAAGTCTTCAATGCTGCCAAAGCCTGAAAAAAAAAAAAAAAGGGTTACATGTCTCACATAAAAAAAAAAAAAAAATCTTACCCACTGAAAGCCTAGATGGACTAGCCTCTCTGCTACAGCCCTGGCTCCGTGGTATCTTGCTTCTTTTTTGTGCTGAGGCTGAATTGACCAGGACTCTTTGAACACCAGAGCTCACAGTGGACAGGGCTGTTGTGGTCAGAACTCTTCCTGGAGACCCAGACCGGCTACCAGCTGAACACCAAACACATATACAAATGTTAACATGTAAATGCCAAGAGAATTTGCTGAAAGGATAAAAATTCAAGAAATATTGATAATACAGAGAAAACTGTGACAGTATGGCAGGTTCTACGCTCAAAGGAAATAGACCGAGGAAGATTTAAATATAATTATAACCTGGAAAAAAAAAGGTATACTACATATATGAGCACTAAATGGTAAATCATCTAAAATATACTTTCAGTTTTGGAGGTATAAGACACTATGTTTAATAAGGAGAACATTATTATAATTTTTAGAACACAAATGGTATACAAGATTTCCAAAGAAATCACTTATCTGACAATCCATTTCATATGGCTATCATGTTCTACGTGAATAAGCTATATACAGTCATATGTCACTTAACAATGGGATACATTCTGAGAAACGTGTTGTTGGGTGATTTTATCATTGTGTGAACATCATAGAGTGTACTTACACAAACCTAGATGGTATAGCCTACTACAGATCTATATGGTATATAGCTTATTGCTCCTAGGCTACAAATCCTATACAGTATGCCATTAACAATACTGTAGGCAACTGTAACACAATGGTAAATATTTGTGTATCTAAAAATACCTAAACACAGAAAAGGTACAGTAAAAATATAGTATTATAATTTTTTAAAGCTTTATTTCCAATGGTTTTTGGGGTAGAGGTGGTGTTTGGTGACATGAATAACTTCTCTAGTGGTGATTTCTGAGATTCTGGTGCACCTGTCACCCGAACAATGTACACTGTACCCAATACGCAGTCTTTTGTTCCTCATCTCCTTCCCAGTATTATAATTTTACGGGACTACTGTCACATATGTGGTCACTGATTAAATGTGGTTATGCAGAGCATGACTGTATTAAAAAAAAACCCGGTAATTCTATCACTATTTTTTGTTAAGTATATAATAATGATAATCTGTTTCATTTTAAAATAGTTTGCCTGCTGAGATTTCTCTGAATGGTACAGCAAAGCTATCTGTCTTACTATTAGACGTATTTTTAAACTTAACAAAATTAAATTTTAAATGCTGACAAAATTGGGCCAGCTGAAAAAGAAACTTGTTTTTTGCTATTTGTCTTCAAATAGCAAAGCGCTCTTGGGTAGTGACATTCTGGGTTATAGAAGTCCCAAGGGTAGAAGGGGAGTAAGGGGAAAACATCAAATGAATCAGATCCTTTTCTTTCTTTTCTTTTTTCCCCCCCGAGACAGAGTCTTGCTCTGTCACCCAGGCTGGAGTGCAGTGGCGCGATCTCGGCTCACTGCAACTTCCGCCTCCCGGGTTCAAGTGATTCTCCTGCCTCAGATTCCTGAGTAGGTGGGATTATAGGCTCCTGCCATCGCACCTGGTTAATTTTTGTATTTTTAGTAGAGACAGGATTTCACCATGTCGGCTAGGCTGGTCTCGAACTCCTGACCTTGTGATCTGCCTGCCTCGGCCTACCAAAGTGCTGGGATTACAGGCCTGAGCCACCACGCCTGGCCTCTTTTCAAATGAGTAATTTTCAGTTTTGGAAGGTGGACATGTGGTCAGGAACACAGGTAGAGTTAGTAAAATCTTTTCAGAGACTGTGCATGGGTTTAAAAAAAGTTTTAAAAACATGTTTTTAAACTAGAAATGCAAGGGTTAAATTTTAAGGAGATAAGCTCCCTGTCAATCAAAGCACTTTATGTCTACGTTGAATAGAAAAAGTACTAGATAAGAACTCCAAGATATAATCTAAATGTAGATTCAGAAAAGTAACAGAAAAACTAAAGTTGCAATTAAATAAATCTTCATGAAAGCAACCTTTTCCCTTCGTGGGCACTACTTCTACCCAGTAAGAGGGCTGTATGATTATATGTTATACAGTCTTACCCAATCAGGCTTCATTTCCACAGAGACTCAAATGCCAATGGGACAAGCACAGGATGTCAAAAAAGAGAGGGGCACTGTGTAAAGCAGGGAGTAGTAAGATGACTGATCAAGAGGGGGGGTGCCTGCCCTTTCCTAAAGTGAGAGGTGACTTTTTAGTTCTAGCCACCTTTGTCTTGAGGTAATAGTGGATAGGTCTTGGGATTTTTCAAAAATGAAAGCTTTGATATTTCCAGATTTTTAGCATGTTCTATAGGCCAAATAATACATAAATGGAGACAGACTAGACATGGTCCATGGGCTGGCGATCTGTGATTCTTTTTTTTCTTTCTTTTTTTTTTGAGTCGGAGTCTTGCTCTGTCGCCCAGGCTGGAGTGCAGTGGTGTGATCTTGGCTCACTGCACGCTCTGCCACCCAGGTTCACGCCATTCTCCTGCCTCAGCCTCCTGTGTAGCTGGGACTACAGGCACCCGCCACCACGCCCAGCTAATTTTTTGTATTTTTAGTAGAGACAGGGTTTCATCGTGTTAGCCAGATGGTCTCGATCTCCTGACTTCATGATCCGCCTGCCTCGGCCTCCCAAAGTGCTGGGATTACAGGCGTGAGCCACCGCACCCGGCCGATCTGTGATTCTTACTACAGTTTTCTTGGAATGGTCTTGCTGAATACAATTTATATTAATGCTTAATTCTTAAACTTTACCAGCATACAAAATGAAACTTATTTCCTATTAGTGATAACAATATTGTAAAACAAAGCAGTGTTTCCAATGAAATTAACAATTTACTGTCTGTATAGAAGGAATTCTAAATTATTGTAAGGAAATTATTCAAGTGTATTTTAAAATAGCTCATTTGAATGTTTCATGATGTTTCAAGCAAAGAATCTTTAAATCCAATTTCTTTCAGTTATAACCTTAAGGATACTCATATAAGGAACCTGTTTTCTCCATGCAGTGTCTAAACTGAACATACACACCAAAAACATCCAAACACCCAACATGCCACAACTCACAATGCAAGATAGGCCAATGGAATGTTTTATGGGAAAACTCGCAACAATATAAAAAGTATAAATAATGAACTGAGCACATACAATATGGTATTCTATTAAAACCAATATAAATTTGGGGGGTGGAAGTGTTGGTAGGAGAGACTGCAGAATTTCTTGAAATGTGGGTCTATTCAGCAGATAGGAAACTTGTAGTTCAGAAACAGAGTAACTTCTCTTTCTACTCTAGATTTACTGAATTTATTAAAATTATGCAAGCGCACTCTACAAATTTAAATTCAGTCCTGCCCTATCCTAGGAAATAAAATTGTCAGTGTTCATTTTGCTTTAATCATTAACCCTCTCCTCTGCAATACTCCTGATTCCCACCAAGAGTGTGATAATTCTAGTACCTATGACCCACTTTGGAATTATTCATACTTGGAAAAAAATACCAAGGCTCCTTCCCCAGTAAAGAGCCACCAACGCTAATTATTTCTTTTGGGAAAACCAGAGTTGTTGAAAAGTGTCATGATGTATCCAAGGAATAGCATGCTACCAGAAAATACCCATATTTGCAAAACTTGACATCGAACACCTATTTTCTCTTGTGCTACCTAAAGTTTTCAAACTACCATTTTATAGTTTTTATAGCATTTCAAAGCATGACAAAAGCTCCTGTTTCTTTTGAATGTTTATATCCACGGTATTAACTTGTGTCATTTAAAAAAAATCAAAATTTTGGTAATAAGACAAAGGCCAAAGAAAAATCACAATTGGCAATTTCTGCCCCAGTATGACTACAAATGATAGACTATGACGTTAAGAATTTCTGCTGAATAGAACCCATTCTTCATAATGAAAATAGGTGATCAAACAACAGATGCACACATAAAGTCTATAGATTCTTACCACCAATGGTATTAGCAGATTGTGATCCTGAACAAGTGTAAAGGCAGAATTAGGGTAAGGATTATAATCCATGAAGAGGGAAGGAGCAGTTTTTAAATGGATGGCAGATGGAAATAAGAAAGCTTTAGTCAGTTCTCAGAAAATTAAAAAACCCTAAGGCAAAAAAAGCAAACTTTAAAAAATCCCAAAAGCACAGATGTCTTTAACAAAAGCAGTACATTTAGTTGTTTTTAAAGCTAATCAACTGAAATCAGACACTCATGTACAAAGCAGATGAAATGAGACTGCAACAGTAAATGTAAATTCTTCAGCTTTTCTACTACTGACAGTCGAAAATCAAAATCATTAAATGTTTTCATTAAACATTTAATTTAAAACTACTCATAAGGAACAACTACAATATTGTACAGCTGAAGAAAAATTACATGAAAAAGCTACAAATGTCATCTTTCTTAAGATGCACCAAGAAAAACAAAAGATGGGAGGAGAGGAGACAAAGTTTCTGACGGGCTGTACAATCATTTGTATACAACCAGCCACTACCAACAGAAAAAGAGACACAATTTTGTCATAAATATAGATCTAGTGCTCTCTCCATTGAGTCTCCATTTATTTATTTATTTTGGTTAGCCATCAGAACACACCTGCTTTGATCTGAGAGACTTTTTTTTTCTAAGTAGTGATACAAAGATATGGTAAGACCATGCAAGCCCTAATGAATTACTTTATGACAAAGTAAGGATGATGATCACAGTAATATTTCTGTGCAAATATATTGTAAAGAAACTTGCATACAAATTACATAATACCTTTTTTACAAAAGAATTCGGAATGGAACATATAGTCATTCAAATAAATAAGCAAGCAAACAAACAAAAGTCCCTCCAATATAAAACCCAAATGATTTTACAGAGGGAAAGTCTTCTAATCTTAAAGTCCTATTTGGTCTAAGAAAGTCAATTACTGTGTTTTCACAATTTAGGAGAAGATGTGGAGGATTATGGAATGGGTTTCAAAGTGAAAAGCCAAATGCAAAAAATTATTCTATTTTCCAGTGAAGTGATCCTTACTTACAATGTACCTGAAAAGGAGGTCTCTTAAGTATTTTTAAAAAAAAGCCCTTTGAGTCTTTGCCCTAAGATCAGCCTCAGTATTGTTTCAGAAAAGAACTAATATCTCACAATTAATTTTTATCCTTAGACAATGGACATGGAAATTCCTGGTTGGTTATCTTTATGCTTCAATTTTCCTAACTTCATTGTTTATTTCTCTGTTTACTGAAGGCAGTAAGAATAACAAGGTACAGAAGTACACAAAAGCAGTCTAAAATTCAGTTGACATTTGATTAAAAATAATAAGGATCATCTGCAGTATTTAAAATTTTTTTAAATTTTAAAAAATTAAAAAATAATGACAATTTTATTAGCCAACATATATAGTGCTTATTCAGGGCTAAGCAATATTTTATGTCTATTAAATATGCTACATCATTTAATCCTCACAACAATCCTATGTAGATGCTATTCTCCTCTTCATTTTACAGATGAAATTATAGAAGTGCAGTAACTTCAAATAACCTCAAAGAGCCAGTATTCAAACCTGGGCAGACTCCAGTATCTATGATCTAAACCAGTATGTACTTCTCAAGACTTAACTGTGATATAAATCACTTGATGATCTTGTTAAAGATTGGATTCAGTAGAGCTGTAATGGCATATGAGATTGTATATTTCTAACTAGCTCCCAGATGATGCTAATACTGGTCTGGGCAGCACATATGGAAGCACACGTCTTCTAACTACTATGATATACTGCTAAAGATTAAGTTACTCTAAAAATATACAAGATCAGGGAAGAATATGATATGATCTACTGATTTAGTTGAGATAAAAGTTTTCCCATTCATAAATAACCCTCAAGTTGCAAACCAATTTACTTCCGCTTATTTTTAGGACTCTTCTTGGTGCTCTAATCATTATTCTGCCTGGATTTTCTGACTTTGAAAAAAGAGAAGGATCTGGTGGGTAAGACTTGCGTAATCACTATCCTGCCCCTCAATGCCCCATTCTCTTTCCTGATTTCAAAATTCAGGAATCAGGTTAAAAACAAACAAATAGGACATCCATATCCTAATAAATCACCTAAACAATGGCAGAAGAGAGTTAAATTTATTTCTTTCAAAAATAGCCAAGTAGGCTGGGTGCAGTGGCTCATACCTATAATCCCAGCATTTTAGCAGGCAGAGGCAGGAGTATGGCTTGAGCCCAGGAGTTTGAGACCAGCCTGGGCAACACAGTGGGAACCCACCTCTATAAAAAAAAATTAGCCGGGAGTGGTGGCATGCACCTCTAGTCCCAGCTGCTTGAGAGGCTGAGGTAGGAGGATCCCTTGAGCCCAGGAGTTCCTGGCTTGCAGTGGGCAGTGATTGTGCCACTGCACTATAGCCTGGGTGACAAGAGTGAGATCCTGTCTCAAAAAAAGAAAAACAAATAGTGAAGCACATGAATAACTCCTACAATTACTTCCCTAGAAAACTGTCCTGTTTTCAGAGGTAAGCACTAATGAAAATCTCTTGATAAAGAAGGAAGAGGAACAAATGATTTTAAATTAATAATGCCATAAATGAGGCCAGGAATGGTGGCTCACACCTGTAATCCCAGCACTCTGGGAGGCCGAGGTGGGAGGATTGCGTGAGGCCAGAAGAACAAGATCAGTTTGGGCAACACAGCAAGACCCCATCTCTTAAAACAAACAAAAAATTAGCCAGGCAGTGGCGCAAGCCTGTGGCACCAGCCACTCAAGAGGCTGAGGTGGGAGGATTGCTTGAGCCCAGGAGTTGGAGGCTGCAATGAGCTATTATCACACTGCTCTATTCCAGCCTAGGCAACAGAGTAAGACCCCATCTCTCATTCATAAATAAATACTTTTAAAAAATGCCATAAATATGTTTACTATTCTGAAACATAGAAATAATTAATTTTAGCTAGACCTCAAAATTGTACTTTTTAATAATCATGCTTATGACAAACTCAGCTTCCAGTGAAAGAGCAAAAATGTAAATCTTAAATTTAACATGAATGAAACAGAATCAGTCATTTCAAATTATGTTTCCTCACTATAAATTAGTATATACCTGCCAAAAATGGTAATCAAAAATAGATAATCTAACAGATTTTTGGGAAAATAAGATATCATGTATCTGTCCTTGAATTATGTTACCTAAGATATAACCAGATTTTGATGCTAATATATGGCAATTATTTCGTCTCTAAAAAGCATAATTTTCTACATTAGCAAGTTTCTGAGTAGAATGTGAACACCTTAATGCTAAGGATTTCTGCTATTTAAAATATCTCCATGCAAAAGTTTGTATGGCAAATGAAGTTTTTCTTTGTAAGTGGCAGATATCAATGATGCAGCCCTAATAAAACACCAAAGACAAGACAACACCCACTCAAAAAATTCCAAAACATGCACAACAACTGATCCAAAACATTGAAAAAAATACCTTCATTTTTGTCAGGTGATGATGAACCTAAAGTACAGAACAAGAACTCAGTATGTGGCTTGTCTTTTTTTAAATTAGCTTTGTCTTTATCCACTGGTCAATCGTCTAATACAGTAATACAAAAGCAACACACTTATCCTAACATAGTGACAAATATAGGAGGGCTGATAAGCAATACATACGCTGTGATTGAGACACCATTTTTGTTCGACTTCTTCCTCTAGAATCTGCCTTGGCATTTCCCATGCCAGCAAGTGGTGCTGAAAGTTTTGCTCTCACCCGGCCTGAGAAATAAAATATTTACATAATTAAAAACATTTTTCTATAATAATGTTTAATAATGAGAGGAGAAAATCTCACTATTTTTAGGTACTGCCAAATTCTGTAATAATGTAATCATCAATTACGGGTTCTATTTCTCTTAAAAATTTTATAAACAGTAATTTTTTTTTTACGTGTTATACCATAAGCTAATTTTCCTTCAAGGATAAGAAGAATCAAACTAAAAGATTTACATTCTTAGTTTATATATTAGTCCAGCAGTTACAATTAAGATAATCACCATAAGCATGTCACTTGTTTCTCAATTGGTAGTTGCAATTCTGAAATTTCAGTTTCCATGAAGTTCAGATTATTCTCAAGTCAACCCTACAGTTTTAAATATAAGCCTAAGCTTGGAAACAATTCAAACCATCCTTTTGACTGAAAATGTACTTCTAAAGGGATCTGAAGGAAGAGATATAATTAGGCAAAAGATTTAATCTCTTTATATCAGATTACTACATATGGTATATGGACATGTTTACTGCTCTCTTCCTCCAATCAACTATTTCATTTAGAAAGTGATTTGAGGAAATACATATCACATAAGAGTTAGCATTTTTCTCAATATATTTCTTTTCATACCTCCCGAACTGCACTCCTTTCTATTCTACCACTCTGCCTCATTCCCCTCCACAAAACTAGGCCACAAACATCCTCACCCTATTTCTAGGGCTCTTGAACTACAAGCAGCATGTCTGTCAAGTGCTTAAGTTAGCTGCAGTTAATAAAAATAAGTGAGGACAGAATATATTATTGGTGGGTACTTTGGTGTTCTTAAGCAATAGTCTCAACTGCTATCAAATCAGAACCAATAAGGTTTGTCATTCAAAAAGAAGGGCTCAGAATTATTTTTAGATAAAAGATACAATTTGTAGGGTATACATGAAATACTGGCTAGCCCAATATGACCATATTAATTAGGAAAAAACATACTAAATAATAAGAATAAAAACTCAAAGAATAAGGAGATATTACAAAATTAAGAAATGAGTGAGAAAAGATAAGAGAGTAATAAGAACTAGGAATAAAACAGAATCAAAACCAGAAGTTTAATTGGTAGAATACCAGCATACTATCAACTTCAAGGCCCCTAATGAGCCCATGGTTCAGGCCTCTCACCCTTTTACAGTCTATTTTGAGCAGGACACAAAGTTCTCTTGACTAAAAAGTAAAACAAAATGACCAAATTATTATTTTTGAAATGGAGAATTTATCTACATTGTATATAACAAAGAAATGAGAGTATGTTAAGTATTTTGATATTAACATTTGAAATTACAATTCCACAGTGCGAGAAATCATGTTTTTATTTTTATTTATTTCTTGACACACAATCTTGTTCTGTTGCCCAGGCTGGAGTGCGGTGGCATGATCATGGCTCACTGTAGCCTCAATCTCCCAGGCTCAAGTGGTCCTCCCACCTCAGCCTCCAGAATAGGTGGGACTATAGGACGGTGCCACCACACCCAGCTAAATTTAAAATTTTTTGTAGAGATGGGTTCTCACTATGTCGTCCAAGCTGGTCTCAAACTTCTGGATTCAACCAATCCTCCTAGCTCAGCCTTTCAAAGTGCTGGGATTTCAGGTGTGAACCCCTATGCCTGGACAGAAATCATGTTTTTATACAGTATTCCAATTTAAAACTTAAAATACAAAATTATTTTAAATATATCAGAGTAAATATGAGACCAAATAAAAAAGTTAATCTATTTGGTTTTGTGTCACAAAAAATAGTCATCCACGTAAAACTTAGAGGAAAAAAATTTATATTTTGAATCGGAGGTTTTAAAAAGACAGACTTCAGGTAGAGTGAATATAAACATTGAATTACTTTCCTTTCTACAAATTGAAAACTATAAAAATTATTTTTAAGGTGAACTAGCTCAGTAAGATATGTATAGCAATTCTGGTGTAATCTCAAATTCAATTTGAATCTGTGACCAACTCCCCAGTTACTGATTCAAAAGTAGAAGACATATTTAAAAGCAGACTAAGTAAATGCATTTAAAACTTCAATGATAAAACAATGGTGCATGATCTCTCAAAGTATAAATGAATTGGCATAAATAAAAAAACAAAAACACAAACATGTAAGAAAAGCATTAATGTCACTACTATAAAAAATGAATTATATGCTTACTTCATACTAGATATTATTAAACATGTTAAGCAATTATGTTTTTCCAGCATGAGATGATCCAAAGTACAAAGCAAACCAGCAGGATGAAGAATTAAAAAAAAAAAATCCACACATTACTAAGACAACCAAATATGAAATGTAGAACTTACTACAACTGGCAAATTATAAAGAGTTGCAAAGAAATTAGCCTATTTTAGTTCTAATATTTAATTCCTACCAATGAAAATAGTAATGTAGATGTATTTGTGTTACTAACAAAATGTATAGTTCTTACCATCTTCAGATGCTGTTCCTAAATAAGAAAAATAAAACAACATTTCAACAAATTCTGCCAATGTTGATATTAAGACCTACCTCACAGTCCCCACCCAACACTACAATGAAAGGGTAAAAACAAAAAATTAACTTTTAGTCTGACAGCCTTAAATTAACTGCGGGAAGGTTCATTTTGAGAAAAACAAAATTTGAGGTAATCCAATGATTCACAGCACACGGAAACTAGACAAATAAAAATAACAAAATTCTATAGGAAACACTTTTTGTCTGCTATATTGCATTCTTAAAATTTGAAATGGTATAAAAAATTAGAGAAACTCATCACTCAAAAAAATGTAACTCTGTAATTACTCTTTGAAAATGAAATTTTATAGACCTTTCCAGAGTAGAAATGTTTTCTCTGCATTTTCAAAAGGTAGCCCATGAAGGAATCAGAAAAAGCTAACTGACAAACATAGGAATAAAATCTATGACCTAGGCCTCACTTGCCCATTTTTATCAAAGCATCTACAAAGCAAAAACCTATCAATCCAATTCATTAGCTATTTATTCAACATTTATGTGCATTCCTTAAGATGTCAATGAAATCTATAAAAAATGACTAAGTACAAACATCATAACTCACTACTACTAAAGCGCAATAATATACGTCTGTGTATTTTTTTTAAACATAGGATTGAACATCAGTAAGAGTAACACATCATATAACAGTAGTGACTTCTCAAATAGATTGAGATTTCCTACCCAAACAGGAAAATATTTTGAACTGGAAAGTGATAAAAGTTCGTTTTTAAAGGATCCAGAATATCAATATTAGGATGTCTAAGGGGTTTGATACATAGAAACCATCTCTTGATGGGCTATCATTTCATTCAATATTTTATTATAATCATATAGAAAAGCAGACACTAATATAACTAGCAGTCATGTACCTAACCCAAGGTTTAATAAATGTTCTATCTCATTAAAACAGAAGATATATTAGATCAATTTTCCATTTACATAATAATTTACAGAAAAATATATAGTGTCTGTTTTTCCTAGATCTCATAATGTGACATACAGATTTAGTTTAGTATCTTAAGTTATTTAAAAAAGGTCAAGCTCATAGGTAACATTATGGTATCTGCTGAAGTGAAGGGAAAGTGTGGATAATATACTATCTAGTATCAGACAAAAAATATCATACAGGGTTGTTACTGAACCAAGCCACTACAGATAAACTGTAATCAATTGAATATTGAAATTAAAAGGGCAAAGTTTAAAGTTCAATTTTGACTAAATGTTAGTTTACAACGCACTCTTAAAAAGTCGGCCTCTGTAACTTGCATTTCATTTTCAAAAACAATCATATGAACTTACGAAATATGTCATTTGTCATATCACTTAATAGACTAAAGAGGTGAATGAAATGACTTAGGAGATTTCTTTCCATTCTTCTGAATCCAATATTTTTTATTAAGACTTAACGAATCGAGAATATTCAGAGGCGAACTTCTAAGAGCTCAGGCAAACATTTTATAAGTTAAAACAAAATAGTTACCTAGTATTTGAGCAGACTGGGATATGGTATGCCCAATAGATATCCCTAACCCCAAATTCATTCAGAGAATTATGTAGCCATTTTCACATTAACATTATCACTAAATAAGTATTAATAATATATTTTTAGAAATTAAGAGAAGAATGAACAAGGATATTATATAGAATCCAGGTTCCATAAAAATCTTTAGTAGAATTAGGAAAGGAAGTTCTTACCATCCAGCTTGTCAGAAGTATCCTCTTTGATGAAAGCACAAGCAAAGAACAGAGGAAAACTTAGTATATTAGAAGAAATGATTTTTATAATTCCTAGAAAACATTTTCTTTAAGAAGACAGAATTCATAGTACAGACGTATATATCAAGCTTGTTTTCAACTAAAACAGACTAGGAAATTAAACCAGATGTGAGATAAAGACTTCACCTAATGTACTAAGTAGAGAATTTTTTAAAAGTTGATAATGAGTCTATTTCACTAGCCTAAAAAGAGAAAAGTTAGTGAGGCCCATGTCCCAGCTTTGGACTTTGCCATCATGCCAATCCCCTGCTCTAGTCTGTGAGTTTTTCCCAGACAGTCACATTGCCTTGTTTCTTTTCTCTCTTGCCTATAATATACCCCCAAATTCCACACTTAGGCCCTCTCATCATTAGCCTCTGTTTACCACCTCGTTGCTTCCCCACCCACATCCTTTCTTAGAACTTTCAGCCCCTTTAAAATTTCACATCTGGATGAATCTAACTCACTTTCTCTATTCTATTACTTGAGATGTCCCATAGAGAAAATTACACAACCATGAAGTCATGCATACTGGCACTACTAGAAACTGGAATAAATATCTGACTTGGTGTTTAGTGCCTGTGCTAAAAGGATTTAACATAGCAGGACTGATATTGTTCTTAAGAAGTGTATGCTTGTGGGGCTGGCCTCTGGTAATCGTTTTGGATCCTCCCTGTATTAATGATAAGGTTATTTTAAGTGTGTGTGCAGAAGTTGTGGGGACACTGAACTCTGCTACAGTTTGCCTAAGCTGTTTCTGCAAACAGTGTGGTTTATGGTGAAAACCTCCTTTCTTTTTGGGAGTCTGGGATTCTGGTAATTGTGGCTGGTTGTGCAAGCAGAGTGCCTTATGTGCCTAATTGTGGCTGGCTGTGCAAGCAGAGTGCCAATCCCCTACTGGCCCCCCAGCGTGAGTCTTAAGCTAGCTTCCTTGGGCAGAAACACTGTGAACATGTTGCATTGCTGTATTTCTTTTCTTTTCTTTCTTTTTTTTTTTTTTTTAACAGAGTCTCGCCCTGTCACCCAGGCTGGAGTGCAATGGCACAATCTCATCTCACTGCAGCCTCCACCTCCCAGGTTCAAGTGATTCTTGTGCCTCAGCCTCCCGAGTAGCTGGGACTAGAGGCATGTGCCACCACGCCTGGCTAATTTTTGTATTTTTAGTAGAGACGAGGTTTCACCATGTTGGCCAGGCTGATCTCAAACTCCCAACCTCAAGTGATCTGCCCACCCAGGCCTCCCAAAGTGCTAGGATTACACGTGTGAGCCACTGTGCCCAGCCCACATTGCTCTATTTCATTGCTTGAGGAAGGAGTAGCCCCTCAACCCTAGCTCTGGGAGACAAACTTTGAAAGCCTGCGTCTAGACTCCTTCAGACTATCTCACAGGTCTTTTTTTTTTTTTCACTCTAATAAATCCTTTTGCTCTAACAAATGTCAGCCATGAGTGCCCCACCTCTTGTGTCTACTCTCCCCAAATGGCTATTCTAAACTTCAAGTCACCTGTTAGCACATGATCCTGACTCTGAATCTTCAGGCAGAAAGTCACAACAACCTCCCCAATCACACTCTTCTTAATGTCCAACTTTCCAAAATATCGTATCTGATATCTACTACCTCTTCCAATTCCTTCCCTTCCATCACTTCCTCCCCTTCTACATCTGTGAAATGGCTCACCCTTCCACATTCAAGACTAACTCCCAGGCTATGCTCCATATCCCATTCCTCACACCTTCCACAGCAACTTAGCTATTAATTATCTCCTTTCATCCTTACACTTCTAACTTTTCCATCTCTACTGACTTGCCACCTTAGGATACAAACATAATTAACTTCTCCAATCTTATAAGATGATAAGTTCTTTCAACCACAGATAATTCCTACCATTCTTTCACCCCTTTTCTTGACCGTCAGGCGTAACAATAATTTACACAGATTCTCTTTCCAACTTCTATATCAACCAACTAAAATCTGACTTCTGTCCATATGACCTCATTGAAACTATATTTTCTTTTCCACTCAAGCAATTCCATAAACTCAATTGTTAGAATAAATATTCATAAATATGTACTCAAACATCAAGGTTACCTTAACTTAAATTCCTGTTTCCTACCACCAAGTTTCCTCTTCAGGCTGAAGTTAAAGAGTGAACTTCAAAACACTTAAAATATCCCTGCTGCCAAAAAATTCAGTACTTTAGAGATAACAAAAACCAGTAGCAACTGCTTTAAGAAGGAATGCTCTGAGTTTAATATTGATTACAGTAAGTAAAATCATCTAATGACTTCCAAATCGAATCTAATCATCATCACTCTGCTAAGTAGTTGTTGTTGTCTTATTTATTTATTTATTTATTTATTTATTTTGGAGAACGTGGAAAGGTCTCGCTCTGTCACCCAGGCTGAAGTGCAGTGGTGTGATCACGGCTCACTGCAGCCTCTACTTCCTGGGCTCCAGCAATCCTCTCACCTCAGCCTCCCTAGTAGATGGGCCCACAGGCATGTGCTACCACACCTGGTTAAATTTTTATTTTGGTAGAGGTGTGGTTTCGCCATGTTGCCCAGGCTGGTCTCAAATTCCTGAGCTCAAGCAATTCACCCGCCTCAACCTCCCAAAGTGCTGGGTTTACAGGTGTTGAGTCACTGTGCCGGCCTCTCTGCCAAGTTCTATACTACTATATACCAAGTGTCCACTGAAAACTTCCAGTTTGAAGTCTCACAGGGACTTCAAACTCAAAATGCATAAAACGCAACAAACTTTTAGCTGCTCATCCTTCAGCAACCTACCAATAGACTGAGAGAGATTCAGTATAGAAGCATATACCTCTGGATCCCTGGTACCTAGCAAAAACTAAGTGCTCAAGTGTGTGCTGAAAACTAACAGAACACTCCCTCTAATTCATACATGTATAGCCATAAGTGAGGCTCAAAGTAGAAGAAAACAGAGGTTATATCAGTCTTACGTGTGTAAGAAGGGTACATGAGACACAGCGGGTAGGGTGGGGTGAAGGGAGAAAGGGAAGGAGGGTAAGAAGGAGAACATCCTTTATCCAACCCCTGAAAAAGCCGCAGGCAGGTAGCTGATTGTCCCTGAGTGGGAACCTGGGTCAGATGAAGAAAAGAAAAAAGTAGTGGCACTCTCCTTTTTACAATGAAACATGAAATTCAAACCTTAAAGAACAACAATAGGTTCTCACAAAAAAAAATTGTCCCAAATTGGCTTTCTAGTGCACATTAAAGCACTTTAAATACAGTATTTTTCTTCGGTAAAAATAATAGATATTCAATGTAATGTGTTTTGCTCATATATATATTTTTTTTGTGTGTGTGTGTGTGTGGATTCCTTAGGATTTTCTAAACACAAGATTGTGTTTTCTGCAAAGAGAGACAGTTTGTTCTTCCATTCCAATTTGGATACCTTCTATTTATTTTCTTGCTTAATTGCCCTGTCTAGCACCTCCAATTTAACATTACTTCAAGGTAATGTTAAATAGGGCCAAGAGTGGACATTCTCGTCTTGTTACTGATCTTAGGGAAAAATATCCAGTTTTTTAATCGTCAGGTAGGATGTTAGCTGTGGATTTTTCAGATTCTCTTTATCAGGTTGAGAAAGATGACTTCTGTTCCTAGTTTGTTGAGTATGTTTATTATGAAAGGGTGTTAATTTTGTCAAATGCTTTTTCTGCAGCTACTGAGATGATCATGTGGTTTTGGTCCTTTCTTCTATTAATATGGTACATTTGTTGACTGGTCTTCACATACTGAAATAACCTTGCATTCTTGGCAATGTAATGCTTTGAAACAAAAAGTTTTCTGAAAATTAAAAGCAGTAATCAACACACTGTTAACACCTTTGTATATATCACACCAGTCCTTCTTCTATGTATAATTTTACACAAAATGATGAAATTACTACATACTATTTGGTAGTCTGCATAATTCAACCTTTGTTGAAAATATGACTTGCTAATGGCTGCACAACATATATAAGGATACAATATAACTCAACCATCCCCTCTGTTACACATTAAGGTTGATGCTAATAACGTTATTAAAAACATAATTATGTAAACATTGAATTACTGGGGCAAACATTCTGATTTAAAAATGCTTCATGGAATTCCTAAATTGGAACTCAGAAAAAGTGTCCCATCACTAATTCACATCAGTGTTGCTTGATAAGGCTTTTTTTTTTTTTTTTTTTTTTTGAGGCGGAGTCTTGCTCCGTCCCTCAGGCTGGAGTGCAGTGGCAAGATCTCGGCTCACTGCAACCTCCGCCTCCCGGGTTCACGCCATTCTCCTGCCTCAGCCTCCCGAGTAGCTGGGACTACAGGCGCTCGCCACCACGCCCGGCTAGTTTTTTTTGTATTTTTAGTAGAGACGGTGTTTCACCGTGTTAGCCAGGATGGTCTCGATCTCCTGACTTCGTGATCCACCTGTCTCGGCCTCCCAAAGTGCTGGGATTACAGGTGTGAGCCACCGTGCCCGGCGATAAGGCCCTTTTTACCACATTCTTGAAAACAGTGGGCACTACCCTTAACTTTTGTGTTATAGTTACAGGTCTATCAATTTGTATTTGTTTGATTATAGCTAAGGTTCAACATTTATTCTGGTATTTGTTGGCCATTTTGACATATGCTTTTCTTGATATATGTAGAATTTTTTCTATAAAAATAAGCTCATCTGTTTTTAACAGACTTGAAAAACCTCAACATTTTAACTTTTTTACTACTATGTGGCAAAATATTTTTCCCTTTTAGTTTTTGCTTAAGATTTCATATTTTCATACTTTAGATTTAAATTCAAGAGATTTTTTTCCTTCATGGCTTATTTGCTTTTATGTATAGGAATTCCTGTCTCAACCTGAGATTTGATGAATACTCACCTATTATGTTTTCATCAAGTTGCTTTATGTTTTTAATGTTTTTATCATCTGGAATATATTTCTATATGGTGTGTAACATGGTTCTAACTTAATTTTATACCAGATTGTAAACCATGTGTCTAAACACAATTTACTGAATGATCTATTCCTCTTCACGGTTCTGAATGCAGCTGTGCCAACTTTATCATGCACTATACTCATACCTAAATTCTCTGCACTTCTAACAGGTTGAGTACTCCTTATTTAAAATGTTTGGGGCCAAAAATGTTTTAGATTTCAGATTTTGAAATATGTGCATTCATACTTAAATGACTGAGCATCCCTAGGCATTGCTAATTCAAAAATCCAAAATCCGAAATACCTTTTTTTTTTTTTTTTTTGACGGAGTCTCACTCTGTCGCCCAGGCTGCAGTGCAATGGCACGATTTTGGCTCACTGCAACCTCTGCCTCCTGGGTTCAAGTGATTCTCCTGCCTCAGCTTCCCAAGTAGCTGGGATTACAGGCATGAGCCACCATGCCCGGCTAAGTTTTGCATTTTTAGTAGAGATAGGGTTTTGCCACTTTGGCCAGGCTGGTCACGAACTCCTGACCTCAGGTGATCTGCCCGCCTCAGTCCAAAATACCTTTGAGTGTCATGTTGGTGCTCAAAAAGTTTCAGATTTTGGAGCATTTCAGATTTCAGATTTTTAGATTAGGTATGCTCAACCTGTATTGTGTTCTGGCGATCTGCCTGCTTAGTGTTCCAGCAGTACTACCCAAAAGAAAAAAATGGAAGCATGAAGAAGAGATACGCAAACCAACGTCAACTTTTTAATTTGATAGACATAAAAACATGAAGAAATCAAACTGAATAGAGTTTTGGAATATATGTTTAGGGTTTGGTTAGACAGAGTAGAGCTTTGCAGTTCTCCCAGATCTCCAAAAGGCTTCACATTCTTGGTAAGAGAAGAGAAGTAGGAGAAAGAAAACAGGAAAGTTAGATACAAGCCAATTCCCTTCCCAAACCCCCTTAGAAACCAGTGGCTAGATGTGGTAGAAGTGCAGTTATGAAAATTCTACAGGCAATCATGGATTCAAGAATTGTTTCTTTGATCAAGACGATGATGAGAACAAGGGAAAAGGAGAAACAAGGCAGCTCAGATTCCTCAGAAGTGTGTCCGCAATATAGAATTATATTAAAACATATGGACTATCCTTAAATAACAAGAATGAATAGAAATGATTAAGGTATATGAACTTGTCTTCACAGAGATCAGGGAGAGAACATGGTACAATTTTCCATAATCAGTTCTCTTACCTAGTGACGCATAGGAACCTGCATTCAGGGCACCTGCACCTAAGCGCCCGCTTCGCACAGACTGTCCAGCAGCATGATGTGCCTTGGCACCTGCAGCAGCATTCACATCAATGTCACTTCGTGAACGCTGCAGGCTTCCTGGAAGGGAACTGGCTTTGCTGCTGCCTGCTGATACTACGAAATACAAAGCAAAGATAACTTATATCATTTAAATCACTGAAAACATGAAAATTATATAAACCTGACCACCATGAGCTAATCTGATGACAAATGGTCAACAAAAAGGCTGTGGCCAAATGGACAGTACTATTAAGCATTTTAAAGTCAGAATGCCTCAGTTTCAATCACAACTAAGTCTTCAGCAATTTTCTCAATATTTCTCTACCTTATTTCTCTCCCATAAAAATGGGAAAAATGGTGACATTGTGACTGTAAAATTCATAGGACTGTTTTGTAGATGAAGAGATGATGTTTAGGACTGATTTGTGCAAAGGAAGCACTGTACAAGATAAATAGAAAGCAGCAGTATTATTTTTTACTATGATAAAAATACAAGAAAAACTAGTCCAGGAGTAGAGATATTAAAAAATTAATGGAGGTTCTGCCACTCCATGGGAATGCAAATTAAGTCATTCAATTTCTGGTCTTCAGTTTTTCAGTTTTTTATTTTTATTTATTTTATTTTTTTTGAGACAAAGTCTCGCTCTGTCACCCAGGCTGGAGTGCAGTGGCGCGATCTCGACTCACTGCAACCTCCACTTTCTGGGTTCAAGTGATTCTCCTCCCTCAGCCTCCTGAGTAGCTGGGATTATGGGCACGTGCCACCATGCCCTGCTAATTTTTGTATTTTTAGTGGAGATGGGGTCTCCCCATGTTGGCCAGGCTGGTCAGGAGTTTTATAAACTGTGAGTTATGACCCATTAATAGGTTGTAAAATCAACTGAGTGCGTCATGAGAAGCATTATGAAGAAATGAAACAATTGAAAACAGAGTGCATCACAAGTAAGAGTAAGTATGGCTTCCTGGAACTTCGGGTTTTATTATATATGTATACACGTATACATATACAGGTACAGTGCATATGTGTGGTACTGAGTTACCAAGTAAAACGATCTTTTCACTATGGAGCACATCAAAAGAGTTTGAAGGCTACTGTTTCAAAGATAAAATAGGTTATAACTCTTATTTAAAGAGAAAATTACCTCTTCCAGCCACAGTTGATGGATTTGCTGTAGACCATTTGGAAGAAAAAGGGCGACTGCAAAGTATAAAAAATGCTTTTAGTAAGAAGACAATTTAACACTCCTCTGATAAAAACCAATAAAATACTACTGAATTTTGTGGAAAGTTGAGAAGTATTTCTTTTTTCTTTTTTTTTTTTTTTGAGACAGAGTCTTGCTGTGTCACCCAGGCTACAGTGTAGTCCCATAATCATGGCTCACTGCAGTCTTGACTTCCCAGACTCAAGTGATCATCCCACCTCAATCTCTCAAGTTACCTGGGACTATATGTGCCTGCCACCAAGCGTGGCTAATTTTTAAATTTTTAATAGAGATCGGGTTTCCCTAAGTTTCCCAGGCTGGTCTCAAACTCCTGGGCTCAAGTGTGATCCTCCTACCTCAGCCTCTCAAAGTGCTGGAATTATATGTGTGAGCCACCGTGCCTAGCTGGTACTTCCAATTTGAATTCTCCTTTTACAAATCGCATTAGAACAGTTCCTCCCAATCATCAGGTATCAATGTGTCTCAATTAGCTATGAAGCAAAAATAAAATACTGGCAGTGAATAAAGACTAAGCTCTACAGAGACAGGGATCAGGTTGCCTTTGTTCACTCTGCTCCTCAACACACATCATGGTGACCACCAAAGAGAACTCGATAACAGTACTATTATTTTTCACTTGTATCCTGAGATATTTTACTTAGAAGAAAGGGGTAGTGTTATCACTAGCACATAGGCAACTCAGCATAACCAAAGCCTCTCTCACCTAAGTTGTAAGGTTGTAATGTCCGTGTAATGTTTAAGCTAACATCACATTATTTTTATAAGTGTCTCCCAAAATTGTTATTCTCTTAGATTGAGGCGGATCACTTTAAGGTTCACAGAATCTAAAGTTGTTTATGTTTAAAAATGTTACATTAGAGCAATATAAAATATCTTCCTTTAGATCCTTTGTACTCAAAATATGGTCCATGAACAAACAGCATTTAGCATCACCTAGGAGCTTGCAAAAAATGAAAAATCTCAGGCCCCACCCCAAAATTACTGAATCAGATTCTAGATTTTAAAAAGATCTTCAGGTGATTTGTATATACTTTAAAGTCTGAGCATAGTTAATAAAAAGAGAACAAAAGCAACAAAGACAGCTCATTTCAGATGAGGAACTTATCACAAATTTAAATAGAAGTTTAAACAGAAATTTAAATAAAAGTTTAGATAGGTCATTATTCCTACAACAATTATTTTTGAAATCAGATCATAACTGCTTTTACTCTGAAAACCTATAAGCAACTGAACTTTAGTACAGTATTTGAATGACCCAGTGAGTGCCTGCTTAAATTCTGTACCCTAGGTGCCTCACTTGCCTCACCCTGGTCCCAGTTCTGCATCAGAGTTGCCAAGGAAACCGGCAATCTTTGTGGTGGTCAAGATCCCAAAAAGAAAGAAATTACAGAGAAGTTTTTTGGAAACAGAGTCTCACTCTGTTTCCCAGGCTGGAGTGCAGTGGCACGATCTCAGCTCACTGCAACCTCCACCTCCCAGGTTTAAACGATTCTCCTGCCTCAGCCTCCCAAGTAGCTGGGATTACAGGCACCCGCCACCATGCCTGGCTAATTTTTAGTAGAGATGGGGTTTCACCATGTTGGCCAGGCTGGTCTCGAACTCCTGACCTCAGGTGATCTGCTCGCCTTAGCCTCTCAAAGTGCTGGGATTACAGGCATGAGCTACCATGCCTGGCCTAAGCTGACATTCTCTGAGCTGCTCTTCCCTGGGGGAAATCTGCAGATACATGGCACAGGGCAAGAGGTCACGAAGAGGGACAGGGCCAGTGCTAGGAAGTGGAGAAGGCATCAGTAATTTTAGCAATCTCATAGGGCTAGAGAGACAGAAAACAGGGTTATGGCTGCTAAGCAGTAAGGATTTGAGGTAGCCGTCATCAAGATGAGAATGGAGTTACAGAGAACTAAGTCAGATACTAGATAATGTTGTCCCTTGAGGGATTTCCTGAATTTTTAAGCTGTGCGACAGGTTAGGAAGGAAAGCAGACTAGTCACATAGTGTTGTAGAATTCTCAAGATAACTTCTGAATCTCCATTACAATTCCTCCATTAAATGGGCTATTTATTGTAAGTACTGTTTTTGTGGTATTAAAAAAAAATGTAGTGCTTCCCAGGCTTCTACAGACGTGAACATATTGAAGCAAAATATGAATCATAGAACTCTTTATCCAAAGAGAAGGAATTATGCTGGAAAGTAATCCAACTCTTGAAACAGTAGACCAAAATAAATAAGTGTATTAGAGTTACCATTCTTTCAAGGCTTTAGGTGAAAGCAAACAGATATTCAAGTATCCAACTTATGAAACTTCAGGGAGTTGAGGAGAGGAAGAGACTAGTAATCATTATTTATATGACCTTACTTGAGACTTTCCTGTGAGCTGGATGAGGACCTGTCTGATTGTGGAAGAGATGCTACACTGCCAGAACTCTTTAAGTAAGTTTGAAGACTCTTCTGATAAGATGGCTCAAGGGAATTATATAATGTTTCAGCTTCACCAGGAAAGTGGTTTCTAAGACCCATGTATGTCCTGTTAAAAAAAAAGAAAAGCAGATGAAGTAATAGCTTTACATAATTAGACATTAACAGTAACGTGTACGTTCAAGAAGGATGAAGATAAGCCCACTGGTTTTCAGCATTATCTGATATTTGTCAGGTGAACACTTTCTAAATTGAACAAGTTCCAGTGGAAAGACTGAAGGCTTTTGAGAAAAGGAGATCTCAGTTCAAAACCTGCTGTGCCACTTATAGTTTGTGTGGCCTTGGGTAAACCCCTAAGTGTCCAAATTTCAGTTGCCATCTATGGAGATAACACTATCTTCGGAGGATCATTCTAAGGATTAGAAAATAACATATAACAAGTACTTCAAACAATATCAGGTTCACAATACAAACTTGATAAGTGATAGTCTTTTTATTCATGATGAAAGTGAATAGGTTATGACAAAAAAAGAATACTGATGATTACATGTCAGTGGCAACATGTAGGAGGCTGTTAGATGTCTAATACAGATGTAATGGAGAAAAAACAATCTTAATTTTACTGGAGGGCTAGTCAAGTAAAATACTTGGACACTTCTGATATTTTCATTCTCCTAATACATTTTTTTTTAAAAAAGATTAAACTGTCACAAAACTATACTACACTGACTTACTTTCTTGCCTCCACTCTGGCCTCAGCGTCAGCATCATGAATTCCCTTTTTAATAGTTTCAACCAAGACGGCTGCATGTCTATAAAATAAAATACATCTTTAGAGTTATGATATAGCTGTATGTTTCACCACAAATGGTACTTAAGGCCTATATGTTACATATTAATCACAAACAGGTAGGCGAGGAAAATAAAAATTAATTAGTGTACAATAATAAATCTAAGACCATAAGATTTTCTAATTATCTGCCCCATATGTTTTATTCATGTATGGTTTCCTTCTGACAATCCAATTATTATAAATCTAAAAGTAATTATTTTTACATGGAATTCAGATAGTGTATAAATACATAGTACCTAAATTTTTAATTTTTAATAAATTAGAGAAAAAAAGAATCTTCTGTGTGGTTCCTCACTAATCCACCACTGTAGAAATGATTTGCTAAGTGTGATCAATTGTGATCTGACCAAATTTGAATAGTAGCTGCCACAGAAGAACGCAAAGAAAACTTGAAATTATATTATGCCTACATTAAAAAACAAATTCTATTTTTTAAAAATGAGCTTTAAGAATTCAAGAATTTCCATGAAAATGAAAAATCAGCAATATACTCAAGGTAAATACAATGTCTTCCAAGCTTCAAACTTGAAGTTAATGAGAAATATAGCCATGCAAATAGCCAGTCACCAATCAGCTGCCCACATTTTCCTCTCCGTCATCTCAGAGTTACACTAGACATTGCCCAGTATATACTTGACCAATGACATCTGACAGCTGGTGTGGAGAAACCTCCCAACAAATATCTCTTCTTAAAAATCTCTTTCCTCTGAAAGGAGGCTCCTTCCATCTTAAATCATTCATTACATGATTGATTACACTTCAGGAAACTTACATCATATGACTAGAGATACATTTTTAAACTTTTGCCCAACTCAACTTGGAGTATCTTATATAACCCATTCTATTTGAGAAACCCTTACCCATCCCACAAACAAAGAAGAAAATCATACTATTCATGGTTGTAATGAGTAAGAGGAGCACAACACCACCACAGCTTTAAAGGAAAACCAGTACAAATAACCTTTGAAGCAAAATGAGAAATAATGTAAAACCAATACCATCAACTTCTAAAGAACTGGTGACAATGGGGAGGAAAGTGGGAGGAAGGAAGAGGGAATGCATACCTTTCCAATGAATGAGTCTGCCACTCTTGCAACAATAAATCTAAAAATTCAAATGAACGTCTGAAAAATAAAAGTTGAATGATAACTAAATGTTGTATTGAGAAATACATTAACACTTTCTTTTATACTACTACACTTTGCCCCCTAAATTAAAGCATAAGACATGTTTTTAGATATCTTTTTTTTTTTTTTTTTTTTTTTTGGAGACAGAGTTTCACTCTTCTTGCCCAGGCTGGAGTGCAGTGGCGCGATCTCGGCTCACTGCAACCTCTGCCTCCCGGGTTCAAGTGATTCTCTTGTCTCGGCCTCCCAAGTAACTGTGAATACTGAACTTACTCAGGATCCAATTATTGTTATGCTAAACAGTTCAAAAATACTTTAAGACTTCCTCATAATTTTAACTTAAAATGTGTGTCAAATATAAACCTTAAGGCTGGGCGTTGTGGTTCATGCCTGTAATCTCAGCACTTTGGAAGGCTGAGGTGGGTGGATCACTTGAGGTCAGGAGTTCGAGACCAGCCTGGCCAACATGGTGAAGCTCTGTCTCTATTAAAAATACAAAAATTAGCTGGGTATGGTGGTGTATGCCTGTACTCCCAGCTACTTGAGAGGTGGAGGCAAGAGAATCGCTTGAACCTGGGAAGCGGAGGTTGCAGTGAGCCGAGATCCTGCCACTGTACTCCAGCCTGGGCAACACAGTGAGAACCTGTCTCAAAAATAAATTAAATAAAATTTAACAAGTTTCATTTATTAATTTAAAAATATTTATTAAACATCTATGCACTTGACAGTGAAGATATACAATGGTGATCAAGAAAGCCACAACAATCTGGATCTTTCATCTTTACACTGTTTCCTTACATATGTATGTATATGACTTTACATAAAGTTTGTGTACATTTTCTCCTAAGTCCTCTATTTCTCAGTTTCTTCAACTGTCTCATACTTGAGCTCCTCTCCTTCCTTGGCATTTGATGACACAGCTCTGACCTGTATTTCTTCCTTTATTAACACTTTTTCCTCCACTTTCCCTTAAACAGATGCTCACCTGGTTGGTACCAATATTAGCCCACTTATCTTTTTATAGTCTTTTTATTGAGGCAACATAATCTGTACCCTTAGTTCTGCTTATGAGATATAATTATCACATCTAGTCCTGTATCTCCAGCATTGATGTATCACTTCAGCTGTCAAAGTTCCAACTGGTTTATGGATGTCTCTACATAGGCAGTGAATGTCAACTCAAACACTACATAGAAAACAAGGAATTAATTCGTACCCTTTCAAATCTACTCTTTTAGCTCATATACTACAGATTAGGAAATGAGAAATGGGGAGGTTAAATTAACTTGCTCAAAGTGATGGAGTTAAACTTAAACCTTGGCATTCTGACTCCAGAACTCACAGTCTGAAGCACTTAACACCACCCTCCTCATCTATATCCAATTATCAAGTCTCATTTCTACACATGAAATACGTTTTGAACTTGTTAATTAAATAAAACCTTCAATCAATTATCAACACAGTTCAACACAGTTCTAGTTCAGACTCTGCTTCTCTCTTCCATGAATTATAACAACTCCTATCTAATTAAACAATGCTTTTCATTGTTTCTTCTCAATCACTTTCATAGCTGGAGTAAAAATTAGGCTTGGACATCACCTCCTCACCAAAAATCTACAACTGTCAAAGATTCCTACTATCTATGAAATAAAGTCAAAATTCCTTTTCATAACATTCAAAGCCCTCCACACTATGATCTCAACCTACTCCCCAGCCTTCAACCACCTTCTTTTCCCACTGAAACCTTTCATTTATCATATGTTCTGGCCTCAGGGGCCTATCTGATGGCTCTGCAGCATATGACATAGCTTTACATTTCTGCTTAGGTTGTACTCCACTCACTCTCCCTACAGTTAATGGATTGCTCCCCATTTTTAAGGCAATTCTATGGTACATTTTCTGATTTTGTCTTCTGTCACATTCTTATTTTTCCAATTACCATTTTCCTCAATGTAAGACGGGTTGGTTAAAACTGTTCTGTAAAGGGCTGGACAGTAAATATTTTAAGCTTTGTGGACCACATACAGTCTCTGTCTCATATTCTTCACCCCCATCCCCTACCTTTTAAATCACCCTTTAACAACGTAAAAAACCCCCTTAGCATGTGTAGGCTGTACAAAACCAGACTATTGGCCACATTTTACCTGCAAGCTGTTGTTTGCTGACCCCTGACATAAGACAGAGATGACTGAACAACTGTTGTCAAAAGTTTGAACCACTTCAAATAACAATGTCTTATTCAGCTTCTTCCTAACACAGTATTTAATTAAACATATTTACCTAATTTAAAAAGGCAGAGTTCTTTACAATCTTCTTAAACATCAAATGTACAAATCTTGTTTTTCCTGTCTTTATTATTGTTGGCGATAGTGGTGTGAAGTTGTCAGAATCAAAATGAAGTCATTTGTGTTACAACACACACACATACACATACACTTGACAAATGGAGCTGAGGAAGGCCATTAAGGGAGAGTTCTTATGAATAAATGACTGATAACAAGAGCTATCACAAAAGACTCCAAAAAAACACAACCTTGCACAAAGGCTATCGCAACCTTACAAAAACAAACAAACAAACAAAAATTCTGCAAGGACATCTACGCAGCAACTGCCTGTCCAACCTCAAGTTGGCATCACCCTTGTTACTGATCCTTGTAGTCCAGGATAACCACCTCAAAATGATTATGTAATCTTCCTCATTTTTCCTTTAAAAACCTTTGTTTTCCTTTACCTCCCTGAATACGCATAGTTTACTACTGTATGCAAAATACCACTGTAATCCTCATTCCTGCATAAATACTAATATCATTTTCTTTCAGAGAAACTCTCTTGTTATTCAGGTTTACAGGTGTGATGTTAAGAATTGTAGAAACCAGAGACAGAGGCAGACACTAACTGAAAGACCTGATAGGGCTATATACTCCGTTCCAAACACCAGGCTACATTCTACTAATGTGTATCTCATTTAATCCTTATGTTCTACGGGGTTGACATTATTAGCTCTACTAACCTATGCAGGGACTAAGGTTCAGAGCAGTTAAATAATTGCCTAAGGTAGAACAGTCAATGGCAGTTGTAGGACTCAAGCCCAGACCTGACTCTGTACTCCTTGTTCTCTGAAAACCAAGGCAACCAGCAGCCCAAATAAACCAAAGCTTAATATGATAAAACTAAGAAAAGTGGGTGGTCATAATAATCACTTCATCCCTTTTCCCTTACATGAGATATGATTAAAAAAACAAAACAAAACACTTTTTTATGGTTTTCTGGAAGGCAAGAAATGAATGACCAATTCTTGCAGCAGACAAATAATTAAACAATGCAGTATCAGAGCTATACTAACAACAACAACAACAAAAAATTAAACTTACCTCCTCACGGGAACTGATTTTGATGTGCAATTGCTTGTTATTAAAGGTATAAGTCTGGGTACATGAGTATGCTGAAAAAGATGTTTTAGAAAAGGTTGAAAATACTACACACTTCATGTGGTCCTTTCTTCTATTTGCCTTACATTCAAGTATTTAGTTATGTTACAAGAGGACAAAAAGACCAGATATTAGATTTGAAAGAAATTAAGACCAGTCTTGAAAAGTTTTCCTGAATTAATGTAATGTAATGATGATACAGTTTCAAAAGGACAGGTATGGATATAATATGATCTAACAAAGAAAAGTTAACTGTTTAACTGCAAAGAACTGTTAAGACAATATAGTTTTGGGGGAGAGGGAGCACTAAGAGGGACTGGGCATGTACTGGCCACATTTTCTGAAGTACCATGGCTACTGCTGGTAAAAAATCATAATTGCCATGTCATCAAAGCAGGTAGTCGAGTGAATCTATTTCCTTAACTATTGGGAATGCACTTTGAAATGGTGGTCTTAATAGAACTTTCACTTCATTCTGGCTGAATCGTATCTCTCTAGAATTCAAGTAGAAGTTCCATAAAGACATAATCTTCTGATTTCTATTAGTAATTCTTATGCCCTTCTTTAGTGAAGCAAACAGTAAAAAGTTCATAATAGACATTAACATAAGCATACATATTTAATTCCTTAAATCTCCTGTATTCCTTCTGAGCTAATGGTACAGGCTGGGTTATCTAGGAAGCAGGCTATGAGATGGAGTTTAGCATGCAGGATATGTATTAGGAAGTGCCCTTGAAAGACAAATATCACATGTTCTCACTCATGTGGGAGATAAACAAAAGTGGATCTCATGAAGATAGAGAATAGGTTAGTCATGATCAGAGGCTAGGAAGGATAGGGGGAGGAGGGAGTGAAAAGGGGTTGATTAATAGGTATAGAGTTAGAACAATAAGATCTAGTGTTCGATAGTTCAGTAGGTTGACTATGGTTAACAACAATCTATTGTACATTTCAAAATAGCTAAAAGAGAATAATTAGAATGTTCCTAGCATGAAGATAAATATTTAAGGTGATTAATTCCCTATTACCCTAATTTGACACTGACACATGTGAATGCATTAAAATATCACATGTACCCCCAAAATATGTACATTACATATTAATTTTTTGTAAATGCCCTTGGGGTTACCATCTGTGGATGTGAGATGAAGGAAGCAGGAGTGGAGCAGGCAGAGGAAGAAATTGAACTGTGATACAGCCCAAGGCTATCTTTGCCCAAAACCATTACGAAGCTCTAAACTGAAATAGTCCCTGAGAATACTCTTGAATTGGTCCAAGATGGCCAAACCTTTATACTTCCACATCAATCAGTTATTGGATATGGGCAATACTGGGAAGGGGCAACACCTTGGGAAAGGCAGCTCTCTAGCTGAAATAATCCTTTAAGACACTGGCAACAGAAGGCTGTCTACTAACAGTTCTCCTAGCATTGGGGAAACAAGTCTTTCATTGAAGGAAAGTGCATATGGCACATCAGTGTTTGCCACAGCTAACTCAACCAAAATAAATGAAAACCCTTTTTTCAGCCACTAAAGAGAAACGATCTATAGACTTGAAGCTGTTGAAGATGAGAATAATGCAAGAAAGTGTGCTGACATGCCTGTTAGTCAACTGTTTAATTCAGCATGAAAGGACTCTGTGGACCTGCTCCCTACAGCATTCACAAGAGCCCACTTCTCAAACATTACTACGGAGGTAAAACCCATGGAGATCCCCTAGCTACAACAACTATAAAGGAGGTCTTACCTACCACACTTCTCCATTTTTCTTCTAACTTCTGCAAAATCCTAATGCTGGGTTAATCACATCCATGACAGTGGCAAGGATGGAGAGATAAACTAACCTAACCATTGCTACATCATACTCAGGGGGAGCTGTACCAAAGGAAAGTAAAAATTTACATCAATTACAGATGAAGCATTCAATCAAACACTAAGTCAGAACAATTTACACTTTATTAATATAAGTTGACAACAGGGGAAAAAAAGCTTCCTAAAATTAAAAAGAGAATTAGAAATTAAGTACAGCAATCTAAGGAAGTAGACTCTTAGGAAATAAACAAAGCAAAGAAAAACAGGGGTAATATTTAAAAATTATTGCATTATTGGTGAGATGATAGGCTAGTATAATAACGTGAAAAATGAGCAATTTGAAAACAAAGTATAAAGAGTAAAGCCTGAGAATCACAAAATGGGTACTTTCAAATAAGTAGAATTTAAAGGAATTTTTCCTTACATACAGCTGTTAAGACAGAGACAAGAAGTTATTCAAAAAATGATAAATGACATCAAGGATTTCAGAATTTGTGTAACAAAAGTAACAGCAGGAAAAGATCTGAGCCAATAAGACAGAAGTACTAAATAAAGAAAAGATCCATGAAAATTAACATAAATTTAAGATAACCAATTTCTGTCAAAAATCCTTGTCCACTGTATAAGAATAGTATTAGTGAAAGACAATTGACTCCTAGACCTGCTGTGGGGAAAATCTTCACACAAAGGGACTGTCTTACAAAACTTCCTAAAGGTTGCTTGGTAGTGGTGGTGGTTGTTTTGCTATAAAATAATCAAATAGTCTCATTTTTAGAGGCAACAATAAAAAGTTAAGAAAACGGGCTGGGCATGGTGGCTCACGCCTGTAATCCCAACACTTTGGAAGGCCAAGGCAGGCGGATCGCCTCACTTTCCCAAAGTGCTGGGATTACAGGAGTGAGCCAGGAGGTCAGGAGTTCGAGAGCAGCCTGACCAACATAGTGAAACTTCGCCTCTACTAAAAATACAAAAATTAGCCAGGCGTGGTGGCAGGTGCCTGAAAGCCCAGCTACTTGGGAGGCTGAGGCAGAAGAATAGCTTGAACCTGGGAGGTAGAGGTTGCAGTGGGTGGAGATGGTGCCACTGGAGTGACAGAGCGAGACTCCATAACAACAACAACAAAATTTGTGAAAGAAAAGGAAAGTGAACCTGAAGTTCAACGGTCAAATTTTTAGTCCCCATATTCTGAATTGGCAAGGAAAAGCCAAACCAAATTATACAAAGATAAAAATATATATGAAAAGTGAGAAAACACTAAAGCCAAACAAGAATGACCCAGAATCAATTAAAAAAAGGGAAGTGACAGTATACCAATAAATGGGTCAGAAATAAAAGCAGTAAAAAACTACAGTTAATTACAGTTGCTGAAAATGAAAATATCTTTGTTAAATTTAATTCAATGGGTAAGGGAAAAAATGACATGAATGAAATAAAATGTATACTTTTTAAAAGGCAGAGAGGAGCATAACAAAGGTTTTATTCTTGACAATAAGGAACTTCTAAATTACAAAAAAAAAAAAAAAGGAAAGAAAAGCAGCACAACGAACAGGAAACAAAATATAAGAAAAAAATACTATTTCAAGATGATAATAGTAAAAAAACCTTGACCATACATAAAGTACATATATCAAGAACTGTTAGAAAAATGAAATTGACAAAATTAGAACCAGAATTTACCAGATAAAGCAGATTTAAAAAAAAAAAGAGACCATAAAGAACTTGAATAACGTAAATAAAACATAAGCTAGATTTAGTGATGAACAAAGTACTCAATTCTATGCCAAAGAATTCTACATTTGTAAATGATAACCAACTACCTATATAAAGTGATGACATACTAGAACACAAATAAAATTTCAAGACATTCACTAAAGAATAAATCATACAACCAAATTCCCTGATCAGAATGTCATGAAACTAAAAAATAATGACAATAAGAACAAAAGCACCATCTGAAAATGAAAATATTATTATGTAATTCAAAGAAGTTGAAATGGAAATTACAAATGATTGAAAACATAAATAAAACATGGTAAATTTAAATCACTGAGATGCTGCCAAAGCCAAACTCAGAAGAAAACCCAAAGCCTTATAATAATAAAGAAAAAGCAGTGCAAATTGTCTAAAGATATACCACAAAAATCTAGAAAAATAAAATGAGCTAAAAGTTGAAAAAAAAATAGAAACTAAAGAATTAGAAAAATTAAATAATCTCACTACAATCAATAAAACTATAAACTGAATTATAAAGAACCCAAAATAATGCCTCTGCCAAGTATATATAAAAGAATGTATAACATTCTAAAAAGAAAAAGTCAGCTGGGTGCAGGAGCTCACACTTGTAATCCCAGCTTCTTGGGAGGCTGAGGCGAGAGGATTGCCAACATTTCAAAATAAAAGATTCAAGATGCCCAGAGCCTAAAACAATGGAAATGTTATTATATAATCTTAAAGGTCATTAAACCCTAATAGCAGAACAATATATTAACAAAATATGTAAAACAGGAAAAAAAATTCACAAAATACTTATTCATTTAAATGAATGCCAAAATCTTACTAAACTTAGCCAACCGAATCTAGCAGTATCTTAATGTACAATGGCCAAGCAGAATTTAGTTCCTGAATGTATAATGAATAAATGAAAAAACAAAGATAATCATTTCTAAAGATATTAAAGGGCTATCTGATAAAATTCAACATCTATTCCTGATCAAACTTTAGCAAAATGTGAACAGCAGGAAATTTCCATAATCTAATATACTATATCCATAGAAACACATTAAAAATCATATTTAATTAACGTTAAATATGATCCCACCCAATTCAAGGATAAAACAAAGATTTCAATAATTCCCACTATACTTCCTTTTTTTTTTTTTTTTTTTTTTTGGGACAGTCTTGCTGTGTCGCCCAGGCTGGAGTGCAGTGGCGTAATCTCGGCTCACTGCAACCTCCCCCTCCCAAGTTCAAGCAATACTCCTGCCTCAGCCTCCAGAGTAGCTGGGATTACAGGCATGCACCATCACGCCCAGCTAATTTTTTTGTATTTTTAGTAGAGATGGGGTTTCACCATATTGGCCTGGCTGGTCTTGACTCCTGTGATCGACCTGCCTCAGCCTCCCAAAGTGCTAGATTACACACGTAAGCCACCATGCCCAGCCTCTATATTTTCTAACATTGTTACAAAGGTTCTGGATTAAGGTTGTCTACAATCTTAAAAAAAAAAAAAGCCTGAAACGGGAAAAAAGGACCATTTTCGTATTTTAAATTAGCATTTAATATAAAATACGAAAATTAGCATTTAATTTAAAATATGAAAATAGTGAAAAAGAACACTTCCTGGGAAAGTAATATTAGGAATAAACTTACTTTTTTTTAACAGGAAAGGACAAACTGATCAAGGAAACTGAAAACACATTTAAGAAACAGACTTACATATTTATGAAAATTTATTACATGAAAACAACACCATTTCAAAAAAAGGCTACATTGTAATTCACCACACGCTACTGGCTCAATTGGCTTTGTATTGGGGGAAATATGAAGTTAGAAATCTATATTTCACACAAAAATTAAATCCAGTTAGATCTAAACCTAAGAAAAAAATGACAGAAGTTCTAAATGATTGAATATTTTTGTGTAACTGTGAAATTGGGAAAGTTGTTTTAACTATAACAAAACCCACAAAATGAACAAGTCTCAATACATAAAAATTTAAAATTCTGATATATAACAAAAGAGCTTATACAATATTTGAAGCAATGTCAGACTGTAGAAAATACCACAACATATGCAACACAGAATTAATATCCTTGATATATAAAAAGATCTTAGAAGTGAGAAAAAATGCAGAGTATAAACTGACAATCCATAGAATTATAGAAGGAAAAAAATAGCTAACATCCCTAATAATGCAGGAAATGCAAAGTAGAATATGAAATAATGGTTATTAAATTATAAAATGCCAAAGATACTGATAAAAGACAATATTGGCAAAGGAATGGAGAAAAAGGACTCCAGGAAGAAGACTGCAGGAATAAGAATGGTGCGGATAATTATTATTATTATATATATATATATATATTTTTTTTTTTTTTGAGATGGAGTTTCACTCTTGTTGCCCAGGCTGGAGTGCAACGGTGCAATCTCGGCTCACAACAACCTCTGCCTCCCGGATTCAAGTGATTCTCCTGCCTCAGCTTCCCGAGCGGCTGGGATTACAGGCATGCGCCACCATGCCTGGCTAATTTTGTATTTTTAGTAGAGACTGGGTTTCTTCATGTTGGTCGGGCTGGTCTCGAACTACTGACCTCAGTTGATCCGCCTGCCTTGGCCTCCCAAAGTGCTGGGATTACAGGTGTGAGCTGCCGCGCCCGGCCTGGTGAGGATAATTTGATGCTATATCCTTAAGAGAAGACTAATTTAGACATTAAAAAGAATTACACATATGGATAAGGGATGTTGCCCAAGTACATGAAGTTTAAAAAGAAGCTAGGCTGGGCATGATGGCTCACGCCTGTAATCCCAACACTTTGGGAGGCTGAGGCAGGCACATCATTTGAAGCCAGGGGTTTGAGACCAGCCTGGGCCAACATGGTGAAACCCTGTCTCTACTAAAAATACAAAAAAATTAGCCAGGCATGGTGGTGGGTGCCTGTAGTACCCGCTACTTGGAGGCTGAGGCGGGAAAATAGCTGGAACCCGGGCGGCAGAGGTTGCAGTGAGCTGAGATCGTACCACTGCACTCCTGCCTGGGTGACAGAGTGAGACTCTATCTCAAAATAAACAAATAAATAAAAAATAAAAAAAAGGAAGTTAAAGAATATACTATGTATACTTACATGTTCTATATGTGTAGCAAATACATTTGTATAGGCACAGAATAGAAGTTTGGAAAAGTACACATTAAATTGCTAAAGTGATTACTAACAAAGGAATAGAATTCAAAGGGAGAGATTTGTTTTTTCAACTCTGTTCTTTCAGACTTCCTCAAGATATGAGTGAAGAGAAATACAGTCATACCTCACTTAATGATGGGGATACGTTCTGAGAAATCCGTTAGGTGATTTCATCATAGTATGAACATCATAGAGTGTACTTGCATAAACCTACATGGTATAGCCTACTCCACACCTAGGCTATATGTTAAGGCCTATTGCTCCTAGGCTACGAACCTGTAGCTGAATTACTGTACTGAATACTGTACTAAATATTACCGTACTGAACACTCTAGGATAGAGTAACACAATAGTAAGTATTGTGTATCGGAACATATCCAAAAGTAGTAAAGTAGTAAAGGTACAGTAAAAATATAATATTATAATCTTATGGGACCACTGTTGTATATGCAGCCCACCATTGACGGAAACTTTGTGAGGTGGCACATAACTACATTAAAAATTTGCCTGTCTTTTATTATTTTCTGTAACATTTGTGATTATACACACACGTAACTGTAGATACATATATGTACTCATATGTACATGTATGTATGTATTTTATTCCATATACAAACATGTTTACTTTGCAATCCTCTAGTTCTATAATGACCATCTGTGGCTTTCACTATCAGAAAAATAATTCAAAAATGATTTGCTTTTGGGGTTCAAAAAGAAACTCCATGACTTACATTGAGAGAGAGGGGTGGGGTGGGGAAAGGAGAGAAAAAGGGGGAGGAAGAAGAAACAAAAGTGGGGGGAGGAGGCAGCAGTAGAAAACGAGAGAGCAAACCTACCCGAATGATAAATCTGATTGCTGCACATCCAGAAGTTGCCATGACTTTTGCACTATTGGGGACGAGATTAAAAAGTGTAGGTACAATGGCTTCAGCGCCATGATCAAACTTGTTTCCCAAAACTGTTGAAAGGTGGCTACAAAGGAAGACAAAAAGTATTTTTTAATAGTTTAACATTAAATATAGATAGAACCATATAATTTTAAAATACTCTTTTACTGAATTAACTTAGGAATTTGTATTTTAATCAGTTGTAATGGCAGAAAAACAGAAGAAAGAAAGGGAAACCTAGATACTACATATTTCCTTCTTTTCCCCATCTTTAACTGGCTAGTCCAAAGTTGAAATCTGGCATTTTCCTCATCTCTTTGCAATTAGCACTTGGAGAAGCCATTTGATTTCAGAATTTAATTATTAACTGAGGACACATCAGGTGAAATAATCAGCTCTGATGGTTCTGACCTTTGGTCTTGATCCATGAGTTATTTCCATTTTGATGATCCATTATCAATCTTAAATTCAGCATATTTTTACAAACAAGTTCAAAATCTTACTCAAATCAATGCTCCTCAAGATATTCTTTATTTCTATTAATAGTATCACGCCTTTTTTAGTCATAAATACTCCCTCACTTTTTTGGAGTAGGATTTCCAAATCCGCAGTCAAAAATACAACTCTACCATATCTTATTGGGTGATCTTTAGGACATCTGACTTCTCTTTCCAATTGTGTACTTAAACAACTAAACCAGACTTTCATTGTATGATTTTAGTTAAACTAGGAGGGATATTGTAACTACTCAAAGTGCTGACAATGCTTGCAATACTGGTTAATTTTTATATATTTGTATCTTACTGAAAACATGGTTGAGATAGAGTTAGCTCCAATAATTCAGGTTCTTGATTCAAAGAGCTCAGATTCCGACCTATGCACTGTTATAATATTAGTTTTCCAATGTCTGAACTCACAGGCAAAAAGGAACCTCAAATGAAAAGCAGGGAGGTGTGGATATGTTTGGATGTTGTCTTCCTTTAAAGAGCATGAGTTTTACTTTGGTAGGCAGGTAATGTACTTGAGAATCAGCTTGATCTTTGTAAGCTTGTTGGGAGAGGCAGAGTCAAGAGTTGCCTTACTTTAGAGCTGGTTTAGTACTATTCCTATGCAATGGCCTTTCTGGGGTTTCTACTGACTGCCTTTGGTGTTCACCAAGATTTTTCCATTCTGGTTGGTCAGATCTTAAACCTCTCCTACCCCTATATGAGCTCTGGGAATTGTTTATCTTACAGCTCCCAGGCATTCGTTCCCTTCCTTCCTCAGAGAGTTGTACCTTTTACATGGGCAGGTTAGTATACATCTAGACTCATGGATTCCCATATTATGATCTCTGTAGCTCTTTGTGTGTGTGTGTGTGTGTGTGTGTGTGTGTGTGTGTGTGTGTGAATCTCCCCTCTTCTCTCCAGTATTCTGCACTGCCAATTGTGACCACTTCAGCCTCTGAAACTCTAGTCTCTGTTTCCTCATCTCAGTGAGACTGCCTTGCTCTGCTTAGGTTCCCCCTTCCTTCCCCATAGTGCCTCCAGGACAAAATTCATACTGTTCAACATCACTTGCATCTTTTAAGAAATCCACTCCTACCCTGTCTGCTGTCTATTACGTGGAAACAGATGTTTTACATATATTGTCCAATTTTCTGCAAGAGAGCTAGTCATGTTTTAAGTGTATTTTTCATGGTTACGTTTTATGGGTTTTTGTATTAATTTGGGTTTTCTTTGCTAGTTGGAGATATTGGGTCATTTTGGTATACTGGGACTTGTATCTTGCAACTTTGCCAAAGTCCCTTTATTATAATAATTTATCTGTAGATTCTCTTGCAGTTTTCTGCATGGATAGTTATATCATCTGTTAATAATGGCAGTTTTGTTCCTTTTCTTGCAATCCTTATATTGCCTTTTTTTTCTTCGTTTCTGACTAGAATATCTAATACAATCCTGATTAGAAATATTGCTAGTAGGCACTTTTTGTTCCCTATCTTCAAAGGAATGCATATGCAACAACACTGCTTAGGTCAGAAATAGTAATAAATAGAAGTTCTATCATCCTTGTATTGTGGAAGACTACAAACTTAAAGTTTAGGTTTTGCTAAGTTAATGATGCATGTTGTAATGCCAGAATAATTGCTAAAATATCAGAAATTGAGTGTTTAATACCCAAATTAGTAGTGAGAAAAGTGAATACAGCCAGTTTCCAGACCCATTCATTTTCATCTTATACTTGAAGAATTAATGATAAAAAATCCACCAGTAGGCTTTAGATATTTTAAATATCTGTATACCAACCTTAAAATGTTGGTATAAAGAGCTGTTAAGGAATTTTTTAAAAATCATACAGATTGAATCCTTATGTATAATAAAAATGATTTTTGGATCATATACTTTTTTAGCTATCTTGCTACTGCTTGACTTAATGAGCAATGAATCAGTGAATACTAAATTCATTCATAAAAAACACTTATCATAAAAGGAATATACTTACGCTACAGTAATACAAGCTTCTCTAACCACCTGGGATCTAAGATCCTTAGCTGAAAGTTTAAGTGCTCCATCCAACAATCGTAAATGTTGAAAAAAGCAATCATACTGTGCAGCTCCAGCAACAAGCAGTGATCGAATTTTCTTCAGCTGAAATAAAGAATTTTCATTATTGACAAAAAAGGTGGAAGTGCAAAAAAAAGAAGCTACCTAAACTTCATTATTCAAACAAAAACTTTCTAATAAATGAAACATATATAATGTTTCATTACATTACTATATTCAGACATCTTAGTAGCATTAAATGTATCTTGTAAATAAATATGCCAACAAAAAGCTGTCTGAAAAATAACATTACAGACTTAGTTATAAGCACGACGGAGAAATGTAAACTATAAGTATATAAATTCTAAAGTTTTAAGGGAATCTATTTTATTTATTTATTCATTTGTCTTTTAGCTTAATCCCCAGTGTGATAATAGGGAGTTTTTCTTTTAATTGTGGTAAAATACAAATGAACAAAATTTACTATTTTAACCATTTTAAAGTATACAATTCAGTGGCATTTAGTGCATTCACAATGTTGTGTGACCATTACCATCACTATCTACTAAGGGAGCCTATTTTTAAAAGTGCCAAATTTGGAAACTTCTAGCATTACTTATTTTTGCTGTAGAACATTTTTTTTTTTTTTTGAGACAGTGTCTTGCTCTGTTGCCCAGGCTGGAATGCAGTGGTGCCACTGCAGCTCCACTGCAACTTGCACCTCCCAGGTTTGAGTGGTTTTCGTGCCTCAGCCTTCCCAGTAGCTGGGATTACAGATACATGCCACCGTGCCTGGATAATTTTTGTATTTTTAGTAGAGATGGGGTTTCACTGTGTTGGCCAGGCTGATCTCAAACTCCTGGCTTCAACGGATCCACCCACCTTGGCCTCCCAGCAGGAGTGAGCCACTACATCTGGCCTGCTGTTGAATTTTTAATTTCTTACATTTTTAATTATTATGAATACATAATAGTTGTACATTTTTATGAAGTACATGTGATATTTTGATAAAAGCACACAATGTGTAACAATCAAATCAGGGTAACTGGGGTATCCATCACCTCAAACATCAATCAGTTCTTTCCGTTAGGAACATTCCAATTCCACTCTTTTAGTTATTTTGAAATATACAATAAATTATTGTTAACTACAGTCACCCTACTGTGCTGCCTAACACTGGATCTTATTCTTGCTCTAACTGTATTTTTGTACCCTTCAACCATCTCCTCTTTATTCTCCCTACCCAACCCCCAACTACCTTTCTCAGTCCATGGTAACCATTATTCTACTCTCTATCTCAAGTTCAATTTTTTTTTTTTTAGGTCCCACATATTAGTGAGAACATGCAATCTTTTTCTTCCTGTGACTGGCTTATTTCACTAAACATAATGTCCTCCAGTTCCATCCATGTTGTTGCAAGCCACAGGATTTCATCCTTTTTATGGTGGAATAATATTCCAATGTGTATATGTACCACATTTTCTTTATCCATTTATTCACTGATGGACATTTAGGTATATTCCATCTCCTGGATTTTTGTGAATAGTGCTGCAATAAACAAGAAAGTGCAGATATCTTTCCAATATATTGATTTCTTTTCTTTTGGATATATACCCAGCAGTGGGATTGCTGGATCATATTGTGGTTTTATTTTTATTTTTATTATTTTTTAAGAAACTTCCATACTGTTCTCCCTGCATGTGGTTTATACAATACAATACAAACCCACAGCCAATATCCTACTGAACAGGGAAAAACAGAAAGCCTTTCCTCTAAGGTCTGGAATAAGACAAGGATGCCTGCTTTCAACACTTTTATTCAACAGAGTACTAGAAGGCCTAGCCAGAGCAACTAGACAAGAAAAATCATTACTTTTTCAATATTTGATTGCCAAATGTTATCCACATGAAAACCAGACATACATAATAAAACTACATTGATAAAAAGAGATACACACACGTGTACATCTGTGTTCATACACACTTAGAAGCTAAAAGTCTACTTATCACACCATTATTGTATATAATTTCACATTTAACTCGAGGTTTTCTAAATTTTAAAATATGTCTTTAAAGTTAAATCAGATGCATAAAGATGTAAATGTAAAAAAACCCTGCTATGGACATTAGAAAAAAAATCAAAAGAATATTATATAATCTTGGGCATATAAGGAAGGGAAAACTATCACAAACAGAGGAGAATTTTCAAGTGTCTAAATTATAACTAAAAACAAAATAAAAATCACAATATGGTAGGATAAAATTACCTGCAACGTATAAGATGATACACAAAGAACGACAATAAAATAAGAAAAAGACAAATATAGTAGTTTCCCCTTACCTGCAAGAGATATGTACCAAGACCCCCAGTGGATGCCTGAAACCTCAGATAGTACTGAACCCTATATATGCTTTTTTTTCTATACATATTTACCTATGATAAAGTTTAATTTATAAATTAGGCACAGTAAGAGATTGACAGTAGTAATATACAAAAATTATAACAATATATTGTAATAAACGTTATGTGAATGTGGGTCTCTCTCTATCAAAGTACGTTCTTATTTCCTGGCCATGGTTGACCATGAGTAACTGAAGCCATGGAAACTGAAACCATAGATAAGGGGAGACTATTGTAACCTGTGATTAAATTGGGTAAAATAAATACATTTAAATATGTTAAAAGTTACTAGTGATAAATTCACAAAGACACATTTCTCCCCATCACAATGGCAAAAATTTTTTAAAATTGAAAAGAAAACAGATGCTCTCAAACACTGTAAGATTATACATGACTAATACCTTTGTTCAAAATATTTTGGCAGCATCTACTAAAATAAAATTGCAGCAACTCTTTACCCAACAACCCACATTTTAAAATCTAACCTACAAAAATAAAAGCACCATTGTTACAAAAGTGTGTAAGGATGTTTATTGAAACACTGTTAAAATAGCAAAACAATAAAAAATAACTGAAAATCCATCAAATGGTAAATGATTATAAAAATTACATGTCATGGGGTGGGGGAGGGGGGAGGGATAGCATTAGGAGATATAACTAATGTAAATGACAAGTAATGGGTGCAGCACACCAACAGGCACATGTATACATATGTAACAAACCTGCATGTTGTGCACATGTACCCTAGAACTTAAAGTATAAAAACAAACAAAGATCAGATTCCTATAACACACACACACACACACATTACATGTATATATATTACACTAAGGAATATATGTACATATTAACCTGCACTCAATAAATATCTGAGCAACTATTTATTATGTGCCTGACATCTATACCAGGTGTACTGAATGAGCACCATTTGTTAAGCCAAAAAAAAAAAAGCAAGTTTCTAAGTAATGTATCAAGTATGATCTCTCTCTTTTTTTTTTTTTGGTTTACAAAAAGAGTAGGGGAAAATTGTGCATATCTTGTCATATATGTTTAAATACATATAACACAGAAAAGGATATACTCTAAAATGAAGTTTGTTTTTTTATTTTTTTTAGAGATAGCGTTTCACTCTGTTGCCCAGGCTGGAGCACAGTGGTACAATCATAGCTCACTGTAACTTCAGACTCCTGGACTCAAGCAATCCTCCCATCTTAGCCTCAACAAAAGTTTGTTTCTTTAATAGGCAGGAAACTATTAACTTTTTCTCTGTAGTTTTCTGCATTGTTTCACTTATTACAATAAGCCTGTGTCATTTTTCTAATAAAAAAAAAATCAAAAGACCATCTGTTGTTTCCAAATGGGTAGTTTTTAAGTAAAACCAAAAAAACCCTTAAGTAAAAAGTTCACATTTTATACTAATAACACTTAATCTGTCATGTTTCTCTACAGATCACCTGTGACAAAAAATCTTTCTGTATCAGACTCATCTCAGAATTGAAGAATAGGAGCCATATTTAACAAATTTGGAGGAATACTCTCTGTTAAAAACAGTATTTCAATGTTTTAAGATATGTAGACTTCCTAACAAAGACAAAAATGGTCCTTTGTTCATAGTGTCATAAAAGCCATATTTGTCAAAAGGCCCTGCATTTGATTTAATTCATCAAAATAGGGATTTTCATGATCAGCCAGATTGGGACCTCTCAAAGCAGAACAGTCTTCAAATGCAGCCCTTTTCTCTGGCTTCTTGAAAACTCTGAGGTACTCATTTGGTAAATGTAATTTGGTTATGTAAACAATAAGTTCACAAATTTAAAAAATATATTGCTTATTGTCAACACAAATATTATTTTAAATTTTATCAAATATTTTCCTTAAGGGATTTAGACCAAATCAAATATTCTTAACTCAAGGGTATCTGACCTTTATAAATGAAATCACAGGAGAAATATTCATCACATTCACATGAGAAGAAAAAAACCCAGATAAATGCATATCCTGTTGTGAATTTACATTGATGCTATGAAAACACTGAACATGCAGGTAAAGTGAACTGCTTTATTGGTAAACCTTATATGACTTGAGGATAGTGCTAATAAGCAACTATATAAGTCCACAGAAAGGCTAAAGCCCTCTGAATCTCACATTTTACTAACCAGTCAAAAACAGCACACGTGGTGAGGCTACCAAATGTGTAGGATAGGCACCACCTGATCAGCCAAACCAAAATAAAAATCGATCCTAAATCAGAAAATGAGTATTATATCAATATATTCTCCAGAAAGAAATGTTACCTATCAGACTCTCTATTTTATAAGTGAATACCATATAGTACTACTACTGAATTTCCATGTTTTTTAAAAGGAACATCAATAAAGAAAGAAGATAAGAAAATTAAAGACAAAAACTTACTGCATTGGCACGCTGATCCCAGTCATGTTTATCATCTGACAAAATTTCCCTGATTTTATTTAATGTTTCTTCGAGTTCTCGACTAGAATAAATCTTAAAAAAAAGATTCAGAATTATAACAATGTTTCTTGCCATGAACAATATCAAAATTATGCCCTGATGTTTAAAATAATCTTTCACCTATTAAGTTTATTTCCCATTCTAGCACCATTTCTAATGGAGAATAGAAATACATTATAGACAATAATAACACAAAATGCTTTATTTTTCTTCCTTACTTGTTACCATTTTTGCTATTTCTTCCCTCATGAATAACTTCAAATATGCTCTCAAAATGCTTTGTAATTTTAAAAACAAGATGTAAAATATCTAAGAATAAATAAAAGTCTAATTTCTCAAAATGACTTCAAGTGTATAACCTATCTTATTGCATTCATATACATATTACCCAATATTACAAAAAGGACATGTTATAAGTTAGTTTTAATTTTCTCTCCTCAGTCATGATAAACTGTAGTCAGGATAGCTACATTTTGTTTCCTCTGGAGCCAACCCTTTGTCAAACTGCTGTTCACCATTATTCTTTCATTCATTTAACAAATATTCACATAACACAGAGGTACTATGCTAGGCAATGGAGAAACTATGGTTAGCCAAAATAGATAGACGTGGTCTTTGCCTTATGGAGAGTACAATACACTCAGGGAGATTTTAAAAATCAATCAAATGACATCAAATATGAAACTACAAGTAGCAAGTCCCACAAAAGAAAATGAAAGTTTATACATAAGAGGAGGTTGACCTATGAGGAAAGTCAAGCTTGAGCTGAGAGCTAAAGAATGTGTAGGATATCATTAGGCAAAGTGGACAGATTTGCTTTCCCTGGAGAGTTAATAGCATGTGCAAAGGCTCTGTGACAAAGTAAATGAAAGAAAGCCAGAGTAAGGAATAAAAAGTATAAAGGGACTAGGAGAAGAGCCAATGACCCAGGTGTGAGGATGGAACAGCTATAACCATATTGTTGACCATGGAAGGAGACAATGCAGAGGAATTAGAAATGAGAAATAGACTCCTGGTGATACCAACTGAGTACCTTCATCAAACCGCCTTACATCTTTCACTTTCAACAGCTATTAAATTCACCTTTTGCTTAACAGAGAGTAAGAGCAAGAGCAAGAGAGAAAGAAAGAATGCGTGTAAATGCAAAGGAGAACAAGGCATGAGACAAGGCTGAAGAGGTAGATGGTGACCAGGTAACACTGTTATGTGGTTAAAGAAACTTCTGAGCTAGCTCTTTCCTGCCTCTCACCTTCTCTTCACAATACCCCTCTGCCGTTTTCCAGAACCTTCTTCCACCCCTAATCTTATGATGCATTCCCCTGGAACACAATGCAAGGTTCCCCTTCCCCCAATAAGGAAGAAGAGAGTCAACTCAAAAACGTACTTCAGTGAGGGGGTACATAATTCTTCAAACATTCTTTTAGCAGGCATACAAGCAAAAGAAGCTTGAAAACCCACTAAGTTAGGTGTCTGTTGCAGTAGAGTGATTCCTAGGTTTCTAACTTTTGTAATTGATTAAGTAATGGTTTACACACACAGAATACTGGAAGACCATTATTCCAATTTCAAACAGGATAAGTTTGAGGTGTCTTTGAGACATCTGAAAGGGGGTGTCAGGTAAACAATCACAGTGGATAAATCATTTCGGAACTCAGGAGAGGTCTGGCTTGGAGGTTAAAATCTCGGCATTATCTAGATAAACGTGGGAACTGAAGCCAGGGGTTTGAAGGAGGTGACTCAGTAAGAAAATAGAGAATGAGAAGACAGGGCCCAGAACTAACCCTTAAGAAATTCCAATATTCAACAGGCAAGTAGAGAAGGATGTGCCTATAAAGAGACAGAGATGAAGTGGACAAAGATGTAGGGGGAATAAAATGGAAGAACATCATATCACAAGCACCTAAAATTAAACAACAAAACAGTGACTATAGTCAACAGTGCTAAATACTGGTAGAAGAACAAGAAAAAAAAAAATCCCAAACTGGTTGATTTTGGTGCCTCAACGATGATCAGTGATTTACTCAAGACCTGTTTCAATGTAAGAATAAGCTAGAAAGAAGTGGGATGAAGTGAGTAACAAGTTAAGTTACAGAAATACCAAGTACAGACAACTCTTTTGGAAAAGTTGACTGTGAGGGCCAAAATAAAAAATAGTATCTGGAAGATATGGAGTCCAGTGAGACTTTTGTTTTTTAAACTGAAGAACCCAGCCACGTTAAGAGATAAACAGAAAGAGCTTGAACCTACATGAGATTACTGATTGTGTAAATGTGTTAAGGAAGCAGAAAATACTAGGCTTTGAAGCACTGGTGGAGGTGCTGGCCCTTGAAGAAGGACCATGTTTCTGGAGCAACAGGACAGAAGGAATGCACAGCAGAGAAGAATGTAACAGAAAGATCATGTTTCCATTTGATGGTGACTACTTATTTACTAAAGTAAGGGGCTAGGTCATATACTGAGAGAAGAGAGGAGGACAGAGACAGGCTGGCTGATGGATAGAAAGGAAAGAAACATGTCTGATAGCTATATTAAGCAGAGAAATAACTGATCACAGAAACATAGTAAGCATATCAGATTGTTGAGGGTTCATTTTATGTGAATTCCAGTAAAAATCATGAGCCCTAACATGTGACTTTCTCTAGCAGCACGGTTTCAGGACACAGAGAAAATAAAAAGTTGGGAATATCCACAGTTGTAGTTTTGCAAAATGAGTATTAAAAAAAAATCATTGCTTAATACTTTGCTATGAAAAAAAAAAAACGAGAGAACCAAGGGATTTTAGTATAATATGTACAGTCCTACTGCAAGAAACCATGGTTATCAAAGCTTAGATAAGAAGGAAATCAAGCATAGATGAGAAGGAAAGTATAAAGTGACAGATGATTAATTCAGAGTGAGTAGAAAAAACAATGGACTGACGATCCTTGAAATCGTGCAGAAGTAGTTGTTAGAGTACTTAAAAAAGCAAGGAGATCCTAGTCAGTAATGAGATACTTCAATTAATGACTTTGGAAACGTAACGGTAACACACAGATGATATCAAAATCCAATGTGTGACTATGAACTGGGTAGCTACAGTGAAAGTGAGGAGGAGGTCTAGAAACTGAATTCATCAAGAATGTGTGAAAATTTAGGAAAATAATAATAGCTAACATATACTTCTTACACTTCATCTGTACTGTCATAGCCTCACAATAACCCTCGGCATATGTACGAATAATTCCTATTTTAAGATGAGGAAACTGAAGTACAGAGGGTTAAGTAATGTACCTAAGGTTACACAGCTAGTGTGGCAGAGCTGGGATTCAAACCTAGGCAGCACTGGAATGTTGTCAAGATCAGTACATGCCAATAATAAGAAGGCTGGTCAGGGAGCATGAACCTCATATAAATGGGTATAGGAATAATGGTCACAAAGTAATAATGAGGAGTGCAAGCACAATAAACTTATTATCAATTACTATGAGTATGAGAGCCGAGAATAATAAACAGCTTTATCTTTAAAGAGCGTAAAAAAAAAATCAGATTCTAATCAAGGCAAGAACATTGAACGGACTCTTTAAAAATGGGGTTAAAGACTTAGGGGAGTTGCTGCTTATGAAAAAGATGTTTCCAAGGGAACAATGGAAGGTGTGGAACACCTTTACAGGGTGGTGAGGGTGGCAGAGAGGGCCAGCTGGAAGAAAGCAATGAGTAATTATAAAATAGCTTTTTCCCCTCCGTATAGTTGAATAGCCCTTGGCTGCCCATACCATGATGTTACCAGTCTGACAAGAACATATCAAACAATAAAAATATTCAAGTTCAACTAAGTTTTACTGATTGTTCCTACAACACTAATCTTTCCCTTATATGAAAGCCTGTAAAACACAAAAGGAGGAAGGGATATGTTTTCCCTATTATTTAAAAAGTATCTTAAAATAAGAAAAAACATATATCTCAATAAAGGGATAAAATACAGTCAAATCAGAAAACTTTTTAAGGCTTTCTTGTAACTTTTTAAGATCTTAAATACCTTAAGGACAATTTTCCTTTCAGAGAGCTAAAAAGGTAATACAGGCAATAGAAGGTAGTTTGCAAGTAAAGCAATGTGAGAATATTTTCAAATAGACATGCTAAAGAGTATTCATACTCATCATACCGGTAAAAATATTTTGAGTGACAACAACAAGTATTGGCAAGGATATGATGAAATTAGAACTATCATACCTTTCTCACAGGAGTTTTAACTGGTAAAACAACCCTACAGGGTAACATCTAAGTAAACTTAAAGATTATAACTATGAAATTCTACTCCTATGTTTATATCCTAAAGAAACTCCTACCTACAAATAATCAAGGACATATGTACAAAAATATTCATTGCAGGCTGGTGTGGTGGCTCACGCCTGTAACCCCAGCACTTTGGGAGGCCAAGGTGGGTGGATCACTTGAGGTGAGGAGTTCGAGACCAGCCTGACCAACATAGTGAAACCCCGTCTCTACTAAAAATACAAAATATTAGCTGGGCATGGTGCAGGGCGCCTGTAATCTCAGCTACTGAGGAGGCTGAGGCAGGAGAATCACTTTAACCCAGAAGGCAGAAGTTGCAGGGAGCCAAGACTGTGCCACTGCACTCCAGTCTGGGCAACAGAGCTAGACTTCATCTCAAAAAAAAAAAAAAAAATTCATTGCAGCATGATATGGAATAGCCAAAAATTAGAAGCAAACTATACATGCACTGTGGTCTGTACATACAATAGAATACCATCCATCAATCCAAATGAATGAACTAGAATCACAAATTTTACATCACGAAAAAATATAAAAAAAAAGCACTGAGTAAAAAGTCAGGTTGTAGAATGTTATGTACAATATAACATTTATGTGTATTTTTAAGTCATGGAAATAATACTCTTATTTATGCATGTGTCCACTTTACTTCAATTATATCTATATGAATGACTTCCAAACTTCTATCATCAACTAATCTAATTCTCTGAGCTCAAAACTCATTAATTTAAGAATCTGAACACTGCAGTGTAATGTGATTCAACAATATGATTCAATTTTATTTCAGCCTCACTGAAAAATCACTTGAAAATCTAATTGTACCAACAAATAATGGCTTGGTATTAATAAGTCAAATATTTCATTTATATAGCTATATAAGGAAAAAAGAATTCTTAAAAAGGGACAGAGACAAATAATTATATGAACAGGCACACAGGCAATATTCACGGGGAGTGCCACTGGTAGCCTTACCTGAATAGAAGGGACATCTGTAAAAGCTTTTATAAAATCATCTTCATCAACTGCTCCAGCACCTCCTTCCTTAGAAGCACCTGCTAATTAAAAGGAAATTAATTTCCTAAGGTTCATTTTTAAGCATCTTAACATTAATGACAACATGAAAAATAAAACTCTTTTGATATCAACAAAAGTATAATTTTAAGGGATATTCCATTTTATAAGAAAGCATTTAAAAAATCTCCAACTTTCAGAAAGGTCAATGTACTTTGTAATGCCGATTCATTATAAGGTACTAGGCTAGGCGGGTTGTAATATTCAAACTGTTAAGAACACAGCCCTGAAACCCGCCTCCCTATTCAATGCACTAGCAAACACAAATAAACATAAGTAAGGACAAACATTTTAAAAGTTGAACAGCAACTTAAAATGACACTAAATGTCAATAAATGATAGTGTGATGCAGAAAATCTGTGTATGCTACTATGGTCAGGAAAGCATGAAAGAAATGAGAGTCTTGAAATTAATTACACAAACAAATCTTCCATTATTGCACATTGACAATAAAAAAGTAAACTTAGTAGGCAGTAGTTATTGAAGAGCCAATAACTAAGCTATTCTTTCAGTTCTAAACCTACTCTTCTATATATACACTGCTTTAAGATGCTGAACCTAGTATTCATTAAACCAATTTTTCTGTTGATTTTAATGGTTTCCTCTCCTCTTAAACTCTGGCAATAGGGGGTGTTGGAGAGAGACTGGAAGCTAAAGGAAGGGAACTGTTTCTTCCTGATTGCTTTCCATTATTTGCAGTAGAATCCTAGCAACTCTGGTAGACCACTCATTCCAGGAGCAGCACCTGACTCCAGTTTGCAGTTTTTCTAACACTCACTGAATCAGCTCACTGTGCCATCACACAGCACCAACTAGCCTCCACCCTCTCCTTAGAGGTCTGAGTCCCAGATCTGTGGAGCCCCTGAGTTCTCATTCCTGAATGTAGGCTCCTTTGACAATGTGACTCTGCAGCTCATCCTATCCAAAAACGAAGTCCCCAACCAATAAGTGGGGCAGAGTACCCTAGAATTCTTGAGTTGAGACAAGAGAGGCTGACGCAGTTCTGACTGACGACTCCCCAGTGTTAAGCAGGAATAAATCTTCTCTGGGAGAAAGTTGTTTCTGGTAGGCCCAAAGGACTCCCACCAGCTAAGTTCAAGCAATGAGTTCACAATCAAAGATCAAATACACAAGAAGGCAAGAGTCACAGGGAACAGATAATAGATTTGAGAACCGTCGATATTAGAATTGTCCAGTACAGATTACAGAACAGATGTGAATATATATGTTTAAAGAAATCAAGGATGGACTCACAAAGAAGGATGGACTCACAAAGATGACCAATCAACAAGAGGCCATTAGGAATAAACAGATGAACTTGGGGGTGGGGGGATGAAACAATCTGAATTGGGTAATACAAGAGTTTAAATTTTTTAAATAATTAAACATATTTAAGAACAACTTAGAGAGCTAGAAGATATACCTGAATACATTACCCAAAATGTGGCAAAGAGAAAAAGGAAATGGAAAGACATAAAGAGATACAAAGGACAGTATGAGAATATCTAACTAACATATGTCTATTGGGGTGTCTTAAAGATATTTAACAAGAGATAACAGCTGTGAAATTTCCAGATTAATGAAACAAGAATCTTTATAAATTCAGGATGTGCAACATAACCCGAGCAAGATAAATAAAAAGAAATCCAAACTTAGAACTTGGCGGTGTAACTGCACAACTCCAAAGACAGAGACAGTAATCAGAGAAAGAAGAGATCACCTAGAAAGGAACAACAATTTGAACAACAGATTTCTCAAGTGCAATAGTGGAAGCCAGGGAGAATATACTAATAATATCTTGCAAGTTTTGAAAGAAGAAAATATTGGCAAAATATTATCTAAACTGTGTACCTAGCAAAAGTAATTTTTAGACAAGTGGAAAAAATTAGATGCGCATTTTAATGAATAAAACAAAACCATCATTACTATTTAAAATGGTATGATGGTATCAGGGAGTGGCAAACTTTATCTATAAAGGGCCACACAGTAATATTTTAGGCGTCAAGGGCTATATGGTCTCTGCTGCAATTACTCAACTCTGCAAATGAATGGGTGTGGCTGTGTTTCAATAAAACTTTATTTACAAAACCAGATAGCCAGATATGGCCTGCCAGATGCAGTTTCTCACACACTGGTGTAGACAGAAAAGTCAAAAAATATCCTTTGACCAACGAAGGATATAGAATTTCAGTTAAGATAGAAGGAATAATTTCAAGAGATCTATTGTACAACATGACTACAGTTAACAACAATGCATTGTATTCTTGAAAATTGCTGAGAGATTTTAAGTATTCTCACCACTAAAAACTGAAGTGAGATAATGTATAGATTAACTGTTCAATTTAGCCATTCTACAATGGATACATATTTCAAAACATGTGGTACACAATAAATATATATAATTTTAGTTGTCTATATAGTAAAATCATTCAAAATTCAACTTCCTAAGGTAGCTGGAAATAAAATCAATATACAAAAATCGATTTCATTGCTAAGCACTAGCAACGAAGTTAGAAATTTGAAAGAGTGAAAAAATTTGGGAAAATAATAATTTTTAATGTAATATTAAAGCACTGAAATAAATGGAGAGCCAGGCGCAGTGGCTCACACCTGTAATCTGGGAGGCTGAGCCAGACAGACTGCCTGAGCTCAGGAATTTGGGACCAGCCTGGGCAATATGAAGAAACCATGTCTCTACTAAAAATACCAAAAAAAAAAACCCAGCCAGGAGTGGTGGTGTGTGCCTGTAATCTCAGCTACTTGGGAGGCTGAGGCACGAGAATCGCTTGAACCTGGGAGGCAGAGGTTGCAGTGAGTGTGAACTGAGATCGTGCCACTGCACTCCAGCCTGGGTGACAGAGCGAGACTCTGTCTCAAAAAAGAAAAAAAAAAATTACAAATGAAATAAACGGAGAGATATTGCAGGCTCATGAACAAGAAGGAATGGTATCATGAAGTGTCCAGTCTTCCCTAGGTGTTGCAATAATAATCAAGCTTCCAAAAAGGTTTCTTGTGGAACTTGTCAAGCGGATTCTAAAATCTGTCTGGAAGAGCAATAGGCCAAACATTCCTGCAGAAGAAAAGAGGGGCTACTTACGCTATCAGACAACAAGACTTACAAAGCTGAAATAACTAGGAGAATTAGGTTTTAGTGCAGGGATAGACCAACTAACCAAATAAATAAAATGGAAAGTTCAAAAACAGACCCACAAATGTAAGAAATTTTGATATATGAAAAAGAAGTGATTCAGATCAAAGGGGAAGGTAGAAACTATTCAATAATAATGTCCCAAAATTCAACAAAATGCAGAGACAATGGATTATTCAGTTTTTTAAAAAAGTTTTTCCTTATCCAGTATTAAAACTTACAGTAGACATTCTACTTCCCTTAGGAAAATGATAGGCATCCAAACTCAAATCAAATATACAAACAAATATTCCAAAACCCACAGAGAGCAAATAAAATTACCCATAGCCCTTGCTTTTAATACAAATAAGAGACAAATAACACTTCAAATTTCATTTCAAGTAATTGAGGAAAATATAAACATCCAAGACAAGCAATGTTAACTACAGAGCCCTTACTGAAAAAAATCAGAGGAAACTGTGTAGAAAAGAATCCTGGTAGTTAGTTGTATAACGTAGACACCAACTAAGGTTCTCTCTAGGACAAGAAGTAAATAGCAATTAGAAGTGGGAGGTATCCTTTTGAATCCTGGTGGATAAAGAAAAGGAAGAAACAAAAAATAAGGGCTCTGTTCAAATAAGATGGTAATCACAGAATCAGAAGTAGAAAGCCCCCAACAAATCACGTAGTAAAGAAGGTGCATTTCACTATACCAACAGAAGAGGGCCCTCTTAAACTTAAAAACTAAGCAAACCTTTTTTTCCTGGCCCCACGGAATCTACTTGTTACTTGAGGTCTATGAAAATCCAATATATCATCATAAACAAAATAATCTGACATCTATACTGTGCTCCAATAAGAAAACAAAGGAACAGAAATATTTTCTGCTGATAAAAGTAACTCCCTAAAATTAAAAAAAACACCTACCAAGAAGGAAAAAACTATAACACAATTCTCCAACATAAATTCAATATTAACTAAACAGCAATTACAGGTATAAAAGAAAGATGAATGAGAATATAAAAAATTCTGAATATATATAGAAGATATGAAAAGACAGCTGGCTAAAGTCAGGAAAAAAATTTTTGTTTGTTTATTTATTGCGACAGAGTTTCGCTCTCTTGCCAGGCTGGAGTGCAGTGGTGTGATCTCAGCTCACTGCAACCTCCACCTCCTGGGTTCAAGCGATTCTCCTGCCTCAACCTCCATAGCAGCTGGAACTATAGGCACGTGCCACCACTCCCAGCTAATTTTTGTATTTTTAGTGGAGACAGGGTTTTACCATATTGGCCAGGCTGGTATTGAACTCCTGACCTCAAGTGATCCACCCACCTTGGCCTCCCAAAGTGCTGGGATTACAGGTGTGAGCCACTATGCCTGGCCAAAAATTTTGTTTAAAGACAAAATCACCTGAGAAATAAACAGTAAATTACCAACTATCCAAGAGAGAATAAGTATATCCTGGTTTGAATTTTAAAAGCTATAAAAAATATTCTTAGGACAACTGAGAAAACTTAAATACGTAGGTAAGCTGACTAAAAGGAAGTGAATATATAGGTTAATAAACTTACAGAAAATAAAAGAGCTACAGAAATAAATAACATCACAAAGAAATGAGACAAATACAGAACACAAGACAATCTTAAAAAACAACTGGCCTAGACTCCAAAAAGTCAAAGTCACAGAGATAAAAACTGATGAGGAAACTGTTTTACAGATAACATTATAGAATTCTCAGGTGTGGTGGCTCACGTCTGTAATCCCAGCACTTTGGAAGGCCAAGGCAGGCGGATCACTGGAGGTCAGGAAATCCTGACTAGCCAGGCAACATGCTGAAACCCCATCTTTACTAAAAATACAAAAATTAGCTGGGCATGGTGGTGGCAGGCAACTGTAGTCCCAGCTACTTGAAAGGCCGAGGCAGGAGAATCGCTTGAACCTGGGAGGTGCAGGTTGCAGTGAGCCGAGATCATGCCTCTGCACTCTAGCCTTAGCAAGAGAGCAAGACTCCGTATCAAACAAAAAAAGAAAAAAGAAAAAGAAAAAATCTGAACTTCACTAGAATATAAACTCCAGGAGGCCAAGGTCTTCGTGTTCATTTACATTTCCCAGAGACTTCAAAACTAGCAGCACACTAAAAGCCTTCAGTAAATATTTGCAAGCTGTTGGCCAGACAGATAGGTGGAGGAAAAAAATGCAAATTAACGAATCATCGTTTTTTACCCATCACAATGGCAATAACTAATGAGGCTGGTATATTCAGTGCTGCAGAAGGTAAAATGTTGTCTTTATTAAAATTAAAAACACATAAAACCTTTGACTAAACAATTCCACTTAGAGGAATCTATTTTATAAAATAGAAGCAGCAGAATTTCAAAACATGTAAGTACATAAAGATCTGCATTTTCTGTAATGACTTAAACATGCAAACAACCTGAATGACATCGATAGGGAAAGTTTATTAAATCATGGTACATCAATAATGTGGAATACTGTATCACTAATTAAAAGGATGCAATAGCTGTCATTCTTGATGCTGAAAGATGTTCTGTGAAAAAAAGCAACTTGTGAAGTTTTTATCAGTATGTTTAATATGGGAAAAATAAAACCTAATATGAGTGCCTACATAAATAAACACGGAGTAATACGTGGAAGGGTACATATCAAACTTAACATTAGTTACACCTCAGGGTGATGAGAGAGGCAAGATGTTATTAAAGTTTTTTAAAACTCTCCGTTGTTTGATTTAACAATGAGAATGATTTTCATTCTTTTTATTTTTTTATTTTTATTTATTTATTTTTTGAGATGGAGTCTCGCTCCGTCGCCCAGGCTGTAGTGCAGTGGCGCAATCTCGGCTCACTGCAAGCTCCACCTCCCGGGTTCATGCCATTCTCCTGCCTCAGCCTCCCGAATAGCTGGGACTACAGGCACTCGCCACCATGCCCAGATAATTTTTTTTGTATTTTCAGTAGAGACAGGGTTTCACCGTGTTAGCCAGGATGGTCTCGGTCTCCTGACCTTGTTAGCCGCCCGCCTAGGCCTCCCAAAGTGCTGGGATTACAGGCATGAGCCACCACACCCGGCCTCAATTCTTTTCATTAGTAAGAAACACATAAACTGGTTTTTAAAGACAGAAATGATCAGTTGATGAAAAAAATTGTTTATATTCACATGTCCTTTATAGAAACAATGCTTCTTACCAAGTCAACTATATTAGAATGTATGTGATAAATGTAAGCCAAGCATGCAGTTATTGTAACTTCTACTTCATATGGATCAACTATAATGATTCTAACTAATGGAAAATTCTTCATATGTGAGATCTATAATAATAACATTTCACTCTTTTCTGAGGTAAACTTTCATTTGTATTCCTATAAGAGACTTCACAATTTTCTAACACCCAAATTTCAGTCAAAAAGTATAGGCAAATAAAGTATGGGAGGACCAAAATGCTAACAATAATTAACACTAGTTGGCAGAATAATGGGCAGGTACTATATCTTTTTGTAAGTTTAAAACCATGAATTAAACATTCCATATGGTCCTTTTTTTTGGAGACAAGGTCTCGCTGTCACATGGGCTGGAGCGCAGTGGTGTGATCACGGTGCACTACAGCCTCAACCTCCTGGGTTCAAGTGATCCTCCCACCTCAGCCTCCTTAGTAGCTGGGAATACAGGAATGGGCCATCACACCCAGATAATTTTTGTATTTTGTGTACAGACAGGGTTTTGCCATGGTGCACAGGCTGGTTTCGAACTCCTGGGCTCAAGCAACCCACCCACCTCCATCTCCCCAAGTGCTGGTATTACAGGTGTGAGCCACCATGTCCCAATATGGTCCTCTTTGTTGATTAACGTGGAGCCTTGCACATAGTAAGCTCTATATACAAATGTAAATAGAAACAGTAACATCCATAGAAAGGCTAGGTCTTTAGTTGGCTTAATTTCTCTTTTCTTAAACATTCTGAATTCCTCAAAAAATAAACCTTGTATAATAAAATGTTTTTGTCACTTTAATTTTTGCACAGGAAGTAAAACAAAATTGGGGTCAAATAATATAATTACAGTAAAACACATATTCTTATACATAGTAAGAAATAATGCAACTTACTATTTTATAGTTAAAATAATTTATATGTTATTTACTCAAATCATACGTACTGTATAATCAACGTTAGGAGAGAAAGCATCAGGGATGGATAGTCAATGATCTGGGATTCACAGTAATTTCAGACAGACTGGCGACTGGTCAATCCCTAAATTCCAGATTTCAATAAAAGTGATCTGCTATATGGGATTAAAAATAATAAATATGTATGATATGCAGTATTACTTAGGAGATTACCCGGAGATGATCCAAGAGGAAGCCCCTGACAGTGGGTCAAGCACTGAGTTCTCGTCTCATCTCATCTCATTAGATGGTTACTAATAACCATGTGATCTTGGGCACATCATTCAATGCTCTGAGGCTCAATCTCTTTTCCTGAATCTGGGTCAGATAATCTTTAACGCCCCTTTAAGGTGAAAATCTTCTGAGTTTTAGTATCTTCTTCAGTAAGGGAAGAAGAGAGGAAGAAACCAAAACCAAAACACAGAAGTGTTACTTGGTTTCACAGAAAGCTGAAAAACAAAATAATAAGGTCTACTAGTCAAAATTTTGGATTCCAGAATTAAAAAACAAAATTCTTAAGATTTATTTTATTACATATACTGATTCTTGTGATCTTTATTTGGTCAAAAGAAAAACAATTTTGTTGTCTGCATGATGGGAAAAATGGGAATAACTAGCATCATTTGTAGAAAATAGATATTTGGACATTCTTTAAATCTCAGGTTAGACATAAAGTGAAGTAAAACAAATAGAAAATATCATAAAGATTAGTAAGTACTACTAAATGTAAAATGGCAGCAATTACCTAATTATAAGAACTGAAAGTTAAAACCATTTCAAAGTAGTCTTTGACATTAGATAGAAACAATACAGAGAAAATACACTGTCCACTTGAATGAATGAGTGAGTGAGTGAGTGAGTGAGTAAAAGAGAACTTTAAGAATTGAAGATTTGGTCAATGATGTGTCTCAATGATTACATACAAGCTTCAATGACAAATCACTAACCTCAAAATCTGGTACTAGTTATTTTAAAAATGATAATTATATCATCATCTAATTCAACCCTTATTTTTTTAAAAAGAGTAGCAGCCAAAATGATTGATACAGGAATAGGGATATTATAACCCAGAAAATAAACTTGAAGAAGGCAATTTCAACAAGAAAATACTGAAAAGCATTTTTATTTACAATGTAAAAATTAAAGGTCTGCTTATTCCAAATGCTCTATTTTGCTGGGAATCATACTAGTTGAGCTTTAAAACGACTGATTTATGGATGCCGAAAATTAGTGATCATTTCTGTAGATTACAATCTCAGTGCTATAGAATCTAAAAGAAACCTTATTTACCAATAGAAATTAGTATGATGGCAGTATAGCAAAGTGATTTTTGTGCTTTGCCCTCTTATTAGATAAATGACCCTGGCAGGTTACTTCTCCAAATTGCAGTTTGCTCATCAGTAAAATCAGTTTGCTCAGAGATGTTCTTATATATACATTCTTTCATTTAAATCTCAGAATCTTTCATTTTGAAATTTAAATGAAAGAATATATATAAGAACATTAAAGAATTGTATTAAAAATTGTTACCTAAAATACTGTAAAGATATAAATATTTTAAATAATCAGGTACTTTCAGCAATTCTAGTAACCATTGAGCCAAAAGAAAGAAAAATGTGTTTATCTAAATTTCTATTATGAAGTTACAAGTGTTATTCAGAAAATAGACTATTTGAGAATTTACTTTATCCTTATTCTAATTAGTAAGGCACAAAGGTAACACTTTCGACACTTACATAATATGGATTTTTATAGCAATGATACATATACTGTATGAACCTAGCCATAGCCTTTTTTTCAAGTCTCCTTGGCTTAAAGGCTACACATTTATTAATACAATATGAGAAGAAAAGGGTGGCATACGAAGGCCAAAGAACAAAGCAAATTAACATACACTAAAGATTAAACACAAGACTTATGAGCTTTAATTAACTGGATAGGATACTTTGCTAAAAATTGCATACAGCCCTAATCTGGATATATATCTCTAGAAGAAGTAAAATACATTCCCAAACTACAAAAGCAGATTAAGTCACGATTCCAAAGAAGCTCACTGTATTTTTTTTTTTTTATTTTGGTAATCTTACTTGAAAAGAGATTTGTCAAACCCAGTGGCTGTGTCTGGCTTACGCCACTATTATACATTTCCACCTACTATATCCCTTTAATTAGAAGCTAATCACATCTATCTATTTATTATATACCTCGGAGTAGCAAATAATACATTGAGACTGAATCACCACCATTCAATGTAAAATCATGGGAAAGATAATGTATAGTCCAGAAAACAGAATAGTCATAAAGAGAAATAGAACAATCTTCAAGTATCTGAAAGCATGTTGACAAATAATTCATTTTCCCTGCATATGCTACAAGGAGGTAGATTTTAATGCAACATAAAAAAGAATTTGTTTATTCAGAACTGAAATGGGCTTGTTTCTGGAAAATACTTTGCCAAACTGAAAGAACACTAAAAATCCCTGAATCTTTCGATCCAGCGAACTTTAGAAATTTATTCCAAAGAAATCATTGCAGATGTGCTGAAAGATATATATAAAAGAATGCTGACACGGTTTATAGAAGGAGAAAAGGCTCATGGCAACCTAGGCATTATTTAGCCATGAATAATTTTCAATTAATAATTTAAGACAACGAGAAAATGCTTAGGGTAAAATATAAGTTACAAAAAAACTACACAATGAATAGTGCCACTTTTGTTCTTCTACCAAGAAAATATTTGTATATGTAAAAATAATTGGAAAAGTAACTGGAAGAAAACAAATCATAATTTAGCAGTTGATTATGTCCATGTGTAGTGGCACGGCAGGTGATTTTTGTTCTAAATTTTAATTCAGAGCAGATAGTACTACTTTAATCAAGTTGAATAATCATCTATCAGGAATTTTATTAAAGAAACTATGTGACTCCCAAGGTCTTTTCCAACTCAAAAATTCTACAACTCTAAGAAAACTTTCTACAACCAATTTAAAAATCAACAAGTCTTTGCCAAGACCAAAAAAACTAAAGTTAAATTTTCAAAGGACTGACAGTCAAGAATGGCATTCATTTTAGAAGTAATATCAATATCCTCTGGCCAGTAGCTCTTTTCTTAGATAGAAAAATGGGCAATAAACCTAAATGAGCTCTGATAAAAAAAAGAAACAAGAATATACCTGCAATTGCCAAAACGAAGAAGAAGAAGAAAAAGGAGGAGGAAGAGGAAGAGAAAAAGGAGAAAGGAATGAAGGCTTCTACCTTATTTTTGGCAGAAAGGCTGTTGCTTAGATGGCTGATAAAATCTTTAAGTGATTAATTACTATACTCATGAAAGCTACTTAACCTTTTCATTTAACTGGTAGGAATAGAAACTACAAGAATGGGGGTGGAGGAGCTTAAGAAAGTTTATCCTTTTTACAAAGGAGTATCTGATTATATCAATATGATTAATATCAGAATGATAGGTAAATTTCAATTTTCTTCTAAAAAGATACCAAACCACGAAAAAAAATTATAAGCCACTGGTTCAATTCATAAAATGTTATATATTATCACCACAAATCTCAAATATTCATCCATTTTAAGCTAAAAAGACAGCTTCATAAAATTATAATATCATAGATTAGAATTCTGTAATTCAAAATTAAGAAAAAGATTCCCCTTGTAATAACTGAAGAGAGCTATTTGTTATAAAAGGAAGAAACCAAAAAATGTCATATACTTTTTACTAGCGGTAAATAGGAATGCAACATAAAAACTATCTTCTAATGGGATATCATAACTAACATTTGGATGAGAATACAACCATAAAATTACAAGACAAAAAGAAAATAATTAAAAATCTAAAGTATAGATTACTTGAAACATCCAGAGAAATCAGCAAGACATTTTAATTTCAGCTATTTAGTTATATGTGCATCTATATATATATTTATACACCCATATGTGTATGTATATATATCACACCATCTTTATTGCTAGTTATATGACACAGAAGATCGTTTAAATGAAATACTTATGATAGTTTTTCTATATTTAGAATCTCACATGATGGGAAAAAACTGGGGGTTGTATAGAAAGATCAAGGGAACACAACTCCTTATGGAACCTGGTCAAAATATACAGTTTATTTTTCTTTCCTTTTTGGTTTTTAATAAAAAGAACTATAGACAAAAAGAAAAAACAAAAATCCTCAAGACCATGATTTTCTCACCAGTTACTGTAAACAAGGAAAGATATGTTTTCCCAAAATATCACAACTAAGACATACATTTATTTTTAAAAAGGAAAGAAAGGAAAAGAGAAAGAGATTACTGTCTTTTTAGAATTAAATACCCTTATTTTCACAGATTCATTCTATCAGAAAGATGTAGCAGAAACTAACACCGGAAATATACTCACGGCTTTCTAATTAACACATGAAAGAATACCCATTAAAAAATTTAAAGATAAACAATATGCTAGAAACAGTTCTAATATGATCAATGAATATGCTATGAATTATAAAATTGCATGAAACCTGATTTTTCTTATTTTCCTATTATGATTTAATCCAGGAACCATTTTTGAGGCAATTTTACTTGACCACCACCCATCTCCTATTGTGACAAATGATTCAGTACCCAGTATCTTCAACCATTTTTTAAATGCTGGAGTATTTAAGACTTACTACCTAGAGGAATGTGTAAAAACATTACATAATTCAACATTTCTGTAACAGCTATTGCACTTGAAAATTAGTAGCCAAATTCTGAAAAACCTGTTCTCTGCTTAAAAAAAACAAAAAAACCCCAAAAAACTTCCATAAATCTTTTTCAAAATGGCATCTGAAAAATAAATACCCTCAAGAAGAGACTAATTCACATACATTCTTAGAGGAAATAGCAGTATACAATATTTTATACATTTCAAAAGGGCATCGTATTCTTCTGAATGTTGCAACAGACTCCAGATCTGCAATCGTGCTGCAGTCATGAATAAACATATTCCTCTGAAGTTCCAAGTATGTGTGGCCATATCAAGGGCATGGAGCATGCATAACAGATTTGAAATGGATTTACATTACCTCCAACCTTAGGGCCACCTGCTGAACCAGGCTTCCTTGCACTGTTGGCAGGATTTCCGGATGTTTTAGGTGCAGGAACCTTGAAGGCTGATGCAGCTGATGATGGCCTATTTCCATCCACTGATTCTTCATCATCGAAGCTTTTATCTGCACAAAGCATCAGAAAAATGTATTTAAGAGAACTAAGCTTTGTTCCATTTTCCCTAAAGCTCAAAAATAAAATAAAGCCATATATAAAATCATTACTTTGGTAAGATATATAATACGAAATAAAGGTCCTTTGAATAAGCATTTATATATTGGCTAACACCATATAAAATAATCCTCTGTAATTCAAAATCAAAATGCAGTATTTTCATACTTCTTACTTATACATATTAAGTCAAAACATAAAACATTTTAACTCTAAAGGTAGTAAAAGTATTTTTCATGTTTTTGCTACTCTGCATTTTCTGCCAGCTCCTCCCATAGTGTATCTTCTAGCACGCCCTGCCTTATTCCTTATACCCAGATTCTGCAACTTACAATCACAGATCCGTTTGCAAATCAGTCGCCTCATTCCTCTGAAAGCTCTTAATTTCCCTCACCCTAGGAGGCTCCCAATAGTTCACATGGCCAAATACAGTAAATTCGATACTAATCAAAGATTCTATCAAAAAAAGACAGAAACAACCACAGAACCACCACTGAGGTTTGTGCCGGCATTTTTCTTTCTCTTCCCTGCCCTAGGTGCTGTAACAGCCAATCAGCTACAAGGTGACATCATCTTATGGCAGCTACTGCCAGATGAAAGGTAAAAATTCTCCATGCATCTAAAAAATTCTCTATTAGCTATAATCCTTATTCTATATCAAAATTTCAAAGGCATTCAAAACTAAAGGCTTAGAAATCTGTTTTTCTTATTTGACATGAAAATTTATATAAATAGAAAATAAGGTTTTATGCAATATTCATTCTGCTGGGATGCTTATTGCATCAGTAAAGCATAGACTGCCACAGTGCTCATTACTGTGCATAATTAACTCTGTAATCTTAAAATCTGCTCTTTATTTAAGCCATAGAAACCAAACAAAACAATTTGTTTTCATAAATGATTCTACAAGGCTCCTTTCGGAATATGAATGACCACACTAGTATCATCTACTTATATGCAAATGAAACATCTCCCAGCATACACACACACACACACACACACACACACACACACACACACACACACAATGTATTTTACTCTCCTGAGAAGAGATGGTTTTCTCTAGGACCCTGCACAAATCAACCATGACAAACAACATGGGCGAGGCAGAGAAGCAGCTTTACCACACGCTTCAGATGAATATGCCAGAATCTTTTCCTTTCAATGAACTTTCTTTACTTAAACAAACACCCAATCACCTAGAATTAAATAATTCCTATAAAGAGATATTATTAAATATTTTAAAGAAAAATAACTATTTTTAATATATAACTATTTAACTATTAAATATATCTTAAAATATGCCAAGAAAGTTTTAAGACTTATTTATTAAAAGAAAAAAGAATCAAATAGACACTCTAAAGTCACATTCTATTTCAGAAAGTGTTTTTAAGTAATACAACTTGCAGGAAAAAATTATCTTCTACTCTTAAAAAATTATTTTTTTAGCATAACACTATTAGGGAGTCAGTTTGGATAAATTAATAAGCTTAAAACCTATGCAGTACATAGACGGCTTTGTTAAAAACACTAATACAATTCCAAATAAACTTCTTTGCTACTGTTATGTTAAAAAAAATGCAGCTAAGAAAGAGTAGACATACAAATCTACAGAAAGTTAAGCACTAAAACACAGAGCAGCCAGAAGTTCCCATGGAAACAGTATTCTGTTCCTACACACACACAAGAATTGAAAAGAGTAAATATGTCCCTACCATTAAAAAAAAAATTAACTCTTTTCTCAAACTACTGGGAAATTAATTTTTAAAGTTTTTATCAAAATACAGCAAAGTATACAAATCATAAGTACACAGCTAATTAATTTTCACAAAATGATCATGCCAGTATAACCAGTATCCAGATCCACAGATTACCAGCATCGTGTAAGTACCCTCGAGACTCCTAAAAGTCTACATTTACTACCAAAGCTAACTAGTCTCGAATTCTAACACTTGGTTTTGTTCATTTTTGAACATTATATAAAATGAATCATACAATATGTATTCTGGTATCTAGCTTCTTTTTACTCAATGTTGGAAGGATAATGTTTGGAAGATTCATTTTCATTGCTGATAGTTTTCTACTGTGTGAAAGTACCACAATTTATTAATATCCATTCTACTACCGACAAGACATGGGCTGTTCCAGTATGAGGTTATTATAAAATGGTACTACTAAAAGGTAAGCAAACAAAGTCAAAGGTTTCTAAAGATTTGAGCCTTACTGAGGAAGTAGTAAACACAATAATTTATTTTAGATTATTTTAGATTATAACTATATATAATTAGATTTTAGATTAATAATTTATTTTAGATTATAAGTCAAAGATGCATAGTAATATCTATGGCACCAGTCCTCAAAATGTGGCCCCTATACCAGCAGCTGAGCATCACCGGGCAATTTGTTAAAAATGCAAATTCCTGGGCCCCAACCCAAACCTACTGAATCAGAAACTCTAGAGTAATCTATGTATTAACATACAAGCCCTCCCAGTCATTCTGATGCATGATTGAGTTTAAGAATCACTCCCCTAGGGGAGGGGATGGCATTCTTTTTCTATAAAGGACCACACAGCAAATATTTTAGGCTTTGTAAACCATACACATACGGCCTTTCCATGCAACTACTCAATTATGACATTATAGCTCCAAAGCAGTTATATACACACAATATGTAAACAAACGAGTGCAGTTGTGCTTCAATAAAATTTTATATACAAAAACAGGAGGGCAGATGGTTTTGATCCGCAAGCAACAGTTTGCCAATCTCTGCTCTAGGCTAACTACTAAAAGAAGAGTAAGTAGGCCGGGCGCGGTGGCTCACGCCTGTAATCCCAGCACTTTGGGAGGCCGAGGCAGGTGGGTGACGAGGTCAGGAGATTGAGACCATCCTGGCTAACACGGTGAAACCCATCTCTACTAAAAATACAAAAAATTAGCCAGGCGTGGTGGTGGGCGCCTGTAGCCCCAGCTACTCAGGAGGCTGAGGCAGGAGAATGGCGTGAACCTGGGAGGTGGAGGTTGCAGTGAGCTGAGATCGCACCACTGCATTCCAGCCTGGGCAACAGAGCGAGATTCCGTCTGCAAAAAAAAAAAGAGTAAGTATACACATAGAAGAAAATGAAAATAAATTTAAAATATCTGATTAACTGAAAAGAAGAGATACAAAAAGAAAAATAAAACAAGTGGATACGATAGAAAATAAAATAGTAAATATAAAACCAAGGATATCAGTAATTCTCTTAAATATAAATGAACTAGTAAAAGTGAAAGACCCAGGCTGAATTTTTAAAAATAGGTTGCTTAAATGAGATATATTTTTACCTATAAGGTCACAAAAAGGTTAGGGAAAGACAGACTAAAGGAAAACACAAATCAAAAGAAAGCTGGTGTAGCTACACTAATTTCAAACAAAGCAGCTTGAAAAAGCATTACTGGAGATAAAGAGAGATGTTTAATAATGAGAAAGCGGTTATTCCACGGGAAAAAAATCAGAACCCTGAATATTTATGTACCCAGTAACACAGCTTCATATATATAAAACAAAAACTGAAAAACTAAAAAGGAAAAATAAATAAATCTAGAAACATAGGAAGAAATAAAATTTTACCCACTTCCAATAAGGTTATGGTTTTTATTACTATCAGCTAAAAGAATTCATAAAACTAATTCATTATCACTAGCCCTAAAATTTAAAATTTTTGTTAAACATTTGTAAAAGGTTATAAATATTCTGGGCTTGAATTTTTTTCTAAATAACTATGAAATATCAAAACAAGCCTCAATTATTTTCTTCCTAGCAGCTATCACTTACTGAAATAATAGACACTGATTTTTATATGTGGATTGGAAGCTTCTTAAGGAGAAGAAACTGTCTTGTTCATGCTGCAACCCCATTACCTAGAACAGTCTAGGAATAACTGTCACAGCCAACTAACTCTTCCTGCTGCTTACCTCATCCCCTAAAGTTTATTCTCAACATGGCATCCTGGGTTGAACAAAGTCATATCACATCACTGTTCAAAATCCTCCTATGACTACATAAAAAGGTCTACCAGAACTCTAAGATCTTAACGGTCACACAGGTCTCTCCAACCTTATCTCCTACTTCTTTCTCTCTAATCCCCCCACCAGCCTAGCCTCCCTTCTATGATTCAATGGCAGGGCCTTTGCCTTGCTTCTTCTGCCTAGAATGCTTTTTTCATCCACATCCATACTGTTCACTCACCATCTTCATGTCTTTATTCATCTGCTGCCTTCTCAAAGAAGTTTTCTCTGGATACTAAAATCACAAACTTCCCAACACCCTGGTACTCTGATGTATCCCTGCCTGTGTTATTTTTTCCTAGCACTTATCATCTATATATTTTACTTATTTTGCTTATCTGTGTCCTGCTACTGAAATATATGAGCTGTGGGATTAAAAACTTTTGTCAACTTTGCCCCTGTTATATCTTCAACATGTGGAACAATATCTAGAACGGCACACATTTCACAGTATGGAGACTTTCAGTCTCCAGTGAAAGCATTACTAAGTTATTTAAAGTAATACTACAAACACAAACAATGATACACACTAAATAATGTACAAATTTTTATACGTAATAAAAGCAATAAATATTTTATAATATAGTAAAAAATACAAGGATAAAACCAGTACAGTGGAACTTCTATTCTGAAGGCCTTGTGGGGCAAAGGGAACAGAATTCAAAACCCACATTAGATGCAGTCTAACAGAGGACTCTTCCCACCAAAAGCTGGTATACCAAACAACTATACCCTCGAGGTTAAAGTAAATCATAAGTAAGATCTTATTTTCCTATAGTCAATTCCTTTCAAGCTCTTCTTGAAAGAGAATAACAGAGAAGTGAATCAAATAGAGTGCTTCATTAAGGTCAACTGCTTGGGTGGTCCAGACACTCAAGACCTTAAACTCTGTGGGCTCAGACTGGTAGTACTCCCAACCAACAGCCAAACAAAATGCAAAATTTCCCTGGAAGAAGGTGTCTGGCCTCAAATTATTCCCACAAATAATTTCCCAAAAGGCACCAGGTACAACAGGAAACAAGAAACCATGAGCCAAGAACAGTATAAAAAGAAACAGACAATAGGAAAAGACCCACTTAAAATCCTAGAGTTATCAGACACGGACTATACAATAACTGAGCAAACTTGACTTTGGGAATTGAAAAATTATAAAAAGTGACATAGATTTTTAAAATAACCAAATGCAATTTCTACAAATAAAAATATAGTAACTGAAATTTAAATTCAGTGGGCATGCATAACAGTAGCTTAGACACAACTCAAGGGATCATTAGTGAATTGAAAGACAAATCAGAAGATACCATTTAGGATACATACAGTAGGTGCTAAAATATTTACTGAATAAACAAAAGAAGAATTAAACACAAAAAGCAAATTACAAATTACAACTGTGTTGACATTGGCACTTTTGTTCTTGCTCCAAAGTTTCGAAAAGAGACTGGTATGATTGGGTGCAGAAACTGAACAAGATAAGCATATTAAAATATATTGAAGGATAGAAATTATTAAAGTGAGCAGGCTGCAGTGGTTTTCTATATAATGGAGATGGGAAAGAAGGAAAGAAAATGGAGAAAAGGAAGAGATGGAAATAGAGAAGGAAGAGATGGAAATGAAGTAGGAATAGATGGAAATGGAGGAGGCAGGAGAGGGAGAAGAGATGAAATACAGGAAGAGGAAATGGAGAACAATGGAAGAGATGGAGGGGAAGAGGAGGTGGATGGAGGAAGCGATAAAAGGAAAAAGAGGAGGGAGAGACTGGAGGAAGAAAGGAGTACAAGAAGGGAGAAGGGGACAAACAGGCAGAAAGAGAAGAGAAGGAAAAAGAAGACCAAGTAAGATAAGGTTTTACTTTTTGTTGCCTTCAAGTAACACTTGGAAACTGTCCCTAGCAAGCACTGAGACACTATAGGCCCACAATGACTTATCTGCATGCCTGAAAGTCAAAAAGCTCTAAAAACCCAACTTTTGTTTTGTCTTTTAAACTCATTTGGTGGCATTAAACTCATCTGAACTCAGTTTATAACAAAACATGATGTGAACTGATATGAGGCTATTTATGTGTATTCTACTCAGTATGAATTCACATACATTTATGGCAAAAACATGGCTGGGCGTAGTGGTTCACATCTGTAATCCCAGCACTTTGGGAGGCCAAGGCAGGTGGATCATTTGAGGCCAGCAGTTTGAGACCAGCCTGGCCAACATGGTGAAACCTCATCTCTACAAAAAACACAAAAATTAGCCAGGCATGGTGGCGCATGCCTGTAATCCCAGCTACTTGAGAGGCTGAGGCAGGAGACTCCCTTGAACCCAGGAAGTGGAGGCTGCAGTGAGCCAAGATCGTGCCACTGCACTTCAGCCTGGGCAACAGAGCGAGATCCTGTCTCAAAAAAAAAAAAAAAAAAAAAACCCAGAAAACATTAATGTGCTTGATTATAGGGTGCTGCCCCAAGCCCAGCAGAAACTGTTACATAATACATGGGGTATGACCTTATTAATTTTCTAAAATCTAATACATTCTGAATTCCAAAACACAAGTGGTCCCCAAGGTTTCAGATAAGGGTCTGTGAATTTATATTAATCACACCTTGTCCTTTTTTTTTCTTTTTCTCACTTCGGGAAAGACATGTATTGAAATGGCTTTTTAAACTTTCCACCTCACTTTTTTTTTTTTTTTTTTTGAGACAGTGTTTTGCTGTTGACACCCAGGCTGGAGTGCAATGGTGTGATCTTGGCTCACTGCAACCTCTGCCTCCCGAGTTCAAGCGATTCCACTGCTTCAGCCTCCTAAGTAGCTGGGATTACAGGCATGCACCACCACGGCCAGCTAATTTTGTCTTTTTGGTAGAGATGGGGTTTCACCATGTTGGCCAGGATAGTCTCAAACTCCTGACCTCAGGTGATCTGCCCTTCTTGGCCTCCCAAAGTGCAGGGATTACAGGCATGAGCCACCACACCTGGCCTCCACTTCACTTTTATGGGTACATGTATTCCAAAACCCGAAACTTCTGCTTCTCAAATTCATATAAACTGCACCATTTTACATGGCAAATAAAAGAGCAAGCCAAAATTTATACCACATCTCATAGAAAAAAATACATCTTATGTGGATTTTCTTCAGTGAAACAAACAGTTCAGTAAGAAGAACCCCCAACACTATAAATTTTCATGCACAAAATATGCTCTGATTCACATTAAGTAGTTTCTTATACCAAAGTTCCTCTCTTCCCTTGAAGCTGTATCCTTCCTTGTTCTAATTAAAACAATGAACAACAAGACTTGGGATTTCTGAGCTGTTTTACACTTCTGCATATCCAGCAGTGACTATGGTTATATCTAACAGCTAAATTACAAACTGAGATTAGGAAACATTAATCCCTATAAACTATTATACCACAGATACCTTGGAAAACTCAAATTTTAGCTGTCTACACTTCCCACACTGTGCTTTTACAACGGGAAGCTCTCCTTGGCTTTTCTCTAATCTCACAGGTCCCTCTAGCTAAGTCTCTTCTGTTGGCTGTTCTTTCTCTACCCAACAATTAAATGTTGAATATTCTCCTTCTCTCCAGACTATACACTCTCTAAATGACCTCATTCATTCTCAACGGTTTTAAATACCTTCTATATGCTGACAACTCTCAAATGTTTGTCTCTAGCCTAGACCATCTCTGAGTTCCAGACCTATATATCCAATTGCCTACTAGGTATCTCCCCCATGGGTATCTCCAAGCCACTCTAATTTCATATAGACACATAAAACCAACATCATCCAAAACTGATCTCCCTAAGTCCTCCCCAATCCCAGTAAATAACGTCACCATCTACTCAGCTGCTCAGGCTCATAATGTGCTCAAGTTTTCCTTTGACCCACAGAGATCGTCTACCAACAGTTCTTGTGCTTAAATCCACTGTTTCTCTTTACCTCTGCTGCCACTCCTAATCTAAGGCCAGACCAGTATTGTCTCTGCCTATACTACTACCAGAGCCTCTTAACTGGTCTCCTTGCTTCTATTTTTGACTTCTTTCCAAACCACAAAGTAGACAATATAATCCTCTAAAAAATAATTTGGATCAACAGCTGCCAAAAACACTAAATGAAAGGCTGAGGGGGAACTGTATAAAGGACAGATCAGGCTGATAACACCTAAACCCACTGCTCAATATTAGGATCACAAAGAAAGACAATCAGACAGTGTATGCCTTCTGACAGAAATCCAAAATACCACACATGAAAATATGTACCAACCCCACTCTAATAAATTAGACTTGATTCTGATCAAGCCATTAGAAAAATTTTCAATTTTGAGGAAATACAGGAGATAAACATTAAAAAGCAGAAATATAAAAGCACCACACAACACAATAAAAAAATCTAGTGTGCAGGAAGAATATTTAACAGATGTTTTTTTCTTCACTAAATAAATGGCAAGAGGAGAAAAAAGTGAGATAAATCCTATAGATGAATAGAGCCTTAAGAGGTATATCAACCAATTGCAATGGTGAACTTTCTTCAAATACTGATTCAAAACAAACTGTAAAAAGATATTTATAAAACAATTGAGAAAATGTGAACACATTTGACACTAAGGGTTAAACTTTTAGGTGTGACAATGGTATTGTAACTGTCTTTCTAAAAGACACTTTATTTGATATACATGATGAGTACCATGTGCACATACACACACATCTTAGTCCAGCAGGATAGCAGGGCTGGGAAAAGATGGGGTAGGGATCTAGATGAATAAATACTAGTCATGTATTGATAATTTCTTGAAACTGGATGATAAGTAGTAATGGAAATTCATTATAATACTATTTCTGGGTATGTCTGAAATGCTTCATTAAAAAATTATAATAATTTTAATCACTTTACTCCCTTGCTTAAAATCCTGCACTGGAATCCCAATAAAATAACTCAAAAGGGTAAAGAAAATAAGACGAGGGTGGAATACGTGAAATCAGCATCTAAAAAATCACAATGAATTCTTAAAAGATGCAAAAAAAGAAGGCACATTCCCTTTGCTCTGAACTGTCAAAAAAAAAAAAAAAGAACGAACAGCTACTGAAGAATAACACCGTTAACACCACAGTAAAGCCACAACTTGTGATTCTCAGAAGCTAAAACAGCAGAGAATTTATCTACCTTGCAGAATAACAGAGAAGTGACTATTTCTAAGCCAGAAAGTACAGGGATGAGCACAAGGAGCAACTGAAAATCTACGGAATCGTTTTATCAAACTCTTTCCCATCCCTGATTCAGGGAACACAACATTTTACACACAAATGTGCACATGAGTGCACACACACACAGGATTTTGTGGAAATGGAACCACGGAAAAAGGAAAAAGCAAGTTCTTGGACACATTTAAACTTTTGTTTGTCAAAGTTAAAATTTAATAGAAGGATTGGGTGAGAAAGTCAAGGATATCTCCCAGAATATAGAATAAGAGAAAGACATAAAACTTGAAAGCGAAGACAAAACATAAAAGACAGAGGATCAACCCAGGAAGTTCAATATCTGAATAACAATTAGGTAAGAAAAGACTAAACTAATAAAGGGGAAAAGCTTACGAAAAAATAATAGGAGAAAACTTCCCAGAGCTAAAGAAAATCACAAGCTTTCAGAAGTAAAAGAATCAAATAGTAAAAATTTAAAACATCTTCAATTTAAACTAAAATGAAAAAATTTAGTAAAATTATTAGAAATTGAAAATTCAAGGACTTCAAAAATAAGACAACTGGCTATATTTTAATATTCACATGCAGATGCAGTATTCTCAGCAGCACAACCTTAGTTAACTATTTTATTTATAAGAAATAAAGTCAGTTCTATACAAAGTTTAATAGAGGCCATGATAATTGATAAAGTATCTTGAAATTTCTAGGTAGATATAACTGACTAGTTAAAAATATATTTGAAGACTTTTGCCCTTTTATTTAAAGGGGTCCCTTAAAAATTCAAGACTTTGAACAGTCCAATGAAGTAACGGGACAATCACAATTTAAACCATTATTTGGTATTAATGAAATTAAATAACACATGCCATAATAGCCATAACAGCAAACTAAATAATAAATGAGGCTCAGAATCAGGTTTATTTAGAACCTTTACAAAATTTAGTCATTTCAACTACTTAAATTTTCAAGACAGTTTAGCCTACTGCAGCTTTAAGAACATCAATTGTACTATTCTATATGTACAAAGAAAACATGTAAACCTTTTCTTGAAGATTCAAGTTTATTAGCAACATCAGGTTTGAGGATATGTTACTATTGGTGCCCAACCCCCTGCACCCGTTAAATGAGACTGCCTTAGAAGGACACTATTTATTCAAAGGTACAGTATATTCACTTAGATGCCCTTAACACAGACCTAAAACACAGGATGGTTGTACAACACCTTCAATGGCTACAGCAGGAAGGTACCATAGGGTGGCTTTATTTTAGTCATTGTCTATTTTCAATCTTAGTGCCTGCTACTTACTGCCTGTATTACTGCTAATGCCCAATCTTCTGTCTCTTGTAATTTACTTTTTCACCTTATAGACTTCTTTTCCCTCTATCAATGTCCCTACAAGAAAAGTTAGCCTTCTTGCCAGTAAGTCAAATGGTTGCTTTCTTTCATTAATTTAAATTACCTGATCCCAGTGTATCACAAAGAATATTCAACAGCATGGAAGAAGAGAGATCTATTTAGTACTAATTTATTGCTATTGTTCTATAAACAATTGTAAATCAAGTTTTATATATATATACACACATACCAAGTTATATATTAGTTTGGTGTAGTCCCAGAAGGCTGGTCTCTAGAAAGCCATGGTTATATCATCACTTTTATATATATTTTTAAAGACTCATTTTTGGAATAATAGACTGTGCTGAAATGTTAAAAGTTTAGAAAGAATCTATTTACAACAAAACCTTATTTCTTTCCAGCCACTCTGCAGCATAACAACAAAAGGCCAAATTCCTCTTGCCCGCTTTTTGAGGCAGACTGCAGGGCTCAGCACCACATAATAATCCTACAGGTTTTTAACTCTATCTGGTTTGATTGCCCAGAGCTACTGCATGATTATCTGACTACTTGATTTAATACTCATGGGTAAGGGTGAGGACAACTAAATTGAAAAGCCCCCCAAACCCACCCTCAATTCATAAGTGAAAGCCATTATAGTGCTTCACAAACCCAAGTTTGCCTAGAAATAAAACTGCTAATGAAATCTTTCACATGGTCTTGAAGTTAAGCTTACATAACATATTCAATAGATAATAGATTAATAACTGGAATATATAAAAAGCAAGTATAAATAAACAACCACAAAAAGGTCAAACAACCAAAAAGTTGGCTACAATGCTGAAAGGCATCTACAGAGAAGGAAATATAAATAACCAAACACATGAAGGTGATCAATCTTATCAGAAAGCATAGATGTTTATAAAGGGTGAGATATTTTTCAACCATCTGATAGACAAATTTTAATAATAACCAGAACTGAAAAGAATGTAGGACAGCAGACACTACTGGTGGGAGTGTATGTGGTAAAGCCTCTTTTGGAGCAAATTAGCTATACCTAACACAATTCTAAAATAAATGAAAACTTTGATTCAGAAATTCCACGTCCAGACTATTTTAAGAAATATATCTGTGTGTATATACACAAACACATGTAGTTTGTACAAAGGTGCTTATTTCAGAACCATTTAGAAAAATTATATATAGTAAACAAATTTCTATAGAAGACAAAATGGTTATGATATGTCCATATTATAGAATACTATGCAACCGTTTTAAAAAATGATGCGAAATAACACGATAGTATTTTTTTAAAAAGCTCCATCCCATACTGAGTAAACACAGCAAATGGCAAAATTACATTCAGAATGGTATCATTTACGTAAACACAGTCAAAGCAAAACCATATACTTTGATATTTAGTATGTATGTAAAGGCACAGTAACAGGTAGAAAAAGACATGCTACGTATTAATAAAAGTGTTCTCCTCTGTTTACACCTGGGCTCGGGGCTTGAAGGTGGTTTTGAAGGGATTTTTGCTTTACCTTCATTGTTTGAATTTTGAAAGGGAAATGACATTTGTATATTCGTAAATAAACAAAGTTTGTAAGTTCGTAAATAAACAAAAAACATCAGGTAGGGGCAGTATAATCCATTTGTTTTATATGTTCATGTTTTATATGTTTACATGATTCTGGTATAGTGTATGTGCACTGGATGTGACAAAGACTAATACGCAGGAGTATATATCAAACTGTTAAGAACTATATAAATCCCAAGACAGCCTATCACTATATACATATCTTTATTGTTTAAATTTTTTATAAAGGTATATATTTTTGAAGAAGAGAATTAGCTGAAATGTTACCCTCTGATCTTTGTCAGAGGTTGTTACTTTTTTAAAAATAATTAATATATTCCTCAACAGTCCAAATGTTATGTATTATTTGAAAAAAGAAAAACTAAGTAAATATAAAACTATAACCATTGAACCTAAAATGTTTAAGAAATAAAATAAAATCTGGATATGGCCCACACCAAATGCAACATTTAGGGTTATCTACAAATTAGGTTTGGTTTTTTTTTTTTAAAAAGGAAGAAACTTGGCAATGCCCTTAAGTATATGAGAACTTATTTGTTAATCCTGCTTTTGTCTTAAAAATTGGTAGTTGAAAAATTATTTTCTCATTTATTTCCATAAGATCATATAAAATAGTTACATAAATTCTTGGAATAAATCATAACGATATGCCAAACCAAATTTTCTATCAGATTTCCATTTAAATGTACATAATAGTTCAAATGACTGTCTACCAACACCATCATTTTGATATATTTGTATCCTATCTCTCATAGCCCCTAGGGGAATTACTTCTTAGAAGAGTTCACTACATACATAGTCAAAGGAAGGCTGAAACTGTTAAGAGTTAAAACCTCCATATATGGACCAGTCTTCCTTAAGAACCTGGCAAAAAAACACTCAAAACATTTTTGAGGAACCTCAGGTTTCCCTTCATACATATCTGTGATGTTGATGTGATTATAAAGTATATCTCTAGGCCTCGTAACAAAAAAAGGTGTAATGAAAAAAGAAAAAAAGCTCAAGTATTAAGTGTTATAATGGAAAATACCAAACACACATTTGGGACCCTAGATTTGGTACTGGTTTGCTTTCTGTGCCTGGATCTGGGACATATTGTCTCAGCAGGTCTCAGTTTCCCAATCTGTAAGATGGAAATACCAAAACACTCTGAACACTTCACAGAGTTGTTCACACCTGAGGAGTTAATATATATTAAGTATACAAAAGTGCTTTGGAGAACTATAATGCCTAATAAGGCATTATAGAAATAATGTGTTTTTAAAATTATCCTTACCAAACTAAAACACTGGCAAAATCAATTTTTAATCAAATTATACCCTGTGCATAATCTTAAAAGGCTAAATATTTTCTAGAAAAATGTTGGGACACTGACAATTAACAATCATATGAATTAAAATAATGCCCATGGCAAGCCATTTTGCTTCTTTAAATATTTTATTTCCACAGAATTCTACTTGTGTCAAATACAACAGGAAGGATATCAAGCTAGCTAGTCAAATCTTCCTGCTAAAATCTGTCATTCCTCCAAAGGCAATGTTCTTCCTCTAAGCTTCTGCACATATTCCACGTTTCTTCCAATATCCCTTCATATCTACCACCAAGACTGAAGCTTGCTTGGGTTGCAAGGTAAATTGTCACCTCATGCTTGCCAGATCCCACACAGACACATCAAGTGAAAAAAGATGTCAAATGACATGCACACACATGCATAAATGTACACACAAGTGTACACACATGCATAAACACACAAGTGTCCTTCATTCTTTAGGGAGAAATATATTTCTTACACAGCAAATGATCGTCACCTTAAAAGGAAGTGTATAACACAAGCAAAAGAAGAAAAATAAATCTTACTCACCATCTCCCATAGCCATTAGATGGTCCAGGGAGCTCTCTGAAACCAAGAGGTCAAATAGCACAGCAAATAAGTACAGCTCAGTGCCTGCGCCACTGGGCTCGGCCTGCAGCCTGCAGACACCCGGAGCACTGTGTGACCCAGGCCTCGCTGCAGCTCTGCACCGCAATAGCCAACAGCTGCTACTCCACTTCAAAATAAAAGTCTGGGGTCTTGCTGAAAACCCTCGTTTATTTAGCACAGCCTAGAAGGACTTGATTAAGATTACTCTTTAGCTGCACATATGCTGTTGGATACAGGTTATGATGTTTCTCCTTGTACTGGCTGCCTGAAATTTAATCTAAGAAAAGCTCTGAGAGCCAATAAATGCCATCCCGCTGGGGGACTTTTAATGCAATCATCAAAACACAAGGCATGTGTTCAGCAATCATTTTCTGCTTCCCTAAAGATATCCATGTAATCAGTAGCAATCACATGATCTGATGGATTAACTGATTTGCGCCTTTTTAAAAAGGTTTTCATCCTTTTGTCGTTACCTTTTAATATTTACAACAGAAGATTGCTAGAAGTGCATAAACAGGAATAGCCCAGTTTCCATGATTAACTGCTCTCATTATGCAGGAAGCATTTCTGGCTGCCGTAAACAAATCACGTCAAAGGCAGCCCATCAAAGGCTGCTCTGTGCGCGGACAGCAGGGCCACACGGAACAAAGCTTACTTCTGGTGGAGACAGAACCTAGCCAATGCGCAGCTGCAGGGGCGCAGAGCACCCTCTATCCAAGCTGACAACCATCAGCACATTGTCAAGCTCTGAAGGCAGGCCCTGGAGCTCATGATCACAAACAGATACATTTTAAAAATCAACCAAAGAAAAGAGCTGCTTTGCTTTTCACCAAAGGGTATGTTATAAAAATATACAAAACTAGACTGGAAGTTATCTTATTGACTCATAGAAGCCAAATATTAAGGTAATTTCAAAGCCTCATTTCCAGGTTTTATTTTATTGCCAGCCTCCAAGAACAATTCTTTTCCTAGCAACTGTTTCAAACAGAGAAGCCAGAAAATACTTTACTAATGATTGCATGGCCAAGACTGCATTAGGTCCTAAACACACACTCGACAAATAAGAATTATGCATAGTTTTTTTCACAGTGAAAGAGAAAAGGATTTGCAATTACAGCCACCAACACTGTTAGTGTTTACATCCTTGGTTTGTGCAGGAGACTGTCTAGAAAGCTCCATAACGACACCAGCGCCTGCCATAATCGCAGGGGGTCTCCAACTTTCAGTCTTTTCTTTCCTACAGGGCTGGTGTTCCCTCCTTCTAGTCACGATCTGACAGATTTTAAATCCAGTTTTCTTCTAACAGCAGAGCTAATTCTACTGCATTTAGGGACTCTGCCTAACTTACTTTTACAATATAACAAGTTGAGTTCAAAAAACCATCAAATACTCTATAACTCACTTAATGACTGTTCAGATGACAACTTTTAGCTATAAAAAAGTTATATCACCTTTACAACAAATCCTTTGGTTTCTTGTATTTAGTAAAATGATTTTTTTCATCACGAAACACTCTAAATCAATATGCTGTAAGATGTATGATGTGTCATTATTATGGTTTCAGGCAAAGACACACCAAAAAATTTTGTTTACCATAATAGTTTCTGGTCACAGAATATCAGGTGGAACAAATTTGAATTGCGTGCCATTTTTGGACAGACCCAAAACAATTTATTTTGCATAAATGCACCAAGTGAGGGAGAGAAAAGGTAGTATCTTCAACAGCTCTTTGTGTGCATGAACTATTTCCACAAGATTTCATGCCGAGCCTTTACTCTGTCCTAAAATGTTTTCCTGTTTCTATCACTTTATTTACAGTTTTAGTTTTAGTTTTAGTGTGCAATAAAAATGAATCAACAAAGGCCTGAAAATTTTGTGGGGAAAAATTGTGCAGAAATAAAGAAGAAGTTGAATTAAACTCCATGATATTACTTCATGTACAATTTCCCTTCAAATTGTTACTTATAAAAATTTGTTTTCAGTATTCAATTGATATATTTTTCTACCTGGGAAAACTACTCAAGTATCATGGGCTGGGATGAAACACACCGTAATTTTTCTCATTAACACTGGTGAAAATAATTTTTTCATCTAATGGTCTTTCACTTGGCAGCAGGGTATTTAGGAATAATTTAAACTCATTAAACAAGGAGTAGTTATATTTCCTCCATTACCAACTGTAACCACATTGTATATCCATTTATTTACTTGTTTATGATCTATCTCCATCACTAGATTATAGGCTCCTTAAGGGGAGAAATTTCATTATCTTCTTCCTGTTGTGACATGATCTAATTTACATTTTAAGAAGATCCCTATGATTTCTGAGTAGCAAATGGATTCCTGGGGGCAAACATGGAACAGAAGTCTACAGAAGTAGTCCAGGCAAAAGCTAAAGGAGATTTAGAGAGGATATTAGCAGTGGAGATGGAAAAAATAAGCAAATTTGGGATATGTTAGTATTTCAGAAGTAGAAATGTTTGATCAGTTAGAATAGGAAATCAAGTCAGGTTTCTAGCTTGAGCTGATGATGGTGCCACTGACTAAAATGGCTAAGACTGGAGAAGGAACAGATCTGAGAGGCAAGAAAAGATAACAGGGTTTCATTTTTGGACATAGGAAGCTTGAAATGCCTATTAGGCAGCCAAATGGGAACGTCATCAAGGCCACAGGCTAACAAGTCTAGACCTAACCCAAAGGAGAGATGAATGATGGCTAGACCTACATACTGGGAATCATTAGCAAAGAGTTATCATTTAAAGCCTTTGAGTGGGGTTGGATCACTAAGAAAGAGAGAATAAAAACAGGGAAGAGGAGGCCTGGGCCCTGGGATTTTCCAACGTGATAAATAGGTTTCCTTCTTCTAGCATCCTCTTGTTAATTAATTCATTAAGGAATTTTTCAGTGACAGCATATTATCATCAAAAACATTATGACCAATATGACTTTAACTTTCACATTTGACCATACTTGCAATATTCAGACTGTAATCATCAATGCAAACAATCTTTGAAGTCTTCTTCAAAAAAAATAAATGCCAGAGACTAACTCCGAACCTCCCTGTTTATGGAGTGATAAACAAGAGAAAAAGTAATGGGAACTAAAGAAACAAAAAAGCTCTATTTTGAAGGTAACAGAAATAATGTCACAAAATACAAGAATAACAGTGCTTTCGAAATAAACCATACCCAAGCAATGAATACCTTAGATTTTATAGGTATTCTACTTTTTTCCTTAGAGTTGTAACTAACTTAGTCTGAAATACACAAACGATCATGTTATGAAAACACACAAGTTCAAGCATCTTGTCAAATCTCTTCCTACTGTTTCTGGTTTCTACAGAAATTGACAGAGGTAACTGCTAGAAAAATAAGGAGAAGATACTTAAAACACTTTCTATTCAGAGAAGTGAAGTGAGAATCTTCTGGCATTCAAGGTGAGGACTGGTAGCACTGAAGTCAATTTATGCTTCTGGAACTAAGTTTAGATGTGGGTAAACACAATCTTTCTAACACTCACTTACTCCATCTGACTTCCCGCAACACATCCTCAGTCTTGGTTTAACCCAAAGAACAGTAACTAAATTATATTAGTAACTAGTTTTCCAATTATTTGACTGTAAATTCACACACCAAATTTTTACTCCAACATCATTTATATTACTAAACTAACCACACTCTCTTTAATATGAAACTACTTTACTAGGTGGAAAAGCAACCTATATTATCTTTGGAAATAGAATATATTCTTTACATATATGGCTAATTAATATTTAAAGTCTCAAGTGTAGGTAAATGCTACCCAACAAAGCTAAACATAATTTATCAACTTTACAAAAAGGAGAGGAACCACAAAAATCAAATCAATACCAGATATTAACTCCAGACCTCCCTGAATTCCAACTTGGTCTCATTCTACTTAAGCCTGAGGTGATTATGCTAGTGAAGTTCCTGTGTATGAGTCTCTTGATCAGTTATAGTCTCTTGATCTATTATAGTCTGTACACAGATATAATAGAACCCATCAACCCCACAATTTCTATTAAAGACAACTAAGTAAAACAATTATTCTAGGTATAAAAACACATTGTATGCATGGAAAATGGAGGGCAAGAAGGTCATCATACCTCAACCCAGAAGACACAAAAAACAAGGCAGTATCACCAAAAAAAAAAAAAAAAAAAAGAACAGTATCATTTTACACAACTGACTCACTATTAAATTTCCACTCACTCCAAAAGAATCAGAGGATAGATAATTATCAGCAGGATGTAAATATTTTGTTATTATATCTCAACTAAGTTTTCAAGCCACAAAATCAACTCTTTTGAATCAGTGATATATAATACATTTTAGTGCCTAAAACTTTGCTAAATAGTCTTAGAAATGTTTGAGAGCTTAATTACTCTTACCTTTGCAGACACTCAAAATCATACCGCCTGAACTTTGCACTTCATCAAATTTGGCAAATATCATTTCTAATCTGGGAATAAAGAATAAATTGGGTTTGTTTGATTTTTTAAAACATATAGATTAAATAGAAACAATTTCCTTCACCATTCCCTTAGAAAAAACAATTGTAGGGATTCAGCTAGTTTTCTATACAACTCTCTTTCACAATTAACGCACTGAAAGAAGACACAAAACCCATCTCTCTTCAGTTGAAAGAAGTCACATATAGGTAGGACTCTACATATTTGCAGGTATGTTTGTGAAAAGACAATTTTTACACAAAGCAGTTTCTCATGTTTCATCATAAAATCATTCCTCCAAATCCATCAAAAATATCCTAGTTTCAACCTCATAATAAGTCTACTCAGTCACCAAGACATCTTTTAAAGGCATATAAAAATCATGCCAAAGTAACTTAAGGCAAACATACAAACAATAAAATATAAAATATCAAAAACTAAAGAGATGGCTAATATCACTGATAATCTGATGCTATCCCTGTTTCACACGACTGTTTTCATACAACACCAATTCCACTGGTCCTTCTAATTTTATATTCAGGATAATTACACTTTCTGCACTTCTGCTATCACTTTTCTTAGTTAAAAATGTATTTATTACAAAAGTAATGTACATTCATTATAAAAGAAAATTAGGAAATATAAATAGGAACAAAGAAAAAACCACATTTCTATCATTCAGAGAATGTATTTATTAACTGTATCCTTTCTGATACTTTTATATTCATATACAAATTTTCTTCAGAGTGAAATGGGATAAAACTGACAGCACTTTTTTTTTAGTTTGCTTTTCTTTCTCTTTCCAATATATTGTGCTATGATTCATTCTTAAATTTGTGACTTAGAGAATTGAGGAAGAGAGGAGGGTCACTGACATATTGCCTTTAGTTGCCAAATGTTCTTCTCTGACTCACCCATATACATGTGTCAAATTTCATTTCCTAAAACCTTACTTAAGCCTTGGTCCTCATCGTGGTCATTTCTTACCAGTAAATTATAGATACAGATACTTTTTGAAATAAATTATTGGCTTATTTCAGTAAGAACTAAAAAATTTTTTTAGTTGAAATCTCCTAGGAATTCATTATAATAGGATTTCTAAACCTTAACATCACCTCCTACTTCCAATAAATTCAACAAATACAACTATTTACATATAGAAAGCATTTCAGTTCAAAGACACAGGTCTCTTTATCCTACAGAGTAGTATATTCTGGAGGGTTGAACAGACACCAAGCAGGTTGCCCAGACACAAGAGGTGGACATAAGATAGAAGGAAGCATTGGAATTGGAGGCTGGAACCTCAGAAAGGAGGCTGGGCGTGGTGGCTCATGCCTATAATCCCAACACTTTGGGAGGCCAAGCAGCGCAGATCACCTGAGCACAGGAGTTCAAGACCAGCCTGGCCAACATGGCAAAACACACATCCCTACCAAAAATACAAAAATCAGCTGGGCGTGGTGGCACATATTTGTAGTCCCAGCTACTAGGGAGGCTGAGGCACAAGAATCGCTTGAACCTGGGAGACAGAAGTTGCAGTGAGCCGAGATCCTGACACTGCACACTCCAGCCTGGGTGACAGAGCGAGATTTTGTCTCAAAAAAAAAAAAAGAAAGAAAGAAAGGAGAGGATTTCGGAGAGCTGTTTGAGAAAAAGCAGAACAAGACATGAAGGGGCATAACATTTGGCTATAGATTAGAAGAACAGGAGTAAAAACTTTAGGACAGAAAGCTCAGAAAGAGAAGTGGGTTGGCAAGGAATTAAGGTAAGGCAGATAATACATGGAGACAGGAATCTGGATGTAAGCAGCTTTAGTGGAAGAGGGTTCAAATGAAATAGTAGGCAAATATAATACGAATATGGGAGAGAGGAGGGGAGGGGAAAAGAAGAAAAAGGGGCCAGAGTAGAAGGTATCACCCAAAGGTCTTTTGGGACTGGGTTGGGCTAAGAAAGACACACAGAGTAGATGATTGCCTCGCAGCATTAACCTTGCTGCCAGCTCTTCAGTTACTCAATACACTCTTCCTATGACTGTTCTACTCTCTCTTCTCAGTCACTCTTTCCTTCTAATGATTCTCACTTTACCAACTTTCAAGTAAAATTAACATCTGACTTTTGTTTGGTATTTATTAAAAATATTTTAGTCACTTGTTCAAAATTTTATAAAGGATAAGTTCATAACTTATCTTTAAAGCAAACAAAACAACACAGTATAATTTTCTACGTGGCCCTCACTGAATCCCTCCAACCCCATCATCAAACTCTATACACTTATTTTAGAAAAACAAACGCATTTATAATAGATGATTATTATACATATAATTTGGTGAAAAAAGGAAGAAATAAACAATTTAAGAGCAGAAAGAAGAGCCTAAGATATTTTAAGTAATTCAGGGGAAGAAATTAGGAAATTCAATGGAAGAAAAATACAACAGAGACTGGATTGTCCAAAAGATTATAAACACAATTTAGGAGGCCCACAAAGCTCTAGGAAGGTTCTGACTTAGGATAAGGATAGAGGCCAGTAAAGTATTAGGAAGGTTCTAACTCATAGGGTAAGGAGGACAGAATTAGAAAAGCAACCCTAACCAAAGTCCAGACTTAAAAGTTTAGAATAAGAATAGTAAATCCCAAGTATAACATGAAAGAGACAATTAGGTATCTCAGACTTTATCTTTCTAAAATAACAGTATTATTGAGGTAGAATTCAATACCATACAATTCACCTCTTCAAACTGTACAATATAACGATTTTTAGTATATCTGCAGAGTTGTGCAACCAAATAATCCATTTTAGAACATTTTCATCACCCCAAAAAATAACCACATACCCATTAGCAATCATTCCCCATTTACCCTGATCTCTCCAGTCCTAGGCAAACACTAATCTACTTCCTTTCTCTAAAGACTATATCTAGCCTATGAGTTGCCATATCTGGCCATTTCATATAAATGGAATCATACAATATGTGGCCTTTTGTGACTGGCTTCTTTCATGAATGTTTTCAAGGTTGATGCATGATGTATCAGTCATCCCTGTTGTGACCAAATAATATTCCATCGTATGGATTTACCACATTTTGTTTATCTATTCACCAAGTAATGGACATATGTAGATGTGGGGTGTCTCTATTTTTTGGCTATTATAAATAATGCTGTTATGAACACCTGTGTGTAGGTTTTTGTGAGGAATGTTTTCATATCACTTGCATATACAGCCAGGAATGGAATTACTAGGTTATATGATAATTCTATGTTTGACATTTTGAGGAATTATAAACTGTTTCCAAAGTTGCTGCACCATTTTACATTCCCAATGGCAATGTATGAGGGTTCCAATTGCTCTACATCCTCATCAATATTTGTTATTGTCTATCATTTTTATTTGTCTATCAGTTTTTATTTTCGTCATCCTGGGGGTGCATAATAGTTTTGATCTGTATTTCCCTCATGGTTAAATGGTGTTAAACATCTTTCTATGTGCTATTGCCATCTGTATATTCTTTTTGAAGAAATTCAAATATTTTGTCTGTTTTAAAAATTGGGTTATCTGTCCTTTTACTATTGAGTTGTAAAGAGCCCCTTATAACAGTCAAGATACGTGTCTTAGAAGATATTTGATTTTGGCCAGGTACGGTGGCTCATGCCTGTAATCCCAGCACTTTAGGAGGCCGAGGCAGGCGGATCACTTGAGGTCAAAGGTTAAAGACCAGCCTGGCCAACATGGTGAAACCCCATCTGTACTGAAAATACAAAACATAGCTGGGTATGGTTGTGTGCACCTATAATCCCAGCTACTCAGTAGGCTGAGGCAGGAGAATTGCTTGAAGGGAGATGGAGGGTGCAGTGAGCCGAGATCGTGTCACTGCACTCCAGCCTGGGTGACAGAGTGAGACTATCTCAAAAAAAAAAAAAAAAAAAAAAGACATTTGATTTGCAAGTATTTACTCCCATAATATGAGTTTTCTTTTACTTTCTTGATGGCGTTCCTTGAAGCATAAGTTTTTAATTTTGATGATATCCAATTTATCTATTTTTCTCCATTGGTTGCTTGTGTTTTGGTGTTGTATCTAAGAAACCATTGCCTAGTATTTTCTAAGAGTTTTATTATTTTGGCTCTTACATTTGGTTGTATGATCCATTTTGAGTTAATTTTTGGGTGTGGAGTGAGGAAGAGTTGCAACTTCATTCTTTTGCCTGGGGATATCCAGTTTATAAAGCACCACTGCTGAAAACACTATTCTTTCCTGCTCTATTAAATGGTCTTGGCACCTCTGACAAAAATCAACAGACCAAAAATATGAGTTTATTTCAGTATAGTTCCATCGATCTATATCTAGTGTTATGCTAGTACCATACCACCAGAACTTACTTTTTAAAAAATATTTGATAGAAAAAAATTGTTTAATTATTATTTTAAAACTATTTGACCTCACTGGGCGCAGTGGCCCACACCTGTAATCCCAGCACTTTGGGAGGCTGAAGCAGGCAAATCACAAGGTCAGGAGTTTGAGACCAGCCTGGCCAACACAGTGAAACCCCGTCTCTACTAAAAGTACAAAAAATTAGCCCGGTGTGGTAGCAGGGGCCTGTAATCCCAGCTACTTGGGAGGCTGAGGCAAGAGAATCGCTTGAACCCAGAAGACGGAGGTTGCAGTGAGCTGAGATCGTGCCATTGCACTCCGGCTCAGGTGACAGTGCGAGACTCCAACTCAAAAAAACAAAACAAAACAAAAAACTATTTGACTTAATGTCTTTATGAACCATACTTAAGTTTAGTTGTTTTAACAAAGAAGAATGGTTCTGATATAAATTTAAGAGTGGGCAAAAACAAACTTTAACTTTAGAGGGCTATATCCAACAGAAAATTTGGAAACCATAAAGGGAGCAGTATTTGAGAATCAAAACTATGCCTTCTAAACATTAAAGTTAGAATTTGATCACTATAACAAAAGAATACTTGTTTCAAATGAATGTAATATTCAGTATAAACTCTTGAGAATATATGGTAGTGGAAAAAGGGAAATAGTGGAACAATAGTCTGAAGAAAGGTGTAAACCGAAATTAATCTACGCTTTAACTTACAGAAGTTTAAGATCTGTTTAATATGTGTTGTTATTTTGAGGATTCGAAATACTACCTATAAAATAATAAGGCCATAGGCGTCAAGAATAGAAAACACTCTGCATGTTTGAAAAGCAAAGCTCACGTACCCAGAGTCCTCCACTGCCTACTACCTGCTAAAGAAGCATCACCAAGGAGAATGACACAAGCACAGCATGGAAGAAAGAACAATGGACTGCGTGTCAGGAAGCCATCAACCTCTTACTGACTAGCTGTCACTGCTCTGGGTCTCAGAGTCTTCATCTGCCAAGTGACTACCCACTTCGAGGAGGGAGAAATGGTAAGAATGGCTAGGGGTAATAAGTCATTGGCCTATTTCAGTAAGAACATTAAAGTATTAGCTACCTGCATATGATAAAACCCCTATGAAGTTAATTCTGATAAGAGGAAAATCAAATAAAGAGTTTCCTCTAACAAGTAACATTACTAACAAAAGATATAAATCAAGAAGAAAGGAAAATTATAGGTCATCATTTTGAGCATAGATGCAAAAATTCTAAGCACATATGTGCACACTTAATTTATAACAAAATAAGAAATGAAGAAAGATGTTTTCAATAAGTGGTGTTGGGTCAAGTGAGTATCCACACGAAAAAAATTTTTACCTGAAGTCTTTTATCATTGCATTTGCCAACAAACAAACAAACAAATCCAAGTGGATTATAGCTCTAAATGTGAATAAAACGTTAAGACAATTACATACAAGAATGTCTTCATACATTAGGGTAAGCAAAGATTTCATAAATGGGGCACAGAAATTTCTACTCATAAAGAAAATGACTAAGAACTACATTAAAATTAAGAACTTATGTACATCAAAAGGTATCACCAAGAAAGTACAAAAGCAAGTCACAGAGTGAGAGAAGATACTTGAAGCATATAGCATTGACAATGGCTTGTATACAGAACATATAAAAAAGTTCTACAAATCAAGTTTTTAAAAAGAGAACTCAATTTAAAAAAAAAAAAATTGGCAAGAGGCCTGAAAAGAACACCACAAAAGAAGACATCCAAATGGCTGATAAACAGATTAAATGGTGCTTCTCTCTATTTGTAATCAGAAAAATGCATGTTACAACTGCAATGAAACACTACACCCACTAAAAACCTAAAATTAGTAAAAATAAGCCTAACAATACAAAATAATGGTGAATATGTAGAATAATGGAAACTTGCAAACAGTACCAGTGATAATACAAATGGGATACAACCACTCTGGAAAACTGTCCATATCAACTAAATGCCTCCAAAAGAATGAATTAGTATGTATACCACAAAGCATATACAAGAAAGTTATTAGCAGCATACTCATAAAAACCGTAAACCAAAAACAATGCAAATATCCATCTATAGTTTGGATTTGTAGTCTATTCATACAATGGAAAACTATAAGGCTATCAAAAAGAACTGTAGCTGGATCCAACAACCCAAAAGAATCTATATATATACATACACATGCACACACATACATATACACGCACACATATATATACACACACACACGTAAAAAACATAATTTTAACAGAAAGAAGTCAAACACAAAAAAGTATATGATTCTATTAATATAAAATTCAGAAACAGGCAAAACTAAACTATGGTGTTAGAAGTCAGGATTGTGGTTACTTTTAGGAAGAGAAGAGGTAAACATTTAAAAGGATTTGAAGTGGCTTCTGGGATGTTGTAATGTTCTACTTCATCTGTGTGGTGGATACATGCATGCATTCACTTTGCTATAATTTATAGATTTGTATACTAATGATTCGTGCACTTTTCTGTATGGAGTTCCTAGCTGAATAAACATTTAAAATATTTTTTTAAAAAGTAATTCCTGCCTCTGATTTCCATATGTAAGAAGCTTGGAAAGTTGCTACTCTGCCCTAACAACAAGTAAAAAGTTAAACAAACTACAAAATCAACAACTCTTCTTAGATCTGTAAGAAAAGTGAGGTCACATGGCAAACCGCCGCACCAAAAATTAGAGATGGGGAGATGAAAACAGAGAATCACAACTTACCAGAGCATAACCCATCAGCAGAAACCTCTGTGAAAACCAGTGCCAGGGTAGGAAAACCTGACCTGTAGTTAACAAATTGGTGGAGGATCAGAGTGGACAACTCTTGAGAGTTAAAAACTCCAGGGGACACAGTCATGGTGGTGCAGAGGGAGATCACACTTTTTGAGTTTTACCTCCAGGAGTTCAACTTGGTTTTCAGAATATCAATGCAAAATCCTATCATGTTTCCAGCAGGGAGAACCGAAAAAGAACCATTTTGAAATATGTGAGTGTATTCTGTTCTCCTTAACAATGTCTGACCTTAAGTGAAACTATTTAATTAGACTTAACCTGCTGGGGTTTTATCAGAGCCTAAATGACCTAGGAAAATACCCATCTCCTGCTGCTCTAGTTTTCCACGTGGAGAAATGGAAATCCCGAACTCCAGTCTCCTATACCCTTCCACCTGAAAAAAAAGGGAAATATATGATTCCAGCCCACTCTAGCTAGCCATTCTGTCCCACCTAAGTGAGAGGAGGGTGGGAAACACTTAGAAACATTTGTGAGGTTCACAATTCAGAGACAGAGGCTCACTAAAAGAGACCTACTCACAGGACTACAGAACACTTCCTCTCCCATACCTTACCAACACATTACTAAAGGCCTGTTTCAAGTAGTTCCTTTTACCTGATACATCATGTCCAACTATTAAAAAAAAATTACATGGCATTATAAAAGACAAAAAAAAGAGAGAGCAAGTAACAGAACCAGATCCAGTTATGGAAGATATGTTGGAATTACCAGACCAGGAATTTTTTTAAAACTATGACTAAGGAGGAGCCAAGATGGCCGAATAGGAACAGCTCTGGTCTACAGCTCCCAGCGTGAGAGACCCAGAAGACAGGTGATTTCTGCATTTCCATCTGAGGTACCAGGTTCATCTCACTAGGGAGTGCCAGACAGTGGGCGCAGGTCAGTGGGTACAGCGCACCGTGCACGAGCCAAAGCAGGGCGAGGCATTGCCTCACTTGGGAAGCACAAGGGGTCAGGGAGTTCCCTTTCCTAGTCAAAGAAAGGGGTGACAGATGGCACCTGGAAAATCGGGTCACTCCCACCTGAATACTGCGCTTTTCCGACAGGCTTAAAAAATGGCGCACCAGGAGATTATATCCTGCACCTGGCTCGGAGGGTCCTACGCCCACGGAGACTCACTGATTGCTAGCACAGCAGTCTGAGATCAAACTGCAAGGCGGCAGCGAGGCTGGGAGAGGGGTGCCCGCCATTGCCCAGGCTTGCTTAGGTAAACAAAGCAGCTGGGAAGCTCCAACTGGGTGGAGCCCACCACAGCTCAAGGAGGCCTGCCTGCCTCTGTAGGCTCCACCTCTGGGGGCAGGGCACAGACAAACAAAAAGACAGCAGTAACCTCTGCAGACTTAAATGTCCCTGTCTGACAGCTTTGAAGAGAGCAGTGGTTCTCCCAGCAGGCAGCTGGAGATCTGAGAACGGGCAGACTGCCTCCTCAAGTGGGTCCCTGACCCCTGACCCATGAGCAGCCTAACTGGGAGGCACCCCTCAGTAAGGGCAGACTGACACCTCACATGGCCGGGGACTCCTCTGAGACAAAACTTCCAGAGGAACGAGCTGACAGCAGCATTCGCGGTTCACGAAAAACCACTGTTCTGCAGCCACCACTGCTGATACCCAGGCAAACAGGGTCTGGAGTGGACCTCTAGCAAATTCCAACAGACCTGCAGCTGAGGGTCCTGTCTGTTAGAAGGAAAACGAACAAACAGAAAGGACATCCACACCAAAAACCCATCTGTACATCACCATCATCAAAGACCAAAAGTAGATAAAACCACAAAGATGGGGAAAAAACAGAGCAGAAGAACTGGAAACTCTAAAAAGCAGAGCACCTCTCCTCCTCCAAAGGAACGCAGTTCCTCACCAGCAACGGAACAAAGCTGGATGGAGAATGACTTTGACGAGTTGACAGAAGAAGGCTTCAGACGATCAAATTATGAGCTACAGGAGGAAATTCAAACCAAAGGCAAAGAAGTTAAAAACTTTGAAAAAAATTTAGATGAATGTACAACTAGAATAACCAATACAGAGAAGTGCTTAAAGGAGCTGATGGAGCTGAAAGCCCAGGCTCGAGAACTACATGAAAAATGCAGAAGCCTCAGGAGCTGATGCGATCAACTGGAAGAAAGGGTATCAGTGATGGAAGATGAAATGAATGAAATGAAGCAAGAAGGGAAGTTTAGAGAAAAAAGAATAAAAAGAAATGAACAAAGCCTCCAAGAAATATGGGACTATGTGAAAAGACCAAATCTACGTCTGACTGGTGTACCTGAAAGTGACGGGGAGAATGGAACCAAGTTGGAAAACACTCTGCAGGATATTATCCAGGAGAACTTCCCCAATCTAGCAAGGCAGGCCAACATTCAGATTCAGGAAATACAGAGAACGCTACAAAGATACTCCTCGTGAAAAGCAACTCCAAGACACATAATTGTCAGATTCACCAAGGTTGAAATGAAGGAAAAAATGTTAAGGGCAGCCAGAGAGAAAGGTCGGGTTACCCACTAAGGGAAGCCCAACAGACTAACAGCAGATGTCTCGGCAGAAACTCTACAAGCCAGAAGAGAGTGGGGGCCAATATTCAACATTCTTAAAGAAAAGAATTTTCAACCCAGAATTTCATATCCAGCCAAACTAAGCTTCAGAAGTGAAGGAGAAATAAAATACTTTACAGACAAGCAAATGCTGAGAGATTTTGTCACCACCAGGCCTGCCCTAAAAGAGCTCCTGAAGGAAGCACTAAACATGGAAAGGAACAACCAGTACCAGCCACTGCAAAATCATGCCAAAATGTAAAGACCATCAAGACTAGGAAGAAACTGCATCAACTAACGAGCAAAATAACCAGCTAACATCATAATGACAGGATCAAATTCACACATAACAATATTAACTTTAAATGTAAATGGACTAAATGCTCCAATTAAAAGACACAGACTGGCAAACTGGATAAAGACTCAAGACCCATCAGTGTGCTGTATTCAGGAAACCCATCTCACGTGCACAGACACACATAGGCTCAAAATAAAAGGATGGAGGAAGATCTACCAAGCAAACGGAAAACAAAAAATGGCAGGGGTTGCAATCCTAGTCTCTGATGAAACAGACTTTAAACCAACAAAGATCAAAAGAGACAAAGAAGGCCATTACATAATGGTAAAGGGATCAATTCAACAAGAAGAGCTAACTATCCTAAATATATATGCACCCAATACAGGAGCACCCAGATTCATAAAGAAAGTCCTGAGTGACCTACAAAGAGACTTAGACTCCCACATATTAATAATGGGAGACTTTAACACCCCACTGTCAACATTAGACAGATCAACGAGACAGAAAGTCAACAAGGATACCCAGGAATTGAATTCAGCTCTGCACCAAGCGGACCTAATAGACAGCTACAGAACTCTCCACCCCAAATCAACAGAATATACATTCTTTTCAGCACAACACAACACCTATTCCAAAATTGACCACATAGTTGGAAGTAAAGCACTCCTCAGCAAATGTAAAAGAACAGAAATTATAACAAACTATCTCTCAGACCACAGTGCAATCAAACTAGAACTCAGCATTAAGAAACTCACTCAAAACCACTCAACTACATGGAAACTGAACAACCTGCTCCTGAATGACTACTGGGTACATAAAGAAATGAAGGCAGAAATGAAGATGTTCTTTGAAACCAACGAGAACAAAGACACAACATACCAGAATCTCTGGGACACATTCAAAGCAGTGTGTAGAGGGAAATATAAATGCCCACGAGAGAAAGCAGGAAAGATCCAAAATTGACACCCTAACATCACAATTAAAAGAACTAGAAAAGCAAGAGCAAACACATTCAAAAGCTAGCAGAAGGCAAGAAATAACTAAAATCAGAGCAAAACTGAAGGAAATAGAGACACAAAAAACCCTTCAAAAAATTAATAAATCCAGGAGCTGGTTTTTTGAAAGGATTAACAAAATTGATAAGACTGCTAGCAAGACTAATAAAGAAAAAAAGAGAGAAGAATCAAATAGACCCAATAAAAAATGATAAAGGGGATATCACCACCGATCCCACAGAAATACAAACTACCATCAGAGCATACTACAAACACCTCTACGCAAATAAACTAGAAAATCTAGAAGAAATGGATAAATTCCTGGACACATACACCCTCCCAAGACTAAACCAGGAAGAAGTTGAATCTCTGAATAGACCAATAACAGGAGCTGAAATTGTGGCAATAATCAATAGCTTACCAACCAAAAAGGGTCCAGGACCAGATGCATTCACAGCCGAATTCTACCAGAGGTACAAGGAGGAGCTGGTACCATTCCTTCTGAAACTATTCCAATCAATAGAAAAAGAGGGAATCCTCCCTAACTCATTTTATGAGGCCAGCATCATCCTGATACCAAAGCCGCGCAGAGACACAACCAAAAAAGAGAACTTTAGACCAATATCCTTGATGAACATTGATGCAAAAATCCTCAATAAAATACTGGCAAACCGAATCCAGCAGCACATCAAAAAGCTTATCCACCATGATCAAGTGGGCTTCATCCCTGGGATGCAAGGCTGGTTCAATATATGCAAATCAATAAATGTATTCCAGCATATAAACAGAACCAAAGACAAAAACTACATGATTATCTCAATAGATGCAGAAAAGGCCTTTGACAAAATTCAACAACCTTCATGCTAAAAACTCTCAATAAATTAGGTATTGATGGGACATATCTCAAAATAATAAGAGCTATCTATGACAAACCCACAGCCAATATCATACTGAATGGGCAAAAACTGGAAGCATTCCCTTTGAAAACTGGCACAAGACAGGGATGCCCTCTCTCACCACTCCTATTCAACATAGTGTTGGAAGTTCTGGCCAGGGCAATTAGGCAGGAGAAGGAAATAAAGGGTATTCAATTAGGAAAAGGGGAAGTCAAATTGTCCCTGTTTGCAGATGACATGATTGTATATCTAGAAAACCCCATTGTCTCAGCCCAAAATCTCCTTAAGTTGATAAGCAACTTCAGCAAAGTCTCAGGATACAAAATCAATGTACAAAAATCACAAGCATTCTTATATACCAATAACAGACAAACAGCCAAATCATGAGTGAACTCCCATTCACAATTGCTTCCAAGAGAATAAAATACCTAGGAATCCACCTTACAAGGGACGTGAAGGACCTCTTCAAGGAGAACTACAAACCACTGCTCAATGAAATTAAAGAGGATACAAACAAATGGAAGAACATTCCATGCTCATGGGTAGGAAGAATCAATATCGTGAAAATGGCCATACTGCCCAAGGTAATTTATAGATTCAATGCCATCCCCATCAAGCTACCAATGACTTTCTTCACAGACTTGGAAAAAACTACTTTAAAGTTCATATGGAACCAAAAAGAGCCCGCATTGCCAAGTCAATCCTAAGCCAAAAGAACAAAGCTGGAGGCATCATGCTACCTGACTTCAAACTATACTACAAGGCTACAGTAACCAAAACAGCATGGTACTGGTACCAAAACAGAGATATAGATCAATGGAACAGAACAGAGCCCTCAGAAATAACGCCGCATATCTACAACTATCTGATCTTTGACAAACCTGAGAAAAACAAGCAATGGGGAAAGGATTCCCTATTTAATAAATGGTGCTGGGAAAACTGGCTAGCAGACGCCTCAGAAATAACGCCGCATATCTACAACTATCTGATCTTTGACAAACCTGAGAAAAACAAGCAATGGGGAAAGGATTCCCTATTTAATAAACGGTGCTGGGAAAACTGGCTAGCCATATGGAGAAAGCTGAAACTGGATCCCTTCCTTACACCTTATACAAAAATCAATTCAAGATGGATTAAAGACTTAAACGTTAGACCTAAAACCATAAAAACCCTAGAAGAAAACCTAGGCATTACCATTCAGGACATAGGCATGGGCAAGGACTTCATGTCTAAAACACCAAAAACTATGGCAACAAAAGCCGAAATTGACAAATGGGATCTAATTAGACTAAAGAGCTTCTGCACAGCAAAAGAAACTACCATCAGAGTGAACAGGCAACCTACAAAATGGGAGAAAATTTTCGCAACCTACTCATCTGACAAAGGGCTAATATCTAGAATCTACAATGAACTTGAACAAATTTACAAGGAAAAAACAAACAACCCCATCAAAAAGTGGGCGAAGGATATGAACAGACACTTCTCAAAAGAAGCCATTTATGCAGCCAAAAAACACATGAAAAAATGCTCACCATCACTGGTCATCAGAGAAATGCAAATCAAAACTACAATGAGATATCATCTCACACCAGTTAGAATGGCAATCATTAAAAAGTCAGGAAACAACAGGTGCTGGAGAGGATGTGGAGAAATAGGAACACTTTTACACTGTTGGTGGGACTGTAAACTAGTTCAACCATTGTGGAAGTCAGTGTGGCGATTCCTCAGGGATCTACAACTAGAAATACCATTTGACCCAGCCATCCCATTACTGGGTATATACCCAAAGGACTATAAATCATGCTGCTATAAAGACACATGCACATTTATGTTTATTGCGGCATTATTCACAATAGCAAAGACTTGGAACCAACCCAAATGTCCAACAATGATAGACTGGATTAAGAAAATGTGGCACATATACACCATGGAATACTATGCAGCCATAAAAAATGATGAGTTCATGTCCTTTGTAGGGACATGGATGAAGTTGGAAATCATCATTCTCAGTAAACTATCACAAGAACAAAAAACCAAACACCGCGTATTCTCACTCATAGATGGGAATTGAACGATGAGAACACATGGACACAGGAAGGGGAACATCACACTCTGGGGACTGTTGTGGGGTGGGGGGAGGGGGGAGGGATAGCATTGGGAGATATACCTAATGCTAGATGACGAGTTAGTGGGTGCAGCACACCAGCATGTCACATGTATACATATGTAACTAACCTGCACAGTGCACATGTACCCTAAAACTTAAAGTATAATAATAATAAAAAATAAAAAATAAAAAAAAATGTCTAACACACGTGGGGCTTGCTGCCTGAAAAAAAAAAATTATTCCTATTTTATAAAATAAAAAATTTATCTAAAGTTTAAAAACAAAAACTATGATTAATAGCTAAGGGCTCCAAAGAATGAGGCAGATAGCATGCCAAAAAGGAAAAAAAAAAGTAGATAGGTAAGAAGAGAGAAAGAAATTCTAACAAAGTACCAAAAAAAAAAAAAAAAGCTGGAGATGAAAAACTTAATAAAATTAAAGAATGTCCTTATTGGGCTTATTACTAGACTGCACACTGATGTATCTCTGAGCTTGAGGAAATCTCAATAGAATTCTCCAAAACTGAAAAAGCAAAGAAAAAAGAGATTGGAAAACAAAACAGAAGAGACTATCCAAGAACTGTGGGGCATCTATAAAAGATGGAACATACATGTTAATGGGGATAATAGAACAAGAAAGAACAGAAAGAATACTTGAAAAAAAGTATCTGAAACAATAATCATGGAGAATTTCCCAAATTAATGCCAGATACCAAACCGCAGATCCAGGAAGCTCAGAGAACACCAAGCAGAACAAATGACAAAAGAACTACACTTACACATATCATATTCAAACTATAGTAAATCAAAAATAAAGAAAAATATTCTCAAAGTAACCAGAGGGGGAAAAAAACACTGCCTATAGAGGAGCAAAGATAAAAACTACATCCCACTTCTCCTTGTGCAAGCAAGAAGAAAGTGAAGTGAAATATTTAAAGTGTTGACAGAAAAAACACACTAATCTACAATTCTTTTTAGTTTTCTTTTCTACCAATCTAGAATTCTATACCCAGTAAAATTATCCTTTAAAAGTAAAGAAGAAATAAAGACTTTCTCAAAAAAAGATTGAAGGAATTTGTTGCCAGTAGTGCAAGAAATGTTAAAAAGGAGTTCTTTAGAGAGAAGGAAAATGATACAGGTCAAAAACTCAGATCTACATAAAGGTATAAATCTAACGAAATAAGTGTAAGACTTTACGAGGAAAAGTACAAAGCTCTGATGCAAGAAACCAAAAAATAAGAAATAAATTGAGACATATTCCACATTCGTGGATAGGATGGCTCGGTATTTTCAAGATGTCAGTTCTTCCCAACTTGATCTATGGATTCAATGCAATTCCAATCAATATTCCAGCCAAGTTATTTTGTGGATAACAACAAAACAATTTTAAAATTTATAGGGAGAGGCAAAAGATCTAGAATAGCTAACACATTATTAAAGGAAAAGAACAAATTTGGAAGATTGACACTACCTAACTTACAAAACTACGGGCAGTGTAGTATTAGTGAAAGAACAGACAAATGGATCAATGGAACAGAAAGAGAACCACATAAATATGATAAAAGTGATCTTTGGAAAAGGGACAAAGTCAATATAAAGAATAAAAGATAGTTTCTTCAAAAAACTGTGCTAGGTCAACTGGACATTCACAAACAAAAACATGAATCTAGATACAGACCTACATCCTTCCCAAAAATTAATTCAAATGGATCACAGAACTAAATATAAAAAGCAAAACTATGAAACTATTAGAAGATAACATAGGAGAAAATCTAATTGACCTTTGGTTTGGTGATGACTTTTTAAAACAACACCAAAAGCATGAACCATGAAAGAAATAACTGATAAGTTGAACTTCATTAAAATTAAAACTTTCTTCTCTTTGAAAGACACCATCAAGAGAATGAGAAGACAAGCCACAGAGTGGGAGAAAATATTTGCAAAAGACACATCTGTTAAAGGACTGCTTCCCAAAATAAAAAAAGAACTCTTAAAACTCAACAATAAGGAAGTTAACAATCCATTTTAAATAAGGGCAAAAGATCTGAACAAACATCTCACCAGAGAAGATATACAGATGGCAAACAAGCATACAAAAAGGTACTCCAAATCATAGGTCATCAGGGAAATGCAAAATTAAAACATGATACCACTAAATACCTGTTAAAATGGCCAAAACCCAAAACACTGACAAGATCAAATCCTGGCGAGAATGTGAAGCAATAGGAACTCTCCTTCACTGCTGGTGGGAATACAAAATGGTACAAGCACTTTGGAAGACAGTCTGGCAACTTCTTACAAAATTAAACATACTCTTACCATGCAACACAGTGATTGCATTCTTTGGTATTTACCCAAAGGAGACAAAAATGTATGTCCACACAAAGCCTGCAAACTCACATTTTTAGCAGTTTTGTTCATAATTGCCAAAACTTGGAAGCAAATTAGATGTCCCACAGTAGAATGGAAAAACTGTGGTACTTCCAGATAATGGAAAAGTTTTCAACCCTAAAAAGAAATGAGCTATCAAGCCATGAAAAGTTATGGAGAAAACCTAAAATATGTATTATGAAGTGAAAGAAGACAATTTGAAAAAGCTACATATTGTATGAATGTAACTATATGGAGACAGTAAAAAGATGAATGTTGCCAAGGATTAGGCCAGAGGGAGGGATAAACAGATGAAACATTACGGATTTTTAAGGCAGTAAAACTATTCTGTATGATACTACAATAGCGGACACATGTCATTGTACATCTGTCCAAACCCATGAAATATATAACACCAAGGGTCACCCCTAGTGCAAACTATAATCTTTGGGTGATAATGATATGTCAATGTAGGTTCATCAATTATAACAAATGTACCACTCTGTTGAGGAATATTGATAATGGGAGAGGCTAGGCATGTATAGCGACAGAGTATACAGGAAATCTCTGTACCTTCACTTAATTTTACTGTGAACCTAAAAGTGCTCTAAAAATAAAGTCTAGCCAGGCATGGTGGTTCATGCCTATAATCCCAGAACTTTGGGAGGCTGAGGCAGGAGAACTGCTTGAGCCCAGAAGTTAAAGACCAGCCTGGACAACATAGGGAGACCCTGTCTCTACAAAAAAATTTTAAAAATTAGCCAGGTGTTGTGGTGTGCATCTGTAGTCCCAGCTACTCAGGAGGCTGAAGTGGGAGGATTGCTTGGGGCCAAGAGGTTGAGGCTGCAGTGAACCGTGGTCACGCCACTGCATTCCAGCCTGGGCAGGAGTAAGACCTTGTCTCAAAAAAATTAAATTAAAATCTATTTAAGAATAATAAAGCTAGGTGCAGTGGCTCACACCTGTAATCCCAGCACTTTGGGAGGCCGAGGCAGGCGGATCACGAGGTCAGGAGTTTGAGAACAGCCTGACCAACATGGCGAAACCCCGTCTCTACTAAGAATACAAAAATTAGCTGGGCGTGGTGGCATGTGCCTGTAATCCCAGCTACTCAGGAGGCTGAGGCAGGAGAATTGCTTGAACCCGGGAGGCGGAGGTTGCAGTGAGCCGAGATCGCGCCACTGCACTCCAGCCTGGGTGACAGAGCGAGACTCCATCTCAAAAAAAAAAAAAAAAAGAATAAAGTAATTTCAATATAAATTTAGAAAAGATATAATGTATACATACACACGCACACACACAAATACATATGTTAACATCACTTCTTTCTTTCATCCATAAAATGATGTAGAATTTACTCAAATGGAATTGTTAGCCCTGGAAGTAGAAAATGAATAGATGATCAAGTCAACAAAAAGCTTATTTCTGAGACAATCTTATTACCAGCAAATAATTGGTATTGGCAAACAACTGCTGCTAAGAGAGACAATCAAATATAATGAAACACATCATACTAGAACACATCACCACCCGTAAAGTCGCCTTGCTCTTCCTGACATCCCCCCACCAAATATCTGTTGAAATCTCTAGATTTAACTACACAATTACAGGATATGAAGAGAAAATAACATGTTAAACTATATACCACAGGAAAAGAATTGGCAAACTCCAGAATGGGGGAAACTTCACAGAATAAACTGTCAGCTTATTCAACAAATAAAACACAAGGATAAAAGAGTGTTGGAGTACATAAAGGTTTTAAAAGACTTAACAAAACATAATATAACATATAGACTTTATTTGGACCCTGGTTCAACAAACTGTTAAAAGCACATACATACTACTATGGTTTGAATTTGATCCCTCCAAGCCTCAAGCTGAAATCTGATCTCTAACGTTGGAGGTGAGACCTAATGGGAGGTGTTTGGGTCATGGGTGTGGATCCTTCATGAATAGATTAATGTCCTGTCCTCCCTGGGGCAGGGAAGAGTGAATGAGTTCTCCCTAGGTTAGTTCCTAGGAGAGCTGGTAGTTAAAAAGAGCCTGACTCTTGTTCTCTAGCTTCCTCTCTGGCCAGGTGATCTCTGCAAACACCACCTCCTCATCACTTTCCACTGTGAGTAGAAGCTGTGAGAGGCCCTCACCAGAAGCCTAGCAAATGCTGGCACGGTGCTTCTTGTATAGCCCCTGAATCATGAGCCAAATAAACGTCTTTTCTTTATAAATTACCCAGCCTCAGATATTCCTTTACAGCAACACAAAACAGATTAAGACACACACTTATGATATTTATGAAACAACTGGAAATTTGAACCCTAACTACATATTTGATATTATAGAATTATATGAAAAAAAAACTTTATAGAGTGTGATGATGGTATTGTGACTGACAAAAAATTTTTTCTTTTAAAAATACATTGAAATATTTACAAGTGAAATGTTATAACTTGGACTTGCTTCAACATAATACAGCACAAGGGTAAGTAGTCTAGGGTGTAACACAAAAAACTGGATACACACTGATAATTGTTTAAACCAAGTAATAGGTAAATGAAGGTTCATTATTTTATTCCACCTACTTGAGTATTTGTTTGAAATGCTAAATACCCTAATAAAAAGTTTTAAAAAATTCCTTTAGTGAATGCCCTCAAAATTTCATTATGAAGAAAAAGAAATACTTTAATACAAATATCCTTAATAAAAGTATATAAACTGAGAAGCAGTAAAGAAAAAAAGCCATTGAAAAATATTTTCTGATACACTAGAAGATTATCAGCAGGATCTTTAGTGATCTGACTAATGCCACACTACTCATATATTCTTGATTTCCTTTTTAGTTGAACAGGTTTTAAGAGTAGTGACTAATTTAAAAAACAAAAACAAAAACAAAAACAAATTGTCAGTTGTTTGGCTAGAAGTAAGGATAGATGGGACTTAATGGTTAGTTCTTGAGTGTGAGAGACTGAGTAACAAAGAGCTTAGATTCCCTGCTACAGTCTACCTGTATGTTAATTGTGGGGACAGATTGTCAGCTTCCTTTGGTTATTGCTGAAATAGGCTGTATAACATTTTGCAATTGTAAGAACCCTACAATTGGTTACTTATTAAGCTTTTAAAAAACTGATTCTCATACAGTTTCTGTTACCCAATAAATTGTATGGTACCTTTCAACAGTACATACTTTTAAAGGATTTACTTGATGAATGAATTAATATTTTTAGTAAATCCTTGCTCAAGCATCTCCCAAATAATGACTATTACCACCTGGTATCAAAGGATGATTACTTGATAATGGTACATAATTACATACTAAATAATAAATGAATATATAATGAAACAATGACAAAAAATATTACAGGACCTTAAGAACTTTTTAAATGGTGATAACATATATATCCTTTTGTATCTTTTGAATTTTAAAACATTTCAGCTGACTGCAGTGGTTCACGCCCATAATTCCAGGGAGACTGAGGCGGGAGGACTGCTTGAGCTCCGGAGTTCAAGACCAGCCTGGGCAACATGGTGAAACCCTATCTCTACAAAAAATACAAAAAGTAGCCAAGCGTGGTGGCACACGTCTGTTGTCCCAGCTACTTGGGAGGCTGAGGTGAGAGGATGGCTTCAGCCCGGGAGGTGGAGGTTGCAGTAAGCCGAGATCGTAACACTGCACTGCAGCCTAGGCAACAGAGCCAGACCCTGTCTCAAAAACAAACAAAACAAAAAAAATTTCAAAAATTTGAACCTATTTAAATACACAGGCTGGGTACGGTGGCTCTCACCTAATCCCAGCACTTTAGGGAGCTGAGGTGGGCAGATCACTTGAGGTCAGGAGTTCGAGACCAACCTGGTCAACATGATGAAACCGTCTCAACTAAAAATGCAAAAATCAGCCAGGTGTAGTGGCGTATGCCTGTAGTCCCAGCTACTTGGGAGGCTGAGATAGGGGAATCACTTGAGCCCAGGATGCAGAGGTTGCAGTGAGCCAAGATTGTGCTACTGCACTCCAGCCTGAGCAAGACTCTGTCTCAAAAAAAAAAAAAAAAAAAAAATTAAAATAGGCCAGGTGCAGTGACTCATGCCTGTAATCCCAGCACTTGGGGAGGCTGAGGTGGGTGGATCACCTGAGGTTGAGAGTTTGAGACCAGCCTGACCAACATGGAAAAACCCCGTCTCTACTAAAAATACAAAAAATTAGCTGGGCATGGTGGCAAGCGCCTCTAATCCCAGCTACTCGGGAGGCTGAGGCAGAAGAATCACTTGAACCCAGGAGTCAGAGGTTGTGGTGAGCCAAGATCGCGCCATTGCACTCCAGCCTGGGCAACAAGAGCAAGACTCCATCTCAAAAAAATAAATAAATAAATAAATAAAAAATACATTGAAATACACAAATAAAATGAAAACTTTTAAAACTAGTGGTGAAAAAAAAAAAAAGAACCAAATTTAGCAAGACTTACCTAGCAGGGGGAATTCCTCTCTTATAAAGATCCATCCTCACTTTTTCTCCCACATGTCTATAAATCTCCACTATAGCCAATATTGCAGCATCTCTCACCTGTCAAAGAATTCAGAACTTTTTAATAAACTTATATATGATACAATAAAATACTTCATCTCAAGGTAACATTACACTAACAGACCAACTTGAAGCTCTAAGTGGATTTTAATGCCCCTGCATATATGGCTTGTCATCAGTAAAAAAACAAGAGGGCCTGCCAAGATACTTCTAGAAAAAACTACTAAAAGATGATTTTACAGAAATTTGAGAAACTTGTCAATAAAAGTTACTTATTAAGCTTTTAAAAAATCTATTTGTGGCCAGGCACGGTGGCTCATGCCTGTAATCCCAGCACTTTGGGAGGCCAAGGAGGGTGGATTGCCTGATGTCAGGAGTTTGAGACCAGTCTGGCCAACATGGTGAAACCCCGCCTCTACGAAAAATACAAAAACATTAGCTGGGCATGGTGGCATGTGCCTGTAATCCCAGCTACTCAGGAGGCTGAGGCAGGGGAATTGCTTGAACCAGGGAGGTGGAGGTTGCAGTGAGCCAAGATCGTGCCACTGCCCTCCAGGCTGGGCGACAGAGCAAGACTCCATCTCAAAATAAATAAATAAATAAATAAATAAATAATAATAATAATAATAAATCTATTTGTAGGCCCGGCACGGTGGCTCATGCCTGTAATCGCAGCATGTTGGGAGACCAAGGCTGGCGGTTCACCTGAGGTCAGGAGTTTGAGACCAGCCTGGCTACCACGGTGAAACCCCATTTCTACTAAAAATACAAAAAATTAGCCCAGCGTGGTGGCACATCCCTGTAATCCCAGCTACTTGAGAGGCCGAGGCAGGAGAATCGCTTGAACCAGGGAGGTGGAGGTTGCAGTGAGCCAGGATCACGCCATTGCTCTCCAGCTTGGGCAACAAGAGCGAAACTCCGTCTCAAAAAAAAAAAAAAAAAAAAAAAAAATCCTATCTGTAGTAAGATTATGTAAACAACTGCCAATAATTATATTAATACAAATTATGATCACGGTTAATGTATTTTCCTGTATTAAGACTGCATTTCAAGAATGTGGCCTGAACTCAAACAGATACTTTTTACACTAATATTCACAACAGCATTATTCACAACAGCCAAATGTGGAAACAACCAAAATGTCCATCCACAGATAAATGGATAAACCAAATGTGCTATATACACACGATGGAATATTATTCAGCCTAAAAAAGAAGGGAAGGAAATTCTGATACATGCTACAAGATGGACGTACCTTGAAGACATTATGCTAAATAAACAAGCCAGACACAAAAGAACAAATATTCTATCATTCTACTTCTATGAGGTACACAGAACAGTCAAATTCACAAAGACAGAAAGGAGAATAGTGGTTGCCAGCAGCTGGGGAGGGGGAGGGGGCGCCGGGGGTGTGACGGGGGACTGCCAGGGACTGGGGAGTTGCTGTTTCATGGGTACAGGGTTTCAGTCTGGGAAGATGAAGAAGTTCTGGAGCTAGATGGTGGTGATGGGTGTTGCAAAACAATGTGAATGTACGTAATGCCACTGAACTTACACTTAAAAATGGCTAGAATGGTAAATTTTATATTGTATTTGCTATAATAAAAGGAAAAAAAAAGAATGTGGTCTGAATACAGGAATTTGAAAGGTAGCTCTAGTTCCCTTGCACAGCTCATTGTGAAATAGCAACTGAAGAGACAGTAGAATTCTCTGCAAACGTCTTCAGAGCAGGTAGGATCTAAAAGAAGGGAAAATCTTTCCTGAGGTCACTCCAAATCGCCAAGCTGAGCCAAAAGGTTACAGTCAAGATTCAAGTTCACCATGAGGGACATGAACCAGAACACATCCCTGTATTATACCTATAGTATAGACCAGGGATCCCCAAGCCCCAGGCCATGGACTCATATGGGTTCATAGCCTGTTCAAGGACCACAACAGGAGGTGAGCAGCAGGGAAGCAAGCTTTACCGCCTGAACTCTACCTCCTGTCAGATCGGTGGCAGCATTAGATTCTCATAGAAGCACAAACCCTATTTTGAACTGTGCATGCGAGGGGATCTAGGTCGCATACTCCTTATGAGAATCTAACTAATACCTGATGATCTGAGGTAGAACAGTTTCATCCCAAAACCATCCCTACCCCGCCCATGGAAAAACTGTCCCTGGTGCCAAAAAGGTTGGGGGCCGCTGGTATAGACAGTTCAGATAAAAAAGTTTCTAATAACTGATATACCACTGATATAAATCCTCTCTGTTAAGTAGGGTTCTTACAATTGCAAAATGTTATGCAGCCAATTTCAGCAATAACCAAAGGAAGCTGACAATCTGTGCCCACAATTAACATACAGGTAGACTGTAGCAGGGAATCGAAGCTCTTTGTTACTCAGTCTCTCACACTCAAGAACTAACCATTAAGTCCCATCTGTCCTTACTACTAGCCAAACAACTGACAAACATAAGCAACTTTCATGAATATAATGTTTTTAAAAACTAACTTTGATGGATTTTTTTTAATGAGGTAAAATCTTGATTTCAGCATCCCCCTCCACCCTCTCTCTTCTTTTTTAAAAATAGAATAAGAGGACTAGAAAAGAAATGGTAGCCAAAAAATCAGTCAATGCTTGAATGTAAATAAAATTTTACCTGACTGTTGGAGTCTCCAAACAGGATACACAAATGTGGTATCAATTTGCTGATGACTAGTGGCTGAGCCCCAAAACTAAATATAATTTGAGAAAAAAATAAAGAAAATTTGTTTTTAATAAACAGTAAACAAAATATCCTTATACCTTCTTGTCTGTAGCAATATAACAAATATAGTGGACAGGATGGGCACACATCATTAAAACATGAAGGATATGAGACATAAGCAAAAAATAATTCTAAGCAATGTAGCAAAAAATAATTCTAAGCAATGTAGTATGCAAACCTGAATAATCACAACTGACAGTGAAGACAACACATACTCTAATAGATTAAAATGTTCAACAATGGCACTCTTAAACCTAGCAACCTATGAATAACTTAAGAAAATCAGAGTTTTCACTTTTAAAATTGTGATTTTTTTAGACTCTGGTCTCAAATAAATGCATTCCAATGAAATAAGTAAATTAAAAGATCTTTATGCTTATGGCAGGAGAGCCAAAACCCAGCACAAAGAGCTGTGCAGACTGAGTACACTTATAGGCTCTAGAGGGCAGAAAGGACTATAAAGTAATAAAAGAAAATAAGTGAAAATATAGTTAAGAAAAGGAAGTAGCACTATAGGAAAAGCTGAAAGCTACTACATATGACCTATGACATTGCATAGAACCTAAAAAAATAATCCACAGCAAGAACAAAAGTCCTAGCATTTTTTCAGATCAGAGTCATAGTTCTGTGGCAACTACGGCAGCCAGAACTCTACACACAGCTACCAGCCTCACTGTCCAGTTACCTGGGAAAGTTTTGCTTGGTCTATGATTCTGGTACCCACCCACACTGCTCTAGGGGTAGGGTGGGGATGGGAAATGACTATAATATGTGAAATATCATTGAATTAAAAGCAATTCCAAATTCAATCCAGAACAGAAGTAGATACTAAGTTATCAGCATATCAGTTCCATGACCATCTGTTTTGGGTGGCTACTATTAACATACTAAAGAAAAAAAGAGAAACACTTATTACTGACATAACTGAAAAATTAAGAACATGAAAGATAACATACACAAAAAATGAACAGTAAAGGTATCAAATGAAGTTATATGCTTTAATAATTTTAAATGTGTTATTACCATAGCTTTCCTTGACTTTGTGAACTGAGGTTTTTTTTAGAGAAATAAAAAACAAGACAGTTATTTTCAGTAATCATAAAACTTACATGTTTAAGGTTTCAATAAGACACAGACACACGCCTTCTCGAGATCGAAAATTCTTGTGTTTAAAACCAGAAGCCAACTGCTCCCAAATGTACTATTTGAAAGAAAAGTAAAAACGTATAACAAAAAACTAAATTATTCATGTTATAATCTTTTATTTCTTCCCAATCTTACTACCAACCTTATCGGTAACTGAATGTTTTCATCAGACTGTTGTTCATTTCTCCACTACTTACAAGTTTTTCTAAGCCAAATTACACAATTGCTCTCACCCATTTTTATTACCTTAATCACATTTTAGTACTTATATATATTTCACTTTAGATTTTGATATTCTCAGAAGAACCATGTCCAACAACTGAAAACCTTAGAATTTCCAAGGACACAGGATTTCTTCTATAATTAAGAAACCTTCAATAACAATGCTGCCATTATAAGTCCAGCAGTCCAGTAAGTATTTAAGTGGTCCAACATTGCCTAGCAACTAATATAGACTCACATGGAACAGGCGCTTTTTTTTTGGACATTTTATAATTCAGACTTTTTTCCTTTTAATGCTGGATCCAAATTCAGAGACGTATTTGGGCAATTCATTTTATAGCTACCTACCACACTTTTCTGTTAGAAAAAGCATAGATAAACCTATACAAATAATCTAAACCAATTATTCTGGGCGTAACAAGAAATCCAACTTTATTTTTACAAACGTAAAGCCAACTGTACCAATCAATCCTTTCTCCACATTTGGAAACACCACCTTTACCCTTTACTAAATTCAAATATACAACATACACAGCCATCCTCTTTCGGTACTCAGTATTCTTTCTGGAGTCTGTATTCAGTTCTATTAATATATTTCTCTCTCCCTACCAAACTTTCAAGAAGGTGGCTTAAGAAATTACAAAAAAAAAAAAAATCTTAAATGTGAGTAACCTGACTCACCAATACTACCTCAGGAATGCTATTCCATATAAATACCTATATTTATGTTCAAAGATAGAAGTACAAGGGATGCCCCTTATGGTACTGTTTGTAGTCACAGAAAGCCAAAAACAACCTAAAATGTAAATGAATAAACGAGAGTGGAAGGATACCCACCACAATATTTAAAAAAAAAAAAATTAGTTCTGAAATATAAAATATTTGGGAAAACATAGTAACCACCTGTGAAAAAATTTTCTTCTGCTCTCTGTAGGAGTTGCAGAAATGAACAATATAGCATTCAGTGTTCTCAAAATAAGCTTTCTCAATAAACATTTTATAATTTACAAAAAAGAGAAACCAAAAAATCCTAAAGTATAACATAATCCGTATACTGTCAAATCACTGAAATCTATTAGTTAGCTTTTAAAAAAAAAGCATTAAGAGTACAAAATAAGAATCAGAAGCAAAAAACCAGAAAGTCAAACATTGACACTGTATCTTAAATATCAACTTCTTAACAGTATTAGCAACAAATCATTGCTTAAAATTTCAGTGTTCATGCTTGCTGTGGCTTTAATGATTTCCTGTGATTACCATTAGCAAAATCTGAATTTTAAAATGTAGGCTTACCATAGGTGGTGCTACTTGATCCATTAACTTCAATATCAGAGTCTGAGCTTCATCTCGAACCTTGTCTTTGGCATCTCCCATTCTGTCTATTAAAGCTACAATAACTAAAGAAGGGGAGGGAGTAAAAGAGTAATTACTTATAACTCATCTCCATTAAAAACTATATTTTTCAAAATTACAAATAGCAATTGTTTCCATAAATGAAGAGTTGTGAGGTAAAGAAATTGTTTTAAGTTCTTTACACATGAATCCAATAAAAAATAACTGAGCAGTTTCACAAGAATACATGCAGCATGATATCTCCTTATAATAATGTTAAAAAAACAGCAAAACTAAATATTATTTTTCTCAGAGAAATGTATAGACGAGGGGACAAGGAGGAAGTAGAATTCAAAGGGAACAGGTTCTAAAGTCAGTTCATAGGGCCAAAGTATCTCATAGTCAAAATTATCTTCCTGTAATCCCTTAAATTACCACTACCATTTAGTGTGGTCGTACTAGGTGTGTGACCAAATGTCTATTTTTTAGACACCTTTTGTCTATTTCCTCAGCCGTAAATGTGGGTAGCAGTACTCATCTCAGAGGATTATTGAAAATTAAAAAATAATACACATAAACAACTCAAAGAGTAAAGGGCACAGAGTAAGCACTTTCTATAATATGCCACCTACTATCACTATCACTATCATCATTCTGCATGTTCAAAAGCAAGAAAATTTGCCTTGTTTCTCTTTTGATATTACAGCTATACAGTAGTCCCCCCTTATCCACAGCTTTACTTTCTGTGGTTTCAGTTACCCATGGCCAACTGTGGTCTGAAAATATTATATGGAGAATTCTAGAAATAAACAACTCATAAGTTTTAAATTGTGCACCATTCTGAGTAGCATGATGAATTCTTGGACTGTCCCGCTCCATTCGGTATGGGATGTGAATCCTTCCTTTGTCCAACATACCCGCACTGTTCATGCTACCTGCCTATTAGTCCCTTAGTAGCTGTTTTGGTTATCAGATCAAAAACACATCGCATGTATAGCAGCAGTCCCCAGTCTTCTTGGCATCAGGGATTGGTTCTGTGGAAGACAATTTTTCCACAGTGGCAGGGGGTGGGGAGGATGGTTTTGGGATCAGGCATCATAAAGAGTGCACAATCTAGATCCCTCAATATGCACAGTTCACAATAGGGTTCGTGCTCCTTTGAGAATCGAATGCTGTGGCTGATGTGACAGGAGGCAGAGCTCAGGTGGTAATGCTCACTTGCTGGCCACTCATCTCCTGCTATGCAGCCCAGTTCCTAACAGGTCATGGACTGGTTTGGACTATCGGAGGCTTCAGGAATCCACTGGGGGTCTTGGAACACAGCCCCTGAAGATAATGGGGGACTACTACATAGCTTTTCTTTCTCTGAATCAACGGAGGACTAAGTCTAGTTTAAACAAGGGAAGGAGAAAGAAACAGATCAAGAAAAATATTTCCCTGGTTTATTTATAGACACATATAATTAAATGTGTATATAATTTGAAGCCAATCTATTATCTATAATGTAATAACCAAAACTGATATAGTAATGAACAAGAGTTAAAGAAAAAAGAAATTACATTCTTTTTGGGAAAAAAAATGACTAGAGTGAGAAGGCAACATGCCAAATGGAAAGATATTAAGCTTAATCACAGAAATGATTGTGTAAGAAATCAATGTCCTCAACATAAGAATCATAAGTCTAATTATGAGGCAACGTTCATCAATAGGAACAATATAAATTCTTCTCATACATCTTGGATGTACTGTTAACACTAGAAGAATTTATCAACATCTATAAGGTTGGCCATTATGGGCTTCTGGTTCTGATAGCTTCTGAAAGGCAGAAGACAATAGTAAACACTTAACAAATGTTAGATATTATTATGCACTAACCACTGAATTATCTCATTTAATCCTTGCAACAGTCCTATGAAACAGAGTAGGCCCATTTGATAGAGAAGGCACAGCAGGATTAAATAACTTATCCAAGGTCATGCAAACAACAAGTAGTGAAACCAGGTTTTTAATAATTTATACTGGCCAGGTGCAGTGGCTCTCACCTGTAATCCCAGCACTTTGGGAGGCCAAGGCAAGTGGATCACTTGGGGCCAGGAGTTTGAGATCAGCCTGGCCAAAATGACAAAATCCCATCTCCACTAAAACTATAAAAATTAGCCGAGCGTGATGATGCGTGTCTGTAGCCCAGCTACTTGGGAGGCTGTGGTGGGAGGATGGTTTGAGCCCAGGAGGCAGAGGCTGCAGTAAGCTAAGATCACACCACTGCACTCCAATCTAGGCAACAGAGTAAGACAGTGTCTCAAAAAAATAATAAATAAATAAATAAATATCTATACAATGTGTGATCAAAGTCATAACCATCTCCATTTTCCATTTACTTATAATTTGAGGTGTTTGAGTGTGTGTGCATATTTTAACAACCATATAACAATAATGGAAAAAGAAAAGACACTTCATTCCTGAGAGGTGAAATTTAACTCCAACAAGAAAATTCAAATGTTGGCCCAAACAGGGGCTCACTTTAATATTAAAAACCATTTTACGAAACATAAACAAAAACAAAAAACTTCACATTACATAAAATTATTACAGCTAATAATTTAAACAAGAAATTCATACTGTTTTTGCACTGGATCGCTTTTTAACACATACTACCTTGAAGTCAAATAGAACAAGACTGTATTCCTAACTCTACCAGTTACTAATTACAAAACAGAAAATTCCCTGAACTTCAAAGTTTCCTTGTCTGTAAAATACGGAAGGATGACAGAACTATACCTCACATGACTAGTGACAGGATGAAGTAAAATAAGGAAAAAGCACCTGTACCAAGCCCATGATCATTGAATTATCATTTAATATGATGAATATTCAACAAATATTTATTGGGTATCCAGAACAGAATTTTTCACTCAATAGGCTCTCCATATGAATGTGTTAAACAAATGAATCAATCTATCACAGACTGGAATTTGGACAATGACACATGGAAGAAGTCTGAAACGTAACTCTTAGTATTTTTTTTTCTTTTAGCTTCGTACAAGATGCAAACCATTCTAAAAAAGTGATAACCGGGTAGCCTAATTATTCTTGTATTCCTTCTACAATAACATTTTGGGTTAAAATTGTTTAAAATTTTAAAATAGTTTACAAAATTTATAAGATATGAGATCCTTTACTGAATCAGTTATAAAACCAGGGCTGGTGATCAATATTAAATGTAAATTGCATATTTTTTGTTTGAAAATTATATTTTTCCACAATATATGTGGTCACAAAAGGAAACAAATATTTTCTATTATTAATACTATGTATATAGATCATATATTTAAGAATTACATTAATAGAGCTCATACTCTTTTTGGAACTGTATCTAAAACCAAAAATGAATCTCAATTTTCCTAAAACACTTCTCACTTTTAACGTAAAAGAATATTAAAAATACATGTAATGATAACTAATAACCCGAGTGCACCAAAACTAAACATTATCTCTCAAATCAAGTTATATATATCTACAGTTAGATTATCAAAAAACCTTCCAGACATAATTCAATTCAACTCCTTCCTTTTACAGAAAGACTCCTAAAGAGATCTGGCTAAGTTCTGTAACACAGATAAAACCAAAAAGCTAACTCTGGGACTCTTAGTCCAGTTCCATACCTCTCTAAGAGCACATAGGTATGCTGCCAATCTTGCAGAGCTGTTCTACAAATTAGAAATGAAGTGAGGATAATCTTTCATGTATGTAAAGTAGTAAAAGGGTAAAAGGTAAATAGGCAAAAATGGGTAAAAAGTAGGCATTCAATTAATTGATAGCAAAGCTGTGATAAAATTTTCCTATTATACCACACTGTATATTACCCTAAAGTAATAACAAGTTCAAGTTTCATTAAGGAAAATGATGAGCACTTATGATTCAAAGTGAAAACAATATTGACTGACAGTAAATGCACAGGGATAACAGAAAGAATAGGAGATTAAAAGGAAAAACTATACATACATAAGAGTGTGTGAACATGTGCCATCTAGTTGCACAAATACAAATGAAAAACACTAACCAACAAAAGTAAGTTAATGTAATTTATTAAGTATTTAACTGTATTAAGAATCACAGAGTAAAGAAAAATTCAATGTGGGGTGAGGTTAACCTGAAAATTCCTGAGATTCTCAAATCTGAAGTACATTTTTAGAAGGGAAAGAAAGGACCATGGAGAAGAGGGGAAGATTTCAAAACGAAATAAGGGCACAGCAGATGCACAAACAAGTTCAGCTAGGCCTAGAAAGAGTGAGCAAGTTTCTGATTAGCTTAGAGTGAAGACAAAGTACTTGCTAAAGATTACAAAGAAAAAGTCTACTGAGATGGAGAAGGAACATATATGGTAAAAGACAGCTTAAGAGAATTAAGTTCTGAAAGGAGGGCAGTGTTGGGAGTCAAACTAGAATTCTGGTTCCAATATTCCCATTGCCTCAATATGAGTGTAGTCAGTACATAAAACCCCATGTGGTACTCCTGGTGTCTGAAAAATAAGTGAGATACATAATACCTAGAACTATTCTTAAGTCTAAATTTTCTCTGTAGCAATTAATAACAGGGAGCTACTACAGGGCAACAGTCACAAACACAAATGTTTATGGTCAAGGAGACACAGGAAATGCTGAAATTGAGCCAGTTTAAGAAGTGCAGTATTCCAACCTTACCATATCATACCTAACTTTCTCAGTTACGAAGAGACAAGAGGATTTTGGGGGTGGAGGAGGTTTTACGAATTGGAAAGATCATCACCTAGACACAGGAGAAACTACAAAGCAACTTCTGATCAGCATCACTACATTAGGCAATTTCTTGAGACAAGCCAGAAATAAGAATTTTCATGTAAAACTTCTCAATTTTAAACACTGATTCAAAATATTTTAAGAAAATACAGGCTGGGCATGGTGGCTCACACCTGTGGTCCCAGCTACTCAGGAGGCTGAGGTGGGAGGATCACTTGAGTGTTGAGGAGGCTGAGGCTGCAGTGAGCCACGATCATACTACTGCACTCCAGCCTGGGTGACAGAGCAAGATCCCATCTCAAAAAAGAAAAACAAAGGAAGGAAAGAAAATAAAGAGACAGACAGAGACAGTGAGAGAAAGAAAGAAACAAAACATAAACAAGTAAAATACTTGCAGAGCAGTTTTCAATATCTACTATAGTTTTTTTTTTTTTTTTAAAGAGATAGAGGTTTACTCTGTTGCCCAGGGCTTGGTGGTGCAATCTTAGTTCATTGTAACCTTGAAATCCTGGGCCCAACCTCCCATCTCAGCCTTCAGAGTAGCTAGGACTACAGGCACACACCAGTAAGCCTGCTAATTTTTTTTTTTTTTTTTTTTGGTAGAAACATGGTCTCACTCTATTGCCCAGGCTGGTCTCAAACTCCTGTCCTCAAGCAATCCTCCTACCTTAGCCTCCTAAACTGTTGGGATTACAGGTGTGAGCCAGTGAGTCCATGGGCCTACTATAGAGTTGTAAGGGGAGACTAACAGCTTAAAAAAAAAAATCTTTTCAGAAAATATTAACACAAAGGATGAAGTGGAACCTGGTGTTGATTAAAACTAAATAATAAAGATAGGAAACCCCATCAGATGCTTCTGTTGAAAAGATAACTAGAAAATAAAAGAAAAAACTGACAGAATGGTAGGTAGCATACCAAACATGAAGAAAAAAGTTAACCAAACATATCAAAAAGTTAAATGTGATGATATACTGATATTAGGAGGCATTAACTTAATCCACAAAAGAAAATCACTGGCCAGGCATGGTGGTTCATGCCTATAATGCTAACACTTTGGGAGGCCGAGGTGAGAGGACTGCTTGAGCCCAGGAATTCAAGACCAGCCTGGGTAACATAACAACACCCCATCTCTATTTTAAAATACAAAAGAAAAAAGCAAAGAAAATCACTAACATCTGAGGCTACCCTTCTATATGCTATATAATGCTGCTATATAATAGGATCAAATCCACTTATAACATACTCTAAAGGTACATGAAGGTCATTTGGGTTTAGAAAATAAGTCAGAGCCAACTTTGTAATCCTAATAACCATACAAAGAAGAGCATTATCCTACCATATGCACTGTACTACAAACACACTGTAAGTAAGTGCTATTCAAAGTATGATCTACAGCCTAGGATCAATCTACAGACTGTCTATGATAAGGAAATTTAGAGTACTTAGAAAATGTTTTTAAAGCAATTTGACCAAAGAAATTTTGTTTGTTGCATCTAATGATAAAAAATTGGGTCTTGTTTTTTTTTTCATTTAATTTTGCTATAATTTATTCTTATTGTATTTTATAAAATATTGGTCTGCAACATGCTGGCAATGAAGAAACTGATCCTTCCCCATAAATAGTCTGAAACATGGCACTGTAAGTTATATTACAAATTGTGGCATTTCACAAAATAGTAAAAGATCCAGTAAAAACAATTTTCTTTCTTTCTTTTTTTTTTTTTTTTTTTTTTTTTGCCTCAAAGGTGATTTAAGTAAGTTTAAAACCTTGTCTCTGGGTAAACTGAAATGCTAAGTAGCAGATCTCTGGGTTACATAACATTACTTTTTTTTTTTTTTTTGAGACAGAGTCTTGCTCTGTCACCCAGGCTGGAGTGCAGTGGCATGATCTCAGCTCACTGCAACCTCCACCTCCTAGGTTCAAGAGATTCTCCTGCCTCAGCCTCCCAAGTAGCTGGGATTACAGGCACACGCCATCACACCTGGCTAATTTTTGTATTTTTTGTAGAGACACGGTTTTGCCATGTTGGCCAGGCTGGTCTCAAACTTCTGACCTTTGGTGATCTGCCTGCCTCGGCCTCCCAAAGTGCTGGGATTACAGAAATTACATTTTTTTAATTTACAGAGAACTATTTCTGCTAAATAAAAACTAACGAAAAAAGTCATCATGTCAAATCTTATTTAGAATTGTAAATAAACAAAGTTAACTTACCCATTGCTACATAGGATTTAAAGCGTGTTGATAATCTGTCCACAAAGGCACTTAAAATTTCCAATCCCATTAATGATACCTACAGATAAAAAGGGATTTTAATGAATATAAATTACTGATGCATACTTTAATATCAGTATTTAATTTTTGACATATAAAAGATCTTCATAAATATATTACATTTTTTAAAAATGAGATTTAAGTATTCAAGGGTAAACAGTCATGAGGTTAAGCACCCTAATCTCAAATGATTCAACAATAAAAACAACAATAATAACGTGTAAACAGGAAGATAGCAATAAAGCATATTTGGCACAATGCTAACTAGTAAATTAGACAAAGGTCACACAGGAGTTTACTGACTCTACAGTCATGCATCACTTAATGACAGGGATAAATTCTAACAAATGTATCATCAGGTAATTTTGTTATTGTGCAAACATCAGAGTGCATTTACACCTAGACAGTATAGCCTACTACAAACCTAAGCTATATGGTATATCCTATTGCTCCTAGGCTACTACCTGTACAGTATGTTACTGTGCAAAATACTCTAGGCAACTGATAATACAATGGTATTTGCGTACCTAAACATAAAAAGGTAATGCAAGCACAACATTGCAACAATTATGACGTCACCAGGCAATAGGAATTTTTCAGCTTTATTATAATCTTATGGGACCACCATTGTATATACAGTCCATCATTGACCACAATGTTGTTATGTGGTATGCATAACTATATTTGTAACTTTGAAATGTTTCCTAAATGTAACAGTTAAAAATGTAGGCCTCTTTAATTACAGAGGAATTTCATCTTCTGTCTGGGATGTAGAAACTGGAAAGAATATCCCTCTCATTCTAACAAGAAAAAGCCCACTGGGTCTACAAAATCATGACTGTTCTTGAATCCATCAAAAAGCTAAGGCTGGAGAATAACCAACTAACCTGAAATCTAAACAAAGACATGGGACACAGGCAGTAGGTCACATGTGACAGAGGACAGGAGGAAAATAAACCCATGATGTAAGTGGGTAAGAAGAAGTCAGTTATACTTAACAAAACTATTTACAACTGAGTGTGGGCTAGCATGAAAACACAACTAGCCACAGACACAAGGAGAACTCATACCTACTTACAGGCTCTAGTTCACACCTACTTGCAAGCTCTTTCTCCACAAACCTCCACTGGACACTCTTAAGACTAAGGGCTGAGAAGGATATTGGATAAAGTATCTCTTGGTGGTACAGTCCTGGGGGAAGGAAACCGCTGCCTGTGCAGGAAAGGCACAAAGGCTCCTAGTACCCTTGTCCCGTAAGAAACAAAAGCTTGAAGCTAAGAAATAAAAGTTTGAAGCTCCTCAGTGAAGGATATCAAACACTGTTACGCCTAAGGCACAGGTAAAACTCAATGCTATTAAGGAGAGGAAAAAGATAAAAAGCCTTCTACCCCAGAGGAAGGAGCAGAAAAACATCCTGGGGCCCATATAATTAAAGGTCTCTAGTTGGGGAAAGCCATGGTCTTTATAAAGCCTTACCCCAAGACTCAGAACAAAAAGCTTCCTAAGACTGAAGCTAGACCAGAAAAACAAAGAATGACGCTGTTTCCCCCAACCAGACCAGCAAGCATGAAATAAGAAGCAACAGCAGTCTACCAGTGGGGAAGGGGCAAGAACACGAAGAAGAATCCTCTATGAAGCACAAGAAAATAGGGAAAACCTAAAGTGCAGAGTTGAGTAGAAACTTGAGGAAAACCCTTCATAAAATTAACCAAGTGACAAAAAAACTGAAGCAAATATGAACTAAAGCAACTATAGCAATCATAACATTGAAACCTAACTCAACTCCTGACTAGACTGACTGCATAGCTCCACACTATATGTAAGTTTAGCAGAAAAAAGGCATGTCATCTCCAGGCATAAGTACTATTTAACTTGCTCTTAAACATCTTAAACACTGTCCAGTTTTCAACCACACATTATGAGACACACAAAAAAGCAAGGAGGGATAAATACCAATATCAAGAATAAAGCATGGAACAAAATACATAGATAATCTGAAAGCTGGAATTATCAGACCATTTAAATAACTGTGATTAATGTAGTAAATGTTCTAGTTAAAAGAGCCAACAACATGCAGGAATAAAAGGAATTCCAGCAGAGAGACCAAAACTTTAAGGCAGAGTCAAAATACAAATAATTTTTTAAATGCATTAAAAGCAAGGTAAAAGTGATTAAGATGCCTTTGATGGGTTCATCAAAAGATTTGATACAGAGAAGGAAAGAATCAGGGAATCTGAAAATACGTTCATACAAATTACTCAAATTGAAATACAAAAAGGAACAAAAAGGGAAGGGGAGAGACAAAGCATTCAAGAGCAGTGGGATAATACTAAATTGCCCAACATAATGTCATAGGAATTCTAGAAGAGAGAACAAGGTAGAAGAAATATTTGGAGGGAAAATGGCCAAGAATATAGGAAAAATAATGAAAGGCATCAAACCATACATCTAAGTCTCAGAAAACCCCCAAACAGAAAATTCCAAAAAACACCAAGACACATCCTATTCAAACTGTTAAAACCAAAGGAAAGAAAAATCTTAAAGTCAATGAGAAAAAAACAAAAGGACATTAAATACACAAGTACAGAAGATTTCCGGCCAAAAAGTATGAGAGTAAGGAGACAATGGAATGACATTGTTACAGTATAGTAGTCCCCCCTTATCTGTTTAAGTAATACATCCCAAGACCCCAGTGGATACCTGAAACCACAGACAGTACTGAGACCTATATATAAATTTTCCTACAAATATATACCTATGATAAAGTTTAATTTATAAATTTGGCACAGTAAAAGATTAACAATAATAAAGTATAATAACCATAACAATATACTATAACAAAAGTTACGTGTGTCTTGTCTCTCTTAAAATTTATATTGTACTTACCTGCTTTGGGACTACAACTGACCACAGGTAAGTGAAACCGTAGAAAGCAAAACCACAGATTATTGTACTACCAAAAAAAAAAAAAAAAAGAATGCTGTCGCTTCATAATTCTATACCTAGTTAAAATAAAAGATATTTTAAAAGACATTTTAAAACTAAAGGAGAAATAAAAAGTTTTTCAAACAAACAAAATCTAATAGAATTCATTACAAGAGACCTGTATCACAAGAAATGTTAAGGGAAAATCTTCAGGGAAAAAAATACATGACAGCAGACAAAAACTTAGATCTACACTAAGAAATAACAGGAAATAGTTGAAATTAAAATAAATATTTAAAACCTTAAAAATAAGCTGGGAACAGTGGCTCATGCCTGTAACCCCAGCACTTTGGAAGGCAGGAAGATCACCTGAGGTCAGGAGTTCGAGACCAGCCTGGCCAGCATGGCAAAACCCCATCTCTACTAAAAATACAAAAATTAGCTGGGTGTGGTGGCACATACCTGTAATCCCAGCTACTCAGGAGGCTGAGGCACGAGAATCATCTGAACTTGGAAGGCAGAGGTTGCAGTGAGCTGAGATTGTGTCACTGCACTCCAGCTGGCAACAAAGCAAGACACTGTCTCAAACAAACAAACAAAAAAACCTTAAAAATATATGTATTTAATTACTCTAAAAACTAACTGACACTCTAAAACAAATACTAGGTCTATTGAGTTTAGTAAAGTCATGAGATAAAAGGTCACTATAAAAAAATCAATTGTGGGCCAGGTGCGGTGGCTCATGCCTGTAATCCCAGCACTTTGGGAGGGTGAGGCAGGCAGATCACCTGAGGTCAGGAGTTCGAGACCAGCCCAACCAACATGGTAAAACTCTGTCTCTACTAAAAAATACAAAAAAAATTAGCCAGGTGTGGTGGTGGGTGCCTGTAATCCCAGCTACTCGGGAGGCCGAGGCAGGAGAATCATTTGAACCTGGGAGGCAGAGGTTACAGTGAGCTGAGATCGCGCCATTGCACTCTAGCCTGGGTGACAAGAGTGAAACTCCGTCTCAAAAAAATAAAACAAAACAAACTGTGTTCCTACAGACCAGCACTCAACAATTGGGAATTTTCAAAATACTGTATCATTTACAAAACTAACAACAATCACAAAATACTTAGATATAATTCTAACAATTAAGTCCAAGATCTACATGCTGAAATCACAAAATGCTAATGAAAGTGATAGAAAAAGAGCTAAATAAATGGTATATACACACATACACATACATATATACACCAAGTTCATGAATTGGACAACTTAATATTATAAAGATTTGAAACCCCACAAATTGTTCTTGTGTGAATGCAATCCCAATCAAAATTCCAGTAGAATTTGATGCAGAAATCGACAAGCTGATCCTGAAATGTATATAGAAAGGTAAATGAATTAGAATACTCATATCAATATTGAGTAAGAAAAATGAAGTTACAGTGCAATTATCTGATTTGAAGACTTAATATAAACCTACAGTAATCAAGACAATGTGGGGGCTGTAAGAGGCACATGCCTGTAATCCCAGCACTTCTGGAGGCTGAGACAAGAGGATCGCTGGAGACCTGCCTGGGCAACATAGCGAGAACCTGTCTCTACAAAAAATTTTAAAAGTAGCTGGCCATGGTGGCACAGGCATATAATACCAGTTACTCAAGAGGCTGAAGCAGGAGGATTGCTTGAGCCCAAAAGTTTGAAGCTGTAGTGACCTATGAATGCACCACTGCACTCCAGCCTGGGTAACAGAGTAATACCCTGTCTCAAAAGAACAAACAAATATATAGATCAATGAAACAGAAGAGGCAGTCCAAAAATAGACATACACATATATAGTCAACTGATCTCCAACAACTGTGCAAAGGCAATTCAATGAAGGAAAGAAATATACTTTTTCAATAAATGGTGATGTTACAATTGGATATCCATGTGCAAAATAAAAAATGAACCTCAACCTATACATCACATCATTTACAAAAATCAACTCAAAAATGTATGAGATATAAACATAAAACCTAAAACTATAAAACTACTAGAAGAAAACACAGGAGAAAATCTTTACACCTGGAGTACACAAATAATTCTTAGAGACAACATGAAAAGAAACATAAAAGAAAAAAACATAAAAGATTCTTGGAGACAACATAAAATTTTAAAAATTGATAAAGCAGACTTCACTAAGAACTTCTGCTGTTTAAAAGACATGGCTAAGAAAATGAAAAACCCAGTCACAGATTAAGAGAAAATATTTGCAAAATACTTATCTGATAGCCAACTGGGTTCACTGTAGAGTTTAAGAAGCCTATTCTAAAATTCATATGAAAATTCAAGGGGCCCAGAATTGTCAAAACAAGCTTGAAAAAGAAAAAGTTGGAAGACTCAAATTTCCCAATTTCAAAACATCCTACAAAGCTTCTGTAATCAAGACAGTGTGACAATGGCACAAGAAGAGAAATATAAATTAATGAAATAGAACTCAGAGTCCAGAAATAAACCCATACATTTGTATGGGCAACTGATTTTCAACAAGGGTGTCAAGACCATTCAATGGGGGAATGATTCAACATATGGTACTAGGACAACTGGATGAATGCGGACCACTACCTCACACCATACATAAAAATTAACTCAAAATGAATCATAAACCTAAATGTAAGAGCTAAAACTCTATAGTTATTAGAAGAAAACATAGGGTAAATCATTGTGACCTTGGCCATGGTTTCTTAGACAGGACATAAAAAGCATAAACAACAAACAAAAAAAGAATTAGAGTTTATCAAAACTAAAAACACCTAGTCTTCAAAAAAACACGATGAAGAAAGTGAAAAGACAACCAACAGAATAGGGGAAAATAATTGTAAAACATATATCTGTTAAGGGACTTGTATCCATAAGAACTTTTACAACGTAATAGTAAAAGGACAAATAACCCATTTTTTAAAATGAGCAAACAGAAAAGAATAGAAAGTCTGGAAATACACTCACATGAATACAATCAAATGATCTCTCACAAAAAAGCAAAGGCAATATAATGAAGAAAAGATAGTCTTTTCAACAAATGGTACTGCAACAACTGAGATCCACATGCAAAACATTAATCTAGACAGAGACCTTATGCCCTTCACCAAAAATTAACTCAAAGGATCATAAAACTAAATGTAAAATATAAAACTCCTAGAAAATAACATAAGAAAAAATCTAATTGACCTTGATGTGGCAATGTCTTTTTAGATATGACACCAAAGGCATGGTCCATGAAAGAAATAACTGTTAAGATGGGCTTCACTAAAATTAAAAACTTCTGTTCTATGGAAGATGTCTACAGAATGGGAAAACAAACCACAGACTGGGGGAAAATATTTGCAAAATACACATCTGATAAAAGACTGTAATGCAAAATATACAAAGAACTCTTAAAACTCAACAACAAGAAAATAAACAACTCAAAAAATGGGCAAAAGATCCAAACAGTGCCTCACCAAAAAAGATGTAAGATATATAAACAGCAAATAAGCACATGAAGAGATTCTCAACATCGTATGTCATTAGGAATTGCAAATAAAATTATGATAGCACTACACACCTATTAAAATGGCCATAACCCAATTCACCGACAACACTAAGTGCTGACAAAGGTAGGGAGAGAGAGGAACTCTCATTCACTACTGGTGGGAATGCAAAACAGTACAGTTATTTTGGCAGTTTCTTACAAAGCTATATATACTTTCCCCCATATGATCCAATGATCATTCATGTTCCTTGGTATTTAGCCAAAGGAGTTGAAAATTGATGTCCATAAAACACCTACACACTCATATTTTTTGTTTTTGTTTTTTGCAGAGGCAGGGTTTCACCACGTTGCCCAAGCTGGTCTTGAACTCCTGGACTCAAGCAATCCACTGGCCTTGGCCTCCCAAAGGGCTGGGATTACAGGCATGCACCACCATGCCCAGCCCACACTCATGTTTAAAGCAACTTTATTCACAGTTGGCAAACTTGAAAGCAACCAAGATGTCCCTCAGTAGGTGAATGGATAAATATGTAGTACATTCAGACAATGGAATAGTATTCAGCACTAAAAGGAAATGAGCTATCAAGGCATGAATAAGACATGAAAGAATCTTAAATGTATGCTATTAAGTGAAAGAAGTTAGCCTGAAAACGCTTCATACTGTTGGAGTCAAACTGCATGACATTTGGAAAAGGCAAAACTATGGAGATGGTAAAAGGATCAGTGACTGCCAGGGATTGGGGAAGGAGGAAGTTTTAGGGAGAGCACAGAGGATTTTTAGGGCAGTAAAACTATTCTGCATAATACTATAATGTTAAGTATATTTATCAAAACCTATAGCATGTACAACACTTAGAGTGAAGCCTAATGTAAACTGTGGACCTTGAGTGATAATGATGTGTGAATGTAGGCTCATCAATTATAACAAGTGTATCACTCTGGTAGGGGATGCTGACAGTGGAGGAGGCTGTGCATTATGCAGAAGCAGGCGGACATATGAGAAATCTGTCTCTCTTACTCAATTTTACTGTGAACCTAAAACTGCTCTAAAAAAATAAAACCTATTAAAAAACAAAAATGGGCAAAGAACTTGAATAGGCATTTCTCCAAATAAGATATACAAATGGCAGCCAGGCACAGTGGCTCATGCCTGTAATCCCAGCACTTTGAGAGGCCAAAGCGGGTGGATCACCTGAGGTCAGGAGATCGAGACCATCCTGGCTAACACGGTGAAACCCCATCTCTAATAAAAATATAAAAAATTAGCTGGGCATGGTGGCACGCGCCTGTAGTCCCAGCTACTTGGGAGGCTGAGGCAGGAGAATCACTTGAACCTGGGAGGTGGAGGTTGCAGTGAGCCGAGATTGCACCACTGCACTCCAGCTTGGGTGACAGATGGAGACGCAGTCTAAAAATATATATATACATATATATATATATGAATGGCTTATAAGCACATGAAAAGATGCTCAACATTATTAGTCATTAAAGAAATGCAAATCAAAACCACAATAAGATACTACCTCACACCTACTAGGAAAATGGAAAATGTCAAATGTTGGTAAGGACGTAGAGTGATTGGAACCCTTATATGCTGGTGGTGGGAATGTAAAATGGTGCAGCCATTGAAGAAAACAGTTTGGCAGTTCCTCCTAAAGTTAAACATAAATTTACCACATGGCCCAGGAATTCCACTCTTAGGTATATACCCAAAGGAAGTGACTCAAACAGATACAGCCATACATACTTGTACGTCAATGTTCACTGCAGCATTATTCACAATAGTCAAAGGTGGAAACAGCCCACATGTCCACCAACTGATGCACAGATAAACAAAATGTAGTATATGCATACAACAGAATTTTACTCATCCATAAATACGAATGGCTGATACATGCTATAACATAGATTAACCTTGAAAATATCATAGTTCAATGAAGCTAGTCACAAGAGGCTACATGTTATATGGTTCAATTTATAAGAAATGTCTACAATAGGTAAATCTATAAAGATAAGAAGTAGAATAGTGGTAGCTTAGGACTAGGTTGGGGTGGGTATGGAGGGTGGTATAATAGCTAAAAGGTAAAGAGTTCTTTTGGAGGTGATGAAAATGTTTTAAAATTTACTGTGGTGATGGGTGCACAAACCTGTAGCTATTACAAAATCAATGTAATATACACTTCAAATGAGTGAATTATACAGAATGAGATATCAATAGAGCTGTTAAAATTTAAAATCCAAAATAGACTCAATTACACATATATGAGCCAAGCAGTATCTCAAATAAGCAGGAAAAAATGTGTACTCTTAAGAATATACTTAGGAATCTATCCCCAAGATATACAAGTAAAATTATGAAAAGACATGCAAAAATTATTCACTACAAGAGACTGGAAACTATCCAAACATTCATCAATATGGGACAGATTCAGTAAACCATGGTGTATCCACACTACAGGATACTATGACACTTTAAAAATAAAAATGAAGACTACCCTAATTCTGCTATGCAATGATTTCCACAGTATACTGTTAAGTGAAAAAAGCAAAGTTGGGAAAAGTATGTATATCAAAAAAAGGGGAATTAAATAGATATAGACAGACATAAATGTTTATAAAAAACAATGATGGCTGGGTGCGGTGGCTCATGCCTGTAATCCCAGAACTTTGGGAAGTCAAGGTGGAAGCATCACCTGAGCCCAGGAGTTTGATACCGGCCTGCACAACATGGCAAGACCCCATCTCTACAAGAAATAAAAAATTAGGCATGGTGTCATGCGCCTGTGGTCCCAGTTGCTGGGGAGGCTGAGGTGGAAGGATCACCTGAGCCCGGGACGTCAAGTCTGCAGTGAGTCATGATGGTGCCACCGCACTCTAACCTGGGCAACAGAGTGAGATCCTCTCCCAAAAAACACACAAAAAACACACAAAGACACAATGATGGAAAATAAAGTTTTAACGGTGAGAACAGGATACAAGGAACAGAGAAAGAAACTAGAGTTATTTGAAGATATCTTCTTTTAGCAACAACTATTTTGAAAATGAAATAAAATAAATGAATCTAAATTTACATCAAGTTAGTAGCATAACCACACAAAAGACTATTTTCAAGTGACTTGAAACACAGTAATTTGGCTCTATCTTGTCAATGGGACATATCCTACAGACAAAAACAAAACTCTGAAAAATACAGTTAACAGTCTTTATAAATCTTATTGTTGTTGACAGAAAAAAGATACAGACAGAAGACAGAAGTAAAAACTGTAGTCTTAAATCTGAATTAGAAATATCAGTATGAACTCATGACATATTTTTCTTTAAAATTAAAATAAAATCTAGGTCAGGTGTAGTGGCTCATGCCTGTAATCCCAGCACTTTGAGATGCCAAGACGGGAGGAATGCTTGAGCCCAGGAGTTCGAGACCAGCCTGGGCAACATAGGGAGACCCTATCTCTAGAAAAAAAAATTTTAAAGTTAGTTGGGCATGGTGGTGTGCGCCTGTAGTCCCAGCTAGTTGGGAGGCTGACATAAGAGCACTGCTTGAGCCCAGGAGGTTGAGGCTGCAGTGAGCTGTGTTTATGCCACTGCACTCCAGACTAGGCAACAAAGAGAGAGAGAGACCCTGTCTCAAAAAATAAAAATAAACCAAATAAAATAAAATCTAACTCTGTCCATTGAATAAATCTAGAAACAATGACCAAACAAGGAACATGAATACCACTAGCACCACATTGCAGTTTCCAGGCACCTCTTCCCATGAAAAAAAGATCAAGAGCTTCTTGGAGAGGTGGCTCATTCCCCAGTTGGAGCAGGAAATACATCTTGTGATACCAGACAGCAAAGAAGCAGTCAAAGATTACTAGGGTCATGTCAAGATAGGACAGTTTGAATATCAAAAAGGATAGTAACTGCACTGTCTTGAAACACATTAGATATGTTTAAATATATGAGTTCATAATTATATGAAAACAAAAACAAACATTTGAAGGACACTAAAAAAACCATTGTTTTCACAATTAGTAAGTAAATGGAAAGAATCATAGCAATATACCTACCATTCTATATAAACCATATCACTAGGTAATCAAATAACTGTAAATGGGGAAAGTTTCTCCTTATAAAACTATTCCAGCCAATAAATGAAGAAATAACAGAATTCAAATATCACCATTTTGCAAACTCTAATGAATTAACAGATCTAGACACTGAACGTTAATGGCCTCTAACATCACACACACACAAAAAAGAGACCTAGAGCTTGTGTGCCTTCCATATCTCATGTGTCTCCAGGAAGGAGATGAAAGGAGAGTATTTCCTATTAAATAGTCTTGCCTCCCTGCCCCACAAAAAAGGACTCAATTTAAGTTTTAGATCTAACTAAATTACCAATTTACAGGAAAAACAGATGGAACAGTCAAACATCATTACACGAATGAAACCGGCAAGATCCAGACTGTGGGAAAATCTACACAAATAAAACTCAAGAATTTTTTTAAATAGAGACTGAGGGGGAAACATTAAAAGAGACTTAATAAATATGTTGACTCTTGCAGGCAGAATAATAACCTCACAAAGGCGTTACATCCTGACTCCCAGAACCTCTGAATATGGTATCACACTTGGCAAAAGGGACTCTGTGGATATAATTAAGGATCTTCAGAGGGAAAAATTCCTCTGGATTATCCTAGGCCTAAAGGTATCACTAGGGGCTCCTCCTTCCCCATCTGTTTTGTGGTGAGAACGTGACATCTACGCTCTTAGTAAATTTCAAGTACAATATACATTAACTATAGTCACCATACTGTGCATTAGGTTTCCAGAACTTACTCATCGTATAACAGAAAGCATGTACCCTTTGACCAATACCTCCCCTTTTCCCACATCCTCCAACCCCTGGTAATCACCATTCTATATTCTATTCTGTTACTATCTATAAATTTGACTTTTTTTTTTTTTTAAATATTTGACATAAAAGTAAGATCATGCCATATTTGTCTTTCTGTGTCTGGCTTATTTCACTTAGCATAATGTCTTCCAGGTTCATCCATGTTGTCACAAATGGCAGGATTTCCTTCTTTTTTAAGGCTGAATAATATTCCTTTGTGTGTGTGTCATGTGTTGTGTGTGTGGGTGTGTGTGTGTGTGTATGTATATATATATATATGTATATATATGTATATATGTATATATATATGTATATATGTATATATATATATATATACATACACACACACACACACCCCCCACATTTTCTTTATCCATTCATCTGTTTATGGACACAGCAGTTTCCATATCCTGGCTATTGTGAATAATGGTGCAATGAACAAGGGAATGCAAATATCTCTTTGAGATAGTGATTTATTTTCTTTGGATATATACTCAGAAGTGGAGCACATGGTAGTTCTATTTTTAACTTTCTGAGGAACCTCCTAACCATTTTCCATGATAGCTGTACCAATTTACATTCCCATCAACAGTGTACAATTTTCTTCTCCACATCCTCTCCAATACTTGTTCTCTTTTGATTTTTTGATAGCAGACATCCTAACTGGTATGAGGTGATATTTCATCGTGGTTCTGACTTACATTACCCTGACAATTACTGATGTTGGTATCTTCTCAAACATTGAGTTAGATGAGCATCTCATACGTTTTGGATATTAAACCCTTATCAAATATGATTTGCCAGTATTTTCTCCCATTCAGTAGAATGCCATTTTGTTTTGTTGATTGCTTCCTTTGCTGTCCAGAAAACTTTGTAGTCTGATGTAGTTCCACTGTTTATTTTTGCTTTTGTTGCCTGTATTTTCATGTCAAATCCAAAAAATCACTGCCAAGACCAAAGTCAAGGATATTTCCCCCTATGTTTTCTTCTAGGAGTTTTACAGTTTTAGGTCTTGCATTTAAGTCTTTAATCCATTTTGAGGTAATTATTGTGTACGGTGTAAAATAATTTCACCATATTTCATCCAATTTCATTCTTTTGCATGTGGATATCCAGTATTTCCAATACTGTTTATTGAAGACACTATCCTTTCCCCATTGTGTATTCTTGGTGTCTTTGTCAAAAATTAGTTGACTATATATGTGTGGATTTACTTGAAGGGTCCTTATAAGGGGGAATCCTTTTAAAGACAAGGGTACTTATAAGGAGGAGGCCAAAAGCCACAGTCAGAGGAGATTTTATGACAGAACAGGTCAGATGAAGAGATGTGACGACGTTATACTGCTGGCTTTGAAGATGGAGAAAGACACCAAGAACCAAGCAAAGCAGGCATCCCCTAGAAGCTGGAAAATTCTCCCCTGAAGTCTCTAGAAGGAATATAATCCTGCTGACACCTTGATTTTATCCCAATGAAACCCATTTTAGATTTTTGACCTCTAGAACTGTAAAAGAATAAATGTATAAGTGTATAAGCTAGTAAGTGTGTCATAATTTGTTAGCAGCAATAGGAAGATAATATATTAATGAATCACAACATGTGGCTGTTATTTGGTTCCTAATTTTTCTTAAAATAACTTACTAAAAGATTTAGAAATGTGAACCCTGCACATGTGACATCAAGGAATTATTGTTTTATAATTGTGATGAAGTTGAGGTTACATTAATAATTTTTTTAAAAGAACATATATCTTTGACACAGTAACTAGGAAGTCCTGGGGATGAAACAATATGATATCTGTGATTTGTGACACAGTGATGGGGCAGGATTGGCCACGGGCTGATAAGCTTTGTGGCTGAATTTATTTTACTGTCTACCTTTACGTATGTTCAATATTCTCCATAGTAAAGTTTCTGTAATTACAGAAAGCATGATTCCTAATGGTGAGATGTTAGAAAACACCCTTGGTACCCAGAACACAAGGAGGCATACTTTCTTTTATTCATCCTCATCCTAAGGGTCTTAGCCAATACACCAAAACCAAGCAAAACTGTTGTTAGTCTGTGATATACATATAGAAAACCTTTTAAAAATCCACAAATTGGATAAAAAATGTTTTTAATTATTATCATAAGCAGGCTAGCCATAAAAATCAATATACCAAATGCCATTTTATTTCTATATGCCAAAAAACATAATTTTTAAAGGCATAGTGGCTCATACCTATAGTTTCAGCTACTCAGAAGACTGAGGCCAGAGGGTCACTTGAGCCCAGGAATTGGAGGATGCAGTGAGCTATGATCGTGCCACTACACTCCAGCCTGGGCAACAGAGCAAGATCCTGTCTCCAAAATAAATAAATAATAAAAATACAAAAGAACAAATAGCATTTATGATACTCTCTAACACTTTAAATTACCGAGGAGTTGGCCAGGCGCGGTGGCTAACGCCTGTAATCCCAGTACTTTGGGAGGCCAAGGCAGGCGGATCACCACAGGTCAGGAGTTTGAGACCAGCCTGGCCAACATGGTGAAACCCCGTCTCTACTAAAAATACAAAAATTAGCTGGGCATGGTGGCATACACCTGTAGTCCCAGCTACTCTGGAGGCTGAGGCAGGAGAATCACTTGAACCCGGGAGGCGGATGTTGCAGTGAGCTGAGATCACGCCACTGCACTCCAGCCTGGCGACTGAGTGAGACTCCATCTCAAAAAAGAAATTCTGCTTCCTTCCATTTTCTCAGTGAAGTCGGAAGCAATACATGCCTCAGCTGACAATGATGATTGCAGAAGAGGTACTAGTAGGACCAAGGGGAGAGGAAAAGATGTAGAATAGTTGTTTAAGTGAAAGAGTGAATGAACTAAGAAAATATAGTATGACTGTCAGGCAGCATTAAGGGCCCATATAATGGTCAGGAATTTAAAATGAAGCCAGTTAAAGAGGTTTTGTGTTTTTCTCCAAACACCTTCAGTTGCCCTAGTGTAGCTATAGGGTAGGCTGAGTGGGATTAACCAGTATTGCATTTTTTTTTTTTTTTTTGAGACGAAATCTCATTCTCTCACCCAGGCCAGAGTGTAGTGTCGCAATCTCAGCTCACTGCAAATTCTGCCTACCAGGTTCAAGGGATCCTCCTACCTCAGCCTCCCGAATAGCTAGGATTACAGGCATGCACCACCATACCTGGCTAATTTTTTTATTTCTTTTTTTTTTTTTTTGGTAGAGACAGGGTTTCACCATGTTGGCCAGGCTGGTATCAAACTCCCAACCTCAGGTGATCGGCCCACTTCAGCCTCCCAAAGTGCTGGGATTACAGGTGTGAGCCACCATGCTCAGCGCAGTATAGCATTTTATCAAATAAGGACCATAAAACAAGAATGAAGACAGAAAATAGAATTAAGAATGAATGTAAGGACTAATATCCAGAATCTACAGGGAACTCAAATCAGCAAGGAAAAAAAAACCAAATTATCCCATCAAAAAGTGGGCAAAGGGCATGAATAGGCAATTTCCAAAAGAAGATATACAACTGGCCAACAAACATATGAAAAAATGTTCACCATCACTAATCATCAGGGAAATGCAAATTAAAACCACAATGAGATACCACCTTACCCCTGCAAGAATGGCCATAATTAAAGAGTCAAAAAACAATGGATGTTGGTGTCATGTGATGTGATGAAAAAGGAACACTTTAATACTGCTGGTGTCCACTCTGAAAAACAGTATGGAGATTCCCTAAAGAATCCTAAAAGTAGAACTACCATTCCATCCAGCAATCCCACTACTGGGTATCTATCCAAAGGAAAAGAAGTCATTATATAAAAAAGACACAGGGACATGCACGTTTATAGCAGCACAATTCACATTTGCAAAGATATGGAACCAACCTAAGTGCCCATTAACCAATGAGTGAATAAAGAAAATGTGGTATACATACACCATGGATTACTTCTCAGCCACAAAAAGGAACAAAATAATGTCTTTTACAGCAACTTGGATGAGCTGGAGGCCATTATTCTAAGTGAAACTCAGAAAATCAAAGATCGTATGTTCTCACTTATAAGTTAGGAGCTAAGCTATAAGGAATCAAAGGCATAAGAATGATAAAATAAACTTTGGGGATTCAAGGGGAAGGTTGGGAGAGGGTTGAGGGATAAAAGACTATATATTGGTAGTGTACACTGCTTGGATGACAGGTGCACTAAAATCTCAGAAATCACCAACAAAGGACTTATCCACGTAACCAAAAGCCACCTGTACCCACAAAACCACTGAAATTATAATAAATTTTTTTTTAAAAAAAGAATGGATGTAAGGATATGATTAATGGGTAAGCTTAATGAAACAGATGTCACGTGGGGTGGTAAAACTCTTCAAGTTCAAAGAAATGAGGTTCCGAATTTAGAGTTCCGGAATATCATAATCACCAACAGTAATGCCACTGGTGAAAGGGTCAAGCCGGGCACGGTGGTTCACGCCTGTAATCCCAACACTTTGGGAGGCCAAGGCGGGTGGATCATCTGAGGTCAGGAGTTTGAGACCAGCCTGGCCAACATGACGAAACCCTGTCTCTACTAAAAATACAAAATAAGCCGGGCATGGTGGTGCGTGCCTGTAATCCCAGGTACTCAGGAGGCTGAGGCAGAGGAACCACCTGAACCCAGGAGGTGGAGGTTGCAGTGTGCTGAGATCCATTGCACTCCAGCCTGGGCGACAAGAGCAAAGACCTGAGCAAAGAGCTGAGACCACTGCACTCCAGCCTGGGCGACAAGAGCAAAACTCCACCTCAAAAAAAAAAAAAAAAAAAAAAAAAAAGAAAGTGTGAATCACCAGCAACCATACACCTGTAGTGGTCTGAATTGGTAGTGGCAGCATTTACAACCATGTAACCATCATTATGTCTTCATGGGTAGTCAGTATGACATATTTACATGTTGAAATATATTTTACCTCATAAATTATGTGTGATTGTCCTTTATAGTACAGCTAAGACATTATAGAGGTTTTTAAAATTTATGTGTATCAGATATTATCTATAAATTTTATTTCAGAATTGAAAAGGGAGAAGGGGTAATTAAAAGGGGCACTGACTCTGACAGGATTGAGAATCACTGCCCTAGTAAAATTTTTTATGCATATGTAACAAGGTGACAAAAAGGACAATGTTAAGAGTAAAGAATTAAAAACAACCTGGATGTTCACCTATATGGCAGGTAAATGGAATAGGCAACATCAATATGTATTAATGGGTAGATAAACCTCATCTCTTTTGGCAAACTAAAAAATGGCATATTTCTTAATAGTTTATAGGATATATAATTGAGGTGACACCAATGTTGGGAAGAATCCTCCTCAGAATGCGAAAGGGGCTATGATTTTGAATTCTGAGAAAATACATGAAATGCTAGCACACAGCCCTGCACTACATAGCGCTACATAGTTATAAATGTTTTCACTTTTTTTTTTTTCTCTCCCCTGAGACAGGGTCTGGCTCTGTTGCCCAGGCTGGAGTACAGTGGCCCAATCACGGCTCACTGCAGTCTCAATATCCTGGGCTAATTTTTTGGTAGAGATGAGGTCTCACTATCTTGCTCAGGCTGTGTTTTCTCCATTTTTTAACGTCAACTTACTCTATGGTTGCAGATGAAATGTAAATGTTACTAATCCTCATAATATACAAAAGTAAAAGTAGAGCTGGCAAATAACAGGATATTGAAGAGGTTTATAAAAGTAGAGAAAAGGAATATGGATATTCTAATCTCCCTAGGCTCAAGCACCTCCTTCACTAATTTACCAGGTCTATGGCCTAAAGCAATATACTTATGTCTCCTTTTCTACAAAAAAAGGAAAATAATAGTATGCTGGTTTCCTAAGGCCATCTCAAAAATTAAATGAGACAATGCAAATAAAGCATTTGAGACAGTGCCTGGTACTCACTAAGGACTCTGTAAATGGTGGTTATCGTACTTAACTGTATTTTATGAGGCAAATTTTATTGCCATAATGCCATTTAAAAATTTGAGAACTCCTGAAATTGCAGGACTGTTCTTAGTAAAAGTCAAATGTCAGACTACATATATTACATATATGCCTATTTCCATATTTTGAATCTTCAATTATGACTTCTCCATTGAACTTGGGACCCCAACTGTCTATCATCTCAACTTGTAACAGTCTTCTCACACCTAACACAGTAAAAACTAAACTTTTTACATCCGTCACCCAATTTATTTGTTCTTCTCTCAGTCTTCCCTATTTCAATAAATAGCACAATCTAACCTACTGCTCAATCAAGGCAATTATCCATAATTCCTCTCTTTCTTTCAACCCTCAAACCCAATCCACCAGGAGCTCCTGTCGGATCTACCACCAAATCACAGCCCAAATTTTCCACTTCTCAGCATTGCCATTGCTATCAAACCAGGCCTAGCCACGATTATCTCTCTGCTGCTTCTGTTATTCCTTTATAGTCGACTCTCCACAAAGCAGCCACCCTTTACACACATAAAACCCCCCACTGTATTTATTTTTTTTTAGACAGGAATTTGTTATGTTGCCCAGGCTGGTCTCAAACTCCTGGCCTCAAGTGAGCCTTCTGTCTCAGCCTCCCAAGTAGCTGGGACTACAGGCATAAGCCACCACGCCCAGTTACCTCCACCATATTTAGAATAAAATCCTATGATGTTATACCTCCACCATATTTAGAATAAAATCCTATGATGTTATACCTGCCCAGTTACTGCCACCACATTTAGAATAAAATCCTATGACTTTACAGCTGCTTCCTCAACTTCGTCTTTCTTAACACCTCACTCATTTAAACTCTAGCCAGGCTGGCTTTATGTTCCTCAACAAAACTAGGGTCTCTGAATTTGCTGTTTCCTCTGCTTCAATCATTCTTGACTCTTATGTTTCTTCAGTGTCTGCACTCACATGTCACCTTTCTTGACCACCCAAAGTAGAGTCTCATAATCATTTCATACCATGTTGATTTACAAGCACATGCTATCTGAAATGATCTAATTTCTATACCTGTCTACCTCTTTCTAATGCAATGGCAGGGATCTCACTTTCCCATCTTCTGTTAAGTCACCTTCTCAATGAGGTCTTTAACGACCAACTATTTAAAATTCCAACATATGCATCTTGCCTAGTATTCCCTATTCCCTTCATTGTTTTTTTCTCCAAACCACTTATCACCATCTAACACACTATACATTTTATTTATCTTTCCTGCTTATTCCTCTCCTCCTACTAGAATCTAAGTCCACAAAGACAAGGATTTGTCTTTTTTTCACATTGTATCTGCAATGCCTAGAAGAGTAAGTTCCTGATAATAATAGGTCATCGATAAATATCCTAATGCAGCTGAATGAATGGGCCTTGTCTTGTTCAAAGCTGGATGGATCCTTAGCATCTTGAATACCCAGCATACAGGAGGCACTCAAATTTACTAACACAATGACTGTTAAGACACTCAGATTCTGAAGTACTACCAATTCAAAGAAAAACTGTATTTTGTTCAGTATAAACTGAAATTGAAGTATGATTCTATTTGTATGTTCAAAAGCTCCTATGACACACTTTTTAAAACAGTTAAGTATGTTTTATTGTATCTTAAGTAAAAAAAAAAAAAAAAAAAAAAAAAAAAGATTACCCAGTTGGGTAACTTAGCTTATAAAACTTAAAGCAACAGATTAATTAGAATGCCCTTTCCCTAGCAATGTCAGAAAAGTTTCTATGCTATAGAATTCAACAGAAAGGGAAGAACTAGTGATTTAGGAAAGAGAGCAGAATTGATGGATCAATGTCCTTGAGTAAGCAAGAAGGCATGGAATCTAATACTTTCGTGGAGGGAATTGCATAAATGAGGAAAACAGGCAATTTATCTATTCTAACAAGGAAAAAGGAAGATTATATGGTCACAGCTACAAGGAAGTGTATAGACAGGTGGTGGGAGACTATGGCAGTTCTCTTCTGACTGCTGAAATTGTCTTGGGCTACATTATCTAGTGAGGAGCATGGAGAAAATACGTAGTGAAAACAGAAAAGAACCCGGATGAGACCCCTGATGGATTCTAACTCTTAAAGAACAGTTAAAAACACAGCACCGAGTAGAAGTAGGGCTTAGAGGCATAACAGAAAACTAGCATACTGTGGTATCACAGAATATCAGCGTGATTGCTCAACTGTCATTCACTGAGGTACATCTGAGGAGTGAAATGGCCCAAAGCCAATTCACAACAGCCCGTGTAGAAGATGGCACACCAATCTTAACTTCGGAAGGGGTGCAAACATTACCAAAGCGCTGTCTTTCTACAACAGTCTATGCTGTAGCATAAAATCAACTATCTTGAGTGTGAATATGTATATGCCTTTCTTACAGAGTAAATTTAGCTTGTTTCTTCCAAAGAAATAATCTCCCAAATGGTAATGATATATTATTAAATTACCTTTTCCCCAAACGTTTTAAAAATAATAATCAAGAGATGGTATGTAATGAAGCATCGACGTGGGTAACTCTCAAACTTTATTGTCCTTGTAAAAAGTCTAACCTTTCCAAAACTCATCTGGGCTTTACCATTAAATCTGCGTCATAATTCTAGAGTTTGTCTTTCTTCTCTTTTTGAATAAAAGGTTTCAAAGTACAGCCTATTCGCTGGATCATGAGAATATGTTACTAAGAAGAATCACTTCATCCATGGGAAGCTGCAGTCAGCATTTTAAAGCAACACTGCCACCAGAAGACAAGAAAGAAAAGTAACTACTAACGACTACGGGGCAAGTTAAATACAAAATATTTACCTGGCCTCCCAACGCGGCTACATTACACCCTGCCTACCACCAACTCTTCAGAAAGGCTCATTCTTTCTCGCACCTCATCTTTGTAACTTTTTCCCCCCCAGCATTAGCCTATCTACTAAGACACATCAACCTAAAATCGTATCCTAATGTCCTATCTGTTGGTCTGGGTAGTGTTTACACAGGTGAACACAAATGTCGAAGTCTTTCACTGATTTTTTTTTCAAAATAAGTGATCAACATTGTGTCCTAGTAACTCCGCAACGTGTCACGGAATCGCTGAATTTGTCATTGTCCACAAGTGTAGAAAAATGTGGTCACAAGTCAGTCCTCGGCTCGCGTACGAAGAGGCGGTCTGCCCAGTGGGGACGCGGGACCCCCCTGTTTCCCCTATTTTTATTTATTTTTTACTTTTTTTGAGACAGAGTCTCACTCTGTCGCCCAGGCTGGAGTGCAGTGGCTCGATCTCGGCTCACTGCAACCTCTGCCTGCTAGATTCAAGCGATTCTCCTGCCTCAGCCTCCTGGGTAGCTGGGATTACAGGCGCCCGCCACCACGCCCGGCTAATTTTTGTATTTTTAGTAGAGACGGGGTTGCACCATGTTGGTCAGGCTGGTCTCGAACTCCTGACCTCGTGATCCGCCCGCCTGTGCTTCCCAAAGTGTGTTTCCCCTCTTAAGCAGTGGTTCGGACGGGAGCTTTCCCGGCCCGGCGCTCGCGTCCGGGATTAAAGGGCTGCCGCGGAGGGCGTGACCAGCCCAGCCTCGCCGCCGTCGCTTACCCGGTAGTTGCTCGAACCCACCCAGCCGGTGAGCGCGTCGACTGTCTTGCCTAGGCGGCCCAGGTCCTCCTCCAGGTCCGAGATGGCGCCGGGGGCGCCAAGGTAGAGCAGGAGCTCCTGGCCGACCTGCAGCCGGCCGCCGACGTCCTTCTGCTGCACCTGGGCGCAGAAGTACTCCATGCTGCGGGGCTCCATGGCTGCGGCCGCCCGCCCGCCTGCCAGTCTGTGAGCGGCCAACTTTCGCCGAGAGCCGCCCAGCCTCCAGTGCGGGTCCCCGCGGGAGCGGGCGGGACTCACTTAGCCCGCCAGGGGCGCGGCTTGCGGGGCGCAGCGGGCGGCGGGAGGAACGCCAAGCGCCCAGCCGCCCCCAAACTAGTCAAACTCGGCGCCCCCCGATCCCCAGCCCGCTTCAGAGGCCGCGGCCGCGGGCGACGTCAGCACGCGCGTGACGTCAGCACGACGCCGGCGAGGGCCCTCCAGTCCGGCTAGCGTTTTGCTGCGGAGGTGGTGGAGGTGGCTGCGGAAACCGCTGGGAGCGATAGGACCTCTAGGGAGACTTGGGGTCCGAGTTGGGCCGAGCCCCCTGGGAGGCGGGCCGTTCTTTGCTAGCCGCTGTCAGGGCACCCTGCCCTCGCCCTGTGAAATGTGGAACGTTTCCAAGTTTGCCTCCACTTGTATTCAACACTTAGGAAAGTACTTGGCATCCCCCTTTCCCGCCCCCACTGCCGGTTTAAAAAAAAAAAAAAAAAAGAATACACTCCTGACTTCTGCTTCCAGCCACCACCACAGTCACTGTGTAATACTTAAAAAAACAAAACAAAACAAAACTTAGGTTTGCCTAAAGTAAAACGCACAGATTTTCAGCGTACACTTCATGAGTTTCGGCAAATGTATTCACCCGTGGAACCGCCACCCCAGTGAGGGTACAGCACGTTTCCAACACCCCAGGAAGTCCCAGGACACTTCCCAATTATCTGCTCTTCCCTAGGCAATTCTAATTTGATTTCTAGCATGGTAACATAGTTTTCCCTGTTCCTGAACTTCATACAGTCTGTGCTTCTTTGGAGTCTGGTTTCTTTTAGCATAACGTTTGGGGTCCATCCAGCGCTGTTGGTGTCTCAGAAGTCCATTCCTTTTTATTGCTTTCCATTCTGTGGAATCACTACCATTTGTCGATCCATTCACTTGTTGGTAGATATTTGGGTTGTTTCCTATTTTTTATAATTATGAATAAAGCTGCTACAACGGTTAGTGCACAAGTTTTTGTGTGGATATATTTTCTTCTCTCATGGGTAAATAAATACCAAGGACTGGCATTACTAGGTCTTGTAAGTTGTATGTTTAACTTTAGAAGAACCTGCCAAATTGTTTACCAAAGTGACTGGATCATATTAAATCCCCACCAGCAATGCTTGAGAGTTCCAGTTGCTCCACAATATTTGATATGGTCAGGGTTATTAGTTTTAGCCATTCTGGTGGGGGTAAAGTTGTCTAATACATTCCAAAAGCACACTGTGTTTATCTTCTTGACAATTATTCCCAATCACAACAAAATGATTATTTATGTAATATCTTTCTCTTCTAATACACAGAAAGCTCCAGGAACCTTTGTGTTTTCCTAGGGTGGTGCCTAGCAAATAATGGGTGGCCAATTTAAGTTAAATGAGTGAATGAATTCAACAAAAATTGATATTTGAAATATTCACAATAACTAAGAATAAACAAACTCAAAATTCAAAGAAATTGACTGTTTTCTGTGTTCTTTTTTCAGTATTTCTGTGTTTCACATTGTATTGAGTTTGTAAAGTTTCTTCCATCTTTAATTGGTTGTAATTTCCCTCAGACTATGCCTCAATCAAGTAAACTATGTGTGATGGTTAATTTTATGTGTCAACTTGACTGGGGCAAGAGATGCCCAAATAGCTGGCAAAACATTATTTCTGAGTGTGTCTGTGAGAGAGTTTATGGAAGAGATTATCATTTGAATTGGTGAGCTGAGTAAAGCAGATGGCCCTTCCCAATGTCAGTGGACATCATCCAATTCGTTGAGGCCTGAACAGAACACAAGTGTGGAGAAAGGCCAAATTCACTCTCTCTGCTCGATCGGAAACATCCATCTTTTCCTGCTCTCAAAGATGGGTGCTCCTGGTTCTCAAACTTTAGTATTCAGACAGAAACTTATATCATCAGTCCTCCAATTCTCAGGCCTCCAGACTAGGACTGTATTACACCACCAGGTTTCCTGGTTCTCCAGCTTGCAAACAGCAGACATGAGACTTCTTGCCTCCCTTAACCGTGTGAGCCAATTCCTATAATAATTATCCTCTCATTAGGCCAAGTGCAGTGGTTCACACTTGTAATCCCGGCACTTTGGGAGACTGAGGTGGAAGGATCGCTTAAGCCCAGGAGTTCAAGACCAGCCTGGGCAACAAAGTGAGACCTTGTCTCTCCAAAAATAAAATCAATAAATTAGCCAAGCATGGTGGTGCACACCTGTGGTCCCAGCTACATGGGAGGCTGAGGCAAGAGGATCACTTGAGCCCAGGAGGTCGAGGCTGCAGTGAGCTGTGTTTGTGCCACTTCACTCCAGCCTGGGTGACAGAGCAAGACCCTGTCTCAAAAAAAAAATTAAAAAATTAAAAAAAATGATTCTCCACATATCTATCTACCGGTTCTGTTTCTCTGGAGAACCCTGACTAATACATTATGGTAACTATTCCTTGGGTTTGAGTGTCCAAAGGTTCTGTTCTTAAAGGGTTGCAGAAAGATATAAAAAGAGGATCCTATCCAGAAGAACTTTACACTGTAATTGCTGGTGACCAGGTGCAGTATGTGGTATAGAAAAAAAAAAATGCAGGAGCCCTGGATTCTAGGTTCAGCTCTACCTGTTCCTGTGACCAAAGGTGACTGCTGCTCTTCACCCTTGGTTGTCTCTATTCCCTTTCTGAACTTAATGTAAATTGAAAATCACACTAGGTCATTTTTAAGTTATAAGTTAACTAAATCATCTTTAGGAGTAACTCTGGAAGAACCTGTAAAATTATTATTAATTATCATTTATTGTGTTTTATTTTTAGTAGAGATGAAGTTTCATTGTGTTGCCCAGATTATTCTCGAACTCCTGGCCTCAAGCAATCCTCACACTTTGGCCTCCCAAAGTGGTGGTATTACAAGCATAAGCCACTGCACCTGGCCTATAAAGTTAATAGTAAACATTGGTCACTATTACTTATATATTCTTTCTGTGTTTCATTAATTCATTAACAAATATCCTCTGAGCACCTATATTGTGCTAGATACTGTGCCAAAGTTCCAAAGACCCAAAATTCATTTAGACCTGGTCTCTGCCCACAAGCTCTAGTAGGGACAAGAAAATCAACATTTCTGAGATGCTGTGATAGGGTAAACAGAGGGTTTTTGAAACCTAGATGAGAGGCTCCTTATCTAGATAGTACTTAGTATGGGAGTAGAAAAGTTATAAATTAAAGAAGGCTTCTTGGAAGAGGTTATATTTAAATTGAACTTTGAGGATAACTAGGAATTAACTAATTAAAGAATTGGTTTCCTGGGGAGTTGCATGTTTGTCTACAAGATGTAGTCTCAACTATTTTGATTAACCATTTGTTATTATCAGTATATACCCACTACAAAATCTACATCTTTATTTATATCACTGTTATCTGTCCTAGGTTCAACATTGTTAGAGCTGAAAGTTCACAAAATTGCTAGCACCTCAGTCATTTTTTCACAGCATCCCTAGACCAAAAGAAACACCTAAGAAGTCCACTAAATAGGTGAGATCCAAACAACTTAGTATTTATATCCTAGCAACTTACTAGGCATATGAAAAAAATATGCAAATCAAAAATTGTATTTTAAATTTCATTCTTGAACAACCACACTTACAAATGAGATATCGGTGCCTACTGGTTACTGCCCAATTTCTCTAACCTTGGAATGAGACTGAATATCATCATTCTCATCCTGTTGCACATCAATACTCAGGCAGTTGAGCACATCAATACTCAGCTTGGCTAATTTTTCTATTTTTTGTAGAGACAGGGTCTCATTTTGTTGCCCAGGCTGGTCTTGAACTCCTGGGCTCAAAGATTTGATTGATTTTTTTTAAATCAACACAACCACAAAAAACACAGCCTTGCAAAGATATGACATCAACAAAAAAAATGTGCTACAATACAAAGACACGACATCAATGAAAAAAAATGTACCACAATCTCATATTGAAACCATGCACTACTTGGAGCCATTACATGTCTCACAAATGCCCATGATCACCATTGCCCTTCAAAATTTAAAATATCCTGGAGTGCTCTTGGTGTGTGTGCTTCGGCACCCCAGGGTGCTGGCCACACAATTTGGGAACTTTGACGCAGACAGATGCCTGATGATGCCCAAGTTTTCAGAGAGACAAAGAGAACAGGAAACAAATGGTAATCATGCAGGAAGAAGGTATGGATTCAATAAGGACTGGGCTTCACAAAGACTCATGCCTAATCATGTGTTAGGGCTTTTAATCCTCTAAGCAACCCTGTATGGAAGATATTATATCCCCAACTTAGCAAGCAGAAAGCTGAGGCTCAGAGATTAAGTTCCCAGACTCACTCATGATTTCAGATCCATGATTCAAACCCAGGATGTCTGGCTTCTGTGGTCTTTCAAATAGATAGACTTAAAGAAAAGAAAATTGGAAGAAGAAAGTTTTGAATTAACTACCACAATAATAACACTCCTTGCAAAACATATTGTATTTCTTTGAATATTTATTTATATTTTCATTTAGGACCCGCCTTTCTCTGAATTTCTGCTAAAAAGAAAAAAGAAAGGAGGTGGAGAAAATGGGGAGGAATTTTAAAAAAGAAAATGGTGTAGGAAATATCTGCATTCTTTTATGATCAGTCACTAAAATTTATCTGGGAACAGAAGTCTATTTTTAACTGGCAACAAGACTGAAATAGATCATTTAAATACAGCAGACTGACTTCCTGACTTATTTGTTCATTATTTGTGATAATAGTGGAAACTTTGAGTAGACTTTGTTCTGCCACTGGATTTTATTTTCCATACGAAGGCTAGGAGACAAATAAATCATCACACAGCTGGTTTGAAATCATGCTTCAGCAAATATCCTTCAAGAAGGGCATTGTGTTAGGTACTGGGGTGGGGGTGGGGGAATAGATGGGAGTGTCTTGCCAAAGATTTATCACAATCTTTCTTTAAAGGTTAAAAGGGATATACATATATATGAATGTTCATAGTAGCTTTATTCATTATAACCCAAACTGGAAACAACCCATATATCCATCAACTGGAAAATAGATAAATGTGGTTTCCATTGTATGCCATACAATGGAATTCTACAAAGCAGTAAAAACCAAACTACTGATATATTCAACAATGAGGCTAAGTCTTTTAAAAAATCACATTCAGCACATGAAGCCAGACACAGAAGAGTACATATTGTGTAATTCCATTTACATGAACTACTAATGTAGGAAAAACTTACTGACGGTGATGGAAGTTAAATAGTGGGTATCACAAAAGAAGGGAGTCAGTGGACATTGACTAGAAAAGGGCCTGAGACAGCTTTCTGCACTGATGGAAATGTTCTGTATCTTGATCTGGGTGGTGATGATAAGAGCATATGCATTGGTAAAAATTCAGCAAGTTCTGTGCTTAAGATAAGTACATGATGCATTTACTATATGCATGTTGTACCCAAAAAAGGACTGGGGGGTGGAGATTCAGAACAAGATATTTAAAAAGAAAAAAGGAGATAAAGCAGTTACAGTCTATTTCAGTGATAGACAATAGAAATATAATATATATGTGAGCATATAGTATACATAATTCAAATTTTTCTAGTATACACATTTTAGAAAGTTAAAAAAAGGTAAAGTTGTATTTACTAATATATAAATTATATTTAATAGTATTTTATATAGCAATATTTAAAAAATATTTAATAAAGTTCTGTTATCATGTTTTAGTATGCCTTTATTAAATATCTTTTTTTTTTAGATAAGGTATCATTTTGTCACCCAGGCTGGAGTGTAGTGGCAAGATCACAGCTCACTGCAACCTCAAATTCCTAGGCTCAAGCAACCATCTCACTTTAGCCCCCTGGATAGCTAGGACTACAGATGTACCACCACATCTAGCTAATTTTTTTCTATTTTTTGTAGACAAGGGGTCTCACAGTGTTGCCCAGGCTGGTCTTGAACTCCTGGGCTTAAGCAATCCTCCTGCCTCGGGCTCCCAAAGTGCTGTGATTACAGGCGTGAATCACTGTACCCGGCCTAAATTTCATATTAATAATATATTATTTATACTTAATAATATTTTATTTATATTCAAATAATATCATTTAAGCCTGTGATTAAAACAAAAAAATTATATAAAATATTTTACATATTAGTGCAAGTTTCTTGGGAAAACCCAGGTTCTGATACTAATGGCTTTGTAAATGTAATAAAGTCATCTATTACCTTCTCGGAGCTTCATTGTTTCAGTCTAAATAATGCAGATTCATAATGATTGTTGGGAGAGATACTCTTCCATGAGTCTTGCACATGTTTTGCTAGGTATGCCAAGAATACAAGGCCCTGACTACTCATTACCTGGGCTATTTCTCTGGGTTATGTTTGCAGCGAGCAATCTTGAGGGATGAAATAATGTCTCCCTCCCAGACAGAGAACAGATTTGCTTACTGCTTTCTGTAAAATTGCAGAATCCCCAATTCAGTGTTTCTCTCCATGAGGTTTGGGAGGCAAAGTGTATGAGTTTATGCTACTTGCTGTGCTGTGAGTAAAAAAGTCCTTTGTCCCTGACCCAGGAGTCTCAGGTCTTCTGCCAGCATCAATGAAATAGTCATAGGCTAAGTTATTAGTTTGTAAACAGGGTTTAAAAACTCCTGTCACCCACCACCAAAGGCTATTTTTTTCTTTTCTTTTATGGTAATAATCAAATTGAATCTATTACAAAGTGAAATGACTCCATAAATGTAGTAAATATATTTTTATACCAATATTAGTTGGCACCAATATTAAGAAAGTTAAGCTAGGAAGGCCAAATAAAGCTTCATACATTGCTACAGAAATTAATAAAGATGCAATACACTTGTCCAAGCAATATTTGCAATAAAATTATTTCTGTGAGTAAATACACTTGTCCCAACAATGTTTGCAATAAAATCATTTTCTGGGAGTTAAATATTTGCTTATTGATTTCCAATGAAAGAAAGTCAAAGGTAGGTTCCCAATGAGTGCAATGCTTCGTTGAAGAAAGTGACTAGGAGTTAAAATTGAGAGTTGCAGAGTTTCTACCCCCTTGCCTATTGAAAAGACTTCTCATCTCTGTACCACCAATGGCTTCAATTCTCCTAACATCCCACTATTCCCTCAAGGTGCAGAAAGACTTATTCATGCAACCCTTCAATTTGGAAATACCTTTGGGCCTCCTACCATTTTCAAGAATTTGAGCTAAGCTCTTATAAAGTATAATTCAAATCCAGAAGGAATTTAAATTCTTCCGTGGGAGAAAAATTCAACTCCAAAAATGTGTAAATTATAAATGCTAAATATAGGAATAGTCATAAACTGGTATGGTCCAAGCTGGGAGAGAGTACTCTTACATGGAAGATTCAAGAGAAGCTTCTTGATATGGGAGCAAATGGGGTGAGTGGGACAATGGGGGTGATTTCAGCAGGGAGAGGCAGAAAAGAAACCCCAAGAATGAGAAGTCTGGAGGCCGAAGGAGGAAATGCCAGGCAGAGTTCAGTAATCATGGCCACGCTAGTTCAGCTGCTTTCTGGGACCTATATGAGAGAGTTCTTGTTGGAATTTTTAAGTCCTAAAAAGGTTTTGTCACATGCATGTAATAAGGAAAATAAAACAATATACCACTTTTTCACGACAGTCAATGTCTTGTTTTCCATAAAAGCCAGGAGAAATAGAACATTTTTATGTGCAATTAATGACAGGAAAATTTGGTGCTTTGATGTTGCCGGGGTGTCCAGTGATGTTTTCCTGTCAAATGTATCAAAAACATGTCAGACGGTGGTAAGATAGACCGTGAAAACATTACTGCTACCCATTGTATTAACATGACCTTTCTTGCCTAGTCTGCAAGGATCCACCCAGCCAGTATTTTCAAAACTAAATTTTCCACCTTATGAAAGACCTGAAAAATGTTTTGTGACAAAAAGTTATTCATTAACTCCCATAAAATAAATTCCCATCCCAGTTGCCTATGACCAGATGTTTTGTTCCAAATGACACCTTTTCCATTTCATTTAGCAGAGTTTTCTTTTTTCTTTTCTTTTCTTTTTTTTTTTTTTTTTTTTGAGATGGAGTCTCGCTCTGTCACCCAGGCTGGAGTGCAGTGGCGTGATCTCAGCTCACCGCAACCTCTGCCTCCTGGGTTCAAGAGATTCTCCTGCCCCACTCTCCCGAGTAGCTGGGACTACAGGCGCGCACCACCATGCCTGGCTAATTTTTTTGTATTTTTAGTAGAGTCGGGGTTTCACCATGTTGGTCAGACTGGTCTCAAAATCCTGACCTCAAGTGATCCACACACCTTGGGCTCCCAAAATACTGGGATTACAGGCGTGAGCCACCATGCCTGACCCATTTAGCAGAGTTTTCTGATAGGAAAAATGTACTGAAAAGTTTGTGTTGCAAATTTGGTTTCTATATGATTTTCTATATTAGTTTATCTATTGCCGCGTAACAGATTATCTTCATGTTAATGGTTTAAAGCAACAACACATATTTATTATCTCACAGATTTTGATGGGCCAGAAGTTTGAGAGCAGTTTACCCAGATGGTTTTGGCTCAGGTTCTTTCATGAAGTTAGAATCAAGATGTCAGCCATGGAAAGGTGGCTCATTCCCACGGTTGCTGGCAGGAGGCCTCACTTCCTTACCTCAAGGGTCTCTCCATAGGGCTACCATGATTGTCTTCCTGACATGGCAGCCAACTTGCTCCAAAGTGAGTAATCCAAGAAATACCAAGGAGAAAGTCACAATATCTTTTATTACCCAATCTCAGAAGTCACACACCATCTTTTCCACCATAGTCTACTGTTGATGTAAGTCAGTCTTATTCAGTGTGGAAGAGAACTATGCTAGGACATAAAAAACTGGAGGCAAAGATGAGGACCATTTCGGAAGCTGACTATCACACCATCTTTAATTGTAATACTTTTTTACATTGTATTTTCATATAGGAGCATGAGTCAATGGTTAAAAGGAGTAAGTATTTTTTTTTTCAAGAACACATGCCCTGTATCAAATACCATTGTAGAAAAGTATGTGAGTATAAACTGCTGCATAAATGGGCAGAATCAAGTGGGCAGGGCCAACAGCCCCAGGCAAGGTGCAAGGCCAGCAATGGACGGTGGAGTATATGGGCACAACTACTGGCCTTGGAGATCCTTTATCATCTGAGAAATTGCTTGGGAGATTATCCCTGAGCTAGTGGTGAAAATCATGATGAGTGCAGTGGCTACAAGGATGCCGAAGATCAGGACATAGATGTTCAGGCACTTTGCAGTGGAAGCATGGTAGGGCCCCAGTCAGGTTGCCAACCATCTTCCTGTCCCTAGATTTCACAGAGTAGGCCAGTGCTATGAAGCTCAGGCAGCATCAGTTCAACGAAGAGCGAATTGAACAGGGACCAGACAACAAGGTCAGACATGGTGGTATCACTGTGGTTGTGGATCACGGTGGATGTGGAGGAGAGCTATGGGGCACTCTCAGCAGGGCCACTTTGTTCTCCCCAAAAGGAGTAAGTTTTAATTTTAAGTTTGAAACAGTGAAAATAGAAAATATTCAGAAAAACCTGAAATTACTGAGATTACTGACAGCCTGAACTGTGGTCGTTGGTATTCCAGTCACCATTCTAATAAGCTGAAGTCCATCCAGAATGTACAGGATATGCTTAGAAGTTTACTTATAATACAAATTTCCATTATTATGGATATGTGAGTGAGCCTAAAGATTGGTATTTGTTATTTGAGAAAACTGAGTAATAATTTCCTGAAACCATTATTATTTCTTTTTTTTTTTTTTTTTTTTTTGAGACAGAGTCTTGCTCTGTTGCCCAGGCTGGAGTGCAGTGGTGTGACAGCTCACTGCAACCTCCACCTCCCAGGTTCAAGCAATTCTCCTGCCTCAGCCTCCCAAGTAGCTGGGGTTACAGGCACCTGCTACCACGCATGGCGAATTTTTTTTTTTTTTTTTTTTAGTAGAGACAAGGTTTCACCATGTTGGCCAAGCTGGTCTCAAACTTCTGACCTCAAGCGATCCACCCGCCTCGGCCTCCCAGAGTGCTGGGATTACAGGTGTGAGCCTCTTTGCCTGGCCATGAAACCATTATATTTGAAATGACATTTAACAACCAATTTTACAAACTTTTAAAGAAAACTATGATCACTTTTTTCAGTTACAGAGAAGGCTGAGTGGAGTATTATAATTAAATGTACTAAAAAATTAAACATGCTAATCATTAAAAATTGCATAAATCTTCAAAAGAGGTTGTTGAATTGCCTTAGGAAACTGAAGTTTATAAAAAAGAAGAAAAATTAGTGACACCCTAAAAGGTAGATATGTCCATATCTGTTTAGGTCAAAAGAGGCCGCCAGTCATTTAAAAAATATGTTCTTATAAAAGCGGCATAGTTAATGCACACATTCGAATATTTATTTTTTTTAAAAAGTCATATGTAACCCAGTTCTTTTTCTTATATTTGGATGAATGCATGATTGTTATTGATTAGGCAATTGTTTATTTTATTTGTAATGGTGATGTCTGTGAAGATGCATGTTAGTAAAATAACTGGTGAAAACATTTTCAACCAGATAGTAAAGTATTTTAACACAGATAATTTTCTGGAAAAGAATCTATGGAAGTATGCAGAGATAAAGCCAAATACCTGACGGAACTTCATGAAGAGGTTACCCATTTCAAGGTTTCTGCCCAAGAATACTTTGTTGCAGAAAATTTATTTTTATATTTTCTCAGAGGAGTAGTAAAGAAGTAAATGTTGCTTTAAAAAAGTAAATGGCTTATTTGATTTTTGAGTCAAATTTATAACGAACATGTTGATTTTGAAAGCTTTCTTTACTGTATAGATGTATACTGCCTTAGCCAAGAGTAGCTGCTGGTCAGAATTTTCTATCTCAAGGTTGAATTTTTATTTTTCTTTGTGGAAAAAAAAAAAAGGTATGTCTCCTATTGGGTCTTTGAAGAACCCCGACTAATACAGAACTATTAAAACTTTTTGAGGCAGGTGCAGTGGCTCACACCTATAATTGCAGCACTTTGGAAGGGTGAAGTGGGAGGATCACTTTGAGTCCTTCCACTTCAGGATTACAGGAGTTCAAGACCAGCCTAGGCAACATAGTGAGATCCCATCTCTACAAAAAAGAAAAAAATTCTTTTTGAAAAAACTAGAATTATGGCCAAAAGAAGGCCAGGGATGAGACCCCCTACAAAAGTTCAATGCAATTGTCTAGACAAAGAATAATGACAGCCTCCACAAAGATAAATGGGTACCTATACTGCTTTCCACCTGATCCACACAAAGCACCAGTCATAAAAGGGAAAGTATATACTGAATACTAAACAGTCAACATATGCAAACTTTTGTATTTTTATTAAGCAGACTCTTAGCATTTACTAAGAGCTGGGTACTGTACAATATAGGCTCATTTAATCCTCATAATAAACTTACGAGGTAGATACTATGAATATTCCCAATGGACAGATGGGGATATAGAGGCAAAGGGAGACTAGGTAACTTCCCCATGTTCACCCTGCTATTGAATGTCAAAGCCAAAATTTGAGTCCAAGTAATCCTGCCCCAAATCCCTTGTCTTAGCTATGCTCATTTAGGGGAGGAAACTACACAGTTTGGGTGGTGATACTCAAGATATACAGTTTAAGTCATCATTTGGAGATAAAAAATATAAACAGGTGAGGAGAGATGTATTTTCTAGTCCCGAATCATTCAGAGCTCCTAGATGCATTTGTGCAACAGAATTTGATATGTGTATTAAAAAAATTGCTAAGCACAGCAAACCATCCGTGAAGCAGTTTTATTAGCTCCACCTTGGTTGATGCCTAGGCCAAAATAAATAAATAAATAAGGACCTGTACTTATGAAGGCAAACTTTAGTTAAATATATGCAGAATATCTGTAGAAATCTATACTGCAGTTGGAAAATATAAATACATTTATCACATTTTGCATTGGCATTCTGGGAGAGGTGAAGTGAAAGACACTTCAGTTTTCTATTTATATTTGTGGCCCCAACGAAAATGTTGCGGTTTCCAGACAACTGAAATCAGTTCAGTTAATGAAAGATCACACAGCTGGCCAGGCCCACTGGCTCACACCTGTAATTCCAGGACTTTGGGAGGCCAAGGTAGGAGGTTAGCTTGAGGCCAGGAGTTCGTAGACCATCCTGGGCAACAAAGTGAGACCCTGTCTCTAAAAGTAAAATAGAAAAAGAAAGATCACACAGCTAAAAAATATTGATGAGTGACAGAGGGAAATTCACAATTGTAAACACTAGTGAAGCTGAAAATCTGTTAGGAAAAACCATTAGATTCGTTTTTTAAAGAAACAGCAACTAATGCCAAATAGATTATCATCTTCCTAAGTTATAAGAGAGAGATAACTATAACTAATTTAAATAATTAATTTAAGGAACATTCCAGAAGTTATTTGATAATCGTATTTAGTCTGCTTCTTGGAATTTTGTAAGCATTTTACATATGTGTATTTTGTCATTTAATTCCTATGACAACCCTATGAGTTTCAATTATTATCATCATCCTTCTGTAGATGAATAAATTGAAGCACAGAGAATAAAAGCCATGTAATTAATTAGCTTAGGGAAAGGAGTTTCAAAACTGTCAGTCCTTCGACTGTGCCCCTACCTACAGACCATTCTATACACTCAATTCCTGCATTTCTCTTTTTGATGGTTTTCTCCGGCAATGAAATTATGGCTGGGGAGTTAAGACCCGAGGGGCGACCCTCAACAGAAAGGGGGTGTAGGAATTGAACTATAAGTTCTCCAGCTTACTTGCCTCTCTGTGAGACACTTCTAAGTATTCTACACTGCTCCAGAGGGCTTAAGTCCCAGTTGCCTCCTACAGTAACTCATTCATTAACACCACCTTTCTTGTCTATCCTTCCTTGCAAGTCTCATTTCCCCACTCTCTCACCACCTGTCCAGAGATTATCTCCTGAATCAAGTACTTGCACCCGAATCCTTACTTCTGGAAGAACCCAGGCTAAGACAAAATCCAATCAAGTCTGACCCCAGCACCCAGCCTCTGGATATCTATGCTCTCTAAGAGCTGTTGTCACCATGGTCCCTCTGGGGAGGTATACACTTATTTTACTGCCTCAGGAAAAAACTTGACATTTGAAATTTGCCACTGAGACTATACTTTATCTTGTACCACTAGGGCCCTAAAAACTTGTATCCAGGAAAAGGAGATACAGCCTGGTACCCAAGACCCTTTCACAGGCTGGGCTAGTGCCTGCTTCTAGGCTACCCTGGTATGTATCTCTATCCTCTCAACCATAGTTGCTGCTCTGCCTCGGCCTCAGCTATTTGTTCCTGCTGGGTCCTCCTGGGGTCTACTGTGGCTCTATGAAGACCAGCCTTGGTGGCCCTCGGCTGCCAAAGACCCAGCTCCAGAACAGGCCTGCTTCTCCCACTTCTCTCTCCCTGCACCATCTACACCTGCACCTTCTCAGGTGCAGTTGCTGCCACTGCATTGTTCATGCTAAGGAAACTTCAGTTCTGCCCACTATTGCTTTTGTATCATCAGGGCAAATGTCAACACAATGCAAATGGCAGATAATGTCTTAGTATTATTATGAAAATAATTTTGACTCATGTTGAAAACCACTGTACTGGAACATCTGTAGTGGGTTGAATTATGGCCTCCCAAAAAGTATGTCTGTATCCTAGCCCCCAGAACCTGTGAATGTGACGTTACAGTATTTGGAAAAAGATCTTTGCAGATGTAATTAAGTCAAGGATCTCAGGGTGACATCTTCCTGGATTAGGGATGACGTCCTTAGACCTCAAAGGTCTTAGAAGAGAAGGGGAGTAGATAGACACAGAGGGAAAAAAGCCACGTGAAGACAGAAGCAGAGATTGGTGATATGTCTACAAGCTAAAGAACACCAAGAATTGCTGGCAACCAGAAGCCAAGAGAGAGGCATGGAAGGGATTGTCCCTCAGAGCCTCCAGAAGGAAAAAACCAACCCTGCTGCCCCTTGATTTTGGACTTCTGGCCTCCAGAGCTGTGAGAGAATAGATTTCTGTTGTAAGCCAAGTTCATAGCAATTAGTTATGGCAGTCCTAGGAAACTAATACTCCATCCAGCATGGTGCTTTCTCCTTTGACCACATCTCATGTCCCTGATTTCTGATTCCTTTTACTGCATCTACCCATGAGCCAAAAAATACAGCAAAACTTTTTCCCTCCAAAATAACAGTAAATAAGATAACCTACAGATAGTCACAGAAGTCCTTGTTTTCAATCATACTACATGTAAGCCGTATTAGTCCATTCTTTCATTGCTATAAAGAATTACCTGAGACTGGATAATTTATAAAGAAAAGAGGTTTATTTGTCCCATGATTCCATAGGCTGTACAGGAAGCATGATGCTGGCATCTGCTTGGCTTCTGGGGAGGCCTCAGGAAACTTACAATCATGATGGAAAGAGAAAGGGGAGCAGTACCTCACATGGCCAGAGAGGGAGCAAGAGAGAGAGAGAGGGGAGGTGCTACACACTTTTATAAAAACCGGATCTCATGAGAACTCACAATCTCAAGGACAGCATCAAAGGGATGGTGCTAAACCATTTATGAGAAACATGCCCCCATGATCCAATCACCTCCCACCAGACCCCACTTCCAACATTGGCGATTACAATTCTACACGAGATTTGGGTGGAGACACAGATCCAAATCACATAAGCCCTTGTAGAAAGATGTTATTTTAGGCCAGTTGGCATATAGCACTGAAATATTCAATTAAAATATAGATACACAGATGTCAATTTAGGTACCATCTTAGTAGGACCAACTCTTATGGGCAACCTCTCAGAGCATCAGCATATTTTATTATAATTATCTGACCCCCTACTCCACTGCCAGTGATTCTAGGGCAGGGTGTACCTAATTCATCTTTTTATCTTTAGAGCAGAGCACAGGGCTTTATGTAAAGTGGATTTTCCATAAATTAGTTTAGGAAAGAGGCCAGAGGTCATATGATGCTTGCAGACCAAATGTAGCACACAAACATATATTATTGGGCTCATACAGTGTCATTGTTTCTTTTTGTTTGTTTTGTTGTGTTTTTTTCTTTTCTTTCTTTTCTTTTTTTTTTTTTTTTTTTTGTATTTTTAGTAGAGTCGAGGTTTAACCGTGTTGGCCAGGCTGGTCTCAAACTCCTGACCTCATGATTCGCCCACCTCGGCCTCCCAGAGTGCTGGGATTACAGGCGTGAGCCACAGCGCCTGGGCCATGTCATTGTTTTTTAAAATTGAAGTTAGTTGGTCAGGCGCGGTGGCTCACGCCTGTAATCCCAGCACTTTGGGAGGCCGAGGCGGGCAGATCACGAGGTCAGGAATCGCGACCATCCTGGCTAACACGGTGAAACCCCGTCTCTACTAAAAAAAAAAAAAAAAAAAATACAAAAAAATTAGCTGGGCGTGGTGGCGGGCGCCTGTAGTCCCAGCTGCTCAGGAGGCTGAGGCAGGAGAATGGCGTGAACCCAGGAGGCGGAGCTTGCAGTGAGCGGAGATTGAGCCACTGCACTCCAGCCTGGGCGACTGAGCGAGACTCTGTCTCAAAAAAAAAAAAAAAAAATTAGAGTTAGTTTTCAATTTTTAAAATGCCGTGGAGCCCACATAGAAATTTGGAATACTACTTTCTTTTGGGAAATGGGAAAGTCTTGCAATATTAAGCCCACTTTCCCGAAAGGCAACACTTAGCTTGAGTTGAGCAGTGGTTTCACCCTCCAGAAGCGGCCTTGACCTTCCAATGCCTTTCAGTTTTCTCGCGCCTACCCTCTCATTGATGTTTCCAACCTGAGTCCAAACATGAGCTGCCACATTTACTTGACACCCCGGTTTGGGGAACAATATCATGGTATTCACAAGTCAGAGAAGCTTTAGTATCCTGTATTTCCTTACCATAGCATTTAGCATTCAGGCTAAGTGCACGAAGGCTGACTTTTCTTTTAGTTGTTTTGTGTGTGTGTGTGTATCTGAAGTAATTGATAGTGAAATCATTCTATCCTCTTTGGACTTTACTTTCCTAATATCTTAGTCAGATCTTTGATAGTCAGTGAGACTCTCACTCCAAGAGTAGAAGTACAACCTTTCTCTTTTAAAGTATTGCAAAAGCCTCCTCAAAAAATGATTCCCTGGTGTTCTGAAGTCACGTTTGCGTCCTCCCAAAATTCATATGCCAAAGTCCCAACCACCAATGTGATAGTATTAGGATATAGGGCCTTTAGGAGGTAATTAGGTTTAGATGAGGTCATGAAGATGGGGTCCTCCTGATAGAATTAGTGTGGGGTTAAAAGAGAAGACCAGAGAGTGTTCTCCCATCCCCACCCCATGTGAGAACACAGCAAGAAGACTGCCATCTGCCAGAAGAGGACCCACACAGAACCCAACCATGCTGGCACTCTAATGCTGGACAATAGAAATAAATGTCTATTGTTTAAGCCACCCAGCCTATAGCATTTTGTTATAGCAGCCCAAGCTGACTAAAACCCCCGGCTTCCCTTTGACTTTTTCTGCACTTTGCAACCGATGATCTTTCCCAGATAGATTTAATACTGTTCCTTTACTGAAAAACCTTCAGTAACCTCCCATTGCTGAAAGACAGATTACAAATTTCTGGCCTAGCTCCTATGATTTCTCCAGGCTTTGTATACCTTACATCCCCAGTCACAAGAAACTAGTTGCTGTTTCTTGAAAAACCCAAAGCCTTTCTTATGTCCCTGGAATACATACAGTGACTCCCTGGTCTCAGGAATTGCCTGCACCATTCTAAAAGTTTTCAGGTCGTGAATAGCTTACTTTTCCTTAATACCAAAGCCTACTTGTTAAGTCTTTAAAAAGAAGGATGGAGTAGAAGAGATTTAATGTGCTGTTAAAAAGAAAAGTTCACCCAGCCAATTTTTCCAAGTCCATAGAATACCTTGGATTTGAACCAAAGTGAGTGGGTGAACAGCTTCTCAGCTATGACACATAGGGAATTTAATGAACCCATTTTTCAGACTCTCTGTTTTAATACTAAGATTTTCCAAGAAGCCTCAGACACAGTCAGTAACTCTGTTCCTGCCATTGCAAATTGCTATTGGGAACAATAATATATAGCAGAAGACCAGACTAAGACTCACAATGTCTGGGCTCTGGTTCTGCCTTTGCCTCTTCCTCGTTTTGCATTTTCACGTGACTCACATAACTTCTCCCATATTTTGATTGTATATTGTTTTATAAAAGCCCCTTATAAAGAAATTTTAAAGTGCTGTTAGCTTCCTTAGAGTAATCCAGTTATCGGAAGGATCTAGATAAGATTGGGCTTTTGTACGCTACAATGTTCATATTCTAGACCTTAGGGAAAGGGAAACCCAGTGTCCCTGCCAAGATGTGTGGCTCTTCTCTGTGGAGTCATGGTCTCATGGTTCTTCTGGTTCTGGCTGCCTCCACTGACTTCTTGCTTTCCATTCTGCAACTTCATCTCTACCCTGTCTGCAATCCATTCCTTAGTTTTAATACTAAACAAAAAATTTCCTATTTACCCGAGGTTTTGAGTTGGTGGCAGTCTACGATCAATGTTTAGGGAGGTGGAGCCACATAGTCATCTTAAGATCAAACATCAGATATTCTTCTTAGTAGTCTTTTGGCTACATCCTTTGTTTCTGTACTCACTTCTCTCTTCCCTGTGCTTGCCTTTCAGAGTTAAAAAATATATGTAAAAAAAATTCTTTCTATGTCCTTCTATAGAGCAGCTTAACCTTCTTAAGCTCCTGCTTCCCAAAGCCCCTCTAAGCCTTCATCCAGAACTTTTATGATTTCCTTTTTTTCAGACATAAATCTTTGGATTATCTGATATTTGGTTTTCTTTAAGGATAACTTTTTAATGTTTTATTGTTTTGTAGAAACCAACACAAAGAGATAGGATATAAATTAGCAAACAGACCAAAAAAAGAAATGAATTAACTGACTGAAAAACAAAGATCAACAGGAGCATCTTCCTCAGAATGAAGCCCACAAAACTGTGTCACCAGGTGCAGTGAACATACTGGTACCCCGTTCAGATCCCCTCAGAATCTCCTCAGGCTATACTGCAACCTTCTTTGAAGGATGGCCCCTGGGCTATTGGAGCCACCTCCAGTTAGAAGGTTGGAGATGCCTGGGAGTTCACATCCCCCAAAATAGCTGGTAGCCAGCCACTGACTAGCATACAAAAGCCCAGCTCCCTAGCCTCAAGACAGGATGAACTCACAGATGTATCTTATGCTACACAGCTCTCCACAGGATCAGAGTGAGTCCAGGAAGTCATCTAAACCTGTACCCTGCTTGTCTGCATCCCCTTTCCTATCCTGCTTCCTTCACTCCCTTGCTAGTTTGACCTAGGTGCAATTTCTTAATAAATCACTTCCACCTGAAACTTTGGCTCAGAGTCCTGGGAGAAGTCAGTCGAAGACACTAGGTATTCCATTTTGGTGGACAGACAACGTGGGAATTCATCCTTTCATACATGTACATTGAATACCTCTTATACATACTGAGTACTATTAAAACACCTTCATGTTTATATGTATGATACAGTTCATACTTGCATGAAAAGTACAAATTTATTAATAAGATGTGGAGACTCACAGTATGATTTGAGACCACATATCACTTATTCATGCAGAAAATATTAAATATCCCCTAAATACACATGGTGGGTTCCCAAAGAGATGGGGAAGAAGTGCCCATAGCTTCATGATCAGGAAAGTCTTGGAGTGGGTCTTATGTTCTGGGTTTTAGAAGGCAGATAACATTTCCAAACAAAAAGTTGGAAGTGGAGGGTATGTTAACTGAGGGAAATAGTATGGGTAGTTGGACATGTAAGGTTGAGAACACAAAGAAAGCCATAGTGGCAAACGGGTTCCTGAGAGGATCCCCTGTCTTCTGAAAGACTGAATCTCTGCTATATAACTTCAACCTTTACTCACCCACCCATATCTCATGGTCATATAATATGATTCGGATCAGTGGGTCATTCTGCTCTTGCATAATGGACACACATCTTAGGGGACATGTTCAGGTATACAGAAAACATTACATATTTTTTCCTGTATAATTGTTCTTGTAAACCTCCATTCCACTGGGGTGGTAGAAATGTAATCTTCATTAAATTGTGTGTCCCTCTAGCTACACCTTCTTTCTCAAGTTGCATCATCTAAGTTCCAGGAGCCTTTGGGGGAATTTAGTAGGGCCCTGATAACCTTCAACTCAGCATCTGATACCTAGGTTATCAGGCATAGGCAAATCGCTGCTGAGTTGACCCTAATTCCTATACTCAAGCTGCCTTCAGGTCCCACTGCTATTCCCATGCTACACTATAGCATGATACACTCTAGCACTCTGGGAGTTGGCTTTCATGTTCTCCCAGAGTGGGTAAGAGGCAAGGTCTCATTTTTCCTTAAACTCCCATCATTTCCCTTTCCCCTCTTCTTTTCCCTGTACTCATAAAATAATATTTAGTGACAAGGCAGGAGTTGGTGCAAATATTATTCAGTTTTTTTCCCTCCCAAACATTGTTTATTCATTGAGCACTTTCCATCCTTAAGGGTTTTGAAACTCTGAAGTGAGAAAGAGACATCCTGTTCTCTTTCTGCTCTCATAGCTCGAAATGGAGGGTGGAAGAAAACATAAAAAATAACAGGGCAGGGAATAGAGTGAGGCATCTGAGGTACCTACAGCACAAAATGTAAGGACATACTCACTCTCAGGATCATATAAATGCTCACTCTACAGAACTCTGAGAATGAGAGCCTCCTAAATTTTGTGCCCTAAACACATCACTTGCCTCACCCTAATCCCAGACTTGGAAAGAAATACCAATCATTACCAAAAAAGCAGTTAAGAATAAAAATTTTAGCCTGACATAGATAAAATAAATGTCAACAGTGGCTCTCTCTTCATAGTGGATGATTGATGATATCTATGTTCTTTATTCTATTGAATATTTTTAATAATTTTCTCCAATAAACATGTAATAATTCTATAATTAAAAATAAAACTACATAAAATAAAATTACTGTAAAATATTGACAATTAGGAAAGCTAGGTGAGGTATGTATGGGGGTTCTTTGTACTATTCTTACAGTTTTTCTGTGAGCTTGAGATTATTTCAAATTAAAAATTTGTTTAAGTCATGAAAAATCAAAAGCTTTATTCAAAATTTTAAAAATATATATTAAAATAGTTAAAACCCCCCTGGTCCAAAGTATGTTGGAGACCGTCCCAAAATATTTGTAAGTCTTGGAGGTCAACATAGTTTCTCCAACTTTGCCTATATGGGCTACTTGGTGGCTGTTTGGATCACCAAATTTAGGAAACTTTAAAAAAAGATTCATTTACATTTTTATAGTGAATAAAGGTTAGTGTGTGTGAAACAGATGATGTTACTTGAAGACTTTCGAAAAGAATTTCTATACAGCTTGAGCTGTAGGTCAAGCTCTACATCCAGTGGAGTTTTTATTTTTATTTTTTGGTTTATTTTCTAATGTTATACCTGCTAAAGTAGTTGACCTTAAGCTCCACTCCAGATCATTTGGACTGGCAGCATGTTTTGGTTATCACTGTTAGCTACTCCTCAATATATGATCAAGTGTAAGCCCTGAAATCACTAAGCAATTTCTCACTGATGCCATTTTCAACACTACATGAACATATGCCCCATACTAGAAAGGTAAATATTTCAACTTGGAATAGAGAAAAAATGGATTCTTTTTGTTTGTTTTTGTTTTTGAGATGAAGTCTTCCTCTGTTGCCCAGGCTGGAGTGCAGTGGCGATCTCGGCTCACTGCAACATTTGCCTCCCGGATTCAAGCGATTCTCCTGCCTCAGCCTCCCGAGTAGCTGGGATTATAGGTGCCCGCCACCACGCCCGGCTAATTTTTGTATTTTTAGTAGAGACAGGGTTTCACCATGTTGGCCAGGCTGGTCTCGAACTCCTGATCTCAGGTGACCTGCCCTTAGCAAATTTCAAGTATACAATATAGTATTAACTGCTGTCACTATGCTGTACAATAGATATCCAGAACTTATGCATCTTGTCTAGCTGAAACTTTATACTCTGTGACCAACCGGGGCTGGGTTGGAGGGATGTGGGTTTTAAATGTATGGGTAAAATATGGGATATGGGTAAAAAAAGAATACACTTTATGCTTTGGAGAAGTTTTAGGTTTACAACAAAATTAAACAAAAACTGCAGAAAATTCCCAGATACTTTCTACCACACATATGCACAGCCTCTCCAACTATCAACATCTTCCAGAGAATGGTAGACTTGTTACAATCAATGTACCTACATTGACAACTCTGTGTCACCCGTAGTCCATAGTTTACCTTAAGTTTCACTCTTATGTTGTACATTCAGTGGGTTTTGACACGTCTATACTGGCATGTATCCACTATTATATGAAATGGCTATGTAACTATTCTGAATGGTATTATAATAGTGAGAATAGATCCTCTGTGCTTCACTTATTTGTCACTCCTTCACATTAACCTCTGGCAACCACTGATCCTTTTATTGTCTTCATAGTTTTGCCTTTTCCAGGATGTCACATAGTTGGAATCAGGCAGTATGTAGCCTTTTCAGATTAGCTTCTTTCACTTAGTAATATGTACCTAAGTTTCCCCCCTGTCTTTTTATGGCTCAGTAGCTCATTCTTTTTAGTGCTGAATATGATTCCATCGTTGGATGTACTACAGTTTATCCATTCATCTACTGAAGGACATCTTGGTAGCTGCCAAGTTTTTGGCAATTATGAATTAAGTTGCTTTAAACATGAGTGTACGGGTTTTGTGTGGACATAAGTTTTCAGCTCCTTTGGGTAAATACCAAGGAGTATGTTTAATTTTCTAAGAAACTGCCAAACTGTCTTCCAAAGTGGCTATCTCATTTTGCAATAAATGAGAGTTCACATCCTTGCCAGCATTTGGTATTGTCAGTGTTTTGAGTTTTGGCTGTTCTAATAGATGTGTAGAGGTATCTCATTGTTGTTTTAATTTGCATTTCCCTAATGATATGTGATGTGGAACATCTCTTAACATGCTTATTTCCCATTTGTGTATCTTCCTTGAAAAGGTATCTGTTCAGAGTATTTGCCAATCTCCCTTCCAACTTAATTGAGACAAATTAATGACAAATTAAACTTAATGACAAATTAAAAATTATATATTTTAAAAGTGTACAATGTACTATTTTGGTATATGTATACACTGTAAAGTGATTACCACTATCAAGCTAATTAACATATCCATTACCTCATATGGTTACCTTTTTTTGGTGAGAATATTTAAGTTCTACTTTCTTAGTGAATTCCAAGTATATGATATGTTATTGTTAACTATAGTCACTATGCTATACATTAGATCTCCAGAACTTATTTCTTCTGCATAACTGAATCTTTGTATCCTTTGACCAACATTTCCCCATTTCCTCTGTCCTATATCCCGTGGCAAACACCATTCATTCTACCTTCTGCTTCTATGAGTTCGACTTGTTTAGATTCTACATAAAAGAGTTATCATGCAGTATTCATCTTTCTGTGCCTGGCTTATTTAACTTAGCATCATGTCCTCCAAATTCACCTATGTTGTTGCAAATGACAGGATTTCCTACTTTTTTTTTTTTTTTTTTTTGAGACGGAGTCTCTGTCGCCCAGGCTGGAGGGCAGTGGCGCAATCTCGGCTCACTGGAAGCTCACCTCCTGGGTTCACGCCATTCTCCTGCCTCAGCCTCCGGAGTAGCTGGGACTACAGGCGCCTGCTACCACGCCCGGCTAATTTTTTCTGTATTTTTTTAGTAGAGACGGGGTTTCACAGTGTTAGCCAGGATGGTCTCCATCTCCCGACCTCGTGATCCGCCCACCTTGGCCTCCCAAAATGCTGGGATTACAGGCGTGAGCCACCGCGACCGGCTGATTTCCTACTTTTTAAAGGTAGAATAATATTCCATTGTGTATATGTGTAAATATGTGTGTGTGTGTGTGTGTGTGTGTGTGTGTGTGTGTGCTGCAATGCATCTGGGAATGTAGATATCTTTTCAAGATACTGATTTTATGTCTTTTGGATGTGTTTCCAGAAATGGAATTGCTGGATCATAGAGTAGTACTAGTTTTAATTATTTGAGGAAGCTCTATATGGTTTTCCATAGTGGCTGTGCCAATTTACATTCCCACCAACCGTATACAAGAATTTCAATTTCTGTATATGCTTGCCAACATTTGCTATCTTTTGATGTTTTGATAATAGCCATTCTAAGGTATAAGGTAATATCTCATTTCAGTTTTGCTTTATTTTCTTTATTTTTTTGAGATGGAGTCTCACTCTGTCACCCAGGCTGGAGTGCAGTGGCACGATTATGGTTCAGTGCAACCTCCATCTCCCTGGTTCAAGCAATTCTTCTGCCTCAGGCTCCTGAGTAACTGGGATTACAAGCATGCACCACCACTCCCGGCTAATTTTTGTATTTTTAGTAGAGACAGGGTTCCACCATATTGGCCAGGCTAGTCTCAAATTCCTGACCTCAGGTGATCCGCCCACCTCAGCCTCCCAAAGCGCTGGGATTATAGGTGTGAGCCACTGTGCCTGCCTTAGTTTTGATTTTCATTTCCCTGATGATTAGTGATGTTGAGCATTTTCTTTCATGTACTGTTTGGCCATTTATATGTCTTCTTTTTAAACTATTTTTAGTTGTTTAAATTTATGGCATAGTATGTCTTCATCTAAGAAATGTCTATTCAGGTCTTTTCCCCATTTTTAAATTGTGTTTATCTGTTTTCTCGCTATTGAGTTCTTGTTCATTTTCTTATTATTAACTTTTAAGAGTTCATTGTATATTTTTATTAATAGTCCTTTATTAAATATGCATTTTGCAAATATTTTCTCCCAGTCTATGGCTTGTTTGTTTTCTCATTCTCTTGACAGTGTTCCACAGAGCAGAAGTTTTCATTTTAATTAAGTCCAGCTTATCAATTATTTATTTCATGGACCATCACTTTGGTGTTGTATCTAAAAAGTCATCACTATGCCCAAAGTCATCTAGATTCTCTCCTGTGTTGTCTTCTAGGAGTGTTATGGTTTTGCATTTTACATTTCGTTCTATGGTCTATTTTGAATCAGTTTTCGTGAAGGGTGTAAAGTCTGTGTCTAGATTCATTTTTTTCTATGTGTCCAGTTGTTCCAATATCATTTGTTGAAAAGACTATGTTTTCTACATTGTATTACCTTTGCTCCTTTGTCAAAAATCAGTTGCCTGTATTTATATGTGGGTCTATTTCTGGGATGTCTATTATTCTGTTCTGTTGATCTACTGTCTATTCTTTTGCCAATAACACTGCTTGGTGCTGTACTTTATAGCAAGTCTTAAAAGTCGAATAGTTTCAATTCTCCAACTTTGCTTTTATCTAATATTGTGTTAGTTATTTTGGGTCTTTTGGGTCTTTGTATAAACTTTAGAATCAGTTTGTTGAAAACAACAAAATAACTTACTAGGATTTTGACTGGGATTGTGTTGAATCTAGAGAATAAATTAAGAAAAATAGCTATCTTGATAATAGTGAGTCTTCCTACCCATGAACATGAACTATCTCTTTATTGTTTTAGTTCTTCTTGGATTTCCCTATCAGAGCTTTGTAGTTTCTTTCATATAGATCTTGTTGCTGCCCTTTTAAAAGTATATACATAGAAAGACATATATGTAATGTGTTGCAATTTATGTTTAAAGTTTTCCCAACTATTTATTTTATTACTCTACTTGCATAACATGGTAAAATAAAACCAAGCTATTGGCCAATTTCTGAAAGTTTCCCATAAACAACAATTAGGTGGTGACAATTGCTATAAATGGTGGCAACTTTTGATCAAGACTGTCATGGAAGGGCCCTGTAGATATGTTTCATTTCCAACAAGAATATGACATCATGGCTAACATAAACTGTACTAACATTGATAGTTACAGCTGGTTACAATTCCGAATCTCTTTCATGAAGCTAGCAAGGCAGGTGAAATAATTTTTTAAAGTCTTATAATGGTTAAGATCAAGAAATATAGAAATACATGGAAAAGTGTTAGGAGTGTTCCTGATTACTGATTAAAGGAGACTAAAGAGACATGACAATTAAATGTAGTGCATTATTCTGGACTGGCAGAAACACAGCAATAGAAGGTGAATTAAAATCCATAAACTTTAATATGGATAGTGAACTAGATAATAGTATTGTATCAATGTTAAATTTCCTGATTTTGATAATTGCACAGTGCTTATCTAAGAGAATCTCCTAGTACTTTAGAAATACACACTGAAGTATTTAATGGTACAATGTTTCCCTTTTCCAAATGATACAGAAAGAATACATACATTTGCATATACAAAGTGAGAATGATAAAGCAAATGCAGACAAATGTACGCAAACTGGGTAAAGAGTATATGAAAATCTGTACGAGTCCTTGCAATTTTTCTGTAAGTTAAGAAAGGTTTGCAACTATGGGACAGGCATGGTGGCTCACGCCTGTAATCCCAGCACTTTGAGAGACTGAGGCAGGTGGATCACTTGAGTTCAGGAGTTTGAGACCAGCCTGGCCAAAATGGTGAAACCGCATCTCTACTAAAAACACACAAAAAATTAGCTTGGTGTGGTGGCGCATGCCTGCAATCCCAGCTACTTGGGAGGCTGAGGCATGAGAATCACTTGAACCCAGGCAGTGTAGGTTGTGGTGAGCCGAGATTGCACCACTGCACTCCAGCCTGGGCGACAGAGGGAGACACCATCTCACATACACAAACACACACACACAGGTTTACAACTATGTCTTTGACATAGTTTCTTGATTTCATTCTAATAATCTAGATTTTTTTTTTTTTTTATCTCACTCAATAGCTGCAGTTAGACTATTTGGCCTAAATATGTAAACATAAGAGGAAAATTTTTTAAGTATCACATACTGTTCTAACAATACATAGCTGCTAGATGGGATATATAAACTTGAAGAGAAAGAAAAGTTTCTTCATAGAATCTTACACCATTTTGTTCTGCTATTCATGATATTAACTCTGATTAAAGATGACAGGGCTGTAAGTAGTTTTTTCCTTTAGTGAAGGAGATCTGGGAGAAGATGGTATATCTCTTTCTTTTCATGAGAAATTGGAAGCATTTAGGAGTAAAGGGCTGTGACATCAGCAATTTTACTCACAAATGATCCAGAAAATAAAAATATGAGAGAGGTCCGGGCATGGTGGCTCACGCCTGTAATCCCAGCACTTTGGGAGGCTGAGGCAGGCAGATCACGAGATCAAGAGATCGAGACCATCCTGGCTAAGGCTGTGAAACCCTGTCTCTACTAAAAATACAAAAAAATTAGCTGGGACTGGTGGCAGGCGCCTGTAGTCCCAGCTGCTCGGGAGGCTGAGGCAGGAGAATGGTGTGAACCCGGGAGGCGGAGCTTGCAGTGAGCCGAGATCGCGCCACTGCACTCCAGCCTGGGCAACAGCGAGACTCCGTCTCAAAAAAAAAAAAAAAAAAAAAAAAAGAGAGAATGAGAAAGAGAGAGAGAGAGACTAATAAAGCAAAGGTGGCATAACTTTAACAAGTGGTGAATTGCAATAAAGAGTATACAAGAAGCCGGGCGCCGTGGCTCATGCCTGTAATCCCAGCACTTTGGGAGGCTGAGACAGGCGGATCACAATGTCAGGAGATCGAGACCATCCTGGCTAACATGGTGAAACTCCGTCTCTACTAAAAATACAAAAAATTAGCCGGGCGTGTTGGTGGGTGCCTGTAGCCCCAGCTACTCTGGAGGCTGAGGCAGGAGAATGGCGTGAACCCGGGAGGCGGAGCTTGCAGTGAGCGGGGATCGCACCATTGCACTCCAGCTTGGCGAACAGAGCGAGACTCAGTCGCAAAAAAAAAAAAAAAAAAAAAAAAAAAGGATACAATAGTTCTTTGTACCATCTCTTTCTCTCTCTTGAAATTTTTCTGTTTTTTAAAAATTATTTCAAAATTTTAAAATTACAGGAAAATATCAACAAATATATTATGAATTCTCATATAGTCCCTTCTCCTCATAACCCTCATTCTCTATTATCACTACTAATTCCAGGTAACATGATCGTCTTTATAAGTTGTCTACAATGGCAAATGCCTAACTCCACCTCAGTTTGCTACTGCATTTTTCTCAGCCTGCATCTCAAACACTGTGACTACCTATACGTGAGTATGAGTCAGTTGAGAACTTCAATGTTCAGAGAAAATCCATCAGGATTGGTCAGAATGGCCAGGATCATTTGGCAGCTTATACAATTAAGCAAGTGTGTAGCATCAATATGCCCTTTTTGTGTGTGTGTGAGAAGGAGTCTCGCTCTGTCGCCCGGACTGGAGTGCAGTGGTGCGATCTCGGCTCACTGCAAGCTCCGCCTCCCGGGTTCACGCCATTCTCCTGCCTCAGCCTCCGCAGTAGCTGGGACTACAGGCACCCGCCAACACGCCCGGCTACTTTTTTGTATTTTTTAGTAGAGACGGGGTCTCACTGTGTTAGCCAGGATGGTCTCCATCTCCTGACCTCGTGATCCACCCGCCTCGGCCTCCCAAAGTGCTGGGATTACAGGTGTGAGCCACCGCGCCCGGCTGCCCATTTTTAAATCTATGCTGTTCAGTTGAAATCCTAAAAACGTAACAGAAGCTACTTTGCATTGAAAACAGATTACTTTGAGGTTTTCTATTTGCATAAATACTGAGTGACTGAGGGCTCTGCAACTGCTGTCTGCAGCTGACCTGATGTAGTGCCCTTTGGCCTCTCCAGACTTCCAGTCTCTGTGTTTACAATATTTATTTTCATGATTTCCTTCAGTATTAAGTCAAGGTCAATTAGCATATCATTCCTCACCAAAACAGTGAATAAAGCAGTATGTGGATTGACATTCAGTCCAACCTTTTTTATTTGCATATTGGTGCCCTCCCTTGCTGTCTATGTAATCAGTCCAGATATAAAAGCACACTTTCCAGACTAGTAATATTATAAAAAATAATATTAATTAGTAATATTACTAATTTATTTTATTGGATTTCAGATATTTAAGATAGCTAATAAGTAATTTATATTTAGTAGAGGATTTGAAAAGGAAGATATGTAATCATATGGTTATCTATGCTCAGGAATGTTTGGTGAAAAATATTTTGTAAATAATTTAGTGTAAAATATAATCAGTGGAATTAGATGAATATGTTTCAATCAGTGGAGTATTTGGGGACTGATATGGTTTGGATATTTGTCCTGCCGAAATCTCACTTTGAAATGTAATCTTCAGTGTTGGAGGTGGGGCCTGATAGGAGGTGTTTGGGTCATGGGCTAGATCCCTCTTGGCTTGGGGCTATCCTCACGGTAGTGAGTGTGTACTCCTGAGGTCTGGTTATTTAAAAGTGTGGCACCTCCCCTCCCTTGCTCCCACTGTCACCATGTGACGTGGCTGCTCCTGTTTCACTTTCTGCCATGAGCAAAAGCTCCTTGAGGGCCCCATCAAAAGCTAAGCAGATGTTAGTGCCATGCATATGCAGACTACAGAACCGTGAGCCAATTAAACTTCTTTTCTTATTAAATTATCCAGTCTCAGGTATTTCTTTACAGCAACGCAAAGACTGGTCTAGCACAAGAGCATAGGCATTATAAAAAAGAAACGTTTGTATAGTTTCTACAGTTTTGTAGTCAAAAAGTGAAGTGAGACAAGAAAAGAGGTGGGATCTGACCAAGGGTGATGGAGATCTTGACTGAAAACAGGTTGCATAACCATATGATTGCATGCTAATGACTTCTGCCCGTGTGAATTATATTGTAATGGGCAATGTTGCAGGAAAATAAAATAAGTTGTATACCAGAGGTAATGGAGCACTTAGGGGTTTATTGGAAATATGTCATTAGACAAAGTTTGAGGAAAAGACTTAAAAATTAAGGCTGGGCACAGGTGGCTCACTCCTGTAATCCTAGAGCTTTAGGAGGCTGAGGTGGGAGAATCGATCACTTGAGGCCAGGAGTTTGACACTAGCCTAGGCAACATAGTGAGAACTATGTCTCTGCAAAAAATAAAAAAAATTAGCCAGGTATGATGGTGTCTGCTTTTAATCCCAGCTACTCAGGAGGCTGAAGCAGGAGGACTGCTTTGAGCCCAGGAGTTTGTGCCTGCAGTGAGCTATGATCACACCACCATACTCCTGCCTGGGCAATAGAGTAAGACCCTACACCTATAATATATATATATATATGTATTAAATTATCTGGCATAGATTTTAGATAAAAGGAATATACTGCACCTGTGAGTTCCTCAGTATCTTGGCCACCATGTGCACCTATTGTTTCTTCCCCTGGTGTAGTTACAACCTGTGGAAACCAACCAAGAATCTGTGGATCCATATGGACTCACTTGTCTTGCTTATCAGTGCTACCATATGGAGAAAATCTGGAAAGGGGGACAACGAAGCTTCCTATTCTCACTGCTTTTGAGCATTGACTTGATATGAACATGAGAGGAGCTGGCTATTCTGGCTATTTCCCCAGTCCTTACAGGAGATGGGAGACCAAGGTGAGATGGTTCAAACTCAAAAAAGAAAACATTCTCCTGTAAGATGGGCTTTGATAATAAATAGAACAAGAAGTCATTGAGCAATCTTCCCTATTTGCCAAGAGCTGACTCCTGCTCTGCACAGAATAGCTTTGTCCAACTAAAGAGATAAACATCTGTGAGAATACATACATTATAATTTATTTTCTACGTCCAATAATGTCATTTGATAAATCAGTTTTGCGCCAATAGTTCATTCTCTTAGCTCTCCAAGCTTCTTTGTCATTAATTTTGTTGCGTGAATTTCCAAGATTTGTTAACAACAATGTAATTTTTTTTTTTTTTGAGACAGAGTTCTCACTCTGTCGCCCAGGCTGGAGTGCAGTGGCGCAATCTCGGCTCACTGCAAGCTCCGCCTCCCGGGTTCACACCATTCTCCTGCCTCAGCCTTCCGAGTAGCTGGGACTACAGGCGCCCGCCAACACGCCTGGCTAATTTTTTGTATTTTCAGTAGAGACGGGGTTTCACAGTGTTAGCCAGGGTGATCTCGATCTCCTGACCTCGTGATCCACCCACCTCGGCCTCCCAAAGTGCTGGGATTACAGGCATGCGCCACCACACCCAGCCAACAATAATGGAATTTATTCCTGTTTTTGTTACCTAGAGTGCAACGTTGAATGATGTTTTTCTAGTTTGGGTCTCTTCTCCTATGTTTGTAACAAGACTTACTAGCTTTATTAGAAGTCATTATTTTGCACTAATTCAAGAAAGACACACAATAGATTTTTACCAGCAAGGTCACTGCTCCTTTTTGAAAACAAAATTACATTTTGATGAATTTATACCAGTAATTGACAAAGTTTTAGAACAGACTATATACTGTGGACTAGGGAAAAATGAATTTCTGAGCTCCCCACGAAATGTCCAAATAGTCATAGTCATATAAAAAATCTAGTTGTATACACATATCCATTATATATTTGTCCTAAAGATCTGTGACAACTCATCAGGAGCTACTTGTTTTTGTTTGTTTGTTTGTTTGTTTTGTTTTGTTTTAAACGGAGTCTCACTCTGTTGCCCAGGCTGGAGTGCAGTGGTATGGTATCGGCTGACTGTAACCTCCAACTCCCGGGTTCAAGCAATTCTCCTGCCTCAGCCTCCCAAGCAGCTAGGATGGCAGGCACGTGCCACCATGCCCGGCTAATTTTTGTATTTTAGTAAAGACAGGGTTTCACCATGTTGGCCAGGCTGGTCTTGAACTCCAGGCCTCAAGTGGTCTGCCCGCCTTGGCCTCCCAAAGTGCTGGAATCACAGGTGTGAGCCACCACACCCAGCAAGAGATCCTTGTTTCAATCCACTTTTAAAAGTCTTAAGTCCCCTCACCGTCCATAAAACAGTTTTTTCCTCTCCAGAAAGGGATGGGGAAGGGATGAAAGTTAAAATTTGAGGACAGCTGTTAACTACGTTTCTCAAGAAAGTCACATTAAAATCTCTGAACATCGGCCTGCCGCGGTGGCTCAAGCTTGTCATCCCAACACTTTGGGATGCCGAGGTGGGTGGATCACGAGGTTAGGAGTTCAAGACCAGCCTGGCCAAGATGGTGAAACTCCGTCTCTACTAAAAATACAAAAATGAGCTGAGTGTGGTGGCAGGCGCCTGTAATCCCAGCTACTGGGGAGGCTGAGGCAGGAGAATTGCTTGAACCCAGGAGGTGGATCTTGCAGTGAGCCGAGATCATGCCACTGCACTCCAGCCTCAGTGACCGAGTAAGACTCCATCTCAAAAAAAAAAAAAAAATCTCTGAACATCATTCTCAGAAAAATAAATTGTATTCTATTTTATTGTTACAAATTAAACATTTAATACTTGCACATGACTTCAAAAAAACTGTTGCAAAATTTGTGGCAAATAGTTGGGCAGTTCCTCAAAAAGTTCAGTATAGAGTTACTATGTGACTCAGCAATTCTACTCCTAGGTATATACCCAAGAGAAATAAAAATAGACAAAAATGTGTATGCAGATTTCATAACAGTATTATTCATGATAGCCAAAGAGAAAAACGACCCAAATGTCCATCAACTGATGAGTTAATAGAGAAAATATGGTATATTCATACAATGAAATATTATTCATCCATAAAAAGGTAGGGAGCAGTGATACATGCTACAACATGAACCATGAGAATACACTAAGTGAAAGATGCCACCATAAAAGACTGCATATTGTATGATTCCATTTATATGAAATACCCAGAATAGGCAAATCCACAGGACAGAAATTAGATTAGTGGTGCCTATGAGCTGGGAATTCCCTAGAGGGAGAATGGAGAGTGACTGCTAAAGGATGTGGGGTTTCTTTTGTGGCGACAAAAATGTTCTGAAATTAGATAGTGATGATGGTGGCACACCTCTCTGAATATACTAAAAAAAACATTGAATTGTGCACTTTCAATGAGTGACCTTTTTTTAAGACAGCAGACTTAGGATGAGTTTTATGGTATATAAATCATAACCCAATGAAACTGTTATTTTTTAAAATGTGCTAAATTTTTATTTAATAATGCAACTAAAGAGCAGAGAGGAACTTGCTCATGAAGCTAAGCTCAAGTGGGTAGTGGAGTTATGATTGGATGTCATCCCTGCCAATCTTTACTGCCCTAAGCGGGGTTATATTGGGGGTTGGAGCAAACATCTCCTTTAAAGCCAGTGTCTGGTTGAGAGGATAATCTCCCCTTCCCTAATGCCTTCCCCTCAAAAAAGTTGGAGGATCTCACAGCAGAGGTTTAAGGATTATTTAAGAAAAGGACTGAAACCGTCCGGGCATGGTGGCTCACGCCTGTAATCCCAGCATTTTTGGAGGCCAAGGGAGACAGATCTCCTGAGGTCAGGAGTTCGAGACCAGCCTGCCCAACATGGTGAAACCCCATCTCTACTAAAAATACAAAAAATTAGCTGGGCGTGGTGGCGGGTGCCTGTAATCCCAGCTACTCAGGAGGCTGAGGCAGGAGAATCACTTGAACCCGGGAGGCAGAGGATGCAGTGAGCTGAGATTGGGCCACTGCACTCCAGCCTGGGCAACAAGAGTGAAACTCCATCTCAAAAAAAAAAAAAAAAAAGGACTGAAACCAATGTGATAGTACCTGAATGTTGTTCATTATGATTTTCCGTTAAGCAGTTGTTCTCAACCTTGTCAGCATGTTGGAATCACCTGGGGAGTTTTAACAATACCAATGCCTGGGTCCCACCTCCAGAGATTCTGACTTACCTGTTCTGAGGTGTGGCCTGAGGACTGGAACTTTAAAAGCTCCCCAAGTGATTCCAGTGTGCAAGCAAGGTTGGGGGGCATTGCCATGGAGAAAAAGGAGCAGCAGAATATTTCACTAATTACTGTTTCTTTGGAGTTCTGAAATTTCCACTTATTGTTCATTTTTAAAGGCTTGAAATTGGGCTTAGCCCAAATAAATGATGTTGACAAATGCCTAGAATAGCTAAATTATTCTTAGTAGTAGTATTTCAGTTACTGTTTTCATTACTAACTTTTGGCTTCCAAGAGCCATGTTATTAAGTTTGACAAAAGTAAACAATCACATAGAAATAACTCCAAAACACTCTGGCAAAGATAATCTATATCTGGTTAACTGAACTTTAGTCAAAATGAGCAGTTCAGATCCTTCTTTAAGACTGAAATTGCTGATGTACCTTCAGAACAGTGTAGAAAAAAAAGACTGTAATACTTATAAGAACGTAATCAGCTTTCTCAGAAAGTCACAGTTAATCTTTTATTTCAAAAGAATGAGTAATATTGTTTATTGCTTTTTCTTCAGAAAACTCCAAAGTGCTTGAGAACCACAAACCAATGCTTCTGAAATCATACCTTCAGAAACACTTTTAGTGGCTCATCATTTCCATCAACAGTGAACTATGCCCGAGGCCACATCTGTAAAGCTTTTTATGGTTCCTTTGACTTATTTAAATGTATTTTTTAAATCAAAATTTTACTTGTAAATGTGAACATTTATGTATACATATTGTATTTCAATAAAATATTTTAATTATACACATGAATAATAATTTTTTTTTTCCCAGACAGAGTTTTGCCCTTACTTCCCAGGCTGGAATGCAATGGCACGATCTCGGCTCACTGCAACCCCCGCCTCCCAGTTCAAGCGATTCTCCTGTCTCAGCCTCCCAAGTAGCTGGGATTACAGGCATGTGCCACCAGACCTGGCTAATTTTGTCTTTTTAGTAGAGATGGGATTACACCATGTTGGCTACACCGGTCTCAAACTCCTGACCTCGGGTGATCTGCCCACCATGAATAATTTTTAAAGGTCAAATAGTTCAATAAACTTGACAGTAAAAAATAGCACACCTTTCCCCATTTTTCCTTTCCACTCCCCATAAGTAACCTGTTTAAGCATTTTTTTTTGGTACTTACTACCATATTTCTAAATACCAGTTTATGAGGCCATTTTTAAAAATTTTTCAAAATTAAATATTAGCTATTCTTTTCCAAATGGAAATTCAGAATTTATTTTTCTTACATTTCCATTTTCCTTTCCTCACTTTCACTTCCTCTCATCCCATTTTTCCAATATATTTAAATCACAATTTGTGGTTAGCTTAATATTCATAGTAATTTTATTATGAACTATGTAACTGTTTATTACTGAGCCACATAGAAAATTGTGATTATATCTCCTTTCTGTGCAATTTTTTGTGCATGCAACCTGTGAATATATAATTGCCTTGGTTTTTTGTTTAATATTTCACATATTTAGCATTAATTCATTCTCAAAATATTTGTGAGAATCATAAAACTTTTCCCAATGGCTATAAACACATAGAAGTTTATCAGTGCAATTGCTTGATATTTCTCCTGGAGCCCTCTGTTCTGTCCTAGCCTAGGCTGATTGCTTTCTAGGTGGGCTACACAGCTGTCTTGACTTCATTTTACTAAAATTCAAGGAATTCCCTTCTCTGGTTTATTGTATCTTGGATTCTGTAGTTTTCTCCTTCTTGGTTTATACCTGCATATTGTCTGGATTCTATAGTTTTCTCCTTCTTGGTTTATACCTGTATTTTGTGAGGCATATCCTCCACTGGAAGATAAATTATTTAAGACCTAGTATTTCTAACTGCATTTATTCTACACTTACTATTGAGTGGTTTGTCTATAGAATTCTATGTTGTAAATAACTTTATCTTGCATTTTAGAAGACATTGCTCAAAGTCTTCTGGATTTCAGTGTTTTCACTGAGCAGTTGTAGAATGCTTTATTTCAATTGTAGTAAACTTTCAAGATGATGTATCTTGACATAGTTCATTGTAATGTATTTTTCCAGGCACTCATTAACCCTTGCAATCTGGAAATCCATGTCCTTTAATTTGGAGAAATTTTGTCTTAACTCTTTGAAAATGTCTCCCCTCTATTTGCTCTGTTTTCTCTTTCCAGAACTCTTATTTGTTGGATGTTGGACTTCCTGGACTAGATGCCCTCACTAATTTTCATATTTTTTTCTTCTATTTTTCCATATCTTTGATTTTTGTTCTGCTTTCTAGGGGACTTCCTCTGTTGTAATTTTCAACCTTTCTATTGCAAAGGGCCTACAGGTCCCATGCAAGTTTGAAATCCAATAGGGCAGTCATTGAAACTTAAAGTTCCAAAATGATTTCCTTTGACTCCATGTCTCACATCCATGTCATGCCGATGCAAGAACTTGGCTCCCATGGCCTTAGGAAGCTCCACTTCTGTGACTTTGCAGGGTACAGCACCCCTCCCAGGTGCTTTCATGGGCTGGCGTTGAGTGTCTGCAGCTTTTCCAGGTGCACACTGCAAGCTGTTGGTGGATCTACCATTCTGGGGTCTGTAGGATGGTGGCCCTCTTCTCACAGCTCCACTAGGCAGTGCCCCAGTGGAGACTCTATGTGTGGGTTCCCACCCCACATTTCCCTTCTGCACTGTCCTAGTAGAGGTTCTCCATGAGGGCTCCACCCCTACAGCACATCTCTGCCTGGCCATCCAGGTATTTCCATACATCCTCTGAAATCTGGGAGGAGGTTCCCAAACTTTAATTCTTGACTTCTGTGTACCTGCAGGCCCAGCACCACATGTAAGCCACCAAAGCCTGGAACTTGCATCCTCTGAAGCAACAGCCTGAGCTGTACATTGGCCCCTTTTAGCCACAGCTGGAGCTGAAGCAGCTGGGACGCAGCACATCATATTGCATAGAGCAGGGGAGCTGCATAGAGAAGCGGGGGGCCCTGGGCCCAGCCCACAGAATTATTTTTGCCTCCTAGACCTCCAGGCTTGTGATGGGAGGGGCTGCCATGAAGGTCTCTGACATGCCCTGGAGACACTTTCCCCATTGTCTTGGTGATTAACATTTGGCTTCTCTTTACTTATGTAAATTTATGCAGCAGGCTTGAATTTCTCCCCAGAAAATGGGGTTTTCTTTTCTATTGCATCATCAGGCTGCAAATTTTCTGAAATTTTATGCTCTGCTTCCTCTTGAACACTTTGTTACTTAGAAATTCCTTCTGCCAGATACCCTAAATCGTCTCTCTCAAGTTCAAAGTTCCACAGATCTCTAGGGCAGAGGCAAAAGGCTGCCAGTCTCTTTGCATAGCAAGAGTGACCTTTACTCCAGTTCCCAAGAAGTTCCTCATTTCCACCTGAAACCACCTCAGCCTGGACTTTATTGGCCATATCACTATCAGCATTTTGGTCAAAGCCATTCAACAAGTCTCTAGGAAGTTCCAAACTTTCCCACATTTTCCTGCCTTCTTCTGAGCCCTCCAAACTATTCCAACCTCTGCCCGTTACCCAGTTCCAAAGTCACTTCCACATTTCAGGTATCCTTACAGTACCACCCCACTCCTGGTACCAATTTACTGTATTAGTACATTTTCATACTGCTTTGAAGAAATACCTGAGACTGGGTAATTTATAAAGAAAAACAGGTTTAATGGACTTAGAATTTGACATGGCTGGGGAGGCCACAAAATCATGGTGGAAGGCAAAGTGGGGGCAAAGGCACATCTTACATGGCAGCAAGCAAGAGAGCATGTGCAGGGGAACTGCCCTTTATAAAACCATCAGATCTCATGAGACTTTTTCGCTATCATGAGAATAGTGTAGGAAAAACCCATCCCCATGATTCAATTACCTCCCACTGGTCCCTCCCATGACATGTGGGGATTACGGGAGCTATAATTCAAGATGAGATTTGGGTGGGGACACAGCCAAACCATATCACTCCCCAAATTGAACTCTGAATTCAGTGCAATTCCAATAAAAATCCCAGCAGGATTTTATACAGAATTTGACAAGCTGATTCTAAAATTCAAATGAAAATGCAAAGGTCCTACAACAGCTAAAATCACTTTGAGAAAGAAGAACAAAGCTGGAAGACTAACACCACTTACTTTCAAAAGGAATAAAGCTATGGACATCAAGACAGGGTGGTATTGGCATGAAGAGAGACAAATAGAGCAATGGAATAGGATAGAAAGAAGAGAAATAGACCCATACATATATGGACAACTGATTTCCCCAAAGTATGCAGAGGCAATTCGGTGGAGAAATTATAGTCTTTTCAACAAATGCCTCCACAGGAACAATTGGGCATCCATATGCATGAAACAAAAACAAAACAAAAAAATTAAAAAACAAAGCCTTTGGCCAAGCACAGTGGCTTACATCTGTAATCCCAGCACTTTAGGAAGCTGAGGTTGGAGGACTGCTTGAGGCTTGGAACTCAAGACTAGCCTGGGCAACATAGTGAGATCCCATCTCTTAAAAAAAGAAAAAACCTGGGTGTGGTGGTGTGCACTGGTAGTCCTAACTACTCAGGAGGCTGAGGTAGGAGGATAACTTGAGCCTAGGAGTTGGAGGCTGCAGTGGGCTAGGATTGCACCACTGCACGCCAACCTGGGTGACAAAGCCAGATTCTGTCTCAAAAAAATTTTAAAAATTAAAAATTAAAAAAATTTCAATTAATGGCTTTTACCCTATACAAAAATTAACTCAAAATGGATCGGGACATAAATATAAAACTATAACGCTCCCAGGAGAAAACATTAAGAGAAAATTTTTGTGACTTTGGATTAGGCAAAGACTGCTTAAATATAATGTCAAAAGCACAATCCATAAAAGAATAAATTGATAGAGGCTGGGTGCAGTGGCTCATGCCTGTAATCCTAGCACTTTGGGAGGCCACAGCAGGCAGATCACCTCAGGTCAGGAGTTTGAGACCAGCCTGCCCAACGTGTTGAAACCCCATCTGTACTAAAAATACAAAAATTAGCTGGGCTTGGTGGCACAGGCCTGTAATCCCAGCTACTTAGGAGGCTGAGGCAGGAAGATCGCTTGAACCCTAGAAGCCAAGGTTGCAGTGAGTTGAGATTGCACCACTGCACTACAGCTTGGGCAAGAGAGTGAGACTTCATCTCAAAAAAAAAAAAGAAGAAGAAATTTATAAATTGGACTTCAACAACATTTAAAATGTTCTACTCTTCAAGAGACACTGTTAAGAGCATGGAAAGCCAAGCCATAGACTCAGAGAAAATATTTTCAAAGTAAAATTATGATAAAGAGCCATATCTAAATTATATTAAGAACTCTCTAGTGCCAATAATAGAAAAACAAACAACACAGTTAAAATATGGGCAAAATATCTGAACATACGTGTCACCAAAGAAGACATATGGATGAAAAGATGCTCAACATCTTTAGTCATTAGGAAGATGTAAATTAAAATCAGAATGAGATACCATTGCAGACTTATTAAAATAAATAAAATTTAAAAGACTGACTATACCAACTGTTGTCAAGGATGTTTCTACACTGCTGGACAATAATCACTTTGGAAACCAACTTGGCAATTTCTTAAAAGTTAAACACATACCTATCATACAATCCCGCCATTCCAATCCTAAGTAGTTACCCAATGGAAGTGAAAGCATATATCCATACAAAGATTTGTTCACAAATATACGTAGGAAGTTTATGTAAAAGCCCAAAACAGGAAATAATTCAAATGTTCATCAAATAATGGATAAACAGAGTGTGGTATGTCCATACAACAAAATGTTATTCCACAATAAAGAGGAATGGACTATTGATACCTTCTACATCTCAACTCTAAAATAATTATGCTGAATGATAGAAGCCAGACATGAAAGATTACAAACTGTATGATTTCATTTTTATGAAATTCTAGGATGGAAACCAATGTATAGTGACCAGAAAGCAGATCAGTGGGTGCCTGGGAAAGGGTATTGGATGGGGAAGAATCTGAAGAAGGGTTTACAAAGGGAAACAAGGAAACTTTTGGGGATTATAGGTAAGTTCATTATCTTGATTTTAATGGTGGAGATGGATATACACATATATACACACACACACACGCATGCACTTATAAAACTGTGCACTTTAAATATGTATAGTTTGTATGTCAAGTGTACCTCAATAAATCCATTAAAAATTCAAGTATAGTTGTTTTGGTGAAGTTTTAGAATGTAGCAAAATAAATAGATACGGTTCATTTGTCATGTTTAACTAAAAATCGAATCACATAACTTTTTGAATAATTCTATTCTCATTTCAAAAACCACCCTTTTTTTGCTTTTGCTTTTTTGCTTGCTCTCTTTCTGTCTATCGCTCATTAATACTTCCATTCATGTATGCCCCACCTTGTTCATTTATGCCCCATCTTGTTCTCCAATCCAACTAAGTTCTGGGTTGGGTACTAGGGATTGGCCCCAGTGCAGTAAATTACCAAGAGTGGTTGGAATGTTATTGCCCAAGGATTAATTCCTAAGTTGAATCAGGTATAGATCTGTCTCTGAAGCAAGAAAATAGACTAAGCAATCGTTCAGGTTCTTTTCTCTTTTATATTTTATATATATGTGTATATATATATTTATATATATGTGTATATATATATTTATATATATGTGTATATATATATTTATATATATGTGTATATATATATTTATATATATGTGTATATATATATTTATATATATGTGTATATATATATTTATATATATGTGTATATATATATTTATATATATGTGTATATATATATTTATATATATGTGTATATATATTTATATATATGTGTATATATATATTTATATATGTGTATATATATATTTATATATATGTGTATATATATTTATATATATGTGTATATATATATTTATATATATGTGTATATATATTTATATATATGTGTATATATATATATACACACACACATATATAATATCAAAGTCATTAGTCATATTTAATGACTTTAAAATATATAAAATATATATTTGATATTTTGATATATATATCAAACTCATTAAATTGTCATATTATAAATGGTTAATCTTAAAAATGAAGGAGACAGGTAAATTAGACTATATATATTTTATATATATATTTGATATTTTGATATACATATCAAAGTCATTAAATAGTCATATTATAAATGGTAATCTTAAAAATGAAGGAGACGGTAAATTAGACTATATATATTTTATATATATATTTGATATTTTGATATACATATCAAAGTCATTAAATAGTCATATTATAAATGGTAATCTTAAAAATGAAGGAGGCAGGTAAATTAGATAGTGGGTCTTGGCATTTGCAGCTTCATATACACTTCTACCCCTACCCCCACCCCCACCCTTTATTCAAGTCTTAGTAATAACTGAAACACTCCTTGACTCTACAGGTTCCTGGGAGAGGTGGGGTGAGCATGAATGATGTGCATATGTAAGGTATGCCTAGGACATGTGTGCACATGCCAGAGGCACACCTATACCATGATTGGTAGATCTAGATTGAAATTATTTTCCCCAGAATTGCTTCAATCATGCATTACTTATTTTAATAAAAGGAGCCTCTGGTCTTACCAGTTATATTTTACTTACAACCCCTTACAACATTAGGCAAATAATGTTTTTAATTTAAAATGTTTTTGTTCTCACAGTGAATGGGAGAGTCCCAAAATGTTCAGGAATTTTTCTTGAGTATAATTCCAAAATGGAAACCCCCAGATCACAAAGATATTTAAACAGAAATCAGAAGGCTCCAATCTGGAGTAGCACCTTACAAATGAGGTAAAGCACTTTACTGAAGTGTCAAATGAATCAAGGAGGAAAAAGGAAGAAGATGGGAGAGAATGAGCCCATTAAGGGTAGTGTCCATGTTTTATTACCTCTGTATTCACGTTGCCAGGAACAGTGGGTAGACATCTGTTGGACATATGGGTGTGATTTGCATTCCTTTCCTCTTACTCTGGTACTAGGACACCCCTTTTCTGTAGGGGAGCCATTTCATGTGGTTCTGGTGAGGCTCTCCATGTTCACTCACTCATGACCAGGCCTAGCCATTCTTCTCCATGGAAACAGTGATTGGTTCAGACATAGGCACGTGAACCAAGCTGGACCAATTAGAGTACTCTCCAGGGCTTTTCTTGCTTTTTTGTTGGAATGAGAGTTTTTTGAGACTGACATAGCTGCTGATTATAAGAGAAAAACATGAGTCCCTGAGAACTGTGTTTGAGCCCCCAGATCCAACTGTAGTTGAAGGTAACCATAATCCTTTTTTATTTGAGCTACTTTGAGTTTTTGTAACTTGCAACAACAAAAAAATCCCAACTAATGCAATCAGAATGATTTAATAATACCCTTTTAAAATACAATTTTAAAAATAAATATAAAGGTCAGCTGTTTTCCAACTCAAATGAAAACAAAATATGAGAAAATAAAATTTAAATACATCTTGGGAGAGTATAGTTTAAAAGTAGGAACAAGTTTAAAATAGTAACATCTCTTACACAATGAATAGAGGTAGGGAGGGAATATACACAATTCTTTTTTATAATTTTTAGAAATGATCATTCATCAGAAGTGATTTAGCTACCTAGAACTGAAGAACAAGTCATATCATAAGACCTCTGAGAATGCAACAATAGCCTATATGCCTAAGTTTCACTGAACTTAAAAATAAAAATGAAGCTTGGCCAGGCGCAGTGACGATGCCTGTAATCCCAGCACTCTGGGAGGACGAATAGGGATGATCACTTGAGGTCAGGAGTTTGAGACCAGCCTACCCAACATGGCGAAACCCCATCTCTACTGAAAATACAAAAATTAGCCGGGCGTGGTGGCAGGTGCCTGTAATTCCAGCTACTCGGGAGGCTGAGGCAGGTGAATGTCTTGAACCCAGGAGGCAGAGGTTGCAGTCAGCCAAGATTGCACCACTGCACTCTAGCCTGG